>NC_000003.12:27510000-28760000 GCF_000001405.40 Homo sapiens | reverse complement strand
ATTTAATTTTTAAAATATTATTTAAAAAATAAAATATTTACTTTTCATGGTAGGTGGAACACATTCTTCCAAGAACATAGGCAATAATTGTGGGAAGCAGGCGAGAGAGAATGAGAATAGACCGAAATCACAAATAAGGACAGTGAAGTTCCAAAGGTGAGGTTTAAATTCGCAAGCCAGTAAGCAATCAGACAGGGACTGAAGCCCAAGTGAGGAAGCAGCTGAGCATGGCAGTGAAGAGCCCAAGCTCTGGAATCAGGACAACCTGACTGATTCATCCAGCTATGCCCCTCACCAACTAGGTGGTCTGGCTTAGTTACCTAACCACTTCATGCCTCAGTTTCTCGGGTAGGCAATGGGGGTAATGAGAGTACCTACTCATATAATCACTGTGATGATTATGAGCCAGTGCTTGTAATGTTTTGCCTAATTCCCAGTCTATAGTAAGTGCTCAATAACTGTTAACTTGCTATTGCAAGTATTATTGTCATTTTAATGACTTCAGGGTAGAAAGTAGAAAATGTTCTTTCTACTATGCATGTCTTGAAGTCCAGGGATAATGTCTGTGGGACAATAATCTGTACCATGGCAATCAGGGAATGACTATTCCATTTGCCACCCAGTCCAAAATGAAATATCTTAGCTCTTGTCTTTGCTGCACATTTTCATCACCCTGAAATCCCAGGTGTGGTGGTAGAGAATACCAGGGTTTTCTCAAAAGTGCTTTCCACTAAAGTGACAGATCCAGTTTGATTCGGTTTTTGATGGTCTGAATTATTCTTCTTAGTTAATGAGCTCTTCTTGTCAGTATTTAGAGGGATACTCACCTCCCTTTGGATGACATGAGCTTGATGATGCAAATAAGTGGAAAAGGTGGTGTCTCATACAGTTATGTGTACAGTATATCATTTTCTGCAAACAGGATAGTGTCATCGCTGTGAAGGAGGTAAAACATCTGCCCTATTTTTCAGAAGGAGGAATTAAGGAATTGAGGTATTTGGTTATGTGGCCAAGGAAGGCAGCAGCAGATTCTCCACTCGGGACTTCCGTCTCATGAATCTTCATGTTTTTTCCAAGGGCTTTAAGTAAAGAGGGCTAAGAAACTATTCAGAAGTTACACAGTGTTCTCAACTAAAGGTCAACTGTAAGAGATTTAGAAATTCATTCAATTCTTTATTAACAAATAAAATAACCACCATTTATTGAACATTGCCACATCCCAATGAATTTACAACGTGCAAAGTACCATCCATGTGATGTCCTTTTACAGGCACTTATCACCACAATCATAGGAAGTATCATTATTCCCATTTTGTATATGAGGACACTGAGGTCCAGAGGATTTTTGTCTTGTCCTAAAATCTCAGAAATAAATAGGGACTCCAGAGTTAGAACACAATGGCAGATGGCAGCACATATATGTAACAGGGTTAGGCTGTGACTAGAGATTTCTGTAGCTGATGGTAATATGAAGAATTGAGAATCTGACCATACAACTCTGACCCCATGTGTAGACAATGGACAGCTCTAGTGCTATTTCTGAAAGAGCAATAATGCTAGATCCAGCTGAAATGTCTAGCAGGTCACCACTGATAGGTCTACACTGGACTTTTTTAGAAAGCCAATAAGGACACAGTTTTGCAGGAAATTGACAGAGACCTTATTGCTGAGTCAACTGAAGGTGTTTTATTGCAAGGCAGGCACAATTGCAAAACATAAATCTGAAATACTACAGTTTTCATAAACACAATCACAGAAGCATGCCTTGTTTTTTACTCCAAAATGGACAGATCCACAGACAGACCTGAGCAACATTATGGATGAGGTCAGTTGATCTCTAATTCCTGCTTTGTCTTAGAATATGGTATTCTGGAACCATCCACTTACTGTTGACTAGCTTATATTCAGGGTATTTGAAGTCACTTTTGATATTTGCAATTTCTTTAGCATTCTAGCTGCAGGATCAAACAGGAATTACATTTCAACATACAAGGTTTGTGTTTCTTTGTAGAGTAACATATATATATCAAATAGTGTGCAAGAGCCCCAGGTATAACGTATGTTTGATTATGTTTCAACTCTAAGCGATAACATATTGAGATCGCTTCAGTAGCTAAGCAAATGTGACTCAGGCCATTACCTGGATCCAGACTTTTAAAAAAAGAATGAAACAAAAGAAAGGAAACGTATTTTAACCTACAGATCAGTACTATACAAATCAAACAACACAGCCCCATTTACAAGGTAATCTGGGATTGCAATTCAGGAAATCCCTAGGGATAAAACTTGTTCATAAACAAGGCTAATTTTAGCACAGAACAATACTTTTTAAAGCAATTTCTCGTTTATAATTCCCAGGGTCAAGGAAAGAAAAAGAAAAGGCAGGAAAAAAAAAAAAGAAATCCAACCAATCAAAAGCATCCAGGATTGTGTGTTGGGCAGGTGATAGCAAAGGAAAAACAGTCCAATGCAGAACTATAGCTCAGAGAAAGTCAGTCTGCAGGGATGCTGGGCATGAGTCCACTTTAGGTGCTTCTTGGTTCTAGTTTCTGTGTTTTTATCCTTTGGATCAGCAGCATCTTCCTCATTATGTTTCAGCAGCTCCCCGGACACCTAAGGAGGTGGTCTATCGTCTGGCCAAAACTTGGGGCCTGTGGAAGAACACATGGGAAAAAGCCCATCAGGCATGAGCCCAAACAATCTGACAGCTAAAGGTTGATGGAGTCAAGGGGTAGAGGGAAGAGTGGATGATTCCTTACCTCCTCCCAGCCTGCCTCCCGCCGCTGCTCCAGAAGGGTGGCTTTATGCTTTGTAACAGCCAGTGGCTTGAAATCTTTGAGATCTTGTAGTGAGCTCATAGTGGTATTCATCACCTTGTAGTCCATGGCATCTCTGTTGACAAGAACATAAAATAAATACCTTGGCATTAATGTTCTTTGGAATCTTGAGGAGGAGACACAACGGAGCAACACAGACACATAGAAAGAAGGGAAAGGAGGACGAGAGAATAAAACTCAGAAAGGATACTCTACCTGCCACCTTTCCCTGGAATTCCCCTAGGCAGTCGTATCCTGGACTGGAGGCTTGAAGTGATTTCTAAGACCGCCCAGAGGTCTCAAAGGTCTGAAAGGTCAGGAGGCATCATTCCACTGCTACACGAGCACCTGAACTCAAAACTCAGCTCCTTGAGAACCTCAGCCAGCCTCGCCCCAACTCTCCTGAGTGGATGATGTCACTGAAATACTACATAACAGAGAGCAAAACGCAGTTGAAAATTAGCAGGAGATCCTCCTTCTTCCTTTGCCCCAGGGTGGTAGTCAAGGAAAGGCCAGGGGATGAGGGTAGGGAGGGTATCAACCACATGGTCTTCCCTTTAACGGTTTCAATGTTCAAGTCAGCCCACTCTTAACTTCCCACCACGTGACAAGAATTCTAAGAAGATTCTTCCATGGCCCATGTCATTTAGTTCAATCTAGCATTGCTTGTGGACTTTAGGGTATTGCTCAGATCCTGAAGAAAGTTTTTATTTCAGCCAGGCTTCCTGCCTGAGACAGAAGAACTCCAGACCTGGAATATGAGAAACACCTGGCTCCACTTAAGACCCTTCTTTTCCAAAACCTATAGAAAGCCTAGGGCTACCTCTTTGACCCTGAAAGAACCTGTCTTCCTGGAACACAGGGTAAAAATCACATAGTGAAGAATACAAGCCAGAAATAACACAGGCTGGGAATAACACAGGCTGGAAATCGCAGAAATTGGAGTGCTACCAAGAAAGACATATAGAGAACAGAATTCAAGAGAAACTTATTCCAACAAACCCAAAGGCATACCAAAGGATAGAGGTTGACAGGAGTGGTCTGTCCTGGGTACACATAATAAAGCAGGCACATTATCTGTAGAATTTAAAGGCAGTAATAACACTGCCTTTAAACAAAGTCAGACTGCTCTTTGTTATGACCACGCTTTGGCAATTCTAAACAATGTTGGTGAAAGATACTGTATCCCACCCAGGCAGGTCCCCCTCCTTGGTACTTCACTACCAACTCCACATGTTATCCTGATCCGATCATAGCCTTTGCTTGTGCTCTTCCGTCTACCTGGAATCTCCTTCCCCCAATCCCACCAGCCCACATCCTGTTCACTTTTAGGTCCTATTTCAAATAATCCCTCTTCAATGAAGGTTCTCATGACCCTCTTGGCTAGGAGTAATCCCTTACTCCCCTTAACTCCTAGGACAATTTATCTATATTATTTTATTTATACCTTATATTTATATATGCATATTATCTTTCCTATTAACAGACATCAAGATGCAGTGAAAAGTGTATGGGATTTGGAATTAGGCCCAAGTTAGAATCCCATTTCTCACAATGAACTAGCTGTGCAATGTTGAGCTAGTTATAAAACCTCTTTAGTTTATTTCCACATCTATATAATGGGAATATCACCTATCTCACAGAGTTGTTGCTTGAAATTAAATAATGCACGCAAAATAGCCTGAGATAATATACCCTCTACGATTATTTGTTTCTCTATCCTCTGCCTTAAGGGCAGAATCTTACTCTTTCATCTTTATTCTCCCCTCCCCACTCCCACAGGACTTATCAAGATAAGTCACAAAATGTGGCAGGTATAGAAATGTGTAGGCTTTTGTGTAGAATACCTACCACATAGGCTTGTGTGGAAGATGAAATAAATATGTGTCCAGTCCTTACGTTAGACCCTGGCACATGGTATGAGTTGTATAAATGTATGTTAAATAAAATGACCTTGTGAGTTATTGTAGGACTCCCTGACTCCATGGTGTGCTCCAAATATAAATTATCAACATCAGGGAGAAAACAGATATGGCACAGCATTTAGAAACTCACATAATGTTGGAGCTAAGAGACTACAGTGATTTGGATATTTGTACCCTCCAAACTTCATGCTGAAATTTGATCCCCAATGTTGGAGATGGGGCCTGGGGTGAGGTGTATGGGTCAAGAGAGAGGATCCTTCATGAGTAGATTACTGCCCTCTTTTGGGCTCCACTAGTTCCTGAAAGAGCTGGTTGTTTAAAAGGGCCTGGCACCTTTCCCTCTCCCTTGCTTCCTCTCTCACTATGTGATCTCTGCACATGTGGCTCCCCTTTGCCTTCCGCTATGAGTGAAAGCAGCCTGAGGCCCTTACCAGATGAAGATGTCCAATCTTTAACCTTCCAGCCATGAGAATTGTGATCTAAATAAACCTTTTTTTCTTCATAAATTAACCATTCTTGAGTATTCCTTTATAGCAACACAAAAGGACTAAGACAGAGACGCTCTCCCATTTTAGGAACACGTATTGAGAATTCACAATGTGCCAGATAATGCATTAATAACTTTATAAATAATGTTGCATTTAATTCTCACCTGAACCGTGTGATGTGCTATCTTGACTATCCCTATTTCACACAGCAACAGAGGCACAGAGATGTTAAGTAATCTCCCTATGGATGCATGACTAATAAAGCGCAGAGCTAGGTTTGGAGACTAGGTTTTTTTTTTTCTTTCATTTTAAGTTCAGGGATATGTATGCAGGATATGCAGGTTTGTTATATAGGTAAAAGTGTGCCACTGTGGTTTGCTGCACAGATCATCCCATCACCAAGGTATTAAGCCCAGCATGTGTTAGCTATTCTACCTGATGTTCTCCCTCCTCCCACCTCCACTCTCCAACAGGCCCCAGTGTGTGTTTCCCGCCCTCATGTGTCCATGTGTTGTCATCTTTCAGCTCCCACTTATAAGTGAAAACACAGGGTATTTGGTTTTCTGTTCCTATGATAGTTTGCTGAGGATAACAGCTTCCAAATCCATCTATGCCCCCAAGAAGGAAATTATCTCATTCCTTTTTATGGCTGCATAGTATTCCATGGGGTATATGTGCCACATTTTCTTTATCTAGTCTATCACTGATGGGCATTTAGGCTGATTCCATGTCTGTGCTATCGTGAATAGTGCAGCAATGACTATACATGCACATGTATCTTTATAATACAACAATTTATATTACTTTGGGTATATACTCAGTAATGGGATTGCTGGGTTGAAAGATATTTCTGCTTCTAGGTCTTTCAGGAATCACCACACTGTTTTCTATAATGATTTAGCTAATTTACACTCCCACCAACAGTGTAAAAGCATTTTGTTTTTCTCCACAACATCGCCAGCATGTGTTGTTTTTTGACTTTTTAGAAGGTTGGTACAAAAGTAACTGTGTTTTTTTGCCATTAATTTTGATGACAAAAGCCACAATTACTTTTGCACCAACCTAATAATAATAGCCATTCTGACTGGTGTGAGATGGCATCTCATTGTGGTTTTGATTTGCATTTCTCTAATGATCAGTGATATTGAGCTTTTTTTTCATATGTTAGTTGGCCACATGTATGTCTTTTTTTGAGACGTATCTGTTCATGTCCTTTGCCCACTTTTAATGAGGTTGTTATCTTCTTGTAAATTTGTTTAAGTTCCTTATACATGCTGGATATTAGATGTTTATGAGACGGATATGTCGCAAAATTTTCTCCCATTCTGCAGGTTATCTGTTTAATTTATTGATGATTTCTTTTGCTGTGCAGAAGCTCTTTAGTTTAATTACATCCCATTTGCCAATTTTTCCTTTTGTTGCAATTGCTTTTGATGTCTTCATCATGAAATCTTAGCCTGTGCCTATGACCTGAATTGTATTGCCTAGGTTTTCATCTAGGGTTTTTATAGTTGTGGGTTTTACATTTAACTCTTTAATTCATCTTGAGTTGATTTTTGCATATTGTGTAAGGAAGGGGTCCAATTTCAATTTTCCGCATATGGCTAGCCAGTTCTCCCAGCACTGTTTATTGAATAGGAAATCCTTTCCCCATTGCTTGTTTTTGTCAGGTTTGTTGAAGATCAGATGGTTGTAGGTATGTAGTCTTATTTCTGGGTTCTCTATTCTGTTCCATTGGTCTATGTGTCTGTTCTTATACAAGTACCATGCTGTTTTGGTTACTGCAGCCCTGTAATATACTTTGAAGTCGGGTAGTGTGATGCCTTCAGCTTTGTTCTTTTTGCTTAGAACTGCCTTGATTATTTAGGCTCTTTTTGGTTCTGTATGCATTTCCAAATAGTTTTTTTCTAATTTTGTGAAGAATGTCAATGGTAGTTTAATGGGAATAGCACTGAATCTATAAAGTGCTTTTGGCAGTATGGCCATTTTCACAATATTAATTCTTCCTATCCATGAACATGGAATTAATGATTTTCCATTTGTTCTGTCCTCTCTGATTTCTTTGAGCAGTGGTTTGTAGTTCTCCTTGAAGAGGTCCTTCAATTCCCTTGTTAGCTGTATTCCTAGGAATTTTATTCTTTTTGCAGCAGTTGTAAATGGATCACCTGTGATTTGGTTCTTGGCTTATCTGTTGTTGGTGTATAGAAATGCTAGTGACTTTTTCACATTGACTTTTGTATCCTGAGGGTTTGCCAAGTTGCTTATCATCTAAGCAGCTCTTGGGCTGAGAAGATGGGGTTTTCCAGATACAGGATCGTATCATCTGCAAACAAAGGTAGTTTGGCTTCCTCTCTTCCTATTTGAATGTCCTTTATTTCTTTCTCTTGCCTGATTCCCCTGGCCAGAACTTCCAATACTATCTTGAATAGGACTGGTGAGATAGGGCAAACTTGTCTTGTGCTGGTTTTCAAGGGGAATGCTTCCAGCTTTTGCCCATTCAGTATGATATTGGCTGTGGGTTTGTCATATATGGCTTTTATTATTTAGAGGTATGTTCTTTCAATACCTAGTTTATTAAGAGTTTTTAAAATGAAGGGATGTTAATTTTTATCAAAGGCCTTTTATGCATCTATTTACATAATCATGTGGTTTTTGTCTTTAGCTCTGTTTATGTGATGAGTCATATTTATTGATTTGCCTATGTTGAACTAACCTTGCAACCCCGGGATGAAGCCTACTTGATTGTGGTGGATAAGCTTTTTGATGTGCTGCTGGATTCAGTTTGCTAGTATTTTGTTGACAATTTTCACATCGATATTCATTAAGGATATTGGCCTAAAGTGTTCTATTTTTTTGTTGTATTTCTGGCAGGTTTTGGTATCAGGATGATACTGGCCTCATAGAATGAGTTAGAGAGGAGTCCCTCTTTTTCAGTGTTTTGGAATAGTTTCTATAGGAATGGTATCCGCTCTTCTTTGTACCTCTGGCAGAATTCAGCTGTGAATCCATCTGGCCCTGGGCTTTTTTCAGTCAATAGCCTATTTATTACTGCCTCAATTTTCAGAACTCATTATTGGTCTATTCAGGGATTCAATTCCTTCCTGGTTCAGTCTTGAGAGGATATATATGTCCAGGAATTTATCCATTTCTTCTAGATTTTCTAGTTTATGTGCATAGAGGTGTTTATAGTATTTTTTGATGACTGTTTGTATTTCTGTGCGGTCAGTGGGGAGATCCCCCTTATCATTTCTGATTGTGTTTATTTGATTTTTCTTTCTTTTCTTCTTTATTAGTCTAGCTAGAGGTCTATCTATTTTATTAATATTTTTTCCAAAACCCAGCTCCTGGATTCATCGATTTTTTGAAGGGTTTTTCATGTTTCTAGATTCTTCAGTTCAGCTCTGATCTTGGTTATTTCTTGTTTTTTTTTCTAGCCTTGTGGTTTGTTTCCTCTTGGTTCTCTAGTTGTTTTAAGTGATTTTAGGTTGTTAACTTGAGATCTTTCTAGCTTTTGGATGTGGGCATTTAGAGCTATAAATTTCCCTCTTAACACTGCCTTGGCTGCATCCAGAGATTATGGTAGATTGTATCTTTGTTCTCAGTAGTTTCAAAGAACTTCTTTATTTCTGCCTTAATTTCATTATTTACCTAGGAGTCATTCAGGAGCAGGTTGTTCAATTTCCACATAGGCGTGTGGTTTTGAGTGAATTACTTAATCTTGAGTTATAATTTGATTGCACTGTGGTCTGAGAGATGGTTTGTTATGATTTCAGTTCTTTTACATTTGCTGAGGAGAGTTTTAGTTCCGATTATGTGGTCAGTTTTAGAGTAAGAGTCATGCAGTGATGAGAAGAATGTATATTCTGTTTTTTGGGGGTGAAGAGTTCTGTAGATATCTATCAGGTCCACCTAATGGAGAGCTGAGTTTGGGTCCTGAATATCTTTGTTAATTTTCTGTCTCTGTGATCTATCTAATACCGTCAGTGGGGTGTTAAAGTCTCCCACTACTACTGTGTGGGAGTCTAAATCTCTTTGAAGGTCTCTAAGAACTTACTTTGTGAATCTGAGGGCTCCTGTGTTGGGTGCATATATATTTAGGATAGTTAGCTCTTCTTGTTAAATTGAACCCTTTACCATTATGTAATGCCCTTGCCTTTTTTGATCTTTGGTAGTTTAAAATCTATTTTGCCAGTAATTAGGATGGCAGTCCTTGTTTTTTTCTGTTTTCCATTTGCTTCATAAATTTTCCTCCATCCCTTTATTTTGGAGCCTATGTGTGTCTTTGCATGTGAAATGGGTCTCTTGAAGACAGCATACTGATGGATCTTGGTTCTTTATTTAAATTGCCATTTTGTGTCTTTTAATTGGAGCATTTAGCCCATTTACATTTAAGGTTAGTGGTATTGTTATATGTGGACTTGATCCTGTCATCATGACGCTAGCCGGTTATTTTGTAGACTTGTTTATGTGTTGGGAATGAGGTTTTTGAGTTACGCTTTGCTCATTCACTATAGTTCTATTGCAGAGCTTCATGCCATGATGGAAATGTTCTGTGCTGTCTAATATAGAAGTCACTAGCCACTGGTAGCTTTGAGTTCCTGAAATGAAGCTACCATGATTAAGAAACTAAATTTTAAATTATACTTAATCTTAATTAATTTGAGCTTAAATAGCAATGTGTGCAGGTACAGTAAACTTGTACTAGCATACTGGATAGTGAAAGTTTACTATATTTTAGAGATCGTTTCATGTAAGCTCCTATTCAATAGCCTCTGGGCCTGTGATGGGAGGGGCTGCCATAAAGATCTCTGATACGCCCTGGAGACATTTTTCCTATTGTCTTGGTGATTAACATTTGGTTCCTCATTACTTGTGCAAATTTCTACAGCCAGCTTGACTTTCTCTCAAGAAAATATATTTTTTCTATTGCATTATCAGGCTCAAATTTTTCAAACTTTTATGCTCTGCTTTCCTTTTAAATGCACATTCCTATTTCAGATCATTTCCCTCAAGTTCAAAGTTCCACAGATTTCTAGGGCAGGTGTAAAATGCCATCAGTCTCTTTGCTAAAGTATACCAAGAGTAACCTTTGCTCCAGTTCCCAAGATTCTTCATCTCCATCTGAGACCAATTCAGCCTAGACTTCATTGTCCATATCATTATCAGCATTTTGGTGAAAGCCATTCAACCAGTCTCTAGGAAGTTCCAAACTTTTCCACATATTCCTGTCTTCCTCTGAGTCCTCCAAACTGTTCCAACCTCTGCCTGTTACCCAATTCCAAAGTGGATTCCACATTTTTGGGTATCTTTATAGCAACACCTACTCTCTGTAGCACCAATTTACTGTATTAGTCTGTTCTCACATTGCTATGAAGAAATATCCAAGACTAGATAATTTATGAAGGAAAGGAGTTCAGTTGACTCGCAGTTGCACATGGCTGGGGAGGCCTCAGGAAACTTAAAATGATCCCAGAAGGGGAAGCAAACACACTTTCCTTCACATGGCAGCAGGAGTCAGAAATGCCAAGCAAAGTGGGGAAAAGCCCCTTATAAAACCATCAGATCTCAAGAGAACTCATTCATTAACAAGAGAACAGCAAGAGGGTAACTGCCCCCAAGATTAAATTACTTCCCACTGGGTCCTTCTCACAACACTTGGGGATTATGGGAACTACAATTCAAGATGAGATTTGTGTGGGGACACATCCAAACCATATTAGTATGATTTTACATATTAAAGAATAATTAACCCTGAGATGCATTCTCAGAGAGCTCATTCCTAGGCACATCTGCCAGGGCAGCTAAAAGTTACATAAAACACATAGACATTTCCATTAACAAAGATCGACACACAGGAGTCCTTGTAGGAGGCATTTGCTAAAGCCTAGGCTACAGGCCTTCTGTAGCAATATGTCAATAACTAACCAGTGTCAGATGAACAAGAGCCCTCTGCAGTGTTTCTGTCTTTGCCAGTCTTAACTTCCCATCTACCAGCTCCTTAGAGAAGATCTATACATACAATGCAATTCAAGAGAAGACTATATTACATCAGATCCACTTTAGAGGTACTACTAATCATCATGAGCCCCATGCCCACCATCCCAGTGCTGTCAGTCTTATCCTTTAAAAATACAGGAGACCTAGTATAAAACCTCCAGTGCTTGTTGGCAACTGCCCACCTCTTTGACCTAGGTGAGTTGAAGGAAGGACATGCTGACCCATTGCATCTCCAATAGCACCCAGCTCTCATTCTTCTGAAATGTTTCCTGTGATGTGTCAGGACTTCATGCCACAGATAAAGTAGATGCTTCATAATCCACAATGTGGCTAAACTACCCACTATTCCCAGTATGGTTTGCAGCTGAAACATGTCTAGTGGATCACAGGGAATCCTAACTTAGGGCAGCCATCACAATCTGAATCCTTGTACCCCAAGTTGCTCCTCGTTTTCTGTCTGGTTCAACTGGTCTCCCAGATCTTTTTCCCTATGCCACTTGAGGCATACTCCTTTGAGGAACTTGCATAAGGATGCTTTTTGTACTGGTTTGAATGTTATCTATCATTACTTTTGGGTCTTTATAGACACTGGCTTCCTAAATGTTCAAAATCCCTTTCTCCTTTCCAAACCATTTTTCTCACTAATATGTGTGAATGTAGCAGAGAATGTTGGTCCCTTACTGTATCCCTCAGGTCTTACAAAGACCAGCCTTGAAACTGCCATTAACTGCATCTCTTTGCATGAGGTTTGTTTTGTTTTGTTTCTCGAGAAACTATTCTGTCCAGGTATGGTGATCTATGAATATCTGGGTATTAACTCACCTTGAGAGGAGTCCTCAACCAGTTACTGATAGGAGTCCAGGGCAAATGTTCTAAATTATTTCCCAGAATTTTTTCATAGGCTTTAGCTCTAGCTGTGCACAGTCATAGCTGGCTCCATATCATACCCTTTGTTGTCTGCCTTACTTTTCCTGTCATTCTTTCCCTCTCTTCTTACTGGCATTTGCTATACCTCCCAAATAAACTACTTGCTCTCAAGTCCTTGTCTCAGGGTCACTTCTGGGGGACTAAAACTAAGCCAATAGAAAACTACCTTTTTCTAATTCTAGTCACTTCAGTCATTTCAGAAATGCCTTAACTTTATGTACATATAGATATATGTATACATAAATATGTATTTCCAGTCTATGTCAATTGAATTTATAAATAACTATATATATATATATATATATGCAGCTGACATTTAAGTTTTTATATATTTTGTTGTGTGCTGGTTTTGTCTTTCCTGTAAGTTGATAAGATGCTCAAAGGCCAGGAGTGCAGCACCTCCTTCTTCTATAATTTTACACGATGCCTGGTGTGATGCTCCACAGAGTGAATATTCATTTAACCAGGGCTGAGAGACAAGGGGCCATGGAGGTCAGGTCTGTTTGTCCTGCGGGCTTGTCAAGGGTGAGAAATCTCCTAAGATAAAAAAATTGTGATGCTGTTTCCAACCCTTTGAAGGATGAACCTGGAAGCCTAAAATGAGAGCTGGCCCTGAGACAGGGCACCAAGTCAGAACATCAGTCCTGTGGCACATGCTATGCCCTCCAGGCCACTGGGACATGAAATCCTGTGTAATCAGATACGTTCTCTTGACCTGTTTCTGAGTGACAGTCCAGTTTGGGGTGAACTGGGCTACATGAGCTAGACAGACCAATGTGAGGCCCATTTCTGGGAGAACTTTCCTAAAAACCCTGGGCCTTTGCTGCAAATCAATAGAATTATTAAATATCTCAAAGCATATTACAGAACAGGGTGCTAATAGGTGAGGGTCCAATATAGGTAAAGAAGAGGTCCTACTTTGACCCACCTTACACTCCAGAAGTGAAATATTTATGGGGTACTTAATAGCGGTGAGCGATGAGTAATACTAATGCCACTAACCGCAAATACCTTATTTTTGCTTAGGCCTCTCATCTCCCTCTTGGGCCAGGAGGACTTTATGGCATTTCCACTTGTCTATTTCCCTTCCTAACTAGAATAAAGGCTAATTTATCAAACATTCTAAACCTGGAATCTTTATTAACTAGCTCCCCCAGGACACAAAGATTCTAAAGGACCTTCTGAATCAAACAAAGGTGAAATGACACTCGGTGTTATTTCAGAGTTGAGTATTTTGTTGCATTATTTCTAAGCCTTTTACAACTGACAATCCAGATAAAGTATTGATTAAACAGATCACTCTGCATCCTCAACTTGGCTGCTAACAGAGTTCACTGTAATATAGTTTTGGCCCTTGTTGGTTGAGTCTAGTGCCTCAAGAGCAAATTACCACCGAAGACCTCACACACTCAGCACCTCACAGAAACCTTGCCGTGACTCCAGGTGCGTGGGGCAGGCCTGCCCACAGAATGCAGCCTCCCACAAGCTGTGAGATTCTAAAAGAACTTTTCTAAGGCTTTTTCTGAGGAAAGCACACCAACATATGGCTTTATATGAATCCTGCTGATTGAGGAAACTTTAGATTCTACAGAAGCTTTCTAAAAATAATTCCAATTTGAATAGAAAGTCGAGTCCTTTACAGAGCCCAGACTGTTTTGTTCTCCCATCACATGGGAACTTGAAGAGGCCACAACAATGACAAGCAGACAGAGCAATGTGTAATTCATCCAGAAATGAACTGCCAACAGAATTACAAACAGCTGTCACAATGGCTGGGATAAAAGCCAGAATTAAGAAGGGCATGGAAGGGAAGCACAATAATAACCAGAGACCTCTAAGCACCAAATGTGAAGGCACACAGAACATATTCTCGTGACCTTCCTCTAACTTCCACCTCCATCCACGCAGAATGCTTCATCTGACAGTCAGATAAATTCACTTAGAAAATAAATCATCATTTACATACAATGTATTGAAAATAGACACGAGCCAGAACAACCAAGTTTCAGAGTAAAGTACTAGAAGAGCTGATCAATTCAAAAGTGTTTTGCACATTCTTTAGAGAAGAAATTTGCCGCTAAATTTTCTCATATATGCATGAGAGATGCAATACCAAGGAATGTTTAATTATACTCACCTTCAAAGCTACATGTCTACTGAAAGAAAACTGTGGCAAAATAGAAAACAGGAAACACATTCCATAAGGCTGATTCACTCTCTGGGATTTTTACATGTAGGAGTGCCATTATCGCATAAAAATGGTATCTTGTGTTGCCAACAATATTACCCATACATACGGAAGACTTCAGCACTTTCTTAGGAATCGCATTAAAAACATACCATACTATCCCAAATTGTGCTCAAGTTTGCATAGAAGTTATCATTGGCTATTTAACCTGTAGTAAGTTATTAAACATTACCCCTTGGTAGTCTCATTAATGTCTAAAGTACTTGAATATTAAAGATTACCTTTTATAAAGTCACTTCTAAATCAGCCCGGTCTCTACTCCTAAGGCAGCTTAACATCTCTTCACCTTAGTTTTATATCATCCCTTTTCTTTCACCTCAAAAATACATTTGTCCTTGAGAAGCTCTAGGTGTTATTAATGAAGAATGGATACGGGAATATTTATCATGTTAAGTGTTTTTATGATGCTGATGGTGCTTCGAAGAAGACTAAGGCTCTTACATAAACACTGTTGTACACATTTCTGACTTTGCAACTAGAGTATGTACTCCCTGAAAGCTGAGGCCATCCCTTCTGCATGCTCTTTTTGTAAGCTTCATAATGCCCAGCAGAATGCTGGAGACTAAAGTGACTATATTTTCTGAATAAAAAATTAGATGGTCTCTGCAAGGAGATATTTTGCAGTTCTGACAAACCAGGATTAGGTATCCCAATGCTTCCAAAAATAGGTTCCAGACAAGTATTCCTGATAATAAATGGTGCCAATGATTCACCTCCTGGAGACCTTCCCATTTTTTTCCATTTACTCCTCTCCTAATTTTACCTGTAACCTACTGCTGGAGGTGGGAGGAGATGAGGAAAGGAGAGTAAAAGGAGACAATTTTCTCTAAATGACTTCCAGCATTCCTAGCTCTATATCTGAAGAATGGGGGCTCTCAACAAAGTCTTAAATGTAAGATTTTATTTAAGATGCAGCTTACTGATGCCAATACTGCAAGAATTTTGCCAGATTATCACAACTGGGGAAGGAGGCCTTAGGAGGCTGTTGACCCACAGGGTAAGACAGAGGCCAGACCCAGGAGTTTTTGGTCTTCTAAACTTAATCCTATCCCTCTTGAACCTTTGCATACTGATGCTCACAGGAAATGAAGAAGGCAGAGACAGTGAAGTTTGGCAGGGGTGAGTCTGTCTTTCTTTGGGAGTGCTGGGAGTGGAGCTGGTTGTTACATGTTTGGGAGAGACACCCAGGAAATAAGAGAGAATTCTGCTCATTACTAAGACATATTTATGATATATAATAGGCACTCATCTAGCTAACTCTATTCTGGGTTTCAATTGCCTCATCTGTAACATGGGATTACTGAGTGTCTTGATTACATTGATCATCTTATATTCATGCATGGCATTCATACAATTGTTCTAATCAACTGGACCTGTCAATGGGAAAGTCCCCTTTGCTGTAGCCCAAAGAAGGTTACTCAGGTCAGCTCCCAAAACGGATTCACGTAAAGTTTTTGCTTCCAAGTCTATACCAGTAAATTTCCAATCTATCAGGCCTTCCAAAGCTGCGATTCACAGGAACCAAGTTCCCAGGGAGGAAATGAATATAAACAGAGTTCACATTTGTCTGTGTGTGGCCTACCCAGATGTAAACAGATTACTCAACCAGGGCAAACACATGAGGTGCCAACATCAAACTCGAACAGTGACAGTGCCAATTATGACTGGGCTTGCCTTCTTGAATTTGAAATGTCACTTACATTGGAGAAATGTTCAGTATGTAAAAGCCCTGTGAAAGATAAACCAACCATACCACTATGACTTTCATTCCCATACATGTCATGAGAAAGAAGCCAAGTAGAATAACCAACTTGCTGTGCTGTGCTGCAAACCTTCAAATGCCATGATTTTTGAAGAAATAGAATTATTCGATGTAGTCCACAAGTCATATGAACATAAAGGCCCTGGAGGGCCCCCAGGCAAATGAAGAGGGCTGGGTGGGCACAGTGTGAAACCTAAGAGTGTGGGACTCAGTTCCAGCGATCACTTGCTATGAGGCTACAAGGGGCCGGAACTTCCTATTTTTTCAAGAGAAGACAAAAATCAAGATTGTTTATGGGAAGCTTCCTAACATTAAAATGTTGGCAATGACAAACTTTTTAAATTACTGTGCAGGCAAACAAGACACAGCTATGGGCCAGATTCAGCTTGTGAGTTGCCAAATTCCTAGGCTTCTTCTATAGATAAAATTATAGACATGGAAAATGTCAGATTTCAATGGTTTTAATGTAAGCAGTGTATAGTGTAAAAATGTCAGCCTAGGAGTCAAGAAACTTGTACATCTGTGCTAGATCTGTTGTGTTCTTATGAAGAAAAGGTGGGCAAATCACTTGCCTTCCTGGAGTCTTCATTTCCTACCCTCTGAAATGGAGGTAGACCTCAAGGTTATTGTGAGGATTATACCAAAGTGGGCAATGATACAAGAACAGCACTCAGTGCACTGCCTAGTATATTACACCATAGTCCACTTTGCATCTCTGTTTTCACAGCTGAAAATTTGGGATAATAATAATTTTACGTCAAAGAAGCTATTGTTTGAATTAAGTGGGATAATACAAACAAAGGGCTTAGCACAGTGCCTGACAGAGAGTAAGAGCTCAATAAATATTTGTTATTATTATTATTTGTAACCAACAAACTTTTAGTTCTAAATTTTACAGACACAGATACAGAGACCTAGAGAGAAAGATGGTTTATCAATAGCCCCAGTTGTGTGTAGCAAACTCAGAATCAAGAAACAGGTCTCCTGACTTCTGACTGGCAAACTTATCCATGAAGTTCTAGTTTCAACAAAACTCTTGGCTCACAAAGTGCTCTTATTTTATATTGGCTTCATCAGTATATTCAATATTAATCAATAGGCTGGGATCATTTTTGTTGTTAGTGATTTATAAAGTTGATATGATTGTATCTTAATTTATTGATAAAGTAGGAGAGGAACAGGGAAGAAAAATATTGGCAGATTTTCTCCATTATATAAAGTCCAAAAAAAGTTTGTACTTTTCCATAAAATTCAAAGGATTAACTAATTTTTATTTTTAGAAAACCTACTGCATGAAATGGCCTGCATTCTGATTCATTATATAAAATTAGAGTTTTGTTGTCTTTCCTATAACAGCACTGAAACCAACATCCTTCATGATTCCAATAATATGTTTGACATCTGCAGAAAAAGAATGCTATCCTATTTAAATAGATAAAGTTATCCCAAACCACTGTTTAGGTAAACAGGGCTTATGTATATAAATAATGTCTAGGTAAAACACTCAGGAATCTAACTTTGAAAGCAAAACTTCATAAATATTTAGAAAACAAGGTGAGAGACAGTATTGTAAAGAATCAACAAAATTGAAAGTTCCAAAAACATGTAGTTTACTTAATATGGGCCAGAAAATAGGGCCCTATTTTTAATAATAATTTGTTCATTGCCTACTACCTCTCATTCCTACTTACCTCTCATTCATCTGCATTCCATATCTTTTGTTCTCTTCAGTTCTACATATCTTGTCCCCCTTAAGGACCTAACACTCTACAGTCTCCCCTTATTTTCTCTCATGTTCCCATCCAGTCTCCGTGAACACCTATGGTGAGATCAGTCTAGTCAGAAAGTCTATATTAAACATATGCTCCATCACCTTTTAACCAGTCCCAGAGCAGGTGCTTGGAGCAACCTTAGAAAGTCTTGTTCTCTCAGAGAGTTATCTCATTCTGCTACTTCTCTCATGTTTTCTAAGTTTTCCATTTGTTTAAAGACTTAATTAATACTAACTAGGAGTCAGCCACTGACCCAACCCACTCAGGTTCATTGATTCAACAAATGGCAATCTCAGGTGGCCATTTATACCTCCATCCAGGTATGTCCTTAGTTACTATTCAAAACTGTGGAAATAACCACACTAAGCAACTTTAAAGTCTTTACTTTCTTGATGATATTTTAAGCTCCTTCAGAAAAGGGAATGAGTATTGTTGGCATTTGGAAACATTTCTCCTACCAAACACATAGTAAAATGTCCTTCACTTAGTAAGCATCCTAGTAATAACTTGTTAAATTATGGCTCAAATTTATGTCTGATCATCATTTTAAAACACCTTTATCTCTTAAAATTCTCAGTGCTTTCCCAGGAGAAAGTAGAGATGAACTCATTACTATACCTGGCAAAGTGAAAAGCCCAAACTGGATTGCTGTCGCCCTTCTAGTTTGTTACACAACTAGAATATGAAGCTGGTTAGAAATCACATCCATCCAGGCTGCCAGATCTATCAAGCATCCTATCGAAGATATTAACATATGAGCTCGTTAGAGTGCGATTTATGCATTACCATCATAGATAATGGAGACGAAAAGGAACCCGTCAAATCACAGGGCCTATTTGTCTGCTCAAGGAAAGTGTTAAATTAAAATGATTATTTATATATGTTCTGTAGAGCTTTGAAGACTTTATTCTTTATATTCCCTTGACAATTTGGCAAGGGGCAAAGAGCACAGTGGTCCCCCACTATTTGTGGTTTAGCTTTCCATGGTTTCAGTTACCCACTGCCAACTGCAATCCAAAAATGGGTGGATAGTACAGTAAGATATTTGGAGAGAAAGGCCACATTTACATAACATTTATTACAGTATTTTGTTATGATTGTTCTATTTTATGGTTAGTTATTGTTGTTAATCTCTTACTGTGCCTAATTTATAAATTAAACTTTATCATAAGTATATACGTATAGGAAAAATCATAGTATATACTGTATAGGGTTTGTTACTATCTGCAGTTCCAGGCATCCACTGGGGGTCTTAGAATGTATCCCCTGCAGATAAAGGGAGACTACTGTATGTCCATTTTATATGGGTGAAGAAGAGAGTAACCCATATTCTTCAGAGATTCCAGTTCTGTCCCCTGAGCTCAGACAATGAAATGTTTAGGTCACAGATTTCAGGATAAAAATTCTCTGACAGGTTTATATGTTCCTAATCAGAGTACAAAAGTTAATTATAATGAAGTTTACTGTCATTTTATAGGCATGACTTTACATAATGAGGCCATTTATTTCTTTATAAAATGTAGTTACAATTCAGATATTCAGCTGCAAGCTGAACAGTAGTGGCTTAGCAATGGCTTCATGGACCAAAATAGAGATATAAATAGCGCAATCATTCCTTAGGTAATTTATTACCTACTCATTCACTTAGGAAAGGTTTTTTTCATAAAATGGAGCTCTTTATTAAAACAACTAACTACCTTTCTTTATATTTACCAAAACAATAGAAAGAACAATAGCAAAAGAAATTCAAACAGCTAGATACAATTAGGTGGCACATCCACAAACCTTATACTGTTATTTGTCACTTCGCAATCTAAGCATGATCACAAACACACAACTAATTAGTCCTCGTGCTATCCTTAAGTTTTTTGCTGTGTGTGTGTGTATGTGTGTGTGTGTGTGTGTGCGTGCGTGTGTTGGGTGACACGCTTTGCTCAAAGCCATCTGTCCAGCATTATGAGTGTCTAAACTCTATGTGATCTTTCTTATATTTAAGTTTTCACTTTCTCTAACATTCACACTAACAAAAAAAATACATCTCTGTTGTCTGCCTGCTATTTAGTACAGAGTATTCCCTCTTTCTCTTTCCAAGTTTCCTGATTGCCCTTCTCTTTATTGTCTTTGCAGAAAGGAAAAAACAGGCAGTCTAGAGATACGACAAATTTTATGACACCACTGCAGGTTAGTTTCTAATTTGGAAAGTAGTTCTGAAAGTTTAAGGAGTTGCTGTGTGTATTACTCTAAAGTTCAGTCTACAAGCCTCCACAGCTGCTGCCCTGATTAGCTGACTCAAATACAGCTCAGATACTATACTATTTTAAAAGGACTTGGAATTACCTAAACATCAATCTATTTCAGACTTTCTTCCTTTAAAAAATGTAAATATTTTCCTTACACAGTACACAACACACACATACACACATACTATTTAAGTGCCCAAAGGAACTGCACTGTATTAGATATTTTGACATTTTTTTTCCTAGAACTTTGTAACAGGCAATACTGACTCAGACAGACATGTAGTGAGCATTCAGCAAACACTACATAAATCATGAACTGTGAAGAGACAATGCAATGTCTGTCCCACATATGACAGCCTAAGGGCTTTTGAGGTGGAGAAACAAAGATAGATATAAAACTAGGAAAAACTGTCCAATCTCTAATGATACCTATGTCTAGTAGGCTCAGGAGCCTGAAAGATTTTTGGTTTGCTTATCAAACCAAAAGAAGTAGAACTAGCAAAGCGGCTTGACAAATTTAAAAGGAAAGTGGCTCAAATGAGGCAGGAGATTCTTAAAGGGGGAAATTATCATATTATCATAAAGATCCAAATGAACCTTAAAAGAAAGGATTGTGAAAAAATAGTGCTAACCAAGTGGCTGCACAGGCAGATCTCTCATAGGCTTATATTTTCAAAGACTCTTCACAAAGAAAGAAAAAATGTCCAAGGTGAAGAATGCATACAAAGTCTCAGGAAGGCTAAAGCAGAGAAAGAACTAAGGACTTTTGATAAAATTGTGAAGAAATAAAAGTGCCTTTTCTTCTATGAGTCCTTTTTTAAAGCTCACTCCAAAAAGAAAAACAAAAGATAGGTTAGCTAATTGTAGTACAGTTAATGTTCATAGAAGAAAAAACCAGACCACTCTTTTGCAGTCATTTTCTCTATCAGGATGGTTTTCAAACAAAAAGGGCCAAAATTAACAAAGAGAATATTCGTTTATTTATTTTACTGGCTGATTACTTAAATTATTTATTAATGTCTAAATGCTAGGAATTGCACCAGCATCTGGAAAAAAATGTTGGTGCATAAGGCAAACATGGTCTTTTGACCTCATGGAACTTGAATTCTAGTGCATTTAAAACAGAAAAGGAAATCTGACAGCTTCCTTAATATAGTCACACACACATCCTCCAAGGTTAGTAAAGAAGTTATCTATCACTCGTTTGGCAACCTTGAAGTGCTAAAGATTCATTTTATTAATAGAGCTGTCAGATTTCTTTACAATGTCTAAGAGATGATGAGGAAATAGTAATAGAGCACTTGACTGATTGAGTTTGAGACTCCAGGACCAAATAAATCAGATTCTAAAATACTGAAATATTTTATGCGGTAACTGTAAAACATATAGTGAATTTTATTCTTTAAAACTCTTATAAGAATTTCAAAAACTACACAAATATTAAGTGCTTTTTTTTTTTTTTTAACAATTCTAACCATATAGAGAGACTACAGAAGAAGACATAGTTATGGGATCACGATAATGTTGCAATCGAGGTCCTTATGCACATATTTTAATGGAGTGGCGTGCTGGAGCCCACTCATATAGACTCAGTACAGCCAATTGTGTGCATCTCTCCCCAATTCTGCATTTAGGGATGGCACATTAGTAACCTGGACTTGACCATAATGGGAGTATTTACAGCATGGACAGTGGTAAGTACTACAACGAGATTTTCTTCCTTTCTTCCTTCCTTTTTTCCTTCCCTTCCTTCCTCCCTCATCCTCTTCCTTCCTTTCATTTCTCTCCTCCTTCTTCTCCTTTGTTCTGGAGAGCAACTGGTAAAACATTTACCAGTACACTAATGTTTTAATATAATATGCTGTGACTTCTGAAGAATTGTTTCCCAGAGGGTTTTCTGGATGTGTACAATTTTAATTTTCATAGATGCCACCAGGTTATTTTTCATACTGTAAAAATTTATACTATGATTATAAGCATATGAATGTGTATGTGTGTGTGTGTGTGTGTGTGTGTGTATATATATATATATATATATTTAAACTGAGTCCTCACCAGTCATATGATGAATGTTCTACCTGCTTTTTATTTTAACCAATGAAACAGATAAAAAATTGTGTCCATTATTGTTTTAATTTGTGATACCCAGATTACAAATGAGATAGGGGATCTTTTTTTTTCCCATACAGGTACCAGCAATTTGCATTTCTCTTCTGTGAACTGCCTGTTCATGTACTTTGCTTATTTTTCAACTTTAGTCATTTACTTTTTATCACTTAGTCTGATCAGATGAGTTATATATTATATGAACTTTTGTTCTGTCATTTGTTACAAGTATTTTCCCTACTCTATTTTTGATCTTTAGACTTTGTCTTGATATCTTTTGCCAAACATTTTCAGCAAAAAAAGTGTTTATCTTTTTTTTGTGGTTCTTGGGTTTTGTGTTTGATTTAAGCAGTTCTCCCCATATCAAAGGCTTCAAGAAAAGTAAGATGATTAAGTGGTTAAGAGCTTGGACTCTGCACACAAAGAGCTTTAGTTTGAATCCTAGCTCTTCCACTCTGAATGCCAGGCAGCTTTAAGTCTGTTTCTCATCTATAAGTTGGGCAAAGAATACCAAATTTATGGGGCTATTATGATGAATAAATATTTAACTATGTATTGTGAAATTTTCTGTTCATCTCTCCTCATTGTACTGTCTCCCCTATCCGGAAATGTCTACATTGGTTCAATTTTCAATTAGTCATATTAGTTCACCAAATGTTTTTACAGACGGAGTATAATAATGGCAGAGAGAGCGGCCAAGATGGCCGATTCAAAGCAGCTAAGGTCTGTGGCACTCACAGAGAGGAATGAAAGTGGCAAGTGAATTTAGCACCTTAAACTGAAGTGTCTAAGTTCTCCCATTGGGACTGACTACACACACTGACTCAACCCATGGAGGATGAAGAAAAGCATGGTGGGCCAACAGCCCACCCAGAAGTGGCATGGAACCAAAGGAACCCTACCCCCAGCCAAAGGAAGTGGCAAGTGATTTTGCAACCCTGCTGGAGAAACCATGCTTCTTCCAGGGATCTTTGCAACCCGTGGGATCAGGAGATCCCCTCGTGAGCTCACACCATCACGACCTGGAGTCTGATACACAGAGCTGTGTGGAGCCTCAGAAGAGCCCCCGCTCAGGCACACACAGACACCCAAGAGTTTTACATACTCTGGCCCTGGGATCCCCAGCAAGGCAGGAGATCTCTCTGTACACATCCCTAGGAAGGGGGCTGAATCCAGGGGGCCAAGAAGCATTGTTCTGCAGGCCCCACTTCTATAGCAACTCATAAGTTAAGACCCTCTAACTTGGAATTCCAGCCAATCAACAGCAACAGGCTGGAGGCTTGAGACAGGACCGAGTTCCTGGAGGGAGGGTTGGCCACCACCTCTGTGGTTTGGTAGACTCAGCTGTTCCAGCCTGCCAGCATTGGAGAATCCAAACAGTCTGGATGAGGAAGGGTCCCCCACAACACAGCACACTTGCTCTAACAAAAAGCAGCCAGACTGCTTCTTTAGGCAGGTCCCTGATCCCATTCCTCTTGATGGGATGAGACCTCCCAACATAGGTCTCCAGCCACCTCCTACAGGTATACTCAGGCCGGCAACAGGTCAGTACCCACCTGGGACGGAGATTCCAGAAAAAGGAGCAGGGTGCCATCTTTGCTGTTTTGCAGGCTTCACTGGTGATACCTCCAGGCATGGGAAAAATGGAGGCAACTAGGGTCTGAAGCAGACCCCCAGCAAACTGCAGCAGCCCTATGGAAGAGTGGCCTGACTGTTAAAAGAAAAACAAACAAACAGAAACAATAATGTCAACAAAAAAGACCCTACAAAAACCCCATTCAAAGGTTAGCAACCTCAAATATTGAAGGTAGATAAGCCCACAAAGATGAGAAAGAATCAATGCAAAAATGCTGAAAACTCAAAAAGCCAGAGTGCCTGTTCTCCTCCAAATGACCGCAACACCTCTCCAGCAAGAGCACAGAACTGGGCTGAGGCTGAGATGGCTGAATTGACAGAAGTAGGCTTCAGAAGGGGGGGTAATAACAAACTTTGCTGAGCTAAAGGAGCATGTTCTAACTCAATGCAAAGAAGCTAAGAAACATGATAAAATAATACAGGAGTTGATAGCCAGAATAGCCAGTTTAGAGAGAAATATAACCAACCTGATGGAGGTAAAAAACACAAGAATTTCACAATGCAATCACAAGTATCAATAGCAGAATAGACCGAGCAGAGGAAAGAATCTCAGAGCTTAAAGACCATCTTTCTGAAATAAGACAAGCAGACAAGAACACAGAAAATAGAATGAAAAGGAATTAAAAAAAAAAAACCTCCAAGCAATACGGGATTATGTTAAGAGACCAAACTTCTGATTTACTGGGGTACCTGAAAGAGATGGAGAGAATGTAACCACGTTGGAAAACATACTTCAGAGTATCATCCAGGAGAACTTCCCCAACCTAGCAAGACAGGCCAACATTCAAAGTCAGGAAATCCACAGAACCCCAGTACAATACTCCATGAGAAGATCAACCCCAAGAAATGTAATCATCAGATTCTCCAAGGTCAAAATGAAAGAAAAAATGTTAAGGGCAGCCAGAGAGAAAGGTCAGGTCACCTACAAAGAAAGCACATCAAACTAATACTGGACCTCTCAGTGGAAACCCTATAAGCCAGAAGAGATTGGGGACCAATATTCAACATTCTTAAAAAAAAAAAAGAAGAAGAATTTCCAACTAAGAATTTCGTATCTGGCCAAACTAAGCTTCATAAGCAAAGGATAAATAAGAAACTTTTCAGACAAAGAAATGCTGAGGGAATTCATCAGCACCAGGCTTGCCTTGCAAGAGCTCTTGAAGGAAGCACTAAATATGGGAAGGAAAAACTGTTACCACTACAAAAACACAATTAAGTACACAGACCAGTAGTAACACAATAAAGCAACCACATAAACAAGTCTACAATATGACCAGCTAGCACCATGATGACAGGATCAAATTCACACGTAACAATGCTAACCTTTAATGTCAATGGGCTAAATGTCCAATTAAAGGACACAGACTGGCAAGCTGGATAGAGAGCCAAGATCCATCAGTATGCTGTCTTTAAGAGACCCATCTTACATGCAAAGACACACACAGGCTCAAAATAAAGGCATGGAGGAAAATTTGCCAAGCAAATGGAAAGCAGAAAAAAGCAAGGGTTGCAATCCTAGTTTCTGACAAAACAGATGTTAAACCAACAA
The DNA here is from genome assembly GCF_000001405.40 of Homo sapiens. NCBI lineage: Eukaryota > Metazoa > Chordata > Mammalia > Primates > Hominidae > Homo > Homo sapiens. The sequence continues at coordinate 28,734,535 of NC_000003.12, read as the reverse complement.
AGACCAAAAAAGACAAGGGCATTACATAATGTTAAAGGATTCAATTCAACAAGAAGAGTTAACTATCCTAAATATATATGCACTCAATACAGGAGCACTCAGATTCATAAAGCAAGTTCTCAGAGACCTACAAAGAGACTTAGACTTCCACAAAATAATAGTGGGAGACTTTAACACTCCACTGACAATATTAGATAGGTCATAGAGACAGAAAAATAACAAAGATATTCAGGATCTGAACTCAGCTCTGGATCAAGTGGACATGGTAAATATATAGAGAACTCTCCACCCCAAAACAACAGAATATACATTCCTCACATCACCACACAACACTTACTCTGAAGTTGATCACATAAGTGGAAGTAAAACACTCTCAGCAAATGCAAAAGAACTGAAATCACAACTAACAGTCTCTCAGATGACAGTGCAATCAAATTAGAACTCAAGATTGAGAAATGCACTCAAAACCACACAAGTACAAAGAAATTGAACAACTTGCTCCTGAATGACTCCTGGGTAAATAATGAAATTAAGGCAGAAATCAAGAAGTTCTTTGAAACTAATGAGAACAAAGAGACAATGTACTAGAATCATTGGGATGCAGCTAAAGCAGTGTTAAGAGGGAAATTTATAGCATTAAATACCCGCATCAAAAAGCTAGAAAGATCACAATTAACAACCTAACATGACAACTAAAAAAACTGGAGGACCAAAAGTAAACCAAGCCCAAAGCTAGCAAAAGACAAGAAATAACCAATATCAGAGCTGAACTAAATGATATAGAGACACAAAAAAACCCTTTAAAAAAATCAATGAATCCAGGAACTATTTTCTTGAAAAAATTAATAAAATAGATAGACCTGTAGCTAGAATAATAAAGAAGAAAAGATAGAAGATTCAAATAAACACAACCAGAAATAAAAAGGGGGATATAAACACTGACCACATAGAAATACAAACAGCCATCAAACCTACTATAAACACCTCTATAAACACTTCTATGTACATAAATTAGAAAATATAGATGAAATGGATAAATTCCTAGACACATAAACCCTCCCAAGACTGATCCAGGAAGAAATTAAATCTCTGAATAGAACAATAACGAGTTCTAAAATTGATGCAGGAATAAAGAGCCTACCAACCAAAAAGGAAAAAAAAAAAAAAAGAATCCCAGGACCAGATGGATTACAGCTGAATTCTACCAGAGATACAAAGAAGAGGTAGTACCATGCCTACTGAAACTATTCCAAAATATAGAAAAGGAGAGACTCCTCCTCCCTAACTCATTCTATGAGGACAACATCATCCTGATACCAAAACCTAGCAGAGATACAACCAAAAAAAGAAAACCACAATGAGATACCATGTCATGCCAGTCAGAACAGCTACTATCAAAAAGTCAAGAAACAACAAATGCTGGCAAGACCATGGAGAAATAGGAACACTTTTATACTGTTGGTGGGAATGTAAATTAGTTCAACCACTGTGGAAGACAGTGTGGTGATTCCTGAAAGACCTAGAACCAGAAATACCATTTGACCCAGCAATCCCATTATTCAGTATGTACCCAAAAGAACATAAATCATTCTATTATAAAGATACATGCACGTGTATGTTCACTGAAGCACTATTTGCAATAGCAAAGACATGGAATCAACCTAAATGCCCATCAATGATAGACTGGATAAATAAAATGTGATACATACACACCATGAAACATTATGCAGCCATAAAAAGGAATGAGATCATGTACTTTGCAGGGACATGGATGGAGATGGAAGCCATTAAATACTATGAAATACTATGCAGCCATAAAAAGGAATGAGATCATGTACTTTGCAGGGACATGGATGGAGATGGAGGCCATTAAATACTATGAAATACTATGCAGCCATAAAAAGGAATGAGATCATGTACTTTGCAGGGACATGGATGGAGATGGAAGCCATTAAATACTATGAAATACTATGCAGCCATAAAAAGGAATGAGATCATGTACTTTGCAGGGACATGGATGGAGTTGGAAGCCATTATCCTCAGCAAACTAGCACAGGAACAGAAAACCAAGTGCTGCATGTTCTCTTTTATAAGTGGGAGCTGAATGATGAGAACACATGGACACATGAGGTGGGGAATAACACACACTGGGGCCTGTAGGAAGGTGGACATGAGGGGAGGGAAAGTATTAGGGAGAATAGCAGATGGGTGCTGGGCTTAATTCGTAGGTGATGGAATTATCTATTCAGCAAACCACCACGGTACATGTTTACCTATGTAACAAACCTGCACATCCCTAAACTTAAAATAAAAGATGAAGAAAAAAAGAATGGCATGCCCTCTGAAGTTTTCCCATTCAGGTAAGTGAAATATCAGACGGGATTTCAGGCTGTTCCTCTTCCCCTCAATAACTCCTAGATATTCCATTGTTCTAACTTCAGTGGTTACAAGATAGTGCTGGTCTGATTCTCTTTCCCTAAATGAAATATATTTTCTCTCTGGAAGCTTAGAAAATTTCTTGGTCTCTTTGTCCTTCCAGGATTTCACCAGAAAATAGATATGTCTATCTATGTATACTCTTGCATATATATATCCCCCAACACATATACAGACATATCCTATGTATGTGTAACTCCAGTGTACACATACCAACATACCTATAAATATATCTATATATGTATTCACACGTTTATGTACACATGTGTATAAATATGTTAGATATATGAGTGTGCATACATATATACATATATATATCTGTGTACACACAATTTTTTTCTTCAGGGAAACTTTCTGGACCTTGAAAGTTTTCAAACAGAAATTTCAAGTCTTTCTTTATATCAAAGAGCTTTTCTTGTTTGTTTGTTTGTTTTAATTATTGTTGCTCCTCAATCTGCTTCTTTTTTCCTCCTGGAAAATTTTTTTATTTGCAATTTAAGTGTCTTGGAACTATCGTCTGTCTCTTACATTTTTCACTCAAATGTTTGCTCCTTTGTATTTTTGCTCTATGCTGTGAGATAATCCATATATTTGATCTTCCAGGAATCTCAGAAGAGACTATTTTCCTTTCAAATTGTCTATTGAATTTTTAAATTTGCAAAGCATTTTTAATTAATTCTAGAATGTAAGAATTCTAACTGCATGTCCTTTAAATCATCTTACTTTTTTGGTAAAGTTTCCATGTGTCAATTCTATTATTTCCATATCAATAGAAAAACATTTTCAAGTGCTTCATTTGGCTGTTTACATAATTTTAGTTCTTTCTCTTTTCATCAGCATAGTGACATTGCACTTCTTATGCATGTGAAGTTAAGGGTGACTTGATTTTGCCATTAAAACGTGAGAAATGTGTTGCATGTAACTTCAGGGCAGAAGCTTTAAGAGCCAGTGCATATGTCAAATTTTCTCTCTGTCAGAGCAACCACCATTGTTCCAGTAAGTGGCTTTTCTATCACCCTGAATCTGTAGTAAGGATGTTAATGCCATGGAGAAGAGCCCTCCAGGCAACCCTTGGTGAACAGTGAACATGGACCTTGAGTGAGAATTAATCTTATTTTAAGCTATTTAGTTTTTGGGGTCATTTGTTATTGCAGCAAAGTCTAGTATATCCTGACTGAATTAGTCTGCTTAGTCTTCCTCTCAGAGCTGAAATTTTGCTTTTCTTCTCACTGTTGAGTGCTCCCACAGTAACTTGCAGAGATTAAGCTGTTGGATTTTCTCACGCAGAGGGAACCCATGAGTCAATAGAAGGCGTATATCTTATGTTGTTAGGCCAGCTGTGAATGAGCTTGTTCTTCTCCTGGGATGTGGGAATGGTTCCTTTCTAACATCAAGTTTTTTATTGTACAGGTAACGTTCCTCTTTTACATGTGATGACTGGAAGACATTCAGCCTTCCCATGTAGTAAAACACTATGTTTAAATTGATCCAGCAGGATAGGGAACCCTGCGAAGAGCAAAAGCAGCAGGCAGGAAGGTGTGGGCTCCTCACAAAATCTCAAAAGTCATCATCTCGACCCACCCAATAATTAAGGTAAAGCAAGTCTTTTCTGTTGCTTACTTCTTGATTCTTGACCAATATCTTTGAGAAGGAAGCTTTGTACCTGCTTTCTTCCTAGAACTCTCTGGAGAATGTGGAATCACAGACATACCCTCAAGTTTCCTCTAGTCTTCTTACATTGGTTATTGTGATGCTCCAAAGAGAAGTTAAGAGGGATAGGTGGACAAAATGAGTGATAAATGCAGTCATCTTCACAGAATCCCCAAGAAGATTTAAAGAGAATAGGAAAGATGCCAGGTGCTCAGAAAGAAATGAATGTTCTGGTTTTCAAAATAAACGGGAAATGAGAAATGGAAAAAAAAACACAGACTCCAGAAATTGCTGACCTTGATATCAAGCCTCAATACAATTTTAATATGCATATTAAATAAATTGTAGATGCTTCAAAAGAAGTGATTATCAAAATTAGCATTGGTTTGCCTAGATATAGTTGCTAAGCCTGGTCAACTCAGGAAAGTACTATAAACACAAAACAAGAAGCTCAGTGAAAGATTTTACTGTTTCAAGATATGCTTTTAAAGAAGAGAGAGAAATGACTAATAGTAAGATGGACTAATGGCTGGTTGAAAAAAATATTTTCAAAGAGTATTAATTAATGACCTCAAGTCAATGTGGAAGAAAATCTGTACAAATTGCAGAAAGTTGTTATCCTTTTCAACGACATATATCAATGTCAGGTACAATAGAAGAAATTTGGATTAACAGAAGCTCATATAAATAAGACCCGGAAACTTTAGTTAGCTACAGGGTCATGATACTGCACAAATGATATGATTGCCAAAATGATATGATATGATTGCCAAAACAGCATAGGAAATCTTATGCTGTATTATAAAGACGTTCAGAGTCTAAGAGCTAAGCAAGGTGAGAATCAGAGTAATAGATTTTATATTGACAAACCCATATGATGCCTTTCTGCTAAAAAAAAAAAAAAAAAAAAAAAAAAAATGGAGGCCCTTCCCGTGCAAAGACAAAACCCTGAGCCAAGGCATGTGACTTGGTGGGTTGGAGTGCAGGCTGGAAGTTAGCATACCTTTTCCTCCTTTTTCAGGCACTCTCACAGAGCACACAATATACACAACTACAGGGCAGCCTTGGTAACCAACTCCTATACATTGCTCAGACCTCAGCTAGAAGATTTTGCTCTGAACTGAGTATTCCTTTTTAAGGGAGACTTTCAAAGTAGGATTCTTTCAAAGATGAACTGAATAGCAATTAGTCTGAAAAATAAGTCATAAGAAAAATGATTTAAAAACCTGAGAAAGATAGGCTTGATAAGAAAAAACTCAGGAGACCGTAATAGCAGACTTCAACTATTTGAAAGGAAGGGGATTTAGATTTATTCTGGGTAGATCCAGAAGGTCAAATGAGGACTAGCAGGTAAACTAAAAATGCCTTGTCTGTGGTGAGTACTCAAACAATACGTCAAATCAAAATTATAACAAGATGTGTTTTCATTTAAATTAAAGTGGTATTTTCCCATAAATATGGCAACTCAAAAATGGGATGGCTTCTTTTAAAAAGAATAGGTCTCTCATAAGTAAAGAATTAGTTCTATTAGTCAAGAATTTTATAGAAGAGCCTCCATTAAACACAGGTTTAACCAGCAGAACTCTTTCAAGATTCAGTACAATTTCATAGCCTACAGTGTTGACTATGCACATATAAGGAAATATAAGAGATACAAATATAAATCAGGTGCATTTTCTGCCTTGAAGTAGTTCATCTTCTAGAAATGGAGACATACACGTACACAACTATAATGCTAAGCTTTAAACAATTATTTTATGTATGCTACCAGTATACAGAATAAACCTAAACAATAGACACTACCTATTTTATTTTTATTCTCACCTGCCAGAATTGAAGACTGAATGATCTAATAATTTGCCATATATGTTTATTCTCCTAAGTGTTTAACCCCATTATCTACACAAAGCACAATTTAATCACAAGATACCACTACAGTCTATTTTACTCTAAGGTATAAGAAAACAGACCTGAACACAGTGCCTGATGCACAATTCTCATTCATGTTTCAATATTTCATGCTTCTTAGGGATCCCATACATCTGGCTTTCCCAGGAGGGTCCGGACTTTGCCTATTGTCCAGCATAATGACTAACACCACTCCCTTCTATCTCACAAGTGTCCGATTTGGGCAGTAAATTATAGGGTCACCCTGACACTACCCTACCTTCCTAATGCCCTATGCTCTACTTTGTGGAATATAAAGAAAGAAACACAAAAGCACTAAGTGTGTAGTTGAGAATTGAACACAATACTTTACCGTTATGAACATTACTTAAATGCCTTTGATACAAAGCAGATTAAAATAGTAATCCAAGCAAAATACAAAGTGTGGTAGAAGGAAAGAAAACCTCCAACCAAAGACAAGAGAAAGCCTCTCTGAGAAATAGAGAATTTTCTTAAAACAGAAATGGGGGCTAAAATTTCAGTAAGTGGAATGGACATTCCAACCAGGATATGAAAATGCTTTAATACTCATGTTTATTCATGCATTCTTTTATTCACCTAACAAATGAGAATATAAATAAAATAGGTTCAAGGAACACTATATTATGTATGTAACAAAATAAGGAAATGGAAATATCAGGTTAGTCAGATATTCCTTTTTTTGTTGTTGTTAACAACAGAAATTAAAATGGAAAGAAAATAAGAGCAAATAGGTTTCCAATGTATTTTACATATTATTGTTAGCAAATGTGATGCAGTATAACTACCTTAAAAAGTAATGGTTTGTCCCTCAGAGGCTTTTTTCATTCAAGTTATTTTTTTCCTCTTTCTCCTTCCTAGGGATTTATGATTTAACAGGCTGTAATAAGCAAGATAAAGCCATTCATCATGCAGGCTTAATGTGGGAAAGTAAATTTAACTTGGTGAGCTTGATATATAAATATTGGTCTTTTTGGGAACACACAGAGCATATTTACTTGAGTGTAAAATCCAGGCTCTATACTATGTCCAACAAATTTCTAAGGTCTGAGGTACAGGGGAAGGGCCTTTAGTGCTTTAGGTTATGGAGACTGTTGAAACTACTACTAGGGGTGGAAGAAAGGCATTTTGTGTATTCTAGCTTTCCTAGCCTCTGCTTTTTTGAGGACATTTTAATACCAGTATATTTTATCTCAGTGTTTATATCTATATTTCAGAAAATGAAAATTAAAATCTAGTCATCTGGAAATTTCAGTGTTGGTTTTCTGTTGGTGGATTTTTTTTCACACGGACTTTTGGAATGTCCCTGCTGATAACAGAGCAAATGAAGATGGCATTTTATGACTTTTAATGCTATGTCTAGACAGCTTGTTCATAGGTCATTAACCATACACCAAAAGGGCTTTAACCATACACCAAAACCATACACCAGAAGGGCTTTAGGTGGTAGATCAGGGAACTGCCACCAGAGGGGGCCAACTGAGGCTGTATAACAACCAGTTACCACAGACAAAATAGAGGTGTTGGCAGGCTGATCGGTCAAAGGGCAATGACTTCACTTTTATTCATTTTCTCCTTGTGATTTCAACATTCTTTAGATAAAGCTGAGATTTAGAATGAGAAATTTGGAAAGGTACCTACGTAATACATTTAAACCTCCAGTACTAAAAGCTATGCTTAAAACTCTCAGTGGATATGTTCCAATCTTATAATTTAAAATATCCTGGGATAATTTTTTTAAATTTTAACATATTTAAAATAAAATTGGAAGGCTGCATACATGAATAACATAACTTTCATCAGAGGTAGTGATTTCAGTCAAATCATCATCAATATCCAAAATTTTGGCTAAGCCAAAATAGAAGCTATCTCATTGTCAGGCTCAGCTAGGGTAACTTAACTTAAATACAAAGAATGATAAGAAGCCAAGTTATCAAGGAATGCTATGTCATATCTCTTCTTTTCCAAACGTCTTTAAAACAAGTATGCTATATCCAGTTACTAGAGATGATTCAGTTCAACTCAACAGACAATGTTAGATGCTTACCGTATGATAGGCTCAAGGTGCTGGAGAATGAAAGTTGAATAGGAACTTCCCTCAATAGGCTTACAATCTTCTGATTTAGGGTATCAGACTAATATAAAGGCAAGGAGATCGATTTAAATTATTAATTTTCAATTTGCCTAACTGCTTCAACTACTATATGCAACTATATGTACTGTTTGAGGAAGATATACACAAACTATGGTAGTGAAGTCACCTTTAAGGAGCTCAGGAATCTAGACTATACACGAGATATAAACATAGAGAAATATGACAAGACAATACTCTATGAATCCTGAAAATACCTTCTTTAGTTCAGTTGATGATATAGTCAAAGTGGTCTCCAAACTTGTCAGAGAAGGCTTCAGACAAAGGATGAGAATGAAGGGAAGGTTGGATTCAGGAAGACTAGCAGGCAGCATTCTAGGAGGTTAGGGTGAGTGGGGAAAAAATCACAGGAAAGAAATCTATGCAATTTTCTGGAAATTAAAGTAGGACAGGAAAAGTAATGAAACAAATGCTACAGTTAAGAGGACAAAAGTCTTCAATGATAAGGCCAGAAACATTTATGGTAATGGTAAGATAAATTAAATAACTGGAGCGAGGGTGAAAAAATAAGCTATGAATCAGTGTTATAGACTTTTGATGGAAGTTTCCAATTCATAGAATCAGGCTGTTTACAGCTGTGATGGTTGACCTCATCATTCTCATTGAGCGTTGATGCTGAAAAGAAGACAGTTACACTGTGAAATGCACCCAATACAAGATACTAATACATACATTCCAAGAGGTGAAAATTCAGTCCAGGGAACCCAACTGTAAATTCTTTATTCTGTGATGGAAAATAAAATCTTTGCATGTTTTGAAAAGAAAATTTGAGGCCGGGCGCGGTGGTTCACGCCTGTAATCTCAGCACTTTGGGAGGTCGAGGCGGGTGGATCACAAGGTCAGGAGATCGAGACCATCCTGGCTAACACGGTGAAACTCCGTCTCTACCAAAAATACAAAAAATTAGCCGGGTGTGGTGGCGGGCGCCTGTAGTCCCAGCTACTCAGGAGGCTGAGGCAGGAAAATGGCGCGAACCCGGGAGGCGGAGCTTGAAGTGAGCCGAGATCGTGCCACTGCACTCCAGCCTGGGCAACAGAGCTAGACTCCATCTCAAAAAAAATAAAAATAAAAAAAAGGAAAAAAGAAAAGAAAATTTGAGCATACAATTAATACACTATACACTCTAACTTGTCACCCCAAGTAGATTAGTTATTTCTATCAATTTTAAGTACATTAGAGATCTCAAGCAGCAAAATAACTCCTGTGTTATAAAAGACATCATTAGTCAGGTGTATTAAGCCCTAAAATGCCAAAAATAATTCTAAGACTCTTTTAAATTGTTGGAAGACTAGGAAGTCACAGAAGTGTAACTTACCTTATTGATAACAGTAGAAAAAAAAGTGAAGGGAAAAAACAGAATAAAGAGGTGACCATGTCATTTATAACTGTATCTGTTTATTTTCTTTAGGGTTTAAAAGTATCTCCATGGGTGATAATTTCGACAGCTTACACATTTTTTTTTTTGACATATGGCTGACAAATTACTCTGGAATAAGATTTGGGTTTTTCAAAATACTTAGCTGAATGAGTCAGAGAAGGTACATGATTAGGGGGAACCCTTCGGCACCAAAATATATTGATCTTATCATTGTTCCTATACAGATAATAATGCACAAAATAATGTGTTCAACCTACATTTAGAAGAGAAAATTTTCATTCTAGCTTTCCAAGTTGAGAATCTATTAATTGCATTTAAAAGCTTGAGAAAGTGTTCTCCAGCCCCAACTGTTTCCTCTTTTAAAATATATTTCTATAAATAAGGCTATCAGCCTCATTTTGTTTACGATAATGGGATTAACTATTTATGGGCATAAAAACAGGTTAAATACCAATCTTCATTACCGACCAGATGAAAACAATTCAATAAGTGCTTTTGGCATTTTTTTAATATGGAGGAAGTAACACATTATTCGAGATAGTTACTGACATTTTTCAGAATGCTATCAATGCAAACCTATCCTGAAAGTAACAGAGATAGGATAATGAGATGCAGCTATTGCAAATTCAAGGTGCTGAGGGATCGAGGAGCAAAGCAAGCCTTTATAGTGGATCTTTCTGTCTGGTGGCAGCTGCTTATCAGAATATACTTCATAAAGTAATTATGTTTGTCCGTTAACTTATTTATTTGTTTCCCGAATATTGTCAGGTATTTTAAGAGGAAAAGGTCCAGCAGTATCTATATACCAAACAGTTTTCCAAAATAGTGAGCCATAAATCAAAAATAAGCTGTTTCCTACAAGATTTTTTAAAGCAGTTTTCTACTCAAATAACATTGGCAAAAATAAAATAATAGGAATTAAATTAGACTATTCTGGTCATTTTTCTGCCTCATGATCTGAAAATTTTTCTAAAAACGCACTCTTCATCATGAATGAGTTGGGATGAGGTTTATACTGTGTCCTTCATTGTACCCAGAAGGCCAATTCAACATTTAGAAAGTCTTTGATCCTGTGAGTCAGCATTATGAACATATAGAAGAGAGTTTTTGATCCATATCTTATTTTTGCCTGCCATATAGATTCCTCTTTCTCTGTATCCTTTCTCATTAGGGTATAGTCATTGATACATCCTAAAATCAGCTCAGAAGGAATTAATTGTCTCTTCTACCATCACCCTGCCCTGTTTTCTCTTCTATTTAGCCCCTCCTATCTTATTACCTTCTCCTTTTCTCATAAAGTGCCACTATGAGGATTCATATCATTTTGTCCATAAGCCTCTGATATGTTGGCACCTCTTTATGAGTGCTGATCTATTAAACTATCTTTACATTGCTGGAGATAAGAGAGCAAAGTGAAAATATTACCCAAACAAATAAAGTCTAATGCCAGCACTGAGCTCGTAGCCTGCCTTAATTAGGATCATTTATATATAACAGGTAACTTATTGAAGACATAACCTGTGTAACAATTTTTCAGGACCTTAGTCCAATTTGTATTTTATCCTGGACATTTGTTACAAGAACTTAGTGGTTCAATGAGTAAAAATAAATTCAGGGACTTCTATTCCAATCAAGACATGTATAAGAGTAAAAAGACTTTGGAAACACAATGTTAATTGCAAATCATCAAATTAACTACATACAGATTACTAAGCAAGTACAATAAGTTTTTCAGTTAATTAGAAGCATAAAATGGAAGTGTTATTTTGTATTTCATCATCAATCCTTCCCTATTAAAGAGATGATAAAAGTAAAAAAATGCTAATTTGTTAGATCCAGAGATCATCCTAGGATCATTGGTTTTCAACCACTTTGGAACCAAACCTACTCCTTGAGAAGGCCCCTTTCTAGCATCCCTAAAATCTACACAGGACAATATAAAAATCACTCATTATAGTCCTTTTACCTCACTTAATAGAAAATGACTCTGAATTCCAGGAGATCATATGCCTTGCCCAATAACAGACGCATGGCTAGTTGAAGCAGAGGACTCTCTTTCTCCTTTTACCTCCTCCCTTTCATCTTTGTATTTTACATATTTGAACATTACAGGGAGATAGGCTCCATTTGCCTAGGGGAATGTCTCTTCTCCTCCATACTGGTTTCATGCCCATGGTTTTTTTTGTTGTTGTTGTTCTGTTTTATTTTGCACTTACTCTCAAGGTCACTTTCTCCATTTGGGTCTACTTGGCCCCTTTAGTCTCCACCCTTTGCCTCCCAGATACAGATCCCATCACTCAGGGCCACACATTAATTTTTTATAAAACTCTGTGTGTCATTTCTGCTCACACTTACCTCACTTATTAAATGGTAAGGGCAATTATTTCTCACCTTCACTTTTCCTAATGAGAAAAAACTGACTTCTTGGGACAATATTACTATATAACTATCACTCCAGGACAAAAAAATACTTGTTTTGACTGTTTTTTGTTTTATCCCTCTCCTCCTCTACCATTTTTAAACATTTATCCCAGTTATGTAAAAAACACACACAAAGTGACAATACTACAATTGATGTGGTTTATATGTGTAAGTACTACTCCTAATCTCAGTATGGTTGGCTGTGTTTGGAATTAGTGGGCCATCCCATCTACCTGATTACCCAGAAATTTCATGGGCTCACTCATCATCATAACTGCAGGAATTGCCCAAGATGTCTTGCTTAAGATTTAATAAGCCTGACCTGCTTGTGTGGATACTAATTCCCTACCAGCCAGAGGTGAGCCCAAAATAAGAGCCTTCACTACTACACTGTAAGATGAAACCTTCTTTTATTAGTCCATTCTCACGCTGCTGATAACGATATACCCGAGACTGGGTGATTTATAAAGGAAAGAGGTTTAATAGATTCACAGTTCTGCAGGGCTTGGGAGGCCTCAGGAAACTTATAATCATGGCGGAAGGGGAAGCAAACACAGCCTTCTTCACATGGCAGCAGCAAGAAGTGCAGAGCGAAGTGGGGGAAAAGCCCCTTATAAAACTATCAGATCTCGTGAGAACTTACTCACTATCACGAGAACAGCATGGGGAAAACTGTCCCCATAATTCAATTATCTCTACCTGGTCCCTCCCATGTCCTGTGGGGATTAAGAGAACTATAATTCAAGATGAGATTTGAGTGGGGACACAGCCAAACCATATCACTTCTTTACTTCCCTATTAAAATGATCTTAATTGTAATCATAATTATAGAGATCTACTAGTCACATGGCTTACAAACTGCATATCTGCCTTCCTTTTTTTTTTTTTTTTTTTTTTTTTTTTTTTAGACCAGCCATGTTTTTTATTGACCTTATGGTACCTCCTGCTTTGGGCAATGAATGCTCTATGGCATAAGGACTAGACCAAACTAGTAAGTAGCAACATTGTTGATAATCCTGTACTTAAGAAAGTGAGAGTGGTGGTGTCCCCAGAAGGTTTATAGAAGAGCAAACCATGCTTTAAAAAATACACTTAATAATAATCAGCTTTAGGAACAAAATAAATACACAAACTCAATCTACTGTCAACTTCAATAAACACAAAAAATATAACTGCCACTAATGGCAGTGGCAGCTACTATAAAAATTAAAAGTACTAAGTCAAGAAGAAAATTCTCAATATGGAGAACTGTCAGTAGCAGTATTTTTTGTTAATTTTTTGCTGCTCCTATTCAAGTGCCTTAGCAAAAAGATAGTTTCATAGTTTAGGGGTGTTTCTTTTTTTAACCTTAATTAATAAATTAATTATGGCTAAAACCTACACATTGTTTACATATAAGGCAGAAATGATAATATATATTTGTTCTGGGTGTGCACAGAACTGTAAGTTCTCAGTCATCGTTAACATGAATTTACTAAGAGTACTTTCCTGCAAAGTTTTTCATCATTAAACAAATGTTTATTGAAAACCTACCATATAATCTTCACTGTTATAAGTGCTGATGATACAGCAGTTAATAGAACAGCAAAAACCCCACCAGAAATGGTCTTAAGCCCATTTAACCAACAAAGGAAAACTCATCTCAGGGAACACAATTCTGAAAGCCAATCAAACAATACAGCTGTTGGTCTCTTCCTGTTTTCCTGGGTCTCCCTGCTCTGCTCTTGAGAATAAGGTTCATGAGGGTGAAAACTGGCTCTGCCTTCCTCACCCCATCCCTCCACTATCTACTTCAGTTCCTGACCCATAGCTGGTATTTTAGTTTAGTAGCCTAATCTCTTTCCTCACTATAAACCAGCTAACAATACTTATTAAAGCATACTAGTTTAACTTTTGATATTCCAGGGCTGTTGCACTTTGAAAGGACCAAGGTTGCTAAACTCAAATTTAGACATTTGGAGAAAGTAGGGAGTCTATGAGTAGGTAATCCAGGCTTATCAAATTTTATTCTCAATATCAGCTATGTAACTGGTTCCAGTGTCTTCTGAATCCAAAGAATTCTAAAAAGGTTCGTGTTTTCTTACAGTGGCTTCCCTTTCAGTGCTCCAGCAACAGATAAGACATATGTATATATTTAGATGATCAATGTATGAGACGTGATTGCCTAATTTGCCCTTATCCATTTATATGTAATAATAACATTATGAAAACTACTCTCTCATCAATCAATCAAATTTCTATTATCTGAAGTGTAATTGTTATTTCATTGAGATATCGCAAAGACAGTACCTGTTTTATATGTTGTTGCTTCAGCAGTTTGAAACATGCATCTAAATTTGGCTTTTTATTTCAGAGGGCAAAGGGGATGGGGAAGCAATCAACATTTATGAAAATGTCTCTTAGGGCGAGATCCTTTGCTGTATAGTCTATTTACATTGTAAGATTCATAATCAAACCTATTTTTTCATTAATTCATTCAATTCATTCTTTCAATAAGTGCTTATGAAGCATTTGTGATGTGCCAGGCATTCTAGCTACCAAAGATAAAACAGTGAATGAGATAGACCAAGGAGAAATGTATCTATTAGAATGATGCTTGTGAAGGTGGTATCATTATCCCTATTTTCCAGATAAAGAAATGAGACTCAAACAGCTTAAATAACATGTCCAAATCATATAGTTCACAGGTCTCAGAGCCAGAATTCAACCACGCAAGCCATTACGATGATAAAACTAAACACCTTTTTGCTACCAAACTCTTTCCACTTCCATTTAGTAATTTCTACTCAAAGTACAATCCCCAGACCAGCAGCAGCAGCAGCAGCAGCAGCAGCATCACCTGGGAGCTTGTAAGAAATGTGGATCTCAGGCCTCTGTCTCTCTGCTAAACCTTCTGAATCAGAATCTGCAATTTGAACAACCCTCAAGTGATTCTTGAGTACATTAAAACTTGCACACATCTAGGCCAAGAAAGTCTTCAGTTAGGTAAGTTAGGTAAGTGAAAGAAAACAAATAATTAAAATATTTTGTTGGCCAGCGCGGTGGCTCACGCCTGTAATCCTAGTACTCTGGGAGGCCGAGGTGGGCGGACTGCCTGAGCTCAGGAGTTCAAAACCAGCCTGGGCAACAGGGCGAAACCCTGTCTCTACTAAAAAATACAAAAAAAAAATTAGCCAGGCATAGCGGCGGGTGCCTGTAGTCCCAGCTCCTCGGGAGGCTGAGGCAGGAGAATTGCTTGAACCCAGGAGGCGGTGGTTGCAGTGAGCCAAGATCACACTACTGTACTCCAGCCTGGGCAACAGAGCAAGACTCCGTCTCAAAAAAAAAAAAAAAGAATTAAAAAATTTTGTTAAAACTACACTAAAGGAGTTATGATTCTTTAGATAAAATATGTAGGCTGAGCCTTCCAGTTTATAACCTAGCTTGGTAAATAGTTTATGTACTTGCACTCAATGGAAAGCATACACACACCCACATACACACACACCCAAAGCTACAATAAGACCGTCAGATCTCACACCAACTTTTGGAATAGATTGATTTTAATATATCAGTTTGCTAAGAGTCTTCAGAATATGCCAGACATATACCATTTTTATCCTACTTCAGGTAACTCCTTTTAATTAGAATGACCTCATACTCCCTTTATGCTGCCATGCTAACCTATATGTTTTTCAAGATCCAAGTTAACTACTACTTCCTCAGGCATTTACTCATCAAATATTTGAAAGCCTCTTACGATTAAAAAAGGTCACTTATGAGAGGCCTGGGCTTTTGAAACATGTCAGTCATTTGCAAAACTTCCTCTGCAGGAATTTATTTCTACTCCCAGCCTATGACTTTCAATAACCTCTGTCCATCTTGCTCCTCAGAACGTGACCAAATCGGACACTGGTTAGTGCCCTTCTCCTCTGTTAGTCATAGGTTCTCAGCTTTTATTGTGAAAGATGCCTCCTGAACTTGTAGTGCCTGAGACTTGGATCTGTGTGGATTTTCCCCATCATTCTGTAATGTTCCAGTACCTTTCTGTACCCACTTATAACTTCTTATCTAAAAATAACTTACCAACTAATCAACCAAAAAGAAAATCCTTCTGAATGCTCTTTGAATCTTGGTCCTAAAGTATGGCTCCCTTCAACTTCAATGTTTAAAGTCACCAATAAACTCTAAGTCACCAAAGCTAATAACCACTTTTAGCAGGTTATAGTATTTTAAAGTATTATTCTTCCCACAGAGTTCCTTCCTCAGACCCAAAGCCCTCTTTTTCAGAATGCATGAGTCACTCTTGGGGAAACCAGAAAACAAAGACTGCAAAAACACTATACTACTAAGTTCAAAAGCCACTCTTCAAAATGTACAAACCGTTTGTACAAATGAGTAGAAAAGGAAGAAGGAAGGAGAAAGGCTATATAAACAGGAAGGTATGAGAACAAGAAATCAGTATTCTCTCCTAAAGCAAGTACCATCCATGGCCAGGGGCTGTAAGATCATGTCATCCAGATATATTTCTTTGATATCACCAAAGCCCTTCAATCCACAGTGACTAATATATTACCTGTTGATGTCCACTTGTCCTGAAAGTTTGCTCCTCGCCCTATCTGCCCAACTGTTCATAGGCAATTCTTTATATAACAAGGAAGATACCAACCCCTGAAGATAAGAGAGTTCTTGAACAGGCAGCAGTCTGATGAGAAAATTTCCCCCACTTGATTGAGGTAGGACTGGATGAAGCCTGCTCAAGATTCCCCCTTCAAATCACAACAATTTTGGAATTCAGAACCAGTTTTATTTTCTCGGATTGGTTACTCTCAAATATAACTTTATTGGCTGCTTATCCTTTTTAAAGTATTTCCTCTTATTCATTGATCTTTCTTCTAAAGTGTTGGCTGTTTCTGCTTCCCCTCAAGCCCTACTTAACTATTTCCAAAGCATCAACCTATGGTCTTCTAGTACCTTCTCCTTTGCCACTAGGGCACTATTTCTCCAAATTCGTCAGTTGTTGGTTTTTCATTCCAATCTCTCTCCTCCTTTCCTTTTGTGTTTCCATAATCTACTTGATTGATTCAAAGGTGAGATTTGAACAGTCTAGGTTACAGATCAAAAGGACCAAGCAAGAAGGTGGATAAACAAACATGAATCCTACACTGAAAATCTTACACTTTAGGTACAGACCTCAATTGTACCAACCACATGTAAAATTCAAACAGTCTTAGCCTTCAATGGTAAGATAGATTGGAAAATTGAAGTAATTAACTAGGCAATTTAGTAAAATAAATAAATAAATTGTAGCAATTGAGAGAAAAAAAGGCATTTAAAAAAAAGACTGAAGGCATCCAGGTTGCTGTTCTACATTGATCAAATTGATGGGAAAATTGCTCAATTCTCTATTTCACATTTCCTGGTAAACACAGTGAGAAACGTCCAGATGACTGAACAATTTCATAAAAGTGACTGAAGTATATACATTACATTCAGGCCTTACTACAATCTACATTTGTGCAAATGCCTCACATGTAGTATCACGGAGAGATGAGCCTGCATTTGCCTAATGACCTCTGCCAGCGGTGGCCCCGTAGGTAGCACTTCAAGAGTGAAAAGATAAATGTTACACCTCTTTCAGCAGCTGAAAGCTGGGTTAGGCTGTCCTTGGAGATTTTCTAGGTCTAGTACAGAGCACAAAGATTTTTTTTAAAGGCCACCTCATATCCCTTTAAGGCAGTATTCCTACATTTTCTCAAATCAAAACAGGTATTTGGTGACTCTCTAGATCAGCGATTTGAAAATTGTTTCCGTAAAGGGCCAGGCAGTAAATACTTTAGACTTTGTGGGCCACACAGTGCCTGTCACAACTACCACTCAATTTTGCTGTCAGAGCAGGAAAGTAGCCATAGACATTACATAGATGAAAGGCATGTCTGTGTTCCTATTAAAAAACAAAATGAGTGGAAAAAAAATGAGTGAAGAGCCAAATTTGCCAGGCAATGTCCTATGTTTTGCTAAGTAGGTGGACCTCTGGAACATAGTTTGCTGATTCCTGATTCAGAGTCTAGAGTGTAAATCCCTTCACTTCACTGAGTCAGAAAAGCAATTAGTGATCACCTTAACACCACATTTGTTATTATGATCATCATAACTATAACTCCCATTTTATAGACAAAAAAGATAAATTTGCATAATTGGTAAGTGTTTGGGCTCTACTTCAGAGCAAATCCAATGATTTGTTCTAAGTCCAGTTTTCTTTCCAATAAAGCACAGTACAACATCAAAAAGAAAGCATTCTAATAGTAGTTCAATACTGTAGTGGAAGTGGCAAAAAGAGCAACATTGAATTTAAAGGAATAAAATTAAAGGAGTGCAAATTAAATGTGTACAACAAGCAATAGGAGTTCGTTGGAAAAAAAGAAATATACCTGTCAATAGATACCCCAACATGTCTGCCATGAACCACATTTATTTATCTCTTATCTAAGCTCCTTTTATTGTCTGTACCACATTATTGGACTTGGCAATTTTGTTTTAATTCACAGATAAATTGTCAGAGTAATAGACACAGGGCATCAGTGACACAAGGGTGAGCTCTTTTGAAACCCTATTTCCCATGTTTAGAAGTGGATTTTATATGTGAATACACTTGAGTACACAACAGATAAAGATAATTCAGAAGACTTGACAGAGGCAGATAAACTCTTTAGAATCATTTCACTGATATTATTTTCTTGTCTGAGCACATATATTTGAGTATATTCATTGGTTAAAAAAAAGTTTAAAAATTCAAGAGAATGTTTTTATTTGATTGTTTTTCATATACATTGTTTTCAATAAAATACAATTTGTATCTTAAGATATATACATACTAAAATAGAAACATTTTTCCTTTTTCCAAACATTTTTCATTAGTTATTACTTACTCCCTCAGAGTTTTTCACCAGTTACTGCTAATTATTCGAGTAGCACTTGGATTTAGCAAAAAAAAAAAAAAATTAATTTTGAAATTGTTCTATTCAAAATGAGTAGATTGGCAAAAAGCAAACATGCTTATTGAATTTTTAAGCCACTCTAAATTTATTAATATTCAAATACAAATAGTATTTTCAAATAACAAAGATATTGTTTATAGCATTCCCTTTTCTTTGATCCATTGGGTAGATGATGCTGATTCATCATAACCTGCCTTCTCCTTCTTAGGCATGCAGGACTCTCCACTTCCTAGCCACCTGGTAGTCAGTCAAGGCCACGTGATCAATTCTAGCCGATGAAATGTGAGCAGAAGTAAGGCGCATCACTTCTGGGTTGAGGCAGTGAAATGCCCTGTGTGGCCCTCCAGTCTCTCTCTTGCCCAGTTTTGGCAAATGTGGAAGAGGTTGTGTTGAGATGGCAGAGCCACAGACTGAAGCTGCATGAATTACTGAATTACCAAGTAGAAGAAAGCTTCTCTGGAGAGTCTCCTAGACCCTCACCTAGGGCCAGCAGCATGGGCATGTAACCTATGTGATCACCCAGGACCCTGCCCTCGGATGGGCTCTGTGCTTGGCTTAACGCTCTGCTGTCACTGTCTCGCAAGTTTTAGAAAAGGGGCCCAGTGTTTTCATTTTGCCACCAGGCTGCACAAATTTGTACCCGGTGCCCCCCAGAGCAGAGACTTTGCAGGAGTTTTGTGTGAATGTGTTAACCACTGAGATTTTGAAGCTGTTTGCTTCTATAACATGTACCTATCTTATCCTATCCTAACTAATAAAGTCCTGAAACCCTTCAAGATTCAGCAAGTGTAGCCCTACTCCAAGATGCTTCCCTGAATACCCTTCCTTCCTCTTGAGACAGGTGCCTTCACTGGGTGTTCCCACAGAACTATTATCTACTCCAGCATAACACACAATTTATTCTAGTTATTTGCTAACCTGTCTCCCTAAGGTGGATACTATGGGATCATTCCCTCCATATGCATTTCGACCCACCTGATGTAACTTCCTATGTAATAGAAACTGGAAAGCCAACAATTACACTCCCTGGACTTTTTTGCAGATAAGAAAGCAGATGTGTCCTATGTTTTGCTAAGTAGGTAGACCTGTAGGAGGTTGGAGATGAAAAAAAAAAAAAAGGCAACACAAGGTCACTCAAAACACACAAAGATTCACTTTGGGACATTAGTTCTTCTTGCAAGTGTGGTGTTAAAGGAATTTCTTCTTTTGTGGCAGCTCTGGCAGAGGGTTCTGCTCAATACTGTAAAGCAGTGGGACTTCCCTTGGAGAGGTGGTTTGGCATTTCTCCTGGCTGCTCTTATATCTGGCTATGTGGCATTTAAACCCGGTTTCCAGGCCAGGTGCAGTGATCCCAACACTTTGGAAGGCTGAGGTAGAAGGAAAGCCCAGGACTTCCAAGCTGCAGCGAGCTATGATTGCACCACTGAACTCCAGCCTAAAGGACAGAGAGAGAACCCTGTCTCTTAAAACAAAAACAAACCAAAAAGACTGGTTTCCTAGGCCTTCCAAAGACTCTGCTAGCTACCCAATGCCCTCAAAACAAGTTTTTTCTTTCTTTTTTGGCTCAACATGGACTCTGTTGTCTGCAAAAATAATAAAAACCTATGCTGTCTACTCTCCCCAACTAAAGTGAAAGGTCTTTGATGGCAGGGACTGAATCTTATTTTTAATATTACCTTTCCCTCCCACTACCCAGCCACCTAAGACTAACTTACTGTTTTGGTACGTAATAATGGCTCAGTAGATATTTTAAGAAGAAAAGTAGGCAGGCAGGCTGGAAGGAAAGAAGAAAGGTGTGATGATTAATCTTATGTGTCAACTTGACTGGGCTAATGGATGCCAACATAGCAGGTAAGCATTATTTCTGGATGTGTCTGTGAGGGTGTTTCTAGAAGAGATTAGCATTTGAATAGGTAGACTGAGTAAAGAAGATTAGTCTCCCCAGTGTGAGCAGGCATCATTGAGGGTCTGAATGGAACAAAAAAAATTCCCTCTGAATGTAAATTGGTTCAACCATTGTGGAAGACAGTATGGTGATTCCTCAAGGATCTAGAACCAGAAGTACCATTTGACCCAGCAATCCCATTACTGGGTATATACCCAGAGAAATATAAATCATTCTACTATAAAGACACATGCACATGTATGTTTACTGCAGCACTATTTACAATGGCAAAATCATGGAATCCACCCAAATGCCCATCAGTGATAGTCTGGATAAAGAAAATGTGGTACATATACACCATGGAATACTATGAAGCCATAAAAAGGAACAAGATCATGTCCTTTGCAGGGACATGGATGAAGCTGGAAGCCACCATCCTCAGCAAACTAATGCAGGAACAGAAAACCAAACACCACATGTTCTCACTCATAAGTGGGAGCTGAACAATAAAAACACATGGACACAGGGTGGGGAACAATACACACTGGGGCCTGTTGTGGGATGGGGGACGAGGGGAGGGAACTTAGAGGACAGGTCAATAGGTGCAGCAAACCACCATGCCACGTGTATACCTATGTAACAAACCTGCATGTTCTGCACATGTATCCTGGAACATAAAATAAAATTTAAAAATAAAGAAAAAAAAATTCTCTGCTTGAGCTGGGACCTCTTTCTTCTCCTTGCCTTCAGACATCAGCACTCCTGGTTCTCAGGTCTTCAGACATGGACTGGGATCTACACTATTGGCTCCCCTGGTTCTCAGGCCTTAGGGTTTGGATTGAAACTATACCCCCAGCTCTCCTGGGCCTCCACTTGCAGATGGCCGATTATAGAATTTCTCAGCCTCCCTAATTGCATAAGCCAGTCCCTCCTAATAAATCTCTTTCTATATATCTCTAAAAACACTCTATTGGTTCTGCTTCTCTGGAGAAACCTAATACAGAGGGAATCATTCCTTCCATTCATAGAATTGGAATACAAAGCTGTTAATATATGAACCTCATATTTTAAATAAATGATAAATGTAATACATTACTCAAATACATAGTGCTTTAGTGTTGCAGCTACAAAAATTGAATACCCTAAAAGACCTGGTGGAATTTTCCGTGTGCTATGGTATAAAGGTAAACATGTGCATTTGCTGCATTTGAGTGTCTATAAACAATCTATTTTAAGATGCCCTTTGCTGTCAATCTACTTCCCAGATAATAAAATACTTCAAAAAAATTAAAATTATACAAATGTAAAAAATCCTGTGCTTTTCCACAATTTGCAAGCCAGATTTTCATCAGGCACTGATGTATTACATTACCCACAGTGGGGTAAGCTGCAGTTCTAGTTAGGGAAGGAAAAATTGTCAAACTGATTCCAATTTAAACCTATCTCTTCACCTAGGGTTCCTCAGAATTTTTTCCACAGTCCTCATGGTAGCTTCTTGGGTGACAGCAATGCCTTGAGCCATCCTCAACTTAAAAAAAAAAAAAATTAAGTCAACAAACTCAGCAAATGAGTTTTAAAAATTGGTGCTGCTTGGGCAAACGCACTCTTTGCTTCTCCATATGTTCTTTTCAGTGTAGAATGTAGTACTACTTTATATAGCATCAACTTCTTATTTGTAATTGTACAGTCACTGGAAAGTAGGTCAAGACACACTGCAGCTTTCCCATTTCCAAATACTATATGCCATGTGTGGCATGCATGAAAGTTGAGACTTATAGGGGTTGAAGTACAGGAGAGGAAGAGAAAAATACCAAGCAGAGGATAAAAAGAAATGCAATATATTTCCTTCTATCCCCCTTCATAAATCTTCATCTTCTTTCCAACAAGATCTAGGAAAATCACAGTTTCACTATGGGACAGGGATGCTCATTACCCAAGTTCAAAACCTATGAAAAATTACAGTGAAAAAATCACTCACAACTGATTTATGGTTAAATTGAAAGAAGTGGAGGTGTTGGACCAATCACCTGCTTTTCAAATATTTTTCAATCTCAAACCCACTCTAAAAGCTTGGCTCCAATCTGCTTCTATAATTAGAGTACCAAAACAAGAGGCATTAATACCTCCAATAGATCATTAATCATTCCAGCTACTTCATGATGGAGGCCACAGCCATGGACTGGAGGCAGGGTTGAGCAAATAAAATAGTCATTGATCTCTATTTGTAGACTAGGGCAAGACAG
Organism: Homo sapiens; assembly: GCF_000001405.40. Classification (NCBI taxonomy): domain Eukaryota; kingdom Metazoa; phylum Chordata; class Mammalia; order Primates; family Hominidae; genus Homo; species Homo sapiens. Next base: position 28,711,467 of record NC_000003.12, on the reverse strand, counting down.
TTCACTCCCTGTGTGTTTGCTGGTATCTATCACACTGGAATTGCTACATAGACCATCAATAACAAACCCATTCCACTTTAACGGCCTGTAACAGTGAAGAAACTACGAGTGTTTCTCAGTAATAAGCAAAGTAAGATCCACTTTAGGTGCCTACACTTGGTTACTACTTAGTCCTTACCAGGTGATTAAACAGCAACTATTCATTGTCTCCTACGGCTCCAACATTGAGACAAAAAGTCATGTGTATGTACTGAGTGACTCCACAAACTGCCTACTGGATTCTCTTCAATCCAGCATGAGTCAACATCTTCTGGAGAGCAGTAAAACTTCATTAATATGAAGTGTTTGGGGGTAAACTTTTGAAACAATGGGAAAAAATAGTAATTATAGATTCATTTTCCTTACATAAGTGAGGTTGCTTTCTTTCCTTTTTGGGGCTGTTGGAAATATCCAAAGATTAGGCACCAACAGATGTGGAATCAACCCCAGATCACCTACTTTGAACAGAAAAGTAAACCTCTCAGTACCCTATTTCCCTCACCTGGTCATTGCTGATCATAATACTTGCCCATCCTTCTTTATAGGTTGACTTTGAAGATGATAGGATTTAAAACTTATAAATTTCCTTAGATAAGTTGAGAGCACTATGGAAAGGTAAGCTTCCACTAAGATGAAAGAAATAACACTAGAGTATTTTAAGGATCTGTATTAATGAATATTACTATTAAGGATCTGTATCAATGGATATTCTTATAAGAACAACTTCTTTTAGCATATTACTAGTTTATCTATAAATGGATGCTGAGATATCACTTGAAAACTATCTTAATCATTTCCAATTTGACACATTTAACTGATTTATTAGGTACTCTCTCAATACATAGTAGCAGTGCTTCACTTTGCTAAAATAGCCCGCTGTTATCCCCATGCTAAGGTCACCACTTGCATTTCCTGCACAAGAAACACGTGGTCCCCTGAAAATACTAACCATATGAACCCCCAAATTCTTGTCCCACTCTGCACGTATTAGTAGAACAGGCTGGGTGAAGCCTCTTTTTGAGTCTTTTATTATCTACCTTGTGACTAGTAAGGGTAGAACATAGCTACTCATATAGAAATAAAGTCTGCTTCTGGTTCTGATAGTCTAGGTGCCTACATGGTAGTGATATGTTACTAACTCAACAAAGTTCTAGAACACCTTTACATATTTTCTAAATACCCTAGAGCAATGCTGTCTAATAAAACTTTCTGCAACGAAGGAACTGTTCTTTAATCTGCACTACCCAGTATGGTGGCAACTAGCTGCATGTGACTGTTGAGTACCTGAATGAAGTGTAATGAAGTGTAAAGAAGTGAAATCTTCAAATGACCCTTCACTGCTTAAATCCAGAAGACACCAGATCCTCATATCTATCACTTTGATACCTGGATGAACCATAATGTTGATAGTGGTAACACAGTGACTGTATGCTGGGAGTCCTGTTATGCTCCTTCTTTACACTTCGTTCAGGTACTCAACAGTCACATGTGGCTAGTTGCCACCACATTCGGTAGTGCAGATTAAAGAACAGTTCCTTCATTGCAGGAAGTTTTATTGGACAATATTGCTCTAGGGTATTTAGAAAATATTTAAAGGTGTTCTAGAACTTTTTTGGGTTAGTAACATATCTGTACCATGTAGACTATTTTTAATTTTTTAATTAAAAAAATAAGTTTAAATATCCAAGAATTTAAACAGCCAAAGTAATTTAAATTTAAATACATGACTAATGGCCATTATATTAGTACTGAAGCTTAGTCTTTTCCCAGCCCAATTCCAGTTGTGTCATTTTGTTTATGAGACCTTAAAAGTTACTTGCTCTGTAGGAGCCTCATAGTGGTAATAGTAACCACTAGTGCAACATAGTGGTAATAGTAACCACTGTGCACGGTTTTGTGAGAATTAAAGATAATTTATTAACTGCCCAGAGTAGGCATTCAGGCAGTTATTATCCAACATTCTCTACTTATCTAATCCTTATATCACCGTTGAGCATCACTTTCTCCAGAAATCCTTACCTGGTCTTAAAATTTGGCCTAAAGCCCTTTCTTAATACATCGCAATGCACCTTTATTTCCTTCATTTAATTATCTGCATTTTGTCACTAAACCGTGGCCTTCCTATTTATCTTTACATTTCAAGCATCAATGCCTAGAATGAAGCAACTCAAAGAAATTCTTTAAAGCCTCTTTTAGAAATTTCCAATGTATCCCAATATTCTATACACTGTAGGTTTTTCCTTCAGTGATTGTAGATATGATAGACAAGAAATGACTAGTCTAGGAAGCATTATCTATATTCTTGTCACAGAGAAACTAAATCTGGCTACTTGTGAAAGTCAAATGACTTAATAAAAACAGACTCATGGTAGAAGCACCCCAAGTGGATCTGTTAGGCCTAAAATGGAAAGGAGGAGCTAAGTAAGTCTAAGAACACTAAACGGGGTTCTCCTACTCACTTTTCAAAAGAGCAGCAGGCACTGAAATCTTCAAATGACCCTTCACTGCTTAAATCCAGAAGGCACCAGATCCTCATATCCAGTCACTTTGATACCGGGATGAACTGTAATGTCGACAGTGGTACCACAGTGACTGTATGCTGGGAGTCCTGTTATGCCCAATAAAATCCATACTGACTACGCCTCCATTGAGAACATGGTACTCTTCTGGTTCAGATAGAAAACAAGCCACAAGGCTAAACACTTATGTGGCTATGTGTCAGTTATAACCATAGAGGGTGAATCAGATTTCTGTTTTTTTTTCTTCAGAAAGACATTTGAACTTGGAAGACAGCAAAATATTAGCTCAGTGTTTAAAGAAATGATGGCCATTCTAAAATTCCCTAGTATAGAACTACACACATGATTTCACAGAATAATACAATAACTATTATTATTATTTCACCTTCATGAGACTCAGTTTCCACATCTGCAAAATGGCAGTAATAGTATGCACTATTCAATTTTGTAGTAAGGATTAAAAATAATGCATTAAGTGTCTGGAAGAGCTACTAAGGCTATTTTTATTCCATATTCTATACATATGTAATTCTCACATCACTTCTTCCACAAATCCTAGCCTGGTCTCAAAATTTGGGAAAGGACCCTTTCTAGGAGGACCCAAGGCATCTGTATTTTCTCTATTTAAATATATTTTTCTTTTCATTAGACCTTCACCACAATGTTTATTATTGTATCTCTAGAATCAATGCCAAGAACTCAAAAGGAAATCACCATTTATTGAAAGAATGAATCAATGAAGGAATGAATGCTTATGCACTAGCCATCAACAGAACACTTGTGGGAATAATTTGCTTCTACTAGTTAGGGCTCATACACTTTTCCCTATCAGAGTAGTAATTACCTGATGTGGTAGGTAGGATAATGGGCTTCCAAAGCTGTACACATCATACTCCCCAGAACCTGTGAGTATGTTAGGCTACATGGCAGATGGAATTAAGGTTTAAGATCAGCTGATCTTAAAACAGAGGTATTAACTTGGATCATCCAGATGGGCCCAATGTAACAGTCCTTAAAAGGGGGAAAGGAAGAAAAACGAGTTGAGTCCAAGGCCATAGTGATGAGATAAAAGGGGATTTTGACCTGCTGTTGCTGACTTTGAAAAGGAACGGGGCCATGAACCAAAGACCATGGGTGGCCTCTTCAGAGTCTGCAAAAGGCAAAGGAATGCATTATCTTCTAGAGCACAGGTGTCCAATCTTTTGGCTTCCCTGGGCCACTTTGGAAGAAGAAGAATTGTCTTGGACCACACATAAAATACACTAACACTAATGATAGCTAATGAGCTAAAAAGAAAATAGCATAAAAAAATCTCATAATGTTTTAAGAAAGTTTACAAATTTGTGTTGGGCCACACTCAAAGTCGTCCTGGACTGCATGTGGCTGGCGGGTTGGACAAGCTTGCCCTAGGGCCTCCAGAAAAGAATGCAGCCTTGCTAGCACCTTGACTATAGCTCAGATGAGACCTGTGTCAGATGTATAACCTACAACACAGTGAGATAATAAATTTGTGTTATTTTAAGCTACTAAATTTGTGGTAATTTGTTTCAGTAGCAACAGAAAATGATACACTTGGGTAGTTTTAAAAGTATATTAATGCTGGGTCCCCCTCATAGAGATTCAGATTCAGTTAATCTGAGGTGTTACCAAGGCATCAGGATTTTTTTAAATGCTGCAGGTGAGTCCACTGTGAAGCAAAGCTTAAGAATCATTCAATTATTTAACTATATTTGGACATTTAATATCACTCAAACACAGACATACAAATCTGCCGAGAAAAAAAAAAATCAACCAAGTACCATGCTCAGGTTTAGAGAAAAAGCGGGTGAAGCAAACTTAATATTTTCTTTTTAAATAGGAATGTGTGATGATGTGTGTGCTTGAGCAATATTTCACTCAGCCATTATAACAACGCTTAAAGTCAGTAGGGAAGATATCACAATCCGCTTAATCCAGGAAAGAAAAATGTGGTTAGGTGCAGAGAAAACCAGTGGATTCCCCAAATCTGGCAGTTATTAAGTGAAGGAGACCATATTGAGACCACCTGGTGACCAGGATCTTAAAAATGGAAGTACCCACGACCCTGGGAACTAGGAACTGTCCCAGGGGAACCTACTCTTTATTGAGCATTCCTGAGCACCATGCCCAGGAGTAACCAAACAAGGCAACAAATGTTGTGAATATAAGTCATTAAAACTGTTTTCACATTCTTGACTTTTCAATTGTGTCTCTCTTGCCATTGGTTCAACTTAGTGATGTATTTCAGAATCAGTGCAGGAGTAATCGGGGGAATCTAGTCTAATCACCTGGATCAGGTGTTAGCCATCATAGCCCACAGGCTAAACCTGACCCTCCTCTCTTTTTGAAGATAAAGTTTCATTAGAATACCACCATGATTTATTTACATATTGTCTACAGGTGCTTCCATGCTACAACAGTAGAGTTGAGTAGTTGTGACATAGACCTTATGGCCCACAGAGTTGAAAATATTCATATTGTGTAGCCCTTTACAGAAAATTTGACCATCCTTGAGCCACATCAAGTATGGATCCTCTACCTTCCCAATGCCACCATTGCTATTCTTCAGGCTTTTAAGCTCATGAGGACAATTTAAAGAGCCTGGTAAAAGCATCCAACAATAACAGCTTGTGGATATAGACAGAAACACCTAAGACTGATCTTTTAATAATAATTTTAATTTAACCAGAACTTTAGTTCAGAAAAACTCAATATACTTTGAACATTATCTTGTTTCTTTCTGACAGCTTTTATTAGAAAAAAAAAATGGGGGATAACCAATGCATTAAACACATCATTTAAATCATTTAAGATATTATCAGCTCCTTTGTGCCTTTTTCCACTGTCAGTATTTTGAGAATTAATCGTTCATTTGTGCACAGCACTGTACAATACAATTTTAAAAGACATAGTATTTGCCTTCTGGGACCTTACACAATCGAAGACAGGCAAGGATGGCAGAGAAAGAATGTTCCTTAGGGGATACACTAAACAAATCCATAAAACAAACATGCATTAATGTAATATATTCACAAAAGGTGAGTCCCGATTTAACAGGAAGGCAAATAAAAAAGCATTTGTGTTGATCTAGCAGGTTGCTACAACAAAAAAGTTAAAATTAATTTTTTTAAAAAAAGGCATTTGTGAAAGTAGCCCAGTTTTCTTAATGAACTCTTAATTATTTAAGGAAAGTTTTCCAGGAGATGAAGCTGTAGAAGTGATTAAGGTGACCTGAGAAACAATTGTAGGCATATGGCTTAATTATTTTTAAAGGGGCAAATAAGCTGTGAACATTGGTATAGAAATTTACCCCAGAAGACCAGAAAAAGCCAAAGCATTTTTATATTTAACATTGAAAGGGAAGACAAAGCTCTATATTTAAAATGACAAAAATGGAGCATGAGTACCCCCAGTCTCTTAACCCACTCCCATAGCAGACATCATGTGACATTGTGATGTATAATGGGATTTTTATATATTTGGTCTTCACCCTGTTTCTTACATACAGCTCCTAAAATCCTTGTAATCTCTGGAGTGATATGAGTCTCTTCTGTATATTAATGAGATGCCTGGTGGCTGGGGGTCCCTGGGTGGCTTCAGGATGGGAGCTGGTCACAAGGAAAATAAAGGCACGATTAGAGGGTTGAGACTTTCAGCCCTACTCCTTAACCCATAGGGAGGAGAAAGGGGCTGAAGGTTAAGTTGATCGCTAATAGGCAATGATTTGACCAATCATGCCTACATAGTGAAGGCCCCCAAAAACCTCAAAAGAACAGGCCCTCAAAGAGCTTCCAGATGGCTGAACACATGGAGGGTTCTGGAGGGTGGCATGCCCATGGAGGGCACGGAAGCTCTGTGCTCCTTTTCCCATACCTTGTCCTATGCATGTTAATCTGTATCATTTGTAATATCCTTTATAATGAATGAGTTCACAAAAGTAAAGTACTTATCTTGGTTCTGTGAGCCACTCTAGCAAATTAATTGAACTTGGGAAGTGTGGTTGGTCAGAAGTATCAGTAACAACTTATTACTTGCGACTGGCATCTGAAGTGGGGGAAAGTCTTGTGGGTCTGTGTCCTCAACCTGTGGGATGTGACACTCTCTCCAGGTAGATACTGTCAGAATCGAATTGAATTGAGGACACCAGGTGGTGTCTGCTGGAGAATCCGCCACAGAATTGCTTGACTGGTGTGTGGGAGGAAAAACTCCCACACACCTGGGGTTACAGAAGTGTCCTCTGTTGTGAGAGTATACTAGGCCTATATATGCTTATACACCATTAACTGAGCACAGCATTCTTTCACGTTTAGCACAGACACAGCCTTCCAAATCTGTTCATCACAAAATTGAGGGGATTCAACATCAAATGTTCAGAGGTGGCCATTAAATTTAAAAAGGAAAGATACCACCTCCACTTTAAGTCTTTAATCATTGGACAATGAGAGATGAATAACTGGTTTCCCTAATTCACCCCTCAACCCCTGCTGCAACTAGCTCCCAAGGTAAGAAAGATGAAAGTCATAAAATAACCTATTTCAACTCAAAAGGAGCAACATCGGAATTGGGGACTCTCTAGAGAAAAAGACAAGTGCTAATCAGGGTGAAACTTAGAGCTACAACAAGAGAAAGGAAATGGATGCCAAAGAATTGAAGAGAAGCAATTTAAAATTACTGAGCATATAGTGGATACTGTGCTGTGTGCTCAGATCCCCTTCAGGACACAGGCACTCAATCCTGCAGCTATCAGAAGTGCTGCCTACTGACAGCTCATAGCTGCACCCCTCTCCAGGAACTGCCCTTGGTCAAAGGGAGCTCCACACTAAACCATCCACCCCAGGTAGCCCCCATCCAATGACTGGATGTTGCAGTAACAAAAGCTGGGCCCCCTTGGGATAATCCTAAAGGATCAGCCCAATTGGAGTCTTCCCTTGGGTTTGGCTGAAGCCTCATTTGCAATTGCACTGCAATTCAACTTTCCCCTCTGCCTAATCCTGTGACCCTCACTTTCTTATAGATATTGTTCCAGAGATCACTGCCCCCAAAAATCTACATATAAATCTCTGCCTCAGCGTCTGTTTCCAGGGCAACCAATTTAACACAGAGCACCGTCTGAATGGTGGATATAGTTAGGTACTGTATCATACTTCGTCTTATTTAGGCCTCACAAAGATCTAATAAGATCATTATTAGAATGACCATTTGAAAGATGGTTGAGGCTCAGAAAAGTTAAGTCATATGCTTAATGTAAATACTGGAGCTAGGATTAAATCCAGGTAGGTGCTATGCTGTTTGGATCAAGGATGAATTGGCAGGGCCTCAACAAGAAGTCAGAATATCTAGATGAGCCTAGAAGGATAAAGATTTAAAAGATCAAAAGAGATACCAAAGGCCAAAGTCAAGAAAGGACAAGAAGTTTGAGCCAGTAGTGCAAATAAATAGAAGCTCAATATAAATACTAACTTTGGGACAGGAAATGATAGCCCTTGAATCTCAGTTACATTTCCTACCCATGGGTAATCTTAAGCCTATGTTTATATACAAGAAAAAAAATGGCAATAGTAATGATAGTAGCTATTATTTATGAGAAAGCCATCTCAAACCAGGCACTGTGCCTCATGTTTTACACATACGAGCCATTCTTAAAGCCCCAACAGTGCTGCATGCAAGTACCATGAGCACCATTTTGCAGGTGGGTACAACTGAAACTCAAAAAAGTTGAATGGCTTACCCATGGTCACCCAGGTGATAAGTGTAAAAGTCACTATTCAAGTCCAGGTTTGTCCCAGTGTTCAATTCATGATGCTTCTACTACAACAGTTAGTCCTAAAGGAACTCTGTGAATCTAATACTGATAATAACAGTAGCTAACATATATTGAACACTTATTATGAACTAGATATCTTCTGTCTCTTAAATCTGCAACATCCCTGTGAGGTAGGTACTATTATCATCTTCCTTTTGCAAAGGACTAAAAAAAGGCATTGAGAGAGAGAGAAAGAAACTTGCCCAAAGTCACATGGCTAGTAAGGGGCAGAGTTAGAATTTGAATCCAGTCATCTGACTCCAATGTTCTTGTGCTCTATCATTGTGTTAAACCACCAGAAGCTGGGGTAGAGGAACCAGCTTCACATATAGTTCCTTAAAACAAATAATGAATCAAAAATTGCACTCAAGTTTATGGCATAAATCTCAGCAACATAAGATGGTGTGGGCTGGACACAGTGACTCATCCCAGCACTTTAGGATGCCGAGGCAGGCGGATCACCTGAGGTCAGGAGTTCAAGACCAGCCTGGCCGACATGGCAAAACCCTGTCTTTACTAAAAAATACAAAAATTAGTCGGGTGTCGTGGCAGGCACCTGTAATCCCAGCGACTCAGAAAGCTGAGGAAGGGAGAATTGCTTGAACCCGGGAGGCAGAAATTGCAGTGAGCCAAGATCATAGCACTATACTCCAGCCTGGGTGACACAGTGAGACTCAGTCTCAAGGAAAAAAAAAAAAGTGTGATACAGAAATTGGAATTACCGAGGAATTGCTACTTGAACGTTGTCTGAAATAGCCCTTTGAGTTGCTCTGTTAACCGGCTTCTCCACTGCAAAGACTCTGCTTCGGTGGTCCTCTCCATGCGGCCTCAACTTTTACTTCCTGATACTTGAGCACACATAATGGAGGCAATATTCTATTAGAAGAACCTTTACTGTGATGGTTAATAGTGTCAATTTGATTGGATTGAAGGATGCAAAGTATTGTTCCTGTGTGTCTGTGAGAGTGTTGCCAAAGGAGATTAACATTTGAGTCAGTGGATTGAACAAGGCAGACCCACCCTCAATCAGAGTGGGCACCATCTAATCAATTGCCAGTGTGGCTAGAATATAGCAGGCAGGAGAAGATGGAAGAGCAGACTTGCTGAGTCTTCCAGCCTTCATCTTTCTCTCATGCTGGATGCTTCCTGCCCTGGAACATCAGACTCCAAGTTCTTCAGCTTTTTGACTCTTGGACTTACACACCAGTGGTTTTCCAGGGGCTCTTGGGCCTTTGGCCACAGACTGAAGGCTGCACTGTTGGCTTCCCTACTTCTGAGGTTTTGGGACTTGGACTGGTTCCTTGCTCCTCAGCTTGCAGACGGCCTATTGTGGGACTTCAACTTGTGATCGTGTGAGTCAATACTCCTTAATAAACTCCCTTTCATACATACATCTATCCTATTAGTTCTGTCCCTCTAGAGAACCCTAATATATTTATCATTTTATATTTTTCTCAATTTGGCATTATAAGTTCATTTTTCTTCTTTTTCGGCGTTCATTACTCCTAGATTTTGAAATAGTATCTCTGCATCTTCCTGCCCTACTCTGGAACACACCTGATCAATCACCAAGCCCATGACCATCACCTGAACAAAACTGCTAAACAACTGCTGGTTCCCACTCCTCATCTATGCTGATATTCATCTTCCCACCATCACTTTACATGTTACCTTTCAGCATCATCACTTCCCCTGGACTTCACAGTCAATACCTTAACCTATTCATTTTGCCTATAAAGGCAACAGACATCACAGTTTTTACTCAGATCCTCAGGTGACCTCTGTTAACCAGAGAATGACCCCCATGGCATTTTCCATGAATCCTTGGCACAAAGAAGTCCAGTGCCTCACTTAGTTCTTGCCAGCATGGCAAGGACCTACGTCTCTTAACTCTGATTCCATCATCCTCTACACCAGGTTATTCTTCCACCTTTAGAGAAGGGTGACAGCAAATATATGCCTGTCCTTATTCATGCCAATATATTTTCCATAAGATCTCTCTACTTGTGCATTCATGACATGAAACCATTATCAAATAATGTGGCAAAGAAGCATGAGTGCCTTACACAGACAAGATATTGTGGCCCATTGCTTTTGAGTCTAGATATGACAGATTGCCAGTTTCTCAGGTTCGGTTTTGAAAATGAAGTCACCAAGTGAGGTTAGAGGCACCTCTGAGCCTAGCAGCCTCTGGCTCAGTGCCAGTAGAAAATCCAGGCATCTACTGAAACTGAATGGGCCATCAGAAGTCTGCCTGCCTGATACCACGCTATAACGTCACACGTGGTCCCAGCTAGCTCAGCCCAGCTTCCTCAGGGAATTTGGTTTAGTCGAAGAATAGGTCTTAATGGGAGACAGGCTAGTCCCACGGTCCCTGCTGACAGGATCAGTGGAGATCAATCCAGAGTCAACTTCCAGAACCATAATGTTTCAGAGGAAACTGCCAAATAATAAGCTCCCTATTGGGATTGAAAGAATAGATGGGAGACCACAAAATCCAAAAATTGGAGTGGAAAGGAAGCTTCAATAGAAAGTTATTTTAACAAGACAAAATTCACAACTCCATCATCAACTCTGAGGTTAGTGACAAAGTCCTCGTTTAGCTACTGATTTACTCTGAAAGTTTGGAGAAAGCAGCCATAAAATGTCCCTTCTGACAAATGAGAAAAGTAGAGAGTCTTGATAAAAATCTTTTCCCATTCTGTTTATAAATGCTATTGTGCTTACAGGTGAAAATTATACAGAGAATATATAGAAAATAGATAGCTACAAGTCCTTCACACCCCTTGCCCCCACCCCACATCCAGAAAAGTCCTCTAGCCTCCAGTAATCTCCTGGTGCAAGAGCACCCCAATAAATGTGGGGGAGCATAATGGATCATTGAGCCCCTGACACCTCTCTCCAGCTACATATGGAATTGGGACGAAAGCAAAATCTGGGAACCAAATCAAACAGGTTCAACACCTTCTGCATTTTAAATTAACCAAGTATTTAAGTTCATATCAACAAAGTACATAAGACATGGGGAATAATTGACTTCATGTAAAAAACAATGTGTTTTACAGAATTTTTAAATCAGATTTTGAATCTAGAAGAATAAAAATAATCACTCATGGGGAAGACAATTAGAGGAGCTGAGACATTTTTTGGCTTTCATCTTAATCACTATAGGCAAAAAAAAGGAACATGTAGAATTCTTCTCTTATTTAAAATTTAGGAGAAGCTGAAGGAGCTAAACTTCCTTATCCTTTATAAAATAGTGCTCCAGGGAAGGGCATGATAGATAACCCCGTATAAATATTGGAAAGTAAACAATGCTGAAAAAAACAAGGACTACTTCTACTGATATTGGCTTTAAAATAAGAAAACAGCTGAAGCAGACAAAAAATTCTCTGTGCAGAGCCACTTGTCTTCCTGCCCCCTCCACTAGAAAACAAACAAGGCTTTATAGCAATAGGGGCAGGTGTGCAACTTGTCACCTGGCAAGTTAGGAAACATCGCAGTGCCTCAAACTGACTGGTTTCACTGGAACTGGTTTTCACTGGAAAGCTGGTGTTCAGCTGGTAGGCAACTGACTCATACTTAGACATCAAAATAAGAAAAAAAAAAAAACTCTCTAAACTAATTGGAATATGGTTGCTGTCCCAAATCCCTCCAGGTGTTCCTCACCCTGACTGCCCCGTCTCTGGGAACTTTCTGGGCCTCCTTGTGACTGACACAATCAGGTGACCTCCAAGGCCCTGCTTCAGGCTTAAGCCCAGGATCTTTAATTTGATTTCTATCCATGCCTTATCATTTGTTAAATATTAAACACCACCTCTCTCTTCTTGTTGTGGTTCACAAAAAAGTGGATCATACGGAGAGTTATTTCTTCCCTGGGCATAACTACCAGCTCAGCAGTCCTCAGATCAACCCAGTGGAGGTATGGTTTTCAAAGTATCATTTTAGGCAGTGTCTTTCTTTTCCCTCGGGAATATAACACACAGTGCCCCCAAGAGTGCAACAAACCTGGTCTTTGGCAATAGTGTGACTTGGGTGTGAAGCCCAGATCTTCCCCTAGTTTTGTGGGCATGATGAAGCCATGTAATCTGAGCTTTGGTTTTAGCAACTGCAGCATCGAGGTACAGCAAAGGATTCTGAAGGGCTTGGGAAGGATTAGAGATAACATGTATAAAATGCCAAGCATAGTGCTAGGCATCTGGTGGGAGTTTAATAAAATGTTCTAATATTATTAACACACTGCAAAGGGTAATAGATAGAATATCTGGAGCTAGTACTCATGTCTAGCTGTGTACTCTAAGATACATTCCTTTCATTTTCCAGATATCTTTGTCAACTGAACCCTTCTTTTATATAACGTCAATCAGCATCCTGCTATCAGAGCCCACATGAGTAATTGCTTCTCTATTGGAAAACCAGGTACAAACCAGGGACCAGCCAGTGAATCCACACCCTATGCCTCCATGATGGGAAAATTCTAAGACCTCGAGACTAATACTATGGACCATCTGTAACTACCCTCTCACATATGAAAGATGGCCCTAAAAAAATACCCAAGGCTGATGATACCCAACTGACACTGGCTGTGGAAGTTCTGATACTAGGACTCCATTGAATCATATCTTCTCTGACAACTGATGACTACAAAACACTAAATTCCACCAAGATGTCCCTGTAGCAGAAGTTCCTGGTACTTGATGCTTCTGTATGAGGCAAGACTCATGGCTTCAGGTTCTTGGGTCTGCTGCAATGCTTTCCTTTAAAGTCAATGCCATAAAACTGCATTACAAGACCAGGACATGATACGATGCTAACTATATATGTGTGTCTATACAGGCTCAGGGCCAGCCCAATTTATATTGAATTTTGAAATATCTTAAACTATTTTAGAGTCCAGTTCCATGGTATGTATATAAAATGTTGTAATGATAGCAGCTACTCCCTATTGTGCCTGTTTCAGTTAGCACTGAGCTAAGTATTTTCTATGTCTCATTTACAACCACCCTGCAACACAGACATTATCTCAATTATACATGTGGAGAAACTGAGGCCTAGAAAGGTAAAATAACTTGCCAGAATGACACTGCCAATAAGACTCAAAACCAGGATGCACTCAAAAGCCCACACACTTTTCAATCCTTGTTGTCTCCTATTTGTATTTAATCCCCACATTGAGGTAGAAATCAAATCCATTTTATAAGCAAGAAAACTGAACTTAGAAAAAGACATACTTGTAAGTAGTGGAGACAGTATAAAAGCACAGACGCACTGTCTCTCTCCATCTAAAAGATATACAAGGACGCAGACACTAAAAGCAGAAGATTAACCATTTATTTTACACAAAAAAGAAAAATGGAGGCAGCCTTGTTTGGGAGTATACAAACAGTAAAAGAAGAAGAATGGGTAGGATTCAGAAAGTACAGACCAAGCAACCTGCAATAGGCCTATCACCCCAATCTTCCCCGGAAACAATTCCCAGAGAAACATCACTATATAGTTTCCCCGAGAAACATCAGTCTATAGTTTCCCCAAAGTTTCTCAAGTCTCTGCTATTTATTTTAATGAGGCCACAATTCTCAGCCTAACAGTCTAGTTACAGGAAGATATTTGTCCCTGCTGGCCAGAGCCAAAGAACTTCAACTCATCTCCCCTTCTCCAGTGTTTTGGAACTTGAACAAAGATCTTACGATTTATTTTAATCATGCAAACTTCATTCTTCCTTCATTTCTGACATGATCTGTTCAACTAGTTTTCAACAAAAGGCAATATGCCCCAATCTGACAGGAATAGTCAATATTTGGCAAAAGGTTAAGATATGATTCAAGTGGTCAAGAAATTGATGTTGAAAATAGCAAATACTTCCTGCTACAGATATCCTATGGCAATCTCTCACGGTCTTGTATTTAATGCCTTTATTTCAAGCAAGCAACATAACTGCTGCTGTTTGAGAATATTAAAAGAATAAATAATGACACCTTTACAAATTCGGCAGGCTCTCCCACCAAAGGGCTTGAACAAAACTGCCATGGAGCCATCCTACGCATGGTGAAAGATAATAAAATCACTGTACTCGCCAGCAAAATAAATCAGTGTGCAGTTCTACAAAGGTGGTTATGGGAGAAGGAAGGCAGAATTTGCTTGTTAAGAAGCTAACATCATATAAAGTTTAAATTAAAAAAATAAAAAAGACAAAACCTCTTTTTAAGATCAAAGATTTCACAGATTGAGAAAGGGCTCTGAAGCAGTTTTGCTAATGAACGTAGCTGAGAAGGGCCCTGCTGCTTTTCTATGAAGGGAGATGCATCTCTACCCTCCCCACTCCAACATGGAACTCAGTCTCCCTGGCCAGGGGCCAAATGACCTTGGCATTCCAACGTTTACCCACCTTGGTAAGTGTACATAATAAAACTCAGAGCTTTGCCATCCCTTAAATGTTTCAGTCATTCTGAGTCCTTTTTAAGAGTGGCTGTTTTAACTAAAGGAGGCCCTGAGACCCAGAATTCTAAAACAAACAAACAAAATTAACATCTAGTGTATCTTCAGAGATCATCGAGTTCATTTACCTCTGTTCTTCAGAAAGGAAACCCAGGAGGCACAAATGCAAAAGGACTTGCTTAGGGGCTCCTGGAAAGACGTTTTTAGTAAATATGAGGGAGGCTTGAGTAAACTGCAGTGCTCATATGAAAAAAAAACTGAATTTTTTCCCCTAGCTTCTTAATAAAAGAGGCCTATCTCACTTAGGGAGAACTTTAATAGGCCTTTATAAATATTAAAATCAACTGTTGCCTAGTTAGGTATTTGATGTTTTCAAAATTAACACATCAATATCAACCTTCACCAATATTTATCTCAAAAAGCTTACAGCCTCATTATATTCCTATGCTCCCTTGTGTATCAACCCTCAGAGGTTCTTGAGATATACAAGACATCCATCCTTTATTCTCCTTCCATACAAATGCACAGTTAAATGCCTGTCCAGCTGCTCTACTTGGCTGTCTACTAAATAACCATCCAAACAAAACACCATGCCCTCAGTCTATTCTGTGCCTCTTCATCGCAGGAAATGGCACCATTATCATCCAGATGTTCAAATGAAGGAAAAGCAGTCACCTCTGATTCTGACTCCTACCTTTGCTTATCCCTCTCCTCCTGCACTTTCTCAATTCTTCAGAAATCCTGTCAAGTCCATCCCTAAAATATGTCTCAAACGTAAGAACTTCTTTCTCTACCACCAGTATCTTAATTCAACCTTCCATCAACTCTCAACTAAACTGCTTCAAAAGTCTCCTAAGTAATTTTTCTGTTTTCAATCTCACCCTTTCCCAATCCATTCTGTTTAGCAGTGACAATCATCATCTATATTATACAGTAACTGTTCACTTAACATCATTGATAGGTTCTTGGAAACTGCAACTTGAAGTGAAACGAGGCATAATGAAACCAATTTTACCATAAGATAATTGATATAAACAAATGTTAACTTCCCATGGCATACTTTTGATCACCAAAATGTCACTAAACTTCTAAATAAAAACCTAAACACTTTTAATATTGAAACACTGAAATAAATGTGAATTATACATACATTTTTAAAAGATTAATAGAAACAACTATGATAATCATTTACCTAATTATTCTATTACAGGGTCATAGGTGGCCAGAAACTATCCTGGAAGCTCAGGGCACAAGGCAGGAACCAGCCCTAGAAGGATCTCATTCCAACACAGGGCACACTCATACATATATATACGCACTTACACACACTCACACTGGGACCATGTAGACATGCCAATTCACCTAATGTGCACATCTTTGGGATGTGAGAAGAAACCAGAATACTCAGAGAAAACCCACACAGACATGGAGAGAACGTGCAAACTCCACACAGACAGCGACCCAAGCTGGGATTCAACTTTTTTTCCTCATGAATGTTATAATGAGAGGACGCTGAATGAAACGAGGACCTGCTATATCTGTATCTAGATAGGTAGATAGATAGATAGATAGATAGATAGATAGATAGATAGATAGATACACAGACAGATAGATAGACAGACACACACACACTATCATGTATCCCTTAATGATGGGGATACATTCTGAGGAATGCATCAATAGGCAATTTCGTCACTGTGTGACCATCACAGAGTATACTTACACAAAGCTAGTTGGTACAGCCTACTACACACGGAGGCCGTATGGATAGCCTACTGCTCCTAGGATACAAAGCTAGATAGCATGTTGTTACTGCACTGAATACTGTAGGCAACTGTAACACAAGGGTAAGTATCTGTGTATCTAAGCATATCTAAACATAGAAAAGGTAGAGTAAAAGTATGGTATTATAATCTTATGGCATCACCATTGTATATGTAGTCCTTCATCAACTAAAACATAATTGGGCAGCATGTGACTGTATGACTGTATTACATCACATCGCTATCCTGCTTGTAACCTATCAGTGGAGTCTATATCATAGAATTCCATATCCTTACTACCATCTTTAAAGCCAGTTGTGAGCTTACCCCTTCCTAGCTCTCCAATATTAGCTCATGTCATCCACCATCTTGCCCTGGGCTAGTCACATTCCATCTTCTCTGGCCTTCTTTCTATAGTTTGAATCCACTGAACTCTTTCATACTTTATGGCCTTCACACTTGCTTATTCCTCTACATGGAATATTCGTCCCTGAGCTGTTGACAAGGCTGTTTTCATTTCATACTTCGGGTTTCACCCCAGTCTTTTTCAAAGTACTCCCACTGCCATCTCAGTTGCTTTCTACCATGTGACCCTATGCACTGCATTCTTTAGTTGCACAGCCAGTCCCCATATCCGTGGAGTCTGCATCTGCAGATTCAACCAACTGAGCATCAAAAATATTTAGAAAAAAACAAATAACAAACAAAAACAATGTAAAAATGAAAATGTTACCAAAAATTGTTTTTGAGAGATGGTCTCACTCTGTCTCCCAGGCTGGAGTGCAGTGGTGCTGATCACAGCTCACTGCAGCCTCAACCTCCCGGGCTCAAGCCCACCTCAGCCCACTAAGTATCTGGGACTACAGGCATGCATTATCACGCCAGGCTAATTTTTGTATTTTTTGTAGAGAGGGGGTGTTGACATGTTGCTCAGACTGGTCTCAAACTCCTGGGTTCAAGTGATTTGCCCACGTCAGCCTCCCAAAGTGAATACGAATTTTAAAAATACAGTATAACAACTATTTACATAGTATTTACATTATATTAGGCATTATACATAATCTAGAGATAATTTAACTATACAGAGGATGTGCCTAAATTATATGCAAATACTAAACCATTTATATAAAGGACTTGAGCATTCTTGGATTTCGATACCTGCAGGAGGGGACTTGGAATCAGTTCCCCACAGATACTGAGGGATGACTGTATTTACTTCCTCCAACCCCTGCCATGGAACACAGTCTCCTGTCAAGGCCTTATCAATTACATTCACCTTTGCATTTTCTTGGTCCAGGACAAGGCCTGGCACAAAGTGTTCATAAATATTTGTCAGATGAATTAATACTCATGGTCATCATGCTTTACAGGGTCTTGTGATTTTCTCCTGTATTGTCTCCTATTTTATAGTTAATTGTCACCACAAAGCTTTCCCTAAGGATACCTTAGAAAGAACAGCCCTATTCTCCTGCTTTCTAATAAGATGCTTCCAATTAACTATGATCCAGAAAAATAGATTAAAAACTTACTAGCATTGAATGCAGCATAAGAGTAAATATGCTCTGAATGAAGATCTAGGTAAAGATCTTGTATTTAGTGACATAATTTTATGGCGTTTATTTTAGCTGCTCAGGAGACTACTTTTGCTTACATCTTAGTTATAGGTATATCCTATGGCTAAAGGGATGATAATTTCTAGAAAAAAATAATTTTAATGATAGTAGTGGTAATAATAATTGTAGTAATAACCATCATATGATAATATCAGCTCACATTTACTATTTATTAATACCAAGTGCTTTCATAATTGCTTTATACATATTTAACTCAATCTTCACAATAGCCTATAAAAAATACTAATAGTATCATGCTCATTATACAGATGAGGAAACTGAGGCACAGCAATTAAATACAGTAAATTGCCAAAATAAGACAGTTAATGGCACAGAATGGATGTGAGCCCCAAAAATCTTATTTTAAAATGTGTGCTCAAGACCACTGCCCCATACTGCTTCCCAATGAGCCATTGGCGAGTCATAATTCTACACCAAAAACAAATGGTCCTGGGCAAGGTGGCTCACACCAGTAATCCCAATGAGTCTGAGGCAGGCAGATTGATTGAGGCCAGGAGTTTGAGGTTATATAGTAAGCTACAATCACGCACTGCACTCCAGCCTGGGTGACAGAACGAGACCCTGTCTCTTAAATAAATAAATAAGAATGGTTCAGCTATATATATATGAAATAATGATGTTTTAAAATAATTTATAACCAACAATATATAAGCCAGTTAATCGCATTTCTTAACTTCTAGAAATATTTAAAATGACAGACATAAAGAATAAAAGGAAGTAGTATATACAAAGTAAAACAATCAATGGCAGGAGCAAGAAAAACATGCAAAACACTTTTGTACAGATATAATTAATCACGAGCCACTGACTTAGAATAAGTATTTGTTGCTCTTCAGAACAGCAAAAAATATCACCAGGAAAGTATTGTTTCTAAAGACATTTGGATTTTGTATAATTTACATATGACCAAATTAATTTAAATTTAGAACAGTTGATCTTATTATGTAATATGTGTTCCTGACATTCATGAGTCAGCTCAGGGGTCTGCCTAGAGGGAGAAAGGGCAATGAATGTATCTTCAGACTTCAGTCTCCCTTTGCTCAAAGATTTGCCCTATAGGGCTGGAGACCCTCACATTTCCAGGGTGAACACGCTTCGGCAGGATTGTGGTCCTCCTCAGGGTATCTCTTGCCTTGATGTTAATAGGAATGTCTCAGGACACAAGGTGAGAGGCCCCTCATGATCAGGATGTGCCTGAATGGAGCCAATAAAAGCTCATGCTGGGAAAGTTGCAGCAGAAGCAGCAGCAGGTGGAAAAAGTGCTGAGGCCAAGAGGATCTGAAGGGGCTAGTGCAGAAAGGGTCCTGGGTCAGAGATGGCAGGCTATGTTTGTAGCTAGTTGAAGCACGGGGCCCAATCTGGGCTGCTGAGCATCTAGTGCCTGCTCCCCGCCTCCCCACTGCAGGCAGGGAGCAGGCACTAGAATGCTGTGAGGCTTTGTCTTCAGCTATGAGGGAGCAGGAAGGAGGTGCTATTCCATATCTTCATTATCTACTTGGATGAAGACATAGAAAGTGAGCTCATCAACCATTCAGATGTCACAAGACTGAGAAAGATAACTAACAGATTGAATAGGCCAATCAAAATTCTAAAGATTTCAACAGCCTGGGATGATGGGTGACAACTAGTAAGATGAAATTTTATAAGGGAAAAATATTGCTTTGGTGGGTTCCCTGGCTGTAAGATGAATTACCATCAGGAATGAACATCTGCAGGGAAAAAATCATGAAAAGAGAATGTTTTATCTCTGATTTTTTCACTTGAGTGGCTGGATAAAGCACACCAGAGACAACACTACTGCTCACCATTATTAACCAAATGGCAAAGAAACCCAGATCTTCCTTCTACTAGATGTCAATTTCCTGGGTTCTTTATTTCACCGGCAATAATTGCTTATTGAATTTGATTCTCCATTTTTTATTTTGGGAATGCTCAAAAGTAAAAAAGTTAAAAGACTAGTACAATGAACTCTCATATATTCTTTTGCCATGTTTTGTATGTGTTTGTGTGTGTGTTTGTCTCAAGCATTTGAAAGTAACTCAAAAAACTTCACACACTGTCCACCGTATAACCACAATATCATTATCTTATTAACAAGACATAATTAATAATTGTTCTCTAATATAACAATATTCAATATCTAGTCCATATTCAAAGTCCCAGCTGGCCCATAAGACTCTATAGCTTTCCTTTTTCTACAGTGAACCCAATTGAGGTTCCCACGTGACATTTGGCTGTTATAGCGCCAACAATCTAGAAATGCTCTTCCATGGTTTCAGTTTTTGATTTGTCTGTTTCATTTTGGTGTCATTTAACTGAGTCCTATATTCTCAGTATTTCCTATAAACTAGAAATTAAGTCTACCTTACACATTTTGACAAGAATAGTTAATAGATAATGGTTTTTCAAAACTTTGTGTATTGTTAGAAGGCACACCACATCTGTCTGTCTCAATTTTACTGATAAAGAGCCTGATCAAATGGCTAAGGTAGTGACCACCAGATCTCTCCCCTACAGAAGGTTTTGTTTTTCCTTTTACAATTAGTAAGTAACCTGTGGCATCATGTTTTCAACACAGTATAAGCATATTTTTCCCCAAACAACACCTTATACAAAAGTTTTAATATTCGTTGACAATCCTTGGCTTCCATCAGTTATTTCAAAAAGTCTATAAAAATTGATATTTTCTAATTCTATCATTATTTCTTTACTAGCCATTGTTATTAATTTTTTTAAAAGCATTCATTCATCACTTGAAGAGGAACTACAGCTTCCTCCTAAAATTTTAGATTAGATGCTATTTATTCCCCACATCTGAGAATTCCAAACAAATAGTCTGTGGTCTCTAACATGGGTTGGCAGGCTTTTTCTGTAAAGAATCCAACAGCAAATATGTTAGGTTTTGCTGGCCATGTGGTTTCTGTCACAACTGCTCCACTCTGCCATTGCAGCATGACAGCAACCACAGACAATATATAAACAAATATGTGTCGAGGAATTTATCCATTTCTTCTAGATTTTCTAGTTTATTTGCGTAGAGGTGTTTGTAGTATTCTCTGATGGTAGTTTGTATTTCTGTGGGATCGGTGGTGATATCCCCTTTATCATTTTTTATTGCGTCTATTTGATTCTTCTCTCTTTTCTTCTTTATTAGTCTTGCTGGCGGTCGATCAATTTTGTTGATCCCTTCAAAAAACCAGCTCCTGGATTCATTAATTTTTTGAAGGGTTTATTGTGTCTCTATTTCCTTCATTTCTGCTCTGATTTTAGTTATTCTTGCCTTCTGCAAGCTTTTGAATGTGTTTGCTCTTGCTTTTCTAGTTCCTTTAATTGTGATGTTAGGGTGTCAATTTTGGATCTTTCCTGCTTAACCAGGAAGAAGTTGAATCTCTGAATAGACCAATAACAGGCTCTGAAATTGTGGCAATAGTCAATAGCTTACCAACCAAAAAGAGTCCAGGACCAGATGGATTCACAGCCGAATTCTACCAGAGGTACAAGGAGGAACTGGTACCATTCCTTCTGAAACTATTCCAATCAATAGAAAAAGAGGGAATCCTCCCTAACTCATTTTATGAGGCCAGCATCATCCTGATACCAAAGCCGGGCAGAGACACAACCAAAAAAGAGAATTTTAGACCAATATCCTTGATGAACGTTGATGCAAAAATCCTCAATAAAATACTGGCAAACCAAATCCAGCAGCACATCAAAAAGCTTATCCACCATGATCAAGTGGGCTTCATCCCTGGGATGCAAGGCTGGTTCAATACACGCAAATCAATAAATGTAATCCAGCATATAAAAAGAACCAAAGATAAAAACCACATGATTATCTCAATAGATGCAGAAAAGACCTTTGACAAAATTCAATAACCCTTCATGCTAAAAACTCTCAATAAATTAGGTATTGATGGGACGTATCTCAAAACAATAAGAGCTATCTATGACAAGCCCACAACCAATATCATACTGAATGGACAAAAACTGGAAGCATTCCCTTTGAAAACTGGCACAAGACAGGGATGCCCTCTCTCACCACTCCTATTCAACATAGTGTTGGAAGTTCTGGCCAGGGCAATTAGGCAGGAGAAGGAAATAAAGGGTATTCAATTAGGAAAAGAGGAAGTCAAATTGTCCCTGTTTGCAGATGACATGATTGTATATCTAGAAAACCCCATTGTCTCAGCCCAAAATCTCCCTCCTTAAGCTGATAAGCAACTTCAGCAAAGTCTCAGGATACAAAATCAATGTGCAAAAATCACAAGCATTCTTATACACGAATAACAGACAAACAGAGAGCCAAATCATGAGTGAACTCCCATTCACAATTGCTTCAAAGAGAATAAAATACCTAGGAATCCAACTTACAAGGGATGTGAAGGACCTCTTCAAGGAGAACTACAAACCACTGCTCAATGAAATAAAAGAGGATACAAACAAATGGAAGAACATTCCATGCTCATGGGTAGGAAGAATCAATATCATGAAAATGGCCATACTGCCCAAGGTAATTTACAGATTCAATGCCATCCCCATCAAGCTACCAATGACTTTCTTCACAGAATTGGAAAAAACTACTTTAAAGTTCATACGGCACCAAAAAAGAGCCTGCATCGCCAAGCCAATCCTAAGCCAAAAGAACAAAGCTGGAGGCATCACGCTACCTGACTTCAAACTATACTACAAGGCTACATAACCAAAACAGCGTGGTACTGGTACCAAAACAGAGATATAGATCAATGGAACAGAACAGAGCCCTCAGAAATAACGCCACATATCTACAACTATCTGATCTTTGACAAACCTGAGAAAAAGAAGCAATGGGGAAAGGATTCCCTATTTAATAGATGGTGCTGGG
Organism: Homo sapiens; assembly: GCF_000001405.40. Lineage (NCBI taxonomy): Eukaryota > Metazoa > Chordata > Mammalia > Primates > Hominidae > Homo > Homo sapiens. The sequence continues at coordinate 28,688,395 of NC_000003.12, read as the reverse complement.
AAAACTGGCTAGCCATAAGTAGAAAGCTGAAACTGGATCCCTTCCTTACACCTTATACAAAAATTAATTCAAAATGGATTAAAGACTTAAATGTTAGGCCTAAAACCATAAAAACCCTAGAAGAAAACCTAGGCATTACCATTCAGGACATAGGCATGGGCAAGGACTTCATGTCTAAAACACCAAAAGCTATGGCAACAAAAGCCAAAATTGACAAATGGGATCTAATTAAACTAGCTTCTGCACAGCAAAAGAAACTACCATCAGAGTGAACAGGCAACCTACCAAATGGGAGAAAATTTTTGCAACCTACTCATCTGACAAAGGGCTAATATCCAGAATCTACAATGAACTCAAACAAATTTATAAGAAAAAAACAAACAACCCCATCAAAAAGTGGGCGAAGGATATGAAGAACAGACACTTCTCAAAAGAAGACATTTATGCAGCCAAAAAGCACATGAAAAAATGCTCACCATCACTGGCCATCAGAGAAATGCAAATCAAAACCACAATAAGATACCATCTCACACCAGTTAGAATGGCGATCATTAAAAAGTCAGGAAACAACAGGTGCTGGAGAGGATGTGGAGAAATAGGAACACTTTTACACTGTAGGTGGGACTGTAAACTAGCTCAACCATTGTGGAAGTCAGTGTGGCGATTCCTCAGGGATCTAGAACTAGAAATACCATTTGACCCAGCCATCCCATTACTGGGTATATACCCAAAGGACTATAAATCATGCTGCTATAAAGACACATGCACACGTATGTTTACTGCGGCACTATTCACAATAGCAAAGACTTGGAACCAACCCAAATGTCCACCAATGATAGACTGGATTAAGAAAATGTGGCACATATACACCATGGAATACTATGCAGCCATAAAAAATGATGAGTTCATGTCCTTTGTAGGGACGTGGATGAAATTGGAAATCATCATTCTCAGTAAACTATCGCAAGAACAAAAAACCAAACACCACATATTCTCACTCACAGGTGGGAATTGAACAATGAGAACACATGGACACTGCAAGGGGAACATCACACTCTGGGGACTGTTGTGGGGTGGGGGGATGGGGGAGGGATAGCTTTAGGAGATAAACCTAATGCTAAATGACGAGTTAATGGGTGCAGCACACCAGCATGGCACATGTATACATATGTAACTAACCTGCACATTGTGCACATGTACCCTAAAACTTAAAGTATTATAATAATAATAATAATAATAAATAGCTGTGGTGTGTTCCCATAAAATCTTACTTACAAAAACAAGTAGCAAGCTGGATTTGGCCCTCAGGGCTTAATGTGCCCATCCTAGTCTATAATAGTATCATTTACTTCTGATACCATTTATTTGCCATAGTGATCGGTTTTCAAAGCACTTTCACATCCATCATCCAGTCTGTTCTTCACAATAGTTATGTTACATAGGCGGGCAAACATCTTAATGTGATTAGACAGATGAGCTGAAGCTCAGAAAGATTAGGAAAAGTGAAGCCAAGAACCTAGATTTCTCAGCTCCTTGCCTGATACTTGTATTCTTATTGTGTCTCTTTATATAGATGGATACAAACTCCAAACATACCATCATGAACAACAAATGCAATGCCTCAAAGACTTCTGAAAAATGAAAGGTCAAACAACCTAACTGCCAAATTATGCTTTCCCTAGAGAGTTAGCTATTGATTTGCCAGAATGAAAAATAAACCATTGCAGCATAAACATTCTCTGAAAACTATAGTTATATTTTCATTTCCATGAAAAGAAAACAAAATTTAAAATGTTCTGAAATGCATAAGCCAGTTGGAAATTAATGTCTAGCCTCAGTTTGTTAATAGAATATAGAAATAAATAGAGGTAAAAACCCTTGCATATTGCCATTAACTTTGCAACTAGATCTATCAGAATGTCAGAAGCCACAGTTTTCTTTCTTAATGTATTAACAGGTGGTAAAATATATATAAGCACATTGAACATTGTAAAGTGCTTCTCCATAGTCAGTTAATATTATAATTTTTACTGCTGTCATTGTTAAGGACAAAAATGATCCTTAAATCGTGAGACAAAATGCATATTTTGCCAACCAAGTAAGCTTGTATTTATGCTGGGAAAAGAATATATTTAAATACAAAGAAACAAGCTCCAAATCTGGCCTGTTATTGATCCTCATGAACATGCAGTTTTAGTGAAAACAAAGGGATCATAGTCCATTTTCTCCTGTAGAAATTAGTCTTGAGTTTCATGGGAAAAGACCAGGCTACTTAACACTGGCAAAATCTTAGCCATTGTCCTATAATTCCACCCCCATAAAATAAAGTTCAGAGATACAGCTATTCTTTCATGGTGACAGACCAATATTTAGGCAAGAGAAAGGAAACTTACTTTTATGAGGCCACTACTCTGACCTAATATTTTACATTAGGTCCAACCCTAATATTTGTAGGGCTTGGAAGAAAAGTACAAATAAAAACCTACATATCTTAAGTTATATATGAGTCTAGAAAACATAAATGTATTCTATTCTCCTACCTTGAAAAAGACTTTATGACTATAATGTTTTTTTTTAAATGTGTGTAAAGTTATAGCTTTTATCTAACTAAAAGTCAGCAAAATATCAAAGATGACTGAAGTGTTATTGTACACATCTGCACGTTTTGTTGATGGACAGTGACTTGGGGATCAGTAGTTGTTCAATACTGCCAAATGTTCTCCAGTCACCATGTGCAACTACTGCAAAGAGAACGCTAATTCCCAGGTACCTCTGGAACCATGAAGAGAAGCAAGGAAATGGAGGCTTGATTCTACTGAAAAATAATACTTTTTATGCAATACACTACTACACTCACACTGAGAGAAAGGTTTTACAATTTAATTAGTCTTTTTTCTTACCGAAGTGCTTTTGCTGCTCAAATCTTCCCCACACTCCAAAGCAGGGCCTGTTTCAGACAACACAACCCACAAATCTTCACGGCATTCAGATGCAGTCATCTTTTGTTTGAGAACATTGGGTGAGATGTGGGAAAGCATTTCCCTGGGGCCTGAACAGTATTAGTAGTCATGAGAGTGGATGTTTAGCTGCCAACACTGAGCGCTGAATCCTGAGTAACAGAGGCATCGTGTATTCTTTATTGAAGTGTATGTGTGAGCGTGTGTGTGTGTGTGTGTGTGTGTGTGTGTGTGTTGATGAATATGAAGTTTTCCAAAGTTTGAGACCCAAGGTACTGGGTCCATTTCTACAGGTGGTACTGCCTGACATTAATTTTCTTACTTAATGTAGCTGTGAAGCACTATTTCTAGGTATATATCCCTAACTCCATTGTGCTCTAGAAGTGAGGGCTTTAATGCCACTCATTTTGCCATAGCAAGCTAAATCCAAGATTTCAAAATAGCTATTTAGCATTGACAACCACCACTATTCACTATGGTCACTTCAAAGACAATTCCAATTTTTCTATTGTGCAGTTTTATGTGGGCAGGGCAAGGGAAACAAACACTGGAGCTCAGGAAGAGTTGGGGGAGACAAAAACTGGGAACATGTTTCTTCCAGGGTTGCTCTGTCTCCAATTTAGTATTTGTATAGCAAAATCACACAATTACCTTCTAGCACCTTGGCAATTTGGAAGTTTCTTTCAATATTTACCCAGCAAGCATGTGTCAGGCACTATGCTGGGATCCAGGAATAAAGAGACTAGTCTCTCCCAGTAAGATCCAAATATTCCATGTCTAATAGGCTCTTCCTTACTATTTTTTGGGCCACTATAAGGAAAATATTCATTACTTCTTTCTGATACTTTCCCTTTCACTCTTTCCTTTTTTCAGTAAAAGGCATTAACCATAGCATAAAAAGATGATGTTAGGTACAGAGTTCTGCTGTCCCAGTAATCTAGAGCAGATGCCTTAAGTGTTCTACATCCTAGCCACCATCCCACAGGCCATGTTGAAAGGTAACAAGGGCCAGGCACAGTGGCTCATGCCTGTAATCCCAGCATTTGGGAGGTGGGTGGATCACCTGAGGTCAGCAATTCGAGACCAGCCTGGCCAACGTGGTGAAACCCTGTCTCTACTAAAAATACAAAAATTAGCCAGGCATAGTGGGGGGCACCTGTAATCTCAGCTACTTGGGAGGCTGAGGCAGGAAAATCACTTGAACCCGTGAGGCGGAGGTTGCAGTGAGCCAAGACCACACCATTGCACTCCAGCCTGGGCAACAAGAGCAAAACTCCATCAAAGAAAAGAAAAGAAAAGGAGAAGAGAAGAGAAGGAAAGGAAGAGAAGAGAAGAGAAAGAAGAGAGAAGAGAAGAGAAGAGAAGAGAAAAGAGAAGAAACGAAGGTAACAGGTCAGTAGACTCAGCATTAACTACCCCCCACCTAATTCCCACCTCTTACATTCACGTTATTGGTGTAAAAGTAAAGAGAAAAAGAAGGAGGCTGCAGAACTGAAGAATTTCTCAAGATTAGCTCTTCTCCTCTCTCCCAACACTGGAGAGGGAGGGAGGCTCCATGAAAAGGAGAGGGAACATTGTGTACCTTAATTGGGGTAAGTTTAGTCACTGAGCTTGCTAGCAAGTCCTTATACCACTGGAGGTAGGTAAAGAGCACTGGGTGGATATGGTATAAAAAGGGAAAGTTTCCTGCTCCTGAAATGTGTGTAAATTAGAGCTGAACATACCAGTAGACAACAGAGATGGAAACACTGTAAACACAGATGACACTGTATTATAGTCGTGCCAGGCACAGCTATAGGATACGGCAAAGGATGGGAGGTGTTCAGCTAGGGATCAACTAGAAGATGGAGTAGAGTCTTGCATAGGGAGCCACTTAAGATGAGACTGTTATCAGGAGGCCTGATGGAGCCACCACCCATGCTCAAGGATTTCATGGACTCAATCGCAAACTAGGTCAGCAATTAGGGCCAACCAAGAAGAGTCATGCAACTTCACTATGGACAGGCATACAAGGCAACATTTTCATCTCATTCCCTTCCTCATTGCCCTCAACATCAATCAGAGTCATCATTCCAAGAAGGCAGAGCAAAAAGTGCGTAAGAGAACAGACCATAACCCAGACCCCACCACTCCTAGCCACCAGAGCCACAAGTTTAGCCTTGATTAGGGGGATGATGGGGTTGAGAGGGAGGGAGGACAGCTGAGATTAAGAAATATCAACTAAATAGAAGTTTGAAGTTTTTACATTGTTTTGTTTGTTTTATCCATCCCCCTAAGCATTTATTTATTGAGTTACAAACAATCCAATTACACTCCTTTAGTAGGTTTTACATTGTTAACACTGAGACTTAAAAACTTTAAGTGGGACTGTTTTAATAAGAAATAAGAATGTGGATTTTGCTAGAGCAAATTCGTAACAGGTTTTGGAAAAAATAAAACAATTTCACATATGATGCTGATGGGGTACAGGAAACACTAGCCCCAAATGTGGCACCTTACAATACTCAGTATTTCAAGCTGAAGGAAACTGAGAAAGCCACAGAAGCAGAAAGATCTCTCTGAACTTCTTTCCTGAAGCCTCTTGTGTGGCAGATGATCTGCCCTATATCCGAAGGGAGGGAATGCTATCCAGAGAGGCCAAGAACAATCTCAAGAAACAGACCTTGCTACTTCCCCCACCCCCAGTTTATTACCATTCAGTCATACTCCTTTTTCATCTAATCATACTTCTACATGTCTGTCCGTTCTTCATCAAACCTAAGCATAAAAATACATGATCTTCCCTATGTTTGGGGGTCTTCATTTCTGAAGACTCTCATATCCCATAATATTTGGCTAATAAATTTGCTTTGCTTTTCTCTGGCTTAAATCTTCCTTTTCTTTTACGGAACTCAGTCATAAACCTTGTGATGAGTGAGGAAAAGTTATGACTTTTTCTCCCCTACAATATCAAAGCATTCAGACAAAAGGAAACAAGGAAATTCTCAAACATATACATCAAACTGCAGCTAGTGAAAAAGTTATGAGATGACATTACTGTTCTACAAAGAAACCTAGTGTGTGTGTAGGAAGGGTGCATGGGAAATTCTGCCCTATTTGTCATTTTCCAGCTATTTGGAGTTATATCAGAGAGAGATGCTTCTTGTCTTGATTGCCAAAGGCATTTAAATTTGGCAGAACTCCTGGCTTAAATGTTTGCAAATTGTTCATACTTATAACTGGGATCTCTTTCTACAAAAGAGTAGAGAATAGAAAATTGCACTCTGCATTTTTCTCTGTGAACCTTCTTCTTGCTTCTCGTCTTCATGGTTGCCTATTAATAGTGATCGCCTTTGGAAAGGAGATCAGAAATTGCTTCAGAAAGGGTCTGTTCTTCCAAATGATATTGGTAAGATGAGGTGTTTTTTTCTTTAATAAATCTGTTTCTCTTCTGATCTCCTCACTTTGCAGCTAAAGTCTTTCAACCTCCTTGGGATGAAAGAAGTACTGCAGAATATTGATTTTTTACTTCCCCTATAAATTCATGACAAATGTTGAACAAAAGCTTATCTGGAAGTTTAGACATCCAATTAAAATTTTGCTCGCAAGTGAAAATTCCTCTTAAGAAAAGAAAAAGAACTCCAACTTCTTTGCACTCTCATACATCTTCATCTCACTGGTGACATGTCCCAGGGACCAGTCTCAAAAAATTGATCTCAGAATTAACTTGAGGTGTGTGTGTGTGTTGAAAGTGAGAAGCATCACTCAACATTTTTGCTTGCTTTGGGTCAAAAAGAAAGCAAGACACGGCATCTACCTGGAAGGGTCACGTGGTTTTGTAAATTAGGGGGCAATTTAGACCCAGAGGCTGGGTGAGTGAGTCTGTCTGGGGTGAAATGAAGACACATAGGGCTCAGAAGGGAAAAGCATGTTATTTCAGGCAAGGGATAAATATAAGTGCAGAGGCAGAAAACATGAGGGCATGGAGGGAAGCCTGAACATGTATGAGCAAAGCATCTCAGAACAGTGATGCATTGCCTAGGAGACCAACACATGGTTTGTACGACAAGAAGTCAGAAAAAAAGTCTGGCAACGGAATTGAAGCAGCCTTGCATGGGATTTCATAGAAGTCTCAGTAATTGAACTGGTTCTTTGCTCACTTTTTTTAAACCTCTGATCCTCTTTTTTTTTTTTTTCATCTATTAGCATCCTCTGCCACAACTTTACCTGATAATCTTTATCTACTTCTTTATGCCTCTTCTCCAACTACAAATTGAAACTATTACTGGAAAGGTAAAACGACATTTGGTAAAAGAAACACTGTGAATTATGTGAAATTATTAATCAAATATTGGAAAGATGATTATAATTCTGCTATCCAAATTAGAAAGATAAATGCCTAGATACACATACATATACAGGCATACCCGCCCATACACATATGTGCACATAGGCTCACATGTACATGCACATGTATACACATGCAAACATGCATGGTCATGGCTATACATTAATATACATGCATATTTGTGCTCACACACAACATAACATAAAGAAATGAAAAGCAAAAGAAAATAATCTTTCTCCACTTTAGAAACAAAGCTGTTTTTAAAAGAAGAAGCTGCCAATCTTTTCACCTCACAGGGTTCATTGTGTAATCCTAAATTCTACAGTGCTTTCCCACAGAATAATAATAACAATAACTTGATTATCATTTCTCTGCAGGGCCACAGAACAACTTTGAGTGATGAATTTAGAGGCAAAAACCTCTACAATCCCAAATTCCTCACTTCCTTACATGGGTGTGGCCCCAGGAGTTCCAAAGCATTGCCATCTTCCATGTTTTTCACCTTTCTTACTGCACCCATCTTGTCTCTCCATAGCATTCTGCATTTGTTTTGATTTACAGTTTTCACATCATCTTGGGGAAGCAGACACACAGATATATAAGCAGAGCATCAAAAAAGAGATAACTGCTCAGGGAGCCATCTGGGGAGAGGCACCAAGCTCAAGTTCTATACCCTAATAGCCATTGCTTAGATGTATTTTAGAGTGGGTAAGCAGTTGAAGGTTATATGCTCACACAGGAAAAGCTTGAGTAGAAACCTCTAGAGTAGTGGTCCCTCTTGGGATGGTCAACCCACTCTTTTGCAACTGTATTTGACAGGACTTTTTCACTTGTTAATATCGAAATTCCCACACAAACTGGCTTAAGCAAACAAAGTGAATGTACTGACTTATGTAACAGAAAAGGCAGCGCGATATCCAGGCTCTCAATCAACACTCCCAAATAAAATCAATCTCAATTTCAACCTCAATCAATTTCCCTTGCTTTCTGCCCCTCCCCTCTCTCATTTTCTTGACTCTGCTTTACTCTGTAAAGGGACTCATTCTCAAGGGGCTCTCCCCAGGTAACCACAAAGATGCCTAGGCTCCTATTCTACATCCCTTGCCCAGTAACTCCAGCAAAAGCCTTGAAGACCCTTCCTATGGGCCTGATCTTTGTCATCCGACTATACCAAAGTGATCCTTGTGGACAGGAGCCTGCTCTACTCTCACTGGCCAGGCTTTCCAACCAACAGTCAGCTGTCAAGAGCCGTGAGGGGTCTGAGATCTTACCTTCCTTGCCAGTTAAGAAGAGAGCCTCCCACAGCTTCACACATGCTGCTAGACCCTTGGGTCAGAGACAAAAAACTTGATTACTCATGGCACAGAAAGCAGTCTGTGCTTCATATTCACATTGGCTCCCCTTGCTCCACAAGTCCCTTGAAAAACATACAGAGTGGCCCAGGTAGGTGCTGCATACATACAGTTGATTTGCCTCATATGTGAGGGCCTCAAGTTTAGGAAACCCCTGATCTTAGAAGGAGGCTGCTAGCAAACCTGCTCACCCTTCACCCTGGAGGGAGATATTATCTTTATTATTCTAGTCAGGAAACAAACCTAGCCATTTCCTGCAGGGAAGCCCTATCTCTATTATCCAAGGCTGTTTACTATAAACATCCTTGAAAAGATCCTCTGAAACAAGAGCTGACACAAGATGTGCAGAAATATGAAAGATCCACAAGAATTGTCTTCCAACAATAAGGCTGTAAAGCAGGAGGAATGGGGAGAAGAGGGGTGGGAGGGGTAGTTCTCCATAATGAAGAAACATGTTCTGATACCAGAAAAGAAACACTGAGCAGACCAAAAAAAAAAAAAAAAAAAAAAAGTACTGTCTATGGTCATTGACAGTATCACACTAACTCCAGATGTATCAAATTTCTCTGACTCCTCACCTCACTTTTACCTTCTAGGACTCCCTGGCAATTTTTGCACCTAAGTGAACTGTGTCAATGTCAAATTCAAATTATTATTTCCATCTGACAGTGTGCTTCCCTTAAATTGAACTTCTAAAAAAAAAAAAAATTCTGAAAACCCTGGAGGCAAAACACATCACTCTGGGACCACCCCTTTGCATGGACCAAATGGTGGTAAAGGCCGTGGATTTCTGTCTTAAATGCCTCCATCACTTTTAGACTGATCCCATAGGTTACCTGAATTTGATAATGTGGCGCCTTCATGATCACTCCCCTCTAACTCCTGAAGTGCACACAACTCAAAAGGAAAATTAGAATTCAATATGTAGGTAGGGAGGTTAGTGCTGTGCTAGAGTAAGTGAGTAAATAGCAGACTTGGGTTCATAATCTGCTTTGTCATGTAACTGCGATGACCCTACCTGTCCATGAATTCTGAGGAATGCTTTGATTTTCCTTGAGCACAGGTTCCATGGATGGAATCTAGGAAGAGAAGATTGGCGAGAAAAGACACAAGCAAGGTGTGGAGTCCAAGAAGGGGCAAAATTTCCCCAGAGAAATAGGCGATGCCAAAGGAAAGGACAACCCCAAGAAGGAAGGCATTTGAAATTCCACAAGACTATCTTCGAAATAATTCCATTATTTTGAGCCAAAAATGTTTCTGAAAACTTTGACCTTATTATGCATAAGGGGTACTACATTTCAAAGATACACGAATTAGTTCTTTCAGTCACAGACATGGTTTTATTAACTTCAGCATCAGATTACCCAAGGAAGGAGTTTTAAGGGAGACACTGTTTTGAGCTGATAATGATACAGAACGGCTGGGCTCCCCGCTAAACCTCACCCTAGAGCTGGGAACTGAGGCCCTAACTGAAAACAGCTGACCCTGTTTTTCCATCCAAATGTTGCTTTTTTGGCCTGCCCTCCCCCTATCCTGTGCCCATAAAAGACTTCAGCTGGCGGAACAACACAAATGGCTGAGCGTTGAGGATACAAGCGGCTGAGCGGCGGGCAGAGAAGCAACTGAGGATTGGAGACTACAGAGAGACACCACTAACTTCAGATGGTGCAGCTTCAGAGAGTGGCCCTGCCAGAGATGGCCAGGCTTCAGGGAAATATCACCTTCCCATCCCCTTTCCAGACTCCCTTTCGACTGAGAGCCACCCACCACTCAATAAAGTCTTCTGCATTCATCACCTTTCAAACAGTTAGTGTGACCTGATTCTTCCTGGACGCCAAACAAGAACCCCGGTGCCAAAAGGGCAGGGGCTGCCATCCTGACCCTACACTGAGCTGGTTGGCACTTGGCCATCCCCAGAAGGCAGAGCTGAAGATCACTGGTTGTAACATGCTTGGATGCTGCTGCAGGGCCTGCACAGAGCCTGCTCCTGCCAGAGAGGAGCGACCGGCTGGTTCCAGCATTTGTTAGCTCCAGTTCCTGCACTGGCTTGCACGCTCCCTCTGGCGAGGAGTGGCCAGTGGCGAGCTGAGTGAAACAAGCCACTCCAGTTCCTGCCTGCGAAGGGGTTCAAGGGAACTATCCCGTCTCAATATGACCAAGCAGAGTGTTGGTGATGGAGATGTTGATTCCATCTGCCAATTCTGGGCTCTTTGGCAAAAATTTCAAAAACAGACCTTGCATATGTTCATTTGACAGATAAAGCAGTGCACATAGCAATAGACAAATGCTAGGTAGCAGGTACTCCTTCCCTCCTCTTCTAAGATTTTTCTACAACCTCCAACACTTCAGAATCACATTCATCTACAATGTAATAAAAAATATCTATTTGTCTCTGCCCTCACTTCCTGACACAGAGCTCCTAAAACTCTTGTAACTTTCTGAGTGATAAGGGAAATAGGAGAATCCTTTGTTATAATATTTGGCCTTAGTCTGATTCTTAAGCCAGCTTCTAAGGCCCTTGGAATCTCCAGAGTGGTAGCTTTCAGTATGCAAATGAGATGACTGGTGGCCGGGGACCCTAGATAGCTTCAGGATGGGAGTGGGTCACCAGAAAGACCAGGGCAAGATTGAAGAATTAGAACTTTCACCCCTACCCCCAACCTCTATGGAATGGAAGGGGCTGGAGATCGAGTCAATCACCAATGGCCAATGATTTAATCAATCATGCCTAAGCAATGGGGCCTCCATAAAAAGCCTAAATCTAGGGGTTTGGAGAGTTTCCAGGTTGGTGAATTTATCCACGTCACAGGAGGGTGGCATATTCCAATTCCAAAAAGACAAAAGCTCCTGCACTCAGGACCCTTTCAGTCCTCATCCTATGTACCTCTTTGTTTGGCTGTTCATTTGTATCCTTTACAATATCCTTTATAATAAACCAGTAACGGTAAATAAAGTGTTTTCCTGAGTCCTGTGAGCCATCATGACATATCATTGAACCTGAGGAGGGGGTCATGAGACACCCAATTTGTAGCCACGTCAGGTAAGAATGTGGGTAGTAATCTAGGGACCTACTACTGGCATCTGAAGTAGGGGGCAGTCTTGAGGGATTGAGCTCTTAACTCATGAGGTTGATGCTAACTTGAGTTACTGTCAGAATTGAATTAAATTGTGTGTATATCCAATTGGTATCCCCAGGGAACTGGAAAAGTACAATATATGGAAAACTACTCATTTTTTTGTCAGAAGTTTTGTGAGTAGAGAAACTGATTTCTGTTACAACCCATCCAATCACTCATTGAAAAAATGTTTCGTAGGTATCTACCATGTGTCAGGCACTGCTATGCATTAAAGATTCAGCAGTGACCAAAACATATATGGTCCCTTCCTTCATGGAGTTTATAATCTAAGGTGAAATACGGTTATTCATAAGGTCAAAACACAAATTAATACCATAAAATATTGTGCTAAAGACTAAAAAGGGGAAAAAGGAATAAGCAGTATTACTATACAACATTTTCTTGTATGTTAGGGATGTCTTCTATGAAGAAGTAACAATGTTGCTGAGAGGAAAAGGATGTTCAGGTAGTAATAGGTGAAATTAAAGGAGAGCAGAATGCTTCTCACCAAAAGCAGAGACTCTGTGAAGAGTTGGAAAGAACAGGTGGTATGGTCAGGTCCTGAATGGAGGCAGGTGATACAGTAGAATGGTGAGGAAGGTGCAGATGGGGCAGACAAAGTTGGGAAGTCAGGCAGGGTCCAGTCTGGTGGCCCCATGAGTCAGAATACACAGGCCTCCATATTAGTTCATCTAGCACTGTTATAAAGAAATACCTGAGACTGGGTAATTTATAAAGAAAAGAGGTTTAATTGGCTCACAGTTCTGCAGGCTGTACATGAAGCATAGTACCTTCTGCTTCTGGGGAGGCCTCATGAAACTTTTACTCGTGACGAAAGGCAATGCAGAGGCAGGCATCTTACATGGCAGAAGCAGCACCGAGAGAGAGGGGGGAGATGCCACACACTTTATTTATTTATCTATTTAGAGGCAGAATCTTGCTCTGTCACCCAGGCTAGAGTACAATGGCATGATCTTGGCTCACTGCAACCTCTGCTTCCCTGGTTCAAGCGATTCTTGTGCCTCAGCCTCCCAGGTAACTGGGGCTACAGGCATGTACCAACATGCCCAGCTAGGTTTTGTATTTTTAGTAGAGACAGGTTTTTGCCATGTTTTCCAGGTTGGTCTCAAACTCCTGGCCTCAAGTGATGTATCAGCCTCAGCCTCCCAAAGTGCTGGGATTACAGGTGTGAGCCACTGCACCCGGCTTAACTTTTAAACAACTAGATCTCATGAGAACTCTATCACGAGAACAGCACCAAAGGGATGGTGACCAACCATTCATGAAGGATCCACACCCATGATCCAATCACCTCCCACCAGGCCCCACCTCCAACACTGGGGATTACAGTTGAACACGAGATTTGGGTACCAATAGAGGTCCAGACCATATCACCCTCATAGGCTGGGGCAGGAACTCTGGAAGGTATTAAGAGAGAATAATGCCATCTAATTTATGTTTATAACAGATCACTCCAGCTTCTGCACACATAATGAGCCTTGGTCCAAGAAAAGAGACATGTAGACTATGTAGGGTGCAGATTTTCAGGGTGAGGTCTGAGGACCAATGTCATAAACATCACCTGGGAACTTGTTAGAAAAGCAGATTTTCAGAGCCCCACCCCAGATCTACTGAAACAGAAACTCTGGAGGTGGGGACAAGTAATCTGTGTTTTAATAAACCCTCCAAGGTGATTTTGACGCATATCAAGATCTGAAAAACCACTAGTTTAGGGGATTACTACATCATCATGGGAAGAAACTATGGTGTCTTACAGCAGGATGCTGACAGTAGAGATGGAAACCACTAATCCATGAACAAATCCTAAGTACAATCATGCACCATATATAACGATGTTGCAGTCAACAACAGACACATATACGACAGAGGTCCCATATGATTATACCATATTTTTACTGTGCCTATTCTAACGTTTAGATATACAAATATGTACCACTGTGTTACAATTGATTACAGTAATTGGTCCAGTAACATAGTCTAGGAGCAATAGGCTATGCCATACAGGGTAGGTATGTAAGTAGGCGATTCCATCTATGTTTGTGTAAATACACGCTATATGTTCACACAACAAAATTGTCTCATGACACATTTCTCAGAACACATTCCTGTCACTAAGTGATGCATGACTGTATTAATAGATGTTCCCTACAAATTTGGCAGAGGAGAGTAAATGTAGCACTTCTTAGAGCAATCAGGAGAACAACTGAGTAAGTCAGCAGGTCTTGCAGCACAAAAGGCAGCATGACTGTCTTCCGCATAACTCAGTTTGCATGCTTGAGGCTTTCCTACCCCTAAGGACTTCGGCACTTGAGATTCCTTAAAAAATTGCTACCTCTAAGAGCTAATATTTGAAACATAATTATATTCAGTTCCATTCAACAAGTCTTTACTGAGGACCTGCTGGGTACAGCGTAAGAAACAGAAATAACTCCCACCAGGAAGACCTAGAAAATGATCATGGAGAGGTGGAGGAATTCTATTAAATAGAAGGCAGCAATTGTAGCATAAAAACTGATATAAAAAGCAGAGAAAGGAAAAGTGCCCGCTTGGTGCTTAAGCTGTCCACCATATTTTGCTGGTATAACTGTTCTTTTTTCGGTCCCTTAAAACCCATCCTTCCCCAAACACACATGTATGCATATATGCAGGCACACACCCATAGATATGTCCACTCACTCACAAATGCACAGAGAAGTAATAACATGTTGCACCTCACTCTTCTACAGCTAAAATGGCAAACGCATCAATTTTTGCTTTCCGGAGGAATAAGAACCACCAATTTCATGAACATAGTTTCTTCTATAATCTTGACTTTTAGAATGAGAATGGAACTACTTACAAAAGTGAACAACTGTCTTAGATCAGGTCCCAAAATGCATCCATCCAGAACACGAGATTTGTGGAAAGGGTATTAGTGACCACCCAGTCTGACCTCCTTTAGCAGGAAATGTCAAGGGACTTGCCTAATGTATTGTGTCACAATATCCACAACAGACCTGAAACAAGAGCCTACCTATTTCTCTCAACTTTCTCATGTTACCCTCACTCCCTTCCAAAGAGTCATTACACTGAGAAGGTACTCATTTATATAAAAATATTTGAGTAAACTTCATTCAATGAGCGTGAAAACGTACACTGTAGAATATTCCAGCTTAATCAAGAGGCAGTCTGTTCAAGTAACTCCATGCTCTGAACATTCTGGCTAAGATTTCACTCTGTTTCCTTAGCCACTGTTCTACTCTCAGGGTAAGATGTGCTTGCATGCCGTGAAGATAATCATTAGAGGGATTAGAGACATTTCTGAGTGCACAAGAGTGACACAGAAACCAAGAGAGGCTTCTTCCTTGGCAACATCAATTAGGCAATCCCAATTGTCAGAGTGAAGTAACATCTTACTTCAAACAGAACAGAGTTGGGGAAAAAAAATACACGACAAACATCAAGAAAGCAGCAGTAGCTCCAATAATATCTTTACACAAAAACAAACTTCAAACCTGAACAAGTCTATCAGTCAACATTTGTTTGTCCTTTTTTTTGTTCTCAAAATGAAGAACAGCTGAATGGAGCAGGGATTTTGATGGGGATAGATGGTTTCTATAATTTGGTTCCCCAAAGTTTATTTGTTCTGGTCATTTTCTCTCATTTATCTTAACAGATCAATATCTGTCTTCAGGTGCTCCCCCACAATTTAGCAATCTGAAAAAGAATGAGTTTCTGCAGGAAAACTGTGACTTATTGGTAGAGTTTGGGTTGGGTCATTCACAGCAGATTTGAGTTTGGGGAAAGCTTCCTGAGAAGTACTGATGCCAGTGCACCTGCTAAGTTTAAGATCAAATATTTACTCCATGGAGAATATAATCATTTTTTAATTAAGGAAGCTTAGACATGAATAAAATAACAGAAAAAAATGTATGATTTCTATTCAGTCCTAAAACTGTCAATGACAGAAAATGACTTCCCACGAAGACTGGGAGCTCCCAGCCACTCAGCTATGTCATTCCAGGCATTTTTGGTAACCCAGAAATGCTGTGGCTATGAACGGACTCAGGGAACTGTCCTTCAGGGGAATCTCTTTAATAGATATGTTTTAGGTGCCTGTTTTGCCTAAGGAGGCAGAGAGAGACCTAGTGAGAGAAAATTTAAAGCAACAGAGACAGAGAAAAAAAAAGAGACAGAGACAAGGATACACTGAAAAGAAAAAGAAAAGAAAGGAACAGAAGTAATGCTGTCCAGGCAGAGAGCAGAACACACACACACACACATACATACACACACACACAGAATGGCTGCTTCAGTATTCTTAGTTCACATGCCTCCACCATCAGATGTCCCATTCTCTCTTGTCCTTGGTATTCTTGAGATCCACTTGTGTCCTTAAATGTAGGCCTCTCACAATCAATGCACATGGAAAAGAACGATCCTTTATCTTGATTATTTTGTGGGCACTGATTTTAATTTTTTTCAGTCAACTTGACTCTACTGATCTATATTATGAATGATCATAATCCAACTCACAAATATTAGACTCACAAAGTAAGCAAATACGGTTAGCTCACTCCTTTCCTAAAATCCACTGATGCCTCTCCATTGCTCAGAGAATACAGCTCTGTTTCTCTAACCTGTCTCACTAAGCCCTGCAGGATCTGACCTCCGCTCACCTTTTCAGCCTCTGTTGTCACCTCACCCCACCTCAAACCGTGTTCCATGGACAGAACTATGGACTTCTCTTCATTACTCAAGCCCACCAGGATCTTGTCTCTTCTTCAAGGCTCTCCCTAAAACCTCCACCCCTCCCTCAGGATCCCAAGATTCACTCACCAATCCAATCCCTGGCCCTCAGCAAGTAGAGAAAAGCATTCTCTAAATCTCCTCAACCCCAGTTAGCTACTTTTCTTATGTATCCTCTCAGGACAGCACAGTTGCCCGAATCACAGGCTCTCTGGCCGTGTTGTAACCATCTCCTGACTTGCCTCTCTCCCCACCATGGGATCATGTCTTCCACGTTCACTACTGCTTGCCTAACCTCAACACTGAGGATGATATTTTAAAAGTACAAATTTAGGGTCATTTTAAGCTAAACCATTCTTTGGGGGGGAGGGCAGTTGTGTGTGTATAACAAAAAGGAATTTTCACTAAAAGATATAAGTTAAAGAACTGAATACTTCCAGTATTCCTTATGAAGTTCCATGTCAAGAAATATCTCACTGCCAAATATGAGATTTAACGGTCAAAACAATTCTGGACCAGTGCCATTTGCTTGGCAATGGTGGGAGGACTCTGGGGGGATTTTGCCCTCCATTTTCAGCCAACCTACTGCACAGATAATCAGATTAATTCTCTGAGGTTGAGTTCCCTGGGAAACAGAGCCTAAGACTCTGAGATTTGTGTGCCAGAGGTTTGTCGGGAGTGCCCTTGGGATAAATTCTGGAGGAAAGGGAAGGAAGCGGGATTAGGTAGAGAGAGGACCTATACTGTGATACACTCTCAATAGAGGTCTCTGGATTCAGTGGGGAGTTTGAACGCTTGCAAGGTCCTTTACAGTCGTCTTAAATTGAAGCAAGGGGCTGGGCACTGGTGTGCTAGATAAAAGGTTATTGGATACTCTCTGCCCCTTTCCTCCTGGGAGCAATCACAACCTTGGGCAAAGCAATTCCCAGAGGCAGTGAGCAACTGGGCAGAGAGAATGACATGTGAGAACAGTGTCCCTCACTAGCTGCAGTTGAGAAAATGAATGCCTGGGTCCTAAAGCAGGCACCTGGGCTGCACATCACAGCATCTACTACACTATTTCATCAGGAAGAGAAAGAGGTTCTGATGCTTTTATTACTTATCCCTGGTCAGAACTCATGGGTACGGGGTTATCAATTACAACATCCCTTCAACCAACTGGCAATACAATCGGATATATTTCTCCTTAACATTCCTACAAGGAAATATCTACAGAGCTAGCTCGCATTTTTCAAATAAAAACATAGCTCTATCAAGAGGCTTTTGGTAGTACAGGTGTTCGGCTTTGGTGAGGTGAAAGGTGGGGCTGAAAAAAGAAAAGTTTGGCAGACTTAATTAATAACAGTAAACAATAGCTATACTTTATTTATTCCACAGGCATCCCATGAAAAGGGAACTGAATCCAAATGAGCCTGGATGAATCACAAAGGTCCAGGCCCTCAAAGGGAATTTTCCTGAGGAACTAGGAGAGCATACATAGAAACTCCATGCGTACTTTTTAGCTGAATTGAATGAAAGCTTATGCAAAATTGTGGCACCCATACTTTTATTCTGAAACAGTGAAGTTTTCAGTTCTAGGTCAGTCTTTTAAAGACAAATTAATAAAGATGTTCTGGGGTTTGAGAATTTTAACAGGAGATACAGAAAATAGCAGAAAAGGAAGACTGGTCTTAGAAGACTTGAGTAAGACAAAGGAGGTAAGGGAAGGTAGAACCTTAGTATTGCATTCTGGCTGTGTCTGAGCAAAGGAAGAAAGCTTAGAGGCGTCTAAGAGGGGCTGACAGATGCAGGCCGCAGGAATGGCAGAAATCAATAATATGAAGTCATAAAACCAGACAGGCATTGAACATTTAGATGGCAGAGCAGACCCAGAAAAAAATTGCAGTGTGCTGTGTCAGTATCTGCAAAACAAACAAACAAAAACCATAAAGGTGACATGCTGCAAATGTTGGCAAGGGAGATCCTGGAATTACTTGCTACTCACTAAAAATGTGTAAACTGTCAGTGAGATAGTCCTAATTTATGGTACTGTCTTAAGTTACTTTAGTAACATAAAATTTTAAAGGCTTGCATAGACTCATTTGGGACTTCTATTGCCCATTCTTAGTTTTGAAATAATGGCCTCAACTGTGAATTCTCTTACGAAGGTTTTTAATACCTAATTTCTGTGTTAGGTAGAAGCCATTGCATGTACACACATTTTACTAACGGACATACACACCATCCACTTGCAGCTCACCAAGCTCCCTAATGTGCATGTTTGTCCACAAGCTCCTAGACCCTGACCATGAGTGAGCTACTGGGACCAGAAGGATGGTAATCCCAGCTCTGTCATTTACTATCCTTGAGATCTTGCAAAATTCCCTTAACTACAGAAAGACACAGCTTTCTTATCTCTTAAATAACATAGGAATGAATATTTGAAAAGCCCTGTCCATCTTGCAAGGCTTTCTTAGAGTTTCAAATGAGATTTTATAAGTGAAAGTCACTTATAAACTTTAAGATGCAATATAAACATAAGAAATTATGGTGGCATGTGTAGAGAGTATAGGATTCTGCTCATATTATGTAACGAGTATAGAAATTATCCAGCAAAATTGGTGAGAAAAAAATAGTTTAAATATAAGTTCATTTACATTTGGCCATTTTTCACCCTAATAATACAAGCTACCACAACATGAAACATAATAATAAATGAACTTGCTCATGGTTACTGTGGAAATGCTTTCATAAAACAGCTATGTCTGGTGTGATTTAAAAAAAAAAGCCAATATTTACCAAGTGCACTTAATATGGGCTGGCACTATTCTAAGAGTTTTAGATGTATTAAAACTCATTTAATCCCCATTACACCCCTATGAGGAAGGTAATATTATAATAGTAAACTCACTTTACTAATGAGAAATCTGGGGCTCAGAGAGGTTAATTTGCCCAAGATCACATAAATAGGAGGGGTGGCACCAAGAGCTGAACCCAAGCAGTCTGGCTCCTAACCCAACACAGTGATATACTAGAGAGAGAGAATATCAGCACTAACATTGAAAAGTTGTAACTGTGGGAAGGAGGTAGAAAAGGACGGTCAGGGAAAGAAAATATTTGTAAAATGTTAATCTGCTTAATGTTTTTACCTAACCTCTTCCAAGTGTACAAAACTTTGTGATTAAAAACAAACACCTAGCCCACAAACATACAGTCTAATAACCAGGAGTCTCTTTATTTCTCATAAAGGGATTTATCTGTCCTTAATGGTTCTGCTGTCTGATCTCAGATGGACCTAACCCCATTCCCCATTCTTAATTACCAGCAATTCAATTTGAACCAGGGTAAATGGACAGCTTGATCATATCTGCAGTCTGACACCAGAAATGCTATGACAACCACCCATTTTTCTTTAAAAAAATGATCTCGTAGCTTGTATCATGTCCTGTCTTTCATCTTCTGGAAGAAGAGAGATGGAATGTACAAATAAGCCACACTGTTGGCCAGAAGCCTGTGTGATAATAAGCCCTGATCTCCCATAGGTCAGAGTACGATACCAGACCATTCAGAGCATACAGGGCAAGTCAAATGCCCTGTGAGCTTCTGTGACTACAGGAAAGAACAGTCATTTTGAACCTTTTGGGTTTCTGCCAGGGGAACTTTATTCAGTCCCCAACGTGAGCACCTTCTTTGTGCCAGGCACTGTCAGACACCGGGGACACAGAATGAATATGACCCAGTCTCTGCCCTGAGGAGTTCACAGCATAGCAGGGCAATGCAGATACATAAATAGCCACCTGTGATGAGTGCTAAAAAAAGGGACAGGAGGAGAGCACACACAGAGGAAGGAGAGAATGGAGAGGGGTACATATTCAGGAATTATTTCTGATTAAGATGAATGGGATTTGGGATTTAACTAGGTGGGGTGGGAGAGAGAAATGATCCTAAAGTTTCTGGCTCTCAGGTCAGCTCAGACCATTATAGAGAAAGACTAGTTCTAAGAGGCTATGTCTGAGCTCATGTGCTCAAAAGCCCCAAGTGACAAGTTTCAAACCACCATTAGCGCCATCTGTTGGCCACAGTAGGAGGTGACATACACTGGGCTGGCATTTGGCTTTATGGAAATGAGCTGTGAAAGTTACCAAGTAGAGGACACCTGTATATGATAACATCCTTAACCTAGAGGCATAAGAAAGGATAGTGGTTTGCAAGCTTGTCTAAGCCAACTTATTTTGTTGTTGTTGTTCTGTTTTGTTTTGTTTTAGGCTTTTAGCGGCCTGTAGCCATTGTTTTTAGTTTCTGTCTGTAGAGATAAACAGAAAAGAGGGGTGAGGAAGGGACTTCACTGACCCAACCAGAAAGGGAAACTAAGAACTCACGACTGTATTCTCTCCCTTGGACACTTTACTAAACTATACAGGCTCTGGGGTCAGACTGCATTGGGGTATAAACTAATAGTACATGACATTGGTCTTTTATCTTGTCTAAGACTCGGATTTTATTAAAATGAAAAACGACAATAAAACTGTAACTATGTCACAGAACCATTTTGAAAATTAGAATATATGCTACATGGACAAGAACTCTCATATACTGGTAGTGCGAATATAAACTGAGAGTACAATTTTTGAACATATGTATGTTCTATGACCTAGCAGTTTCACTCTTAAGATTATACGCAATAGAAACGTGTATTATGGGTGCTGAATGGTACATATATATATATATATGAAAATTTCCTAATAGTCCTGCTTGTGATAATAATAAACTAAAAATAAGCAACATTTCCAGCAACAGAAAAATAGATACATAAATTGTAGTTATTCATACAATGGGACACTACACAGTAATGGGCATGAGCAATCAACAACTACACATAAAAAGATAGACAAATCTTACAGACATAAAATTGAGCAAAGAGGCCAGATACCAAATACTACATATTGTATGACTCCATTTAAATAACACACAGACACAGGCTAAACTAATAAATGTTAAAAAGTCTGGATGACTGGCCAGGCACGGTGGCTCATGCCTGTAATCCCAGCACTTTGGGAGGCTGAGGCGGGTGGATCACCTGAGGTCAGGAGTTTGAGACCAGTCTAATCAACATGATGAAACCCTGTCTCTACTAAAAATACAAAAAATTAGCTGGGCGTGATGGCGGGCACCTGTAATCCCAGCTATTTGGGAGGCTGAGGCATGAGAATTGCTCGAACCTGGGAGGCGGAGGTTGCAGTGAGCCGAGAACATGCCATTGCACTCCAGCCTGGGCAGTAAGAGCAAAACTCCATCTTGAAAAAAAAAGTCCGGATGATTATCACTGGGTAGAGGGTTAGTAACCAGGAAGGGAGCATTAAAGCATTAAAGAAGCCCCTAAAATGCTGGCAATGTTATTTTCTGATGTGGATGCTGCTTACCTGAACGTATTTACTTGGTAAATTTTTTTTGATTTTTTAAAGTTGAAAATAATTTTCAATCTTTTAAAAGTGCTCTTCTACTTTCAAAAGCTCTCAGCACTGAACCTGCTTGATAACAAGTGTTCAGTATATATTAGGTATTGAAATGTCATGAGAATGAAGAAGAGGATGATGAAGAGTCAAATAGAGGAGTAATTCAGAGGGAGAGCTGGTGAGTATTACTTCTGCTACATTCAGAGACATTCTTCAGTTCAGTAGACAGTCTTGGAATCCACAACAAAGTACAAGATTGCTAAGGAGAGCTTCTAAGTATGAAACCTGGGAAAACACAAGATAGGCAGAGAAGGAATAATGTGGGAGAGAGACTTAACAGAAGGTAGGAAGAGAAGTAAAATAGGATCATGGTTCAAAAACAAGAGAAAAAGAGCCTCCCATGAAATGTAGTTTGTAGTGTGTGGTGTCAAGAGTTTTCATGCTACACAAAAATTGGGACAGACGAAGACTACATATCGTCCCATGGATTTGTCTGCGACCCCAGCTGGAACAGTTTTAGAAGAGCTGAATTTAGAATGGAACTTGAGGGAGTAAAATAGTGAGTCGTGTGCCACTGTGGGCAATGAAGGGAAGGGAAGAAGCATGACATTATGTCTAGATGAAATAGGTGATGGCAATGTCCTTATTACAATATTTAAGTCCTGAGTATTCTATTAATAATAATTTGAAAGGACAGTGGAGAGGAAGCAATAGAAGATACAGAAAAGACGAGGTAACTGACAGAATAAGGTCCTTGAGGAGGGATGAGGGAAATGATCCTGTTTTGGTGACAGTATGTTTAGGTACTCTTCCAATACACAAACCTGTGTAGGAAATAAAGGGCACTCTAGTCTATCTCTAATATTCTGTGGAAGCTTGTATAAGCCACGTGATATCTCTGGGGCTTTTATCTGTGGAATGGAAGACATTCCAGACTAGATGAATCTTCTCAGATTATTTGTATCTCCAACATTCTTTGATCACTTTGAAAGACAAATCCTAACCAGAAAGGCTTGGGAAGAGTAATATCCAGCTGTAAAATCTTTCACAGTTTTTAAAGTGAAGAATGTGGCTCATTCAATTCAGGGGTCAGTAAACTTTTCCTGTAAAGGGCAAGACAGTAAATATTTTAAGCCTTTCAGGCCATACAGTGTCTGCCACAGCTACTCAACTCTGCTACTGTAGTGCTGAAAGCAGTCATAGACATACATAAATAAAGTAATGTGGCTGTATTCTAATAAGCTTTTACTTACAAAAACAGTCCACAGGCCAGATGTGGCCCATGGGCTGCAGTTTGCTATCTCCTACAACTTTGGAGCTGTAGCCGTTAATATCACCTGTCTCATGTAACTCAGAATAGGACCTCTGATATGTCAGTTAAACCTGCCTCAAATCAGTAAACTGGGGACCACAGAAAACAAGGGCCATTACCTTACTGTGACATCAGGAGGCAAAGCTAATAAAAGTGATACTAAAACAATGAAAACAGGTTTAGGATATCATACAGAATGCCTAGGCCAGCTGTTCTTTCTTTCCAGTGAGTATTAAGTAAGAAAAAATGGGATTAAATTCCACCAAGAGTTAAGGGAAAAAGTAAGGTGAATGCACTGGCTATGAAATACCATACCACACTCTAGCGTAAAGTAGGGAATTTGGCCTCTCTGGGTATCTTGAAGAATGCAATAGATAATTATGTGTTAACAATCATCAAAAATATGTTCTAACAGAAAATGATGGGAAGGGAATGATCGTGAAATTCTCTTTCCTTGACCTATTAAAAGAATCTTTTTTTTTTTTTTTTTTTTTTTTTTTGAGACAGTCTCGCTCTGTCACCCAGGCTGGAGGGCAATGGCACTATCTTGGCTCACTGCAATCTCCGCCTCCCAGGTTCAAGCCATTCTCCTGCCTCAGCCTCCTGAGTAGCTGGGATTACAGGCATGTGCCACCAAGCCCAGCTAATTTTGTATTTTTCATAGAGACGGGGTTTCACCATGTTGGTCTGGCTGGTCTCGAACTCCCGACCTCAGATGATCCACCCGCCTTGGCCTCCCAAAATGCTGGGATTATAGGCAGGAGCCACCACACCCAGCCGAAACTTAAAAGAATCTTAATTGCAGTGAGTCATCATGGACACTTGTTGGTTGCATCCCAAGCATCCATTCAGCTCTTTCTGACATTCCTTGTTTACATTGGAGACTCTGTGTGATTCTGGGAATACTAACTCCATCCCCATCTCCAGGGGTTAGCATGTGTCCTAATCTAAACCAGCCAAGTGGATTGAGCAGAATGAGCCTCAGGTCCTTTCTAGGAATAAGAAACAAGGGCATATCCACCTTTTCACCTTGTCTGGACAGGACCATGTGTGGACAGAAGGCCTCAAATTGCTGCAGCCCTTTGCTACAATGCCGACAGCCAGACTCTCAATGATGCCAAAATACCAGCAAAGGCAGGGCCAAGAGAATCATGAGCAATAAAGTCAGAGTCCTAATGACTCTGGATCAGATACTGCCTGAGCCTGCTCTACCTTTGACCTTCTAAAGTTATGTGAGCTCATATATCCCCCCTCTGTTGCTCAAGCCAGTTTGATTTGGTTTTATTGTT
This sequence comes from Homo sapiens, assembly GCF_000001405.40. Lineage (NCBI taxonomy): Eukaryota > Metazoa > Chordata > Mammalia > Primates > Hominidae > Homo > Homo sapiens. The sequence continues at coordinate 28,663,861 of NC_000003.12, read as the reverse complement.
ACTTTCAAAAGATTACAACCTAACTCTCGTATATTCCCCCTGGGATGTGTATTTATAGCATGACTTGGGCAAGGACATGAAATGAATGTTTAAAATGGTCCTAATATTTCCATATGCTTCTAAAATATTTTCTCAAACTTTGCATTGTTTTGACAGCACAATAATCAAATGAATTTCTTTATCATCACCATGGTTCCAATCTGTCAGTAATTCATTTCTTCCACAGCTTTCAAAAGCAAAAGACAGACTACCTCAAAGTCCCCCTGCCCTTTTAATCTGATCAAATGTAAATGATCATAATTGAAAGTCCTGTTCTTGTAAGAGAATTCCTTTTTGCAAATCAGTTCTGTCTTTAAGTTTCTAAACTCCCACCTCAGATGGCCACTGAGAGAAAGCTATGGAAATGAAGCCATTGAACACACTATTTCCAGCCCCCAGAGAACCTCATCCAAGGGCAAGAAACAAGACGTTAGGAATCTTGATGTAGTAGGGCCTATATGAAAAGAGATTCCTATCGGAAAAGAAGGAAAGGGACTAAATAATGCTTGGTTATGTTTCATTCATTCTCTCCATTCTATTTTTAGTTTCCTCCAGGAACTAAAGTAATACAGGATATTTTTAGTGTTCAGCATATTAGATACTTTACATCAACATAAAAACAAGAGCACGACAACCTATTGGCCAAGTTGTAACATTTCTCCCTTGTTAGCCGGCAGCAAAACAAAGATAATGTATTAACCAGCCTGTTGAATCCATTCATTTTCTCAAGATATGCTGGCTTCTTAGCTTGGAAAGATGCATGATCGTGAGCATCCATCTTTTAAATGTCATTGAAACAAGGCTACTACTTCAAACACAAAGTTGTCTTTTTTTTTTCTCTCACTATTGCTCGTATTAAGTAAAACTTTCCAAATGGCATGCCCTCCTGCAAACTCAAATATAGATAGAACAGACCTACTACAAAAATATGCATTTCTCTACGTGCCCAGAATATAAAGAGAATCAAATAGGCCAAATGGAAAGCAAACAGAAAAGCCAATGAAAAGCAGACACGGGGACCTTAACGGTACTGCATGGATCTTGCTTATTTAAGTTGTTTTTGATCAGCTTTCTTGGACTTCATGCCTGTGAGAGAACTCAAAACATTGGAAGGTGAAGGTCAATAGTCTGGAAGCCCAAAAAGTTGCCTTGGGAAAAATCCTACTTGTTCTCAGACTCTGGCTGCAGCTTCTGCTTCTCCCTGTCCCGCTCTGCTCCTCCCTTACCCCATCATACTAGCTTCTCCCCCTATCTCTTCCATGAGTAAGCTCATCTACAAATGGCACTATCCTCTGGTGCCCACAGGGCTTGAAATCCCATTAGCACAATTCTTGTATTGCTTTTTCCTTCCTATGGGAACACAGGGGAGTAATGTTATAACCATTATTCTAGGAAAGGAAGACCAAAGGCCAAGGTGCCCTTTCTTCTAAGATATCTGCATGCTTGTTTTTAAAAAGAAGAAACAATATTTGCAAATGCTCTCATGAAAATTATTTGTACAGGAGTCCTGCCTGTTTTATCTTTATTTCTTCCTCTATAAATTAGAGAAGAACATTAATGTTTATATCCCTATCCCCCTAATCCTCCCCAAAAAAACATAAAAGGACTTTGTGGGTTGAAGTCAAAATTGGATTAGGTAGGAGTTAAAATTATTCCCAAGAGCCATACCTCTGACACCGAGAAAATGATAAAAGGTCTAGGCCATCCCTTCTCCTTTGGTGAAGAGAAGATTAGCAAACAGTTAACTACCTAGAGACCTGTGAGACCCTCTTCTGCCCCTGTCTGGCCCCTGTCATTAAAGGAGAACAGGTATTTCAGGTCCTTGGATTCTTGGATTTATTGAAAAGACCCACATTCAGGTAGAAAGCTGAAAGAAGTTGGAAAATTACTCAAATTATTTGTAAGCATTGTCTTTGTTAGTGAATAAGAGACTAGATAGAACTGTTCACGATCCTGAAATTTTCATTTACCCCACAGTTAATAGAAACAACAAATGGTTTGGTTCAGAAAGCAGAGGGACCCCAAATTAGCTTGTAACTCCTCAGCTGAATACCTCTTTGATTAATCACATCACTCACTCCAGCCCTGATAATGGCTGTGTACTTTTCTAAACTCTTCACTAGTCGAGGACACAGAACAAATCCCATTCATCTACTAAAATCTTTGTATGTCTAGTTTTGGGAAACTCTTTAAGTTTCCCAAATTAACTTATATAACTAGTAGGGTCTAATTAACTCTTAGTAGTAATGCTTCCCCACTGTATAACAAAAGAATATGCACTAAAATGACCGGAAATTCAAATCTCCTTACAACCAATAGTTAATTAAAATGATGAAAATTGAGATAAAGATAATATTAGATTCTATTAGCCTTACCTAATGACATGAAGCATCGTCCTATCTTGAAACTCCAAATAAACTAACATTATAACACAGTTGGGCACCTCCAAGCAAACTGTGCTGGTGGCATTGATGAGCATTTGAGAACAGGTAGTGTTCTGTTGTAATTGTGATAGCTACATTCTCAAGGATCAGCAAAGAATCATGGGTACTAAGGCCATAAATTGGGGGCTGAAGGGAGTGAAGTAGTGTTTGATTTGCAGGCAAAATACAGAGTAGAGCCAAACTGAATATTAAGCAAGCTGAATATTAAGCAAGGATGCCAACAGAACTATTTTAGGGGTTCACTGGCCTGCCTAGGGAGCGGAGGAAAGTGGGAAAAGATTTTCCACTACTACGAAAACCATGTCAGTCAAAGAAAAAAAAACCCTAAACATTCTAGATGAATTTGCTAACAAATTGTGACATATTTAAGACAGACTAGCTTCTTGGACAATATTATTTGACCTAAACTTCAAATACCAAGGATGTTGAGTCGAGAAATGAACAAGTAAATCCTTCTTTATCCCCCACCACCCAGAAACAAAGTGACCTTCTATCATCTGCAGTTAAAGAGCCAGGAGATTAAATATCCAATTGTCAAATCCAGTGACTTCTGCTCTGAATTAATTTTTTTAAGTTTCTAAAATAATGAACTCAAAGAGCTTTCACAAACACGCACACAGAAACTATTCAACATTACAGTCTATATTCATATCACTTCTTTTTCCTTAACCCTTTTGATCAGTGAGTACATAGTTTTGCTCAACATTTTCTGTATACTTTTTCTATATAAACATTTCATCTACATATCTGCCATTTTAAATAGTTTTCCATTCTTACAGACATGAATGATGTACACATAGCAACAGTCTCATATACACATATATTTGCACATATAATACATACTTTCTTCCTCTTGTTGTAAGGAATGGAGCAACTCCAAACAGGAAGCTGAAGAAAATGCAAAATGAAGATATTCCTACTTTTGCTAGTCTATATCGCTTTGTCCCCATAAACAAACCACATTAGCAAAGCTGATTTCTTTACTTGTGCTCATGAAAGACAAAAGGTACAAATGCAATCTTTTCCAATCAAAGCTCTATGTTAAAATCTCCAAGGCTATCTTCTAAAGAATATTAACACCTGAGGCCTACCCCTAGAGATTCTGATGTAGTTGTTCCAATGGAAAGGGTCTTAAATTTAGAGGCAGATGGACCTGCATTTGAATCTCTTCTTCATCACTAGGAGTTACATACTCTTGGGCAAGTTACTTAAATTCTCTGAGCCTCAGTTTTCTAATCCATACAATAGGAATATTACTGTGGGGATTAGAGAAAATATATTAAAAATCTCCAGCACACTCCCTGGCACACAATATACCTCCAAAAATGTCAACCCATTAGTAATACTCATTGTTCTTCAGGTTTCCTGATAGTGAAACAGAAACCAGAGTAAAGAGAAGGGTATGCAGTTTTTGAAGATTCTAACATGTTTGAAATGTCATGCCGTTTAGTAACTATGTCCATGAAAAATTGGACAGCATCTGAAATACTGTTGTGACATCTTAAAGAGGTTAACATACTTTAGTGCTATGCAATGATGTATTCTGACTCTGATTTTAGCACACATTTTTCTTATTAAATATCTTTAATTTCTTATTAAATGTCAATCTTAATTTAACAAAAATATATTGACTATCTGGGTTATTACATGACCAGTATTTTCAACAATAACTGGATAATAGAAAGCTCTTTAATGTTTATTTAACAGCAGCGTGCTACTTGTTTGTAAATGAAGCCTGAAATTAGTGGTTTATTGTATAATGGTGTTGCTTCTTGTTTTTATTTTTCTAAGTAGCATAGGAAATTATGCTATATGTGAATCTGAGCAGACATAAGCTGCACACATTACCAAGATGCTATTAAGTTTCCATGGTCTGATAGTCCTCAGTAGCATCTTATCTGCATAGTGTCTTGCTACCAAGTGCCACCAATGCAAAATGTGTGACCACAAAAATCAAATACAAACATGAAGAAAAAAAAAGTACAAATGGGGGAAAATAATGTTTTCATTCCAGTATATTGATCTGAATTAGAAATCGAGTATTTTCTCTAAAGCCATTCAGTATTTCTATAAACAAATTGCTCTAGTTGAATTTCAAAGAAAAAGATGCAAAAAGAAGTATGTTGGATTCATCATGGGTCCTGTCTTCTACAGGACAGCATACTCTTGCCTTTGACAAAAAAGTTGCAGCCTTGTTATTAAAAAATGAAAGCGAAGAATTCATGAGAATAGAAGGTCTTGCTGGTAGTCAGACTCACAGGAAAGAGAGCAAAGGAGAGCAAGGGCAATTATTTTCATTCTCACTCTTCATGTTCCAGATATTGGAAAGAATAAAAGACGTATTGGAAAAAGTGCCTGAAGGAACCACCCCAAATGTTTTAAATTACTATTCTCCAAATTCATTAACGATCAAAAATATGCTATGCTGAACACAGTCTTCTTTAGATTATCAATCAAAAGCACATTTTCTCACAAACGAACAGGGAAAAAAGCCCCAACCCCAGCATCTTTGTTCCTCCTGATTTCTTTTCTCTGGGAAAATATTGCTTTAAATTGCTGTTTGTTCTCATAATGGACTGGAGCCTTTGAGGTCTTTACTGCTTAAAGTGCTCCGAATGTACAGTCAATATACATGTAAAGTTTGCACTGATTATATGCAGCTCAAAGGATTTCAAAACATCTCCCTAGAAGTTTTTCTTTTCTCCTCAGAATTCCCATATGGGTTTCCTGGAGGCTGATTTTCAACAGAGCACAGGAGAGTCTCCTCTTGGAAATGGATTTCCCACAGAAATGGGCTACATCAAAGGAGAGCTTGCTAATGTGAGAGCCATCTCTGATTTCACTGAACCGCCACTCAGAGGAACAAAAACAACCTATTCACACATATTGGAAACGTTATAGTAGGCATTAAGCATGGCTCTAACCCATCCCTCCTATGCTTTTCTTGGCCAGTTCTTCTCGCGGTTCTATTCCTTTCATTTCGCTGTGCTTATTTCAGAGGTCCTTGGCCCTCTCACTTGAAATTTCTTCTAAATTCAATGGAGTCATTTGGTATGTAGCTTTGTTGACCTCTCTTCAGCATTTTATAGAATCAACTCTTAAAAGTGTCTTCACTTTGATTCCATTCCACATCGACCTTTCAGTCTCTTTGAGGATCTCTTTCCTGGACCTTCACATGTGGCTGTTCACATGGGATTTGTTAACAACCCTTTTCTCATCTCACACTGCACACTCATTTCCTCAGGGCAAACGAAATCATTCTTAAGATATTAATTATTACCAGGTGTGGTGGCTCACACCTGTAATCCCAGCACTTTGGGAGGCCCAGGCAGGAGGATTGTTTGAAGCTAGGAGTTGGAGACCAGCCTGGGCAACATAGCAAGACTTCAATTCTACCTAAAAACTAAAAAATAAAAAAAATAAGCCAGGCATGGTAGCACATGCCTATAGTCCCAGCTACTCTGGGAAGCTGAGCAGCTTCCCTAAACCCAAGAGGTTGACACTGCAGTGAGCTATGATCATGTCACTGCACTCCAGCCTTGGCAACAGAGCGAGACTCTGTCTCAAAAAAAAAAAAAAAAAAAAAAAAAGCCTTTAGTTACCATCTATAAGCTAATGACCTCAACCATACATCTAGCTTAAATTTTCGCCATTCAACCTTGATGAGCCAATAGTTAATTTAATTTAAAAAGACAGAGAGAGAGAGAGAGAGAAAATCCCCAATCCCAGATCCCAGACAACTAATATGCGGAATGCCCACAAATAGAAAACACATTACATAATTCAACTGAGTATGTAGCGGGCAGGGAACACTAACTTTTACCTGTCTTGAAAATGTCTTCCTGAAGGAAAAGGTATAATTAGGATAAAAGAGGAATTTTTTTTCAGTTTTTTTAAATTTTCTTTCTTTAAACATGGTATCCAGTTCTGGCTTGCACTTTTATTGCTTATAAGTTTCTGACATTTACAGACACACACAATACACATACACTCTCTCTCTCTTTTCCTCTCTTTCTCTAAAATGTCAGCCATTGCACTTTGTTCTATGGGTCATTTAGTCTTATATGCCTAGAGACACATTCAATATAGGCAGCTCCATTAATTCTAATGGAAGGTCAAGCTTAAGAGTGAAGGAAAAACAGAAAGGATGAAATAACTAGTCTGGATTATGTATTTGTCTACCTTTTCCTTCCAAAATACAATCTCTGCAAGAGTGGAGATTCTTAGGACCTAGAATGGTGGCTGGCACAAAGTAGATGCTCAGTAAAATGTTTGTCAGATCAAAGAATGAATCTTGATGACAAGAGGTCAGGAGTGAGTGGACCCATCTGGGTCTTTTAGGTGTATTGGAAAGGTGATAGAGTGCAATAAGCCAAATGGACCGCAAGATTTTTAAAAATGGAATCCACAGAGAAGTAATGAAAACTCCCCATTAAATCTCTCCCGACAATGGTGCCCACTGCTTCTTAAGGGATATGTGTTATTATGGTCAGTGACACAAATCAAGAGAATGGAAAAAATGGAAGGTTCCAATACCTATGTATTCCAAACCATATTTTTGATTGGGTTATGTCTTCAAGATAGATTTCAGACACATAGCCTGCTATCATGGGATGGCAACCAGTGTGAGCTCAGATATTTAAGGTTTTGCAAACCAGACTATCTTCCTTGGAGAAACATTATGGAGGACCAAGAGTCTACAGGGATGGTGATGAAACCAGGAGTGGTACTGAGATTCAGTGGAACGAGTGCCAGAACAGGAGTAGAGGGTCTGGCTTCTAGTCACAGATAGTCATGCCATGAAGCAAGTTGCTTCATGTGCTCTGTCAGGAACATATTGTGGTGCATGTATAGCTCCCTCAATCTCTGAACTCATCATTTTATTTGACAAATTTTTAAAGGATGGCCACCAGGTGCAAAGCACTGTGGCGAGTGCCATAGGGGACAGAGCAGAGAATCAAGTTTCTGCCCTCAAAAACTGAACTACTGGGTGGTAAGTTGAGATTGCTGGCCTCTATGAGCCTCTGAGTTTTATGTGGGTCAGGGGACCTATGGTGCAATCCTGGATATGAAAACTGTGCCTTTGATATTTCCCTTCATTGGACCCTTTTAAATACTGTATCTATAGTTGCATGTCACAGGAATGCTAGAGACAGTTATTTCATCATTATTTTGTTATATAAAAGCATATATTGGAATTGGCTCAGGGCTTGCTGGTTTTCTGTGACCTCAAGCAACCCAGAAAAATTAATATAATTATGCTATTAAGCACTTCTAAATTTGTCTACACCATTATATGCACTATGCCCAAAGGCAAGTAGTCCAATGAATTATCTGTAGTTTCATAGGAAGGGGGCATAACACCCATGGTTATCATCTCCTTCAATATGAAACTACCCACCAAATAAATCAGGTCACATTTGAAGGAAGGAGTTCTTAGAACATTCCAAATTAATACACGAAAGCTGGAAGAAGGTTAACTAAGAACCATTCTTGAACAAAAAATTGGGTGGGTTGAAAATGACTGGCAAGAGGTTAAATCTAAACTTGCAGAGTGAGTGCAGAGTAGGAAGACAGAGTCAGGAATGAGTAATGGGGAGGGATAATAGGTCAGTACCACGCTGAGATTCACATGGAAGGTGCTGCTCATGGGGAAGAACACAACAAGCCAACCTCATTAGGATGGCTGGTACAATTTGGAACACTCCATTTTGAACATGTCAGAACATGTGAGGCAAAAGAAGGCTAAGTGATAAGAGCTGGCGATGATGCCTGGAGAGAAGTTAAAATATACATATTAACTAAAGAATTGAGAAGAATGTGTAGACAGGACTACCTCTGCAAAGAAAATATCCAAAGCAATAGCCCTTTGGAGATACAGCTACTGAGTATCCCCATCAGAGATAAGATTTATCTTCTAGGGGAAAAAGACACAGTAGTGTTATACTGTGGACGTGGCAAATCTGACTTCAGTGAGAGTGGTGAACTCCTCCTGAAGGAAGGGTTCAGTAAACACAATGCTACAAGGAAGAAATGATGAAGTTTTCTTAGTGGAAGCATACAAAACAAGGTTATGTAAAACCTAAAAAAAAGGGTACAGAAGAAAATCTCACAGTAATCCTCATCTATTATCTTGTTTTGAGGTGAAGAAAGAAGGAAACAAATACATCTGATTCCCAATAACCTTTAAACAGGGAAACCACAGGCTTACATCTTTGCAGTACTAAGTACTTGTCACCTGGCATGTCAAAATAGAAGCAGTACAGTTTTTTCCATTTAATTCACCAAAAGTTTAAAAATTGACCATTTTCTAAAAGATGCAGAAAGGAATGCTAGCAAGAAAAATTTATTTAAAATGGGCTTGTGTATTAAAGTAATTAAATAAATGTGGGAGAGAGAGAAAATGATTCTAATATTAAAAATTGCTTTCTTCAAAAACATCACTAAGCAGTATCACAGAATAAGGAACTTAAAGGACTTAACTTTCTGTCTGACCCATGGCAGAATTAAATTATATCTTCTCCAACCTGATTCCTCCCATGAAATCTATTCTGTTTAGGATGAAGGTCAAGTACTGAGTGAGAATGATTTAGTGCCGCTCTTCAAATCCAATTCCATAATCATACTCTTGTCTCAACACACCAGCTGGACATCAAAGATGAAAAGAAAAAAAGACGCAAAAAAATGCAGCTATACTCTCAAGAACATTATGAAGCTGAAATATGACCATTTCGAATTCTATCATCCTCAAATACAAATAGAATTTTCATTCATCAAATGCTCAGCAAACACAGAACCTATTGCTGGCTGCACTGTTTTTTAGCATCTCACCTTTTCACACTGAGCAGCACTTCCCATTGCTATCTCCCCTTTCTCTAAAGAACTTGACTTCTTTTGAAAAACCACAGTGTTTACATCAAACTCTCTCCTTTCCTTTTCTGCCCTTGCATAATAGTCACTTGACTCCAGAGAAAGTAAAATGCAACAACCCATGGCATTACTGAAAATACTTCAAAAACAGGCAGGAGCAAAATAGCACAGTGGACAGGCATAGTGGCTGTTTTGTCTATAATGCAAACCTAACAGCTGCTTTGAGTGGAAAAAGAAACAGCCTTTATTGAGTATTACTTGTGTGATGATGCACCATCAGGAATTTTGAGGAGAAAGATGTCATCTAAGTAGATGCCCTAAAACCAAGTTTGACCTAGGCCAAAGGATTGTGCACTAAAGGAATATTCTCCTCCCAGTTCTCTCTTGTAAAGCCCCTATTTCAAAGCATGCCATAGATTAAAATTATTCTTCATGGATTAGTTATGGAATAAACACTATTTTATAGAGGGAATTAGCCAACATGTATTAATTGTGTACCTACCACGTACTCTGTGTTTTGCCATGGTCTTTACAAAGAAATAGAGGAAGGGTTGTTCTGTTTAAGATATCTATAACCTGCACAGGCAAACAAAACAAAAAAGACAAATGGGATTACATTAAACTAAAAGGCTTCTGCACAGCAAAGGAAACAACAGAGTGAAGAAAAAAGCCTTTGAAATGGGAGAAAACATTTGTGAACTATGCATCTGATAATGGGTTAATATCCAAAATACATAAAGAATTCCAACTATATAGCAGAAAAACAAGTAACCCAATTTAAAAATGGGCAAAGGACCTGAATAGACATTTTTCAAAAGAAGACATACAAGCCAGTGTGGCAGCTCATGCCCACAACGTCAGCATTTTGGGAGGCCAAAGGATTGTTTGAGCCCAGGAATTGGAGACTGCAGTGAGCCATGATTGTACTATTACACTTCAGCTTGGGCAACAGAGCAAGACCTCATCTCTTATTTTTTAAAAAAATAAAGGCATAGAAATGTCTAACAGATGTGAAAAAATGTTCAATATCATTAATCATCAGGGAGATACAAATTTAAAACACTATAATATATAACTCATATCTCTTAAAATGGCTATTATCAGAAAGACAAAAGACAACAAGTGATGGTGAGGATGTGGAGAAAAGGGAATCCTTGTTGGTGGGACAAGAGTTCAATGGGAACAACTGTTGGTGGGAATGTAAATTAGTACAACCATTATGGAAAACAGTCTGGAGGTTCCTCCAAAAATTAAAAATGGAACTACCATACAATCAAGCAATCCCATTACTGGGTATATATCCAAAGGAAATGAAATTAGTATGTCAAAGAGATATTTGCACTCCTGTGTTCATTCACTGTAACATTATTCACAGTAGCTACGATATAGAATCATTCTAAGTGTCCATCAACAGATAAATGGATAAAGAAAATGTAGTATATATATATATATATATATATATATATACACAATGGGACACTATTCAGTCTTTAAAAATAAGAAAATCCTGGCATTTGTGACAACATGGATGAACCTGGAGGGCATTAAGTGAAATAAGTCAGGCACAGAAAGACAAATACCACATGATCTCATGTATACGTGAAATCTAAAAGAGTTGAACTCACAGAAGTAGAAAGTACATTGGTGGTTATCAAGGGCTGGTGGGTGGGGGAAGGATGTGCATTGGAGAGACTGTCAAAGGATACAAAATCTCTGTTAGATATGAAGAATAAGTTCAAGACATCTTTTGCACATCATAGTGACTACAGTTAATAACAATGTACTGTATATTTGAAAATTGCTGAGAGTAGATTTTTAAATGTTCTCACCACAAAAAAAAATAAGCATGTGAAATACTGCACATATTAATTAGCTCTATGGAGCCATTCTGCAATGTATACATATTTTTAAACATTATTTTGTACATGATAAATACATGCAATTTTTGCCAATTAATAAATAAAAATACCTACAATCTAATTGAGATAATCAGATTCATTGGTGCCAAAAGCTAAGTTACAGGATAAAAGGGCAAAATGTAAATTGTCATCAAGTAGTACATTACACAACTTGTGGATTGTGTGATCAAGCAGTGGTTGGAATTCAAAGGGATGAGATATCATCTATGAGCTTCGCAGATTGAGGTGAGCCTTGAAATAAGGCTACAAGGTCTGCCAGCTCTAGAGGAGAAGAAAAAACAAAAGAGTTTGAGGGGACATCACATGAGCAGAACCAGAAGGCAGAAAGGCCCCCAAGTCCTATTTGGGAGGCAAACAAAGAATAAAATTGGCTGGGTCTGCTCTCTTGAAGATAGTTGAAAGTTGCTGAGGTCTAAGCTCATGACATTTTTATGTCATGTAGTACATGAGACTGTCTAATATCCATCCTTCCTGTCCTCATGGCAACTGACAATTGTGTCCACCTCTTCACCCACTGTGGCAAACATTGTTGATTGGCTAAAGCAATAGCCATTCCTAACCCCTACTCAGTTACTGCCTCTCGCAACACAGGTGAATAAGCGAGTTGCTGCTTTTCCTAGACTCCCTCAAAGGTAGAGACAGTCACACAGCTCCATTTTGGCTGATGAGTCAAAAAGGGAAGTCTGCTGTGGGCTCCTAAGAAAAGAGATAAGAGAGACTGAAGAAAGAAGAAACTTTGCTTAACCATGCACTTTCTCTCTTGCCTTGAATGTGTACATGATGTTCGGACCTCTGGCCACCTTGTGCCACCTTGTGATGAAGAGATGACAAGCAGAATTAAGAAAAGCCTATAAAAGGAAGACAGTGTGAAAAAATAGAACATTATAAGGTTCTTAATAATATCACTGACATAATGGTTCAACCCTAACTTCAGATTTTTTGTTATAATGGTAAATAAGTGAATCATAAATATCCCTTTAGACCAAGCCACCATTAGTTAACTCTGTTTTCTTACCTGCAGCCAAAAGTATTCCTGACTGATTCGGCTGCCCTCACCCTCCATAATCCCAAGCCTACAAGGCTGCCTCAAGGGAAGCCATATTCTTTAGGACTGCATTCTCAGGCTACAGTTAAGTGTTCCAAGGATGAGGCTCTGACTCAGTTCTTCCCTGGGGTTTTGCAACCTGAATCTGAGAAGGAAATTGAGCCCTCTCACTTGGCTTAAGTCATATAAAATGTTACACTTAGGTTGTCAGCAGCTATGCTTTTTGCACTAACTAGAAAGCCTGTCTACAATGAGAAAGGGAGGAGTCAACAGGCACAGAGAGGCACAGATGAAACATGGGAAGAAAGTCCCGGTGGGGTTTAATTCTCTGGCACCAGCTGTTCCTGGGCCGACTTGTATTCTTTCTACAGTTTTGTAAGTTAACCATTCTTTGAATTCCATATAAATCTCCTTTATTGCCTAAACTAGTTTTGAGTAAGGTTTCCTCAATATATAATTTTAAAAATGCAATCTATTAGGTTGGGGCAAATGTAATTATGGTTTTTGCTATTACTTTTAATTGCAAAAACTGCAATTACTTTTCACCAACCTAATATGTATTTCATATTATTCCCTTATAGAAAAAATTTCCTATGATTTTACATTAAATACAAGAGCTAATATGAATTTTCCAGAAGGCCAAAGAAAAAAGTAGAGTTTATCTTTTCTCCTAAATCATGCTGGGAAATGCTATCATTATTCTGGGTTCAAATTCCAGCTCTACCAGTTGGCAGTTCTGTGACCTTGGGTAAACTATTTAATCTCTATGGACCTCAGTTTACACATCTATTACATAGAAATGGAAATTGTAGCTAACTCACAGAGTTTTTGAGAATTAAAAATTCAAATTTGAGTTAAATAAGTCATTAAATAAATCAGTAAAGAACATGAACAATATAAGGTAGTAAGTACTCAATAAATGTGAGTACATATTCTTGGGCCTACATCAACATCCTGAAAATAATCAGCTACCTGATTCATGAAAAGTAGTGAGTTAATTTTCAGCTGTGAGGTCAACAAGGAAATTCATCTTTTAACCATATACTGTATACACAGCAGTCTTCACCATGCCTAAAATATTGTCTAATATTAACTCTTAAAAATAAGCCTATTAAGTATTTATAACTGCAACCACTAGAAAACTGCAACCAGGCAAGAAAACCTGGTTAGTTAAATAACCAGGTTTTTTAATTCAGGAAAGTTAAATAATATGTCCACTATGGAAAAGCTAGAATCTAAACCCAAGGTCATATAAATTACAAGACTCAGATTTTCCCATAATACCATACAGCCACAGGAATAAGCATACATTCAATATTTTGGTTCTGTATAGTGGAGTAGAATGACTGTAGTAGCCTCTCATCTGACACAATTGGGAATCTAAAATCAGATTTTAAGGCAAAATTAAGCATATACAAAGTGACCCTTGAATAATTTTTAAATTTATCTTTATATTTCTATCACTGAGTCCTTAAAAGCACTAAAGCTAAGAATTGATTCTTCTAGATTTTTTTCATATTTTTTATTTTTTTAAAAAGCTTTAAGGGACAGGGAATATGGAGCCTGATGGGCCAAAGAGATATACTTTGTAAGCCCTTATTCTTTAGAATTGGTGTAGCTGAATCTGTACAGGTAGAATATGTGTGTGGTGCAACTCCATAGGGGCTGCCGTCCCAGACAGCACTGTCTTGAGGAGTATGGTTACCCACTCTGGATATGACCATTTAACCTCCCTGCCTTCTTCAAGCAGACAAAACAGCTGATCAAGATCAGGAACACAAAAGAAAGGTACAATATTCAAATATTTCCTTTTCCTCAAAATAATTCAATAATTATTCACCTTCTTATCCTATGGGCATACTCCTTTTATACACCTTTATGTTAGAATAAATTTTGAAACCCCAGGTAAATGTTACAGATTGAACACATATGTCTACCACCACTCTGACTCAAAACCCCACCAATCACAACAATAGAGATTTTTTTTTAAGGCAAAAAAAGACAAAGAAGAGGAGAAAAAAAACAACAGTTACTTTTGAAGGCTGGCGAGCATGTGAAATCAGCAGACCAGGGGAAGTGTGTCAGCAGTGGGGAAGCCCCTTTCTAAAAGTATTTGTACTGCAAGCCCCAGAAGGATCCAGGTTTGGGGAGCAATAGATACCTATGAAATACGGGGGGAAAGCAGAAAACAAGAAGAATGGCTAAAAGTCTCTATAACAAAGCAATTAGATCCCCCAGACTCTTTCTACCCCTCTACCTCTCAACACAGACTCCCTCTACATTGTCACCCTACCTAACCACCCCCCATACACACAGTCACATACACACACCCAAGGTCTTCTTGGGCCAGAGTAACGAGGGCTCTGGGCTAGCCCTCCCTACTGGGGTTCACATATGTTCACAGGACATACCCAGCTTGCCTCAACAAGCTCTGGGTATATCATTCTGTTTAACTGGATCTTTAATTTATCTCAGTAATGCCTCCAACACAGCAAACTCTCCTTCCCTACCATGTACAAGCAACTGGTTCTTGGTCATTCATTTTGGTATTCTACCTCACTTTGAAATTGTGTATTGTTACATGGTTTCTTGGATGAAACAATTTAATATCCCATCACATTTACATAATCAAATATTGTAAAACCAAACATTGATTCTTACAAAGACTATTATACACCTCTAAAGGAGAGGTAGGTAGAATCTGTTTCACTTGTGGTGAAGGAAAGAGCCTAGCCTTTCCCCTTCAAAGAATGCCAATAGTTAATGTCTAACACTCAAAAACATTGAGTGTCATGGTGCATAGTAAAAGCAAAAGAAAATAAGAAAAGAAAAAAAATGAAACCCAGAATCAAATCAATGATGGTATAAGCTTGAATTTTTGGAAAGATTAAGGTAAAACTCAAGAGAAACAGCTCTAAACATTAGAAATGGTTGACTCTGGGAGGAAGGAATTGAGCTGAGTAGAAAGGGAGAAAGAGGACTACAGTTGGTTATTGTGAATCTTACAGAACTGTATAATTTTCAAAATTATCTATATGTAACATTGAAAAAATAAGATTCTAACAAAAAACACATATGCAGGAATCTGTTCCCTCTCTTAGTTGTTAACTTCACATACCGTTTTGCTTTTACATCCCATCCTCTCCAAAAATGTGCAATAGTCACATAGCTAAGTCAAATCAGGATGTCAGGACGATTAACTACAATGCACACTTTAAACAAGTCTGAGAAAATCCATATTTAAATACTATAAACTAGGAGATGACACAGCAGTCTATGAAATCTTTCCCAAATGGATTTTTTTCTCAGAGAGATCCTCTAACATATCAAAGATGATTCAATTGATTTTTAAAGGTGATTTACATATAGCTTTACAGCAATATATTCATTGAATACAGAAAAATAGGTCCACATTCAACCTGCAATTTCCATATTATCACACTCAGGATGATACAATTATGTGAGATTGCTACCTTACAAAAACTTGAGACAAGCACTGGTTATATTTCAATCAAAATATCCTCTTTTCAAATTTTTTAAAATGAAGTTATCTATCCATTATTACATCACTTTAAGCTTATGAGTTAAAATTGTACCTTGTGAATGATTCTCTCATGTTTAGAGTAGCTCTGAAATATGATTCACAGGCATTATTAGAAGTGTGATCAACCCCACTGAGAATTGCTGCAAATAAATGGCTTTAGTAAAGCTAACTGTTGAAACTTGGCATTCACTGTCAACATCTAGCTGTCTGTTTTCCCTTCTATCTATAAAGACTTTTTTTCACAGATAATGCTTTGTTTGATAACTTCCCCAGTCCTATATATTCTAGAGTTGTTCAACTTAAATTTGTTTTTCATTAAATCACAGTGATTTTGGCCTCCTGTGTTTAACACATCGTAAGGTTTCAAATTATATTTTTTCCACCGCAAAGGAACACATGTCTAGAAGTTCATTAAATACATTCGCAAGATTTCCCATGTTTATTTTTACAGATTTATGGAGATGTGTAAAATGATTGAAAAGCTTGGGCATACTTCCTTGTGGACGCCAAATTTCCACCATGAACGTGGACTAAACTGCACTATTGCACAGTGACTAGTATGCAGAAAGCTCTCAAAAATGGGGTCTTAAAACATTATTCTCTCTTCCCTTTTAAGAAAATGAATCATGTAATATTTAACCTAGTTTCCAGTCTTAGATAGTGACTGAGATAATTGGAAGAGCTAAAATTAAAATTTATTAGATAATGCCACACACTTAGAATGATGCCACATTCATTTCCATTATACCCATGGATCTATTCAGCTGTGTTACAATTTTAAATTATTTTTACATCAGTTAACTCTTGAAAATAAAAACAGAAATATTTTAATACAGCACTTTTTTTGTTAGCCATCACATGGTTAAGACTGTACATTAAATGTGTATCTTTTTGTCTCCTTTTTAGAATGATTTATCCAAGTGTACTAGAGTATACCATGCTATAAGTTTAGGCTTATAAAATTAATCTAAGCAGTGATGAAGATGAGTACATCAACAATGAGTAATACATCATCAACACTTCGATCAGGCAATGGTTCCAAATTTCCACTGTAAACTTTAAAGTGTATTTTCCATACCCGATTTATTTTGAGCTAAAAGAAGATATCAAAATTTGACAATAACTTCTGCTCCTGAGAAAGCAGTGCAGTAAAACTGGCATGAGAGGAAATGCTAAAATGCCTCATTAGTCTCCCTCAAGTTTAAGGTTCTGGCGAGAAAATTCCACATGAGAGTACTGAGAAAGACAGGAAATCCTACCTGGAATCAAGTTATCCTGCCTCAGATCAACAGCCTTGGAGGCTGCAGCACTGCTCAGATGGGAAACAACTTCCCAGGCACCATTATCGAAACTATACACATACAGCTTCCGGAAAAGCTGAGAGTGCAAGGACAATGTGTGCAGCCTTATCTGACAGTCCACGAGCAACAGAACTTTTCCACAACCTCCCTTCCCACACAGAAGGCCTGCTCACCCCAAAGTAGGAGAGTCCAGGAAAACCTAAAGGGCAAGGAAGGCAAAGATGACTGTGAGGAAACACATTTATATAATCCCTCATGTTGACAGATCAAATGACAGGAATTATTTGATAACATAGATAGATGTCCAAAAGGCATTTGATAAAATCCAACATCCATGCCTAATTAAAACATGAAAATACTTAAAAAAATGGAACAGCAGACACTTCCATAATAAAATATCCTTAATGGTGAGACAGTAGAAAAATCCCTACTGAAAGAAAGATAGAAAATCAATGGTGAGTGCTGAAAGTTTTAGCTAATTCAGAATAAGAAAATTAAATAAGTGGCAAACATCTTTTGGAGGGTGTTTGTTAACATATATCAAAACTCTTAAAAATGTTCACAGCCTTTTACCAACTAATTCCATGTCTAGGACTTTACCCTCTGGGGTTAACAACCAGAGATGTATACATTGGCAGGTGACTGTCACAGTGAAAAGAGTGGAACAAATGTAAACATTGAACAAAAGCAACCAGTAAAGAAATAAATATTTATACACGTATGTTACGGTACAGCTATCTGTTAAAATACTGTGCAGTCATTTAAAATGTTTCTCAATATACATAAATATTTGGGTAAATGACTCATATTCTAAGTCAAATAAGCTCAATAATAGTATGATTTTTTATTTTGTTAAAAATATTCATATCTATTTATGCATAGATACACGTAAAGCAATGTATCTGAAATTTTAACAGTAAATGGTAAAATTATAAGTACTTTTTTCTTTATACTTTTCTATATTTTCCAATCTTTATCTAAAATAAACATGTATGCCTTGTGAATTCTAAAGAAAAGTAAACATTAAGGATCTGTGCCAAGCTAGAGGTCTCTTTTCAGCAAGCCAAGTAGGGTTTGGTAAAGTTGACAGTAGTAAGGTTCCCAACAATAGATACCAACTGAAATACAGGCAAACATGAGAAGGTAGTATTGGTGGCTCTATATCTATATTTGGAAATTCTTAATAACGAAGGATAGGAATAACTGGAGCACATTCAAATACAAGATAATGGGTAGCCCATGTTATCAGCAGATGGCCTTATCAGATGCCTGTTAAAGAGGTTGTGACAGTTGTTCCAGTTTAACTTGACAATTTCCAAAATACAGTGTGTGGGATGGCCTGACAGACTACACTATAGCACATGTACTGACTGGCTGCCACCCCACAGCTTCTGAGCATGCGTGGCTTGGACAAGATCAGTAAAGGACAAGGCCTCTTAGAAGTATGTGAGATGCAGAACAGTGATGGTGCCTGTGCACTCATCCATCTAGATGCAAGCTGTGGGAGAACTATCCCAAGAACCAAGGTGTGGGGGACTCCAGACAGAGCTTCAGATGGGGGCAGTCCACATGACTCCCTGTTTACAATTCACAAAGCAAGAGCAAGGAAGGCCATGCCAAACTGCACCATAAGCACACTGAGCATTAGGACTCTGCAGATTTTATGCATTACCTAGTGAAAGAAGATGAAGACACTTCCGGTAAACATAACTGTTGGTGCACAGAAAAAACAGCAATGATAAAGATGTGAGAGAGCTCATGCTGCCAGACAAGACAGTGGAGTCTGAGAAGAAACCTAAGAAAGAGGTTTAAACAAAAGGTGGACACTGACCCCAAATGTCTCTTGCCCAGAAAAGAGAGGTTCAGAAATTAATAAGGATCTTAAAAATTCAGACAAATTATTGGCTAAGAAAAAAATAAATACATACTTTACAAAACTCCTTAGTCCTAGTTCATCATCCTAGTTCATGGCCCACATAATTTTAAGAATTGAATTCAAATTCTATAGATTAAAAAAGCTGGGACAAAGATGCAAATAGGCTTTCAAACAAGTAAGTTATATTTGTGAGTTACTACAAATAATGTGATCGCTTTTTCATTTTTGCACACAATTATCAAAAGCAAGTTATCTAGATATTTATCTGATATTCTTCCATCTGCTAAATGTTAAACCTTGATATATGCATCTAAAATCAGTTTTCTTTCATATAATGATGTAGGTCAGGGTTTTTCAGCCTCTGCACTATTGGCATTTGCTGGGATGATTCTTTGTTGTTGGGGCCTGTCCTGTGCATTGTGTTTGTGAGCAGCGTCCCTGGCCCCTACTCACTAGATACCATTAGCAGTCTCCTTCTCTACAATTGTGACAACAAAACTGTCCCCAAGGAGGGCAAAATTCCCCCTCCCCTACTTGAGAACCACATATCAGTGGCATGTGGACCACTGAATGGGATATTTCAAGGTTTGCATATTATAATTTTGGGGACTTTATAAACCTCAGACAGTGAGTTGCTTAGAATTGAATTTAAGGTGAATAACAATATGCTTCTTAGTTGTCTGCTGTGATTTAACCTAATTTGAATAAAATTTTAAATTTACCAGAGGGTATACTGAAGAGCAAATCTTTTATCATAAAAATAAGACCAGCTCATAAATTTTACAGAAAGTTCCAGTCACTTCTTTGTGCTCCCATGGTTGGCAAAAAAAAAAAAAAAAAAAAATTAGGAATATGCTAGAAGGCAAAAGCATAGAATCTGGTTACCAACACAAACCACTCCATAATTAGCAGATTTAGATTATGTTAGAATGAGACTATGTACATATTATCAATGGAGTCAACATTGGATGCGCACGAGAATGCTCTCCTTGGAGAAAACAATCATTAAGTGTGACTTAAGGGGCTTCTGCCACAATTAAAGTCAGCCTATGGAAATGTGTTTAAATCTTTTTTCTCTGCTCTAATCTCTACCTCTGTCAAAAAAAAAAAAAACAACAAAACTATAGTTTCTCAGTCCTAACATAGAGTAATACACTTAAGACACCGAACCCTTTTGAGATTTCTCTCTATGAGGATAACCCTTGCATTATAAAGAAATCAAGCATTAAGCATTGATGTGACAAAGTTAGGCTGGAACAGACAGATTAGAAAGCAGGAAGCTTTCTTGTAAAAATCTATTTCTTCACAAATCAAATTCCCTCGTTTTTCATAGTCTGAATAGCCAGTGCTCACCTATCCAGGAACTAAATAAACTAAAAAGTTTATTATAATGTTATGAATCATTTATTACTATTAATTATTGTTGAGTTAGAGGAACTTTTCATTATCTTTATTTCAGGTACTTTGGGAATTTTTTCTTTTCTTCTTCCTAAGCCCCGAATTCTCAGGCTCAACCCCGCGCTCTTCCTTTTTCACATTTTGTCTCTTAGAAAACCAAGACACACTGACGGTAATAGTAAACAAATATTTTTTATGGAATTCTTCCTAAATTCAAAGCACTGGACCAGGTGCCATGATGTAGGTGATGAGTAAGTAACAGGGTTCTGCCCTTGATAAACCTAGAATATAGTGGTAGACAGGGAGCATGAAGTCAAGGAATGTTAAGAGCCCACATCCCACTGTAGGAAAGCTTTCTATGATTTCTTCAGGCAAAGCAAGCAGCTACTCCCACCTCTGAGCACCAACACTCCAATTATCAGGCAGCTTAGCCTATGTGGGGTCAGGTACGTGTGCTCTGGAGTCAGACTACGTGGGTTCAGAACCTAGCTCCATCACTTACTATGGGAGTGGCTTGGGCAAATGATGTAACTGTACATACGGTTCCGAGTCTCTTAAGCCAAACCATATTAAACTGCTATCCTACAACTGCTTTGACTGATATCAAAGGCAATGGCAATTTCACATGGTTCGATCTAACATAAATTGGGGATAGTAGTCCTACCAACCTTCATGAGATTACTGGAAGGATGAAATGAATGAATGCAAGCAAAGCACTTAGAACAAAACAAGCACATAGTAAACATGCAATACACATTTATTATAACAATTTTTTTTATAATTCTTTTCCCTCCACAAATTTGAACTTTTTGATTGCAAAGACACTTTCTCACTTACATCTGAGTCTACCTCTATTCTAATTCCAACATCTAGAAAAGTACAGGACACATACTATCTGACAGTTAATACTGAGGGTCAACTTGATGGGATTCAAGGATGCAAAGTGTTGATCCTGGGTGTGTCTGTGAGGGTGTTGCCAAAGGAGATTAACGTTTGAGTCAGCGGCCTGGGAAAGCCAGACCCACTCTTAATCTGGGTGGGTACAATCTAATCAGCTGCCAGCACAGCTAGAATATAAAGCAGGCAGAAAAATGTGCAAAGACTAGAATGGCCTAGCTTCCCAGCCTACATCTTTCTCCCATGCTGGACTCTTCCTGCCCTCAAACATCAGACTCCAAGTTCTTAGTTTCGGAGACTAAGAGCTAGCTAAGACTAAGAGACTTGGACTGGCTCTCCTTGCACCTCAGCTTACAGATGGCCTATTATGGGACCTTGTAATCGTGTGAGTCAATACTTAATAAACTCCCCTAATATATATGTATAATATATATAATATACAATATTATATAATATATGATATATAAATTTTATTATATATATCTATATTATATATAATATAGATAATATATAAAATATATATATAATATATATACACATATATTCTATTGGTTCTGTCCCTCTAGAGAACCCTAATACATACTATAATAAACGTTTGTTGGCCAGGCACAGTGGCTCATACCTGTAATCCCAGCACTTTGGGAGGCCAACACGGGAGGATCACTTGAGCCCAGGAGTTCGAGGTTACAACGAGCTATGATCACAACACTGTACTCCAGCCTGGGTGATAGAGTGAAGCTCTGTCTCTAAAAAGAAAAAGTTTGTTGATGAATGAGTGAATCTATAAATGAAGTGGAACTGAGAAGGACTTAAGATCACAGCACAGCAGACCTAGGAATTCAGGAGAATTTGTACAAAGGTGATGATCCATAAGATTGGCAAGATTCAAATGCTTAGAAAGGAATAAGGAAAGCTTTTAAATAACTGTGAATGAAAGACTCATAGAAAGGCAGAGAAGATATTCAAGGCTGGCCAGAGCCGTCAGCTCTACACATTGACATGTGCAGGAGAAAATGGCATCCCTCTAGGCTACTGCAGTTCTTTGGGAATCTCAGTTTATCAGTGAAGCATATGTTATATTTCAGACCCCACTTGGCCAGGATCAGGAGCCTTGGGCAGTGCACAGCCTACACAAAGAAGACCTGAAGTAGCTCCCTGAGAGGCAGCAGAGGACTACATTTCTTAAGCCAGTGCTTAGGGCCTAATTTTACTTGGTTAAATAGCCACCATAAGCAAATGTTCTCCTCGCCACTCCAAGCACCTGCTCTCCTCAGCTAACAGAGCAGCACACTGCAGGGTTTGAATCTCAGCTCTGCTGCTTAACTTGATATTGGGCAAATCAAATGTAACCTCTCTGGATTTCAGTTGCCCCATTCTGGAAAATGGGGATGGTGACATCTGTCTCACTGCTACTGTGAGAAGGAGGTTGAATAATCATGTGTGTGAGACCCTCTGCACAGCTGCAGGCCCCAGGCAACATGTAATGGAGGGTGCTAATTAGCATTCAACTTGCTAGGTGATGCCTACATTTTTAATACGAAGCACTTGGAAAACTAGTTATTGAAAATGAAATTTATTCTTTATGTCTCTTGGGGGTGGGAAATTGTATATTCTCCCTTTACATTACCTATTTTATTGAGTACAGGAAGTTGATGATGCTTTTTTAGCTACTAAAATACTAATATTAGAACACTTTTGAGAAGCAGAAACTAGGATAAAGCATTTAGGTTTTTTGTATGTTCATAAGTTTATAGCATCTTCTCTTAACCCTCAAAGAACCCCAGAAGACGGTTGGAATTTTCTTCTCCAATTTACATATGGAGAAACTGAGGTTCAGAAACAGAGAGGGACTGGCTGGAGGGCACATAGACACAGTGGCAGAGCTGACTGAGGCAGAGGCAGGTGTTGAGGGGTCTGACACTTACACAGTGGAGGACGACCAAGATAAATGATCCAATATTATGAACACAAAATTAGGTATAGCACTTTGGAAGGATCTTGTATGAGTGAGAGGTCCTTCTGATGGTTAACTTTATGTGTTAAGTTGACTGGGCCATGGGTCGCCCAGATAACTCATTAACATGACTTCTAGGTGTGTCTGTGAAGATGTTTCGGGAAGAGATTAGCATCTGAATTTGTGGACTTAGTAAAATAGACTGCCCTCCCCACTGTGGGTAGGCAACATCCAATTCACTGAGTGCCTAAGTAAAATAAAAAGATGGAGAAGGGGTGGATTCACCCTCCTTTTGCCCGAGTGTTCTCAGGTTTTCAGACTTAGACTGAAATCTGTACCTTTGACTGTCAGGCTCTCTAGGTCTTCAAATTATACCATGGACTTTCTTGGGCCTCCATCACGCAGAAGGAAGATCATGGGACTTAGCTTCCACAAATGGTGTGAGCTAATACCTTATAATAACTCTCCTTCTCCTTCCCTCTCTCTACATACATCTCCCATTGGTTCTGTTTATCTGAAGATGCCTGGGTAATATGGCCTTGAAGCTTTAAATGTTATTCACTTCCAGATAATTCATCCTCTGGCTAACATAAGAACTGATTGCATTCAAATGCAATATTTATGGAGTGTGTGGGGCCCTGTGCTAAGTGTTCAACATGACATTGTTCTAGAAGCATCTTCCCCAAATCCTGGGTGTGACATGTCAACTTGGCTAGATTACAGTACCCAATTGTTTAATCAAACACTAATCTAGATATTGCTGGGAAGGTATCCTGGAGATGTGATTAACTGATCTATGATCAGTTGACTGTAAAGGAAATTACCCTCAATAATGTTGGTGGTCTCATTTAATAAGCTGAAGTCCTTATAAGCAAAGACAGGCTTCCCAGAAAAGAAAAAAAAATCTGCCTCAAGAATCTAGCATCAACTACTTCCTGAGTTTCTAGCCTGCTGGCCTGCCCTACAGGTTTTAGATTTGACAGCTCCAAAAACATGAACTAATTTCTTACATTAAATCTCACTAATTTTATACACATATATATATTTTTTTCTAAACTAAATGCACATATATTTTAAAGTTTTATATTTAAAAATATGCAAATATTTATTTATAAATTATATATATTGATATATTATATATATTATATATTTTTTATATATATAGTTGACCCTTGAATAACATGGCTGTGAACTACACAGGTCCACTTATGTAAGGATGTTTTTCAATTAAAAGTTACACAGAGTGCACCTGCCTCCCACCTCTGCCACCCCTGAGACAGCAAGACCAATTCCTCCTCTCCCTCCTCCTCAGCCTACTCAATATGAAGACAACAAGGATGAAAATCTTTATGATAATCCACTACTATTTAATGAACAGTAAATATACTTTGCCTTAAAATTTCTTACTAGCATGTACTCTTATCTAGCTCATTGCAAGAATACAGTATATTATACATATGACATATAAAATATGTGTTAATCAACTGTTTATATTATCAGTAAGGCTTCTGGTCAACAGCAGGCTATTAGTCAAGTTTTGGGGGGAATCAAACATTATAAGCAGATTTTTGACTGTGCAAGGATTCAGTTCCCTTAGCCCCAATGGTTTATATTTTCTATATGCATACCTATATATATATATGTCTATATGTATATATATTTCTATGTGTCTATCTATCTATACATAGATAAATAGGTGGCTAGATAGATAGATCTCCTATTGGTTCTATTTCCCTGGGTAACCCTGACTGAACTGGCCTCCTCCTCCTCCAGGGGTTAGACATGGTTTGTTCTTAGCAATGCTTTATTTGTCCTATATTGATTTGAAAGAGTTTAAGCCAACATTTTTTAAATGTTAGATTTCACATCAAAAAGTAAATTTTTCCAGTTTCCTTTGAAAACACTGAATGCCTGGAAACATCTTGGTGTATGGGGTTGGGTTCTGCTCCCTTTAGAGGGAACTAGTCCTCATTTGTCCATCCTCATCCTAATCATGTCTTCTTTTATCCCACCAGCCTCCTTCTTTCATTAAAGTTACCCACTTGAACCCTATAATCCATCAGCTTTTTTGGCGGGGTGGGGGGTGGAATACAAGTATACATTTACAATCATACCACCAGCTCAGAGACAAGCAAGGTTAGTTGCATGAAGCTGTTGGCCTGTGGGCTAGACTCACACTCCATGAAAGCTGGGCCCAGTTCTCTTCAATTTTTGTACTAGTCACATCCCAGCAGGAGCTCAATGAGGAGCTGGCTGATTTGTGCCCCCTGCTTTCCAGCCCCTTCATTAGTCATTAGCAGAGCCAACAGAATATGCACAGGGAAAAGACATAAACTATTCATTTTTCTAATCATTAGCAGTTCCTGCAACAGATTCAACAGGAGCATGAATTGAAAAATCTTGGCTAAGAGGGCAATTAGGGATTCTGTGGGGCTTTTCCTTTTAAGTTTCTTCCAGCTCACCTACATACAGATGGTGCTAAAAATTTATCATTAGTAGGAGATGCTTTTAAAGTTAATATTCTGGTAGCAAGGAAAGACTGTTAATGAGTTATCCATATGATTATGAAACTACCTGAAAATAACAGCAAACTGTTCTGAAGTGTGGTGATCACAGACCTGAGTGACAGAAGCAGCAGCAGCTGGTTTTCATACGATGACAGATCTAATTTGAGAAATAGGCTCAGCGAAAGAGGACATTATTTACTCATCCTATTCCTTTTCTACTTTCAGGAATCATAGAACATAGCAATGAATTCTGAATTTACTGCCATGGCCACTACTAAGCTATATGATCACTTGTATACATATTAGATAAACGTGCCCTCTCTGGGCAAAAAATATAGTACAACATGCCTGTCTGTAGGAGAGAAAACCCCAATCCTCTGATTAGATAGAGCCTCTGGTCAGGGCACATGGTTTGGTGAGCAGAGCACAGTCTGAATTTCAGTGTCAATCTTTCCGTTTAGATGCTTCTTTGTGACTATGCAATGCCAAACTTCACAACTGGATTCAGAAGTCCTACCAGGGGATAAAGCATTTTAGTTTCTTATCTCCAAACAAGATGCAGAAGGAAAAAAGGAAAGTTCTCTAGATAGGTAGTTGCTAGATATATTATATGTTCTGTAGATAGGTAGTTGCTAGACATATTACATGACAGAACCAGACACTAAAATAATTTATTCATCTGTTTATTCAATGAACAACGATTGAGCAACTAATATGTGCTAATTAATGAGGATTCGAAGGTGTCTCAGACTCAGTCCCTCAAGATGCCAAGGAAAAGTATATGGCAACAAGAGCTTGACAGGAGTAATGACTTCAGAAAAACATTTGGAACATTGGATTACTGACAGGCAGAGCGGTTGCTGAAGTTTAGGCTCCTGATGCTTGTTTTCTATACTTAATACTTAAAGGAATTTCTGAGAGCTCTCCCTTTGCATATGTCGCTTACAAGGTGCAATACTGAAAAATGGGAATTAAAACCAATATTTTGCCTTTGCAGTCACCTATTTCCTTAGAATGCCCACAGAGAAGACAGCTAATTTAAAAAGAGGTTGGCACTGAAGTACTGGATTACAAGATGAAAAATGTTCCCTCGAATCAGTGCAACTGGCTCCATTAGTAAACAGGAAAGATTCATTTCTTCTTCTTGCAACACAGCAAATCAGATAGAGACGGTTTGAGTTTAATACATAAATGCAAGGGGAAATATTTTGAAAGTATTTTTAAGGGTTCAATCCCAATTTTTTAGTTACTGTGTAATCCCAATAGCCAGAAAGTGGCTTATTAAAAAATTCTCCAGATTCCAAGTGGCAACTATCCCAAATTAAATTCTATCCTCTCTTTCAAAGTTTAATGCTGTCAGGATTAGAAGGGGCTATTAATAACAATAGATAATGATCATTTAGCCATATGTCAGGCGTTCTTCTAGTTGTGTTACTGTATTAACCCACTTAATCCTTATATTATCTCCTTTTCCCTGGTAGGGAATATCAGGTACACCAACTTCAAGTACTTTGTCTAGGAACACACAGATAACTAGTGTTATGGGTGATGCTGGGATTTGAATGAAGGCTGTCTGGCTCCAGAATCTGGGCTGTCAACCACAACATTTTACTGCCTCTATAATCATCATCATCTTTCTATTACACTTACCATATTTAATCATAAGTATTAGCTTGGATGCCCAGCTCCTCCATGGCATTATGTGCTCCTTGAGGACAAAGACTTTTCAATCACTAGCACCAGGCCTGCTGCATATGAAGCATCCAATAAATATTTGCTAAATAAATGAATGAAGTGTGCTTACGGTTCTGTCTTAAACTATGTGCAGCCCTTACCAAAAGGCTTACCACTTATATCACAGGAAACAGGCAAAATTAAGTGAAATGCAGAAGTTGAGAGAAAAGAAAACACTAAGTAGACAAAAACAGGTAGTTGAAGAGTCTTGTGAAATTCACCAAGGTATCTAAGAAGGATCCTTACTGGGCTCACACTGTACAACCAAGCAGCACGAGGCTGACAACTGAGAAGGGGCAAAATCTCTTACGTGGAGATGCCAAAGCCACATGGAAGAGGGGCAGAAAGAGAAGTGACAAAATATTCTGACCCCCCTGGCTGGGATAACTGGCTAGCCATAAGCAGAAGATTAAAACTGGATGACTTCCTTATACCATATACAAAAATCAATTCAATATGGATTAAAGACTTAAACGTAAAACCTAAAACTATTAAAAAAGAAAAAAAAAAACAAACCTTGAAGAAAACTGGGAAATACAATTCTAGGTATAGGCCCTGGCAAAAACTTTTGATGAATACTCCAAAACCGATTGCAATGAAAACAAAAATTGACAAATGGGACCTAATTAAACCAAAGAGCTTCTGCACAGCAAAAGAAACTAACAACAAAGTAAACAGACAACCTACAGGATAGGAGAAAATATTCGCAAACTATGCATCTGACAAAGGTCTAATATCCAGAATGCATAAGGAACTTAAAAAAATTAACAAGCAAAAAACCAAACAACCCCATTAAAAAGTGGACAAAGGACATGAAGAGACACTTTTCTTTTTTTTTTTTTTTGAGAGAGAGTCTCGTTCTGTCGCCCAGGCTGGAGTGCAGTGGCGCAATCTGCGCTCACTGCAAGCTGCGCCTCCCAGGTTTACGCCATTCTCCTGCCTCAGCCTCCCGAGTAGCTGGAACTACAGGCGCCCGCCACCACGCCCGGCTAATTTTTTGTATTTTTAGTAGAGATGGGGTTTCACCATGTTAGCCAGGATGGTCTCAATCTCCTGACCTCTTGATCCACCCACCTTGGCCTCCCAAAGTGCTGGGATTATAGGCATGAGCCACCGCGCCCGGCCGAACAGACACTTTTCAAAAGAAGACATACATGTGGCCAACAAGCATATGAAAAATGCTCATCACTAATCATTCTAGAAATGCACATCAAAACCACAATGAGACACCATTTCACTGTGGCTACTATTAAAAAGTCAAAAAATAACAGATGCTAGCAAGCTTGCAGAGAAGAGGGAATGATTACACACTGCTGGTAGGAATGCAAATTAGTTCAGCCACTGTGGAAATCAGTTTGGTGATTTATCAAAGAATGTAAAACAGAACTACCATTCAACCCAGCAACCTCATTATTGGGTATCTACCCAAAGGAATATAAATCATTCTACCATAAAGACACAAGCACACGTATGTTCATTTCAACACTATTCACAATAGTAAAGACAATGAATCAACCCAAATGTCCATCAGTGGTAGACCAGATAAGGAAAATGTGGTACATATACACCGTGGAATATTATATAGTCATAAAAAAGAATGATAATGTCCTTTGCAGCAACATGGATGGAGCTCGACGCCATGATACTAAGTTAACACAGAAAGAGAAAACCAAACACTGCATGTTCTCATTTAAAAGTGGGAGCTAAACGCTGAGTACACATAGACATAAAAAAGGGAACAATAGACAACAGGGCCTACTTGAGGGTGGAGTGTGGGAGGAGA
The DNA here is from genome assembly GCF_000001405.40 of Homo sapiens. Classification (NCBI taxonomy): domain Eukaryota; kingdom Metazoa; phylum Chordata; class Mammalia; order Primates; family Hominidae; genus Homo; species Homo sapiens. The sequence continues at coordinate 28,634,550 of NC_000003.12, read as the reverse complement.
GTGAAGATTTGAAAAACCACCTATTGGGTACTCTGCTTATTACCTGGGTGATGAAATCATCTATACACCAAACCTCTGCAACATTCAGTTTATCTATAAACCAATCTGCACATTTACTCCTGAAACTGCAATAAAAGTTAAAAAATAAATTCTGACCACCCTGCAATGCGATCCCAACTAAGGAAATCTCCCTCTTGCAGGTTGTTGGGGATGATCAGAAGATACCCCCAAGGATCTAATTCTATAATAGCAAGGGGTTTTGCAGCTGAGCAGGGGTTGAGCAGAGAGAACAGGTGGGGAGAGTGGGGACAGGGAGAATGAATACCAGCCTTTATGAGGCATCACCTGTAAATTAATGTGGCTGAAACACTGAAAATAGAATAGAAAAGTTAACCACAGCACCCTGACCAAAAAACCCAGAGAAACAATTAAGAGAGTACAGAGAACACAATCAAAACCAGTTAGTACAATCAAAACACAATCACAAACTGCTTATGCGGATGCACTTTTTTTTCCTGTTTTACAGAAACCAAATATAAAAATCTATCCAAAAACTGACTTTTATTCTTTGCTGCTTGAAGAGGGGTTAGATTAAGATTTTTAAAGCTTTATAAGGAATTAAAAATGCAGAAAATAAGACATTATCTCCCAAAGAAACAAAGGAAGGAAATGCAATGTCTTCTCTGTGAAAAACCAAGCAAGACATGCCATGAGGTTAATAAAACTGAATTCAAATCATCATGGTCCCACTTACAAACTCTTCCATTCCTTAATACCAGGCCTAAGTACCATAACATCTCCAAAGTTCCACTGGAAGATAACAGAACAGAAATTAATAGCAGCATTCAGCTATGACCTTCTGGTTGGAGGCCTGCTCATTACTGCAGTGAGCTCAGCCTTTTACCAGTGTTTATAGAGCCTTTCTTGCCATCAAAAACTCCCCTCCAAAAAACAGGCAGTGTGATTCTTTTTAAATCCTTTTATGCCATACTTCCTTAAATATTCCCATTATATTTATAATAAAATACTTATCTCACATCTAATTTACAAGAAAATCACAATTACATAAAACTATTTGAATCAGCATGACTAACACCTTTTTTTCATTAGATTTACATGAGAAACGTGTGATAACGTGGAATCTGAGTAATAGTTAATCTTTGCTAACCCATCAGGCCATATGGAAACTGGCTCCTGCTTATCTCGCTCCTCATTTTATATGACTTACTGTCCTCTAGCCTACAGGCCTCCTTCCTATAATCTAAGCACCTTAAAAATTGTACACCAGGTGCTTCTCCACTCTGAAATATCACCTCTCCAGATCGCTTCCTCACACTTTTCTTCTCAGCATTCAAACTTCACTTCCCCAAGAGGCCTCTCTGGCCATTCCCTCTCTCCGTTAGCACATCACCCTATTTCATGTTCTATTTAATATTTCATTTTCATTAAATTGTCTTAATCTCTGATTTGTTTATTTCCGTATTATTACCTAGGAGGCGCCAAGCAAGAAATACATTATTACAAACAAACCTTGCAAATTGAGGTTTGCTTAATAAAGGGACTATTTACAAAAGTGGGTACAGAGTGTGGAGAAACCATAGGGATGGTGCAGTAACCAGGGCCTAGGAACAGCGAGGGACATTAGCACCCCTAAGCCTAGAGGGGTAAGGGGAAAAGCAGATGCTGGCACATGAAGATGAAAAGGGTTTTGTATTCCAAAGACCACCTGGCAGACTCTGTGACCTTCAGGAGCTAATTTAGGCAATTGACAGAGACCCCAAAGAGAGGCAGCTGGAGAATTAATTCCCCAAAGTCTGTGCTCCCTTGCCCTCTGCTTGGCCAACCCCAGCAAGAAGCAGAGGGTAGGGCATCTGTTGATGAAGGCCAGGGGTTGATAAGGCTTTTCTTTAAAAGGCCAGATAGTAGGCCGGGTGCAGTGGCTCATGCCTGTAATTCCAGCCCTTTGGGAGGCCGAGGCGGGCAAATCACAAGGTCAGGAGTTCGAGACCAGCCTGGCCAACATGGTGAAACCCCATCTCTACTAAAAATACAAAAAATTAGCTGGCCGTAGTGGCAGGCACCTGTAATCCCAGCTACTCAGGAGGCTGAGGCAGGAGAATCGCTTGAACCTGGGGGGCGGAGGCTGCAGCGAGCCAAGATCGTGCCACTGCACTGCAGCCCAGGTGAGCAACAGAGTGAGACTCTGTCTCAGACAAAAAAAAGCCAGATAGTAAATGTTTCATGCCTCTGAAGCTATAGCATCTTTTTGGCAGGTACTTGGTCCAGCTGTTTTAGGGCAGAAAGCAACAGAGAGAGCAGTAAACAAAAGGATGTGGCAAGGTACCAGTAAGACTTTATTTATGGACACTGAATTTTGAGTTGTATATAATTTTCACATTTCACAGAATATTCTTTTGATTTTTCTTAATCCATTTAAAACTACAAAGATCATTCTTAGCTTGTAGGTCATATAAAAAAACAGGCATAGATTTGGGCCATAGCGGGTCTGGAATATACTAAGTGCTCAATGAAAATTTGTTGAATGACTCATCACACGAGTTTTCTGTTGATTATTTCTTTATTTGGTCAACATCATTGTAACCAGCCCTTGAAGCCTCATAAAGTCACATTCCCTGAAAACATTTCTGGGGCATTGTCACGTGGCACTTCAGATTTATAATACAACCAAACAAATCATGTAGTCGACCTGGAGTTCTCAAATGATGTAAAGGTAGGAGGGTGTGCAGGAATCTTCATATGTCACTCATCAGGGCCCCAAGGCACTTCATCCAACATCTGATTCCGGTAAGAAATGATAGAAAAGGAGGGAGAATATTTTCCTTTTCCTTAAGCTGAAAGCAGCTCTTAAGACTGAGCCTGAGGGACCCTGTATGCTTGATTATTGATTCACCTTCTAATCAAAATGGATAAATGCGCCCACTCGGGCTGCAGCTAGACAAAGAATGATGAACGCAGGTGGGGAGTTCCTAGACAAGTTTAGGCCTTTTTGCTTTTAACATAAGAGCAGCGCTGGTCCTGGGCAGACGGGTGCTTCCAGAGGCTGGGCAAAAGCTACTGTTATTTAGTACCACCCTAAGACACTCAGGGAAAATCCCAAATTATAGTGATATTTCCAGTTTTTATAGCAACTCACTGTCCAAATAAACAATAAGAATAAGCCTCCTGAATGAAAAAGAGAAAAAAAGACATGCCCTGACTTACACCATATTAAATACTAAACATTTTTAATAGTAACAATAATAACAAACAATTGTATAACACTTACATGCCATGCACTATTCTTAGAGCTATGTGTATATGTATATGTCACACATATCAAAATATATAAACACATGTACATTAACACACATCAAAATATATATACATATATACACAAGCACATATAAAAATATATATACATATCAAAATATACAAATATACATACACATAAAAATATATACACATACATATAAAAAATTATTTTATTCTCCCATCAAGGTTATGAGGTAGGAACTGTTATTATTCCCATTTTATAAATTGGGAAACTGAGCCACTGAGTAGTAAGTAAATTTTCAAGGTTATTCAGGCAAGCAAGCCAGCATCTGAACCCAGGGAGCCTGGTTCTTAGCACCTACACTATTCTATCCATTTCTACACTAATCAATCTATTAAATCTCTGCCCAAGAGATGCACATAGTTCAAAGTTGACAGGGAAATTATAGCATGCATGGATTCAAGCATGTATAGTCAAGATTCAACACAACAGATAAACCAAGAGCTACGCTAAGAGATTATACATCATGTCATTGCAGAATTACCTTCATAGCTGAATGCAATTCAGTAAATGTTTATTCAATGTCTACTTTGCATCCCCAAAGAATGTGAGGTACCCCTGAGAACACAAACAGAATATGACAAGGGCTCAATTATAAGAGTAACACATGTGAAACAACTAGAGAACATAATACCAAAAGGTCATCAAAAGCCAAGTACTTGTTTATATTTCCTTTGGGATGACTTAACTCTCCTTAGTACCAGGTAAGTGCCAAAGAATTTATTAGTAAAAGTTTGAATAAAATGGTTCCCACATAGGATAATCAAGACATGTACAATTAAAATCCACATGGTTACCTATGAAATATTCCTCACGTGTGCATTTTAGTTAAGTTCAGTGACTTGTTCGGTGATAAGCTGCTAGCAAACCGAGGGGGAAAAATAATTGGGAGGCTGAGGTGGGTGGATTACCTGAGGTCAGGAGTTCCAGACCCACCTGGCCAACATGGCTAAACCCTGTCTCTACTAAAAATATAAAATTTAGCTGGGCATGGTGGCACATGCCTGTAGTCCCAACTACTCAGGAGGCTGAGGCAGGATAATCGCTTGAATCCGGGAGGTGGAGGCTGCAGTGAGCTGAGATCATACCACTACACTCCAGCCTGGGCGACAGAGGAAGACTCCATCTCAAAAAAAAAAAACAAACAAACAAACAAAAAAAAAAAAACCATCACAAACTCACCCCTTGTCTATTTGGCATAAGCCATACTTAATCTCCAAAGAAAGACAATAACAACATCATAATTTCTCTTATTCTGCATACAACCAATATTCTCTTATTCTGTTGAAACCAATATTTTGGAGTTATATATCTCAATAGGACCAAAATGAATGAACAACTCCCCTTATGTCATAGTAACCCACATTAATTAATTCAACTCATTGACATTTAATTGCATCCTCAGTCTCCTCTAAAAAGTCATAGAAGTGTTTCTGACAAAATCAGCTGAAGGAGAGAGTTTTAAATGAGGGCAGAGAAATGAAAAAGTATTTCACTCTCTCTCTCTCCCTCTGGGCATTAGCAAGTGGGGATAATGCAGAGGAGCACTAAAGAAAGCTGTCTCCTTGGGATGCAGAGAGCGAGAGGTGTTCAGTATTAGGTTTATTTACTCCTTGGATCTCAAGAGGGCTTCATGTTTACATCTAGTGGGCCCTGACCATTCGAGTGGGTCCATGTGGAGCCCTCTGAACCAGAAAGCCTCTAACAGCCTTCTCCAGACTGCCCTCAAGTTCCTTATTTTTTTATGACAACATTGGCCAGAATTACACCATTGCCCTGTAGAGATGAAAACTTGAGTAATGGAATTCTAAATTAACCAAGCAGTGTGTTTCTACTTCATACTCACCCACCCATCTACCCTTCCACCCATCCTTTCCTTTCTGATTTATATAAAATTGGCTCCATCTCCTTTTATCCTGCCCTTGAGAAAGTTCAGTATTCTCCAGAAATTGTCTTCAAATCCCTAGGGGATTTTTGTCTCAAGGCCACTATGGGTCCATGGGACTTATTCCACATCTCACACAAGACTTACCTCATGCAGCACTGATCTCGCCTCTCTGCCACCCCTGTCTTGGAATTCAGCCACTGTGTTACCCCAGCCATGTACTGGGGTGTGTGCCAGCCTTTACTAATAGCTTTAAAAAGCAGCCACACACATAAAAGTTTGAGCATTAGACCTTTTCACACTGTATTAGTCAGGATTCGCCAAAGAATCAAAACCGACAGGGTGTGTGTGTGTGTGTGTGTGTGTGTGTGTGTAAATTATTATAAGAATTGGCTCAAGCAGTTAGGAAGGCAGATAAGTCCCACAACCTGCTGTCTGTACGATGGCAAAACAGAAAACCTGATGGTGTAATTCAATCCAAATCCAAAGGCCCAAGAACTTGGGAGCCATTAGTGTAAGTCCCGATCTGAGTCTGAAAGTCTAGGAACAAGGAGGCGAAGTCTGTAAGTCCTGATCTAAGTCTGAAAGTCTAAGAAAAAGGAGGTCATGTCTGGCAGCAGAAGATGAATGTCTTAGCCCAAGCAGTGAGCAAATTTACCCTTCCTCCGCCTTTTTATTTTATTCAGGACCTCAACAAATTGGATGATACCCACCCCCACTGGAGAAAGCCACATGCCTTTACTCAGTTCACCAATTTGAATGCTGATCTCTTCCAGAAACACCCTTATAGGCATACCCAGAAATGTTTTACCAGCTATCTGGGCATTCCTTAGTCCAGTGAAGTTGACATAAAATTAACCATTAGACTCTCTGGGCACAATGGCTCATGCCTGTAATCCCAGCACTTTGGGAGGCTGAGGTGGGTGGATTACCTGAGGTCAGGAGTTCCAGACCCACCTGGCCAACATGGCTAAACCCTGTCTCTACTAAAAATATAAAATTTAGCTGGGCATGGTGGCACATGCCTGTAGTCCCAACTACTCAGGAGGCTGAGGCAGGATAATTGCTTGAACCCGGGAGGTGGAGGCTGCAGTGAGCTGAGATCATACCACTACACTCCAGCCTGGGCGACAGAGGAAGACTCCATCTCAAAAAAAAAAAAAAAAAAAAAAACCATCACAAACTCACCCCTTGTCTATTTGGCATAAGCCATACTTAATCTCCAAAGAAAGACAATAACAACATCATAATTTCTCTTATTCTGCATACGACCAAAAGTGCCAACTAAGCTCTTTCTCAGAAGAGGAGGTAAGGTCCTTGAGTGATGTTTACTCTTGTCCTGATATTTTATAACTTAAATACCATGATGTAAAATTAACAATACTTAAATACTGATGTAAAGTCAACATGTGTTGCATGATAAGAGAATAAGACAGGAAAGAAAACAAGGATATTTGCATAATATAATTATATATACACACAAAAGTATTCATAACAAAATAAGGAGGAAATACTAATGGCAATTATGGTCCTTATTTCTGTAACTGATCATTTGGTCATCTAGTCATGGTTCTTTACCTGATGGGTGACCCAAACCTTCATTACTGAAGGGTTTGGGCCATCAGTAGTCCTGCCTAGATTAAGGTGTTGTGGTTTTCCATTAGCCTTAATCACAAGGCGTGGTAATTCTAAGAGATACCCTAAGGGATCTCTATATTCCAGACATCCTCTTCCTCACCAACATTGTAGAGTTGCAGTCTGATTTCTTCTTGATCCCTAGTATCACTCACCCCCACCAACATAGTAACTCCCTTCTTTGCCTGTTGATTTAAATGCAAAGTGGCTAGCAGCAGTCTTAAATTTCAGTTTAATAGAATCACTGTTGTGCCTCCTAGTAGAAACGTTCCTCCTTCTAGAACTAAGACCTCTAGGCCAGCAGAGCATCAGGTCTCAAGAACAGGAAGCAAAAATTTTGCTAGTGGTTCGCTAGGGGTAATATTGAGCGGTACCACTCCCATTTCCACCCCTTAATTCTTGGACCTTAATCCTGGCTATGGGAGAAACAGCACCATATAGTGGACACTGATTCAGAGCATATATAGCCTACAGAATCTTGCCCCAGCCCTGCAAGGTATTGCCACCTTGCTGGCTGCCACTGAATATAACTTAAAATGTTTCTTAGCCTACCTAACACCAGGAATGTCTCCATGGCCACCTCCATTTGTAGACGACATCATCCCACCATGTTGTCTGACTCATTCACTTTCTTCTTTCCATTCCTCTCTCTTATCTTCTCTCTTTCATGCACCTCTCCCACAGCCATTCTTGCTCATTGGGTATACAAATATATTTAGCTATTTGTTTAATATTTTTCTCACAAACATTGACTTCAAGGCTTCACCTAGCCCTGAATATTCCCCTAAACAAAAACAGTTTTGGCCGGGCGCGGTGGCTCACACCTGTAATCCCAGCACTTTGGGAGGCCGAGGTGGGCGGATCATGATGTCAAGAGATCGAGACCATCCTGGCCAACATGGTGAAACCTCGTCTCTATTAAAAATATAAAAATTAGCTGGGCATGGTGGCAGGCGCCTGTAGTCCCAGCTACTTGGGAGGCTGAGGCAGGAGAATCGCTTGAACCCGGGAGGGAGAGATTGCAGTGAGCCGAGATCACGCCATTGCACTCCAGTCTGGGTGACAGAGCGAGACGCCGTCTCAAAAAACAAACAAACAAACAAAATTTTGTCACTAGAAAAAAACTTTAGTACCAGCTATCAAAATAATGATTTTTAAATCCCCTACAAATGAATTAATATCACACCCATACACAACTATATAAACATTTATCTTATTTTTAAAAGATATATAATTACTTTAACAATAAAGCACGTTAGCATTAATTTAGTTTAACATATAAATAAGTGTGCCACAGTCATTTTTATACTTAAAATATATTTCTTTTTAACAAGATAAGGCTCAGCTTTTTTTAAAGGAAAATTAAGTAGTTGAAGTTCCATATTAAGAGGAATCTATTACTTACACTAGTTCTGCAAAATCCACCCGTATAATTATTTATTGTTTTGGAAAGAAGTTTGCTGCTCCTAAGCTCAGGCCTGAATCCTAGAACAAGTTTCCTTCTGTGGGTGCGCCGTCTCTGTGGATATCCTGAAATAGCAGCCCCTTTGCCCTGGCTCTCCTGGACCTCTGACGGCAGTGGCCCCTTCAAAGCCCTAAGTCCATGGCAATTGCTCCCCATCAACCATTCAATCAGATTAATGACCCCCCATGTGGCTTTGTAAATGTACAACACAGCTTTAAACACACAAGGATATATCCTAAGAGTGAAAGATGTCTTCCCACCCAAAGGATCACATCACCTTCCCTTCACCCAGATAAAGGTCCCTTCCTCATCAGGCTTTGCTCTCATCTATCAGCTGGGTTTCCATTCATCTGGCTGAATCCTGAATTCTGCACTGGGGTTATAGAAATTATGACAATTCTGGCTCACAAGAAACAAGAAAACAAATGAATATTCTTATTGAGGAACATAGATAAATATGCATTAGATCATTGTGACCCAAATAATAATGTACTTTTGGCATCAGTTTGTTGAATTTTGTTTTGTTTTTGCTAAGTATTTGCAACAGACAAATAATCTTCATTTAATTATAATACAGTGACCTTGTTTTCAGAAGTACATGGCACACCATGCAAACCAATAAATAAGAATTAGCCATATCCAAAGTGTTGCAAGTGTTTCCCCTGACAGAGCAGGAGTGCAGGGAGAACATTCAACATGGAGGCAATAATCATCACAGCACGGCTGGGCTCAGAAGCCAAGAAGAGTGGAATATCTATAAAATAACTTTTAACCAGCCCCATACATGGGCTCAAGTTTAGGTTCATAATCATAAATCCAAAATGGAATATGATCATGAACGCACTCTGATACACCTAAGATGTGACATGACCTATTTCCAATTTACAGGGGGAGCCAGCATCTGACATGTTCTAGATATTTTATCACAGAGACTCAAACTAAGCATGCCAATTGACTTTACATATACAACATCCTAAGAGTTCGGAGATTTGGCATAGGGAATTTTGCTTTTCACCATAGGAAACACAGTTCACTTACAAGAGAAACCCATCTATTAACAGCCCTGAGTCTTGATTATCAGTTGAACACACACTAAAAAATATCTAAATAAGATGCTAAACATATCTATGCAGACGGTCTCATTCAGTCCACAAGTCTCAAAAGAGAAAACTCTAGCCCATTCATTGAGATTGCATCTCCTACAAAGTGATGGAGACATGACACTGAGTGCAATTGGTCTTTTAAAAAGAATGACATTGATATTTGTATGAGAAGTAATTTTAAGAAAATTGAGTTAGGATGGTTGCAAACTATAATGGGAATGCTGAAAGGAGATTTTGAAATAAACAGAATTCTACAGCCTTTTACTGAAAAAAATCCACAGTAGTCTTGATTTGGATAAGCACAAAATATTCAATATTATTTTTAAAAATGCAATTCTTCCAAAGCAAGACTCTTACTGACCTCAATGGAGCTTCTAAAGTTGAAATAACTCCAGGGATGCTTCCATGTAGGATTTAAACATACTAATGGAAAGATCATTAAGCCTTTAAAAACTCTCTCTGATTGTATCACCAATGGAATGTCCACTGCAATTATCTTTTTCAGGTGTCACTGTTATGGGAGATGCTAGGAAAGTTTCTTTTAAATCATTTATAACATTTCATATCTGTATTACATCAAAATCTTTCATTTTAAGACCATACTAAAAACTGTTCCAAAATGGTGAAAATTATGTTCTGAAATATAAAACTTTGTTGGCAAAATTAGAAAAGGTTCTCGGCAAATATGTGAACAATTAAAACACATTTCCAGTAAATGTCTTGTTTATGCACAAACAAGGACTACTTTTTACAGTAATGAATATTTTCCACAGAGTTCTGAATCTGTAAAGTTTGCCACGTGGGACTAGAAGTGAACTTGGCAGGGCTGCTCGCTGATTTCTCCCAGGTGTTTACAAATGGCTTCCCATGTTTGATCAGCAGCTTTCTCCTACATTAACAGGTGTTCCAGTAGGAATGATTTGGGGAGAGGAAACAATGCTGTCACATGATTGTAGAGTTTTGGTTTTTGGAAGTAATGCTACCTCCAAGGAACCAGACAGCTATCCAAGCAGGGAACATGAACTTTCTTTCCTGTTTTCTCAAATCTTCACACTTGGCTACCTCTTTCCTTCAGCCGTATGGGGTTGGCTAACATAAGGTCAACAGAGAATTTTTCTAGAAGAACCCTGGCATAGTTTTAAAAAAAAAAAAAAAGCACAAGAATATAAGCCTTCCAAATCAATGGAGAAGGAATAAAATTTCAAAAATTTGCCCATTTGGAAAAAAAGAAAAGAAAATTAAAGTCTCACCTTATACCATACACCCAAATAAATTTCAAAGATACTGAAAAATTAATTTATAAATGATAGACCATAGGCAAATATTTAACTTATTAGTGACAAGGATTTTCTAAGACAAATGCAAAGGAAAAGTCAGGAAGAAAAAAATCTTAAATTATTTTTAAAGAATCCAAAATAAGTTATTTTACTACTATAGTGTAATTGCAATTAATATCTTTCTACTTATGAAAATTTTATACTCTCATATCTGAAAATTTAGAAACCACAAAGAAGAAAGAGCAAAAAAGCTTAACCTACCTACACTGCCAAAAAGTAGCCACATCAATGTTTTCATCATGTCCTACTATTTTATCTATATTATTTTAGATACTATATATACAACGTGTCAATGTGAACGTATTTGGACGTAGTTTGAGAAGGAATACAACCCCAAACTCCAGGCATGGGGCACAAACCTCAGACCCAAGCCATTTAAGATTTGGTATTCATTTTGACCACAGTGAATCAATCATCCAGGGATGGATGCATTACCTATTCAGAGCCACTAAGACTGCTCAGACTTCCACAAAAGAAACTCCCACTTCTCACAACAGGCACAATGCCATGTCTGGCAGCCGTCTGTGACCAGAAAAGAATGGAGCATATAAACTTTAAAGTAGTTTTTTCCAATTCTGCGGAGAAAGTCATTGGTAGCTTAATGGGGATGGCATTGAATCTATAAATTACCTTGGGCAGTATGGCCATTTTCACGATATTGATTCTTCCTATCCATGAGCATGGAATGCTCTTCCATTTGTTTGTGCCCTCTTTGATTTTGGTGAGCAGTGGTTTATAGCTCTCCTTGAAGAGGTCATTCACATCCCTTGTAAGTTAGATTCCTAGGTATTTTATTCTCTTTGTTGCAATTGTGAATGGGAGTTCATTCATGGTTTGGCTCTCTGTTGTCTATTATTGATGTATAGGAATGCTTGTGATTTTTGCACATTGATTTTGTATCCTGAGACTTTGCTGAAGTTACTTATCAGCTTAAGGAGATTTTGGGCTGAGACGATGGGGTTTTCTAGATATACAATCACGTCATCTGCAAACAGGGACAATTTGACTTCCTCTTTCCCTAACTGAATACCCTTTATTTCTTTCTCTTGCCTGATTGCCCTGGCCAGAACTTCCGACACTATATTGAATAGGAGTGGTGAGAGAGGACATCCTTGTCTTGTGCCAGTTTTCAAAGGGAATGCTTCCAGTTTTTGCCCATTCAGTATGATATTGGCTGTGGGTTTGTCATAAATACCTCTTATTATTTTGAGATATGTTCCATCAATACCTAGTTTATTGAGAGTTTTTAGCACAAAGGGCTGTTGAATTTTGTCAAAGGCCTTTTCTGCATCTATTGAGATAATCATGTGGTTTTTGTCGTCGGTTCTGTTTATGTGATGGATTACAATTATCGATTTGTGTATGTTGAATTGGCCTTGCATCCCAGGGATGAAGCCCACTTGATCATGGTGGATAAGGTTTTTGATGTGCTGCTGGATTCGGTTTGCCAGTAGTTTATTGAGGATTTCGCATCGATGTTCATCAGGGATATTGGTCTAAATTTCTCTTTTTTTGTTGTGTCTCTGCCAGGCTTTGGTATCAGGATGATGCTGGCCTCATAAAATGAGTAAGGGAGGATTCCCTCTTTTTCTATTGATTGGAGTAGTTTCAGAAGGAATGGTACCAGCTCCTTTTTGTACCTCTGGTAGAATTCGGCTGTGAATCTGTCTGGTCCTGGACTTTTTTTGATTGGTAGGTTAATTATTGCCTCAATTTCAGAGCCTGCTATTGGTCTATTCAGAGATTCAACTTCTTCCTGGTTTAGTTTTGGGAGGGTGTGTGTGTCCAGGAATTTATCCATTTCTTCTAGATTTTCTAGTTTATTTGCGTAGAGGTGATTATAGTATTCTCTGATGGTAGTTTGTATTTCTGCGGAATCAGTGGTGATATCCCCTTTATCATTTTTTATTGCATCTATTTGATTCTTCTCTCTTTTCTTCTTTATTAGTCTTGCTAGCAGTCTATCAATTTTGTTCATCTTTTCAAAAAATCAGCTCCTGGATTCATTGATTTTTTGAAGGGTTTTTTTATGTCTCTATCTCCTTTAATTCTGCTCTGATCTTAGTTATTTTTTGCCTTCTGCTAGTTTTGAATGTATTTGCTCTTGCTTCTCTAGATCTTTTAATTGTGATGTTAGGATGTTGACTTTAGATCTTTCCTGATTTCTCTTGTGGGCATTTAGTGCTATAAATTTCCCTCTACCCACTGCTTTAAATGTGTCCCAGAGATTCTGGTACATTGTGTCCTTGTTCTCACTGGTTTCAAAGAACATCTTTATTTCTGCCTTCATTTTATTATTTACCCAGTAGTCATTCAGTAGCAGGTTGTTCAGTTTCCATATATTTGGGTAGTTCTGAGTGAGTTTTTTAATCCTGAGTCTAGTTTGATTGCACTGTGGTCTGAGAGACAGTTTGTTGTGCTTTCTGTTCTTTTACATTTGCTGAGGAGTGCTTTACTTCCAATTATGTGGTCAATTTTAGAATAAGTGTGATGTGGTGCTGAGAAGAATGTATATTCTGTTGATTTGGGATGGAGAGTTCTGCAGATGTCTATTAGGTCCTGTTGGTGCAGAGCTGAATTCAAGTCCTGGATATCCTTGTTAACCTTCTGTCTCATTGATCTGTCTAATACTGACAGTGGGGTGTTAAAGTCTCCCATTACTATTGTGTGGGAGTCTAAGTCTTTTTGTAGGTCTCTAAGGACCTGCTTTATGAATGTGGGTGCTCCTGTATTGGGTGCATATATATTTAGGATAGTTAGCTCTTCTTGTTGAATTTATCCCTTTAACATTATGTAATGGCCTTCTTTGTCTTTTTCGATCTTTGTTGGTTTAAAGTGTTTTATCAGAGACTAGGATTGCAACCTCTGCTTTTTTTTTCATTTTCCATTTGTTTGGTAGAGCTTCCTCCATCCCTCTATTTTGAGCCTATGTGTGTCTCTGCACATGAGATTGGTCTCCTGAATACAGCACACGGATGGGTCTTGACTCTTTATCCAATTTGCCAGTCTATGTCTTTTTTTAAAAAAGAGCCCACATTGCCAAGACAAGCAATGTCCTAAGCAAAAAGAACAAAGCTGGAGGCATCACACCACCTCACTTCAAACTATATACAACCTACAGTAACCAAAACACCATGGTACTGCTACCAAAACAGATATATAGACCAATGAAAGAGAACAGAGGCCTCAGAAACACCACACATCTACAACCACCTGATCTTTGACAAACCTGACAAAAACAAGCAATGGGGAAAGGATTCCCTATTTAATAAATGGTGCTGGGAAAACTGGCTAGCCATATGTAGAAAGCTGAAACTGGATCCCTTCCTTACACCTTATACAAAAATTAATTCAAGATGGGTTAAAGACTTACATGTTAGACCTGAAACCATAAAAACCCTAGAAGAAAACCTAGGCAATACCATTCAGGACATAGGCATGGGCAAGGACTTCATGACTAAAACACCAAAAGCAATGGCAACAAAAGCCAAAATTGACAAATGGGATCTAATTAAATTAAAGACCTTCTGCACAGCAAAAGAAACTACCATCAGAGTGAACAGGCAACCTACAGAATGGGAGAAAATTTTTGCAATCTACTCATCTGACAAAGGCTAATATCCAGAATCTACAAAGAACTTAAACAAATTTACAAGAAAAAAACAAACAACCACATCAAAAAGTAGTCAAAGGATATGAACAGACACTTCTCAAAAGAAGACATTTATGCAGCCAACAGACACGTGAAAAAATGCTCATCATCACTGGTCATCAGAGAAATGCAAATCAAAACCACAATGAGATACCATCTCACACCAGTTAGAATGGCGATCATTAAAAAGTCAGGAAACAACAGATGCTGGAGAGGATGTGGAGAAACAGGAACGCTTTTACACTGTTGGTGGGAGTGTAAATTAGTTCAACCATTGTGGAAGACAGTGTGGCCATTCCTCAGTGATCTAGAACTAGAAATACCATTTGACCCAGCCATCCCATTACTGGGTATATACCCAAAAGATTATAAATCATGCTACATTAAAGACACATGCACACGTATGTTTTTGCAGCACTATTCACAATAGAAAAGACTTGGAACCAACCCAAATGTCCATCAATGGTAGACTGGATTAAGAAAATGTGGCACATGTACACCCTGGAATACTATGCAGCTGTAAAAAAGGATGAGTTCATGTCGGGACATATACGAAGCTGGAAACCATCATTCTCAGCAAACCATCACAAGGACAGAAAACCAAACACCACATGTTCTTACTCATTGGCGGGAACTGAACAATGAGAACACTTGGACACAGGGTGGGGAACATCACACACCGGGGCCTGTCAGGGGGTTAGGGGCTCAGGGAGGGATAGAATTAGGAGAAATACCTAATGTAAATGACGAGTTGATGGGTGCAGCAAACCAACATGGCACATGTATACCTATGTAACAAACCTGCATGTTGTGCACATGTAACCTAGAACTTAAAGTATAATAACAAAAAAAAAATGGAGCAAATACACAGACAATGAAGCCAAGAGATAAAGAGGAACTAAATCTGAGCCCTGAAGACAACTGAGCCTTAAAATCAGTCGTACCCCAGAATGTCTGACTTATGTGAGCCAATACATTTTATTTATCTTGAATTGGTGAAAGAGTGCTACCGGATTCAACTGTGGTTAGGGCATTACAAGAATCTCTATGAAATTTGGTTTTTAATAATCCACTCCTCTTTACCAATAGTTTCAATTTTCTTAGCTTAAATCTACCAGATCCCCATTTCTAGGGCTGTGGTATCACACATTCACATGTCTAAATGCTAGAATAGGAGTTACCTGTTAAAAATTATAAGGAAAGATGAATGATGGACTGCAAAACCACAGGCATAATCTACAAATTATTGAGAAAGTTTGAGGACATATGCAAGAATTCCTATAGCAGTGTAGGGTTTGGCTTATTTCCCTCATATAACTGTTTAGACATGATGCAGTAACACAAATTGTGTATTCCACAGTTCACTTCATAGTCTCACTATGGGAATCTCCTAAACCAACAGCTATGGCTAAAACAGTTCAAAAATGACAACCATTTTCCAGAAGAAAAGAAATCAGCTCTAACAAAACTATGGTATTTCATAGCTTCCATTACCAGCCAGATCCTAATAATTGTCTTGAAGGATAAGTAATTATGCTGTACAGGTGCTGCATCAATCAATCAATAACATGAATTTACTGACCTCCTATTAGGTGCCTAACATTATGCAAAATGTTCTCTGAATTATAATATGTATTGACACTATATTAAAATGTCAACATTATCTTTGTAGCACCTCAAAGAGATGTGTGGGAAACACCAGGCAGACCTCTTCACTGTATCCATCAACCACACAATCATGTTTGACAAGATCTATGGGCATTAACTTACAATGGTACTCATCAGGTTTCATTGCTGGAGGAAAAAAATAAAAGCTAAACTCCACGACAGTTATATAATAATGTCATTGTGTATGAGTATGTGCGTGCGTGTGTGTGTGTGTGTGTTTTAAAGGTAGTTTTCAAGTGCAGAAAATAAGAAAAGAGAGATGAAACTAAGATACTACTACAAATCATTAAGAGAAGCTTAGTATATAAAGACCATGATGAGCTGTGTTTTGTTTTCTTAAGCCATAATATAATTTTTTTTTCTTGTCTCTCTTGGTTTTTTGGCAAACGAGATGGAGATCAGGAAAACTGGAAAGAAAAATGCAGCATTCCACTGAGAAATTTTCAACAGCTGCTGAGTTTGTGGCAAAGTGTGGAATACCAAGGCACCAGAGACTCAGCAGTGACTAAGCCACAGAAGGACTTCAGACCCCATGAAAGGAAGCAAGAAGAATTAAAGCATTAGGATTATTGAGACTTAAATGAAAATTAGTGTAAATGGAAGCAGTTGTTAATAGAAGTTGCTCCTGAGTGAAAATTGTATCTGTGGTAGACATTTATCGATTGACTAGCTTGGCTACTCAGCATCCACATGCAATATTCAGTCTTGGTGGCATTATAAAGCCAGTTATACCCCGGCCCATCCAAGGGGGCAGTCAAGTAATCCAAGCTTCAGTCACTGGGCGCTTTACTGTAACTTCTAATCTTTAGAAAAGTGGCATAAGATGATAAATGATGAAACAATTAGGTAGATCCTATTGCTGAACGCCAAGAGTCGCCTGTTCCTAATCTATTGCCATGGATCATCCAGGTATTCTGGCATCTTATCTGTTCAGCAGCCCTTCTCTAAACTCTCTTATTTCTTGACTTGCACAGAATTGGGATCTGTTGCTTACACCAAAGGTTCTTAAGTGATACTTAAGTGAAGTGTTCAACTATACCTAGGTGCTGTTTTCTTTGGCTCTTACTCTAATATGTAATCATTATTTAAGGGTATTTGGTGGCCAATCCAAAGAGTTGGACAACACAGCTCAATCACAGATACAAATTAGGATTGGGAGCATTTGCATTTTACACAATTATCCAGACCTTGGTAACTCAAAATAATAACAGTTCTGGAATAAAAATATCCCCACGGCCATAACCCACATACATCACCTTGATCTGTGAGTTAAAACATTTTAGTCACAAGGCTCCCTGCTCCACACACAAAACTTCAAGCCTAAACTTTCAGCAACTTAACCCATTTCCTCAAAGGAAGGAAGGGAGGACAAAGGGCAAAAAGAAAAGAAAAAAGAAATAAGAAAGAAAAAAACAGATTATAATTGCTTTTAGCACTTTTTTGTAGAAAAAATATACACATTTCTTTAGCTTTTTGGAAATCTTTCCACTCCTATGAGAGCCAAAAAATTATTTTTGTCCAGTATAATCCTATATAATTCATATCATCTTTATTTGAACTTATTTTGACAATGTCTCAATTCATTCTTTTTTCTGAGAATGATACTGTTGTGTTTTTAGTAGCATAAGCTATGTGGTAGGATCATGATCCTGAGTGCTGGATGATAGGTTTTGTTAACAATAAACCATAATTGTTAATAATTTTGTTTTGATGGGAAAAAATATATAACCAGCTCAAAAAGTTATGATAATAAGTTTTATTAGAAAGGATGAAGGCTGCAATTTATGAATTGTCTTCTTTCTGCTGGCACAGAGCTTGATGCTTTCCATAAATTCTCATTAGTTCCTCATGACAATCGTAATAGGGATCATTCTCCCATGTTTCTAATAAGAAAATTAAAAGAGGTCATAGCAAACCTAAGATTGTAATGCCTGTCTTCTTCCCAAAATGCTACACTATTCACTGCTGTCCTTGCTTCAAGGAAACGAGGCCATGCCACCCAAGTACCACTCTCCATTGTATGGCAATTTCCCCAGACTGTAATTGTAGTAATCAATTAGTAATTAAAGCTCTATAAACCCTTTCAAGTGATGTCACCACTTTCCAGAGAGTTTCAAAAGAATCCTGAGCATTTTCCAAAAAGATATTACTAGTCACAGACTGATGACATTCAGCCTGATTCATACTCTATTACCAAAAAGAATAAAGTAGATGGAAGAAAAAAATTCCATAAATTAAAATTAACTCACTAAATCTTGCTAGCAGCCACTGCAAGTTGAAAAGCTGGGTTCACTCAGCCTGCACTTTTGTGCATCTGGTAACGTTGTCTAACTCTTCAGAGAATAAACATCATCTAATATCTTTGAACCAGTCATCCAAAAATGTCTTTAAGCTTCTGGACTGCATTACTCTTACCAGAGTAATGCTGACAAATTCAAAAGTTCTTTGGTTTCGGTCTTATTTCTTCTTGAATTCTTTGCCCACCTTCTCACTAAAATGCAAAAGACAAAAGGAATGGCAAAAAGACAGCACCTAAAAGATCCACGGAATTTTGAAAATCCATTAATAGATACTCAGACTCCATATACTCAACATGTAACTATATTAATATAATATGTAACATATTAATAATAGTGCAAATATACTTTTCGTATGCAAAAACAAGCTTTCTTGAGTATACTGGTAACAGGCAGAGGTTTGGAATTTCTGATCTGCCTTCCTTTTTTTAATAAGTTTTTTTTTTTGAGGATGCTTTGATTGAATTCAGCTTTTTATTTTTTTTGGAAAAATATGAGTGCAGGGGAAGATGTTAAGACTTGGAGCTCTAGAACTGCACTGTCTCTGTCTAAGCCACTAGCCATGTGTGGCTGTTGAGCACTTGAAATGTAACTAGTCCAAACTGAGAGTATTATACATGTAACATGCCCACTGGATTTCAAGGACTAGTTCACTAAAAATAAAAAGAATGTACCATTTTGATACTGATTACATGTTGAAACAATGTTTTTGACATATTAGGTTAAATAAAACGTATTCTTAAAAATACCGTTGCCTCCTTCTTTTTACGTTTTTAAATGTGGCTACTAGAAAATTTTAAATTACATTTCCATTTCCATTGAACAGCAATGGTCTACTGCTATGGCTTTAACTCAGGATCTGTCACTCACCAACTGGGCCGCCACATAAGTTGTATGGATTGTGCAATATACACGGGTACCTGGCAGCAGGTGCAAGCAGGGGTCAAAAGCCTTACTGTGCACTGCCAGCCAAGCCATCACTGGAGTGAGAGCCTTTCTCTAATTTGCACACAGTGCCACACTGGCTAGGTGCAGCCCTGCTTATTAGCTGCCTCCTTTGAGCATGATACCTACCTCTCTTTCTCATTTTCCTCATCTGTAAAATGGGGAGACCCTATGGGCCTCATAAAGGTACTAGAAAGATTAAATGAGATCGGGCACATCAAAGGCCCTGTCCAGTGTTCAGCAAATAGTAAATCTCAATAAATGGTTGTTATTATTAGCTGTTCTGTATAAATCATCCTCGATGATTTATACATCTTCAGACTGTTGAAAGTCTTCAGAAACATTCTCATCGTCATACAGTCGTCCCCCAATATCCACAGGGAATTGGTTCCAGGACCCTTCACAGGTATCAAAATCTGCAGATGCTCAGTCCCTTATATAAAAAGTCATACTATTTGCCCATAAACTATGCACATCCTCCCATAAACTTTAAGTCAGATTTAGATTATTTACAATACCCAATGCAATGTAAATGCTATGTAAATTGTTGTTATAGTGCATTGTTCCTATTTGTATTTTTATTTTGTATATTTGTCTAATATTTCTGATTTGCAGTTGGTTGAATCTGCAGATGTGGAACCTGTGGATAGGAAGATCTGGCCGTACTAGTCCTTCAAGCAGGTGGTTCTCTCCCTCAGATATCCATGATTTAAAAGAAAGTATGAGTGAGTAGCCTGGCACCGTTTCCCAATAGTTGATTGATGAAATAGAATTGACTCAAGAAGCTACCATCATTAAATTTCACCAGAAGAAACTTTACCCAACTATTGGGAAAGAAATATAATGAATGAAAATTTTTATGAGTAAGATGAAAATCTGAGGAAAGAAAAGAAATGCCTAATAAATTATTTCTCATCCACTTGCTGTAATTATATTTCTTTCCCTCTAAATGAATGCCAGGTGTATAAGAAGGATAAAAACTTTCAATTAAGCTGCTACATAAAGATTAAATGACCTTTAAAACAACTAGAATACTTGGAAAGGCTATTAATCATTATTAGAGTATGTGTCGACCATGATTCAAAAGTATGAGGCCTCAGACTGGGCACCACATTTCAAAGGTGGTAATATTTCACTTCAAAGTGCAAAGTGACAAAAGTCAACTAGGTGAAGCAGTAATATAAGTTCTCATCAGGGAGGGCTGTTACCTTGGCTTGTTTTCCCACTATGTGGAAATGAGTTACTGGACACAGACTTCATTAAGCTATAAGCCCAATTACTATCACATGGCGTCAACCATATTGCAATTACAGTCCTTTCCAGAGGCAGCCAGCCGCTGTTTTCAGTAGAGAAACACTGGTTTGGACAAGGTTTATAAATGATTTTCATTAACTATCATTTACCATTAGTGCAAATAAAAGCACTAAATGCCCACTTTGCTGTAGAAAATGACCTTTGGCCCCGATTCTCTCTCTAACCGATGAGGGCTAAATGTATTGTGACAGCTCCTAATCACATTCAGTGCAGCCCATGATTTGATGGCACTGGGTGTCCCATCAACTACAGACAGCCCTTGCAAGGCCATTATATTCTGCTTCCTTTTAGAGATATGCACATTAGGATCCCAGGGAATCGAGAAATATAAGCCTTTCCCAATCATCCGGACTATATTTTAGTAGCTTAAAAAGCTCATACCATGACATCATTACTTATAAAGAATTGCTTGCAATGAGAACATATTTCTCTTCTTTATAATTCAGGTTTATATGCCTAAAATGCATTAATCTGATCAGCCCAACTCTAGTACTATAGATAAAAACCCAGCCATCATAACTCACCAGTCAGAAACAATCCCCTCCAAAATCCACACATAATGTTTTGCAGCTCAGTTTCATCTCATAAAAAGTTAATACAGCTGTGTGATATTTAATACTGAAGCATTGGGGCCTGATTTTGTACTAATCCAGGATAACACATTTCACAGAAACATCAAGAGGAAACACTGTGAAGTCAAGACTCGTAACATGAAAATGATTTACTTTGGAACTCTAACTCTTTGATTTGAATGAAAACAAGTAAATGGCTGCCAAATGTTCAAAATAAAATACTAAATTAATGAGTCCAACTCCACATTTCCATAGGTAACAGCTGACTTTTTTCTAAAAGAAATTAGATCAGGCATGCTATGGTTTGAATGTTTCCCCGCAAGTTCCCATATTGGAAACTTAATTCCCTATGCAACAGTATTGGAGGGATAGGGCCTAATAAGAGGTGATTAGGTCATGAGGGCTGGGCCCTCATTAATGGATTAATGTCATCATTGTGGGAGTGGGTGAGTTATCAACTGAGTGGACTTGTTATAAAAGCAAGTTTGGCCTCTTCTTGCTAGTGACTCTCATGTGTACTCTCTTCCCCTTCTGTCCTTCTGCCATGGGAGGAGGCAGCATGAAGGCTCTTACCATATGTTGGCTCCATGCTCTTGAGCTTCCCAGCCCCCATAACTGTAGGTGAATAAACTTGTATTGTTTGTAAATTTCCCAGTTTGTGGTAGTCAGTTATAGCAGCAGAAAGAGACTGAGACAATGCACTACCCCAGCAAATATCTGACCCCAAACAGGGGATATTAGTTTCTAAATACACAGTCTGAGGCCAAGAGAGAAAAGAGATTTACAGTGTTATGCTAAAATTGTTTTCTCATAAAAAGCCAAAGCCAAAAAACAGCTGAATTAAATATTGCACAGGCAGTAATTGCTTGGAAGCAGGTGTCAATTATCAACTGTCTTTGCAACATAAAGGCCCACTTGTTCTCTACTCTTTGTTCCCTGCAAGCACAGTCTTTAAAATCAGGAGGAAAACAGCAAGCTCATGCTCATGCTCTGTTCTATTGGAAAGTGAAACATATTCATGAAAAATTTGAGGAAAGGCCATGCTTTTTATCCTGATACAAATATTTAAGGAAAAGAAAGAAAGAAAAGCTACAATACCAGAGGATAGTCTTTTAGAAGTTACAAATAGATAGTTTACATAGACAGGTCTCCTTTCTACAGACTTTTGGCAGGATACCCTGTGTTTTATCAACACTGAAAGAGCCCAACCACTTTTAACTTGGCTACATCGATACCCTCTAAAAAAAAAGCAAAAAACAAACAAACAAAAAAAACCATTATCGTTGCTTTCTTTATTTGGAACCTACGAGAACTTGGAAGTCAGAAAAAAATGTTTTCCTCTATGAACTAAACTTTAAAAATCAGAGATGTGCAAAGTCACTTTAGAGAGATACAATGGCCTCTGTATGAAGAAAGGAGACTGTTGGCAGTTGAAGTCTGTATAGCGAAGATGATAATGGAATATCATGGCCAAGCATTTTGTCAAACATTTACTCACACATTTTTTACAGGTAGGGAACTTGAGACACAGTGAGACAAGGAACTTGCCCAGGGTTACACAGAGGAGACATAGTTGGCAGTGCCGATCCAAGTATAGTTTAGAGAATCTGGTCCTAGCGGCAGGGCAACCATCTTATCCTCATGCCATTAAATACTTAAATCATGTAACTCACTCACCTCAGCTGGTTATAGCCTCGCTAAGCAACCAGCTGCCTATAATTTGTTGTCTGTGCCTACAGGGAGATTATGGGTTAGCTGTGACATGTGTCTTGGGATTCACTGTACCTTCGTCAATTGGTTTGCTTGTTTTATACATTAGGGTAAAAAGTTTCTGAGTCCACAACTGAGAGAAGAAACCACTAGCAGTGCGTGAGCTTAGTGAGATTGGGTCCTGAATGTGACAAATTCACAAAATTAATGTCTTTCTGTGATGAGATCCCCAGCAGGTTTGGGGCAGGATATTCCGGATGTTGCCATAGGCCAAGTTTGACCTTTTTCCTTTTAGTTAAATGCACAGCATTACACAATGCATGGTCTCTGATATATCATGGTTTCCTAAAATATTTTTAAAAGAAAAAAACCTACAGAAGATAAAAGCCTAAGGTCATATAGTTAACTTATAAAGAGCTCATTACACCACCTCTTAATACTACCTTACAACAAGATTCCCCTGAATATAACCATTTGAGACATGCTTTATTTGTACTTCTTCATGCTACCCTGCACTTTGGATACGGATTATACAGCCTATTGTGCTTCTTTTTAAAAAAACTTCAAAGTCTGAAACTAAAAGCTCTGCTTCCTTTTTTAACATTATGCATTTATGAACAAGCCACCATTGGAAATAAAATATTCTAAATGTTTCTTCAAATAGATGTTCTATGTTTTAGTTAAACCGGGTAGTTCTACTTAATCCAGTTTCTTTTGAAGAGAAAGTGCTTTTAAATTCAATCTTTAAAAAATGGGTCATCTGCAACTGTGTCAATTTCCTAATTTATTCATTGCCTTAACCTTGACATATCTATGCTCAACAGGCAACCTATTCATAGATTAAATTAGGAGGAAAAGCACCCTGAATGATACTTAGAAAACAGAGTTGTGAAGTCAGATCCTAGGAGGGTAGTACAACAGAGGGCTCAAGAGCAAAGACTGAGGTTCGTGGCGTAGAAAGATCAGAATCCCATCTTTGTTATATAAGAACTATTGACCTTGGGCAGGTTATTTAACTTCTGAGTCTCCATTTTCTCACCTAGATTAGAATATTAAAAAAAAAAAAAAAAACTAACAGTTGAGCAATTACTATGTTCCAGACATTATTCTGATTAGCAATTTAAGCCTCACCACTTCATGATGAAGGTGGTATTACTATTGCCACTTACAGGTGGGGATCTCGAAGTTCAGTGAAAATACCACTTGCTGAAGGCAGCCAGCTAGTAATGCCAAGAGATGGTATTTGAACCCAGGCTGTATGACTCTGACTTGCCTCCTTAATCATTTGACTTAATGCCTCCCAGAGTTCATAGCATAATTACATGAGATGATACATGTCAAATACATTACCCAGCATGTACGAAGTACTCAGAAATTGCAGCCATCATTTGTCATTTTGATTTTTATTTATTGTTTATTTGAAGCTGAGGTGAAAATAAACGTAGGCCCTTGAGGTAAAAAGTTACTCCTTGTATCAGTGAAATTTCTGTTCCTTCTATGAAAATAGTACTTATATCACTTTAATAGCAGCAGCAGTAACACCCTTATAGTAACAGAGTGGTTCAGAACATGGCTACAAACTCAGAGGATCTGAATTCAAAACCTAAGACTGCTACTTATTGGTGAGATCTTACAAAATTGTTCAATCTCTTGAAGCTTCATCTGTACAAGGCTGGTACCTCAAAAAACTGCAATGAGAATTAAATGAGACCATACATCAAAAGCATTTCACATAGTGCCTGGCACAGAGTAGGAACTCTGTAAATATTAGCTATTATTTTGGGTATGGCCTGCTTCTCTCAATAGACTCCACGTCTTTTTGTATAAATTATGTCTATTGGTATGATTGTTCATTTGGGTTGTCATACACTAACAAAGGTGTCCAATAACTATTTTAAAAGGTATTACTTATAAATCTCTAGAATGTTTTCTCTTACTGGTACCTTCACCATTATTATTCTAGCACTGCTAACACATACAGATAAGAGCCACACAAGGCTTTTCTATTGTCACATTTTTCTTCCCATGTCCTTTTACATAACTTTTTTTATTTTTAATGAACTCATTTCTAGAAGTATGTTTCTTGGATCATTCTCTTTTTTAAAAAATATGTATCAATTTCTAAATACTGTGTTTTTCTTCTATACTACTTTAATTGATAATGCTTCCATCACATATGCATGCTTCATAAAGTTATCCCTTGATGACATTTAGTGACCACTGAGTGTCCACTTTCAGTAGCACAGCTCTGGGTTCTTCTCCAGTTGCTCCCTTAAAAATGACTTCATTTCTTCTTTTTTGCCTAACCCTAGCCTGTGATAAAGTCCATTCCATATCCTCAAGCTTTCATATCTCCTTTGCCTTAAAATATCCCAAGTCAGAGAAACCAAATTATAGCTACATGTTAACAGTAGAAAAGGAGAAAGAATGATTTCGAAAAATCATACCAACTCAAGTGGTTGAAAAATAAAAAATTCAGTCTAAACATTGGGTCCTTTTTTCCAACACAATAGCAAATAACTTTCACTAAAGCCTTAAAACTGTCTTTGTTTCTCCCTAGCTATTTTAGATTATTAAAAAGCCTTTGCTACCCCATTTTCTTTTGCCCTGTGGTCTTTGGATCTCATTAGAAATGTTTATTCTTGAGAATATAAGCTTTTGCCATACAGTCAAAAAATATTGAACTTTTCTCCTTTAATCACCAATTAACACGTTTTATTTCTCTTTTCTGTGTTTATGCACTTTGAGCGTGAGACTCTTATTTCTCTGAAAAGAGGCTAAGCCCTTTCACACCAATTTCAAGTGGGGAAAGTGAAATCAGAACATTTCAGCTTTCTCCCCCCTTCTCTTTTTAAATATTTAAGACACAAGGCATCATTTTATCACGTGTAATCCTCTTTCTCAGAAAAGTGAGTACATTTTACGCCTTCTAACCAAAACCACATCAACAAAAAAATTACATATTCAATTTTAGGTAACAAAGGGTCCTAGGGAAAGGGGTAATAATCTAATGGTCTGAATGCTTTCCTAGAGAGCAAACACTGGTCCCAACCAGGAGCACAACCGCTGGTCTGACCCTCTTAGACTTATCATACCTCAGCCCCTTTTCTGCGGAGCCTGTCTCAGGTCAGATACAACAACGTTCCCAACTGATGTGTCTCCATTCTCCCTTTGCCCTGCCTCTAATGCAGACTTATGGTCATTCCTCTATTCAGACAGACACCAGTTCCACAAGATTTTGCTCAGAGAAGTTACATTTATTTCATAGTTGTTTAAAGCAAATCATTTTGCCCCCATTTGCAATCACTGCACTTTAAAGCATATACATTTTGCCTTTAGATTGTTAAGTCAGTCTTCTGTGCTTTGTCCATATAGGTTAATTCTAAAAATGGAAAACCAATTAAGAATGTTTATGATTTTTATAAACGTGTAGCTATTATTCACTTTAGAACCAAGAAGAGTAATACACAAGGAATCTGTTGTCCTAAATCACTTCTCATTGGAGGAGACATTTTCAGGCCCCCACACAAATTAACCTCTTACCTTCTTTCTAGCTTCCTTTAGTTCTCCTAAGTCTTACTCTTTCACCATATTGCTGAAATACCTCCTATTACAATCTTTTCATAAACTTCCTGAATTATTGCACACCCAAAAATATCTTCAGTGGCCTTCATGCCTGATTGGTAATGTTACAAGTATAGAATGCCAGCTTCAAACCTTTCCCCACCCTCCCATATTCTGAAAATACTCTGGTCAACATGGTGCAACACTGTCTCTACTAAAAATACAAAAAAAAAATTAAATTTAGCCAGGCATGGTGGCAGGTGCCTATGATCCCAGCTACTTGGGAGACTGAGGCAGGAGAACTGCTTGAACCCGCTGGAGGTTGCGGTGAGCCAAGATCCCACCACTGCACTCCAGCCCAGGTAACAGAGTGAGATTCCGTCTCAGAAGAAAAAAAAAAAGAAAAGAAAAAAGAAAACACTACTTTTTTGTTGGCTATTCAGTGTTGCTGACAAAAGGTAGAATGTCATTCCAAGTCTTATTTCTTGGTAAGTAATTTGTTTCTTCTCTTTGGAAGCTTTTAGGATCTTCTCTTTATCCTCAGAGTGCCAGAATTCCTCTAGTACATTAAATGTATTCTCACAACTTTCATGCAGAAACGCATCTCAAACTCTTTCGTCCCTAATATGAATCATGCAGTAGTACTAAAATCAGATATGGCCAGACTGATAATTTCAATGTTATTAGACCTGTGCCTCTTTCTTTCTATCTCTCAGACCTGGTCTTCTATGTGGTGGATTCTTTCTCAGGCTGATACTCTCCTTACGGGACAAAAATGGCCCCTTTTTCGTTTCATGATCACTGAGTCCTTACATGCTAGATATCTCAGAAAGGTTAAGAACCAATCTCTCCCAGCTTCCACACTGATCCCTAAGTAGCATTAACCAGCCAGTTCTAATATATGGTAGAGGAGTGGTTAATTACCAAAAGCTGAACACTAAGTTAGCAGTAGGCTTTCTTTTCCTTCTTTCTGCTTGGTACTTACTGGAATCTTTCAGTCTGAAGAGTTATATTTCTTTTGCTTAAAAAAAACTCTTCTATTATTTTTGGGCTATGTCCTTTTTTCTATTCTTTCTTTTTCTTGTTCTGTGGAGTTCCCATTAGAGTCACATTAGATGACTAGACCTCTGTTCCCATCTTCGTATTATTTCCTTATTTTCTGATTCATTTTGCTGTGCATTATCAAAGGTTTCCTTGATGCTATCTTTAAGAACAGCAACATGGTCTTCAGTCCCATTAGATTATTTATGCCATCCATTGATTTTTTTAATGTCAGCAATCTGTTTTTCCTATTTTCATAAACTCTTGCTATTTTCAGGATGAAAGCTATTTACTCTGAGAACATTAAAGTTTTTCCATTATTAAAACTATTTCTATTTACTTTAGATTAGTTGTTCTGTTTATTTTCATTCTTTCAAGATTTTCCTCGGTGTTTTCATCAAATGAAACCTTTGTAACATGGACTTACTTTAAAGCTATATATGTTTGCTTGCACAGGCATCTCTCCCTTGAAATGAAAGGGCTGACTGCAGGCTCTAGGTGGGACAATGGTGTACTTGAGATGTCAATAGGTGCCCATCCTGGAGTTTGCCGGGACATGAGGCATGCAAAGAGACTGAGGACAGACACAATTACCATAGGAATGGAATCCTTTGCTCTATTTCCTTCCCAGGCACTTACCTTTTCTTCAGTTTACCTGACTATATCTGTTGTGGAGATCAGGATTTCCTACATACACCACCCTGCTTCACTATAGACTCCTATATTCTCACTGAGAGCTACCCCCAGACAAATTGTTTTCTTTAGGAAGCAGTTCTTCAATCTTAGCTCAAGAGCAAAAGCCTATTCCTTGAAACTGTTCTAATTAATAAAGGCCCAGAGGGGCAACCAAATGTCCATGTTATTGGAAACACAGTTCTATAAAATGAGTAACTTTGATGATTTCTCTGTGGCTCATTCTAGCTCTCTATTGACCCCCAGACTTGAAGCTGCTCTGAATTTTGATTTCCTACTGAGCTTTCTCCATGAGTCCATTGATTGAACTGATGCTTTCTGTCTTCCACATATTCTTCAAAACTTCTGGCCATTGATAGTTTAAGGAATGTTCTTGCTCAGTGCTATTATAGTTCCATTCTTTAAAAAAAAAAAATCTGTAATGTTAATAGAAAGAAGAGTCAGATATATGTGATCAGTCTGTCATCTTGAGCCAGAATCCTACAGATACCAATTGAAGGGTACTGGATTGAGAAAAAATACAAAGATTGATGATGTTGAGTTGTGGTGAATGTGTGACAAACAGGCATTTTCCTCTCAGAGGAAAGGAGGCTAGAGCATCCTTTCTGGAGGGAATTTGACAGTCACTATCGACATGTTAAATAACCACAATCCATGACTTTGTAATCTCTATAATTTTAACAATTTACCCTACAGAAACACTAGCATGACTACTTAAAGATACATTATGTAATTATGACTACTGAAGCACTCTACTTAAAAGCAAATACGTAGGCAATGGCATAAATAGGCAATGTTTTAACAAATTATTTTATATTTATAAAACAGGCAAAGAATAAGACAAATGTGTTTGCAATGACTTGGAAAGATGCTGGTAATATGTCATTGACAAAAGCAAAAGTTGCAGAAAAGTATGTTTTTGATGATCCCATGAAAAAATAATAAAACAAAAGCAGTATCCATCTTAAGAATGTGCTTTGCCGCTATCCTTACATATTATAAAATGCTCCTAACATATTTCTTTTGACTGTTCCTATTTCTTTTTATTTTTAATTTGCACTCTTTTTTTGAGACAGGGTCTCACTCTGTCACCCAGGCTGGAGTAGAGTGGCATGATCTTGGCTCACTGAAACCTCCGCGTCCCTGGTTTAAGCGATTCTCATACCTCGGCCTCCAGAGTAGCTAGGACTACAGGCACGCACCTCCATGCCCAGCTAATTTTTGTATTATTAGTAGAGACAGGGTTTTGCCATGTTGGCCAGGCTGGTCTCGAACTCCTGACCTCAAGCGATCTGCCCTCCTCGGCCTCCCAAAGTGCTGGGGTTACAGGCATGAGCCACCATGCCCAGCCTAATTTGCAGTCTTTTGCATAAGCCAAACATAGTTGATGGCTATTGTCAGTTAAAAACAAGCAACAACTTATATAGCATCACAAAACATGAGATGCAAGATTTCTCTGGGGGAAAAAAGTATTGATAGAATATACTGACCAAAAAAGTGCTGTAAATCTTAAATAAAATATCTTAGCATTTCATAACATTTTTTCTAATTTTCATCTTCACACCTCCCAAATTTTAAGTATCCAAATTTTAAAGCTGATGTCAGAATCTTTTATGCCACAATTTGAATTCAACTTCATTAAGACAAAAATAATTTTCACTAAATAATTTCTAAATGAAAATTTATTCACCCAGAATGAATGTGTAGTTGTACATCGTACCTTTGAAGGCACTGCATAATGTTCTGATTCCCATACTATTTCTTCAAAAACTCCCCTTTTCCCTTCCGTGAACATTTCAAAGTCAAGAATGAAATAAGCAGCACCAGAATGTATCACGTAAAAAGCAACGTGCTTCACAGAGATTGTAAAGTTGAGACTTGTTTTAAAATTTAAAGTGTCATTTGAATACTGTATACTCATAACATTAGAGGCACTTAAGAGTTTTACAAATGAGTCTATCAAAGGCATTCTTCAATTCTGTTACAATAGTTTTTATTTGTAGCATTTCTTTTTTGATTCTTAAAATCTTCATTTTTCTGCTTATATTACCCAGCTGGTCTTGCTTGTTGTCTACTTTTTTCATTAGAGCCTTTAGCATATTAATAATTCCCTTTCCAATAATTCCAACATTCCTGCCATATCTGAGTCTGATTCTGATGCTTGCTCTGTCTCTTCAAGTTGTGTTTTTTGTCTTTTAGTATGCCTTGTCATTTTTTTTTGTTGAAAACGAGACATTTACTGGGTAAAAGGAGCTGCAGTAAATAGATCTTTAGTGATGCAGTGCTGAGCTGTGAGGGGTGGGGACACATTCTGCAGTCCTGTGAGTAAGTCTCAGTTTTAGTGAACCTATGCCTCTGGGTTGTAAACTTCACAGATGTTTTTCTGTGCCCCCTTTTACTGCCCAACACAGGTCAGGCAAAACCAGAAGGGGCTTCCTTTCCCCATGGTCTCTTAGGCTTAGATAAAAGACCAGTCTGTTAGGCTTTGGTGAAATGGTTTGCTTCGAGGGAAGATCTTAAGAAGAACAGAACACTTGGGCATATTTAAGGATGTGCCCCTTGTCAGAAGTACAATTGGATTTTTCTCCAGTATTCACTATGAGAACCTGGTAGAGCTCCTGTACATAAAACTCACAAAAGCATTGGAACAACCCCCTAAGACTAGGTTTCCTGGAGTTCTGAACTCTCTAACTTGTCCACGGTGAGCCTCCAGCAATTCACTAATGATAGTTTAGGTGTCCCTGCTCTAGCACTGCTTTCCCCAGTGGTTGTTCCTTTTGGGTTTCTACTCTGGTAAAATTGTAATTCTCTGTATTTCCCTGTCTCTCCAATTTTGGGGGCGGCAATTTGCCCTGTGACCCTTCAGTTCTCTGAGAGCTCTAAGAGTTGTTAATTTTTCAGTTTATTCAGCATTATTTGTCTTATTGTGTGGATGACGGAGACATCTTCCAAGATCCTTACATGCCAGCCCTGGAAAAGTGAAAATGTTATAGTGCTTGATATTAGATACATACTTGAATGTGCCCGTGACTTCGGAGTATTTATTCCTATTATTTATTTTAAATATGACACATAAGGAGAGAAAATCTTACATAAACAAATTTATTCAATACGTTAACAGCGGGTTATATGAGAAATTAGAGTCTCTGACTCTGACTTCTCTTGGATAGTCTCTATCAGACTAGTGCCTCCATTAATAGGGTCAAACTTCTTGCCTGCAATGAGATGCACAGAAACTTTTCTTAGCTTTTAGAAACTGGTGGTAACAAAGCTTTTAACTCTCTATCTGGTAATAGAGATAGGAGGAGGAGGGAATCTTATTAATCCTTTGAAAATTTTTTTTTTTTTTGAGATGGAGTTTCACTCTTGTTGCCCAGGCTGGAGTGCAATGGCATGATCTTGGCTCACTTCAACCTCCGCCTCCCAAGTTCAAGTGATTCTCCTGCCTCAGCCTCCTGAGTAGCTAGGATTATAGTTGCACACCACCATGCCCTGCTAATTTTTTTTTTGTATTTTTTTAGTAGAGATGGGGTTTCGCCATGCTGGCCAGGCTGGTCTCAAACTCCTGACCTCAGGTGATCCACCCACCTTGGCCTCCCAAAGTGCTGGGATTATAGGCATGAGCCACGGTGCCCAGCCCTAACCCTTTGTCTTTACTAAGAGTAATTTACTGATGGGATTAGCAGTTGATTCCTTTAGATAGATAAGGTAGCTATTAAGAATGAGGGCGGCTTCCAAACTTACATCACTATGTTATCCAAAATTACATCATCTCACACACACACATCACATCACAGTAGGGGAAAACCAAATGGCCCACAAACACAAAAAGAGATGCTCAAATTTACTATTAATAAAAGAAATGTAATTAAATCCCATGAGAATGGAAAAATTTAAGTGATGGTTAAGAATAATTTTCATATATGTTTCTCACAAATGTGCTTGCACTAACAATAAAAAAAATATAACCATACTTGAGAGTGATACACATTACTATATATGCTATAACCAGACAATCCAAACTGAAACATATACCACAGAAACATTTTGACACAATAAAGTATTGCTTGTCATAGCTGGGAGTGAGACCGCCTACCACTGGGAAAATGAATCAGTAAAATATGATGGATGCATACTTGTAATATAATTATTACTGAAGCAAACCAGCTATACACAAAATATAAGTCGATATCGAACATATAGTTTTGAGTAAATTAAGAAGCCAACCGAGAACCATAGTATAATACACAAAACAAGATGCCATATTTTATACCGGTGCACCTTTTTTTAATGATGGCTCCTCTAGAGTAGGTGCCTATGTGGAAAAGGAGAATTGAAATGGGGTAAAGGGGCATGGAAGAGTAAAGGAGAAAAATGAAAATAAAACCAGTGAGAAGAAGCCTTGCATAGGAAAGAGCAACAAATACCAAATACACATAAGCCCTCTCTAAAAGACTCTTTTTTTTTTTTTTTTTTTTTTTTTTTTTGAGACAA
The DNA here is from genome assembly GCF_000001405.40 of Homo sapiens. NCBI lineage: Eukaryota > Metazoa > Chordata > Mammalia > Primates > Hominidae > Homo > Homo sapiens. Next base: position 28,601,841 of record NC_000003.12, on the reverse strand, counting down.
GAGTCTTGCTCTGTCACCCAGGCTGGAGTGCAGTGGCACAATCTTGGCTCACTACAATCTCCACCTCCAGGGTTCCAGCGATTCTCCTGCCTCAGCTTCCCGAGTAGCTGGGATTACAGGTGTGTGCCACCACAGCCAGCTAATTTTTGTATATTTGGTAGAGACGGGGTTTCACCATGTTGACCAGGCCGGTCTCGAATACTTGGCCTCAAGTGATCTGCCTGCTTTGGCCTCCAAAAGACTCTATATTTCCCCCACCTTTTCAGTTTCCCCTGCACCTGCCAGTTCACAGCAGACAGGAAACATACCTGTAATCCTTTGTCTTTTACTTGCCAAGTTGTCCCACATGCCCATGTTTACCTTCCAGATTGTCAAACAAGTAATCATTTGTTTCTTGTGAATTTCTTCATAACTCAGGAATTCAATGAAAAAAATCCAGTATCTTAGTAATCATCAACACCTACTTCCTCATTTTACACGTTTGGATTTGTTTTGTGATTTAGAAAGTGACATAAATATACTTAGAGCATTTTGGAGCACTTAAATTTTATAATCCTTGATACTAAATGCTTACTCAAATTTGTCTATAATTTGGAAGTAGCCCTATTGTTATACATAGGAGAAAATGACAGGAGAAAGCCTTGCTTAGACTCATACATGCAGTAAATTAGTAGAAGGTTGTAAGTGAGAAGTTAGGGTCCCTGGCTCTCAGAATAGTGTCTGTCCTACTTGGGCCATGTACAGAAAAATGAAAAGATGCCTAAGAGCTAGTTCCAGGCAGCCAGGAATAGACCATAAGTCTCCAGAGTCCCAGGTCAATGAGCCTTCTTCTTTCCTCACTGTTCTGCACATATTTGCACTGATTCTAACTGATCAGCTATTTCCCACAATGGTACTTTCCTGGTGAAACCAATATCATTATTTTCAAGGGGAGGGCATCACAAACTGACTTATCGGTACTGGAAAAAGATGCAGTCAAGAGCACAAAAATCAGGAAACTTTTCGGGGAGACAGCAGTTCCATACCTTCACATTTTTCACATGAAATCCAAAAAGGCAGGAGAACTTACTTTCTAAATATTTTTTCTACAACTGAATAAATATTTCAGTGCTAAAAATCCAACATGACATGGTCATAGTCCCCTGATTCAAAACTCCTATCTTCCTCACTTATTAATCACATTTTGCCATCGGTATAGCACTAACAAATCAAATTAGTACTCACTGACAAAATACTTTAAAAAGGAGAGGGTCACAAAGCTCCCCTCCAACCAAAAAAATGTAAAATAGTCCCAGAAGAGTGAATTAAAATGCTCATTTTAGTTTTCCTGAGGTCTAAATCTCCTCAGGCACCTTCTGTGATCTTTTATTTAGAGGGAAAAAATTTTCGGCTGTCCGCCTGTACTTTCTCCATCAGGCATTCAGCCCCAAAGAAAAAGGAAAATATTTCTAACGCAAGCCCAAAATATAAGAAATGAAGAAACAGCTTAGAATCAAAGTGATTTCTACAGAAGGTTGAAAATGGTGTCGCTTAGAGTAACCCTGGATATACAGATTACATGTGACTAACTCTGATCTTTCATAAAGAATCGGAATTTGTATTGATAGAAAAAGCTTCCAGCTATAAGAAAACAAAAGTAGCAACAATAAACAACACTGATCTCTTTTCTCACAGAAGCACTATTCATGGACAAAAGAATTGAAGTGGAAAAATAGCTTCAGATTTCAATCAACTCTGTAGAGTGGTTCACACAAACATACACAGAAAACAGGCTTAAATGATAATCACCTGACCCAAGTGCAATAAACCATGAGTAATGGCACATCTCCCAGGTTGAAGACTGACTTCGTGGGCTTAACAGTGGCCTTCAGAGGTCACCGAGAGGGGCATCTCATTCTGACAAAAGTCCACTTAACCACCTCTGCCAAAAGAGATTCTAAAAATGCCTAAATCTTTCCCAATAAGACTCCAAAGTCACACCCAGGAGCACATCTCAAAGCTTAATAGCCTACAATACCAGGAAATGATTTCATGTAGGTAACTTAAATCACCCACCCTAGAGATTTAACCTGTTTCTTCTCTTTTTGACTGCAGAGGATAACAGCTGACCCTGCTTCAGTGACAAGTTCTTCCTTTATTGGAAATGCATTATCAAATTGTTCTTCAGGATGAGATGCTGTTCTGTCTGACCTTTGCTTCTGGTTCTCCCTTCACATCCCTTCAAACACTTTGGTGGCTCCTCAGGAAACCCTCTGTATCATGAGAACAAGTCATGTGCAGAGAAGAGCAAAGAGTTACTTTCATAATAATTGTAAGAAGAACAGGAGAAGTCCACAATGGAGCTTTTTAGACATTTGGGTATGTGGGAGGAAATTGAGAGCAACACTCAAAAGGATATTGGAAGAGCCAGTGATCCCTTTCTAAGCACTTATTTTAAAGATACTTCCTCGCATTAACATTTATTCATTAAAGTATACTAACATTTATCTATAAGAATGTTCTCTGCAGCCCTGCTTATAATAGGGAAAAATTAAAAGCAACCTTAAAGTACAACATTAAGGAAAGAATTGTCTCAAATTTTATAGAGATTGAGTGGAATATTATTCATCCATGAAAAGTAATGCTGTTAGATGAGCATTTAACATTTTTATGATACAGTATAATGTGATATTTAAGAAAGCAGGTTGCAATACAATGTGTACAGAGTGTCCTAATTTATGTTAAATTGTGTGTGTATTTGTGTTTAAAAATATTAGTCAAGAAAAATATATACCAAGATCTTGGCAGTGGTAATTACTGGGTAGTAGGATTATGAGGGTTTTCCTCTTCTTATTTTTACCTATCAGTGTTTTCTGATTTTTCTCATAATGAGCCTATGTTGCTTTTAAGCAGAAAAAATCCAGCATTTATTTTAGTTTTACAAATATCTTGTACAAAAAATAGCTTAATACTTTGTACAAAACTAAATAGAAAGTAGATGTAACAGTTCAGATAACAAAGAAATTAGGGTCTAGATAAGGGAACATCCAAAAAAGGAAACATGTCAGAGACATAACAAATGAAGTTAGTGTTCAGAATCAGTGTTGTCTCTTCCATTCTGCATGAATTCTCTGAATTATTGGATGCCCACTCCTCTTCAGAACGCCACTCCCTCTTCGTTTCTTCTCTTCCTCTGCCTCTTCCTTTTTGGCCTAGGTTGCATGCTGCTCTAGCACTCTGCATGCTGCCCTAGGTTGATGTCAGTTACTCCTCTGTAACTGTACCTTCCATCAACCTCTCTCCTGGCCTTTAAAATAGAATCTCCAATCTTTAGAACTCCTGCAGGCCCATTCAATTATATACGTTTAAAGCCAGAATCATTATTCTCTCCCCCAAATCCTGCTCCTTTCCAGTATTCCTTGTCCTCTACTCAATAGTATCATCATGCACCCAAGCTAGATGTCTCAGGGTTATTCTTAACTCCTCCCTCTCTGTTATTCTTCAAGCAAATCAGGACAAGTCTCGTCATGCCCACTGCCTAAAGCTCTCCGGTATTTGTTGTCTTCTCTATTTTTTTCCTCACAACAGTAGTCCAATACCCCATAACCTGCATTAGATACATCTTCACGCCAGTTCAAACCTAAGCTTATGTTAAAGCCATCTAGTACCCTTCCCAGCTGCCAAAGTCCAAACTGCTTCCTGCTATGCACAAGGCTCTTTAAAGTCTAGTTTTACTTTATCTTTCCACACTTAACACACTCCACACTTAACACTCCCCACAACACCAACTAAATCATACCCACCCACCCCCACCCACACACACACACACCAACCTAGAGCCACCAAGTTTCTACTAAATTCCAAACATGAAATGCACACAGTGCTCATGTGTCACTGCATCCCATTTCTATGGCCTGGAAACCCCTACTCTTTTCTCTACCTATCATTATTCTTTAGGATCTTTCTGAAACACTCCTTTCCTCTCTGATATTTAAGCCTCAGTCCTACTGCTATGCAGTCATTTTTTTCCACTATGCTTTCTTTCACAACATAACATGTACACATTCCTCTTTTATACTTCCTATACCCCCAATCCCATGCCACTCTATCAACAAATGAGACTATGAATAGAGTCTTTGCTCAACTCCCCTGTTGAAGCTGGCAAAGCTAGATAGTCACCGTCCAAGCCCATCTCGCAGCTGGGAATCGTCATGTGACACAACCCAGCCAATCAGACATCAGTTAAAAATCGCTGGGGAGTTTCTGAAAAATTTTTGTGTTTACCTGATAATAGAGAAAAGCACAGCTGATATCTCCCTCTTCCTCTCATCTTGTACACGAATATAATGTCTGCAGTTTCAGAAGCCATCTTGCTAGCCCGAGGACAAAGCCAAGAGAATCACAGAGATTACAGCCCTGATGCCATAGAGGTCCTGAACCAACATCGCTAGCCACCAGTCTACAGACTTACTAAGTGAGAAAAATCAATCCTGATTTCTCTAGCTATTTTTCATACTTTTGTTGTTCCTGTTATTGTTACTTGCTGCATTCCTAACTGACATTGTTTTTTAAACAAATTCATGTAGCAGTAGAATTTCTCGGGACCTACTGGTCTTCTGACACCAAGCATTTTTGTTTATGTGTCCTTGTTTAGGTCTTTAGGCACTACCATTTCCATTTACAAAATTAAAGACTGATGTATTGAAAGATTAAGTAATTTCTCAAACACCATACACAGTTACAAAGGTTCTCAGCCAGGATTCCAACTCAGAGCCGTCTGATTTAAAAGCTTGTTCTTTTTACCACTTGCAAAGACTGATTCTATGAGGCTAGACCAAGAAAAGAGCTGTTGAAGACAACATGGGTTTGCAAGCCCAGCAAATGGGAAAATCTGTATCAGCTGAATCCATTTACCAGTTTACCGATGAGTTGGTAGTGTGGGACAGAATGAAAAGGGTTGCTAAAGTTGGTAATAGAATTCTTTCCAAAGTGCCTTCACAAGAATTATCAATCCTGCCATTCTGTCACAGAAGATTGGATTCTTCTCCAAAAAGCCAAAATGGTTAATGGCTCGCACTCCATTTTCTTCAAGATGCTTGCAAATTTATTCACAAAGGAGACCCACGCTCTAAGAAAGGGTAGCGGAAACATTGTTTAAGCCATTTGTGAGCATGCAAAGGCAACACATGAAATAAAATGCCTGTTCAGAATTGAGAAGGCCCTATTTGGGATCAGGAATGATTTTTAAAAGAGTAGGAAGACACCTCCACAATGTGATTTAAGGATCAAGAAACATGATTTAATTTTCCCCAGAGATATAAGAACAAAAAGTCAAACAAACTTATTATATTGCAGTTAGTCTGATATACACCATAAGGTGAAAGAAAGCAAGGGCTTTGTACCAAGCAGAATATATTTAAATCCCAACTCCACCGATAACTGCACCTTAGCCTTTGAAACTCAGTGTAATGGTCAAATTAGGATGATGTGCTTACTTTACAAGGTTTTGTGAGGATTAAATTAGATAAAAGATAAGCAAAATTTTAGGTCAATGCCTGGCCCCAGTAAGTGCTGGATAAGTGGTATTGCTAATAATAATAACAACAATTAGTAAAGCAATGGCAATAACAGCCCAGAAGTACCTCAACTGGAAAATGACCATGCTAACACTGGGGAGAAAATAGATGGTTGAGATATATCCAAACTGACGTATTACTAGAAACAGGGACATAAATATAAGTTTGAGGATATTTTGTGTAAACAAAGCTGATTGCTTCCCTATGAAAGGGTGGATATCTTGAAAGTTTCACATTATTCCAGAATAATCCTCAAAAGGACAGTGAGCTTTATATTTATATTATGTATATATATATTATTTTTATATTAAAATATTATCAGTCCAATATTTATATTTATCAGTCCAAAGTGATGCCCACTTCCCTCCATGTATCAATAGTATAAACACTTTACAATGTGCTTGGCTTCCAACTTTGAAATTTAAGTGATTCTTGCTGAAATTTTTATTATAGAATTTGGTTCACATTATTTTAAATTTAACTTATAAAGTGAAGTAAGATTAACTTTTGTCACAAAATCTCAAATATACATAATTCTAGTTCTTACAAAATGTTCCAAGGCAGCTAAGTTCTGGAGCCTGGGATCTCAGGCAGAGACGGTTGCCTTTCTATAAAATCCTCCCCACAACCCCTGCTTCTAGAGAATATACTTGTGTCTGGGAAGCAACTGCCTCATGAGTAATCACATTTCCTAGCCCCTGGACCAGCCATAGCCATATAACTGGTTCCCTCCAGCGGAATGTCAGTGGCATCACCATCTCCACCCTCTTTCCTTTCCTCAGACTGGATGCAGATGATGATGTGGCCATCGAGGATGGCAGAAGCGAAAGATGAAAGGAGCCAGTGGTTCACTGCATAAAGAAAGCCACCCACTGACCAAGAACACACATTTTAGACTGTGATAAAAGTGAGAAATAAAGCTCTATTATGTGTGAGACATTACACACCTTTAGGTTTGTCAGTAGCACTAATGCAGATTCCATAGAGGAAACTTACATGAAAAAAGATTTAAGACCAGTTGAGATACTAAGCAAGAGACAAAAAGAAAATCTAGATACATGTAATCACAACATATTAAGAGGATTTTTAAAAATTGAACAACCAGCATCTTTTAAAATTTCCAGCCAAGATACCTGACAGGTGTTATTAACAGCAAAAAAAAAAAAAAAAAAAAAAAATTGGTCTAATATATGCTAAGCTTTACATTCTTGCTTATGTGAAAAGCCTAGGTTAGTTATGATCTTCCTAAGTTTAGAAAGAACCTTTACTAAAATTGTTATCTCTACGCAAATGAAAATTAAGAATGGGTTGAGGAATTTATGAGCCATTTATGAGCACGCAAAGGCAACACATGAAATAAAATGCCTGTTCAGAATTGAGAAGGCCCTATTTGGGATCAGGAATGATTTTTAAAAGAGTAGGAAGATACCTCCACAATGTGATTTAAGGATCAAGTAACTGGCTATAGGAGCCCACCTCCAAGAAGGCCCCCAATGATTCTCACCTCTTCATATTCACACCTCTGTGCTTCCTCCGGCCACACTGCGTAGGGCTGCTCTGTGTATACAATTTGGTACTGCAAACATGCCAGAGTATGACTTCCGAGGCTAGTTCATAAAAAAACATTGTGGCTTCCACCTTCCTCTCACTTGAATCACTAGTCTGGAAGAAACCAGCTACAATGTTGTAAGGATACTCAAGAAGCCCCATGGAGAGATTTAGGTGGCAAGGAATTCAGGCCCCCCACACACCACCAGCACTAACTTCCCAGCCACATGACTGGGCCATATTGGAAGCCAATCATCCAAGTCCAGTCAAGCTTTTAGATGGTTGTAGTCCAAGCTGACATCTGTGCTGCGACTTCATGAGACAGTATGATCCAGAACCCTGCAGGTAAGTTGCTTGAATTCCTGACCTACAGAAACTATGTGAGATAATAAATACTTATTGTTCCTTTTGCTGCTAAGTTTTGGGTTAATTTATTATTCTCCAATAGATAATGAATTTTACTAGCTTGTTCAATATAGAGACAGAGAGTGAAAAAGAGAAAATTAGCTCTACTTTAGGCTGAAAAGGTTTGCCTATCTTTAATTATGTTTGATGCTTCCTGGAAATAGGGGAATAGACTCTGCCAGGCATCGTGTATTACCTTGAGTGTTCTCCAACTGAGTCACAGATGAAATCAGTTCTACCTGGGTGACAGGCTCTTTTTAACAAGGCAGCAAAGGTTTTACTCATGAACTTATCATTGGCTCATGTGAAAGGCAAATTTAAAGGTTTAATTCATTCTGAGGAAGGGGTGTTGACTGGCAGAACTGAAGAAAACATGGCTAATTGAACAGAGCATATACTTCATTCAGGGAATCAGAGACTATTTCTTAAGAGCCTCACATTTCACATAAAATGAAGACTTCAGGGCAATTTGATGCTTGTGCTGCTACACAGCACACTGCATCACTACCATCCTATGATTGAGAACCCTCACACCAAACTACTTCAGTTTTCTCTTTCTTCACTGAGGGCACTTAAGAGGTGGAAAAAAATCTCTCATTGCCTCCACATTGCGACTGGCTGACTTGTTGGAAGTGCCACAGTGTTTGATCATATTGACGTGATTACTGAAAACAGAAAGCAAAGAACGTGTGGTGGCTCATTTCCCTCTTTACAGTTTGCAGGAACCATCACTCGCTCTTACATCACAGTAGGTGGCACACTGACAAGGACTAGCAACACAACTCCTTGTCAGAAAACTCTATCAGGAAGACCCGGACTATAACCGAGCAACACACTTCCAGACCTCATCACACACTGCCAAGGACAGTGTCAAGTAATGTCTGACAATTCTGTCCTCATCTCATGCGCTATTCTGACCAGCAGTCCGTGGCACAGTTCATGTCCTCAGGGAATCCTCTTTTGAAATGACTGATTTTTTTTTTTTTAACCTGATTTCTCACTAATTCTGAAATCTAGCAAATATTAGAGAATGCTGTTGTATTTTTATAATAACCTAACAGATCCCATAAGATAATTTCCATGAACACTGAATCATGTTTTAACAAAGTCAATTTGTGGGTATGGCATTTTCTCTGCCTTTTAGGTTGTAGGTGGCCTATAAACCTACACTTAAGTGCATCCTGCAATGACTCCCAATCTGGAGGCTTTGAAGAAAGTATCATAGTTTCATAAATAATCCTCACCATTGAAAAAATGTAACAAGAATCATGCATTTGCTCATGATAAAACTGCATGAATTAAATAAAGCAGTGGCGGACACACTATGATCTGATAGCCAAATTGGTCCTAATGCCTGTTTTTGCAAATACAATTTTGTTATAATATAAACACATCCATTCATTTGTCTATGACTGCTTTACACTATAAAAGAGTTGAATAGTTGAGACAGAGACTGTGTGGTTCAAAAAGCTGAAAATATTTACTATTTGGCACTTTGCAGAAACAGTTAGCCAACACCTGAAATAAAGTGTCACACTTCTTACTTTGGGCTCTGGGTATAGCAACTGATATGGGACCCTTTCTTGACCATCTCACACTGACTGCTACTTTAACTTTAGTGAGTAAAGAGACGAAGTAACAAATCTGATAGATTAAATCTTTCAAGATTTAAGGTGGAATCAAGAGAGTTTTCCTTCTTAATAAAGTATTTTCCTTATTCATGCTTACCAAAATTAAAAAGTAAAATCTGCACTGTGCATGCATTTGTTTAAAGTTTCTACCCACTGGATAAGTTTAAGTAGCCTTCTTTTTTTTTTTAACATGACTAATTTAGTCTCCAGTACTTTACAGAGGTAAGTATTCTGAGCCTTAGGTTGCATGTGTTTTTTAAGTAAACTATTTGGGATACAATGTTTTTCCTGGTTTGAAAATTCATAAGCATGGACTAATCCATATTGTAGAAGATAAGAAAATGTTTGTAGCAAAATTTAATGACAGTATAACTGCTACACAATTTGAAATCACTGGTTTAGAAACCCAAAGCTATATAGTTTGGCATCAAGACACAATCTTTCCAATCATGGTGGATCACACCTGTAATCCCAGCACTCTGGGAGGCTTAGGTGGAAGGATCGTTTGAGCCCAAGAGTTCCAGAACAGCCTGGGCAACATAGCGAGACTCCATCTCTAGAAAAAGAAAAGAGAGACAGAACCTTCATTAAAGTCTGAGACTATGATTTTTAGAGAAGTTTCCCGTCTTCTACCTTCAAAACAACAGAAAGGGTCCCCGCAAATCTCAATTTTATTAGAGAAAAGACAACGCTTGGAATTCTTGGTTTAAGAAACTTTCTCCTCATACTAGTCTCTTACAATTAGATCTGGAAAAAGGATATATTTACAGACTTGGGGATCCTGACTACCTCATAACAAGACAAAGCCTTACACATTCTGTTTTAAAACTTCCCCTCAAAATATTATTCTCATAAAGGATATACAAAAACAAGACCCGAAAGTCCCAGAATATTTTTCAGATCAGGGTTTCTGAACCTTAGCCCTACTGATATGTTGGGCCTGATAATTTGGCATTGTAGGAGGCTGCAATGTGCATTGCAGGATATTTATCAGCATCCTTGGCTTCTACCTACTGGATGCCAGGAGCACCCCACCAATGGCTGTGACAGCCAAAAATGTCTGCAGATATGACTGAATGTCCCTAGAGGGAGGGCCAAAATCATCCCCAGTGGAGAAACGCCTCTCTAGAGAAGAGTTAAACCTATAACTTGCCAAAAGATGGTTATTTTGTCCAACCTGTACAAACCAACTATCCATACAGTTGGAAGAAAACCTGTATCTTTCCAAAGTAAAGCAGCTACAGGTCCTGTAACAGTTTTTATCACAACCATGCTCAAAAAGAGGATTAATTCTTTTCTGAGAAAATTCCACCATTTGAGTTTCTCTGAGTTGTCATCTTTTCCTTTAGAACCCAGATTTCTTTCCCAGAATCTGATCAACACATAAAAGGCATCACAGGCATTCAGAGAGACTCATTTTCCAATTCTGTTTCCAAATCCCACCCTGATTTAACAGCATCGATAGACAGTCTCTTGTAACTGATCAGAGCAAAAAAAATAAGTGCCTGCATTTGCTAAAAGAGTCCACTATGAGAGATCATTGCTTTATGTATAGCACATTAACAGGATTTCATATGACAGCGCCAAAAGTCGAATGTGGTTATTTTTCTTGTGATCCTTTTCAACCCCCAATTCAATTACCATGCTCATTTTTCTGATGAATCATCAGCAGAAAGCCAGACTGTTTTTAGAGAGTGATATGATTCTCAACTCAAACATCAGACTGCTTCACCTACCTGACACCAAATAGACACTTAGTCTAGCCCTGAAGAAGGTTAGACCTTAGTTGCTAACCCAGTGCAAAATTAACCCTTTATAGAACTTGGAGTTTTTCAAACACAGCTGTTATGCAAATGACACCAAAGAAAAACGAAAGAAAAAAAATACTAAACAATGTAGTGAAGTGTATGGTGTTACCTTATCGTTGTAACTCTACATTGAATAGCCTTAGAGATGCAAATCTCAGCTCTAGGCCACAATTAAATTGTTGCATCAAAATAAAGACTTCACATAAATTTTCAAACATCACAGCAGCTGTGAAATGTTAGGTCTTCAATACTGCTTGTCCCTCAAGGATTTTCTTTTTTCTCTACCTCTTCTTCCTTCATTAAAAGGATACACAACCAAAGAAGCAACATCTGACATGTTGATATTGCCACAGATACTGAATCTCTATAGAATTCAGGGACTGGTGCCATAAACAAGGAGGTTTCTTTGAATTCCAAAATTGCCTGGAAACTGAAAGTAGAACAAATGGACACGTGACCACCCAATATTTAGGTTGTGACTCCCAGCTGGCGTGACTCTGAGCTAAGTGCTTTTGCTACAATCACATACAGAAAGTGAGTTCACATTTCTGAGTAGTGAGCATGGGAAGACACAATAGTTACAGCAAGGAGTTACAGCAATTTTTCCTCATTCTTGCTCCTTATTCATGTGCCCTTCTAGGTTTCAAGTTGCTTGAAGCTATTGACATCACAGATACCTAGAGTCCATATTTTCACTAGTAAATCTCAGTGGTGAAAGTGAACTCCCTGATGCACAGGACTCTGGAATGAGCTCTAGCTTCATGTCTTTAGTTCAAACATAAAGAAATAAGAAGGTAATGACTAAAGGGCAATTATGGTTGCCTTGGTTACATCTCTAACTTTTGGCAAATATATTAGTGTTTCTGTATCTCTATGTTTTAATACTTATTTAAATGGTAGGTAAAAATACCAGAAAGATGTCATTTTTATTGGCTTAGCTATATATCTTTTTCTTTCTTGATTATTGTTCTCTGTATCAACTGTATTCTCATTCCTTGGTTCAGATTATCTGCCACTGCTGAAATGGAGGAGAGAAGGCTGACATCTCCCACTCTCACTGTCTTCCATGCATTGCTACATCCTGAATGGGATGCCTAGGGGCCTCCCAGCTAACTGGACGTGTAAATAAGAGTTTTAGATCACTTCAAGGTGTCATTCAAATTTTCATCCTAGCTAACAGGGAGGAAATTCACCAAATCCACCCTGGGGCCATTTTCCCATCTCTTTTCCCGCTGACAGTTAATGTGCCAGACAAAGGCACAGCAAGTCTCATATCAGGAGACTTCCTCCAATCCTTCCTCCAATCTTAAAAAGATTACTCTTCTCACTCATGGATTTAAAAGAAGAAATACAAGAAGGGTTAAAAAGGTAATATCTATTATCAGACGTTTTTTCATATACACTCTTTTTCTTATTTATCTATACCTAAAACCACTAGCAATCATAACGTATTTGAAATTTTATTCAGTAAGATGTAAGAAGAGAATAGGACAAACACCTTAAGAGTGTTACTTTGTAACTTAGTATTCTTTATCCATTATATAATTTGAAAATTATTCCCTACGTTGTTGTTGCAAGCATGGAGGCTCTTTGATGATCTTAGATTTGGGCTCTTGGCAAGATTTCTCTGCCTGTGTATTCTGACAATAAGTACCATTATAGTAATCCCCACAGTGTGAAGACAATCATTAGTAAATGGCTAAGAGGAGATGTCAATGGTGCTTCAGGCAGTGCTTCCACTACCCACTAATAAAGGCTTTGAACTTGAGTAATAGAAAAGCCATCTCTTGGAACCACTTTACCAAAGACTGCTCTCTATAATGGTCAAGGGCAAATACCAAGATTCAAGAGAATACCTAAGTAAAAATAGTAACCCCACTAGCCAAAGTTTTTGAAAGAGATCTTGCTCTAAGCTGCCTCTATACACAACAATATTGGTAATTCTAAAACAATTTGTAAGTCACCAAGAACCTAAAGCAAACCCAGGGAAGTTGTAAAATTTCCGTCCTTGTCAAAGGATTTGTTTCACAGCTTCTCATAACAACAGCTGAGGCAGGCTAGGAGAGGTAAAGTCAGAGTCTATAACATCCCTGTCCTATAAAACTTTCTGCAATAATAGACACACTCTATATCTGCATTGTGCAACCATTAGACTTACGGCTTTTAAGCATTTGAAATGGAGCTGTGCAAATAAGTAACTGAATTTTTAATTAAATTTTAATCAAGTTTAAATGTAAATAGCCACATGTGTCAATTGACCATTATATTGAATAATTCAGGTTTAGAAATTGAGGAGGGGAGCACTGAAGATTGAGTGTCTGGTCTAAGCAAGGGAGAAGCCATTGCTAAGAAAGCTGTAAGCCTAGCAAGGACAGCACCAGAGTTTCATCTTGTACACCACCTCCAATTGATTGTTAAGGAATGCCTGCTCCCAAGGCGAAGGCTGAACTCAATAGCAAAGAGTGCTGTGATTAGTTTGCAATGACTAACCTGAACCCAGGAAGGGAGCTGGTGGCGCATTTGCTGCATATTTCCCAATGCCAATATGGTGAGCAGAACTTAAACCCTGAAAACAAAGTAGAAAGAAGTAGACAAGGCCAGGTTCTTAGGCTCTAAGATACATGGCCATTCCAGAAAACAGGCTGGATTATGGTTATTTGTTTGCTGTCTTGAATAAATATGGTTAGACAGGGGGTCTGAATATGTGCCTACAGCTAAGGGGCCACTGGTGTCAAGTATTTTTTTTAGTTGTTTATTTTCTGTGATGTTTATTTAGTTGTTTACTTGTTTAGTATCTCTCTCTCCCACTAAAATGTGGGCTGCATAAGAACATCGACCATCCTGTCCCAGAAAGTAAGTCTTAGATAAAAGATTACCCAAATGGGTACCCTGATATGATTGCTACTACGTTAGGATTGGAGAAATTGCCTGAAAATACAGATCTGTCCCTATCCTCATGACATACATTAGACAGATTACGCAACTAAGAATGTGTGATATCCCATCAACAGGGACTTATTTTTTCTAATTTAAGTTCAGGGGTACATGTGCAGGTAAACTTGTATCATGGGGGTTTGTTGTACAGATTATTGCACCACTAGGTATTAAGCCTAGTATCCATTAGTTATTTTCCTGATCCTCTTCCTTCTCCCACCCTCCAACCTCCAATAGGCCCCAGTGTGTATTATTCCCCTCTATGTGAGGAACCTGACTTATGAGGTATGCAGGGAAAGGTCCAAATCAGGGAAAGCTTCCTTGAGGTATTGAACTGAATTTTGAAGGCTGAGTAGGAATTAACTGGGTGACAAGAAAGTGAAAGAGAGGGAAGGAAGAGCATTCTAGGCAAAGGGAATGGCTTTAGCAAAGGCTTAGGGTAGGACACTGTGAGCTCAAAAATCTTCAAAGTATATATATTTTTAAAAAGGTTATTATTACTTTCATCCAAAGAGCAAGCAAGACAGTCAGGAGAGCAAGTTTTCAGGGTCAGTTGAAGAGGCCCCTGGTGGTGTCCTGCCACTCAAATCCAGCCCCTTGGACCTCCTGGGCACACGGACCCATGCAGTATCATCTGAGGATATCCTTCTCAGGAATGACCACATGATCCTTTGCACCCTATCCCCCAGCTCCTTTAACTCTGATGTTCTTTTGTTCAATTCCTTAAATAGAATAACAGAAAACCATGAATGCAGGTAGGACTCATTTATCCAACAAAACCAGAGTGACTGACAGATATACATTCAGATTCATGCAAGAACTTACAATAGGCTTTGCTCATGCACTACTGAATTTGAGTTTCTGGTCTAGACAGAACAGTAAAGGATCCTGAACAGTAAAGGATACTGAGACTCAAAGAAAATGTGACTTGTCCAGGAGTTCACAGTTATAAAGGGCAGATCCAGGATTCAATGTCATACCATCCAAGTCCCACATTCTTTCCTACAAGAGCAGTTTTTTTTTTCCCAAATGAGGGTTACCATGGGAAATATTGAGTCAGATTCTTAATGACACAAACCCTACCAACCACGCAACTTTAAAGAAAAAATTATTGAGCTGATTTGTGTTCTGCCAGTGAAAGCACTCTTTCAAAGAGCTTTCCGTTCTCCAGCCAGGGAGACTAGCATTCTAAAACAGAGCTAGCATCCTAAAACACACTTACATTGTGGTTAGAGGCTTTGGGGAGCTGCCTCAGAAAGTTCTATGGCCACTTATTCAGAAAGGTAATATTGTTCCTACAATTCAAATCCAGAGCCTTGCTTTGAACTATTTTTAAAGTCAATTTGAAGAACCTGGAATCATTCATAGGGCCTCATTAGTTCTGAAATACAATGAGTCATTTTCAGACTCACAGATTGAATGCCCCAAAGCACATTCAACAATGACAGCTCTCATATCCTGAGAGCCTACAAAGGCACAGATGTTTTACATGCATCCTATAAGGAGGGTGACTAAGTTTTCTGGTTTACCTGAGATGGAGAACTTTCAATGTTAAACTAAGATAAGTTAGTAACCTTACTAGTAATTCCATCCTATAACTTCAGGTATGTAAGAAGACCTTATCCATCATCTTCATTGATAAGAAAATCCAGACCAGAGTGTTCATATGGTTTGCCCAAGGTCCTTACAGCCTGTAGAAACAAAACTGGGGTTTAAAATGGGGCCTAATTCCCAAGAATGACCCCAAACCTAGGCCCGTGGGTAACACAGCAGTGCAATTTATCTGAGAGAGATGCACATCCCTGGGTGCTGACATGTAAATGAACACCTCAGACCTTCAACTTCTCTGGCGAACTCTCACTTTTCTATCTTCTGAAATGGATAGGTTTTTTTTTTTTTCGGGACTGAAATAAAACTGGGAGCATTCTCTTTGCCTTAAGCTCAATGTTCTGATTTGCATGTCAGTGCCAGCAGTGTTATTTCACCTGAGGGCTACTTTTAAAACACCCAGAGCAGTGCAAGGGATTTGGCTGGGAAACTAACCAGTCAGTTGTGGAGAACAAGCTTTGGAGTCACACCTGAGGAAGCGGAAACAGTATATCAGGAAGACTTAAATTGAATTCCTTCTCTGACATATACTAGCTGTGTGACCTCAGGGTTAATAATAGGTATTTCTCAGGATTACTGGAAAGCATAAGATGAGACCACCTGATGTGAATCTACCTTGCTCTGTGATTGGCACATGATAAATGCCCAATAAATGCTAGTTCACCAACAACCCTAATAAAGAAAGCTTGAAATGTCCCTCACTTCGTAATCTCCTCAAACTTCCACCAGGGTTTCTGAAACCTAAATCTATGTGAAAATAATAGATTGTCTCAATAAAGAAAATAAACAACCCAATTTTTTCTAAGACGGAGCAAAGATTTGAACAGACTTTTTACCAAAGAAACATACAAATAGCAATTAAGCACATAAAAAGATGCTCAATATCATTATTTAATAGGGAAATACAAATTAAAGCCACAATGAGATATCATTGTACATCTACTTGAATAGCTAAAATTAAAAATACTGCCAATGCCGAGTGTTCACAATGATGTGGAGGAACTGGAACTCTCAGGGACTGGAACTGATAGAAATGTGAAACGGTTGAGCTACTTTTAACAATAGATTGGCAACTTCCTATAAAGTTAAACACACACTTATATGACCTAACAATCTCATCCCTAGAAATTCATCCGAGAGAAATGAAAATGTCCTCACACTCACAAAACAAAGCTTATAGCAGCTTTATTCATAAAAGCCAAAAATTTGTAAGCAACCCAAATGTACATCATCAGGTAAACAGAAAAGCAACACGTGGTATACATCCATACAATGAAATATTATCGAGTAAGAAAAATGAACTATTGATACATACAATAAAATGGGTGGATATCAAACAAATTTTGTTAAGCAAAGGAAGCTGGATACAAAGGGCTATATACTATCTGACTCACTTTACAGAAAATTTTGGAAAAGGCTGGGGAAAGGTGAGGGAACTATGCAGCAAGGAATGCAAAAGAACTCTTTGAGGATGATGGAAACATCCTACATCCTAATTGTGGTGGTTACACAGGTGTATACATTTGTCAAAACCCAAACTGTAGATTTAAAAAGCGTGAGTTTTACTGTCTGTAAATTATATGGCAATTAATCTTACTTAAAAAACAGATTGTATTCCATGGTATATATGTGCAACATTTTCTTTATCCAGTCTATCATTGATGGGCATTTGGGTTGGTTCCAAGTCTTTGCTATTGTGAATAGTGCTATAATAAACATACGTGTACATGTGTCTTTATAGTAGAATGATTTATAATCTTTTCGTTATATCCCCAGTAATGGGATTGCTGGGTCTTAAAGTACAATAAAAAATAGAAATAAAAATAAAACATTGTACAGAACAAAAGGGTCTAACGTGGGGAGGCGGATGCAAGTCTGGGAAAAGCATACAGGAGGAAGCATGGGATGGATGGACAGCACAGAGCCAGTCACTAGTTTTTGCAAATGAATTGTGACCTGTGCCTTTGATTATTTAAGACGAATCTCAAGAAATAAAGGAGCCACTCGCTGAGCAGTGTCTCTATGTGTCCCACAGTCTCATTTCGTTTGGCTATTCATTAGAATGCTTGTTAGACAGGTCAATACTTTATCTTACAAAACATGTTAAATGGCCTCAATTTTTAAGAATATGCTACGAGAATCACTACTCCTCCTGCTGCCTCCAGTTATGTTTTTGAGTGAGCTCAGGAATGTCTTATTTTTAATTACTTTTTAGAGGTAAAAACAATAGGCTAGTCTAAGAACATCAATCCCTCTTACCACTGACAGTAACTCTGCCATGGTCGTGCCCATGAGAAAAAGAAGATAAACTCAGCAAAAATGCCTCAGCCCAATCTCAGGCTTGAAACGGGTGCCCCCAGCAGTTCCCAACCCCCTATCCATAAGGAAGTACATAGAAGTCTACAGAGAAGTGAGGACAATGAGGACAGTGGGGTGTGATGGGCTATGATGGGATAAGACAGGATGCATGTGAGAGAGATGGGTTGGGAGAGGGTTGAGTTAAGGCTGCTACCTATTCTTTCTCAAGAAAGGCTGCTCTATCCTGACATAAATTTTATTTATCATTTTTGGTGCTTAAATGCACTTCATTTATGAAATAATGTAATATCCTCTCTTGTCATACAATAAACAGGAGTTAATTCTATTTTTGTATCGAGATTTTCTTTTACATTTACGATGTAGGGAATTACCAAGTCTGGAAACCCCTGCTGGACAGTGTTAGACCGCTAAGACAGTCTCAAAGTTTTACTCTCAACCTATTTATAAGATAAAGTCCAAACTTCCTGGCATGGCATTACAAGGCCTTCATGATAAATAAACCTCCAGCTATTACCTCTACTCAATTCTATGACAAACTTCTGAATCTTTCTCAGCCATTCCAAATATTGACCCATTCCCTCTATCTGGAAAGCTCTTGCTCTGCATTTCCTACTCCTCTTAAACCTGGTGAAATGGCTCCTTTCCATGCAGCCTCCGTTCAGGGAGGGCAGCTGAGCCCCTCTCTGCAATACCTCTTATTCTCATCTCTTTCATGGCCCTCACCGTCTTATAGCATGATGATCTGTGTATAAGTGTGTCTCCTCCACTGAACTGTGGCGGAGTTTTAACTTCTTTAACTTTGCAATTCCAGCTAATACATGTTGACTGAATGCATCAATGCAGAATTCAACATAACCACTATTTATTGAGCACCTATGTGCCAGGCATGGTGCCAGAAGAATGTGTGCCCAGGAATGAACAACTTACTCCCCACACTTGCCACCCAAAAATGAGAAACTAACACTGTCCATGATTCCACCACCTACAGGACTTCCTCCATATGGTACAAGGTCAAAATGTGAGGACAGAAACATTTTGACATGTAAATTCAAAGGTCAAAGAAAAAGCTTTAGAAATTTGAGCAATAAATCAACTTGCTTCAATTTACAGGCCAACAAAAATTATTAATATATTTTATTCTAAAGGACAGGAGTACCATGAAAGGTCTGTATTTGTATTTTAAAACATCAGGGCCCAATTGCACCCATTGTCAGATTATCTGTTCAGGAGATGTGTGCTGCTGATCTCATTTTATAAGTTGAGAAACTAAGAATTCTGAAATTCTAAAGCAGACTCCCAATGTTTAATGTAACCATATAAGAACTCAGAGAGGATTAGAGTTTCCTAAGAAGAGGAGGGACTTTGACTTATGTCACCTGGATGCAGGTTCCAGGTTAAAAGGTATTCAAGTGCCAGCTCTGCCTTTGGGCAAATCACTTATGGGACCTCAATTTTCTCCTATGTAAAAATAAAGAAAGGAGATTAGGTAGACGAGATCCAGTGGGATACGCATTCCAATCCAGTTTCCTAATTCTAGGAGTCTCATTTTGCATATAAAAATAAGGATCGGCCAGGTGCAGTGGTTCAAGCCTGTAATCCCAACACTTTAGGAGGCCGAGGCGGGCAGATCACGAGGTCATGA
Organism: Homo sapiens; assembly: GCF_000001405.40. Taxonomy (NCBI): domain Eukaryota; kingdom Metazoa; phylum Chordata; class Mammalia; order Primates; family Hominidae; genus Homo; species Homo sapiens. The sequence continues at coordinate 28,582,391 of NC_000003.12, read as the reverse complement.
GTTTGAGACCAGCCTGACCAACATGGTGAAACCCCATCTCTACTAAATATACAAAAATTAGCCAGGGGTGGTGGCATGCGCCTGTAATCCCAGCTACTCAAAAGGCTGTCGCAGGAGAATTGCTTGAACCCGGGAGGCAGAGGTTGCAGTGAGCCGAGATCACGCCACCGCACTCCAGCCTGGGTGACAGAGCAAGACTCTGTCTAAATAAATAAATAAATAAATAAGGATCAAGTTCTCTGCCCTTCTTCCTGTACATAAGTACATGATAGATTCCATACTTTCCTCTGTATTCTTTCTTTTAAAATGGTAGGAATACAATGCTACAAAATGTTCCAGATTCTTGTCTAAATATGTCTGTTTCTCCCTCTCATTTTTTCTCATTCTCTTTCTCATTCTTTCTCTCTGCCTCTCTCTATCTAGGAAAGGGGTGATAATGGTTGTTTTGGCAACTAATATCCATTTTCTTTGGTCTGATAACAGCACCATGATTTATTTTTCCAAGAATTAAACCCCATCCAAAAGAAACAATTTGAAGGAACCTGCATTGAGGATTCCCACCTTACCTTGGCCAAGAAGCAGCTATCTGACCCAAGAGAGGCCAGTTAGATAACCTTCCCATGAAATACAGGTCTTGAGCAGAGTGGCATAAAGGCAAAAAATGGCTAGGATTTATTTTTCTTATGTCAGCGCCCTTTCAGTACTTTCTACTACTTAAATCTGAGCAACTCTTGTGTCAGCATTTCCCCAAAACTAGTTTTGTCATTTTCCGTTTGATTTTGTAATTACCTTAAAATTTTACAATATTTTGCTCACAGTAAAGCCAGTTTCTATTTCCTGCAACCAAAGAGTCCTAACAGATACAACTTTTTAACTCAATCATTTGTTAAGTCTTAAGATTTGCCACCTAATCTTCCTGAAAAGCCGTAAATATAATGTGCAAAAGCAGAGTAATCCATTTGCTTTCCTAGTGTCTTAGGCATACTTCTGGGGCCTGGGGTAGGATATAGGGACTTTTCATCCTGCTCTTCCTTGGTTTTCCTGATGAGAAAACAGCAGACTATTGACAAGTCAGGATAACTATTTGCTAACCTTCTGCCCACCAAGACCTGAGAACATCTTAAGGACCACAGGGCAAAACCAGGTGGATGAGCAGCAAATTGGTTTGACTGTAGAAAAGTATGGCTGTGTCATTTCCAGTCCCAGAACCCTCTAGTAAACTGAAAAAAATTAGGGAGACTTGAAGCCCCAACTCATAAAATTTATTCACTATTATTGAGCAGCCATTACCTATGAAGCACTGAATAAAAAACTCTATACATTTTATCTCGTTCGAGCCATACAATAACCATAGATGGTTATTGTAAAATAATTTATAATTATTCCTATTTTACAGATGAAAAGGTTAAGCTTTGGAAAGGTTAAGACCTTGTCTAAGGTCAAGAGCTAATAAAAGACAAAGCCAGGATCAAATTGGGGTCTTTTTTTATTTCACAGTCAACAGTTTTAATCACATTGACGTCCTACCTATTGTGGACACGTTTCTGCTTCTGTGCCAGAAGTCAGAGTTCACCTGGCTAATATACAATGTAAAACCAAAAAGGCTTCCATTAGATTTCATGCCACAAACAATCGCCCAAGGGGTTAGGCATCAAAGTGAACTACCTTGAATTTATCCATTGCCTTTTATCCTCTGCCTGCCACTTGAGACTTTGCTGTCCTCTGTGTACTGATAAACCCTATCTTACCTGGAGCAGGAATGTTTTTCAGGTTAAAACAAAAAAGGAAGACCATTATTCCTCACACGTTAACAGCACTCAAGAGCTTTGCCAAACTTGTAACTCCCCCAGGGCTCACTGCAGTTGATGCAGAACTTCAGGGACCTCCGACTTTGCACTTTGCAAGCTGCTCCTACTCAACAGATAAAAGGGAGAGATCATCACCCAGAAGTTAAATTTGACGCTTAAATACCCTCTCACAGAGCCTTTCACGTATAAAGACCACCTTAAAGACTAAAGGAATAGAATGGAAAGCAACTATATGTTACACATTCACTCGAAAAAAAAATTTACTACACAAGTTAACTAGTAGTTTCATGCAAATATTCATTTCTTTATTGTAATATACATACCTTGATTATGTAGGATGTTAATATTAGAGGAAACTGGGCAAAGGATATATCTTTGCACCTCTTCTATAAATGTAAATTTATTTCCAAAATAAAAGGCTTTCATAAATGTAATGACATGCTCGGTAAGAGTCCCTACAGTATGCTCCTAAAGAATCACTGTTAGAACAGCATTACTGATGGAATGCAGTTGAAGTGAGAACTGAGTCATTTTCATCAATGATGTATCATTGGTAGCAACAGTACAGAGTTCCTCTAATCCAAAGCCATGGGAATAACACATCTTGCAAACCAAGGATTTAATAAGAGCTGAGCAAAAAAGAGAGTTTGGTCATAATGCTTCATATCTGGGCCATAAACATGCCTTCTATATATAACACTGTAGTAAATAGTATTGGCAGAGGGGAGGTGAAGCAGGCATAGGGTGTGAGGAAGGAAGTAAAAGGGAGGACAGAAAGCACCATTCATATATTCATGAAAGAGATGAACCTGAAGGAAACAAATAATCATTTTTCTTTAGCATCTAAGATCAGATCATGGGAAGAATTTCCACATTTGCATAAGTAACTTTATAATACAGAGGGAATAAGACACTGGAGTACAGGTCCTCGACACAAGAAACTTTTTTAAACTTTTCCAAAGAAAGTTTCAGAAACACCCATCCAAGAGTTATTTGGTATAACCAAAGCATTTCAGAAGAATTTTAAAAAGCAATGAAAGGATGCAATATTTAGAGCCTGGAAAAAGCTTTCTAAGGAAGTTCTGAGGATGATCAAATCCAGAATCAAGAGCACTTTCAAGAATTTGAAGGTCTCTTACTTAAGGACCATGATCATTTAATCTTCTTTGCTAAGACAAGAAAGAAATATCTCACTAGGTCACCAAAGGTGATTACAATATTATCTTTGGATGTCATTGCAAAGAGAAGAGGCTGCTTTTTGTAAGGGTTTAATATAAACCTGCCTTAAAGCACAGAGGAAGAATAGATGGTCTATTTCAGGTCTGTTTCCTCCCCAGTTCATGGAATCAAAGCAATATAATATGCAGCTGCTTTAATATTTCTTTGAAGAGTATTTGCTAGAGAGGAATCAGGAAACATTATTCTAGGACAGAAAGCACCAGTCACATCATGAAACTTGGGCGTAAAAAGTCCCTTGACTGATCCAGTTTTCTAACCTCTCTTCCTATTTCATAGACTTTCCGAGGACATATGACCATGAACCTGCAATTTAGGAGACAAGCTGATCTGGCACTAAGCTCTGATTTCTTTTCCAATAAGACAACTGAGATAAATTCATAGGAGAATAAATCATGGCCCTAAAGCAGAATCTTAAAAAAAATGCCATTAGTCTCTGATACTTTATTTTCAAAGGGCATATCTACTCACATCCTACTTATAATATCCTTAAGGTAAAGTTAAAGTAAATAATTCAGTTTTTGAAATTTGTATTTTATTGCTTTCATGAATGAAAAGAAAACATAATCATCTGGTACATTATGTTTGTACATTACTGTTTGAAAACCATACTGTGATAAACTCCTCCCCCTCAACCCAAATAGCTTGATAAAACCCCATTTCACTTTATACCAGTTTGTCTTCTATTTATATTTTAATAGAATAATTTGGTCAGACATCCAAAGGACTTCCCACTAATGAAATAAGAATTTTCTAAGAAAAATCAATTTATAACTTGCCTTAGTACCCATCAAAGACAAGAACAGTTATTAAAGTCTGAAACACAGCAACCATCCTCAGACTCCAAAGAAACAGTAGGACAGTATTAGAGGCAAGCAAAGGGTTAACACAGCTGATTTCTAGGTTAAGAGAAAGATGCAACATAATTTTTTAAGACAAACACCTGGAGGGAAAAAAAAAAGTAGTATTTTGTTTCCACCTCAAGAAATTACAGACAAACATGAAGCAAATCACATCATCAGAATACTCAATTATCTGAACATGCTAATTAACTAAATGTAATCAACCCGCTTTCAGTTCTCTTTTCACCTGCTGTCATATTTCTAGTGCACTGCCTTCCTTATTCCTCACAACCGGTAGAACATTAGACAGTCTGCATGGTGCATCAAAGGGAAACAAATAAGCACAGATTTTTGCTGATGGCAGGAATTTCTCATGCTCAGGGCATATGAATCAACAATATGGAAATGGCAGTACTGGCTGTATATTTTAATTATTCTCCACACCTATTTTGCAAAAGACACTTAAAGTTCAATTAGGTAATATGATGCTCAGTTATGGTTATTTCATAAAACTGAGCGCAGACAGTCATTTAAAGTAGTAAATATGCAGTCATGACAAAATTAAATATTCATGAAATCAAGAGCGACTGGAAAGCTGAGGATATCAGAATATTAAAATTCATCATAGTTTTCACAATGTAAATCTTGTATGCATTTGTAAGGCACCCCGGTCGCATCTAGAATGTGTTCAAATTCTAGTTCCTTGGTAAACTGCCATTTAAATAACAATATTGATTTTGGAAGATAAACAACAATTTTGATTCTTAGCTCAGTTTCAAAATGCAAAACAATCCTGAACATTTGCAAATCTGAACTTGTTAAGTGAGCCTGTCTCCAAACACAGAACAGCAATTCAATGTGATCCCGACATGTTTCCAGTATTTATTTAATCCACTAGTATCTTAGGAAAGCTCTAACAGAAACCAAGGCAATCTCCGTTAAGGGGCACTTCATGACACACAATTCCTTTCTAACTAGCAGAAGCGCCCATTTTCCTGCACACTTCCTTAAGTGAGCAAAAGTGAGAAAATAGATTGACTGACTCATTTGGTTCCAATAGTCTGATTTGTTGAACCAACTTTTCCCCAATATTGCCAGCCAGTTTCAAAATATATTAACAAATACACAGTGTACACTTTATACAGATAAAACAAAGCAACATTAGCTTCCACAAAACTAAACTCCGAGTGTGTGAAGGAAGACTGCTCAGAGACAAAGCTGTAATAAACACACCCTACTAATACTACCAAGGCAGTATTTTCTATGCCATTTCCTCTACTTTACAATTTTCTCAGCGGAAGAGACATCAGCACCAGAAAATAACATTCAAGCCATTTCTTACTAGAATCCAATTACCTGAAGAACTCCTCTTTCCACAGCAAGTAGCAGCTATCCCCCGGTCTACAATGACACAGCAGGGCTGCAAAAGATTTGTAGGGCTCATCTGCTGCCAGGCACTTGATCCCTGCCCTCCTAGAAGGAGGATGCCAGGTCAGGAGGAGGACCTCCAGCTTAGAGCGGGGTTAAGCAGGGCACTCCATTCTGCAAATGAGCCAAACTTTGCTCCCATTGTTATCTTTAGGTTGATGTCACCACCCTCCAAGGAGTCTCAGAAGCCACTTGGCAGCTCCTAAAGAAATGTTTCTCTTAGACCCATATCATCCAAATAAGCCTCAGTTAGACTGCGAGGGCAAGCAAAGGTCTCATCACTGCTCTACTGAGGTGCTGTGCTTGCCCAGAGCATCACACCGCATGTACCAGACGACTTTTCTCTGCACACACCGCTGAACACTGAAACCAGGACAGACTTCTGCACATACCCTCCAGTTCGGAAAGTCACTATCGCCCATGGATTCCCTTAAATCTTAAGCCTTCTTCACATCTGCCACCCCCACCCCCACACAAACCAGGGAAGGGGGTTGGGGAGCGGAGGGGTTAAAGTGACAGCCACGACAGCAACTCCTTGGTTTTGTTCAAAAGGTATCACAGCGCCAACACTGTGGACCTACCTTGCTCTCTCCTTTCTCGCCGTTGGGTCTCGTCTCGGGATCGTCGCTGTCCTCAGCGCCTGCACTCTCGCCGGGCAGTTCATCCTGAGCCAGCTGCTGAGGCGGCGGCTGGGGCTGGGGCGGCTGTGGCGGCGCCTGGCAGGCTCCGCCAGCCCCCTGGGAGCGGGGGATGGGCTCCGGGCGCGGAGAAACTCCCTCAACATCCATCTCCATCTTCCCATTCACTGGAGGGCAAGACAAAAGCGGAGTGGAGACTTGGCAGCGGCGCCCGGCAGCTACTCAGCTGCCCGTGGCACGCATGGCTCGCCGAGGAGGGGCCGCCTCCCGCGCGCCCTCCCTTCTGCCACCCTTCGCCCCCGCTCCCCGCAGCTCCGCTCGCCTGCTTGGCTCCGGCCCTGGCGGCGTCTGGGCCGGGGTGCGCGAGGAGCGGGTGGCCGCGTGTCCTTGGAGCGCTGGCCTTCAGGCGCCCCCGGCAGTCCCGCTAAGCAGAGCGCATCCCGGCGGCGGCGGCGGCGGCGGCGGCGGCGCCTCCCAGCCGCGCTCCCAGCCTCAGGGCCGCTTGGGTACTTGCTCTCCAGCCCGGCCCACGCTCCTAGCCGCTTTCCAGCGTCTCTTGGGGCCCCTTGGCGTTTCTCCTCCCTACCAACCTTCTGAACAAAGTTGCTGGAAGAACCAACCTGGTCGCCGGGCTTTGCCCGGCGAAGCTGGCAAGAATAGGGACTCTCAGGTGCAAGTGAAATCTACCTTCCCCGCCCGCTGACCAAGCGCCGACCCTCAGCCTTACCCCCTCCCCAACGCAAAGGAGCCAAGGAAAGGAGGGATCTCCGACCTGTGCGAGGTGGTGGCGGCGAGGACTAGAAAGAGAGGAGCGTGCGGAGGGCTGGTGCGCCCACCCCCAACCCCAGGTGACCCCCGCCTCCGCGCTGGCCCTGGTCCCCTCCCTCTCCCGGCCGAGCGCGCCTCCGGGGTCAGTCCCTCCGGGCTGCGCGTGTGTGTATCCCAGAGCTCCGCTCCGGGGTCTGTTCTGCCGCTGGCGGCTCCGCGCCGCACAGCCCTGCACTAAAGAACTGGAGTAGAGAAGGAGAAGCCAACGGCAAATTCCGGGCAGGAAGTCGACCTACCCTTGCCTCTGGCCAGGTCGCAGGTTAGAACCGGGAAGGGGTGGGGCCCCTCGGGGACAGCGAGGACGCGAGTCTCGCGGCGCGCCGGAGTTTGGCGTAAAGGTCGGCAACAGAGGGTCGATGGGGTAGGAGGAAGGAGAAGCGAGAAGTCGCTGCCAGGCATTTACTGCAATGTGCCCGGGGCGGGCGCCAGCTGGGCGCCGTCTCTTTTTGGTGGTGAGTTCTGTGCTGGAAGAGCGTCCTCAGCAGGGCAGGGCTCCACCAGGAGGCTTCGGTGGTGACCCCAGGGCAGGCAGTGCGTTGCGTCTATAAATTTAAATAGAGATGGCGAGGGTAGCCTTGGAAATTCTTAAATCAGGGTTCACCACTAGTCAGGTGAACAGGATGACTTCTCAATTTAACACCACTTGATCCTGGGTAGTAGCTTACAACTTCATGGGAACTGCCACTGCAACTCTGCACGTCCAGGAGGGACTTTCAAGCAGCTCTGGAGAGAAATGGCGGGTTATCAAGAACCTGTTCAATATTAAATAGAGCCCATTATTCTGGGCTTTGAATTCCATAATGCTCCCAAATGGATCAGCAGATTAATGAACTATTCATGCGTTTCTTGGCAGAGGATGGCTTTTTTCCCCTAGCATGTATCACAGATCACACTTGCTTGATGAAACTGGAAAATTGCATTGCTCATCCCATGAATGCTTTGCATTAACTTAAACACAACTTTTACATATCAAGACACACTGTCCCATTGATGCAGTTACACAAGAACACATCATTAGGTTGTATCCCTCAATGCTATCTTTTAATCTGACTCTGCATGTGTGACAGAAATTAATTGCCACTTTCATCAGTGTAGACAACCAATCTGGGTAATGCAATGTGAACAAGTTTTTGAAAAAGAAGAAAAAGTTTAGGGACCAAATTACCCATTCTCTTTTTCTTCAGATTTTCTAAAAATCAGATTTCAAGTTCGTTTTCTAAATTGGGAATTGTTGAAAATAGAGTGAGCTCCTCCCCAGTACCTGGTAATAAACCAACAATCATTATAGAACGTTTATAATGGTAAATTAGATTATATGTGTAATGTGCTTAGCAGAGTGTCTTTGTGCATATCGAGCACCTAACATTGTTATACCGAGAACAGTAAGATGATATATGTTCACACTGAGTGTTCATCTGAAGACCTTGATTTACAAAATAGAAGCTACCGGTTTAAATCACCTTTATTTAAATTTCCTAAAAGATATTTGGTATCTTTAGAGAATGAAGCCCCTTCTGAAGACAGGAAGAAAGTCAATAATATTTTGTGCAATAAAGGTTTGAATTTGTCAGGTTTTTGTTTTTTTTTTTTTCCCTACAGTGTAGCAATAAAAATCACATGTCAGTTCAGACAGCAGCAGGAATAGCTGACTGGTAAGTTATTATTCTTCCATGCTTGCTACTTCCAAAATACGTTTGTGAACTTCTTTCAAGGCTTAAATGAAGATTAAATCAAAATAAAGATACAATACTTCAATTAAATTTGTCCTAAATTTAGACATGTCCTTTTAAAGATTCTTATTGTTAAATGCAAATATTTCTCCTTTCTTCTGCCCCTCTATTTTTGGGGGACAGTTTTTTTTAAGCATCTGTCACAAGTAAATATGGACTCGGAAAATATATTACATTTCAAAACTGTTGATTGCACCTAATTATGCATGTAAATTGCTACTTCAAGCATGAAGACAGCTTGCAACATTTTGAAAATTTTGCCCTACTAGTCATCTGAGGTATTTGTGTTACTATTTTGCAGTTGCCTTAAATGACTCTTCATTTCTCAATTAACTTTCCATTAATGATAGGTCTATGAATAATTTTGACCTTTGGCTTTCTCTTCCCAAATGATTTAAATTAGTAAATTAGCACTTTCAACAACATCACCCTTCTTCCTATTTATACCAGACCTCTTGAATTTTTGAGTCACTGAAATTGGAGTTTACAAAAAGGTGTCCTGGGAGAGTAGTCACTCTTAACTCCTTGCTACTAAGTATGATCCATGAACCAGAAGCTTCCCAACATCTGGGAGTTTGTTAGAAGTGCAAAGTCTTGGGCCCTACCCTAGACCTACTGAATCAGAATCTGCATCTAACAAGTGATTCCTACCACATTTAAGTTTAAGAGCCAGTGCTCTGGCACATCACATGGTTGGTCTTTCTACATTATAATCATCTATGGGCACTCATTATTTCCCTAAAAGACTACCAAGAAAGGCTCACTAGGAAAACACAATTTAGCAACTTTTTTTTAAGACATTATATTCCCCACCACCTCTCATCCTCCAGGATCTTAGTCATGCATAATGAAAAGTTTCATGAATTAAGAATTTATCGGCCTGGCATGGTGGCTCATGCCTGTAATCCCAGCACTTTGGGAGGCCGAGGCGTGTGGATCACCTGAGGTCAGGAGTTCTAGACCAGCCTAGCCAACATGGTGAAACCCCGTCTCAACTAAAAAAAATGCAAAAATTAGCCAGGCATGGTTAGCAGGCGCCTGTAATCCCAGCTGCTTCGGGGGACCCCGGCAGGAGAATCGCTTGCACCCCGGAGGCGGAGGTTGCAGTGAGCCAAGATCGCGCCATTGCAGTCCAACCTGCAGAACAAGAGCGAGACTTCATCTCCAAAAAAAAAAAAAAAAAGAAAATTTATCTATATTGTATCTCTGGTAATAAAAGCATACAGTTTTCTAAACTCTAAAGGCATTAACCTAAAATTCCCTTTGTCTTGAATAATAAACTTGATGAAAATATGTGGAACTAGTTTCTTAAAAACTTGTTTATTCTTGACCTTCTTTCTACTTGAGACTTGAAAGTCCACAGTTTCTTTCTGCTGGGATAACTAATGTCTTCGGTTGCAAGGCAAACAGAAGCTGACAAGTGCTTGTCTGTGCAGTGGCAACCTAATAAAGCTACAATAATTTGGAGTGAGTTTGGACCAAATTATGTGCCCCAATATTTTTAGGGACTATAAAAAATTATTACAAGAATTTCTTTAAATCACACAGATCAACAAACTGTTACTTTAAAAGGCTATCTGGTGTCGTACTTCTCACCTTTAATGTATATGAAGTCACCAGGAAAATGTTGTCAAAATGCAGGTTATGATTCAGCCGGTCTGGGTTTGGGTGTGAGAGTCTAAATTTCTAACATCCAGGTAAAGCCAGTGCTTCTAGTCCCCAGACCTAATGGGTTTGCTTTATTACCATTAATGTTTCTCAAGTTTTCATAGTGGGAAACTTTTTAAAATCTTCAATGCCCAGACTACTAGGCCCCAGAAAACTTAAATCAGAATATTTGGGGTGGGATCTAAGCACAAGTAGTTGTTAAACCTCTCCAGGTGATTACAATGTGTAGCCAAGATTGAGAAACAGTGCTGCCTGTGAGTGATTCTCCAAGTGTGATTCCCAAACCAGCAGCAGTAGCACCTGGGAATTTGTTGGAAATGCACACTCAGTGTCCATCCTAGACCTACCAAATCAGAAACTCTAGAGGTGAGATCCAGCAATCCATGTTTTCACAAGGCATGATTTTGATGCATGCTCAAGTTTGAGATCCACTGCTGTGATCAAAGATTCTCCGCTACTGCATGTGAGAATCACCTGGGGAGTGTTCAAAAAACACGACTTCCTCCCTCACAATCAATTAAATTAAAATATCTGAGGGTGAAATCTAACATGTTAATGTTTAAAAGTTCCCCCAGGTGATTCCAATTGTGCAGACAAGGTTGAGAAGGATGTCTATAGACTGAATTTTTATGTATGCAAATCAGTGTTTCCATGGAGCAGCAGTTTCTTCTATGCTAGTTTAAAAAAAAGTTCTTAATCTGCAAAAATGGAGAACTAGAAAGGTAGAGTACTATCCCAATTATCATAGATTCAAATTAGTGTATTCAGTATTTTCCGATGAGCCATTTTTCCTTCTTGGTAACATGACAGCAGCTTCTGCTGTCTCCAGCAGGACTTTGATGTGAAATGATTCAATTTTAAGAGGCTATGAGATGTACCCTGGCACCAGCCTCCAGTGATTAAAGATTCCTGTGTCAGATTGGTTAACCATCTTCAGGGATGTTGCTGTAAATCAAGTCTCTGCTATTAAGGGCTTTAGCACCTTGCTACCCAAAGTGCAATTCACAGATCATCACCTGAGTGTTCATCAGTATCACCTAGGAGCTGTTTATGAATGCTGACTCTCAGGCCCCACCCCAGACCTACTGAATCAGTGTCTGCACCTTAGGGTCCCCATGTGATATGTATGCACATTTAAAGTTTGAGAAGCACAGATATAGTGTATCACCGTGATATACAAAAAGATATACTAGCCACTTAATCCTAACTCTTACATCTCTTGGCTCTTCGTGGATGTACATCCATTCTGAGAACCTTGTGGAACTCTTATGCATAAAGTTCCAATTGTAGAGGAATCTACAAGCATCCTTCCCTTTGTTTTAACCCTTCTAGGTTTAGCACCACTGTCCAGTAGAACTTTCTACAATGATAGAAATGGTCTTCATCTGTGCTCTTCAATAAGTAGCCACCAGCCACATGTGGCTATTGAACAAATGAATTGGCTAATATGACTGAAAAGCTGAATTTTAATTTTATTTCATTTTAATTGATTTAAATTTAAATAGCCTTATGTGGTTATCGGCTCCACTATTGAACAGCACAGCTCAAGAGTAATCATCTTTCCTCTTGCTCAACCCTTATTCCAGTTCCCAGGTTGCACACCAGCCCCTCCTTCTCAGCTTTTGTATGTATTAATCCCCAGTGAATGCACCAGGAAGAAAAACATCTGCCTTTGCCACCTCATTTACATAATAAGTAACATTATGCTTATTATTTTGAATGAGAGAAGTTTAACTTGAATTAAATGCCACCAAAAGTTGTCAAAACCTTTTTCATAGTATTCATAATTGCCTAGCTTTAATTTTACAGCCTTTTCGAACATCAGCAGACATAGAATGCATTTGGAAACTGCTTTAAGAAAAAGAGACAAAAGACTGCAAATGGATTCAGAGTACAGGATACATAAAGACATCCCCCCCCCACCCCAAGCATCTTGTTGGTGTATAATGGAAAGTTGATTACATTGAGTGCATCTATGTTGAAAGTAAATATCAAAACTTGCAGATTACTCTCAAAATGGAAGGTGAAATGCAAAACAAAAGAGAGATCATAGAGTTAACAGTACTAGAAGATAGCAAATGAAATTCAAAATAGAAATGTACTCAACACTTAGTCTGGATATTAAATATCTATGGAACCAATGGAATGAGATGGGATGGGATGGGGTGAGATGAGAGGAGAGGGAATAAAACAAAAACACTCATGATTTGAAAACAGAAACCAGCCCCCTCGAGCTTTCTCTTCTCTGGGATAAGAATAACAACAACCACACTTATAATTGCACTGCCTATCATTGCTTAAGTGTGCTCTGTATATTATCCCCTATAATCCTTTCAATAACCATGTAAGGTGGGTATGATCAGGAAAAAAATTATTCCAGAGATTTGGATTGGTATTTTAACTAACACACCTCAGGAAGGCAGAATAAAAATAAGCAAATCCCTACTAGAGAGGGAAGAGGATAGTGTTAAAATAAAGTCAGCCCTTTTCTTTGATTGAAAAATGACATGCATCACTTCTAAACTGAATTAGCCACAACCTGTCTTATAAAAGGAGGCTAACACTAGGAAAATATTTCATCAGGGTCTGTGCCTTGCCCAGCTGCTGATTTGGTACTGTGTGATTCAAAATTATTCCCACAAAGAAATGTGTAGCTAAGGGCAACAGCCTCACTTCTGCAGGATGGTCACTTCATAGCAACTGAAACCAATAAATAGACTGTTGTTGTCCTCAGGAAAGAAACTCCAAGGGACTTCAGATAATATGATTTCAGGAGGCTGGCCGGGAGCTCAGACACCATTCAAAACATCTTGACTTTCATGAGGGCTTCTTAAGACCCACCTCACTCAGACGTCGTTTTCTCAAAAACGGAGGGCAAGTTTATTCATAATCCACATCAATCCAGTTGAAAAGAGAGGGAGCAGAGTGAGGATGAAAGAAGACAAAAATATTTACTCCTTCAGTGATGAACTAAGAGGGCCAAACTCTCAGTTCTGTGTTTCTACACCTTTGCTGATATCTTAATAAAATTAAGCCACAAACTCTAATAGTTGTCTTGAGCAATGTTTGGAAGATGCACCACCCTTTACTTGCTCAAACACACACGTTTCTTAACAGATGACTAAAATTTTACGTGTAGTTTGGGGACATAAGAATTCCCAGGATTCTGAACTTTAATTTTGGGGTCACGCGAAAATGTTTCCAGACCTTTTCAGTTTGAAGGGAAGTCACATTCTGCCCAAGCAATATCAGAGCAATTCTGCCTTAGTGAGCTGGCCCATTCGGCTTCCTGAGTCTTATGCAGAATGTCAGCTTCGCTGAGCTGGTTCTGACAATTGGTGCTTCTGAATGTTTAGGTGTGGTGCTGAGAAATGCAGTCCCTCTCCTATGATCTCCCACATTTGATTATTTCTGTGCCCTTTACTTTGATTTGGGCCTCCCAGCTTGGATTCCTGGTTGCCATACTGGGGATTTCTTTCTTTCTTTCTTTCTTTTGAGACAGACTTTTGCTCTTGTTGCCCACACTGGAGTGCAATGGCGCCATCTCAGCTCTCCACAACCTCTGCCTCCCAGGTTCAAGCGATTCTCCTGCCTCAGCCTCCCAAGTAGCTGGGATTACAGGCATGCGCCACCATGCCCAGCTAATTTTGTATTTTTAGTAGAGACGGGGTTACTGGGGATCTTTGTTGCATATTTACATTTACTGGGATCTTTGCTGGACACTGGAGCCATAGAGATGAAGCATGTGATAGTCTCTGCTTTGTAAACAACAGCAATATGGATACTTAAGGTATGCCACAAAAGACTATGAGAGCACCAGAAAGAAAAAAGTCAGTACACACCCACTTACCCCAGGAGTTTCAGCAACCAGAGCGTTCTCCCTGTGTATCCCTTAGGAGTCTTAAAAAGGGAACCCAATAAATAACCAACCCAAGTTCTTAAGGTGAGAAATAAGGCCAAAGAATATCCAGGGCCAAAATATCACCTCTATTACTGATAACATCTAGGTTGGAAGATGTAGCTTGTATCTGTAAGCAAATGGTCTTCCTATTTATGAACACTAAGATCAGGCAGACAGATTCACCCAGTCACAAACAGTGTGGGCATGTGCCCTGCAGGCAGCTAGCTCCCAGAAAGAAAAAGGAGGAGGCCAGCAAACTCAGTCCATCTTTTCCCAAATTCACTAGGCAGACAAGAAACCTCTCCTGAGGCAGTGGGAGTGAAAGAGTTGAGAGAGGCCAGGGTTGCTGTGCTAGTTGAACTCCACACACATGGAAAGAAATAGATATGGGGAAGAAGTGTTATGCTTCCCAAGTGAATCCTGCTTCAATTTCAGCCCTGTATCCTATATCCCACGTCCCAATCCCCCTTGCCGACTGCTGTCTCCTGCGGCGGGGGAGAACTCTGGAACATACCATGGATAACTCTATTTCCTGCCTCATGTATCCACTTACTGGCCCTATATGACTGCTCGGTCACCATTAGCTCTACCAGCCACACTTCCCTCAGTTGCAGAACTAACTACAACTAACAACAACCTAGACATGGTTGGTCAGAATTAACATTCCTGGTACAAAGCTGTCAAGAATTAAACTCCTGACCTGGTTCTCATTAGCATCATGCTCATATCTCCTGAGCAAACCAGAAATTATACGAAGGTATAAAGCTTGCAGAGGAGGTGCTCTAGCAAGTACCTTTTATCTTACAAGTGCCTAATAAATATTACATTTTCATAATTTGGCTTTTTAAACCACAAATTATCTTTCATGCCCTCATGTAGTATGTTTTAGAAGGCCCACCTAATGCAGTGCCTTGTACATGGTGGGAGCTAAATACATGTTTGAGAATGAATATTAAAAACCTTTTATGTGAATGACTTTGCATCTCATCTCGGAAAATTTAGTCTTCAACAAAGTAAAACAAGAACAGTCTATTTGGAAACTAGGTTTTCACCATGGATTTTACTATGATCACATGTTTGTGTCAATTTCACTGAACTATTGTAGGAAGGTGAGTAATTGCAACTTCACACAGGTATCTTTTCTGAGTCTCCATTTCCCTATTTGTGAAATAAAGTGTAATGTGTTCAACTCAAAAACTGAGATTACAATAGTAGATATCTTCTGACTAGTTAATTGCACACTGAAAGTATCAAATAATCAAGTGAAGGTGGGAAATCTGTAGTTTTTAATGGTATGCTTTCATTTGCATCTCTTCTCCTATTTCTAGATATTGATCCCCTGGTCATTATGTTCTTTATCTGTACACTTTGCTTTCCATTTTGAAATCAGAGTATAACAAACATGCACAACTATGGCAAATAATTAGATGCAACATTTTGGAAAATGATAATTTAAATGTAAATACAAAACACATAAGAAAAAATAACCCACAGAGGCAGTAAGAAACATAATAAATAATCCTCTAGGGAGAACCAGAAGAGTGTGGATGATGAGTTAGAAGGTGCATCTGGATAAATTTCTAGAGAAAAGAGAAGGACTACTATACTGGAGAAATAGAAATTTTGGTGGGTGATACACACCTTTTTCATATTTTGATATTCTCACATACCTTTAGAATAACATACATGCTTAGAAATTAAGAGATACAGAGATGCCAACTGTTTGCTTCTTCTCACTATTCCCTCTCTTTTTACCCCTTAGTATTCAGGCTCCCAGCCCTCTGCTCTGTCGACACTGTTCTGTTGTGTGTCACTCATCACCTCTCCACTGCAGGAATTAATGCCTTTGTGGTTCCTTTATCTTCATCATCTGTCTGTCCCTTATTTCACTCAAATTTTATCAAAAAAAATTTCAAATTAAGGACTTTCAAATTTTCTGAAGAAAAATTGAGTGAAATAATCAATCTTACACAGTCTAAATTCCTCCTCCTTTTCTGACTAATCCCTCACCAACTCTCATTTTTACTCTTTGTTCCCTATCCATCTCCAAGTGACCTGTTCTACTCCATGAATATTCTCTCTTGAGAGCTCACAAAACTTTAACTTTCTTGAAATAGCACTCGTTATTAATCACCAGAGAGATTAAACACACCACTAGGCATTTAATGTATAACATTTCTTTTATGTATCATAACAGCCTCATTGCAATAAGCATTGCTAGCTCCATTTTATGCCTGAGAAAAGTGACGTTCTGAGAGTATAAATAGAATGCCTAAAGCCACAATCCTGGTAATAGCAAAACCAGGCATTTGAATTCAGGCCTCTCAGACACAAATTTCATGATCCTTTCCACCTATATATGTCAATGATCTCTTGCTATATAACAAATTACCCCCAGAACTTAATACTCTAAAATAATAAAAATCGTTTATGGTGCTCACACAACTGCAATTCAGACAAAGCTTGGTAGATGTGACATGCCTCAGCTCTATTCCACATCAGCTGGAGCAGCTCCAGTGGGGGCTGAAAGCTTCACATTGAAGATGGCTCACTCATGTGGCTGGCAAGTTGGTATTAGCTGTTGGCTGGGGCTCAAGGGCTGTGGGCCAGGGGTCTCTGTTCCTCTTCACATGAGCTCACCAAAGGCCGCTTGGGCTTCCTCACAACATGGTGGCTGTGTTCTAGGAGCAAAGAGTCTACTAGAACAAGGCAGAAAGCTACCAGAACAAGGCCATTTCTTCTATACACTGTTGATCAAGGCAAACACAAAGGCCTACCCAGGTTCAAGGGGAGAGGACATAGTCTCCATTTCTTGATATGGAAGTAGTAAAGTACTAAAAGAGCATGTAGGATAAGAGAAAACCCTGTTGCAGCAATATATGGAAAAAACAGGCTGCTACATGATGATTCCTCTATAAATCCCATCTATGAAGATGACTTTCAAATTTATCTTTAAGCCCTGACATCTCTTCTGAGGCCAGTTCCATACTTCTGATTGTCTATTAGAATTTTTCAAAACCCAAATTCACAAAGCTCTTTATTAAAACCAGGTTTTATCCAATTCTTTGTTATTTATATTAACAGCACAATTCTTCCTAATCATCAAAGCTGAACAGCTCGCATGCAGTTTTGACTCTTCTTTCTAGCTCCCCACATCCAAACAGTTGCTGAAACCTATTAAGTGTGTTTCATTAAACAATTATTCATTTATTTATTTTAAAAAACGGTATTGAGTCCTTACTATGTATCTGGCCCTGAAATGGTTAATGTTAGTTATTAGTGATGGAGATAGCAAAGTACACCCACACACATATCTATGAACATATATATACATATACTGTATGTACACACACACATAATGTCTTTGCTCTTGAGTAGTTTGCAGACTTATGTAGAAAGAATAGACAAATCAACAAAATGTTAAAATTATTATTATAAGTATTATACTCTAAGTAAACTCATGGTGCCGAGGTTGCAGAGGAAAGAAACACTAACCTAGGTTTGGGGTGAGTGAAAGGTAACGAGAGAGGGCCGGAGAAGAAAGTGAACGCTAATCTGATTTTAAAGGAAGAGCAAGAGTTTTATTTCATCTGAGCTCACCCTTTACAAACAAATCAAAACAAAACAGTATGCCGTTTTGCTCAGGATGACTTGAAGTTGGTTGGCCAAGAGATAGTTTCTGAACCATTGAATGATAACCAAAGCTAAACCTCTGTTCAAATATATATAGACTCTTAATAAATGTGTCTAACTTCTAGAAAGTGAATTAATTTAATAATAATCAGTATCACTGAGCACTGAGGTATTTGAAACTCAATGTAGAGAGATTTTCTAAAATTGCTTTTTAAACAAGAAGGAAAGAAGCCTTTCACAGACTAGTGTGCTGGTGTTTTGCCAGCTTGCTCTTACATCAATTTCTCATTGTTTGTTGTGTTCCCTGCTCTGCTCTGTGTCACAGGAAACTACATATCTGGGCTCTTTTGCTAACTGATCTCTGGATAGTTTCAGTCCATAGGAGGTACTGGTAGAAGATGGCAGGGTGTAAGGAGGGGAGACGCTAGGGAATTTATTCCCCTCTCTCTTGCCTCAGCTGCATCCAGCAGCAGCTACATCTCCTCTGTGGCTCCAGCTCTTGCCAGACAGAAAGACCCTCCTTCAGTTGCCCTAGGTCTCGCTGGGCAGCAGCCCCACACACCCCCACCACGGTGGTTTTAGTTACCACTATGTGGCCCCAGATTCTAGGACCAGGTAATACACCTTCCTCTCTGTGGAATTCTAGCCCTAGGGGTGGGAAAAGCCTCCTGCTCTTGCTAACCTCTGGGTGAATTCATCATCTTCTGCTGGCCATCCCATGTGTGACTGAATCTATCACACTCTCTTCCATTTGAAAGGCTAGAGTGGTAACTGGTTTCCTGACTGAACTCTGACTGGTAATACTTAGCTCATTTTAAAATTATTTTTAAGTGTGGTAAAATACACATAGAAAATTTTCCATCTTAACCATTTTAGGTATACAAGTCAATGGCATTAAATACATTCACATTGCTGTGCAACCACCACCACCATCCGTCCCTAGAGTTCTTCTCATTTGCAAACCTGCAACTCTGTACCCATTGACAATAACTCCCTATTCCCCTCAAACCCTGCCCCTGGCAACCACCCTTCTACTTTCTGTCTTTAGGAATCTGACTATTCTAGGTACTTCCTATGTGTGAAATCATATGGTATTTATCCTTTCCTGACAGGCTTGTTTTACTTAACTTAATGTCCTCAAGGTTCATTCATTTCATAGAATGTGTCAGAATTTCATATCCTTTTAAGAATGAATAATACTCCACTGTTATATATAAATATATATGTGTGTATATATATATATATATATATATATATATATATATATATATACACACATATATACACACACAACATTTTGTTTATCCACTCACCACAGATGGACATTTATGTTGCTTTTACCTTTTGGCTACTGTAAATAATGCTGTCATGAACATTCATGTAGGAATATCTCTTTGAGTTCCTGATTTCAGTGCTTTTGGGTATATACACGGAAGTGGAATTGCTGGATCATATGGTAATTCCTATTTTTAATTTTTGGAGGAACTACTGTACTGTTTTCCAAGCAGCTACAGCATTTTACATTCCCACCAACAGTGTAAAGGAGTTTCAATTTCTCTGTATCCTTTCCAACATTTATTTTCTGTCTTTTTGATAGTAGCCATTCAAGTGGGTATGAGGTAGTACCACATTGTGTTTTTTAATTCACTTTAATGCCAGAATAGTATCTCAGAGTGGTAAAAAATTTTTGTTTCAACTATGTCTTCTAGTCATATGGTAAGCAGTAGGCAGGATTTCTGGCATTAAGTTTATTCCTGCTCTATGTTTCCATGACAAATTTAAATAAGAGCCTTACCAGCACCCAACAACTGAGGCCCAGTGAGGATTTCAGAGTAAGTCATGCCTTCTTCAAATCCCACTTCAGCCACTCACTCTGTGACCTTGGACAATTTATCCACCCCTCTTTCTGATCTCAGTTTTCTCATCTATCACTTTGTGAATAATAACCCATGCCTTGCATAGCTAGAATAATATTTTCCCTTCATATTTACTTACATTCCAGATTCTTAGTTTTAAATATTTGATGCTTCACATCTTGCTACCTTGTTTAGATAGTGAAAACTTCATATGCTTTTGTTGATACAGTATCAATAAAAAGAACTGAAAATGTGCACATGTTGCTTTCCCTCCTGGCTAAGACTGCAAAAAGTAGCTAATTAAGAGTGCAAGTCCCTGATGTCTGATGAATATAATTTTAAATTCTAACTCCACTACCAGTATATGTATGACTTCGGAAAGTCACCTAAATTATTTAATTTCTCTGAACTTCAATTTCCCCACCTGTAAAATGGGGATAATAACATTTCCTATACCTTTGGGTTGTTGTGGAGATTAAATAATGTAATTACATAAAGCTCTCATCACATTTATAAATATCTACTAGGTATTATTAGACTCTATTCGAACTGCAAATTTAAAACTTAATAGACCCACTGTTGAAAGATCCATTGAAATATTTTCATATCATGCAGGGGATTTTAGTTTGGGGTTATTTGAGGACACGCTAATAAAGACTATTTCTACCCCAATTTTCAGCTCTTACTTGGGTGTCTGAAACTCCAGGGTGCATAGTAACTTTGTATCAGTTAGGTAACTGCCTGTATGAGTTGGACAAGCTCTAGCCACCTGGTCTTCTTTCAGTATGTTTGAATGTTGGAATTCTACGGCATTGCGCTTTTTGTGTAGCACAGGAAGTCAGAAGTCTAGATTTTGATTAACAATCCCAAACAGAGCTAACCATGTTCTTACAAAGGCATAACTTATGCTCAACCACAGTCCATACCCCTCAGGAGTGCGTAATGACCCTAACTCATTCATTTCTCATTCCCTAAGAGAGCAAGTTAAGCATAATCTCTCCCTCATTCATTCAGCCCTTCATTTCACAAACCTTTCCTGAGCACTTGTACTAGGCTCTAAGAACTATGCCAGAAATACAGAAATGCAAGACATAGCTCCAGCCCTCCAGGATCTCAGGAGACTGACAATCAGCACTACGTGCTGTAGGAACCCAAATGGTGTCTAACTCAGTCTGAGGTGTCAGGGAGGAAGCAGTGGCTGGGCTGAATCTGGAAGGATGAGGAGATGTCAACAAGAAATAATAAAAGGGAGGGAGCATCCTTGCTGTTCAAAGCGGAGAGAACAATGGGTAGAGAGCAAGACGATGAGTGTAATGTTACATTGCAGAACCTCAAGTGTGTAAACGAGAAATGAGAGGTGGGTGGAAAGGTTGTCTGGACGCAGATCGTGAAGGTGCTTCTATATCATGGTAATGATGGTGGTATTTTAAGCAAGGAATAAGATGTGGGAGATTTCATGATAACCCTATAGAGAAAAGTAAGATAAGAGGGCAAGGAAACCAACTAGGGGACCAGAGCTGTAAGAGAAGCAAGAAATAAGATTTTGAATAAGAGAGCAACCACAAAGAAAGAAGAGGTGCTGTATTCTAGAGGGAATTAGAAGCAAAATCAACAGGACCGAGTGAGTCATTAGATGTACCTATTGCTTCTAAATTAGGAATGTCAAGATCACTGAGCAGACTATAAATGTTCTCTGACCAAATGTGGGTACACCAAGCAAGGCTTCAAAAGATGGCCAAAGTAAGAGCAAAATCAATGTGCCATGTAGTCAGACGCCAACCAAACCTGACCTGTTTTTACCAACTATGCATTGAAATGTCAGAGGCCAATGAATTCTATGGGATTTTTGTTGAATAGAAAAAAGGAAAGAACCCATACTTTCCAGGTAGTGCAAATTTTTGCATCTGTGTTTATAGTGCTATTTATTCTGAAAGCTCTCTTCGGTCTTTTACAGGAAACTAAGTATATGCTTTTCAGTGTCAATCATCAGACAGCTAAAGACTCTATTTTTCATTGTCATTAAGCAAATCTTCACCTACACAAAACCACTTTGTTTTTAAGGATCTCTAAATAAATAACATTTACTAACCTTGCTGACATTTACTAACCTCACCCATTCTATTTCTTAAAACACCTTGCATGAAGAAAACCCTCCTCATACTTACTGTAACTCTCTCATATGTCCAGGTAAGGCTCTTTCTTCTCATGTTCTCTAGGGTATGTTGAAAAATAGCTGTTTTATGAAAGGGATAGATTTGTATTTGACTAGCTCTTGTGAGTGAAAATGATTTCTTCCTCAGAGATCAACACAAGGTGAACTACACTAAACGTAATTTGCTGCAAATTACACTGCCCAGATTCCACAGCTAATCACTCACCATTTATAAATAAAGGAATTTTGGTTTACAATAGGAGAACTAAAGACTGTGAACACCAATTCCAGAACTAGGCTTATTGTCAAACATTTTCTTGCCTCACAGTTTTTATATAATTTAGAATAAGGCAACCTTTATGGAGTTTATAGTCGAAAGACACGATTTGGGGATATACTTGGCATATGTCTTATGGTAATTCTCCATGCCTCAGAAGGTCTTAGTAAGCTGGATGACTGAGTCTTTCCATGGTTAAGTATTGGCCACATTTTGGGAAGATATTGGCAGGCTGGATATTGGGTGACTGAAATCCAGATTTGGAACCCAGAGAAACAAAAGGAGAATACAGAGTGAAAGGTAGGGCCAATTCAAGGCTGGATGAAGAAAGAAACTGCAGGGTTTTTTTTTTTTTTTTCTAGTCAAGATGTTTTGGGCTGCAAGTCAAGGAAAACCAACTCAAACTGTTTTAACAACAAAAGAAATTTATTAGTTCATGGAACCAAAATGTATAGAAATAATATAGTTTCTAAAACAGTTTGAAGTGGGCTCTAACTTTATTTCACTTCTGTTCTCTTGGATCTATCTTTCTATATTGTGCCATCTTTGTTCTCAGGCTGGCTCCATACTCATTGTACATAAACCCCCATGAACTAATCACCATGACCAGGAAAATATCTCGTTGACACAAGCCAATCACGTCTTGCCCTTGGGTATGAGTGTGGTGGTCAGTCCTACCAAACCATATGTCTACCATAATAGAAAAGGAGTGTAATAGATGCTAGAGAGGCATCAATCCCACTACAATACCCAATAAATTCGTAGTCAATGAGTGCAGAGGGGCAGAGCCAGAAAAGAAGGGAGGCAAAAGAAATTGAAAGCAAAATAGTCATGGCACCATAATCAGACTCAATCCACCCAGCACAAGAGAATCTCACACTGGAGCAAAGCTAGCCTGGGATGACAGGATGATTGCATTTTTCCTGTTGTTCCTAAGAATAACTTTTGAGGGAGGTTTGAAGCCAACACCTACATTCATGACAACCATGTCCTCATGTAAGTTATTAAGAAAAGAACAATAGTGTTTCTTTCATGGCAGTAAATCTCCATGCTAGAATAAGAAAAAGAGACATTCACTTTTTTTCAAGCAACTAATGTGCTAGTTAGTAAATATCTGCTCTTAAGGACAAAGTAGAACTCAGAAACATTGAACATTTTATGAAATAAAACAGCTTGTTTCCTAAGAATTACACTATGTGCAGTGACAGGCTGTTCTAGTACTGACTGATTCCTTCGATAGGAACAAAAAGTTTATACACCAATATTGAATAGGGAAAGGAGAAGGGTCATAGACATAGGGAAAGTGCATTTTATAATTTATCAAGATCTGAGTACAAAGACCGTGTGTTTTGTTTTTGTTTATATTAAAAAGGTCCCTCGGAGAATAAATCAATTAGTAAATATCTTTCACAGTGCTTGGCAAGTAGTAGGTACTCAATAAGTGTTCATTGAATTAAAGTATTTATTGAGTACCTTGTAAGTACTGTGACAGGCATTGATGGTAGCTTAGCAGACACTGCATGTCCCTTGGCACTCACCATGTCTGAGTACATGGATTGCTCTTGTTAAAAGCATCTAAAACTCTCTGCTTGAGGGAGATGGTTAGTCCGTACAAGTGATAGGCTGGAGGTGCTTGGAAGTTAGTGTTGCTGGGAGCAACTTTCTACCAATGATGGATGGGAATGGCTGGTTAAATATTCTAGCTTCTTTGCCCCTCAGGTAGGAAAGCTCTACGTTGTCTCACAGAGGTCCTGAGTAGGACTGAGCTGCAGTTGCCCACAGCACTAACCTGCTCATTAATACATCTTTCTACCCATCCATTTTTCATTTTTCCACTCTCCTGCCAATGCTTCTTGGGATCATCTCCTAAATCAGCTCTTTTTGCTTGCAAAGTTGTCTCATGACTAGCTTGTAGAGGAACACAGCTTATGACCGTAGCTCTCCTAATAGCATTCTCCCTTTCTTTCTGTCTAACAGATCCCAAATACTTTGGAGAGAGGCAATAAGCCTATCCCCAGGATATGAATTATTATTGGGATACACCAAACATGACAATCTCATTTCAGTTTCTACAGCCCAGTCTTGCAGATATGATCACTCTAGTCAATGAGACGTAAGCATAAAACTAATGAAAATTTTCTGAAGAAGCTATTGCTATCATGACAAAAAGTTATAGATGTGACTGCCTTCTTTCTGCTTTAAATGTAATCATGGTACCTGGAAAGAGCTGCAGCAAAGAGATCATAGCAAAAATTTTGCTGGCTGCAACATCATTGACCCTCTGAGCCAACAACAACAATGGCCCATCTCCAAGACTTCTTGTTATGAGAGAAGATAAAGCTTTATTTGTTTGTCAACTTTATTCAGATTTCTGCTACATACAGTCAAAAGCAATCCCAACCAATACAAATACGTTAAGGGTTGAAAGAGATAATAAAGGAACAACTCATGACTGTTTTACTGGGGAGTGAAAACTAAGTTATAAAACAATTAGACCATTTGTATTAACTCTAAGGTAATTGGTGTGATGTAATAGTTTGTTCAAGCACAGGTTGAACAACTAATTGGGATAGATTGAAGGGTTATAGGATGTTTAAGACTAGAGGATCTTTTAGGTCCCTTCCAGCCTTAAGTTTCTATCATTCTCTCACTACAGGGAAGGAAATAATTGGAGGAGTAGTCCCAGCAGTAAGAGAGAAGAAAGAAAGACATGGGCCTTGGAAGATAGATAGGATATGAGTAAAATGAAGCAAAGAGCATTGCGATTAGAGCAAGGTGTTGGAAATGTATGCTGCAGAAATACTGCCTAAAACCTGGAAGTCTCATAGCTGAAAGCACCAAACTTTGGTCCCCCTCTCGCCACCAAAATGAAGAGAGAATGCAGCTGGAGATGATGAATTTCAGTGTGGATGTAGATGCAGACATAACAGCCATTTCAGAAGAGCATGTTTCACCTATAATATCTGCTATAACTGAAGTCAGCTGATCTTGCTTTTAAACCCTTTTAGGAATTTCAAAATCAGCTCAATGGATAATGACAAAAGTGTTAACTTCTGTGACACCATTCTCTAAAGATGAAACCATAATGTCATCAGGGGTGGTGTTAAATGCCAGACTGAAGAGAAAGTGGAAGAGACAGATACGGTGGAATGCAAGGATACTGGACCCCTGAGAGCAGCCTGTTGTCATTGCTTGGCATTTACAGCATCTGTAATTCATTAGCTATTCTTTTCTTTTTTAATGAGGAAACAGAAAGGAGATCAAGGAATGAGCTCAAAGCAACCAAAAAAATCTTTTCAGTAGTAAGATAAACAAATGTTACCATGAGTCTGAAAGCTAGAATTCTACAAGGGGAAGAAATATATGGCCCCTGCTAATTTTAACCAGGACCATTGCCTGTGTAATTGCCATAATAATAAAAGCTACTGGTATCTATATTTTACAAACTGCTATTAACTAAATTACCTCATTCAAACCTCACACACACACACACACATACACACACATACACACACACAAAACAGAAGGTAGGAAAGTCAAAAATTAGATCCTCATTTTACAAAGGAGAAAACTGAGGCCCACAGAGGTTAAGCAATCAGCCAAATAACAACGAAGGCCACCTAGCTGGCAAGGAAACAGAACCCCATGCAAACTCCCATTATCTGTTTATTACCCCTCCCTACCATGTAGGTTTTGGCTACAACAAACCAACTTGATGGCCAAGTCTGGTTAATCCTGGAGTGCCAAGACACAGGCCAACACAGAGATACGTAACTTGTTAGGATTTATGTAATTCACTCAACTCACTAAATTAATTATTTATTAAATGCTGCCCATGTGTCAGACACCATGCTATGTACCTTGGGTCCTTAGGGAAAGAAATTGTAAACTCCTGGCCTTGAGGAGTTTACAATTCCCTTCAAAGGACCCAAGTGTCTTTGAGTTACTCTCCTAATATCTGAGGCAGAATCCCTTCCCAGGGGAGGCACTTTCAGCTCACTCTGGTGCTGGAGTGACACCTGCTGTGATTTGCTGACTGGATCACGAAAGACATGGAGATTTACAGAAGTGAACAAAAAAGAATGGTGAGGGACACTAAGAAATTCACTCAAAACCATAAAATTACATAGAAGTTAAATAACCTACTCCTGAATGACTTTTGGGTAAATAATGAAATTAAGGCAGAAATTAAGAAGTTCTTTGAAACTAAAGAGAATAAAGACAAAACATATTAGAATCTCTGGAACATAGCTAACACAGTGTTAAGAGGGAAATTTATAGCACTAAATGCTCACATCAAAAAGTTAGAAAGATCTCAGTTTAACAACCTAACATCACAATTAAAAGAACTAGAGAACCAAGAGCAAACCAAGCCCAAAGCTAGGAGAATACAAGAAATAACCAAAATCGGAGCTGAAATGAAGGAGATCGAGACACAGACACACAGACACACACACACACACACACACACATCATTCAAAAGATCAATGAATCCAGGAGCTAGTTTTTTGATAAAATTAATAAAATGGATAGGCTGCTACCTAGACTAATAAAGAAGAAAGGAGAGAAGATTCAAATAAGCACAATTAGAAACGACAAGGGGAATATTACCACTGATCCCACAGAAATACAGATGACAATCAGAAAATATTATGAACATCTCTATGCACATAAACTAGAAAATCTAGAAGAAATGGACAAATTCCTGAACACATACACCCTCCTAAGACTGAACCAGGAAGAAACTGAATCCCTGAACAGATCAATAATGAGCGTGGAAATTGAGTCAGTAGTCAGTAGCCTACCAACCAAAAAAAGCCCAGAATCAGATTCACAGCTGAATTCTACCAGATTTACAAAGGGTATCTGGTACTATTTATTCTGAAACTATTCCAAAAACTTGAGTAGGAGAGACTCCTCCCTAATTCATTCTATGAGGCCAGCATCATCCTGATACCAAAACCTGGCAGAGACACAACAAAAAGAAGAAAACTTCAGGCCAATATCCTTGATGAACATCAGTGCAAAACTCCTCAATAAAATACTGGCAAACTGAATCCAGCAGCCATTAGAAAGCTTATCCATCATGATCAAGTATCCCTGGGATGTAAGATTGGTTCAACATATGCAAATCAATAAAAGTGATTCATCACATAAACAGAACTAAAGACAAAAAAAAACACATAATTATCTCAATAGATACAGAAAAATCCCTCAATAAAATTCAACATCCATTCATGTTAAAAACTCTCAATAAACTAAGTATTGAAGGAACATACCTCAAAATAATAACAGCCACCTATGACAAATCTATGGCCAACATCATAGTGAATGGGCAAACGCTGGAAGCATTCCCCTTGAAAACCGGCACAAGACAAGGATGCCCTCTCACCACTCCTATTCAGCATAGTATTGGAACTTCTGGTCAGGGCAATCAAGCAAGACAAAGAAATAAAGAGCATTCAAATCGGAAGAGAGGAAGTCAAACTATCTCTCTTTGCAGATGACATTATCTTATATCCAGAAAAACCTATAGTCTCAGTCCAAAAGCTTCTTAAGCTGATTAACAACTTTAGCAAAATCTCAGGATACAAAATCAATGTGCAAAAATCACTAACATTCCTATACACCAATAACAGTCAAGGCAAGAGCCAAATCAGGAACACAATACCATTCACAATTGCCACACACACATACACACACACAGTACCTAGGAATACAGCTAACCCGGGAGGTGAAAGATCTCTGCTAGGCGAACTACAAAGCACTGCTCAAAGAAATCAGAAATGATACAAACAAGTGGAAAAACAATCCATGATCATGGATAGGAACAATCGATAGTGTAAAAATGGCAATACTGCCAAAAGCAATTTATAGATTCAATTTATAGTTTCCTATTAAACTACCATTGACATTCTTCACAGAACTAGAAAAAAAACTGTTTTAAAATTCATGTGAAACCAAAAAAGAACCTGAATAGCCAAGACAATCCTAAACAAAAAGAACAAAGCTGGAGGCCATGCCACCAAACTTCAAACTATCATACAGGGCTACAGTAACCAAAACAGCATGGTACTGGTACAAAAGCATAGACCAAGGGAAGGGAATAGAGAACCCAGAAATAAGGCCACACACATACAACTATCTGATCTCTGACAAAACTGACAAAAACATGCAATGGCAAAAAGATCCCCTGTTCAATAAATGGTGCTGGGAGAATTGGCTAGCCATATGCAGAAGATTGAAACTGAACCCCTTTCTTACACCATATACAAAAAACTACTCAGCTATAAAAAGAAATGAAATAATGACATTTGCAGCAAACTGGATGGAATTGGAGACCGTTATTCTAACTCAGGGATGGAAAACCAAATATTGTATGTTCTCACTCATAAGCGGGAACTAAGCTATGAGGACATAAAGGCATAAGAATGATACAATAGACTTTGGGGACTTGGGGGAAAGAGTGGGAGTGGGGTGAGGGATAAAAGACTACACATTTGGTACAGTGTACACTGCTTGGGTGATGGGTGTAACAAAATCTCAGAAATCACCACTACGGAACTTATTCACGTAACTGAACACCACCTGTTCCCCAAAAACTTATTCAAGAAAAAAAGAGCTCACTATCAAAAAAACAAAGACAAAACAAAACAAAGAAAGGGATGGAAGGGGATAACATTAGAATGGCAAGGGATCATGGGATGGAGTTCAGATAGAAGATCAGAGAGGGAAGAAGGGGAGAAAGGAATTAGGGAGGTAGATTATGGATGGTGAGGCACATGTCAGTAGTGTTTACTAGTAGTTCTGGTTCTCCTCTTCTCCCAACACAAGGGAAGATTATGCTTCTTTAACCCCATGGAGTTAGGCATGGCTGTGTGACTTCCTTTGGCCTGTTAAAGAAGAGTGGAAGTGACAGGTGTCTCTCCTGGATGGAAGCACTTCAAAGCTCGTATGTGATTCCCCTTGCATTCTCCTCTGTTAGAATGTTGAGACGGTGATGTCAGTCACATGGCCAACTCTCTGTCAGCCTGTGTCCCTGAGTGACAATGCTAATATAGCATCCCTCAAGTGACATGCTTTAGACGTGAAGTGTGAGTGATAAATAAATCTGTGTTGTTTTAATCCAAAAAAAGATGGATTAAAAAGATTTAAATGTAAAACCCACAACTATAAAAATCCTGGAAGACAACATAGGCAATACCATTCTGGACACAGGAACAGGCAAAGATTTCGTGACAAAGACACCAAAAGCTATTGCAACAAAAGCAAAATTGACAAATGATATCTAAATAAACTAAAGAGCTTCTGCACAGCAAAGGAAACTATCAACAGAGTGAGCAGACAGCTTACAGAATGGGAGAAAATTTTTGCAAACTATGAATCTGACAAAGGTCTAATATCCAGAATCTATAAGGAATTTAAACAAATTAACAAGCAAAAAAACCAGCCCCATTAGAAAGTGGGCAAAGGATATGAACAGACACTTTTCAGAAGAAGACATACATGTGGCCAGCAAGCATATGAAAAAAACTCAGCTTCACTGATCATTAGAGAAATGAAAAATCAAAACCACAATGAGATACCATCTCACACCAGTCAGAATGGCTATTAATAAAAAGTCAAAAAATAATAGATGCTGTCGAGATTGCAGAGAAAAAGGAACACTTATACACTGTTGGGAGGAGTGTAAATTGGTTCAACCATGTTGGAAGACAGTGTGGTGATTCCTCAAAGACCTAAAAACAGAAATACCATGTGACCCAACAATCTCATTACTGTGTACATACTGAAAGGACTGGAAGTCATTCTATTATAAAGACACTTGCACATGTATGTTCACTGCAACTCTATTCACAGTAGCAAAGACACAGAGTCAACCTAAATGCCCATCAATGGTAGACTGGATAAAGAAAATGTGGCATGTATATACCATGGAATACTATGCAGCTAGAAAAAAGAATGAGATCGTGCCCTTTGAAGGAACATGGATGGAGCTGGAAGCCATTATCCTTAGGAAACTAATGCAAGAACAGAAAACCAAATACTGCATGTTCTTACTTATAAGTGCAAGATTAATGATGAGAATACATGGACACATGGTGAAACAACAAACACTGAGGCCTATCAAAGGATCGAAGATGGGAGGAGGGAGAAGGTAGGAACAATAACTAATGGGTACTAGGCCTAATACCTGGGTGACAAAATAATCTGTACAACAAGCCACTTACTTTTGTTACTTATGTAACAAACCTGCACGTGTACACCTGAACTTAAAAGTTAAATTTAAAAGAAGAATGATAAGGAATGCCTAGGGGCAATGTAAGAAGCTCTACAATCATACAGTCCAGTAGAACTTTCTGGGGTGATGAAGATGTTCTATATCTGCACTATCCCATTTGGTAGCCACTTTGAAATGTGACTAGTATGACTGAGGAACTGAATTTTTAATGTTAACTTTTGGTAATATAATAACCATATGTATACAGTGGCTGTCATATTGGACAGCACAGATCTAGAAGCTAATCCTAGAGCTGAACAAGGGAAGCATGTTTTGCATAATAGTGTAGGAAAAGCTACAACTTCTCTTTGTGCAGAGATAGAAACGTATTTTCTTTTCTTTTTTTTTTTTTTTTTTTTTTTTTGAGATGGAGTCTTGCTCTATCGCCCAGGCTGGAGTGCAGTTTTGCAAGCTCAGCTTGCTGCAGCCTCTGCCTCCCAGGTTTAAGCGATTCTCCTGCCTCAGCCTCCTGAGTAGCTGGGGTTACAGGTGTGCACCACCATGCCCAGCTATTTTTTTTTTTTTTTTGTATTTTTAGTGGAGACAGAGTTTCACCATGTTGGTCAGGCTGGTCTCGAACTCCTGACCTTGTGATCCACCTGCCTTGGCCTCCCAAAGTGCTGGGATTACAAGTGTGAGCCACCGCACCTGGGCGGAAATGTATTTTCTT
Source organism: Homo sapiens (assembly GCF_000001405.40). NCBI lineage: Eukaryota > Metazoa > Chordata > Mammalia > Primates > Hominidae > Homo > Homo sapiens. Next base: position 28,551,443 of record NC_000003.12, on the reverse strand, counting down.
AATAGCTAGGGCCAAAATTTGTATAGGAAAGAGAGCTGTCTTTTCTTGGAAAACTGTCTTGGTAAGCTAATTGGGGTAACACTAAGGCTCTGAGAACATGAGTGTTGCACTAGTTTAGGGTCTCTGAATCTCAGCACTATTGATATTTTGGACTAGATAATTCTTTGTTGTAGGATGTTTTCAGCATCCCTGGCCTATACTGATTAGATGCCAATATCACTCCCAGTTGTGACAACCAACCAAAAAGTGTCTCTAGACATTGCAAAATACCCCATTGGTACTAAAATTGCCCCTGGTTAAGGACCACAGAAACAATTTAAGTAATAAAACCATTGCCAAGCTGCTTGACAGGACAAATCAAGAAAAAGTAGGATTTGCTCTTGGGAAAGATAGGGAGAAAAAAGACTTGAGGAGATGAGGAAAGCAGATAAGGAGGGAACATCTGGGGAGAGGCATGAGGTAGGTGTTTTGGGTTGTTTGGGTAAAGTACCAGTGGGAATGCCCAGGGGCATGCAGAAGAAGAAAATTTAAGAATAAGAAAGTTAGCTTTTCAACCTGGAGTTCCTTGTAATACCATGATGTAAAATTCCCTTCATATCTTCCTACACCTGACCAGTAAAATTAACTATGCTTTGCAAATGTTTCTGCAAGCCAATTTTTATTGGAATCAAGAAAGAAGCTAACAGCCATACTTGGACTAAATTACAAATCTAAAGCAGGTACCTGGGTATAAGGTGATAACAATAATGAAGATAACAGACTGAATTCATTGAGTTTTTTTTATGTGCCAGGCACTGTTCTAAGTGTACCTTAGAACATCTAAATGCCGCCCCATATATTAGCCTCAATTTACATATGAGGGTATTGAAGTACAGAGAGACAAATTGCCTGTATCAGTTAGGGTTCAACTAGGAATGGAGAGCCACCCTACTATTAAGGCGGTTCTGCACCCTACCATATAGTAAGCTCTTCTGCATATAGTAAACTCTTCTTACTATTATGGAGTAAGGAGTGTGCCAAAGTAAGGAGACCTTGCCTAATTATGAGAAGAGCTAGAGAAGTAAAGTTCCAGAGAAGGGGAAGTAGAGGATCAGAGAAAAGTCAATAACAGGGACCACACCACAGATGGACAAGTGGGAGCTGGCAAGCACCTCCTGTCACTGGGATGGGATCACAGTTAGGGGGTAAGTATCTTTTGGTGGGCCTGGGGCCTGTGCTGGTCAATGGCTTGTAGTCCAAGAATGGGATGTGAAATGGAGAAAACTAAGACAATCTACCCGTAGGTACCCCTGGGTCTGTCCCGCACCACAGCTCTCTCCCTGATGCCTTTTACCCAACAGCTTAAAATTCACTTGAAAGGCAAATATTCACACTTAACATTTATGCAAGCAGATGTTCCTGCAATATTACTTATAAGTAAAATAACACTTTGCTTATTATAAACAACTAAAATAATAGGAAAAGATTGTGTAAGTTATAGTATAGCCACTGAAATATTTTCAAGACTTTAATGATATAGAGGAAAGATTATTATATAATGTTAAACAGTGTTATGAACTGAATTGTGTCCCCTCAAAATTCATATGGTGAAACCCTAACTCCCAAAGTGACTGTATTTGGAGGTAGGGTCTTTAAAGAGGTAATTAGGTTCAATAAAGGCATAATCCAATATGACTGGTGTCCCTATAAGAAGAGGAAGAGCACCAGGAGTGCATAGAGAAAAGGTCTCATGAGGACACTGAGAGAAGACTGCCATCGGCAAGCCAAGGAAAGGGGCCTCAGGAGAAAACAAACCTCCCATCACCTTGACCTCAAACTTCCAGCCTTCAGAAGTGTGAGAAACAAATTCCTGTTCTTTATGCCACCAAGTCTGTGATATTTTGTTATGGCAGCCATAGTAAACTAATACAGATTGATTGGAAAAGTATGTATGTGTGGTGTGTGTATATACACCAATGATCCAATTTTTAAAAAGGTTTTCTCATACACATAGAGAAATGACTAGAAGGAAATATACTAAAACCCCACTGGGAGGTTATGAAGATTTTTATTTTATTCCTATGTTATATTTTTCTCTGAGTGATTTATATAGGAATAATTTTAAATTGTTTAGTGTGCATCATTCATTTATGTAGCCTTTTTAAAATTTTTTCTTGATGTATATATATACTCTGCTTTATTACAGAAGAGATCTACAACTAAAATTCTTTCCTAAAAACAAACCTTGTTTTTCAAAAATGATGTTAACTCACTTATTAAAGAAATGAGGTAAATATTTTAAATCCTTGTTCATCAGCATCTCAAATGAGGTGAAAGCTCTGTTTTGGATGTCACAGATGGTCCCCAGTTCCTGCCCTCAGCATTGCAACAAAATGGGCCAGGACAGCTCCCCAGCTAGAATGGTCAGCCTTGGTGCTGAAGGGGCTCAACCTCAGGTAAGGAGCACCCCTACCTTCTGCTCCTCTCTCCTCCCCTCTCTAGCCACACAACACCTACAAGACTGAGGGAACTCAGCCAGTCTTGAGGTGCTGGAGAATCTGACAACTGAAGATTCACCTTCTAGTGGGGTTATGTTTGAATGTGGCTTGGCACTGCAATTTTTTAAGGAATAAAGAATAGGGAAACACTTTTGGCCATTCTCTCCCTCTCACCCTTCCTCTCTCACTCTCTCCTCGTATCCTAAAATTATGCATTGTTTCACTAAAAAGGAATTCCCTATGATTTTCTAAGTCTGATGCCTGTTCTGCTCATGGCTGTGATAGAGCAGTTAGGAGTGGAGCAGACAGACATCCTGGAAGGACAATCCCAGTTATACAACCTGGGCAATTGGTAACAGAGTGCTTCCACATGGGTTTATGGGAAACGCTGACCCGTGGAAGGTGCCCAGGAATGGAAAGATGAGCAGGAGATCCATACAGCCTAGCAGAGAAGTTTATCAGAACGAATCAGAGCCCTGACTTCCTCTCTTGCCATGGATGCATGCAAGATAGGTAAGTGTGAGGAAGCTGTGGGAAAATGTTCTGGGCTTAGAACCCTTTCCCCCTGTAGTGGTATGATTCCTACATATTTCATTTATCTGGAAATATAATTTCCTGTATGTTCTCTAGCAATGAGGTTCTCATCCAATTTCAGTGTCTCTGCACAAGGCCAGCTCGCTTTCTCACTGGGCAACTTGGAATAACACACATTTGGCACAATTGGCTAAATCATTTTCATTTCCATACCAGCAGGTTCCAACCAAGGCAACCTAATCAATCTTCTGACCATCTACATTAATCCCCAAAATGACCCAGATAATCTGATTGGCTGCAGTGCACCCAGTGACAATTTACATCAGACCATCTGGTGATTCTATGTCCTCCAAGGGTAGCCCAGAAGGGCCATCTGCTTTAATGTTCCGTATGTCCTGCTGAAGGAGGCAAAGGTTGAGGCTGACCACACACCAGCAAGCCATTCTCCTCCTGCCCATGCATGGACCAAAGAAATCCTGAAATGCACTGTAATTCAGCTGCTCACAACCTGCAGAGCCTGCTTTGCATTCTCCATGAACACATGGTAATATTCAGAATGCAAATTAAACTTTATGGGTGCCATAACCTTGGCCATTTATTGCAGCAGATTCTGTAATTGCCTGATGTTGCTAATACAGCCAAGACTACTTTGACTTTTTCTTTTACTTTTTTTTTTAACTTTTGCAGATCAAGCTGCCATGTTGATTAAGCAATCCTGTTGTTTCTTTGCGGTATTTCTTTAGCTAATGTATTAGTTAAGGTTCTTTCTCATACAAGCAACGGGAATCAGTTTCAGCTAGAGATGGGCAGTAAAATTGAGAATAAAATATATTAGCATGCTCAAGTTCAAGTAGTACTTGGGAAATTAGTAGAGTTAACATTCTGAAGGAAAATAGGTTTGCACAATAATACAAGGAAAAATATAGGTTAATTTAAGAGCAACTGGTGACTACATACTAGAAGGTAAAAGTTGCTCTTTGAATAATTTGAACCACAAAGGCATCTGTGGTTTGTACTAACTTGGAAGAAAATCACCAGCATTAGAGCTGTCACCAAGGGAAAACCAGGAAAGTCTGGGCTATTGTTGGCCTATATAACATCTGTGTGCAAATTAGAAAAAGGTGTGCATTTCTCTAGACAGGTAAAGCCTGCCGTAAGCAAGCATATTCCATTGTAACCTTCATCCCTGAAGATGCCACCACCAAATAAAATGTCCCAGGACAGCAATTCCCCCTCCTATATTTTAATGACATGGTGATACAAGGAGGTGAACGTAAAAATCCTAATTTGAGAATGGAACTAGGTAGCATTTCCAGAATGTCCAGGGGTATGGACTTCCCCAAAGAAGATGTCAGGTAGAAACGTAGGTGGAGTTAAAAGAGAAGTCTAGGGATTTGAATAAAAACTAAACCTCAAGCATATTCTTTGAGATGCCCTGGATTACAAGAGACCTGTTTTCCTCCCACTGTCCCAGTGAACCACCAGTGTAAAGAAATCAGACTTAAGTTCATTGTCTTTTGCCTTCCCTACCTAGTGCCATGGTCATGAGAACTGGATCTTAAACCAGGACACTGTCGAGCTAATTCCTTTGGCAATACTTATGAGCTGGACTTGGCATGCAGCAATGTCCAAGGTGGTTCCTGCTTGTTATTTCTGAGGTGGCTAAAAGAAACTAATGTATTGAATGGACATGGGGCAAACAACAATCAGCAATCAACACAACCAATATTCTGCCATAGCCCCGTGATAAATTGCATAAAGGACCCTCGTTCTTCACCTCCCCATGTCATATGAATTTGTCATTCCTCTCTCTAAGAGGCAGAGTCTGTCTCCCCACTCTCTTAGATTGTTTGTATCCCTAAAACAAAATACCACAAAGTGAGTAATTTATAAACAGAATGTATTTCTCACAGTTCTGGAGGCTGGGAAGTCCAAGATCAAGTTTCTGGCTAGTTCAGTCTCTGGTGAGGGGAATATCACTCTGTCTGAGATGGTGTTTGGTTTCTGTGCTCTCTGGAGGGGATGAATCTTGTCACATGGCAGAAAAGATGGAAGGGCAAAATAGAGCCTAAGCTGGTTCCCTCCACCTTTTTTATAAAAATTTAAAATTTAAAGACAACATTTTTATAACTCTGAAAAGTATACAAAATTATAAATGAAAGTCCCCACGTGCCAGGTTTTTATTTATCTTAAATTTTTAAAAAGCCAATACATAGTCTTACCTCACTTAAGCTGTTGACTTAATAGCTCTTGAGAAGCTATACTGCTTTTCCTACAACACCTCCTCCCCAACCCACCACCCCATTTGGGCGGCATATAAACAACTTTTCATCTAAAAATACATAAATGAATAAGCTGCAAGGAATGATATTTTGACATTACCGTATTAGTCAGAGACATGCTAGCCAATTTACTAAACAGTTTCAGGTCATAAAATAGCATATAAAATAAATTTAACTTATGCACTATGTATAAAATAACCCAAAGTGTTTTTGCTGTCATTTACATGCTAAGGAACAAGAAAGAGGTGGCCTCGTCTATAACTTTTCGGTCTGTTGTACTGAATGTATGCAATTTCTGCATGTTTCAGAATTCTCACACATAGAGGGTTTATTTGGTCCCAAAAGTGCTTTTCTGTTCCATAATTTTATTTTTAAGTTTATTTTGACTTCAAGGTAACCACAAGTTCCCATAGGGTTGAAAACTAGGTGAAAGTATAAGTACAGAAAGAAGAATGCGTGCTTCAAAAAATGACTTCCTCCTGGGCAGGGCATGGTGGCTCACGCCTGTAATCTCAGCACTTTGGGAGGCCGAGGCGGGTGGATCATGAGGTTAGGAGATTGAGACCATCCTGGCTAACACAGTGAAACCCTGTCTCTACTAAAAATACAAAAAAATTAGCCAGGCATGGTGGTGGGTGCCTGTGGTCCCAGCTACTTGGGAGGCTGAGGTAGGAGAATGGCGTGAACCCAGGAAGCAGAGTTTGCAGTGAGCCGAGATCCTGCCACTGCACTCCAGCCTGGGCGACAGAGCAAGACTCCGTCTCAAAAAAAAAAAAAAAAAAAAACTCCCTCCTATCAGTCCTGTGCAAAAAAAATGAGTAGAAAAAGGCATCTCAGTTGGTCATGATTCTTTACCTGTTGGAGTGACCCAAACCTTGATTCTTAAAGGGTCTTGGGCCATTAGTAGCCTTGCCTGGATGGGACTGTTGTAGTTTTTCACTGACATTAATCATAGGCCATGGTAATACTAAGAGACTCCTTACATACTCTTCCTTACTTCCATTGTAGAGTAGTAGTACAATTCCCCCTTGGTAGTCAGGGTCAATCACTCCAGCCAGCACAGTAACTCTCTTATTTATCTGTTGATTCAAAAACATGGGAAGTCCAGCATGGCTGGGGGCGGTCTTAACTTCTATTTCAATGGAATCACTGTTGTGTCTTCTAGTAGAAGCATTTCTCCCTTTGGAACTAAGACCTCTAGGCCAGCAGAGCATAAAGTCACAGGAACAAGAAGCAAAAATTTTGCCAGTAGGTCACTAGGGGTAATGGCAAGTACTGCCATTTTCATTTCTACTCCTTGATGCCTGAAATGTGAATCCTGGGTATAGAAGAAATAGCACCACATATCAGACACTGATTCAGAGCATATACAGCCTTCTACAGAACCTTGTCCCACCCCTGCCATTGTAACTGAGTCTTCAAAAGGCCATACCATTTCCAGATGGTAGAAAATATAAAACCAGTGAATTCCATAAACATGGGCTCCTTACCACACTTTTTTTTTTTTTTTTTTTTTGCTGTGAGTTCCATGAGTGTGGATAAAATATTCTAAAAGTCCATGATGGTAGTTTTAGCAGAAGCATTGCATGCAGAGAAGGCAAATCTGTATCTAGAATAAGTGTCCATGCCAGTAAGAACAAAATGCTGCTCATTCCATGATGGAAGCAGTCCAATGTAATCAACCAAGAAGCTGGCAGATCACCCCAGGGAATGGTGCCATACAGGGATTCAATGTTGGTCTCTGCTGCTGGCAGATTTCACGCTCAGCAATAGCTGTAACAAGGTTGGTCTAGATGAGTGGAAGTCCATGTTGCTGAGCCCATGCCATCACGATGACTTTATTCATGAACCCTTTGGGTGATGACGGGGGAGGCTGGGAAAGAGTCTGACTGCTATCCACAGAAAGAATCATCCTAACCACTTACTTATTAAAATCCTCCTCTCCTGAGGCCACCATTGGTGAGCATTCACATGAGACACAAATATCATCATGGTTTTTGTCCATTCAGAGAGATCTATCCATATACCTCTTCCTCCAATTTCCTTGTTATCAATTTTCCAGTCATGTCCAAATCTCTCATTACTATCCAGCAAAACCACTAGCCTAGCCCATGAATCAGTGGCTAGGCTAGTGAATCTAATGGCACATCTGGTCATTTCTCCTTTCAAGCAAAGTGAACAATCAGATTCACTTCTTGAAGTTATGCTCACTGGGAAGATTTTTCTTCACCATTGTGCTTCAGAAACATCCCAGATTGGGGCTATAGGTTTGCAGCTGTCCACTTTCAGGTGATGCCTGCAGGTAATGCAGAACTCTCTGTTAACAAAGGCCAAGGCTTCTCTTCCACTGTCAACTGACCATAGGGAATTCCCCAAAAAGCCAGAGGTGCAGGCTGGGAGAAAGAATAACCCAGTTTGTATGAGCATCTCAGATCACAAGGTAGCTTGGTGGCCCATGGTTAAGCACCCAGCTTTTGCTAAGGCTCAGTAGCAGGCCAAGAGGTATTTCCCAAAAGGACCATAGTTCTGTGGATGATGGCAAGACTTTGCTCCAAAATCCTAAAGGTCTATACTGTGATTCACCCATAAGGACCTGTCAAAGCCTCCAAATAGCATCTCTATATGCACTGACATTTCAGGCATCATAGAATCTGCAGGATCATATGGCCCAAGTGGCAAAGCAGCTTAAACAGGAGCCTGGACCTGTTGCAGAGTCTTCTCTTCCTCTGGGCTTCTCACAAAATGAGAAGCTTTTCAGGTCACTTAGTAAAAGGGCTAGAGAAACACATCCAACTGAGGAATATATTGCCTCCAAAAATCTAAGGAGGCCCACTAAGCATTGTGCCTCATTTGTGGTTGTAGGAGGGGCTAGATGCAACAACTTATTCTTCATCTTGGAAGAGATATCTTGACATGTCCCACACCACTGAGCCCCGAGAAATTTAACTGAAGTAGAAGTCCTTGAATTTATATGGGTTTATTTCCTACCCTCTGGCATGCAAATGTCTTACCAATAATTCTATAATGTTGGCTACTTTGTGCTCACTAGGTCCAATCAGCACAGTGTCATCAATGTAATAAACTAGTGTGATACCTTATGGAAGGTAAAGATGATCACGATCCCTGTGAACTAAATTATGACAAAAGGTTGGAAGGTTAATACACCCCTGAGGTAGGACAGTAAAGGTATATTACTGGCCTTTCCAGCTGAAAACACACTGCTTTTGGAAGGCCTTATTGACAAAAATGGAGAAAAGGCCTTTGCCAGATTATTAACCTCATACCATGTTGGGGGGTGTGTTAATTTACTCAAGCAATAAAACCACATCTGGTTTAGGAGCTAAGCTGTGGTTTGAATGCATACCCTTCAAAATTTAGGTGTTGCCAATGTGATAGTATTAAGAGGTGGGACCTTCAAGAGGTGATTAGATCTTGAGGGCTTCTCCCTTATAAATAGGATTAAGGTTCTTATTAAAAAAACAAAAAGCTTCACACAGCATTTGACTTACTATTTTCCTAGGTAGAGGCAGTTCTAGTGGCTTCCACTTGGCCTTTCCCACAATGATAGCCCTCACAGCACAAGTTAGGGAACCAGTGTGGGGATTTCACCAGCTGCTAAGTACAACTATTCCAATTATGCATTTTGGAACTGGAGAAATAACCACAGGCTAGGGTTGAGGACCTACAGGGCCCACTATGAAATTGTCTTCAGCTAAAACTTCATTGATTACCTGACCCCTCCATCAGCCCCTACTTTCACCGGTGGACCCAAAGTGACATTTTGGGTCTCCTGGAATTAGTATCAGTTCAGAGCCAGTATCCAGTAATTCCCCAAAGTTCTGATTATTTCCTCTCCCCAGTGCACAGTTACCCCAGTAAAAGGCCAAAAGTTCCTTTGGTCTATGAGGAAGGTTAACAGTAAATTTTTGGCAGTGTCCCATGGTCTCTTCTGAAGAGGACCCAGCCTCCCCTTCATTCATGGCACTCTATGTCTATAATCTTGCTCAAGTCTGGAAATTGATTGAGGAGTTGTGACTCTGTGTTTATGATTCAAATTAGAATTTTGTTCACTTGATCTAGAACATTTCTGCTTATACAGATCCAATAAGAATTTAGTAGGCTTTTTTCTGTTTCACTTCTAGGGACATCATGATCAATTAGCCAACACCCTAAGTCTTTGTGAGTCAGGCTATTCTAATTGCCACTTTGACTCTTCTGTCCATTATGGTAACAATGTCTTCCTTCCCTTTAGCAGTTGCGTGATGCCACTTGGCCTTTGCCACCCAGGGATTCAATTACTTCAATTACTCCCATTGCATTTTAATTTCCCAATTCAATCACTGCAATCCCTACTGTAAGGTCTGGCCTAGAGTGATGAGTGGAGTGAGTGATCATGGAATTCTGAAGAGGTAGCTGGGACTCCCTTCACAAATTTCTCTCTCAAAGTATTGATGAAAGGTACATCTTCTGGGCTTTCCCACAGTGGGTTAGTAGGTCTTAAATGAAAACTCCACTCTAACCTTACAATCTCTCTAAGCCATTGAATCTCTTCCTCAACATTCAACCAAGGCAGGTCTGGCCTTTCTAATTCCCTCATCATAGGTCACCTTTTGGTCCAATGTTGCAGGAGTCAGGGACCCCAAACAGAGGGACCAGCTGGAGCCGCAGCAGAGGAATATAAATTGTGTAGATTTCATGGACATTTATCAGTTCCCAAAATTAATACTTTTATAATTTCTTATGCCTGTCTTTACTGCAATCTCTGAACATAAATTGTGAAGATTTCATGGACATTTATAAGTTCCCAAATAATAGTCTTATAATTTATTATGCCTGTCTTTACTTTAATCTCTTAATCCTGTTATCTTCGTAAGCTGAGAATGTATGTCATCTCAGGACCACTATTGTACAAATTGATTGTAAAACATGTGTGTTTGAACAATATGAAATCAGTGCACCTTGAAAACGAACAGAATAACAGTGATTTTAGGGAACAAGGGAAGACAACCATAAGGTCTGACAGCCTGCGGGGTCGGGCAGAATAGAGCCATATTTTTCTTCTTGCAGAGATCCTATAAACGGACGTGCAAGTAGGAGAGATATCGCTGAATTCTTTTCCCAGCAAGGAATATTAATAATTAAACCCTGGGGAAGGAATGCATTCCTGGGGGAGGTCTATAAACGGCTCCTCTGGGAGTGTCTGTCTTATGTGGTTGAGATAAAGACTGAAATACGCCCTGGCCTCCTGCAGTACCCAGGCTTATTAGGATGGGGAAGAAACCCCACCCTGGTGAATTTGAGGTCAGACTGGTTCTCTGTTCTCAAACCCTGTTTTCTGTTGTTTAAGATGTTTATCAAGACAATACATGCATAGCTGAACATAGACCCTCATCAGTAATTCTAATTTTGCCCTTTGCCTTGTGATCTTTGCTTTGCCCTTTGCCTTGTGATCTTTATTGCCCTTTAAAGAATGTGAACTTTGTGACCTACTCCCTGTTCATACATTCCCTCCCCTTTTGAAGTCCTTAATAAAAACCTGCTGGTTTTGCAGCTCAGGTGGGCAACATGGACCTACCGATAAGTGATGTCATCCCCGGCGGCCCAGCTGTAAAATTTCTCTCTTTGTACTTTCTCTTTATTTCTCAGACCGGCTGACACTTAGGGAAAATAGAAAGAACCTACATCGAAATATTGGGGGCCGGTTCCCCTGATAGTCCAAGTTTTAGCCAAACAACAAAACAGTTACAGTTCTTCCTAACTCCCAAGCTGCAACATTAAATGCAGAATCTCTGCTTAGTAAGCCTATATCAGCAAATTCAGCCTGATACAACTTTATGTTTTTTCCACCATTATTCCACACCCTCAACATTCATTTCCTCATATGCTCCCCATTTCTGTCTATATAAATTAGAAAACTCACATAGTTCTTTTGTAGTGTAGTGCAACTCCTCATGGGTCATTCTTTGTACCTCACCTTTAAAGTGCTGGTAGGGCTTGAGTTTAGTTATCATTATAGAAGCAAAGAGGGGTTCTGGGGGTGGGTCCTGAGGACAGTCAGCATTGTCTTGCATGGCAACTGCATCAGAGGAGGCTATTATAGTTTCCTCAGGCAATACAGAGTCAATACCCTCAGACAGAGGGTAGAAAGGCCACCATAACTAGCGAGGTGACTTCTACTGGCAAAAACACTAATCAGAATTTAGGGGGTCAGGGTCCCCAGATTCATCAGGGTCTTTTCACACATCTCTGTTTCAACATAGAGAACCCCATTCCTTCCCAATCAATGCCCTCAGTTTAACAGCAGACATGCTAGAAGGCTAGGAGTTCAACTTGCATTGTAATTCAACCAATAACAGGATAAGATTCTTTATTTGATTTTTCAGCAATCTCAGTCCTGAAGCTACAGGCAATAAGGATCTTCTTCAGGGCACACATAGATGTTTTCAGGTCATGTATGCGGCACTTGCACTGGGAATGAGAATCCCTGAGCTTATCCTTTACTTTCAACACTTTGTCCAGGGACATTATGCACAACCAGCCAACCTCATTACATTCATTAGAGTTCTAAAAATATTTATACATATAATATACACAGTCACCCAACTCCTTGCTCCTTTAAGTGGTTGATTAGGGTATCAAATGGAGATATTTTATCTCTATAAATACTACATACTATGGACTATCAGTGCTCTCTTTACTACTGAAAATAGAGTCATTAGCATCTTCAAATCTAAGTAGATTAGAGATCCAATTTCAGAAACACTTTGACCAATTTAGAAAAGTCATCCTTAAAATTATGTTCCTCTGGAACCATTTTTGGTACCCAAACAAAAATCTGTATTAGTCAGGGTTCTCCAGAGAAATAGAAGCATATATATATCAGCCTCCATGACTGTGTGAGCCATTTTTTCATGGTAAATACCTTCATTTATATATGAAGTCCCACAATCTGCTGTCAGAAAGCTGGAGACTCAGGAAAGCTGGTGGTATAATTCTACTTCAGGTTGAAAGGTCTGAGAACAAGGGACTGACAATGGTGGTCAGTCCAAGGACAGCAGAAGACTGATGTCCCAGCTCAGACAGGCAGGCAGAAAGCAAAAAGGGGTGAATTACTTCTTTCTCTGACTTTTTGCTCTATTCAGTCCCTCAACAGATTGGATGATGTCCAGCCACATTGAGGAGGTCAATCTACTTTATCAATTCCACCAATTCAAATGCTAATCTCATCCAGAAACAGCCTCACAGACACACCCAGAAATCATGTTTAGTCTGGGTACCCTACTGGCACAATCAATTTGAAACAGAGTTAACCATTGTACCACAAATGCTAGATTATCTAACAAAACAGTATATGCAGTGTTGAAGACCATAGTGCAGGAGGGCAGATCCCTGGATGGCGTTGGCCAAGCCAGCTCTTTCCCCCTTGTTTGCAATTCTCAGGCCAAATGTACTGAGAATGCAACATTCTGAAATAAGAAGGAAGTGTCAGAATATCCTAGACCATGCCTTCATTCCTCCTAAATTAGGATGTTCTGCAGTGATTGCACTCAGAGACTCAAGTGACACCCAGGGTATAAAACCCAGAGCAAAGTGCTTTTAGTGGTCCCTCAGCTGCAATGCAAAGTGGGGCATGCACAGACCAGACTCTCTCCACTCTGGGCAGCTTTCCTGCATCTTGAAGAACTGGCTCCTCATGGATTCCAGGCTTCTATCTATCCTTGCTGCCTGTCTATGAGTAATAAATTTGCTTTGCCTGATGTGCTGTGTGAGTATTCTGCCTGACCAGATTTATTCTCTGGTAGCTGGGTTTGTGCAAAACTTCCTGCTAGACCTAGGAACTTTTGCACATGGTTTTGAGACCAGACTGAACTATAATTCCTGTTCTGCTACTAGATCTTGGGCAAATTACAGAATCTTTTTATGTGTCAGTTTCCTCATCTGTGAAACAAAGATAACAATATTGTCTATCTCATTGGGTAGTTGTGAGGACTAAATGTTTTATTAAAAGCTAAACCACTCAGCACAGTGTCGGGCATATAAGAAGTGTTTAATAAATGTTAGCTATTATCCATATGAAGGAAAATGAAGCGTCAAACACTAAGTGTAAACATTAAGTGTTGTTTTTTAAAATCTGAGTAATTGAGGCTCTCAAATTCTCTTTGGCCTCAATCACAAATTTTCTTTTGCTTGAAAAATTGCTTTAACAAACTCACTAACTCAGACAGAGCTTTTCTTCATCCTCCACCATAAACCTCCTTTGGTTATTATTCTGAAATAAAATAGAACAGATATCAGAGTAGTAGATGTTGTCCAGGCATCCCACATCACCTTGATTCTGACCACCTCTGTCCATTCTGCTGTATATGGCAGGCCAGAAGCATGGGGAATCATTACCTTCCAGGAACAGTCTCTAACCAGTGACCAATGGGAAGTGGCATATAAATAGCTTAGCTTCCTCACACTCTGGGTGGCACAGTTCTGAGGTGTATGTCCCACACTGGCTCTCAGAGTTCCCCAGCAGCATTGAGCTTTAGTTGCCCATGATGGGAATTTGCTTGATAACACACCCTTAGTGTCCACCTTCCCTGTGTCACTTCTTCACATCGCCTCCCAGTATTGTCTAGCACCAACTCCCAAATAAAACACTTACCCCCCAAATATTTGTTTCTGGGGGAAACACTAAGACAATTAGCAATAGAAATACGAAAACTACAAAAACGTGTTTTTAAAAATACCTGTCTTGGCTGGGCTGGGTGGCTTATGCCTGTAATCCCAGCACTTTGGGAGGCTGAGGCAGGCAGATTACTTGAGGTCAGGAGTTTGAGACCAGCCTGGCCAACATGGTTAAACACCATCTCTACTAAAAATACAAAAATTAGCTGGACATGGTGGCACACACCTGTAATCCCAGATACTCAGGAGGCTGAGGCAGGAGAATCACTTGAACTTGGGAGGCAGAGATTGCAGTGAGCAAAGATTGCATTACTTCACTCCAGCCTTGGTGACAAAGTGAGACTCTATCTCCAAAAAAAAAAATTGTCTAAAAAAAAAATAATAATTAAATCACAAACCAAGCAAATGTAAGAATTTCCAACTTATTCTACTTTGTATAGAATTTGCTTTAGGCCTTACGTATTTAATGGTTTCAGGATAATGTGTTATTTCTTTGTTAAATCTTTGGCTTAAACATGCTATCACATAGTGAACACTTCTATTCTTCACTACAATCTTATTTGAGACTAGAAGAATGCTTTTGACCTTGTTTGGAGTCACTTGAACTCTGTGGGCTCTGAGCTAACTTTTTCTCTCTCATCCCAAGCTCCATTTAGTGTCAACAAAACATGAACCTCTAGTCCAAATAAAAATATCTTGGAAAAGACTTATAAGAAGACTCTTAAAAAGTGTTGGTATTTGAAATGTCTCTGAAGGTGTATAAATGAATCAAGTACACACAGATTAGATTTCCCTTGAAATATAGTTTCTAAAAGAAGGAAGTCCTTTAGGGAAAATATTTGTGAGGATTTACTTCTTTGGTTGTTTTTTATTTTTCTACTTAAAACATTGGTGGGATTCTTAAAAACTCTTCTCTTCAATAAAAGCATACCAAAATTCTCTTAAAATTGTCATTAAGAGATAATCATTTCTATGGAGAATGAATTTTTAAAGTTCTTGCTACTTAGAAAACCAAATTCTAGGGGTTTGGAACATTCCAAATAATTGTTTGAATGTCCTGAAGCTAAAGATTAAATATCGTTAAAAATTGTGCAATTTAAGATGAATAGACTTCAGCATATGCTTAAGTTTATGCTAAATGTATGCATTATAACTCATGAAAAAAAGTTGTAAGTTTGAAATTTGTTTACATTTTACAAATTCATTTACTAGATTCTATCAAAGTTAATTTTTTTGATAAATTATTATCAGAGCCGAGTGTCTCAAAGTGAAACAATTCATATTAAGTAAATATGAATCACAGAAAGATTTTTAAAATACCTTTGACTGTATCTAATTAGGTTATCAAAAGAAATTCTGATCGAGCTGGGAAAACTCAATTATAAATGACACTACACATGCCTAGCCCTCATACCTTTTAATTCGCTTTGATAAAAATGTATGGTAGTAGGCTTCCAGGTAAAATACTTAATAGATGCACTTATTTTTAGGAATTTTTGATATTTTTCCTTTTATAATTTGAATGGCCTCATTTTTATTTAAGAAGAAAAAGCATGTATGGTAATTACATTTTTCAGTATTATGTTTTTAAAAAATAACAAACTACTCTTCTTTCTCACCAACAAATCCTAGTCTTTAAATGGTGGTCCTTTTTCCATTCTGGCTATATCTCAGTAGTTACCTCTTCACTGTCTTGCCTGCACACACACACAAATGCACACCTACTCCTCCTCCCCACACACACATGCACACAAGCTACAGAATTTTTCTTTGTATCTTTCTATCTCTGTGTCTCTCTTTCTGGCTTCCTCTTTTTGATTCTCCCTTGTTCTGCCTTATTATTCCCTATTCCCAACTTTCCCCATGTGTCCTCTGTGAAGTTTACTCTTCAGCATTATAGCACAAATAAAATAATTCATTAATTTGCCAAGATTATGTTTATAAAAGGGAGCAAGAAAGAAAGAAAATCACTCATCTTTTAAAGAGAGAACACCAGCTACTGTCGTAGTAAAACTATGAGGAGTTTTGTTTGTTTGTTTTGTTTTTTTGGGGATGGAGTCTGGCTCTGTCGCCCAGGCTGGAGTACAGTGGTGGGATCTCAGCTCACTGCAAGCTCAGCCTCCCGGGTTCATGCCATTCTCCTGCCTCAGCCTCCCGGGTAGCTGGGACTACAGGCGCCTGCCACCATGCCCGGCTAATTTATTTTTTGTATTTTTAGAAGAGACAGGGTCTCAATCTCCTGACCTCGTGATCCTCCCTCCTCGGCCTCCCAAAGTGTTGGGATTACAGGCGTGAGCCACCACGCCCTGCAGGAGTTCTTATTTACATATAATTAAAAATGTTAAATGTGAGTTTAAATTCTGCATTATGCCTCTGAAAGGAGTGTTTACTTTTAAAATAAGGATACACTTCACTTGGTTATCTAAGGTGAAATATAAGATTAAAAAAATTGGATGTCCATGAAATGCACACATAATTTCATTTATTTATGGTAACTAACACACTGTAATGAAGGCCAAATTCATTATTCAGTGATCATTTGATTCAACATGATACGTGTTTCAGAAGTGAAGGAAAAGAAGTAAAGTCCACAGCATAGAATGACAGAATTTTATTTGTTCTTCTGTTGGGAGAGCTAATCACTTGCCAATTTGAGACGTTATTTCTTCATAAACATATACTGATTGAGCCTGATTCTTTCCTGCAATGTCAGTAACATTCAAACATATTTGTGTTACTACAAAGGCTATATAATTTATTGGTGGGCACTAATGGCTTTAACAAAATCAGAAAGCTTCAAAGAGCAGAAATAATAACAGGAAGATTGCAATCAGTAAATTTTCTAATTCTTCATTCCAATTACAAATATTAGCTTATTTTGACTTATTAGCCATATTCATGTGTTTATAAAATGACTAACTTACATGAACAGATCTGTTTATTGCAGACCAATATTTGGTGCCATGTTCAAATTCAGGAAGAGAGGGATCCAAGGCACTGTGAGAGATTCAAATGTAAAGGTGCATTCGTGAGAAGCTCAATTAACTAAATAGTGAAATCTGAAGCAAATAGTGAACTCAGCCTTAGCCATATTGGCCTTATTGAATATGCCATGCTTTTGCAGTATCATAACCTTTGAACCTGTGGTTCCCTCTGCCTGGGATGCTCTTTCCCAGATACATGCATAGTTCTATGCACAAATGTCTAACCAGAGAGGCCTTTCTGACACCTTGTCTAAAATATATAAAGTATCATCCCCCATCCTTGTTTTGGTTTTCTTCTTAGCTTCATATCTTCATTGATTCATTGACCTGATCCATATCTATTTTTAAATTATCTGTCTTCTCCATTAGACTTCACCTTGTCCCTTTAGGTTTACTTCTTTTCTTAGCCCCTAGAAGAGTATCTGGTAGATATTAATAAATATTTGTTGACTTGACTAGAATGTAATTGTGAAGCATTAACATCATTTATTGAGACAAGTATCTCAGTGCTACTCCAGGCACTGTGAGAAATGAGACATATGGTTCTTTTCTCTAAGATGCTTATAATCTATTTGGTAAGACAAGCCCATCAAATATTGCATTATTTATATATTGATGTGTAGGAAATTATCCCAAAACATGAGTGTGGGTCAGGAATCTAGGCAAGCCTTAGTTGAGAAGTTTTGGCTCAGGGTCTTTCATGAAGTTGCAGTCAAGATGTCAGCCTGGGTTGTGGTTATCTGAAGGCTGGACTGAGGCTGGTGGATTACTTCTAAAAGAGCTCACCCACGTGGCTGTCATATTAGTGCTGGTTGTTGGCTGGAGGCCTCAGTTTCTTACCACTTGGACCTCTTTACAGGCTTGCTAGAGTGTCCTCATGGTGGGGCAGCTGGATTCCTCCAGATGACTTCTCCAAAAGAGAACAAAGTAAAAGCTGCACTGTTTTTTATGACTGAAACTTGGAGGTTACATTCTGTCATGTTTGCAATATCTTAATGGTTATACAGCTCAGCCCTATTCAATGTAAAAAGAGACTACATGAGTTTGGATACCAGAAGTTGAGAATCATCTTAAATACTGGCTGACACACACATGAAATAAGTAATAAAGCATACGTGGCCATGTGTGAGTGCTAAAATGTGAAAACATTCAAGGTTCATCCAGTTTTGAGAATTTAGACTTACATAATTGGAAAGGCTAAGTTAGATGGCAAATTTAAGCTTCACTTGGGCAAGGGTATTTGTTCCAGGCATTTTAATAACATAAACTTGATTTATTCATTTATTAAACAAATATTTCTTAAGCCCTTGCTTGCTGTGCTAGGTCAAAGGATTATAAAATCCATAAGTCCCAGACCCTGACCTAAAAGTATTTATGATCTATTTTGTGTAAGGTAAAATTTATGAGCAATAATGGTTTTGAATGAATTTAAATACTTACTGCAAGGGCTGGGGCAAGAACCATCATACAAAGCTAGACGTTACAAACAGAGACTACAAACACACAAAATATGTGTATTTGTGGTGAAATATGTGAATGAAAAATGAAATAGTTTTCATGCTCTCATTGCAATAAATTTCAATTTAATCCAAGAAAAGTGGATTTTAAAAATTATCAGCTAAGTAATTTAATATCAAAAAATTCACTGATCATGACTATGATATAGGAAGGAAAGCTACATGACCACTTTCATAAAAGGAATCTGTAAACACTGGCTTCATTCTCTAAAGCATCTCCAAATCCCTACCCCTGTCCAAACTGGAATATAACTCTCTGGATCTTTAAATTCTATCAGTTCACCAAAATGTTTATTAACCCAATGACTCTGCACTAGTATTCATCACAACAGTGATTGGCAAAAAGGACATTTAGCATTTAAATCAAGTGACACATCATTTCTTTTAACATTTAATTTCCCCCCCTTGACTGCCAGATTTATTCTTTTATAAATTAGTCTATTTTATTTATAGGTAATAGTTATACATATTTATGGGGTACATGTGATATGTTGATATATGCATACAATGTGCAATGATCGAATCCATCCCCATAAACATTTATCATATTTTTGTGTTGGGAACATTTAAATTCTTATCTTTTAGCTACTTTGAAATATATAATTTTTTTAACTATAATCAACCTACTGTGCTATCAAACACTAAACCTTTTGCCTTCTGTCTAATTGTATGTTTGTACCCATTAACCAATCACTCTTCATCCTCTCCCCCACCTTTCCCAGACTCTGGTAACTGTCATTCCATTTTCCTACCTCGATAAGATTAATTTTTATAGGTCCCACATATGAGTGAGAGTATGAAATACTTATCTTTCTGTGCCTTGCTTATCACACTTAGCATAATGGCCTCCAGTTCCACCAAAGTTGCCGCAAATGACAGGACTTCATTCATTTTTACAGCTCAGTAGTATTCCAGTGTGTATATATACAGTTATCTTTCTCCATTCACTTTTTACCACTCAGTAATATTCCAGTGTGTATATATACAGTTATCTTTCTCCATTCAGTTGTTGGTGGACACCAAGTTTGATTCCCTATCTTTGTTATTGTCAATAGTGCTGAAAGAAACATGGGTGTATGGGTATCCCTTTGATATAGTGATTTTTATGCCTTCGGATAAATATCCAGTAATGAAATTGCTGGATTGTGTAGTAGTTATATTTTTAGATTTTTTAGAAGCCTCCATACTGTTTTCCATAATGGCTGTATTAATTCACATTCCCACCAATAGTGTTAAAGAGTTCCTTTTACTCTGCGTTCTCATCAGCATTTTTTTTTTTTTTGTGGCTTGTAATAGCCATTTTAACTGGGATGAGATGATATCTCATTGTGGTTTTAATTTGCATTTTTCCTGATAATTAGTGATGTTGAGCATTTTTTTTTCATATACTTGATGGCCTTTTGTCTTCCATTGAGGAGTGTCTATTCAGAACTTTTGCCCACCTTTTAATCAGATTGTTTATTTATTTTTTAATTGTTTTGTTTGCTGTCGAATACTTGAGTTCCTTATATATTCTGGATATTGGTCCCTTGCCAAATGAGCAAATATTTCCTCTTATTCTACAGGTTATCAGTTTGTCTCTTCATTAAGTTAATTGTCTCCTTTGCTATGCAAAAGTTTTTAAATTTAATATAGTCCCATTTATTTTTGTTTATGCTGTCCGTGCTTTTGAATTCTTGGTCCTAAAATCTTTGCTTAGACCAAGATCTTGAATCATTTCCTTTATGCTTTCTCTTAATAGTTTTATAGCTTTGAGTCTTGAGTATTTAATCCATTTTGACTTGATTTTTATATATGGTGAGAGATAGGGGTCCAGTTTCATTTTCTGTATATGGATGTCAAGTTTTCCCAGCACCATTTATTGAAGAGATTGTCCTTTCATCACAGAGTGTTCTTGGTGTTTTTATAACAAATCAGATTACCATAAATGCATGGATTAATTTCTGGATTCTCTATTATATTTCACCTGGTCTCTATGTCTGTTTTTATGCCAGTACAATGTGGTTTTTGTTATTATAGCTTTGTAGCATATTTTGAAATCTGGTAGTATGATGCTTCCAGCTTTGTTCTTTTTACTCAGAATTGCTTTGTCTATTTGAGTTCTTTCTTCATTCTGTGTAAATTTTATAATTTTATAATTTTTTTCCTATTTCTGTGAAGAATGTTATTGGTGTTTTGATGGCAATTGCATTGACTCTGTAGATTGCTTAGGGTAGTAATGTCATTTTTACAATACCAATTATTTGAATCCATAAACTTGGGGTGTCTTTTTACTTCTGGCTCTTCAATTTCTTTCATCAGTGTTTTGTAGTTTTGTAGGAGGTCTTTCACCTCCTTGGTTAAGTTTATTTCTAGGTATTTTATTTTATTAAGTTTTTGTAGCTATTGTAAATGGGATGGCTTTTTTTTTTTTTTTTTTTTTTTTGAGACGGTGTCTTGCTCTGTCACCCAGGCTGGAGTGCAGTGGCATGATCTCTGCTCACTGCAAGCTCCACCTCCTGGGTTCACGCCATTCTCCTGACTCAGCCTCCCAAGTAGCTGGGACTATAGGCGCCCGCCACCACGCCTGGCTAATTTTTTGTATTTTTAGTAGAGACGGGGTTTCACCATGTTAGCCAGGATAGTCCGATCTCCTGACCTCGTGATCTGCCCACCTCGGCCTCCCAAAGTGCTGGGATTACAGGCGTGAGCCATTGCGCCCGGCCGGGATTGCTTTCTTGATTTCTTTTTCATCTAGTTTGTTATCAGTGTGCAGAAACACTACTCATCTTTGTATACTAAAGTTGTATCCTGCAACTTTACTGAATTCATTTATTCATTCTAAAAGTTTTTGATTATACTTTAAGTTGTGGGTTTCTTACATAGGTATACACGTGCCATGGTGGTTTGCTGCACTCATCAACCCATCATCTACATTAGGTATTTTGCCTAATGCTATCCCTCCCTTAGCCAGCTGCCCACCAAAAGGTCACAGTGTGTGATGTTCCTCTCCCTGTGTCCATGTGTTCTCATTGTTCAGCTCCCACTTATGAATGAGAACATGTGGTGTTTGGTTTTCTGTTCCTGTGTTAGTTTGCTGAGAATGATGGTTTCCACTTTCATCCATGTCCCTGCAGAAGACATGAACTCATTCTTTTTTATAGCTGCATAGTATTCCATGGTGTATATGTACCACATTTTCTTTATCTAGTCTATCATTGATAAGCATTTGGGTTGGTTGCAAGTCTTTGCTATTGTGAACAGTGCTGCAATAAACATACATGTGCATGTTTCTTTATAGTAGAATGATTTATAATCCTTTGGGTATATATCACTGATCCCACATATATACAAACTACCATCAAAGAATACTATAAACACCTCTATGCAAATAAACTAAAAAATCTAGAAGAAATTGATAAATTCCTGGACACCTACACCCTCCCAAGACTAAACCCGGAAGAAGTCAAATCCTGAACAGGCCAATAACAAGTTCTGAAATTGAGACAGTAATTAATAGCCTACCAACCAAAAAAAGCCCAGGACCAGACGGATTCACAGCCAAATTCTACCAGAGGTACAAAGAGGAGCTGGTACCATTCCTTCTGAAACTATTCAAAACGATAGAAAAAGAGGGACTCCTCGCTAACTCATCTTATGAGGCCAGCATCATCCTAATATCAAAACCTGGCAGAGACACAACAAAAAAAGAAAATTTCAGGCCAATATCCTTGATGAATATTGATGTGAAAATCCTCAATAAAATACTGGCAAACTGAATCCAGCAGCACATCAAAAAGCTTATTAACCATGATTAAGTCGGCTTCATACTTGGGATGCAAGGCTGGTTCAACATACACAAATCAATAAATGTAATCCATCACATAAACAGAACCGATGACAAAAACCACATAATTATCTCAATAGATGCAGAAAAGGCATAAGATAAAATTCAACATCCCTTCATGCTAAAAACTCTCAATAAACTAGGTATTGATGGAATGTATCTCAAAATAATAAGAGTTATTTATGACAAATGACAAACCCACAGCCAATATCATACTGAATGGGCAAAAGCTGGAAGCACTCCCTTTGAAAACCAGTAAAGACAAGGATGTCCTCTCTCACCACTCCTATTCAACACAATATTGGAAGTTCTGGCCTGGGCAATCAGGCAACATAAAGAAATAAAGGGTATTCAAATAGGAAGAGAGGAAGTCAAATTGTCTCTTTTTGCAGATGACATGATTGTATATTTAGAAAACCCCATCATCTCAGCCCAAAATCTCCTAAGGCTGATAAGCAACTTTAGCAAAGTCTCAGGTTACAATATCAATGTGCAAAAATCACAAGCATTCCTATACACCAATAATAGACAAGCAGAGAGCCAAATCATGAGTGAACTCCCATACACAATTGCTACAAAGAGAATAAAATACCTAGGAATCCAACTTACAAGACATGTGAAGGACCTCTTCAAGGAGAACTACAAACCACCACTGAAGAAAATAAGAGAGAGCACAAACAAATGAAAAAACATTTCATGTTCATGGATAGGAAGAATTAATATTGTGAAAATGGCCATACTGCCCAAGTAATTTACAGACTCAATGCTATCCCCATCAAGCTACCATTGACTTTCTTCACAGAATTACAAAAAACTACTTTAGATTTCATGAGGAACCAAAAAAGAGCCCGTATAGCCAAGACAATCCTAAGCAAAAAGAACAAAGGTGGACTGGAGGCATCATATTACCTGGCTTCAAACTATACTACAAGGCTACAGTAACCAAAACAGCATGATACTGGTACCAAAACAGATATATAGACCAATGGAACAGAACAGAGGCCTCAGAAATAACATCACACATCTACAACCATCTGATCTTTGACAAACCTGACAAAAACAAGCAATGGGGAAAGAATTCCCTATTTAATAAATGGTGATGGGAAAACTGGCTATCCATATGCAGAAAACTGAAACTGGACCCCTTCCTTAACAGCTTATACAAAAATTAACTCAACATGGATTAAAGACTTAAGTGTAAGACCTAAAACCATAAAAACCCTAGAAGAAAATCTAGGCAATACCATTCAGGACATAAGCATGGACAAAAACTTCATGACTAAAACACCGAAAGCAAGGGCAATGAAAGCCAAAATTGACAAATGGGATATAATTAAACTAAAGAGCTTCTGCACAGCAAAAGAAACTATCATCAGAGTGAACAAGCAACCTACAGAATGGGAGAAAATTTTTGCAATCTACCCATCTGACAAAGGGCTAATATCTAGAATCTACAAAGAACTTAAACAAATTTACAAGAAAAAAAAAACATCAAAAAGTAGGCCAAGGATATGAACAGACACTTCTCAAAAGAAGACATTTATGCAGTCAACAAACATATGAAAAAAAGCTCATCATCACTGGTCATTAGAGAAATGCAAATCAAAACCACAATGAGATACCATCTCACGCCAGTTAGCATGGCAATCATTAAAATGTCAGGAAACAACAGATGCTGGAGAGGATGTGAAGAAGTAGAAACACTTTTACACTGTTGGTGGGAGTATAAATTAATTCAACCACTAAATTAGTTCCACACTGTGTAAGACAGTGTGGTGATTCCTCAAGGATCTAGAACCAGAAATAACATTTGACCCAGCAATTCCATTACTGGGTATATACCCAAAGGATTATAAATCATTCTACTATAAAGACACATGCACATATATGTTTATTGCAGCACTGTTCACAATAGCAAAGACTTGGAACCAACCCAAATGTCCATCAATGATAGACTGGATAAAGAAAATGTGGCACATACACATCATGGAATACTATGAAGCCATAAAAAAGGATAAGTTCATGTCCTTTGCAGGGACATGGATGAAACTGGAAACCATCATTCTCAGTAAACTAACACAGGAACAGAAAACCAAACATCTCATGTTCTCATTCATAAATGGGAGCTGAACAATGAACACATGGACACAGGGAGGGGAATATCACACACCAGGGCCTGTTGGGGGTGGGGGGCTAGGGGAAGAATAGCATTAGGATAAATACCTAACTAATGTAGATGATGGGTTGATGGGTGCAGCAAACCGCCATGGCACGTGTATACCTATGTATCAAACCTGCACATTCTGCATGTGTATCCCTGAACTTAAAGTATAATAAATAAAAGTAAATACATACACTTCTCTCCTGACTTCTCCTTTTCCTCTGCAAATTGCAAGAAGTTCATTTCATAAAATTTAAGATTTATGGAAATTCACTACATGTCATAATAAGGAAGCGTCAACAATGAAGGAGCCTAATGCTGATCAAATATTTTGGTGAACTTCCTGATTTTCAAAAGTTATTTTGAGCCTGGGCCCAAATTCCAACTTGCTGCAGGAACACATCCTTAAAAACAGCATGGCTTTCCTGCAAAAGGCATTTGGCCATTTGCTGAAGTGGATCCAAAATGACACAGAAACCAGCCACTACTCATCAAAACTAAGACTTTCCCCCACCTTTCACTTTTTAACTGAATGTCTATTAAGAAAGCAAAGTTATTTAAAGCCATTTCTAAAACTCAACAGTGAGCTGTACCTTAAAAGATAGACAGAAGATCATAATGTTGCTTGTGATGGTTTCCAAAGATTAATTTTATAAATGAGAAAGAAAGAACTCTGATATTGATGAGTAGTAGATTAAATGATATAACAGAAAGAAAACTGATCATTTCAAATGTATAGTTACATTTTATCTCAGTAATTATTAATTGCAATATATTTAAACACATACTTGGTTCTCTTTGCAAAGAGTAAACAGAAGATCAAATTGATTTACAAACCACTTTCACAAAAAATATCTCATTTATTCCTCACAACAGTGCTTGGTTTGCATAGTTCCATCCCCATTTTACATATGAGGAAACTAGATTATCATTCCACCACCCAGCTAGTTAAAAGCTTCATCAAGACATTATAGATGATAATCAATGGCATGGGATCTGGAACCTGACAGAGATGTACTCAACTTCCAGGCCTTCTATTTACTGGTTATATGACTTAAGACAAGCTAGTATGTAAAATATGAACCCAGATAGGCTTTACAACTCAACATCCTATGACACAATATCAGAATGCTAAGGAATACATGAGGAAAACAAGGAAGACAGAAATACATACATACTTTACTTTGACAAATAAGATATTTCACCGTTGTGAGTCTATCTCCACTCTCCACTCTACGTAATTATCATAGAATCTAAAAATACTTAAAAGAAGCAACCCACTCAATGAGTGACACGTTGGTTGTTTGGTGTCTTATTTGTTTTTAATATCTAGACATGTGCTGCCTCCTTGTTAAAGCAATATGAGGCAACTCACAATAAAATTCACCGCTGTGGTGATGCTCTCGTGCACTTCTTCTCTCCTCAAGCTTTGGTTTTTATGTGCTTGGAATGCCCTTTTCCCCACCCCGTACCACCAGAAAGAGATAGAGCAGGAACTAAAGATAGGTGTGAATGCCCACACATATCTAGAAGGATATCTACTAAAACTGTTCATGAGAATCCCTGAAAAATGATGAGTTTTTACTTTCTATATTGTTAGATTTCTTATAATCAATATGTTTAACTTCTCTCTATACACTTTAAATTACATTTTTCCATCTTCCTGATGATACCTCCAAAGACACTGATTCAGCAGGGAAGGGTCCAGGATTTTGATCTTCCAAAATCTCCCAGAGACTCTATTAAGCAGTCAGTTTTGGGTACCATGGTTGAAATAACTGATTCCAGTAGAAGTAGCAAGTGAAATTTTGCTTTTTAGGAAAAGTTTCAACTCTATTAAACAATTATTTAAAAAATTATTTCCTTTTATTTTGTAATAGTTTGATTCCACTGCAAATATACATTCTCTAAGTTTATTAGATTTGAATTACCTCTGAGAATTATAATAGCTTGGCCAGCCATTTTAAGTTATCCATTTTTGAACAAAGGGCCTAAACAATCATTGTAAAACATATGTTTGTTAGGCAAATTTCACAAACCATTTAAAAATTAAGGCAAACAAGAAATATATAAATACAAATATCAGGGTTTTTTAATTCTAAATTTTTAACACTAACTTAAATACCATTTGACTGGCTCTAAAAATCATGGCCATTCTCAAAATATGAAGTAGAAAGTTACCGCAAATATAAACTTTGGTATAATTTATACCTATTTCACTAAACATTTTTAAAGTTTTAACTTTGGATAAATATAAAGATGCCAATATTTTTATAATTAATTTGAAAAATGTATAATGTTCTAAAACTCAGACATCAAAGCATCTATTTCTTTAAATTTATTAGTTATATCCTCAATACATTCTCCAGCTTTTAATTTTATCCCATCAATTACAAGATAGTCCTCTTCATAGTGGTTTTCAAACAGACTGCCTGCAGGAGCTTCTGGGCTGCATTTAGATAACTGCAAAACAACCATATAATTAATCGGAACTATGTCAAATTTACCTGATTATTGAACAAAACATAAAGTAGTAATTCTGCAAGCCACATTAGCTACACAAACTTTTCTGTTATTCTAGTGTTCAAATAATAATCACTATATATAGTATAATGCAGGATGAATGTGTTAATATAAGAAAAAGTTATTATTTAGGTCTGTGTCTATTCCCCAGCCTTATACATTTTTAGTTTTAATTTTATGCTCTGGAAAAATGTGATAATTCTAATTCTATGTGAGTTTTCTATGTTGTTTTATTTTTTACATTATTGTTATAGGGAATACAACTTAAAATGTGACTGTTTTAGTCACATTTTCTGTGGTCATCTTGTCAAAAGGTCATCTGCATTACTTAAAAATAGTGATAATTTGCTCTTGCTTAGTGGGAAAGGATACTAGTAAAAACAATGCATATGTGGATTTATTTGATTTATAACTTCAGAGTTTATTAAAGATAGGGTTCACTTCCCATGTAATTCAAGGGAAAAAGTATATATGTAGTTCATATAAATATTTTCACATAACAAAAATGTACCCTTTTATAGAAATAATTTTTCAGTAAACTCTGTTTTATTTGTGTATGGATTATTCAATTTGTGAATTATTCAGGTGGATTTATAAAAATCTAAAATTTATTTCCTCCGATTGCTTGCCAAGTCAAGGCATGTCACCCAATGTTAATATTAGCTTAAGAAGAACATAATTAGGAAGGTGACTCTATGTAGGAAAATAATTTCATAAAACATTTCAATGACAAATAGAAATGAGTTTTGATTATCTATGTGTATAAGCTTTTTTCCATGTTTTTACTCTCATCCATTGATGTAAATGCCTGAGATAATCCAATTGAAAACTCACAGGTGAAATGAATGATGAAAACATTATCAAATTTACAACTTTGAAAACAGCTTATACAATATCTGCTCAGAGAATCAACATGCTCAGGACTTTAAAATTCTTAGAGGTCTCTTTGGAGTACTTAACTTATAAGAGGCCACCCTCCCCTAAAAACAACACATCTCCAGCTTTAAGTGGAGTTGTTTTTGGGAGACATATTAATTATTTCTAATAACAATAAATAAATAAATAAATGAAATCCAACATGTGATTACTTCTTTACTTTTAAACTGAAATTTCTCCAGCTTTGCTAGTTGGTTTCACTGTTATTCTCCTCATTTAAAAGTGAACAAGAACCCAAATATCCTGAATCTGGCATGAATGCCAGACTTACAAAGCTCAGGGTGCAGAGTGCTTATGAATCAGTAACCAGGAGGCACTCACCTGCACACTAGCCAGTTAAAATTGCTAATTTTTACACTTCTGAAATGCTGTTTGAAAGCATAAAATAATACAACAATCTAAAACAACAAGCAGTCTCCTGCCTGGTGATGGGTTAAAGCTATGTATTTTACCTTAAGAAATAAAAATCAGAAGTATTTCTCTGTTCTATCAAGTTACTACTTATAATGGCAAAACAGAAGTCAATTCTGTGCCTATAAAAGCTCCAGGACATCGCTATAAAGATCAATCTGGCTGTATTTTTGAAAAGAAACCGCTAACACTGAAAAACACTGCACAAAACCATATGGTATTCGAATAAAACACACATTTGCTGAAAAAGAATAATTTGTATATTAATTATACGTATATAGGATGTATGATACCAATCTGCAGGTCTTGTTCTGCAAAAGACCCATACATAGAAAACAAGTCTTTTTTTTTGGAAAGGAACCCAACTGGAAAAGTAGCATTTACAACCCATGAACATTCAGGTAAAAATTGATATTGCTGATGCTGATTAAGAAAGTTATGTTTTTCAACTAAGTAGGAGTTCTTAACGTTAATATTACTTTCCTTTAGCATAATAATCTCCATAGTAGTACATTCTGTATATTTTATTAATTTCTAACTCAATAAAGGACATGTTTACGAATAATCTATTTTTATTGACATTCTGAATGAAATCATACAACTGGGCAGTCTGCTTAAAGGTATAAACCCCTTTGTCCATTTATAAATCCATCTTTTTCTACATCTAGGAACAGACAGACTTCGAGATAGGCAGTTGCTCAAATTGTGAATGTGGGAAAAGAGAGATGAAGTAAGAAAATCTAAGCACTTATTCTCTCTAGCAACTGCCATTGCCAATTTTCAGTCTTTAATAATAGCCAAACCTTGGGTGTTTGTTCCTATGCAAAGCACTTTTCCTGGTTTACCATTTTTTTAAATTATACTTTAAGTTCTAGGGTACATGTGCACAACATGCAGGTTTGTTACATATGTACACATGTGCCATGTTGGTGTGCTGCACCCATTAACTTGTCATTTACATTAGGTATGTCTCCTAATGCTATCCCTCCCCTCTCCCTCCACCCCATGACAGGCCCCAGTGTGTGATGTTCCCCTTCCTGTGTCCAAGTGTTCTCATTGTTCAATTCCCACCTATGAGTGAGAACATGCGGTGTTTGTTACCAAATTTAATCCTCAAAACAATCCTCTGAGGTAAGTGATAAGCCACTTTTTCAAATTACATAAGTCCTTATTGGCAGGACCAGGATTGGGACACAGGATTATATTTCAGAGTCAGTGTCAATATGCTCTCTTGACTCCAGGCACATTGTGTACCTAAATGAATGAATGAATAAAGCCTTAAGGTTACAGAACTCCTCACTGCCATTTTTTTTCCTAGTTAGGGAACAGCTGCATTGCCACGTGAAAGTGTCTACCCTATGACTTCTTTTTCTCATACCTACCACATCGCTGCTCTGTACTAATGGCATGAGCCTTGTATCACAAACTCATTTTATTGCAGAGACACTGAATAAAGTAAGCACATTTGGCCTTTCTGAGTTCAACATAGAAAGCCAAATGAAAAAATTAAAAAAGGAGGAGTCTACATATAAATGGTAAAACTTATTCCAGTGAAAAATTCTACTTCCCGTATGTTAATGATAAGGTTTGTCCCTGTAGAGATTATCTTGGTACATAATCCAGACGGGGCAGATTTTCCAGTGAGCTCTTGGTATCCTGGCCCCCTCTCCTGACTGTAAAGATTGGCAGCAAGGAGGAATTCTCTCTGGAGTGGCCTACTTCAGCTATAGTGAGCATCATCCATCTTTCTTCACTCCAATCCCAAAGATTTAAAATTAAAAGAACTCCTCTACTTAAACACAGATTGTTTTTCAAATCCTGATAGATGTGTTTTGATTTCTTAACAGGTTACTAGTTTATTATTTACCTCATGATAATCAAGGACTCAAATTTCAGACATGAAAAGAGTTTTTTATATATTTAAAATGTACAACTAGGAACAATTCTGCTGTTTAAAGAATTTGAAGTTGTTATTTAGGTCTGAAAATAACTATCAATATTACCTTTTCTCCCATATTTATTTCCTCTCCATGTCCTTCTTCTGATTCATCAGGTGTGGCTGTGGGTTGCAGTGCTTGCTGCAGCATTTGCTCCAGCTCTTTTAGTAAAACTTCCGTCTCACAGACAACTAAAAAAACAGGATTAATACAGTAAAAATGCTACATCTCACTTAATTCAATCTAATTCATAATCTTAACTACCCAGAAAGAAGAAATCTTTTAAATGCTACAAGGTAAAATATAAATGTTTCATATAATTTTCATACATGACTTCTTCCTGATACAAAATTATTATGAATTTCAAGGTGAGTCTTTTACAATTCTTCCTTGAAAAATGTAGGTGATAGTCTTGCTATGTATAAACCATAAAGTAGAAGTGAAATATCAAAAGCTTATTAGAATTTTTTTTTAATTAGGGGCCAAGGGCACCAAGCTAAATTATATTATTTATAGAAAAAGTGTCAGCAAATTTTTCTCTAAAGGGCCAGAGAGCCAATATTTCAGGCTTTGGGAGCCAGATGGTCTGTGACAAAAACTCAATTCTGTTATTGTAGCACAAACCATTGACATGTACATAAACAAATGAGAGTGGCTATGTTCCAATAAAACTTTATTTACAAAAACAGGCAGCAGCTGGTGACCACAGTTTGCCAATCTCTACTATAGACTATTAAACTACTGTTTAAAAGGAAAAGTTTTGTAATTAAGTGGCTAGGCTGAACACAGGCTAGTGCCTTCCCAATCCAAATTGCAACACATCTTAATTGCCTAATCTAATTTTATTTTAAAAAAATACTGCATTTATAAAAGTCTTTTTGTGTCACTGTGACATGCTTACGCCTGTAATCCCAGCACTTTGGGAGGCTGAGGGTGGATCACGAGGTCAGGAGATTGAGACCATCCTGGCTAACATGGTGAAACCCCGTCTCTACTAAAAACACAAAAAAATTAGCCTGGCGTGGTGGTGGGTGCCTGTAGTACCAGCTACTCCGGAGGCTGGGGCAGGAGAATGGCGTGAATCCGGGAGGCGTAGCTTGCAGTGAGCTGAGATCACACCACTGCACTCCAGCTTGGGCGACAGAGGAAGACTCCATTTCAAAAAAAAAAAAAATAGGCAAAAAAAAAAAAATCTGGTAATTCATTGACCTTGCTGAGATAAAACAATATCCCCACCAAAGAAATAAAAGCCTACTATAACTCTAGACTTAACTACTGATTAAAAATATGCATTTGAGTTCTTGACTTAAATAAAACAAACATTTTCATTTGATATAGGGCCTAGTGAAGCCTTTGCTTCAAAGAAAGGAGGCCACATGTGGCCTGCTGTCTTGCACCAGAGGCAGATGGAGCATCTAAGAAGCTCTTCCAAAAACAACGTAATTCAGAGAGAAAGGCTGTGAGTACACATCCCTTCATCTTCCACTTTTTAGTAAAATCTAATATACCACCTTCTATTATCTGCAGTTCATGGGCAAGTCAGCAAAAATCACACCTAGTAGAGCAGCTGAAAGGTCATGGAAAATGAAAATACCCAAACAGGACATAAGTAGGAAAATTTTAAATTCTGCTAAAGTACTTATTAAATAATGTTAAATAAAATCATAGCAGGTTATGATAGGTTTCCCTTTCTTGGTTGTCATTACAGTACTGGAAAACTACTTTAAGTTTATATTTTTCATAACACAAGTTCATCTTGAAAATAATTTTTCTGTCAATATTTACTGCTTTCCCCAAGCACTTTCATACTCAATCAACAAATATTTACTGTTTACCTACTAAGGGGCAGGAACACAAGAAAATAGGCATAGACTAATAAGCCTTCCTAGCTATCACCTCCTTCTAGTCAATTTCAGGTTTTCTCTATGGAAAACCTCTTTCAAAATAGTTTGAAACAAGCTTTCTGATAAGCAACTCCACATCTTATAAAATGTTCTCATGTTTAAAAACAAACAAACAAGCAAAGCCTGTAATTAACATGTTAGTTGCATCCACATAGATCTGTGTTCTAGGGTTACTGCTAAGGCCTAAGAACACAAAGTATAGAATGCTAGATTCTAAAACAGTGGCATTCAAAATTGTGTGGGCATAATAATCACCTGGGGAGTTTATTTAAAAATATAACAATGTCATGTCTATCAAATCAGGATTTTCTAGAGGAATGTAAGTTTTTTATTGAAGCACTTTTGTTAATAAAACTAACGCCCTCTTTAAGACAGATTTCTTATTTAGTAACCTGTTAATAGATGACTGCTCATGGTTATTTTCACACCAATTCCCCAGTTCCACTCACAAATGTTACATTTTCCTACTTTACATTCTGAGTCTATGGAAATTGACAATGACATTTAATACACTGTTGAGAAGATAGATTTGAAGCTATGCTGTAAAAGAAAAAACGGCAAACAAACATCTTTATATTTCTAATGTCAGGCTAAAATACAATCAGTTTATGATAATAAATATCATTGCGAAATGGCATTGTAGGCTCTCTGTTTTCAAGTGATCTGAAGAAATATGTACACTGCCTTTTGATCAAAATTAGACAAAGTAATGGATGACTTCATAAGTCAACTAGGGTTTACAACACCAACCTGACTGCTGTCAGCTTCTGCTTCCAGAGCAGTGGGAAGTTTGCTTTTCTAAATAAGTATTCCTATATTGTAAATGAAGTTAAAAAATAATTCTCAAAAAATAGCAGTTACCTTAATCTACAAACTATGTTATCAAAATTGGTCAGTGATATCCTCCAAAGATACGGACAAAATGAATGCCTTTGCTGATTGCATGACCAATCATCTTCTGTCAACACTGATTATCTTGTAGTTTCTCTGACTTGTTTCAATTTATTGTTGAGAGTGAAGTGGTAGCATTACGGCCACTCCATTACTCAGAGAAAGTTAAAAAAAAAAAAAAAGAAATGAAAGAAAAAATATGTATCTGTAGTAGCGAAGTCCATATCTAGATTTTTTTTTTTTTTTTTTTTTGAGACGGAGTCTCACTCTGTCACTCAGGCTGGAGTGCAGTGGCACAACCTTGGCTCACCACAACCCCCACCTCCCAGGTTCAAGAAATTCTCCTGCCTCAGCCTCCCAAGTAGCTGGGACTACAGGCACGTACCACCACACCCAGCTAATTTTTGTATTTTTAGTAGAGACAGGGTTTTACCATGTTGGCCAGGCTCGTCATGAACTCCTGACATCAGGTGATCCACCTGCCTCTGCCTCCCAAAGTGCTGGGATTACAGGCGTGAGCCACCATGCCCAGCCCCATATCTAGTTTTTAAAAATTAATGTGTAGAAAATAAATCAGTGTTGTTTTTCCATTCCTGATAAGAAATAACTCACAGTTTGTCTCAATAACTCAGTCACTATTTTAAAAACTTTCAAATACAAAATTTATGGAGTTTTCTTTCACCTCGACTTATCTATTAAATGTTTAAGAAGCTGTTTCCTCCTGATAGAGTTTGGATATGTGTCTCTGCCCAAATCTCATGTTGAATTGTAATCTACAGTGTTGGAAGTGGGGCCTGGTAGGAGGTAAGTGCATCACGGGAGCAGATTTCTCACAAATGATTGAGTACTATCCCCTTGGTACTGTCCTGGTGATAGTGAGTGAGTTCTCATGAAATCTGGTCATTTAAAAGTGTGTGGCAACTCTCCCCTCTTTTGTTCCTGCTTTTGCCATATGACATGCCTGTTCCCCCTTTACCTTCTGCCATGATTATAAGCCTTCTGGGAAGGCTCCCAGGAGCCAAGCACCATGCTTCCTAGAAAGCTTGCAAAACTGTGAGCCAATTAAAACCTCTTTTCTTATAAATTACCCAGTCTTTGGTATTTCTTTATAGCAATGCAAGAACAGACTAACACATTCCCTTATATAGTAGCTACTGGTTGGGTTACCCCAAAGCTGGCACTGAAAAAAAAATCCTAAATAAATTTGCACGGCTATGTCAATGTTGAAATTCTGAAAGTGTTTTAATAAAAGAGAAGGGTGATGAGGAGGAAAAAGTACTTAGTTTTCTTTTATTTTCTAAAAGAAAGGTGTTAGAGTCTAAAACTTTTCCTACTTTACATTCTGGATGTAAAAAAAGAAGTTATTTTTTAAAAATAACTACTTCATCCTTTCTGTAACCCAGAGTGGAGTGCAGTGGCGTGATCATAGATCACTGCAAGCTCAAACTCCTGGGCTCAGGTGATCCTCCCACCTCAGCTTTCCCAGTAGCTAGGACTACAGGCATGTGCCACCATGCCCAGTTATTTTTTTTTTTTTAATTTTAGTAGAGATGAGGTCTCACTGTGTTGCCCAGGCTGGTCTTTAACTCCTGGGCTCAAGGGATCCTCCCACCTCAGCCTCCCAAGG
The DNA here is from genome assembly GCF_000001405.40 of Homo sapiens. Lineage (NCBI taxonomy): Eukaryota > Metazoa > Chordata > Mammalia > Primates > Hominidae > Homo > Homo sapiens. The sequence goes on along the minus strand of NC_000003.12, from coordinate 28,516,760 downwards.
TGCTAGGATTACAGGCATGAGCCACTGCACCTGGCTTTCCTTTCTTTTAATAAGACTACAACGACTGACTTATTTAGCCAATTGAAATGCAATGCCATAGGATCCCCTGGGAGTGGCTTCAAGGAAAAGGGAATATATCACTGATAACTCCTCAGGGTTTAATGGGCTTTGAACATGACTGCCAAAGTTCCACATTGCAAATAAGCATTTCACTGCTTTTCAAGACTAAAGAAAATGTAGAAGGAGGAAATTGCCTTTGAAAACTAAAACTTTCTCCCTGCATTCCACATTCACTCTACTGTGTTCTAACCAACGACAATTTAGTTGGAAGCCCCAGTCTTCTGCTTTTCTTTCTTCTCTCCCTTTGGCACTCCTAGGATCCCAGTAAGTTTGGAATGAAGAAGTCTGGATTGAAATGTATAGTTGTTGGTATTTCTTCCCACAGCTGCTGGTGCTTTATTTATTTATTTATTTATTTATTTATTTATTTATTTATTTATTTATTGAGAGGGAATCTTGTTCTGTCATTCTGTTGTTCTGTCGCCCAGGCTGGAATGCAGTGGTGTGATCTCGGCTCACTGCAACCTCCGCCTCCCAGGCTCAAGTGATTCTCCTGCCTCAGCCTCCAGAGTAGCTGGGATTACAGGTGCATGCCACCACGGCCAGCTAATTTTTGTATTTTTAGTTGAGACCGGTTTCACTGTGTTGACCAGGCTGGTCTTGAACTCCTGACCTCAAGTCATCTTCCTGCTTTGGCCTCCCAAGGTGCTAGGATTACAGGCGTGAGCCACCGTGCCTGGCTGGTGTGTTATTTTAAAAAATTAAATACATGACTGAGACAGAGAAAATTCAATTCAAGGAAATAGAAACCTAAAGAAAATTTAAAAGCCCTGGTATGTAAATCAGTAACAAAAATGATTCATTAATATTTCTCATATATATGTGTATATATACACACACACATATATATGTGTAAAAATGTATACATATGTACGCACATGTATATATGTGTATACACACACACACACACACACACACACACACAGGAAATCTTTTTTTTTCCTTCAAAGGACTACAACTACATTCTGTGGAATTATATATAGGTTAAAGAACTAAAAGCAGGACAGGCTTTCACATACCCCTGTTCTCCTTTGATAAGGCATCATCAGAATAAACATTTTCAAAAGAGCATTTTAAAATTGCTTTCCTAGAAAAAGAATTTGACAGATTTAGTTTCAAAAGATCAATCATGAATATTTAAATGACCATTTGTGCCTATTCATTGGTAACTGTAGATTATAAATGCATATATTTTCTAAAGGTAATTCTCTTGGTTGTTTTATGTAGTAACAAAGTATGTTGCAGTGAAAAACAAAAAAGACTAATACTGATTTGAGCTCTCACTAGGTGCAAAGCATTAACAATTTACCAAGCACCTTACACTGGCTTTTTCATAATCCTCCTCCAAAACACCTACTAATTGTTACTGTCATTATATAAAGAAACTGAGAATTTGAGGTATCAGAGAAAAACAAGAAATTTGACAACTTAGGTAAATGGTGGAACATGGTAGAACTAAACTCTCTCAGACTGCAAAATCCATACTGTTTCCACAATTCTATGTTGCTGACACAGAGTCAGAAAAAAGTTTGCTCAAATGTACTTTCTCTAACCATAAGGTCTTGAGAAAGTCACTAACTTCTCCAAGCTAGGGATTCTTCATTTTTTAAAATGGAGATTATAATATACTTCCTAACAATTTGATAGGGTTACTGTGAAGTGTAATGAAATAAGGCAGTGGAAGTCCATTTTTAAAATTTAGTTATTCATCTTCTGAAAAAGTACAAAGAAGGGCTACCTATTGGTGTCAGTCCTTGTTTTTGAGTAGGACCCCTCCTAACACAGCACTGATTACCATTCTTTAAAAAATGACTGGTTCAACGATAAACACTAAAACTTGTCATCTGTGGCTTATTTGTTCACTATGAAAACCTGTTTCTGGTTTACATTAACTATTTTTAAACTAAAAACCTCATTCTCTTCTGATTGCTCATAAGATATTAATCTTTAAAAGTTCTGTTTCAAAATATTTCATGAATATAAAGCTTTTTCCGTACTTCTAAGACTACTACTTATAATTCTATTAATTCTTTTAGAAAACTGTAAACACAGTATTTTCCAAGTGAAACAGAATCAAGGATTGTGAGATTCTGTTTCCAATAAAGCCCAGCTCAAACTCCTTTGGCCCCTTATCCTGGTACAAATTTCTTTTGGGCCCTCACTATGTCAGTTTCCACCTATATACTAATAGCTTTGCATTTCATGTGCTTCTGGCATTTGATATTTTTTCTTTATCTAAAGGTTATATATGTGTGTACAACTTTAACGTGTTTTTATTACTATTTTTATGTGTTTATGAAGTTATGTAAGGGGGAGTGGATAATATAGGAGGTAGGCATCCAAATCAAATCAGTTTAGCACTCCTGAAAGATGAGCAGATCCATGCAATTGCCCTGACTATGCAGTGGTTGACTAGACGTAAAGATGTTGTTTAGGGTTATTAGCCGGGGTGTTTCTAAACTAAATCCAATATATATTTCAATTTTATCATAATACTATTTAATTTCAAAAAGCATACCTTTTCCTTTTTCTAAATTTGGGCTTCTTCTTTTCAATATTATTTTTAGAAGTCTGCTTCTATAACACAAAAACAAAAATATGAGTTAGTTCATATAGGACTAAATCAGCTCAGTAAAATAATGGGTCCCATGCAGTTCAAGTAATTTGGTCAGAAGAAACACCCCGGCTGATAACCCTAAACAACATCTTTACGTCTAGTCAACCACTGCATAGTCACGGCAATTGCATGGATCAGCTCATCTTTCAGGAGTGCTAAACTGATTTGATTTGGATGCCTACCTCCCATATTATCCACTCTCCCTTACATAACTTCACAAACACATAAAAATAGTAATAAAAACACGTTAAAGTTGTACACACATATATAACCTTTAGATAAAGAAAAAAAAATCAAATGCCAGAAGCACATGAAATGCAAAGCTATTAATATATAGGTGGAAACTGACATAGTGAGGGCCCAAAAGAAATTTGTACCAGGATAAGGGGCCAAAGGAGTTTGAGCTGGGCTTTTCATGTCTAGGCAAAGATAAGTGACATGTTTTGAGGGTGACACTGGTTAGAGAGCTGTGCTAATAATGTTCCATAAAGCCTAGGGACTCCAAGGATTTTTTCTGTCCATAACAAGAAAATAGGAAAAACTTCACTCACCGGGACACAAAAGCAATAAGGTAGTACGCAGTCTGACATGGGGAATTAGATGACAAAAAGCAATAATCCTAAAAGAATGAAAACACTAGGTCTACACCATTAAAGTGAGAAATCCAATTTCATGTCTCCTGAGATTTCCCAATCGAATAATTAACACGAAGACTTAGCTAGGACTTCTAAAATCACCAAGACAAAAGTAAGCAAAAGAGCCAAGAAATTAATGTAAAAATGTATACAGGGTCTTTGTAATTCACAAGTATTAAGAGCATATAGATCATTTGGAGAAGAAAAAGCCCATAAAATAATTATATTTGCACTGTATAGTTCAGTTGACATAAAACTATAAACAGGCAAAGCTAAACTGTGGCACTACAAGTCAGGATAGCAGTTACCTTGGAGGTAGGAAGTGTGACTAGAAGAGGGCATGAGAACACTTCTGGAGTTCTGGAAATGTTTTGCTTCTTGATCTGGTGCTGGTTAGAGGGGAATGCTCATTTTATAAAAATTCATCTAATTTTATCTACATTTATGATTTTCATTTTGTAAGTTTGTATTACAGCAATAAACCTAAATTAAAAATAAGTATTTAAGTTATTAAAGGGTTAAAATGGATTAGAAACTATAATGAACAACTTCAGGTTTCTATGATATCTATGAGCCATGAAAGAATTTTTAAGAAGAGCCAAATAGCACTTCTAGAATCAAAAAAAAAAGTCAAGTCATTGAATTTAAAATTCAATGGATGAATTAAAGAGCTGATTAGATACACTGAAGAAAGAATAACTATTCTGGAAGGTAGATTTGATGAGATCGCCAAATCTATAGCAGTGAGAGACAAAAATACTTTTTGGAAAAGTAGCTAAGAATCATGGAGAATAGAATGATAAGGTCAAGAATATTTCTGAAAGGAGTTGCATAAGAATAATATAGAAACAAAATGGAAGATAAAATATTTGCAGTGATAATGACTAAGAATATTCCAGAATTAGGCCAGGCATGGTGGTTCGCACCTGTAATCCCAGCACTTTGGGAGGCCAAGGCAGGTTGATTATCAGAGGTGAGGAATTTGAGACTAGCCTGCTCAACATGGCAAAACGCTGTCTCTACTAAAAATAAAAAATAAAAAAATCAGCCAGGCATGGTGGTGCACACCTGTAATTCCAGCTACTTGGGAGGCTGAGGCACAAGAATCACTTGAACCCTGAAGGCGGAGGCTGCAGTGAGTTGAGATTGTACCACTGAACTCCAGCCTGGGTGACAGAGCAAGATTCTGTCTCAAGAAAGAAAAAAAAAAAAAGAATTTTTCATGTCAATTTGTAAAAGCCCATGGTGCCAAGCTATAAAGGTAAGACAATTAGGCTGTAATAGACACCATATCAAAACAATATCCAGGAACATATCTTCAATTAAACAATATCCAATAAAACTAAAATTCAAGAAGGTAGCCATATGTGTGTGTTTGTTGATACTGAGGAGTATAAAAAGGTTTAATACTATTTTCTCTGCTTTTTGTGATTGTTGATTTCCATGATTATGAAAAAAATTACAATTTTTAAAATAATATTTTTCAAGAGTGAGAACTAAAAAGATAGAACTTTGCTGAAAGAGCTACTACAGAATGTACTTTGGAGGAAGAAGATTAATCTAGAAAAATCAAAAAGAAGTGAAGATAAGTAAATTAAGTGCTGAACATTATGTAAATCTAAATAAACACTGACCTAAAAAAAGACAAATTGGTAATGGAGTAAAGAACAAAGAGGATTTACAAAAGTAGACAACTGAATGGAAGAGGAAAAGGGGTTAGACAAAGGTGAAAGCATCTTAAGAACCTTGAATTATTCAGAAGAAGAGTGATGGTGATTAGGTTTACATTGTTAAACCCATTAAGCATGTTCATATTTAAGGATAATCACCAAAAGAAGAGAAATATAATTTGTATTTTTTTAAAGAAAATTCATTTCTATTATGTCTAAAAATATGTACTTCAATGGATAGAAAAATTCATAGATTTAACACTTGGATAGACAGATAATGCCTGTCTATTCAGCACATTTATTATTAGAATTTGCTGCTAACATTTTTGAAAAAATTTTTCAAATTAAGTACTTTCCATTTAAAATCTTGTTTACATTATGTACATTCATTTGCTGTATTTTCAAGTTTCATAATTTTGTTCGAAACTCACTTTAAGCTATTAGTTCCCATGAGTTAGGATCCAACAATATGACCCATATAAAGAATAGACATTTGCTCCTAGTTGGTTAACATCTGGATAGTTGAATGACTTCCTGAGTTCCCTTACTGCCGTGAAATTCAATTCATCTTCCAGATTGTCATACATTTACCTCTTCCCCTCTTCTCTCTCCAGTGTTGATCCTTTTCACTTCAGCATTGATTATGCCCAGGGTCTTTCTTGACATCTGGGGTAGATTCTTAGCGTTGACTCTCATCTTGATAGCTGAAAAGGCTACAAGTTCCAGAATGTAGCTACCAGGTGGTAGAGACTCAATCTGGTTCCCTTAGTGACCATGGAGTAGAGATTCTGTTCTAATTGTTTCATTCCCTACTAATCCTCAGTGGACATGCACAGTGTTTGTAAATGACTAATACAGTTAAGACATTTGTACATCATCATCTTCTCATGGAAGATCCTTGACTTTCCTTACAGAAACTGGTGGCTTCTTTTCTTATGTCCTCAGGTTGGTTGAGGTTCCTCTTGGTTTGGTGGGGCATCTCTGATGCACAGTGAAACAGCTAGGAATGCTCTCCTGTAGGTCTAGGGTTGGCTGAGGTAGGTAGCTCTGCCCTACATGACTTGCATTTTCCTAAGACCACTGGGTAAACTTGGGTTAGTGTAGAGCTAAAAAGATAGAACTTTGCTGAAAGAGCTACTACAGAATGTACTTTGGAGGAAGAAGATTAATCTAGAAAAATGAAAAAGAAGTGAAGATAAGTAAATTAAGTGCTCAACATTATGTAAATCTAAATAAACACTGACCTAAAAAAAGACAAATTGGTAATGGAGTAAAGAAAAAGAGGATTTACAAAAGTCAAAAGAAAAGCAAAAATACACAAGCCTCTTAAGGACTACGTTGGAATTATCGCACTGTCACTGCGACGTTATTCCATGGGCCAAAGTAAGTCACAAAGTTCAGCCAAAGGCATGCAGTGGGGCAATATACTCTTCTTTAGAAGGAGCAATTGCAAAGGGTGTAGCTAAAAGAAGGTGGTCACATCTCCTGATTTCAAAAGTTATGATAAAGCTACAGTAATCAAGATAGTATGGTACTGGAATAAGAACAGAAGAATAAATCAATAGAATAGAATTGGGAGTCCAGAAAAAAACTCTCATGTATATGGTCAACTGATTTTTAGCAAAGGTGCCATGACAATTCAGTAAGAAAAGAATAGTCTTTTCAACAAATAGTACTCAGACAACTGGATATCCACATGCAAAATGAAGTTCAACCTGTACCTCACATCATACATAAAAGTTAAAATGGACCAAAAATGTAAACGTTAGAGATAAAACTTACAACTCTCAGAAGAAAACACAGGAGCAAATCTTTATAATCTTGGATTAGTTAATGGTTTCTTAGCTATGACACCAGAAACACAAACAACAAAAGAATAAATTGGATGTCATCAACATTTTAAAACTTCTGTGATTTTAACGGACACAATCAAGAAAGTGAAAAAATCTACATAATGAGAAAAAAATATTTTCAAATCATATATTTGATAAGAAATTGTATCTAGAATATGTAAAGAACTCACAACAATAAAAATACAATAAGCCAATTAAAATAGGCACAATGAATTTGAATGGACATTTCTCCAAAGAAGATGTATAAACAGCCAATAAGCACACAAAAAGATGCTTAATATCATTAGTCATTAGAGAAATGAAAATCAAGACCACAATGACATACCACTTCAACCCACTAGGATAGCTAATATTTTTTTAAAAAATAGACAATGACAAGTGTTCACAGGGATGTGAAGAAATGGAAATCTTTATTTATTGCTGGTGGGAATATAAAATGGTACAGCTACTTTGGAATATAGTTTAGTAGTTCCTCAAAACCTCAAATTTAGAGTTACCCTATGATCTCATAATTCCAATCCTAGGTATATACCCAAGAAAAATAGAAGCATATTCCCATACAAGAACCAGTACATGATTGTTCATAATGGCATTATTTATAATAGCCAAAGAGTAGAAACAACCCAAATGTCCACCAATGGATAAAGTGTCGTATATCCATATAATGAAATATTATTCAGCCATTAAAAATGATGAAGTACTGACACATGCCACAATATAGATGAAAAGTGAACAGCCAGGCATAAAAGTATTATATGATCTAAAATGTCTAAAAAAGGCAAATCTATAGAAGCAGAAAATAGATTCCGTGGTTACCACGGAAAAGGGCAAGGTGGGAAATGGGCAGTGATGGCTAATGGATATAAAGTTTCCTTTCAGGGTGATGAAAAACTGTTCTAAAATTAGCTAGTGATGTTGGTTGCAAAGCTTTGAAAAAACTGAATTGTACATTTAAAAAAAAATGAACTGTATGATATACAAATTAAATCTCAATAAATCTGTAATTTAAAAAACGGAATGACATGGAAAGGTTGAAAGGGACAGGAGTAGTGGCTCACGCCTGTAATCCCAACACTTTGGGAGGCCAAGGTGGGCAGATCACTTGAGGTCAGGAGTTCAAGACAAGCCTGGCCAACAAGGTGAAACCCCGTCTCTACTAAAAGTACAAAAATTAGCTGGTGTGATGGTATACAACAGTAATACTCAGGAGGCTGAAGCTACTCAGGAGGCTGAAGCACGAGAATTGCTTGAACCCGGGAGGTGTAGGTTACAGTGAGCCAATATTGCATCACTGCACTACAGCCTGGGTGATGGAGTGCGACTCTGTCTCAAAAAAACAAAAACAAAACAAAACAAAACAAAAAGGTTGAAAGTGAGGAGCTGGAACATATTCATAATTATTAACAAAAGAAACCTCATGTAGCTATTTTCATGTAGAAAAAAGCAGACATTAAGTCAAAAAGCACAATCAGAGATAAAAAGGGTTATTACCAAATGCTAAAAAAAAATTAACTCAGAAAATATAATTGTCTTGACCTGTCTATTATCTAAAATATTGGTGCAATAATTTTGATGTTTGTTCCCTCCAAACTTCTTGTTGAAATTTGAGCCCCAGTGTTGGATGTGGGGCCTAATGGGAGGTGTTTGGGTTATAGGGGTAAATCCTTCACAAATGGATCAATGCCCTCCTTTGTGGGTGAGTTCTCAGTCTATTAATTCTCACTACGGTTGGTTGTTAAAAAGAGCCCTGCTGACTCCCCTTTGCCTTCTATCATGAGTGGAAGCATCCTGGGCCCCTCACCAGAAGCTGAGCAGATACCAGTACCATTCTTCTTGTACAGCCTGTAGAACCCTGAGCCAAATAAATCTTTATTAATTACCCAGTATTCCTTTATAGCAACACTAAATGAACTAAGACACGTAGCTTTAAAATGTACAAAGTGAAAACACAGAATTACAAACAGAAAATGCTGAATCTACAGGGTTTTTTTACCTCTCTTAAAATTTCTTACACAATTTACCTCTCAAAAAATAATAAAGCAGAAAAAATATAGTGAATAGGATAATTCAACCACAAAAATAATAGGCCTAATATAATGAACATATATTAAACCTAGCATTGAATAATTAAAGAATAAATATTGTTTCCAAGCCTGAAACATTTATAAATTTGACCACCTACTGGTTCACAGAGGAAGTCTCAAAAATATTAAAGTAATCGCTATTTTATAGACCACATTCACTGACAAAAATGCAATAACATGTGAAATCAAAACCCAAAAGGTAGCTAACTAAAATTTGTAATAAATTCATAGAAGCCAAGATTGCACCACTGTACTCCACAAAGGGAGACACCATCTCAAAAAAAAAAAAAGAATATTGATAAGTCTAAATCACTGACCACCATCTCCAAAGACAATGTAGAGCTATTATTTCTATATTGTTATTAAGTATCATCTTAAATTATCTGCATGTTTGAATATAAAGTAAAAAGGTTTACTACAGGAGGAAATAAGATTAAAAGATAACAACAAGTGAAAAGTACTTTATCGGTACTAATGGAAATACCATTAAACAGTTACCATAAATCACAGAGATTCCTGCTGAAAAAAATTAATTCTTTTTCTACTTTGTTAAATATTCCACAATGACTGAAATGAACAAGTCAGTATTTACCAAAATGCTCTCTGCCTTCCTAGTATGAGCCTTTGATAAAATGTGATGGAGAAGAGCACAGCATTTGGTATAACAGGATCTAGAGTTAAGTGCTTATTCTGGCACTTACTGGCTATGTCATTTTTGTAAGTCACCTGACCACTCCAATAGCCAGCAAGTCTGGTGTAAACAATAAATATTTGTGGCCTAAATAACTATTTGGCATTTCAAGGTCTTCTTTTGTTAAATGATGCCAAAAAATATCTACCTCAAAGTATTTGAGGGAAGATTAAATAACATTTCAGAAAATATCCAACTCTGCTTGCCAATTAGTTGTTCAATCATTGTTTACCTATGGACCAGTGTCCAGATTCTACCCTTTTTGTTTATAGCATATGACCGAGGGAACTTAGCATTCTGGTATAGTAGGAGCTTGGGTAGTACACTAGTTTCCTAGGACTGCTGTAACAAATTATCACAAATGGAAAAACAAGAGAAATGTATTATCTTATAGTAATATAGGATAGAAATCTGTATCTGGTGACACATTAAAATTAGGGACCATCTCCAAGATGATCTCATCTTACTATCCTTACCTTGATTACATCTGCAAAGACCATTATTCCAAACAAGGTCATATTCTAAGGTTCCAGATGGATATATCTTTTTGGGGCCACTATTCAACCCACTACAGGTAGATACTGTAATATTTACCTATCCCATCCCTTCCACCTCTCTCACTACTGTTGCATAGCTGATTCTCCTATGTTGTCTAGCCTAGTACTATTCAGAGTAACGGCCAGAATTAGCTTGATAGAAATGCAAATTTTTATGCCCACCCTAGGCCTACTGAATCAGATACTCTGGGACTGGGCCCAGGAATCTGTGTTTAAATAAGCTCCTTAGATGACTCTCAAGCAAATTAAAGTTTTTGAGGCACTAATTTAATGCTTTCCACCTATCCACACAAATATAACACTAGGTGTCACTGATTTTAAATAAACCAAATAAGTATTAATGCTTTCCTTGTTGAGTGTAAAAAACAATGTGGTTACATGGAAAGACTATATATATATATTAAAAATATATATTTGTTAAATATATATATTATATATTATATATATAATATATATATTTAATGATAATTAGGATTGCTGACTGGAATGGCAAATGACAGAATTGCCTTTAATTGCAAAGGACAGAAAATCCATAGAACTGTGTTTACATTAGATTTATATAATCTGCATAAACTGACTTGACATTGCCCATTTCCTTAAGTCACTATTCAGCTAAATGAAGTTTTCTTTTTTAATTTTTAAACAAAAAGAATGAGTCTGTTAGTTCTTTTAAATGCGAGGGTGTGAAATTTTGATTCAGTATTTTATGCTCAGGGAAGACATAAATATGTTTTGTAATCTTCTTTTGAGAGTAATTGTCAGTCAATAATCACTAAAGAGCTGCTTGCTTTGACAGAATTTCTAAAAGTGAATCTGTGTGCTTTGAATAATGTACACAAACTCCTTGTTAAAAGTCATATAAAAGAAAAAGCCAATATCCTCATTTCCCTTTGAAAAATCTGCTTAGAATAAGGATGAAAACTAGTTACATGTAGCACTGCAAATGATGGTTATTACTTAATCTGAGTATCCAGACAGTAGAGATAATATAGTTAAGTCTTTGGGCCTAGACAATGATTGCTTTCAACTTTCCTTTGAAAAAGAGGGGAGGATTAAAATGATCATTTGGTGGCCCTATTTTAGACACTATTTCAATAGAAAGAACACAAATCTAGTGTTTCTTATATAAATGTCAATCATCAATTGCTACATGCTCCAGTCTAGTCAACCTTTAATAGAGTTCTGCATTCCTATGAGATTTGAACAATGTGAGAGACCAGTCCCTGGCAATAAGACTTATAAATATCTTGCCGTTCCCTGCACTCTCTTCTTCAGCCATGTGTAAGTTTACAATAAAGCACTGTGGATTTCTCTGCTTTGAGGGGCTTATCAAAGAGAACACTGGAGTGTGTATTCAAGCAGTGAGCTGAGACATGAGAGCACTTTCCCTAAAAATAGCAGTTGATCACCAGCCCACCCTAAACAAAAGGCATAAAAGGGCTTTGATTAACACTTACAATCCTGGCTGAGGATAGGAGTACCAGGAAACTTCAAGGAGCTCTATGACTTGGTGCTTCACTAATAATTTTTAAAGCCTTACATTTAATTTATTTTTTAGCGGTCTTTGACTATATATACCAGAGATAGACCATGAAAATCCAGGTATTTCTTTTTGTAATAGAACAGATTTCACTTATAATTATAAAGAGTTTAAGAATACTAAGGACTAATCCAGACAGGGTGTCCGGGGAGGGACGAACCCCATGGAAAGCAGAATTTGTGACACAGTTGCTTAGCTGATTGAATAAAACCAGTAAATTAGATTATTTGACCTCTAATTGTAGACTTTTTGAAAATCCAAATCAGTTGAAACAATTCCTACTTGGGTACAGATTTTTCCTAAGAACAACAGATATCTTAGCAAGGGGAATGCTGGGAGAACATACTGTTTTTAGGGAAGACTTTCTAGAATCTATGTGTTTCAATTAAATTCTAAAAAGCTGATGCAGAGAATATTCAGTGGTTATAGTATCCACATTATGCTATTTTTCTGGACAAAAGAATGAATGTCAAATGTTTCATTATTTGTTTTATAATTTTTCTCTATATCAGCTAGAATAGTAAGGATAACCAGCCTGATTATTCAACCCATGGATCATTGTCAAATGCTTTAAGCATTTACCTTCAGTGTGATGCATAAGAAGATCTCTCTCATACATAGGAATAGACAGACTCTCCACAATAGCACAACTAAAACATTTAAAAATTATTTTTAAAATGTTGTCTAGTATAGTAGAGTATAAGTTTAAGATGTATCTCTAATATAAATATTTCATGATACGGCAAATTATTTCTGGAACAAAGTGAAAGAATTATTGTTATTATTATCATTATTTGAGATAGGGACTCACTCCCGTCACCCAGGCTGGAGTGCAGTGGCGCAATCTTGGCTCACTGTAGCCTGAACTTCCTAGGCTCAGGGGATCCTCCCACCTCAGCCTCTTGAGTAGCTGGGACCACAGATGCACGCCACCACACCTGGCATAATTTTTGAATTTTTAGTAGAGAAAAAGTTTCACGATGTTACCCAGGCTTGTCTTGAACTCCGGGGCTCAAGCGATCCACCTGCCTCAGCCTTCCAAAGTGCAAGGATTATGGGCATGAGCCACCCTGCTTGGCAAAGTAAAGGTATTAACTACATAAACAAAAAGACAAATAGCATCTCAAAATCATTATAATTTTAAATAATTTTAGAAGTAGTAATTTATAGGTTTTTAAAGAAAGAAAATAGGTCTGTGTCATTTAACATAAATGAAAAGTCAAAAGACTTGTGGACAAAAGCCAAATGCTTATAAATTTGAAACCGTAGGCTTGAATTCTGCTATAAGCCAATTTTCTTTTCACTGACATTGTATTTTTTCCAGTGATATCTCTCCCCTTTGCAAGCAGAATAGTAGTGTAACTATTAGGCATAGAAAAATCACTTAATATAACTAGTGTAATTGCTACAATCTATAAAATACAAACTCATTATTCAAATTCCTATTCTATATTATATCAATAACCTATTGATTGGTAATACTGGTTTTGGTTTTGATGGAATGGAGTGAAGATGATGATGGTGAGCAAGAAATATTCCAGACTTCAGAGGAAACTCAGATTCATTTTGTGTGGAGTCTGAAGTTGGAAACAGGACTTATGTGTCTCTGAATCAGAGAGAAAGGATTACATTTTCAATAAATATAATCAGCAAAATGCATTGAAGAAAACTGCATACCACAACCTTAGGTCCAAATAACAAAGGACAACATCTGGCAGCTGTTCACCATTTGATAACTGGTACTTGAGGAAGATTTTGTTTCTTAAAAAACGGCAGCCACATTTTGTGGAATCATATTTCTTGCTTTCTGGCTCAAAGTTAAAATATAGAATAGAAAACAGGGAGACTTATGGTTGAAAAGTTTCAAATTTTTAGAATCTGCAGCACCAGATTTTAAGTATCATCAAATTCAAATTCCAAGTAAATTAATCTCAACTGAATTTTTAAATGGGCATTATGTACGGAGAAAAATTAATACAAAACTAGTCATTATAAACAGTGACATTCAAAAAGGATACTTTTGGGTTTGCTTTTTAGTAATAAGGATGAAAACAAGTTTTAAACGACTAGAGAAAATCACAGATAGATAAACCTCAATTTTTGTTTACCAAAAACCAGATTTGCATAATTAAACTCTGAATTTTCTCAGACAAACCGCTCACTGCACTGGGAAAGAAACACTGGTTTAGGAAGGCATCACTATACCCCTCTCCACTTCTACTTTCTTAGAACAGCCCCTTACAACTGCAACCCTAGCGACAATAAGCAGCCCAGCAGCCCTGTGGATGGAAAAACTTCCCCTTATAGCTAGTTGCTAGCCAACATTTCTTACACTACTTGCCCTATGAACTCGGGGAATAATGTGGTCTTCGCACTACAACATACTATTGTTTTCTCTCCAGGGGAGAAAAACAAATGAGTTTTCAACTCTGCTATACTCACCCTTGACACGCATTTACCCTGTACTTCTCAGCTCCTCCCACTCCCACTGGCCATTTTGTGAAAACCACAAGTAGGCAGTTTGGCTGAAGACAGATCCATGAAGCAAAAATCAAATATAAAAAAGGGTTAAGCAAATATATAAGTCTCAACATAGACTTTTTCTTTTTTAACTTAAGGAGCAAATACAATAATCTGCACCGGAAAATTGGTATTCTGAAGCAAGGGATTCTTTGCTTGCCTTCATAAATGGTGTATAAAAGGATTTGGAATCAGAGATTTATCTATTTTCTCTAATTGTAATATTTTACTACTAATTGTTATCCTATAGAACTCCTATAGACTTTAATTCAAGATAAAAGAGGTAAATCTTGCAATTTAATCAAGCAGGGTTAGTTATGAAGTTACTAAAGAGTATCTTGTTAAAATCACCCTCTGGAAGGGCGTTTTAATACTGCTCTGTAAGGAGGCAGTTTCCCTCTACAGATTTTGAGCATAGGGCAAATGAAATTAGTATGAAAAGAACTTTCTGGTGGGATGTGGGTGGCTCATGCCTGTAATCCCAGCACTACGGGAGGCCAAGGTGGGAGGATTATTTGAGCCCAGGAGTACCTTGTCTCTACAAAAAAAATACAAATATTAGCCAGGCATGGTGGTGCACACTTGTGGTCCCAGCTACTTGGGAGGCTGAGGCAGAAGGATCATTTGAGCCCAGGAGGTGAAGGCTTCAGTGATCCGTGTTCACGCCAGTGTATGCCAGCCTGGGCGACAGCCTTGTCTCAAAAAAAGAAAAATGAACTTTGTATGTTAAGATTTACACTGATGATTTAAAGTAATAAATGGATAAAATGGATAACAATTTACATGAGGAAACTTTCTGGGTAAGGAAAATTCTTTATTTTGATTGGGGATGATAGTTTTATGAGTAAATATATTTAAGAAAAATTTATCAAACTATACA
This sequence comes from Homo sapiens, assembly GCF_000001405.40. NCBI lineage: Eukaryota > Metazoa > Chordata > Mammalia > Primates > Hominidae > Homo > Homo sapiens. The sequence goes on along the minus strand of NC_000003.12, from coordinate 28,501,593 downwards.
CTTAAGATCTCTGCATTTCACTGTGTTTAAATTTTACTTCAATAAAAAAATAAATTATGAAAAAGTTGAGTCAAGTTGGCTAAATAAAATTTATAGGAGGTCGTCGTTGTGGACTGTGCCCCTGCACTAGGCTCCAATAATCCAAACCAAACTAGAATGGAGTCACTCGCACTAGGTGTCATGTAATCAAACTGAACTGAGACATAAGCCTGTCTTCCAAAAACCAGGAGATTTCACAGCAACCAATAACAAGGGTCCCAGTCAATCTGAGCTGGCATAATAAGAAAGTCTCTTCTGCTTTAAGCCACACAAGGAGAGTAACTTGAAGTAACCTGATGTTAACCAATCTCATTTTTTGCACAATGCTGTTTCCTTCTTCCTGCTGGAGCTGCCTTACAAAAGCTGATCATTCTGCTAATCCCAGCAGAGCACCCTTCTATTTCATAGATAAGATGCTGCCAGATTCATGAATCGCTAATAAAAGTCAATTAGATCTTTAAACTCAACTTGTTGAAAATTTCTTCTCTGAAAACTGAAAGAAAACTATAGTAATAGTACTGAAAATGGCAAAATGGTGATGGAATACCTGAATGATTCAAGTCTGGGGAACACTGGCCTATGGAAAGGTGAATGATGCCCACAAAGTAGAATACAAAAGGAAATTAAATGGGTTTTGAAGCCTGACTGCAACTCTTCCCAAGGGGTTCTGCTCCTTGCTATTCTTTTCTGAGATTTCTCTCTGCCTAGGGCTAGAACCCAGCAGTAGGAATCTGCTATAATATATTTATCTTCTGGGAAGGATGCATATAAAGCCAAATAAATTAAGTGAGTTGCAGTACATGAATTCCATATTAATAGCAAGCTTAGCAATTACCACAAATATCCAGACATCTAGTCATAAAATGTAAGCAACTTATCCTGTTAATTGGGCTAATGAAAATTTTCTGCTTGTTATGAAATTTTTTTGTAATAACTTTGGAGAGAAATACTTTTTATCAGAAAACATAATAGCTGAAATTCCTCATATCGAAATGTATAAATCAAGAAAATGGTCCTTAATTTTGTTGTTCAAATAGTAAGTTAAATTATTGGCATTAATAAGTGTTAGGGAAAAAGATACACATAATTTCTGTAGGTAAACAAAAAATTAAAAAACAGATCCTTTTCCAGTTGGTAATAATATCTGGGATAGAGTTAATTAGAAATATGTAAAATTCTCTATTGAAAAAACTAAATAAAAATGGATAGAGAACCAAACTATGTTTCTACATGGATGCATGTAGTATTATAAACATGAAATTTTTCCCTAAATTAGTATATAGATTTCTTTTACTTCACATCATAGAAACAACAACAAATTATGATGTAAACTGGCAACAACATCTTTATTATACTAATACCTGTCAATGACAATTACGGCATTTGCAAGCACTGATGGTGAGAGCACTTCAGCATAATCCTTCTACTGGGAATTGTCCTTAAAAAAACAATTCCATGAATAGGGTAGGAGAGGAAGCTATACTGATAAAGCTTTTCATCAGTGTTACCAATAACAATAGAAGAAAGGTTAAGTGAATTGTGAAACATATTTTATATTAATAAAAGAGCAGTCTTTTAAAGCATGTCAAAAAAACACTGAAATCCCCAAAAGAGACAATTTTACTATATAAATACAGAAAAGGAACTACAAAACATTTAAAAGGAAAATCAGAAAATGTTTGTAACATATCAACAAATTATTAATAACTAATAAGTGTCTATGCCTACAAATCAATCAGAAAAAATATAAGCCTAAGAAAAAATGGGTAAGGGTATAATTAGGCAATTTTCAGAAGAAAACCCAGGCAATACCATTTAGGAAATAGGCATGGGCAAAGACTTCATGACTAAAACACCAAAAGCAATGGCAATAAAAGCCAAAATTGACAAATGGGATCTAATTAAACTAAAGAGCTTCTGCACAGCAAAAGAAACTATCATTAGAGTGAACGGGCAACCTACAGAATGGGAGAAATTTCTTGCAATCCATCCATCTGACAAAGGGCTAATATCCAGAATCTACAAGGAACTTAAACAAATTTACAAGAAAAAAACCAAACAACCACATCAAAAAGTGGTGGAAGGATATGAACAGACACTTCTCAAAAGAAGACATTTATGTGGCCAACAAACATATGAAAAAAAGCTCATCATCACTGGTCATTAGAGAAATGCAAATCAAAACCACAATGAGATACCATCTCACACCAGTTAGAATGGTGATCATTAAAAATTCAGGAAACAACAGATGCTGGAGAGGATATGGAGAAATAGGAACGCTTTTACACTGTTGGTGGGAGTATAAATTAGTTCAACCACTGTGGAAGACAGTGTGGTGATTCCGCAAGGATTTAGAACCAGAAATAACATTTGGTCCAGCAATCCCAGTACTGGGTATATACCCAAAGGATTATAAATCATGCTACTATAAAGACACATGCACACGTATGTTTATTGCAGCACTGTTCACAATAGCAAAGACTTGCAACCAATCCAAATGCCCATCAATGATAGAATGGATAAAGAAAATGTGGCACATATACACCATGGAATACTATGCAGCCATAAAAAAGGATGAGTTCACGTCCTTTGCAGGGACATGGATGAAGCTGGAAACCATCATTCTCAGCAAACTAACACAGGAACAGAAAACCAAACACCACATGTTCTCACTCATAAATGGGAGTTGAACAATGAACACGTGGACACAGGGAGGGGAACATCACACACTGAGGCCTGTTGGGGGGTGGCTGGCTAGGGGAGGGATAGCATTAGGAGAAATACCTAATGTAGATGACGGGTTGATGGGTGCAGCAAACCACCATGGCACGTGTATACCTATGTAACAAACCTGCACGTTCTGCACATGTATCATAGAACTTAAAGTATAATAAAAAAAAAAAGGCATAGCTAATCCTAACTGTCTAATAGAACTATGATACTATTGTAAGTCTGAGAATTTAAAATTTTCTTAAGTCCTGACTTCCTATGTCATTCTAAGGAGAAATTTGGAAGAAAAGTACTAGCATTTATTAACCACCTATTATAATATAGTAACTATATGTTATTATAATTGCTTTGTATATTAATGTCTATAAAAATCATACAGGGTAATTATTATCACTGCCAATTTAGAGAGATCTGATTAAATGAGGCTAAAAGATGTTTAGGTTAACTTTCCTAAGGTGACACAACAACGAAGTAGCAGAACTAGCTCTTGCAGACAGAGTTGTCTCAATTATAAGTTTGTATTCTTCCACCACAGTACACTGTTTCCTGAATACACACACACACACACACACACACACACACACACGTATATATGTATATAAATATATATACATACATGTACATATCTATTCAAACATCTTTCAAAATCTATTACAGGTAACACCATCAGCTGGGTACACTATTGTTTTTTAGTCCTTATTTTATTATTTATCTTAGGCCCACTTGACTCAGATATTTATTATATCTATTAATTCTGGCCTGCACAAGTATTATGATATTCTACAGATACTTAATGAGCTGTTGTAAATATCTTATAGTTCACGGGATATTAGAGTAGGAAGGGACTTACAGAATCTAGACCCACTCCTTTTTATCAAGTGGAACTCAGAGAGATTAGTGTGACTTACTCAGAGTCTCTTTCATTCAGACTGCTGCCAGTGGGGCAGAGGTGATCAGGCAGGTGCACGTGTACTACACACCTCTATCACACATGGCTGAAGAGCTAAAAAAGGGAGTTAAGTGAAGGGCAGAAGCTTGTAGATAGAAGTCTCATACTTGACCCCAGGAATGCCAATCAAAATAGGCACTTAGGAATAGTATTGAAGATGGCAACACTCTTAAATCTTGGTTCAAAGAGGTGGCAACAACTGATACTACAACTCAGCACAGGCCAACGCATAACTTTAACAACTTATTCCTCAAGGTCCACTCCTGATTCAAGGGAAGCAGGGAAACACTGTGAGTAGCTTTGATCCATCAATTCTTCTTTGGGATCTATCCTATAGAAATAATAGTACCAGCATTTAAGGATATATATCCAAGGATGTTTACTAAGTCATTTCTTATAGAAGCACCACACCACACCGGGAATTTGAAAACATCTACATATTCATCAATATATGACTGGTCAATAAAACTTTGATACATCTACTATGGTATGCTATGCAGAATGTTAAAAACAGGTCTATATTTGTTAATCTAAAGTATTTAAATCTATAGAGTAACATATATAATAAGATCTCATTGTAAAAAAAAAATCACAAAACATTTACACGTATATACACATTTGTTTATATAAATATATAAATATTATCTCTGGTTCACAAGTAAGAAAACAGGCATAGGGATGTTGACCACTGCCAAAAACACAATGCAAAGATGGATGATAAAAAAGTAAATAATTGATTCTAGAGCCTCTCACCCTGGGTTGAAAATCTTAACAGTTTGTATTTTGTTTATTTCTATAAATACTTATGTATTATATAAATAATGTATTATATAATGTATATAAATACCCTGTATTACATAAATAATGTATTATATAATGTATATAAGTACTTACGTATTTATATAAATAAACAAAATACAAACTACTAAGATTTTCAACCCAGGAAGAGGGGCTCTAGAAGCAGTTACTTACTTTTTATCATCCATCTTTGCATTGTGTTTTTGGCAGTGGTCAACATCCCTATGCCTGTTTTCTTCACTTGTGAACCAGAGATCGTATTGAATATGCCCCATAATTGCTGTTGGAATAAAATGAAACAACATGTATGTAGTGCCTGGCACTTAGTAATTACCTAATATATTTTGCCATTATCTTTTGCTTTCATACCAACAGCTTTCTTTTATACATCTATAATATTTTATATAAAACAGGCTGTCTTTAAAAATATTATGTTCAATATCTATAAAACCAAACTGTAAAGAAAAATAAAAGCTACCTTACTAAGTGAAATTAACATTCAAATCTTAATGAGGCTACCTTGTCAATATTTTAATAGGAACTAAGAAAAACTAATTAAGATTAAATAAAAATATCTAAAAGTTCCATGTGGCTAGAGTAAGTTCCTTAACTTCTCTAACCACAAATGACCTTCTTTATAAAACAATGATAATAATGTCTGCCTTGTTTTCCCCTCGGGGTCTGAAGTGAAAGACAATGTTTGTGGAAATGTTTTATAATCTTGCTAGCAACACTAAAAATATTTCTAAATGTTTATTTTTAAAAATTCAGTGAAATCAATGCATTTCATGTATCTCTATTAATTTAGTAAGTAATATTTAGTTTTAAGACAAAAGCCATCTCAAATTTCCTGTTACATATCTGTAAATTCCTTCCACGGTTTCTCGGTAACTACACTTTTACCTTTTATGGCTAAATATGTAGTTGAAAATGTTACCAAGTGTTCAGTAAAATAGTCGATAATTTCGAGAACCATTTAATTTGTCTATTCTATGACAGTTTGCCTCTCTATAACAAGCCTTCTCATTCCTTGGCTTTTAGCCTAACATGCTGTGTTTCAGTATTATTTTGTATTAACTCAATATAAAATTATATTTGTAGTTTGTCGAGTCCAGCAGAACATCCAAAATCATCCCAAATGTTGGACAGTTGTTTTACACAGCCCTGTTCCATGCATCTCAGAATATCTAGTGTCTCTAATCCTTGCCTAGTAAAACACCTTGTATTCTCCAAAATTACTATAACCCACAGCATCTCCAAAAATTTCTTAAATGTCCCCTAAGACAGTATCTCTCAAACTATCTGTGGTAAAGGATCAGTTTTTTCCCCAGTCTATCTGAGATCCATACTTTTATTAAATAAAATAAAAATGAGTTACTAGAGAAAAAATTAAATAAAAAACAAAGACATATTAAAAAATACAAGCTCCATTTTATGCTATCAGATTCAACAGACAAAAAAAAATTCTATCAAATTACCATACAAGTTCATAAATGATTACTCTTACTTTCTGTACATATCTCATTGCAGACCAACAAATAGTTTAAAGGTCAGATCTGGCCCATGGCACTGAGCCTGAGAATAGTATTGCCTTTGTTAAGAACAACTGGTACAAATAAAAGCAATATATAGAAACACTAGTTACTATCTTTATAGTCTTTGATTCTAAATATCATTTAGCAAAGATTGAAATAAACCTATCCACATTAACAATACTGCACTACTTCACATATTCCTGTCTAAATCTCCAGATGAACACACAAGACCTATATCCTTTCTTTTATAAAGGGCAACCTTGTTTTCTATGATATTGAATTCCTCTCTGCAAAGGAGCTGAACATTATTCAGCCAGTGAAAAGCCAAGATTCCTGCTGTTTTGGTTACTGTAGCCTTGTAGTATAGTTTGAAGTCAGGTAGTGTGATGCCTCCAGCTTTGTTCTTTTGGCTTAGGATTGACTTGGCGATGCGGGCTCTTTTTTGGTTCCATATGAACTTTAAAGTAGTTTTTTCCAATTCTGTGAAGAAAGTCATTGGTAGCTTGATGGGGATGGCATTGAATCTATAAATTACCCTGGGCAGTATGGCCATTTTCACAATATTGAATCTTCCTACCCATGAGCATGGAATGTTCTTCCATTTGTTTGTGTCCTCTTTTATTTCCTTGAGCAGTGGTTTGTAGTTCTCCTTGAAGAGGTCCTTCACATCCCTTGTAAGTTGGATTCCTAGGTATTTTATTCTCTTTGAAGCAATTGTGAATGGGAGTTCACTCATGATTTGGCTCTCTGTTTGTCTGTTGTTGGTGTATAAGAATGCTTGTGATTTTTGTACATTGATTTTGTATCCTGAGACTTTGCTGAAGTTGCTTATCAGCTTAAGGAGATTTTGGGCTGAGACGATGGGGTTTTCTAGATAAACAATCATGTCGTCTGCAAACAGGGACAATTTGACTTCCTCTTTTCCTAATTGAATACCCTTTATTTCCTTCTCCTGCCTGATTGCCCTGGCCAGAACTTCCAACACTATGTTGAATAGGAGAGGTGAGAGAGGTACTGGTACCAAAACAGAGATATAGATCAATGGAACAGAACAGAGCCCTCAGAAATAATGCCGCATATCTACAACTATCTGATCTTTGACAAACCTGAGAAAAACAAGCAATGGGGAAAGGATTCCCTATTTAATAAATGGTGCTGGGAAAACTGGCTAGCCATATGTAGAAAGCTGAAACTGGATCCCTTCCTTACACCTTATACAAAAATCAATTCAAGATGGATTAAAGATTTAAACGTTAGACCTAAAACCATAAAAACCCTAGAAGAAAACCTAGGCATTACCATTCAGGACATAGGCATGGGCAAGGACTTCATGTCCAAAACACCAAAAGCAATGGCAACAAAAGCCAAAATTGACAAATGGGATCTAATTAAACTAAAGAGCTTCTGCACAGCAAAAGAAACTACCATCAGAGTGAACAGGCAACCTACAACATGGGAGAAAATTTTCACAACCTACTCATCTGACAAAGGGCTAATATCCAGAATCTACAATGAACTCAAACAAATTTACAAGAAAAAAACAAACAACCCCATCAAAAAGTGGGCGAAGGACATGAACAGACACTTCTCAAAAGAAGACATTTATGCAGCCAAAAAACACATGAAAAAATGCTCATCATCACTGGCCATCAGAGAAATGCAAATCAAAACCACTATGAGATATCATCTCACACCAGTTAGAATGGCAATCATTAAAAAGTCAGGAAACAACAGGTGCTGGAGAGGATGTGGAGAAATAGGAACACTTTTACACTGTTGGTGGGACTGTAAACTAGTTCAACCATTGTGGAAGTCAGTGTGGCGATTCCTCAGGGATCTAGAACTAGAAATACCATTTGACCCAGCCATCCCATTACTGGGTATATACCCAAATGACTATAAATCATGCTGCTATAAAGACACATGCACACGTATGTTTATTGCGGCATTATTCACAATAGCAAAGACTTGGAACCAACCCAAATGTCCAACGATGATAGGCTGGATTAAGAAAATGTGGCACATATACACCATGGAATACTATGCAGCCATAAAAAATGATGAGTTCATGTCCTTTGTAGGGACATGGATGAAATTGGAAACCATCATTCTCAGTAAACTATCACAAGAACAAAAAACCAAACACCGCATATTCTCACTCATAGGTGGGAATTGAACAATGAGATCACATGGACACAGGAAGGGGAATATCACACTCTGGGGACTGTGGTGGGGTCGGGGGAGGGGGGAGGGATAGCATTGGGAGATATACCTAATGCTAGATGACACGTTAGTGGCTGCAGCGCACCAGCATGGCACATGTATACATATGTAACTAACCTGCACAATGTGCACATGTACCCTAAAACTTAAAGTATAATAAAAAAAAAAACATTAAAAAAAATAAAATAAAAAAAAATAAAGATAAACCAGAAAAAAAAAAAAAAGAAAAGCCAAGATTCCTATATTTATAAGCCAAAAAGCAAAAAGATAAAACAAAACCTGATTTTAGAAGGACTCATAAAATGTACAAAGAATACAAACATGATGCTCATCCTTTGCCTAATCATCTATAGATACATGCCCAACACCCTTTTCTGTTCCTTGAGGTTACACTTGACCTTCCCTTGATCTGCTCTGCCTCACCACTCAACACGGGAAATCTCACCATAGGCTTTTCATTCTATCATAATTCCTTTTATTGTGGCACTAGTATATGTCCACAAGTATTTGTTTTAGGCACCAACTCTTTCTCTTTGTTTAGTGGTAAGAACATCATCTCTTGAGGAGAATGTCAAGGTTCATCCTATCCCAACCAAGTTTTTGCCAGTAAGTAGAGTTAAACAACTCTCTGAATGCAATATTCAAAATAATGTATTAAATTGTAATAATTCTTTAAAAATGCTGTTGACAATTTTCATTTACAAAATTCCAGGTTCAGAAAATTCATTAAGATGGCTGATATTGTTCTCTACTTAAGTTTAAGGTAGACACCATGTTGAGCTGTAAATTCTACTTAAATTTTCTATGAGATTGTGTATACACATTAGAGTAATATAGTATATGAAAATATTTTAGTATATGAGTATGTATATGAAATATAATTTAAGTAAAAACACTCATTTACTTGTTTACTTATAGTTCTCTATTGTTCTAATTTCTGACAGTCCGATAACATTAATATAAGTAACCATAAATATTAATTTCCTAGTATTAACCTAAGAAAGGAAACATATACTAAAGTAACATTCAGAAGAAAAAATGGATTGTATGTCATTGTTTGTTTTTAAATAATATAATTTTCTTTAAAGAATAGTGTTAAATGAAATTTGAAGTTTGTATATTTTATATAATAAAACACAATCTTACCCTTTTCTTGACCAGTGCAGCAACTTTGTCATGTGTTTCGGATTTATCTGTAAGACAATGAAACATGGCTGCTTCAAAAAAGTGCCTATGTTCCTGTTCAAATAAATACTGAATTACACAATTAGAATTTTCTACTTTCTCATTACTATTGTAACAGTATTTTGTTCCCGTTGTCCCTTTAATTAATATGCTAGTAAACTGAGCTGTCCATTGTTTAGTAGAGCAATGCAATCCAAAAGTAATAATATGAACATTTTTATACTTATTTGGCAGATCTCCTCTCTTAAAGTTGGCTAGTTGGATGTCCTCAAGTTGGTGTCTAGTATATCTTATTTCTAGGTTCTGGGGAGCTTGTGTGCTCTGGAGTATATAGGATCTAGAACTGAATCCCAGCTGCCTCCATTTTCATATCTATCTATTATATGCTGGACATGGGACAAGGACTTTATATAGATATCTTATTTAATTCTCATTATAACCTTGTAAAGTACGCAGTCCCTCCTCACTTCACAGCTGAGATAAATAATGTACCCTGCCTGAGGTCATGCAGCTTGGCCAGAACCATCTGATCGCAAGCCTCTAATTTTTCCAGAATGTCTGCCGTCTCCATTTGGGACCACTGAGCTGCCAACAGTGCCTCAGAGAAAGATTCAGCAAGAATGGAAACTACTAGTACATTTTCTCATTATGCCACTCCTAAATTTAGTACATTTTCTCATTATACCACTCCTAAAAACAGAATAATTAGTAATGAAATAGTTCATAAAAAACTATCCCAGGATATTATTTTGAGATGTGCTAAAGTATGTATGTGTGTATATGTATCTATTGGTTACAACTGTTGTCATAAAATATAGAAACTCAGAGGAACAGGTTACTATATTCATGCCTACAACCTGGTGGTTACATGTAAACTATCCTCTTTCCTATATCCAGCTGTATATTTAAGATGATCCCTCTTTCTGGAACACCCTTTCTCTCCACTAATGAATGTATAAGGTTAGGTGCTACTACAGATATTCCTCTGATTAGGATAAAACTCCACCTCTTTTGCAAAATCATAGTCATATAAAGCCATGAAACTTTCTTCCTTGTATTATGGTTAGTTATGAACATGTCTAAGTATTCTGTGAAACTAAAATATTCCTCAAAAGCAGGGACCACATTTTATATGCAGTAAGTGTTCAATAATACTTATAATTAAAAATGTATATGTATTTCATCCAAAATCTCATATGAATCTGAAATATACATTTTACCTTAAAAAATTAATGTAATTTATTAATTAAAATAAACTGATCATTTACTTGGTATCGGCTACTATATTAGACAGTATAAGATATAAAACAATGTATATGCTCTTAGACTCTCTTTATTGATAAACCAGGGGTAATAATTATTTTTCTTAAACTTTTAGTTTCAGGGGTACATGTACAGGTTTGCTATATAGCATAGTACCCGATAGGTAGTTTTTCAATCCTCACCCTCTTTCCACCCTCCACCCTCACGTAGGCCCCAGTGCCTATTGTTTCCTTCTTTGTGACCACATGTACTCAATGTTTAGTTCTCACTTATAAGTGACAACATGCAGCACTTGATTGTCTGTTCCTACATTATCTTGCTTAGGATAACGGCCTCCAGTCCCAAACATGTTGCTGAAAGGACATTATTTTGTTCTTTTACATGACTACATAGTATTCCATAGTGAATATGTACCATATTTTCTTTATCCAGTCTACAATTGATGGGCATCTAAGTTAATTCCATGTCTTTGCTATTGAAAATAGTGCTGCAATGAACATATGTGTGCATGTATCTTCATGGTAGAATGATTTATATTTCTTTGGGTATAGATCCCAAAAATGGGATTGCTGGGTCAAATGATGGTTCTGTTTTAAGTTCTTTGAAAAATTGCCAAACTGCTTTACACAGTCACTGAACTAAATTACACTACCACAAGTAGTATATAGCATTCCCTTTTCTCTGCAACCTCGCCAGTATTTGTTATTTTTTGACTTTTTATTAATAACCATTCTGACTGGTGTGAGATAGTATCTCATTATGGTTTTGATTTGCATTTCTCTAATGGCCAGTGATGTTGAGCATTTTTTCATATGCTCATTAGCCACATATATGTTTTCTTTTGAAAAGTGTCTGTTCATGTCCTTTTCCCACTTTTTAATGGGGTTATTTTTTGCTTATTATAAATGCTGGACATCAGACCTTTTTCAGATGCAGAGTTTGCGAATATTTTCTCCCATTCTGTAGGCTATTTACTCTGTTGATAGTTTCCTTTGTTGTACAAAAGCTCTTTCATTTAATTAGGTCCAGGAGTAAAAATGATTACCTCACTAGAATATTGTGAGATTTAAATAATATAATCTACTTAATTAAAACTCCTAAAACAATGTCTGAAGATAACAGATAATCAACAAATATTCACTTCCATTTTAGCTAGTAGACATGGGGTGTGTGTGTGTGTGTGTGTGTGTGTGTGTGTGTGTGCGCGCGTGTGTGTGTGAAAGAGAGAGAAAGAAAGAGAGAGATCTTGATCTTTGGAATACTAGGAAAAACACTTTAGTGATTATATATTTCACTATTGTATCATCTTTTTAGGTGACTCCACCATTCTTCTATCTAAATAATTATTTTCATCTTTTTAACATAGTTGGAAATAATTGATGAGTAATAATAAAATATCAGCGTGTTTCAAGAAATGGGAAAAAATAAGATCACTAAAATCTCATAGTATATTTTGGGATTAATCATGTGTAAAGGGCCCAGTAGAACCTTATGGTAATTACAAGATGGAATAAGTTTTGTTGTATCTTTAAAAAAAAGTAAATTTACTCTTTGTTCTTTTGAAAACCTCTAATAAGGATAAAAGTCATAATGAAATATCAATCATTAAAAATAGTTAAAATTAAACAAAAAGAAACTCAAAAACTAAAATTGGAGTCTATGTATCTGGATGGTATAGAGAGAGTTAACCAAAATGGATGTTTGCTATGTTTCCTGTCAAAATATACCTCATTCTTATGTAAATTTTCTAACAAGGCAATAAATTGGGAACAGAAATATGTGAACTGTTGTTCAAGGAGCTTTTTGTGTTCAAAAGCTATAAAAACCATCTTCCAATAAAAGTAGAGTATCTTGGGGAATATCAACAACCACGTTGATTTTCAAATGCCAAAGGAAAATTCTTATGTAATACTTAAAACATTATGATCAGTAGTAATTTCTTTACTAATAATAACAGTAGGTCTATGTTCAACTTTAGCAAAAATTAACAACTTTCTAAAAGCTAAATTTTCTCTTGTGAGAAAGATTTAATTTCCTTCCTTCAGAAATCTCTGCATGTAGGGACTCTCATCATAAAGAGTGAAAAGCAGTTAACAGGAAATGTAGATGTGGATAATGAAAAGGGCCTTCACTCCTCCTTTGAGCTATATCCAAGTCATATTTTTAAAGTGCAAAAGAGGAGCTGCAGGTAGTAAATGAAAATGTTCTAAATGAGTAGAGGTGGTTTTGACTCATGACCCAGAACAGATGTTATTGATTTTTTACTTACAACCATATTAGGGAGAAATACAAATATTAACATAATTCAATGATTTATCTTATTTCAATAATTTTTTTAAACCTTGTGTATTCATGGACTCAAAAAATTGTCAGTTTTTGTTTGTTTAAATGTGATAGCTGAGAGCATTTTCGTAAAAACATAGAGGACAGTCCAGTTTCTGGTCTGGCATGTAAGGAAATTAGAAGTCCCCACTAGAGTCCAACAACATGTACAAAGGTGAGCAAAACGAAAAATGAACAACTCTTCTTAGATCCTTTGGAGAAGTGGGGTCACAGGGCAAACTGATGTCCCCAAATTTGGAGAAAAAGACAGGTAAATACAGAGAATCACAACCAACCTGAGCAGGGTGGAAACTAGTATAGGGGTAGGAAAACCTGAACTTTAATTGACAAATTGCTAGAAGCTCTGTGGGAACAAGCCTGAGACAAAAACTCCAGGGGGACCTAGTCATGGTGGGAGGGACACCCTTTTATTGAGTTTTACGTGTAGGAGCTCTACCAGGTTCTCACAGAGAAGATTAGGGAAATATCTCCTGGCTTCCATCAGGGGGAGGAGAAAAGTAACCATTTTGAAATAATATGTCAGACCATTCTGTACTTCTTAGCAAGGCCTGCCCTGAGGAGAAACTATTTTACCAGAGCCTAACCTATTGAGGGATTTTCAAAGCCTAACCCCAGCCTGACCTGGGGGAAGCAAAATACTCAACTCCAGCCCCGTCTAGCCATCCTTTACTATCTATGTAGGTGAAGAAAAAAAAGGGGGGTTGGAGGAAAGCCCTTATGAAGTTTACAGCCTAGGACTGAGACTTTATCATAGGAACATAGAATGCTTTCCCTCCCCCTCATGTCTTACCACTGCACTGCTAAACTATCATGATTGCAGTTATTTTACCCAGAACATCATGCCCACCTTTCAATAAAAATTTATAAGCATACTAAAAGGCAAAAAAGAAAATTTGAAGAGACAGAGCAAGCAGCAGGACCAGATCAAGATATGGCAGAGATGATGGGATTATCAGCTCATGAATTTAAAACAACCATGACTAATATGCTAAAAGCTACAGTGTTAAAAGTAGACAATATGCAATAACAGATAGGTAACGTAAGCAAAGAAATGAAAATTCTAAGAAAGATTCACAAGAAATGGTTGAGAGCAAAAGTAATGCAACATAAATGAAGAATGTGTTTTATGCGCTCATCAGTAGACTCGACATGGCTGAGAAAACAATCTTTGAGCTTCAGGATATATCAATAAAAACCACCAAAACTAAAAAACTGAAAAAGAGAAAAGACTGAAAAAAATAATATAACAGAATATACAAGAACTGTGGGACAACTAGAAAAGTGTGACATACATGTAATAGGCATACCAGAATGAAAAGAGATGCAGGAACAAAAAAAAATTTGACACAATAATAACTGATAATTTCCCCCAAATTAATATCAGATGCCAAACCATATATCCAGAAGCTCAGGAAACACTAAGTAATATAAATGCCAAAAATCTACATATCATATTCAAACTTCAGAAAATAAAAGATTAAAAATAAAATCTTGAAAGAAGTCAGAGAAAAAAAAACTTACCAATAGAAAAGATAAAAATTACATCCAACTTTTCCTCAAAAACCATGCAATCGATAAAAGAGTTGAACAAAATAAAGTGTTGACAAAATAACACAGCCACCTAGAAATCTACACTCTGAAATTACCTTTTTTTTTTTTCTTTTGAAATAGGGTCTCACTCTGTACTCAGGTCAGAGTGCAGTAGCACAATCATGGCTCACTGCAGCCTCGACCTCCCAGGCTCAAGCGATCCTCCCACTCAGTCTCCTGCATAGCTGGGACTACAGATGAATACCTGGCTAATTTTTGAATTTTTTATAGAGACGGAATCTCACCGTGTTGCCCAGGCTGGTCTCCAACTCTGGGCTCAAGTGATCCTCTTGTCTCAGCCTCCCAAAGTGCTGGGATTGCAGGCCTGAGCCACAGTGCATGGCCTGTGAAACTATTTTTCAAAAGTGAAGGAGAAATAAAGACTTTCCCAGGCAAAGAAAAAGAAATGGAGGCATTTGTTGCCAATAGAACTACCTTCCAAGAAACACTAAAAGAAGTTCTTCCAAGAGAAGAAAAATAATATAGGTTAGAAATTCAGATCTACACAAAGACAACAAGAGCACTGAAAACTGAATAAGTAAAGGTAAAGTAAAAACTTTTTACTTTTCTTATTCTTAATTGATCTAATAGATGTTTGTTTAAAATAATCATGATACACTTAATTATGTATACTTATGCATACATCTTATGTGTGTGTGTGCATATATGCTTATATATAAGTAAAATGAATGATAGCAATGATACCAGGGATGAGAAGGCATAGTCTGTCATTATAAGATATTTGTACTATTCCTGAAACAGGATAATTATTTGTAAGTGGGATTTGAATTAGTTGTAAATGTACATTGCAAACTCTAGGGCAACCACCAAAAAGTTTTTAAAAAAGTATAACTGATAATTGGTATGCTAAGAGGGAAGAAAATGGAATTATTTAAAATCTCAAAATCACAAAGACAGAAAAAGAGTGAAAGACAAAAACAGTAACAAAGAAAAAGGGCACCACTTTAAAAAGTTTTAAAAAAGTATAATTGATAATTGATATGTCAAGAGGGAAGAAAATGGAATTATATAAAATCTAAAAATCACAAAGACAGAAAAAGAGTGAAAGACAAAAACAGTAACAAAGAAAAAGGGCAATAAATAGAAAATAATAACAAATATGACAACTATTAATCCATGATATTAAAAATAATCATTTTAAACATTAATGGCCCAGATGGATGAATTAAAAGAAAAAATATATCATGCTAACCCTAATGAAAAGGAAGTAGGAGGAGTTATATTAATTTGAAACAGAGCAGACTTCAGAGCAAGTTTAGTTATCAAGAATAAAGAGGGTCATACATAATAATAAAGAGGTCAATACTCCAAGAAGACTTGCAACCTTTAATGTACATGCACCTAACAACAGAGCATCAAAATATGAGAGGCAAAAACTGATGGAACTGCAGAGAGAAATAAATAAATCTACTATTATAGCTAGAGGCTTCAACAGCCCTCTATCAGAAATGAACAAATCCAGCAAAAAGACACAGTTGCACTCAAAAGCACCATCAATCAACTGGATATATTTGACATCTGTAATCTACTTCATCCAACAACAGCAGAATACACATCCTTCTTATGCCCACATGAAACACTCAGAAAAAAAGACCACATCCTGGGCCATAAAAAATACCTTAACACATTTAAAAGAATAGATATAATACAATGTCCTCTCACAGACCAAAATGGAATTAAGCCAGAAACTGGTAACAGAGAGATAGGTGGAAATCCAAAATACTTGGAGATTAAGGAACACACTTCTAAGTAACACATAGATCAAAGAAAAAAAAAAAACTCAAGAAAAATTTTAAAATATTTTGAACTCAATGAAAATGAAAGTGCAACTTATCAATCATGGGATGCAGCAAAAGCAATGTTCAGAGGAAAATTTATAGCATTGAATTCATCTATTAGAAAAGAAAAAAGCTCTAAAATCAATAATCTAAGCTTTTACTTTGGAAACTAGAAGAAAAAGAACAGGCTAAATCCAAAGTAAGCAGAAGAAAAAAAATAAAAGAGCAGAAATCAATGAAATTGAAGACAGTAGACAGAGAAAAATCAATACAACCATAAGCTAGCTCTTTGAAAGATCAGTAAAATTGAGACTCTAGAGAGGAAGGCAGGCAGGCAGGCAAGAAGGAAGGAAGACAGGACAGAAGGAAGACAGGAAGGCAGGCAGGAAGGCAGGCAGGAAGGAAGGAAAGAAGGAAGAAAGGAAGGGAAGAAGGGAGGGAGGGAGACAGGAAGGAAGGAGGAAAGGGAGAGAGGCAGGCAGGCACAAATTACTAATATTAGAAATGAAAGAGGTAGACATTATAACAAATCCCATGGACATTAAAAGAAAATAAAGGAACATTATGAACAACTCTATGCCCACAAATTTTATAACCTAGATGAAATGGATCAATTTCTTGAAAGAGACACTCTGCTAAAATTTTCGCAAAAAGAAACAGGCAATCTGAATAGGCCTACAATTATTAAAGAAATTGAATCAATATAATAACCTTCCCAAACAAAAAGCAGCAAGCCCAGATGGGTTCACTGGTGAATGCTATCAAACATATAGGAAGAAATTATGCCAATTCTCCGTAACCTTTTCCAGAAGATATAAGCAGAGAAAGTACTTCCTAACTCATTCAATGCAAGGTAGTTCAAAAATTGGAAACCAATTAATGTAATCAATTAATCACATCAACAGCATAAAGAAGAAAAATCACATGACCATGTAAGCAGATCACAGAAAAGCGTATGAAAAAAAAAAACCTCAGGAAACAAGGAGGACGGGAACTTCCTCAGCTTCATAAAGAGCATTTACAAAATATCTAAAGCTAGTATCATATTTAATGGTAACAAACTAGAAGCTGTCATGCTAAGATGAAGAACAAGTCAAGGGTTTTCTCCCTCACCACTCTTCTCAATATTGTACTGGAATGCCTAGATAACGCAGTAAGACAATAAATGAAAATAAAAGATATACACATTTGGAAAGAAGAAATAAAACTCTCGCTGCACATGATATGATTGTCTATGTAGTAAATCCAAAAGAATAGACCAAAAAAACCCTGTAATTAATAATAGATTATAGCAAGGTTGCAGGATACAAGGTTAATATCCAAAAATAAATAGATTTCTGACATACTAGTACCAAACAAGTAGAATTTGAAATGAAAACACATTAGAATTTACATTGGCAAACCTCAAAGTGAATTAGTCAAGCATAAATCTAAAAAGAAATACAAGATCTAAATGAGAAAAACTACCAAACTCTGATAAAATAAATCAAAAAAGAACTAAATAAACTTGAAGATATTCCACATTCATGGATAAGAAGACTCAATATGGTCAAGATGTCAGTTCTTCCCAACTTGATATATAAATTCAATATAATCCCAATAAAAATGCTAGCAAGTTATTTTGTGAAATCAACAAACTGATTCTAAAATTTTTATGGAAAGGCAAAGACCCAGAATAGCCAACCCAATATGGAAGGAGAAGAACAATGCTGGAGAACTGACACTACCCAACTTGAAGACTTACTATGAAACTGCAGTAATCAATACAGTGTGGTATTGGCAAAAGAACAGACAAATAGATCAACAGAACAGAATAAAGAACCCAGAAATAGACCCACATAAATATAGTCAATAGATAATTGATAAAGGAGCAAAGGTGATACAATGGAGTAGACAGTCTTTTCAACCAGTGGTGCAGGAACAACTGGACATCCACACACACAAAAAGTAAATTTAGACACTGATCTTACACCTTTCACAAAAAGGAACTCACAATGAATCATAGGGCGAAATGCAAAATTATAAAACTCCTAGAAGATAAAAGAGAAAACCTAGATGACCTCATGTATGGCAATAACATTTAGATACAACACCAAAGGCAAGGTCCATGAAAGAAATAATTGATAAACTAGACTTCATTAAAATTTAAAATGTCTGCTCTGCCAAAGATTCTGTCAAGAGAATAGAAAAGATAAGCCACATATTGGGAGCAAGTATTTGCAGAAGACCTATAAAAGAGCGACATCTAAAATATACAAAGAACTCTTAAAACCTCTGCAGCAAAAAAATGAACAATCCGATTGAAAAATGAGCAAAATATCTCAGAAAACAACTCACCAAAGAAGATAGAAAGGTGGCAAATAAGTATATGAAAGGATGTTCAACATCATATGTCATTAGGAAATTGTAAATTAAAACACTTATGAGGTGCCACTACACACCTACTAGAGTGGCCAAAACCCAAAACACTGACACCACCAAATATTGATGAGGATGTGGAGCAACAGGAACTCTCATTCATTGCTGGTGGGAATGCAAAATGGTGCAGTCATTTTGGAAGACAGTTTGGTAGTTTCTTTAAAATTTGAACATATCTCACCATATGATCAGCAATTGTGTTCCTTGGTATTTATCAAAAGAAGTTGAAAACATCTGTCCAGACAAAAACCTGCACATATATGTTTACAGCAGCTTTATTCATAGTTGCCAAAATTTAAAAGCAACCAAGATGTCCTTTCATAGGTGAATGATTTTAAAAAATCACGGCACATACAGACAATGGGTATTATTCAGCACTAATTTAAAAAAGATCTATCAAGCCATGCAAATACACGGAAGAAACTTAAATGCATATTACTAAGAGAAAGAAACCAATCTGAAAGGGTGACATATCATATGATTCTAACCATATGACATTCTGGAAAAGCCAAAACTATGGAGACAGATAACAAAAATCAGTAGTTGCCAGGGAATAAGGGGGAGGTAGAAACAAACAGCTGGAACACAAAGGATTTTTAGAGCAGTGAAACTACTCTATATGATACTATAATGGTGGATACAGGTCATTATACATTTCTCCAGACACACAGAATGCATAACAGCAAGAGTAAACCCTAATGTAAACTAAGGACTTTGGGTGACAATGACGTGTCAGTGTAGGTTCATGAATTGTAACAAATAGATGTCATGGTATGGGATGTTGACAGTCGGGGAGGTTGTGTGTTTAGGGATTGTGAGGAGGAGATATATGGGAACTCTCTGTACTTTCCACTCAATCTTCTGTGAACTTGTCATTCATTTTCCACTCTTTTCAAACCTACTTATTTGCTTTAAATCCTAAACTTAGGTGGTTGGGTTGAAATTTAAATTTTTTCTCAAATAAAATCTTTTCACATATACATTTTTTGTAAATATAAAGTTTTCCAAAGGAGAAAAAAAAAATCATTGCTACTTGAAAATTCAGTCAGCATCAAAGTCCGGATCCTTCTATCCATAGAGTAATCTGTTTAGAACTTAAAGTAATAAAGACAAAAAGGGGCTTGTAAAATATAAAATGATCATAATCACTAAGCAGAAAACAATTTAAACATATTTAAGTTTAATAAAAACTATCTCACACCTGTGATCCCAGCACTTTGGGAGGCTGAGGTGGGTGGATCACCTGAGGTCAGGAGTTGGAGACCAGTCTGGCCAATATGGTGAAACCTCGTCTCTACTAAAATACAAAAATTAGCTGGGCGTGGTGGCGGGCACCTGTAATCCCAGCTACTCAGAAGGCTGAGGCAGGAGAATTGCTAGAACCCAGGAGGCGGAGGTTGCGGTGAGCCAAGATCGCGCCACTGCACTCCAGCCTGGGCAACAGAGCGAGACTCCATCTAAAAAAATAAATAAATAAAAGTTATCATTTTATGTGGCAATCATTTCCTTTTTAGAGTTAAAAATGTGTCATATCCATAGATCAATGGAACAGAATAAAGAACTCAGAAATAACGCCGCATACCTACAACTATCTGATCTTCAATAAATCTGACAAAAACAAGCAATGGGAAGTTCAAGACCAGCCTGGCCAACATGGTGAAACCCCATCTCTACTAAAGATACAAAAAATTATCCGGGTATGGTGGCATGTGCCTGTAATCCCAACTACTCGGGAGGCTGAGACAGGAGAATTGTTTGAACCTGGGAGGTGGAGCTTGCAGTGAGCTGAGATCGCGCCATTGCACTCCAGCCTGGGCAAGAGGGCAAGACTCTGTCTCAAAAAAAAAAAAAAAAAAAGAAAAAAAATGAGGAAAGGATTCCCTACTTAATAAATGGTACTGGGAGAACTGGCTAGCCATATGCAGAAAATTGAAACTGGACCCTGCCCCACTTCCTTATACCATATACAAAAATTAACTGAAGATGGATTCAAGACTTAAATGTAAAACCTAAAACTATAAAAACCCTGGAAGACAACTCAGGCAATACCATTCAGGACATAGGCATGGGCAAAGATTTCACAATGAAGACACCAAAAGCAATTACAACACAGCAAAAATTGACAAATGTGATCTAATTAAACCAAAGAGCACAGCAATAGAAACTATCCACAGAGTGAGCAGAGAACTTACTGACTGGAAGAAAATTTTTGCAATCTATGCATCTGACAAAGGTCTAATATCCACCATCTGACAAAGGTCTAATATCCACCATCTATAGGGAACTTAAACAAGTTCACAAGAAAAAAAAAACCATTAAAAAGTGGGCAAAGGACACAAACAGACAATTTTCAAAAGAAGACATACATGCAGCCAACCTACATATGAAAAATAGTTCAACATCACTGATCATTAGAGAACTGCAAATCAAAACCATGAGATACTATCTCACACTAGTCAGAATGGCTGCTATTAAAAAGTCAAAAAATAGCAGATGGTGGTGAGGTTGAGGAGAAATAGGAATGCTTATACACTGTTGGTAGGAGTGTAAATTAGTTCAACCATTGTGTAAGACAGTGTGGTGATCGCTCAAAGACCTAGGGGCAGAAATATCATTCAACCCAGCAATCTCATTACTGGGTATATACCCAAAGGAATATAAATCATTCTATTATAAAGACACATGCACACATATGTTCAACACTATTCACAATAGCAAAGACAATGACTCAACCTAAATGCCCATCAATGGTATAAAGAAAATGTGGATAAAGAAAATGTGGTAAAGAAAATGTGGCACCTGTACACTGCAATAAAGAAAATATGGTACCTGTACACCATGGAATACTATGCAGCCATAGAAAAGAGTGAGATGAGTCCTTTGCAGGGACATGGATGGAGCTGGATGCCATTAGCATTAGCAAACTAATGCAGGAACAAAACCAAATACTGCATGTTCTCCCTTATAAGTGGGAGCTAATTGACAAGAATACATGGGCACATAGAGAAGAACAACACACATTGGGGTTTATCAGAGGGTGGAAGGTGGGAGGAGGAAAAGGATCAGGAAAAATAACTAATGTGTACTAAGCTTAATACCTGGGTTATGAAATATCTTTATAACACATCTCCATGACACAAGTTTACCTATATAACAAGCCTGCACATGTACCCCTGAACTTAGAAGTTAAATATATACAAAAAATGTCAAACCTACTATAATCTTTCAAATGGTTTCACTTAAAAAGCTAACTATATACCATAGTATTGAGAATTCAATAGAACTTTCTTTGAAAATAACCTAAAATATTATCACAATTTTTCACCTAGTTTTTTTTTAAAGTTGAAGTTTTTCTTCTATTCCTGCCCTGAACTTATTTCAAAATGCAATATTTTGAAAATACTTTGTTCTGTAATAATACAGCATATCCAAGTGAAATTTTAATGCCAGGAATATATTTAAAGCTATGGTTCCCATTGTGAAATATATGCCTTTGAAATACACAAGGGCATCTATGTAGACAGTCTAACGGTAAAGAAGATAGATAACAAAAGTGCTAACAAGAACTCCTGCATTTAAAAAGAGTGTATGTTTAGTCATTGAAAATTGTTTTAGGGGACAAAATATATGCTATTCATTGATATAAAAATAATTTTCAAATAAACAATGATATACTATTTCCCTATGAAGAGAAAGAGATAGAGATTTTTGAATGAGCAAACATATTTTGGAAAACATGCATTTGAATAAATCCTTATTTCAGAGTAATAAAGAAAAAATATTTATACACCTTGTAGTTTTGATAGGCAGCACATTTCCAGTCTTTGCTCATGAGAATATCCATAGAGTAGACATGCTTCTTGTAGTGCACTTTTATACCACTTCTTTTTATTCTTACACTTTTCTGGCTATATAAATACAGAAAAAAGAAAAAAATTCATTTTTAAATATATAACTTTGTTTTAAAATCCACTTATTAAGCTGGAACAAAATCTAATTTGGAGCATTGTATAACGTATTTCTTAGACTTTCGTATCTAATTATTATTTTAATATTATTTTAGAATTCGGCAAAATTGTGAAAATTTTGCAAGTTAATAGTCAAAGGGTCAGATGTTTGGTTCACTAAGATAATCATGATAATGTTATTCATCTCACACTTAGGAACTTACAAAAAGGCCCTCAGCGTCACAAAGTAGTTAATATTAATAGATTTAATAAGAATAATGTTGATTTCCTTTTAAAAAACATAGCAATTATACTAAAGTGGTACAAATTGAAAATCAAGTTTCTTATTAGAAGAAAATTAATTTGGCAGGGTGCAGTGGTTCACACCTGTAATTCCCAGCTACTTGGGAGGCTGAGGTAGGAGAACTGCTTGAACCTGGGAGGCAGATGCTGCAGTGATGCGAGATTGTGCCACTGCACTCCAGTCTAGGTGAGAGAGTAAGACTCTGTCTCAAAAAATAAAATAATAAAAAATAAAAAATTCTATTCACATCTAGTTTTAGTGTTACAGCAGATATTAACATATGCATACAAATTTCTTAAACCTTCTGTGCCCTAGTTTCTTTATCTAAAAACTGTGAATGATAACACTACATACATCATAAGGTTTCATGAGTATGAAATAAAATAATAGATTATAGTTTCATGGCATAATAAGAACTCAGTAAGTTATTTTACTTGGATACAGCACATTTTCTAAATGCATATTTAATTTTCAAAAAATATATTTTAAGAAGAAAAACAAAATGAAAAAATATCTGGGTCAAAAATAAATGTTAAATTGACCTAGTCCAATAATGTTTTCAGTGTTATTTTAAAACTCAGCAAAAAGGATTTTTATAATGTTTTTAAATGTTATATTTATAAAATGCATGCCATCATTTTCATTTTGAATACCAGCAAAAGGAATATGGCTATTTATTTTATTAACCTATAATTAACACCTATCTATAAAGATTATATTTTTCTCTCAGATGTATAAGATAATTCACCCTTTACACAGAAGTGTAAATCTATATAAGACCCATATTGAATTAATTCAGAGAATGAAACTATATATTTAAAGCTCTTCTCAAATGTCACCATATTCTTAGAGTCCCCAAATTAATATCAACTCTGTGCTCCCACTACACATAAATACTTTCATTTATTGATTTACTACTTTCTGACTTCTATTACAGTTATTTGTGTTCATGACATCACTACCCATAAAATGAAAGGTCCATGAAGATGGAGGCAATACATAATATTTTATCTTTGCATCCTCCACAGTACCCATTTGCCTATACCTCATGGTATATTATACAAAGTATTCAGAAAGAGGCTGATAAATTGCATTTGGTCCTGGGCACTGATTAACTTGACATAAAAGCAGTGAAACAATAGGATCAAACAAAACTCTACTTTTGGACACATAATCTATGAATTTCATTCATTAAGTAAGTTATTTCATAGGAAACAGATGAAAAGAGGCAGATACAATTCACTAAATATTGGAAATTTTAAATTATTTTAAGGATGTCTAAGCTAGCCTTCACAGATTTTAGACATTTCTGCAAGTCAAATGTTATAATATTAAATTAGAAATTATGGTGAAAAATCACTTTAAAGCTTATAGCACTAAACAGTTCCTACACTATTCTGTATATAGGAATAGTGTAGGAACAGTTGCTATAATATTCCCTAAAGCAGGGGGTCAGACCAGTACTAGTCCATGACCGGTTAGGAACTGGGCGGCACAGCAAGAGGTGAGTGGGGGATGAACAAGCATTACTGCCTGAGCTCCACCTCCTGTCACGTCAGCTGTGGCATTAGACTCTCATAGGAACATGAACCCTATTGTGAACTGCACGTGGGAGAGATCTAGGTTGTGTGCTCCTTATAAGAATCTAATGCCTGATGATCTGTCACTGTCTCCCATCACCCCCAGATGGGACCCTCTAGTTGCGGGAAAACAAGCTCAGTGCTTTCACCGATTCTACATTATGGTGAGTTATATAACTATTTCATTATATATTACAATGTAATAATAATAGAAATAAAGTGCACAATAAATGTAATGTGCTTGAATCATCCCAAAACCATCCCCTTTCCTTCCCCCAGTCCATGGAAAAATTGTCTTCCATGAAACTGGTCCCTGGTACCAAAAAGGTTGGAGACTGCTGCCCTACAGAAATAGTATAAGAAAATAATTAAAGAAAATTCTTGAGAAAAATCAGTGCCATATAGCTAAAATAAACTTTGATGACTTAGGGGAACTGAAAAGGTTTGTTTTAACACTTGTGTCTGGGAGTCTTTGAACTTATCAGTAGGCATGTGCCACCTAGTGGTACTACAAATTAAAACCTCCTAAGGAACTCAAAAAACTAAGGATCTATTTTAAGAGGAATTTTAATTTCCAAATTAGGCTCAACTGTGCTTTGCATTTTTAAATTACTTTTTTTTAATTGAAGAAGGGATAAGGTGCAAATTCTCACAATATAGAATGTGCCTTCTTTCCCATCCCAGGTACTACTTCTCCCAAAATTACTATTACTAGTTTCTTTTACAGTCTTCCAGAGATATTATATATTTATAGAACTATACAATTTATATAATATTATATATTTCTACAACATATAAATATATAATGAATGTTAGGAATAGTTATATATAATTGATTTTTTAAATTTTCTTGCAGATTGAATTTATTGATTCAACATATTCCAGACTCTCAGGATCTATCATTGAAGAAAACAGACAAAGCTTACATTGTAGCCTATGAGAAGAGACAATATATAACAAGCATAAAACATAAGGCTATAGTGTAAGAGGTGATAAGTGCTCTGTAATAAAATGTAAGGCAAAGTCAGGGTGATCATGAGTGCTGAGGGGTGGGTAATGAGTGGTCAAGGTAACTCTCATCAAAAAGGTGAATTTAGGCCATGATCTCCCTGAAGGAGGGCAGGAAGTTAGCCATATATAAATCCATGGAAAGCATACTCCAGGCAGAGAAAAAAATCCTCTAATGTGGGAGAGTACATGTATATTAAAGAAGCATCAAAGAATCCAGTGTAGCTGAGTCTAAACGATGAAGAGAGAGAGTAATAGGAAATGATTTCAGAAAATTAACAAGGGCCACATCATCAAGGCCTTTGCAAGCCATTGTAGGGTCTTTGGCTACTACTTTGAGTGAAAATGGCACCATGGCAGAGTTCTGAGCATAAAAGTAATATTTGATTTGAATTCCTGTTTTTAAAGAAATCATTCTCATTGCTTTGATGAGGAAAGGCTATACAGAGGCAAGTATAGAAGTAGGACAATTAGGAGGCTATTGCAATAATTTATGCAAGAAATGATGGCAGTGTGGACCAGGGCAGTAACAGTTACTGTAGTAAAAAGTGTTAGGATTCTGGACATAATTTGATGATAGAGCAAAAAGCACGTCCTGACCACTTGAAAACTGGTTTTGGGAGAAATGGAGGATTACTCTAGGACTTTCAAACTCAGCGGGCAAAAGGATGGAATTTGCTCTCTACTGAGATGAAGAGTCTGTCAAGAAAGAAAGATTTGTTGGAAGATCAAGAGTTTGGGGCGGGCGCGGTGGCTCATGCCTGTAATCCTAGCACTTTAGGAGGCCGAGTTGGACAGGTTGCCTGAGCTCAGGAGTTCAAGACCAGCTTAGGCAACATGGTGAAACCCTGCCTCTACTAAAAAATAAAAAAAATAATAATAAAAAGTTAGCCGGGCGTGGTAGCATGTGCCTGTAGTCCCAGCTACTCGGGAAGCTGAGGCAGCAGAATTGCTTGAACCCGGGAGGTGGAGGTTGCAGTGAGCCGAGATCCTGCCACTGCACTCTAGCCTGGCAACAGAGCGAGACTCCGTCTCAAACAAACAACAACAACAACAACAACAACAACAACAACAACAAATAGTTCAGACATACTGACATGAGACTTCTCAATACCCAAGAGGAAGATAATTATGACATCGAGGTGGAGATGTCAAGTAGCAGTTGGATATGAAAATTCAGGACAGAAAACTTACCTGCAGATAAACTTTAGGAATTACATATACACATACACAAATGCGCATGTGCGCGCGCGCGCGCGCGCACACACACACACACACACACACACACACACACACGCTGTATTTAAAGGCAAGAAATATGGATGAGAGAACTGAAAGAATGAGAAAACAGATGTATGTATATCCACATATGTGGCATATATGTACCCCTATTTATTTGACAATGCTCAACTGATGGACACTTAGGTTGTTCCTAATACGCTGTTGGAAGCAATGCTGAAATAAAAACATTTTGTCCATATGTCATTTTGCCCACTTGAAAGTATACTGAAAGATAAGTTCCAAGACATAAAATTACAGGTTTAATGTATGTATATTTTAAATTTTGGAGGTTATTGTGAAATCACTTTTGAATGAGGAGGTCAAAGTTTACAATGCCACAAGCAATATATTTAATATATTTCCCCACACCTTGCAGAACACTTCTGTTCCGAGTTTTGACATCTTTGCCAATCTTTCTTTTATTAATTTTTAATTTTTGTAGGTACATAGTAGGTGTATATACTTATGGGTTACATAAGGTATCTTGATACAGGCATGTAATGTGTAATAATTAGATCAGGGTAAATGGGGTAGCTAACGCCTCTAGCATTTATCTTTTGTGTTACAAACAATCCAATTATACTCTTTAGTTATTTTTAAATGTAAAATTAAATCATTTTTAACTATAGTCACCCTTTTGTGCTAGAAAATACTAGGTCTTATTCATTCTTTCTATTTTTTGTACTCATTAAACATCTCCACATCCCCCTGACACTCCATTAACCTTCCCAGCCCGTTAACCAACCTTGTACTCTTGATATCCATGAGTTCAACTCTTTTAATTTTTAGCTCCCACAAATAAGTGAGAAAATGCAAAGTTTATCTTTCTGTGCTTATTTCACTTAACGTAATGACCTCCAGTTCCATCCATGTTGTTGCAAATGAATGGATCTCCTTCTTCTTCATAGCTGAATAGTATTCCACGGTGTGTTCCACATTTTGTTTAACCATTCATATACTGATAGATACTTAGGTTGCTTCCAAATCTTGGCCACTGTGAACAGTGCTACAATAAACATTAGAGTGTAGATTATCTCTTCAATAAACCGATTTCCTTTCTTTTGGGTATATACATAGGAGTGGGATGGCTGGATCATATAGTAGCTCTATTTTTTTGTTTTTTTTTTGCGACAAAGTGTTACTCTGTCACCCAAGCTGGAGTGCAGTGGCATGATTTCGGCTCAGTGCAGCCTCTGCCTCCCGGGTTTAAGCAATTCTCCTGCCTCAGCCTCCCAAGTAGCTGGGATTACAGGCATGTGCCATCACACCTGGTCAACTTTTGTATTTTTAGTAGAGATGGAGTTTGTCATGTTGGGCGGGCTGGTCTTGAACTCCTGACCTCAAGTGATACAACCACCTTGGCCTCCCAGAGTGCTGGGATTATAGGGATGAGCCACTGCACCCAGCCTACTTTTAGTTTTTGATGAACTTCCAAACTGTTCTCCATAGTAGTTGTACTAATTTATATTCCCACCAACGCTGTACAAGGATCCCCTTTTCTCTACATCCTCACCAGCATTTGTTATCGCCTGTCTTTTGGATATAAGCCACTTTAACTGGGGTAAAATAATATCTCATTGTAGTTTTAATTTGCCTCTCTGGTGATCAATGATGTTGAGCACCTTTTCATATGCCTGTTTGTCATTTGTATGTCTTCTTTTGAGAAATGTCTATTCAAATCGTTTGCCCATTTTTTTATTAGATTATTAGTTTGTTTTTTTTTTCCTATAGAACTGTTTGAGCTTCTTATATATTCTGGTTATTAGTCCCTTGTCAAATGGGTAGTTTGCAAATATTTACTGCCATTCTGTGGGTTGTCTCTTCACTTTGTTGATTGTTTCCTTTGTTGTGCAGAAGTTTTTTAACTTGATGTTATCCAATTTGTCCACTTTTGCTTTGGTTGCCTGTGCTTGTGGGGTATATTACTCAAGGAATTTTTGCCAAGACTGATGTCCTGGTGAGTTTCCCCAAAGTTTTCTTGTAGTAGTTTCATAGTTTGAGGTCTTAGATTTTAGTCTTTAATCCATTTTTATTTGATTTTCATTTATGGCGAGAGATAGGGTTCTAGTTTTTCTTCTGCATATGGATATCCAGTTTTCTCAGCAACATTTATTGTAGACTGTCCTTTTCCTAATGTATGTTGTTGGCACCTTTGTTAAAAATGAGCTCATTGTAGATGTATGGATTTATTTCTGCATTCTCCATTTGTTCCACTGGTCTGTGTGCCTGCTTTCATGCCAATACCATACCATTTTGGTTACTATAGCTCTATAGTATAATTTGAAGTCAGGTAATGTGATTTCTTCAGTTTTGTTCCTTTTGCTTAGGATAGCTTTGGCTATTCTGAGCCTTTTGTGGTTACATATAAATATTGGGACTCTTTTTTTCTATTTCTGTGAAGGATGTCATTGGTATTTTCATAGGGATTGCATTGAATCTGTAGATTGCTTTGGGTAGTATGGACATTTTAACAATATTGATTCTTACAATCCATAAACATGAAATATGTCTCCATTTTTTTCTGTCCTCCAATTTCTTGCATCAATGTTTTACAGTTTTCATTGTAAAAAATTTTCACTTTTTTGGTTGAGATAATTCCTAGGTATTTTATTTTATATGCAGCTAATATAAATGGTATTACTGTTTTATTTATTTTTCACATTGTCCACTATTGGCATATAAATATCCCACTGATGTTTGTATGTTGATTAGTATCCTACAACTTTCCTGCATTTGATTATTAGTTCTAACAGCTTTTTGGTGAAGTCTTTAGGTTTCTCTAAATATAAGATGATATCACCTGCAAACAAGGATAATTTGACTTCTTCCTTTCCAATTTGGATGCCCTTTATTTCCTTCTCTTCTCTAATTGTGCTAGCTGGCACTATGTTGAATAACAATGGGCATCCTTGTCATGTTCCGTATTTTAAAGAAACGGCTTTCAGTTTTTCCCCATTCAGTATGATACATACCAGCTGTGTGTCTGTGGTTTTTAT
Source organism: Homo sapiens (assembly GCF_000001405.40). Classification (NCBI taxonomy): domain Eukaryota; kingdom Metazoa; phylum Chordata; class Mammalia; order Primates; family Hominidae; genus Homo; species Homo sapiens. The sequence goes on along the minus strand of NC_000003.12, from coordinate 28,471,605 downwards.
TATATTGAGGTATGTTCCTTCTATACCCAGTTTTGTGAGGTTTTTATCATAAAGGGATGCTGAATTTTATCAAATTCATTTTTAGCATCAATTGAGATGATGATATGGTTTTTGTCCTTCATTCTTTTGATATGCCACACTGATTGATTTGTGTATGCTGAACCAATCCTGCATCCCTGGGATAAAACCCACTTGATCATAATGAATCATCGTGTTAATGTGTTGTTTAATTATATTTGCTAGTATTTTGTTGAGGATTTTTGCATCAGTATTCATCAGAGATACTGGCCTGTAGTTTTCTTTTTTGATGTGTGTTTGTCTGGTTTTGGTACCAGAGTAATACTGGCCTCATAGAATGAGTTTGAAAGTATTCCCTCCACTTCTATTTTTTGGAATAGTTTCAGTAGAACTGGTATTAGCTATTCTTTAAACGTTTCATAGAATTCAGCAGTGAACCCATCAGGTTCTTGGTTTTTCTTTGCTGGGAGACTTTTTATTATAGTTTTTATCTTGTTACTTGTTATTGGTCTGCTCAAGTTGTGGATTTCTTTGTGGTGCAATCTTGGTAGGTTGTACGGTCTAGAAATTTATCCATTTCTTCTAGATTTTCCAATTTATTGGCATATAGTTGCTCATGGTAGCCACTAATGAGCCTTTGAATTTCTGTAGTATTGATTGTAATGTCTCCTTTTTCATCTCTGATTTTATTTATTGGGTCTTATCTCTTTTTTTCTTAGTTAATCTGGCTAAAGGTTTGTCAATTTTCTTTAGCTTTTCAAAAAAAATTGTTTTGTTGATATTTTGTATTTTATGTTTCTATTTCATTTATCTCATCTCTACATCTTCAATATTTATTTTTTTCTACTAATTTGAGTAAAAGAAAATCAGTTGAGTTTGAGTTTTGTTTGCTCTTGCTTTTTTAGTACTTTACAATGTATCATTAGGTTGTTTATTTGAAACTTTTCTTCTTTTTTAATTTAGGCACTCATGGCTATAAACTTCCCTTTTAGTACTGTGTTTACTGTATCTCATAGGTTTTGGTATGTCATGTTTCCATTATCATTTGTTTCAATGAATTTTTAAATTTCCTTCCTTTTTTTTTTTTTTTTTTTTAAGACGGAGTCTCGCTCTGTCACCAGGCTAGAGTGCTGTGACGCGATCTCGGCTCACTGCAACCTCTGACTCAGTGGTTCAAGCAATTCTGCCTTAGCCTCCCGAATAGCTGGGATTACCGGCATGCGCCACCACACCCAGCTAATTTTTGTATTTTTCATAGAGATGGGGTTTTATTTACCATGTTGGCCAGGATGGTCTCGGTCTCCTGACTTCATGATCTGCCAGCCTCGGCCTTCCGAAGTGCTGGGATTACAGGCGCGAGCCACTGCACCCGGCCTAAATTTCCTTTTTAATTTCTGCATTGAACCACTGGTTATTCAGGAGCATACTGTTTAATTTCCATGTGTTTATATAGTTTCCAAAACTCTTCTTGTTATTTATTTCTAGTTTTATTGCATTGTAGTAAGAGAAGATACCTGACATACGTTCAATTTTTTTGAATGTTTTAAGACTTGTTTTGTGACCTAACATATGGTCTATCTTTAGAATCATCCATGTGCTGAGGAAAAGAATGTGCATTCTGCAGCCATAGGATGAAATGTTCTGTAAATGTCTATTAGGTCTATATGTTCCAAAGTGCAGACTAAGTCTGATGTTTCCTTGTTGATTTTCTGTCTGGAAGATCTATCCAATGCTGAAAGTGGGATGTTGAATTCTCCAGCTATTACTGTATTGGGACCTATCTATCTCTTTAGCTTTAATAATATTTGCTTTATATATCTGGGTGCTCCAGTGTTGGGTGCATATATATATACATATATATATCATATATATATACACACATATACATGCATATATATATACATATTTACAACTGTTATATCCTCTTGATGAATGAACTCCTTTATCATTATATAATAATCTTCTTTGTCTCTTCTTACAGTTTTTGTCTTGAAACCTATATTGTCTGGTATTAAGTATATCTACTCATGCTCTTTTGTGGTTTCCACTGGCATGGAATATCTTTTTCCATCTTTTATTTTCAGTCTACCTGTGTCTTTATAAGTGAAGTATGTTTCTTGTAAGCAATGGATCATTGGACCTTATTTTTATATCCATTCAGCCACTCTATGTCTTTTGATTGGAGAGTTCAGTCCATTTACATTCAATGTTATTATCGATAAGAAAGGACTTACTCCTGCCATTTTGTTATTTGTTTTCTGGTTGTTTTACAGTCTTCCTTCTTTCCTTCCTTCTTCTCTTCCTTTTAATGAAGGTTATTTTTCCTGGTAGCAAACTTAAATTTATTGCTTTTTAATTTGTGTACCTGTTGTATGTTTTTTGATTTGTGATTACCATGAGGCTTGTAAATATTATAACCCATTATTTTAAGCTGATAACAACACTGCTTACATGTTCTTACATGTAACAAACTAATAAGCAAAAAGAAAACACCTCTGAACTTTAACTCCTTCCTCCCTCTTTTTAACTTTTTATTGTTTCTATTTATATCTTATTTTACTCTCTATGTCTTGAAAAGTTGTTGCAGTTACTATTTTTGATTGGTTCATCTTTTAGTCTTTCCACTGAAGAGCAGTTTACACAACACAGTTAACAGTGTTATAACATTCTGTGTTTTTCTGTGTACTTTCTATTGCCAGTGAGTTTTGGATCTTCAGATGATGTTGTATTGCTCAGGAAGATCCTTTTCTTTCTGATTGAAGTACTCTTTTTATCATTTCTTGTAGGACAGGTCTGGTGTTGAGGAAATCTCTCAGCTTTTGTTTGTCTGGGAAAATCTTTATTTCTCCTGCATGTTTGAAGGATATTTTTGCTAGATATGCTATTCTAGGGTAAAAGTTTTTCTACTTCAGCACTTCAAATATGTCATGCCACTCTCTCCTGGCCTGTAAGGTTTCCACTGAACAGTTTGCTGACAGGTATATCGGAGTACCATTGTTTGTTATTTGTTTCTTTTTTCTTGCTGCTTTTAGGATCCTTTCTTTATCCTTGACCTTTGGAAGTTTGATTATTAAATGCCCTGAAGTAGTCTTCTTTGTGTTAATTCTGCTTGATATCCTATAATATTCTCATACTTGGATACTGATATCTTTCTCTATGTTTGGGAAATTCTCTGTTATTATCCCTTTAAATAAATTTTCTACCACTATCTCTTTCTTTACTTCCTCTTTAAGGCCAATAACTGTTAGATTTGCCCTCTTGAGGCTATTTTCTAGATATCGTAGGTGTGCTTCGTTCTTTTTTTTTCTCTTTTGTCTCTTCTTTGTATTTTCAAATAGCCTGTCTTCAAGCTCATTAATTCTTTCTTCTGCTTGATCAATTCTGCTATTGAGACTCTGATGCTTTCTTCACTATGTCAATTGCATTTTTTCAACCCAGAACTTCTGCTTAATTCTTTTCAATTATTTCAATCTCTTTCTTCAATTAATCTGATAGAATTCGAAATTCCTTCTCTGTGTTATCTTGAATTTCTTTGAGTTCCTCAAAACAGCTATTTTGAATTCTGTCTGAAAGGTCACGTATCTCTTCAGGATTAGTCCCTGTTGCTTTATTTACTTTGTTTGGTGAGGTCATGTTTTCCTGGATGGTCTTGATGCTTGTGCATGTTCATCAGTGTCTGGGCATTAAAGAGTTAGGTATTTATTGTAGTCTTCACGATATGGGTTTGTTTGCACCTGCTGTTTTTGGGAAAGCTTTCCAGGTATTTAAAAGAGCTTGAGTGTTGTGATCTAAGCTGTATCTGCATTAGTGAGCCCCGTAAGCCTAGTAATGCTATGGCTCTTGCAGACTCATAGAGTGTTGGATAAGATCTAGAAGAATTCTCTAGAATATCAGGCAGAGACTCATGTTCCTTGACTTACTTACAAACAAACAGAGTCTTGCTCTCTGTGAGTCACCTGGGGCTGGGGGTGAGGTGACACAAGCACCCTTGTGGCCACCACCACTGGGAATGCACTGAGTCAGATCTGAAGCCAGCACAGTACTGGGTCTCACCCAAGGCCCACTGTAACCACTACCTGGCTACTGCCTATGTTCTCTCAATGCCATAGAGATCTACAATCAGTAGGTTGTGATTGTTTTTTAAAAGCCATTTATATTTTCTTTTATATGGAATGATGATTCAAGTCCTGTGTTAGTACGTATAATGGTCTTTTTCTTACTGACTGTAAAATAATATTTTTATATATTTTTTAAATATCCCTTTCCTCTATGTACTACAAATATTCTCCTCTGTTTGTAGTTTGTATTTTAGTACTTTTGTGTTTTCTTTTTTGTTCATGTAAGTCTTTCTTCCTTGTAGAACTAGTTTGGACATTTTTTTCCGCAGGTTACTATTTGTACCCATCCCATTTATTAAACAATACAACTTTTCTTATTTGAATACAACCTGAACCATTAACTATACTTTCAAGTACTTTTGAGTTTATTTGTGGAATTTCTATATATTTCTATTAATCTGTCAAATCACTATTAGTACCATATTGCCTTAACTAGTGACATCTTGTTATATCTATCATATTTTATAGGCCTAACTCTCTCTTTTGTTCAACCTTCCAACAAATTTATAATTAGTTTGTCAAAAGTCTCAATTGTTTTTTTTAATTGAGATGGCATTTAAATTAATTTAAGGAGAACTGACATCTTCCATATTAAATCTTCCACATCAAGAAGAGAAGAGGATTATATCTTTCCATTTACTCATGTTTTATTTTTATTTTTATTTTTATTTTGAGACAGAGTCTTGCTCGTCACCCCGGCTGGAGTCCAGTGGTGCAATCTCGGCTCACTGCAACTTCCACCTCCTGGGTTCAAGCAATTTTCGTGCCTGAGCCTTCCGAGTAGCTGGGACTAAAGGTGTGTGCCACCACACTTGGCTAATTTTTGTATTTTTAATAGAGACAGGGTTTCACCATGTTGGCCAGGCAGGTCTTGAACTTCTGACCTTAGGTGATCTGCCTGCCTTGGCCTCCCAAAGTGCTGGGATTACAGGCATGAGCCACCACAGCCAGTCTCGGGCTTTATTTTCTGTTTCTTAGCAGCATTTTGAAGTTTAATTCACACAGATCTTGCACATTGCTTCTTAGGCTTACACCAGTGTATTATTTATGTTTTGTTGCTATTATAAATGAGAATTTTAGTCTCTTCATATTTTCAAAATGGTTACTTCTTTATTTTTTCCTTCCAACTTTTATTTTGGGTTCAGGGGGCACATGTTCAGGTCCATTACATGGGTAAATTGTGTGTTATGTGGGTTTGGTGTACAGATTATTTCATCACCCAGGCAATGAGCACGGTACCCAATAGGTAGTTTTTCTATCTTCATTGTCCTCCCACCCTACTAGAAGATTGCCTCAAGTAGGCCCTGGTGTCTACTGTTCCTATCTTTGTGTCCATGTGTACTCAATGTTCAGCTTCCACTTAGAAGTGAGAACATGCAGTATTTGGCTTTCTGTTCCTGCACTGATTCTCTTAGGATAATGACCTCTGACTCCATCTATATTGCTACAAATGACATGATTTTGTTCTTTTTATGGCTACGTAGTATTCCATAGTGTCTATGTACTACATTTTCTTTATCCAGCCTACCAATGATGGGCATCTAGGTTGATTCCATGTATTTGCTATTGTGAATGATGCTGTGATGAACATTCATGGGCTTGTGTCTTTAAGGCAGAAAGACTATGACCTGACACACTACTGAATTTTCTTATGCTTTTAATCGTTTTTTCCTATTGTTTATAATAGTTTTGTTTACCATAGTTTTTTTTTGTTTGATTGTTTGAGTTCCTTGGGTTTTACAGGTATATAATTGTCTACAATAATGTAATTTTTCTTCTTCCTTTCTTGTGTGGGCACTTTTGATTCTTTCTTTGGTTAATTATATTAGCCAATTAGACCAGAATAATATTACATAATAGTAGCAATCCTACCTACTTTTAAAAATTCAAATTTCCCACCTGAACAACCAGTTTTTTCTCTAATTAAAATAAAAATGTAAAATGAGTTCATGTTCTTTTCGTGAGATGTTGAAGTAATTCGCATTTATTTAACTCCATTATTTTGAGAAGTTAACAAACAAGTTTGTTTGAAATCATTCTCATAAACTTAGCTCTTTTAGACATTATCATAATCTTTCAATTTGAATCTTTCACTGAAAGGCTTCTGGATTGACAAGAAAGAAGCAAAGACTCAGCATCTCACTAAATATAATAGATTCATTCCATATACTAATTACTGGATAAAGTTTGTGAAAGATGAATGAACATCATGCTTGAATGAACTACAGTAATACCATTATGGTTAAGTTCCATCTTAAAATACAATAGCATTTAAAGAGATAAATATTTGGTTTGGAACACATTTATATTATATTTTAGAAACAAATTAGCAAAGGAAACAAAGCTGTTTTATAAATAAGGTAAAACTAAGGTAAAAACTACATTTAGAAAAATTATCTTTTGAAAGCATGGAAACATTTACATTTACCTTTCTAACCAGCAATCAAATAGATAATTAAGTTCATATTTAACAAATAATTATTCTCAAAGACAAATACTATTCAAAATAGGATTCAAGCTTAAGCAGAAAGCAACTGCCATTCAAACTTTTTCAACTGTAATCCAGATGTTTCTTAAGCCATGGCTAAAATCTACAGCAGTTCCTGTGATGTTTCTGATAACACTAAAATAATAAAATGTCCTGAAATTAGTTTTACTCCCCCCAATATTAAAAATCCAAAGTGTCCTCTAGCATGTAAGAAACAAAATTCTAAGCTTCACTTCAAGTTAAAGCTCCTGTGCCCTACAAGCTAGGGGTACACTTCAGGCTGCCAGTGGTTCTCCTTGTCCATCTATGCTTCTTCTTCTCCCCCACTATGTTCTGAGTCCTCTGTGGCTGAAAGAGTTAGATATGGAGAATACAAAAGAAATTGCAGAAAATATATTTATTTGTCTTCTATTATGGCAATCTAGGATTGGTGCTCTCTGGGCTTGAAGTATTTTTTTTTTACTACAGTGTGCTTTGCGGGTTGTTAGAGGGTCTTCTCTCCCAACTAGGAACATCTGATTGCCAACTTCCTCGAGAGGAACAATGTCTTTTTTTTAGTTGGTTGCTTTCAACCTATATCTCATTATCATATTCTGCCTCTTTCTGCTTAGGTTGCATGAAGGCAGGAAGCCCTTTTGGGTGAAGACCCTTTTAAACTGACCCCTGGCTCTTCCCATGTTGTCTGCATCATTGCTCCTGAAAACTGGAATAATGCTGGCCATTCCAGTGCTACCATCTGTCTTCAGTTTTCAGTGTGTAGATTTCTCAGGGAGAAGTTTTATATCAATATACTGTATTGCTCAAGCTCCAAGACACATTCATCAGGCATTCAAAAAAATAAAAAATAATAAAATAAACAAAAAAACACCCTTGTACTACACATGAGGTAAAGAAAAATGGCCATCTTCTTTTCCCCAAGATAGGGAGGAAGGAGGTATAGAGAAAATGCCACAATATACCAAAATTTCCTCCCCCAAAATTTTCCTTTTGATTTCTTTTCATTCCCTTTCCTTCTCTTTTCCTTCCCTTCCCTTTACTTCTCTTTCCCTTCTTTTCTCTCTCCCTTCCCTTTCTTCTTTTCTTCTCTCCTTCCTTCCTTCCTTCCCTCCTTTCCTCTGTCCTTCCCTCCCTCCTTCTTTCTTTCAGAGGGTCTTGCTCTGTTGAACAGTCTGGACTGCAGTGGCATGATCATAGCTCACTGGACCCTTGAACCCCTGAGCTCAAGGGATCCTCCCACCTCAGCCTTCCAAGTAACTAGGACTACAAGCATGTACCACCACCAAAAAATTTCTGTATGTTCAACCTCCACCCTTTTATAAAATTGGGTTAAGGTATGCCAAGCAAGTTTGGCACCTCCTTGTAAATCCTGCATACATACTCTTGTACCTCACTTTGCAATGCAAAAATAATTATTTTTGTACTTAGCTTGAGGTTCTAAAGACTTTCACTAAAATCTGAGTATATCTATTAATTTTAGAATTTTCAAATAAGCTTCTCTCCCAACAGCAAAACAGACAAATTTTAATTTTTTTAATTTAAAATTTAAATTTAAACATTTTCAAGGCAGCTCTGTAGTAAAAACTTCCAAGAACCTAGCTTATAAAGTCAAGGGTTAATACCAGTAACTCCAGATGAGACCATAGGAAGGAGTGGGTATCATGATCATCACATTCCAGTAAATCCTATGATTCCAAGAAAGGATATTATATCCTTAATATGTTTATATTACTTTGGCAACTTGAGTTTTCTCAATCAGTTTTATTAAATTTTCAGTGGAGGATAAAGGAAGTAATAATTATAGAAAGAGAAGAAAGACACTTAGACTAAAAATTTATGTAAACTTATGAATATAAATAAGATTATTTTTGATAAATGAATAAGCATGGAAATGTTTGGAGCAAGAGTGAGGTTTGAGACTAAACATACGGCTAGACAGAGAAGATAATGCTCTATGTCTGAGAAAATCCCTAGCTGTGTCCAAAAGTGAAAAGTTTGTAAACCACTGTTCTATGTGATCTTGTTTTAATCAGGTATTATTGACCAACTGAAAGCCTTAACCTCATTTTTCCTTTCCCATTTCCTTAAGGAAGAAGTTGAATGTCTCTTTTCAATAACTTTGGACTCGCTGAACAAGGTTTGTGCTATTTCTGCATACTAATGTGGAGTAACAAAATTCAAGGAAAAAAATACATAAGGGTTTGTCCACCAGTGAGGCCCGTGGAGAGAAATTTGCAATCTGGCAGAAATTCATGTCTTCTGTTGTTTCCTATTTTAAGACTTTTTTCCTCTACAAGAGAAATAATCAAGATGTAATAAATAATAACCTGGGGTTGTAGCAGGATAAATCTTAATTTTCAAACTTGAATGTATAAGCAATGTCATATTACCTCATATTTGCAAAATCAAATTGAATGTGACAGTGCTCATCCAACCAGGATAATAAGAAATTTGATCTCTGTCATTTTGGGGCCACCTTTTACATTCCCTAGGTTCACATAAATCAGAAAGTCATTGTGCCTAAAAGGTGCTTGAAAAATGAGGGCAGATCACTGCTCTTCAGCCCATCATGGTTACATGAATATTATTTTTGTTCAAGTCCCTCGAAGTTAGGCAGCCCAACACCTTCTTTGCCACACCTTCACAAAAGAATCTTTTCAGAGTCTAGGAGCCTTGATAGCATGGGTTCAACCTCCCTGGGTATACCATGGTGCTATTCTTCTTCAGGGTACTGCCACATGCCCAGGGCACTGACAGACTTCTGTTCTCTTCCAAGTGTGAGAGACTATCTTCTCTGTCTTGCTATTCCTGTGTCTCCCTCGCAGTGGCCCTGGCCTTTGTGTTCCCAGTCTGCCCTGCCCACCCTCAAGGAACTCAGATCCGGAAAACAAGGAAACCCTGCTTTTGACCACCACAACAGAAAACTCCCCTGACATATGAGAATGTAAGGGGCCTGACTACTTTTCGCAGTAAAAGAAAGAGAAAAATACAATCAAGAAAAAATTATTAACAACCAACCACTGGTGTCTGGTTAATTGTAGGGAAGAATGTCCTAGCTATGTGGCTTTGAATATTAGAATAGATAGGGAGGTGACAGTCTTTCCTTCCCACCCCTTGGTATTCTACTTCTTAACTCTGCCTATTGTTTTCCCCTAATTTTTCTACATAGCACTCAAAAATAACTAACATACTATACTGTTTTTCTTATTTATTTATTTATTACATGTCTTATTCCACTAATTTAAATTTTATGAGGGCATTCAATTTGGTCTATTTTGTTCACTTTGGAACCTAGAAGAATTTCAAATAATAGGAGTTGAGTAAATATTTATTGAGTAGTATAAATAGATATATTTCGTTCAAGGTGGCATGAAAAACAACCCAGTCAGGAAACTGGAGATGAAAATGAAAGGCTGCTACATTTTTTAATCCTGAATTATGTGATTAGCCTCTACAAAGGAAAAAGAAAAATTTATAAACATAATGATCACCTGGTATTACAGTGATACTAAAATAATATAAAACTTCATTTTGGGTAAACAATTTAGGTCTGTAAAGTATTTCATAGGTCACTGATTTATCCTCTAGTATTGGTAGCACTTTTTTCTTGAAAAAAATGTGTGTCTAATGTCAAGTATAATATTATACAAAAAATGGTACCTAACTTTAAAACTAAAGTAATTCAATCAAATGTTCTTAGTATGACCAATCTGGGGGGTGGGAGAACCTCATAACAACACTCTAGGTACAATGACAACATCTATAATCTAAAATTATCAATTCAAATATCAATATTAAAGCTAACTGCAAATATAAGCACCTTCAATTTAGAAAATTTATCTTTTAGACACAATGTTTATATATTTAAAATCTGGAAAACTGGAATCACACATACTTACAATCTTCTTTATAGAGCTTCAAAAATTCATTGGTATGATTTCAAATATTGATCATTACTTTAAATTATTTCTTATATGTCTGTAGCAACATGTGGATATAAGTCATAGATCTCATAATCTAAAGAAATAAAAAATTATTATCCTTTGGACTGCATCACCACTAAATGTTTAAAAACCAACACTACCACCTATTATAAAGTATCTGCCTAGAGATTTATGTCAATTACTGCTATTTATACATTCAAAGTTGCAGTGTAGCTGACTCTAACCATGTATTGCACTGACGCATCATTCTATTTACTATTGTACCAAAGCTATCGCTCTTTTCCTCTGTTGGGCAGATCGTTTTCACTTAAAGCAGTTCAGTAGAAACTTAATCACTAGGATATCTTGTCTTCTTTAAATTGGATTTCTGCAACAGCAACCAGTAATCCAGACAGTAAGAACATTCCTGTTCCTTTGATACAAACTGGAAGATTGCCACATTATACCCATGTGCATCAGAGAATCCATAGATTTAGTTAGCCTCCTTGGCTTTCTAATAATATCTGCCTTCCCACTCACCTGTCACTTTAACATAGGTTCATACAATCTTCAAATAATCAAATATGGTTTATTTAGACAGCTTATTCAAATTATTGAATACTTGAAGCAAATATTGCTTAAAAACTATTACTGACTTGTTGCTTACTCTGCTTAAGTTTCCTACAGACACAAATAGTAATTTTGCTTCCTTAACCCAGCAGAATTTTAAGATCAAAACAACTTATGTACCCCACTCTTCATGCCACTGGAAAGTGTAAACTATTAAAGCTAAAAAAAAAAAAAAAAAAGTCTAGCTCTGTTTAGTGTGACCCCTTACATCAGATTGACAGATAATGCCAAGAATGCAATGGGCACTAGAGAAGAAATTAGCCAGAGAAAAATAATTAGAAAATTTGGGAGTCAAATCTTTATAGTGTAATTCCATTACTTGGCTTGAAATATTGGAAAATATCAAGACAGAAGACCAAATTCCTAACTGGGTACTCCCTGCAACATTGCAGGTAGGGCTGGGGAGGTAGGAAATGAAGCAGTTTATGATAAAATGGCTCCAATGAACCAATCAGAAAAATCACAAGGTACTAGATTAAGCTTTGTATTCACCTAGACTTTAACATATATTTACTAAAAGTTTTGAATATCTAAGCTCTTTTCCTATCTAGAAGGAATAAACAACTGCTACATGTGGCAATTTTTTTTAAAGAAGCCCCAATCTGACATTTTAGGTTTGTCCACTATCTGGAGTGACATCCTTTTGGAAAACAATTTTTATATCACCAATATGCCAGTCATACAGTGTGATAGACCTGAAATCAGATTTTGAGAAGAGAAAATGAGAGGGCTCTGGATGTCACAGCAGAGAGAAAATCAGGCACCACCAAAAGAAGAAACATATTTAAAAGGACAAGGGAGTTTAATGTCACAATCCTGCCCAAGATTTTCCTGGCTTCTTCAGTACCACAGCTTCATAAATACTTTCATACATTCCATAGAGTAAACACAATAAACACAATACAAACAATACACTTTCACATAAATATCTTCTTTAGTTAATTCCAGTACCACACAGAAGATATTTTGGGAAAATAATCTGCTATACAGTGGTTCTTGAGATTTACCAAGGAGAGTGATTTCAAGAATACGTTTTTTGTTTTTTGTTTTTTTTTTTCTTTGGAGACAGAGTCTCGCTCTGTCACCCAGGCTGGAGTGCAGTGGCGCAATCTTGGCTCACTGCCACCTCCGCCTCCCGGGTTCACGCCATTTTCCTGCCTCAGCCTCCTGAGTAGCTGGGACTAGAGGCGCCTGCCAGCATGCCTGGCTAATTTTTTGTATTTTTAGTGGAGACAGGGTTTCACCGTGTTAGCCAGGATGGTCTCAATCTCCTGACCTCATGATCCACCCGCCATGGCCTCCCAAAGTGCTGGGATTACAGGCATGAGCCACCGTGCCTGGCCAAGAATAGGTATTTTTAAGGAGCTCTACAGCAGAATGTGACGACCAGCAAGCCTGGGAACCAAGAGTAGATCAAAACAAACAAATATAAACAAACAAAAAAACACAAAACGAACAATGGCAACAGGATAACAACATTTGTATTAATAATAACCAGTTACTGCTATGTTAAAAGGGAATGAAATAAATCCTAGGTTTTAATGACAACATGAAGAGCCTTCAAATCCATGGCAAGAAATCAATGCGCTAAGCATGACGAAAAGACCTTTCACATCTTTATTCCAACTTTGAAAGACCCTGGTTAAAGGTTAAGCTAATTAATCAGGTTGGCTGAATTAACAACAGTTGATCAATAAGAAGGCCTGTGCGGCTTTCCAGTTTACAAATGATAGCTTATTATGAATTTGGTATGCTTATGAAGATGAGAAGCAGATGCCCCGATGTAAATTTCAAGCAGGTTGACATACAGTATAAAAATCTGGAGTTTGTAATCATAAGATCTGGGCTTGAGTCCTGGTTCTGCTGCTGTGTAACCTCAGGCAAGTCACTTAACCTGAACCTCAGCATTTTTAACAACAAATGAAGACTATGTGAGATTATCATTTGATGTCTACAGTCCAAAAAATGAGATAGGCACTCTATTCACAATAGAGAGAAGTTGGCTGTGTATATATTTAATTTCTATAGGAGTTCTACAATTTAATGAACCTAATATTTTAAACTTACTAAGTTCTTCAATGCTCATATAGTACTGACAGGCACCATCCTAAGCGCTTCACAAATAACTCATTTAGCTTTTTAACAAGCTTATAAAGTAGGCACTAGAATCCTCATTTTACAGATGAGAAAGTAGAGGCACTGAGTTTAGAACTTGCATAAGTTTACATAGAGAGTAAGACAGAGCTGTAATTCATAACAGACAACCTAGAGAGTTTGTGTGTTAAGCTGCTACAAAACGATATTGTTTCACTACAAGGTAATTCTAATGCCTAACTATCAAAGATGGTGTTATAAAGAGTTCCTTAGCCCATATCATAAAAAAATAAGTGGTGTTGAAAATGATGAGAAACTGCCATTTGTCATTTTCTGTATCAGGTCACTTTTATATTGCTTAGGAAAAAAATTTTAGGACAATTAATCATAGTTAAAAACTTAAATCACCAATGAACTGTACATTTAAAAATGATTAAGATGGTAAATTTTATCTTATATCTATTTTAATACAATTTTTAAAAAGAATAAAAACACTGTGTACAGTTTAAAGTATTTTATATATTCTGCTTTCAAGGTGTAGAATTTTTATTTTTAACAAAACTGAAATTCATCAGGTCTGTAGCAAAAAAAAGTTGTAAACTCTGCTATGTAAAATGATAGTGAAGTATTAGTAATATATTGATGAATACCGCACAAGAAGCAAATGAGCATAGTGTCAATAGATAGTTTTTAAGGCCAGTGCTTATCTAAAGTGCTGCTATCTTCCACTGCTCTAGCCAGGCAGACTGCTGCAGGTAGAGACATTAAATAGAACTGCAAGAAGTGTACAGGTTTAAATCAGCCATGGAATAAGCATGCACTCATTTGCACTAAGCCTTTAAAAACTCAGGATTAGCCTAAAAAATTTTAAGCCACAATATTAATGGATATCAAGACCTGAACCTAAAAAAATGTTAGTATACTTGGATGCTATTTTCTACTCCATATTTGCTTATTTTTTATAGAATATGTGTTTAAGGTGAAACTCTAGTTGTGTTTATTACAAACAGGTGCTCAGATTCTATGTTTAATGATAGAATCATAAGGGCAGGTGGGAAATCTAGGTAAAGAAGATGGTTAAATATGTGATGCAGAATCAGTACATATTCTGTGAGCTAAACAAATGGTAAAGAAGTGATAATTCTAAATTTATTTTCAAAACTAGTTTAGTCAGCACTGTTTAGGATTTGGGGATACTGGATTTCACCTAATTCATGGACCGGACCTGATCCTTTACTAGAAGATACTTTAAAGGAAAGATAGAGGGCAGAGGTATAAAGAAGAGATGATGCCATTCCTACTGACACTATTCCAAAAAATAGAGAAGGAGGGACTCCTCCCTAACTCATTCTATGAGGCCAGTATCATCCTGATACCAAAACCTGGTATAGATACAACAAAAAAAGAAAACTTCAGGCCAATATCCTTGATGAACATCAGTGCAAAAATCCTCGTCAAAATACTGGCAAACCAAAGCCAGCAGCACATCAAAAAGCTTATCCACCATGATCAAGTTGGCTTCATCCCCAGGATGCAACGTTGGTTCAACATATGCAAATCAATAAATGTGATGAATCACATAAACAGAACTAAAGACAAAAAACACATGATTATCTGAATAGATGCAGACAAGACCTTTGATAAAATTCAACATCCTTTCATGTAAAAAACTCTCAATAAACTAGGTATTGAAGGAACATACCTCAAAATAATAAGAGCCATAAAAGACAAACCCACAGCCAATATCATACTGAATGCAAAAGCTGGAAGCATTCCCTTGAAAACTGGAACAAGATAAGGATTGCCTCTCTCATCTCTCCTATTCAACACAATATTCGAAATTATGGCCAGGGAAATCAAGCAAGAGAAAGAAATAGTATTCAAATAGGAAAGGAGAAAGTCAAATTATCTTTGTTTGCAAATGACATAATCCTATATCTAGAAAACCCCATCATCTCAGCCCAGAAGCTTCTTAAGCTGATAAGCAACTTCAACACAGTATCAGGACACAAAGTCAATATGCAAAAATTGCTAGCATTCACCAACAACAGGCAAACCAAGAGCAAAATCGCAAATGAATTCCCATTCACAATTGCCATAAAAAGAATAAAATACCTAGGAATACAGCTAACAAGGGAAGTGAAGGACTTCTTCAAGGAGAACGACAAACCACTGCTCAAAGAAATCAGAGAGGACAGAAACAAATAGAAACACATCCATGCTCATGGATAAGAAGAATCAATATCATGAAAATGGCCATACTGACCAAAGTAAGTTATAGATTCAATGCTATTCCCATTAGACTACCATTGACATTCTTCACAGAATTAGAAAAAGCTCTTTCAAAATTCATATGGAGCTGAAAAAGAGCCTGAATAACCAAAACAATCCTAAGCGAAAAGAACAAAGCTGGAGGTATCATGCTACCTGACTTCAAATTATACTACAGGGCTACAGTAACCAAAACAGCACGGTACTGGTACCAGAACAGACACATAGACCAATGAAACATAATAAAGAACCCAGAAATAAGGCCCCACATCTAAGTTATCTGATCTTAAACAAAACTGACAAAAATAAGCACTGGGGAAAGGATTCCCTATTTAATAGAAGCTACTGGGAGAACTGGCTAGCCATATCTAGAAAATTGAAACTGGACCCCTTCCTTACACCATTTACAAAAATTAACTCAAGATGAAATAAAGACTTAAATGTAAAACCCAAAACTATAAAAACACTGGAAAAAAAAAACTAGGCAATACCATTCAGAACATAGGCATGGGCAAAGATTTCATGACAAAAGTCAAAAGCCATTGCAACAAAAGCAAAAATTGACAAATGGGATCTAGTTAAACTAAAGAGCTTCTGTACAGCAAAAGAAACTATCAACAGAGTAAACAGGCAACCTACAGAATGGGAGAAACTTTTTGCAATCTATTCATCAGACAAAAGTCTAATATCCACCATCTATGAGAACTTAAACAAATTTATAAGAAAATAACAAACAGCCCCATTTAAAAGTGGGCCAAGTACATGAACAGACACTTTTCAAAAGTAGACATACATGCCGCCAACAAGCATATGAAAACAAGTTCAACATCACTGATCATTAGAAAAATACAAATCAAAACCACAATGAGGGACCATCTCACACCAGTCAGAATGGCTATTACTAAAAAGCCAAAAAATAACAGATGCTGGTGAGGTTGTAGAGAAAAGGGAATACTTCTACACTGATGGTGGGAATGTAAATTAGTTCAACCATTGTGGAAGACAGTGTGGTGATTCCTCAAAGATCTTGAGACAGAAATACCATTAGACCTAGCAATCCCATTACTAGGTATAGACCCAAAGGAATAAAAACACTCTATTATAAAGACACATGCACACATGTGTTCACTGTAGCACTATTCACAATAGCAAATACATGGAATCAACCTGGATGCCCATCAATGATAGATTGGATAAAGAAAATGTGGTATACATACAACATGAAATACTATGCAGCCATAAGAAGGAATGAGATCATGTCCTTTGCACAGACATGGGTGGAGCCAGAGGCCATTATCCTTAGCCATTTAATGCAGGAACAGAAAACCAAATATTGCATGTTCTTACTTTTAAGTGGGAGCTACATGAGACCAAATAGACACAAGGGGAGAGACAACACACACTGGGGCCAGTCAGAGGGTGGGGAATAGGAAGATGGAGAGGATAGGGAAGAATAGATAGGGGATGCTGGGCTTAATACCTGGGTGATGGGATGACCTGTGCTGCAAACCACCATGGCACACACTTACCTATGTAACAAACGTGCACATCCTACACGTGTACCCCTGAACTTAAAATAAAAGTTAGAAGTGAAAAAGTAAGATGAAGAAGTATAATGCGTACTCATGAAAGGGAATAACACTTGCCTGTAATGACAAAGATAACAAAGGAGGAAATCCACAAAATTTAATAGTATATCCTCCTCTTTCTTACAAATATTTGCATGACCTAATATCTCATTTTTAAAAATGCTAGGACATCATACTCCCTACATAAGTCCTGCTTCATGATATCAGCACTATTAATGCAATATATATGTCAAGCTTTATTAAAACTCCTTTTGATGTGTAAAAATAAGGTAGAAGGAAGAATTAATGAAAGGAAAATGATAAACAATATATACAATTATAAATATACACAATTGGCCGGGCGCGGTGGCTCACGCCTGTAATCCCAGCACTTTGGGAGGCCGAGGCGGGCGGATCACGAGGTCAGGAGATCGAGACCATCCTGGCTAACACGGTGAAACCCCGTCTCTACTAAAAATACAAAAAATTAGCCGGGCGTGGTGGCGGGTGCCTGTAGTCCCAGATACTCGGGAGGCTGAGGCAGGTGAATGGTGTGAACCCGGGAGGCGGAGCTTGCAGTGAGCCGAGATCGCGCCACTGCACTCCAGCCTGGGCGACAGAGCGAGACTCCGTCTCAAAAAAAAAATAATAATAAAAAAAATAAAAATAAATAAATAAATAAATAAATAAATAAATAAATATACACAATTATAAACTTTCACAATTATACGATTTTGAGTTTTAGACTTCACCATTCTTGATGGAAGAATGTAACAAGAAGTTACTCTCCAGCTATTTACTAATTTAAGAACCCCAACACAAAAAATCTCATTATAAGGCAACTTTACATATAAGGGAAATGACTCTCAGGGCAATTTTGTGAGTCTTGTATATTGGCTTAAAAACAATGACCTGATTCATGTTTTTTTTCTTTAACAGAAAATAAGCACTTTTAGAAAATTGAGAAAGCTATATATTGCAATTTCTTAGAAAAGAATATTGCTGTTCCATTGAAGGGTCAATATGATAAACCTAATTGATACATTTTTCATGCATTTGATGATGGAAAAGGTAGCCACCTGTTCCATTCTTTATATACTGAGTGAAGTTGGTCATATTATTTAGTTTGGACTTTTAACTTCAGTACAAGTTCACAGCTATCTAAATTCATAAGAGATGAAGTTGAGAGATGATAGAGGTGAATTCAACAATTTAGTTGGTGCTGCGAAGTCAGCATATATAAATGTGAGTGAATCCAAAAAGCAGAATAGAGATAGGGAAAGAAACTGGTTTCATTCAGTTGCAAAGAACATGAAATATAGTATTTCCTGTTCTCCTTCCAAATTCCATCAAACAAATCCAAAGTATGCTGGAGACACTGCTGATATTGGGCTTATTCATTCACCAAGGAGTCAGATTAAGAAGGCTCTAACTTATTTCCTGCTTTCAATAGTTCTTGACACTTCTGTTTACGCTAAACTATGAAAACATTGCAGCAATGGTCTCATTTCAGTCATGTACTGAAGAATCAAAGAATAAGATGATCAACTAGCTCTACTTCTCTCAATTTCTGGGAGCATTGTGTTTGTTGATAAAGACCATTAAAATCACGTAATTTTCTATATATGATCTTAAGTCAAAATAAAAGATACTATTCTCCACCTTATTGTTCTCAGCATCTTTTTGGTACTCTCCCCTATAGAGATGGGGTCCTAGGGAAAGGAAATAGATAATTTGACTATATATTTAACCTGTTACTTCCAACGAATACTAACAACTAACATTTATTGAGAGCCTACTGTATGACAAGCACATGCTAAATGCTTTACATGTATTATCTCAATTAACACTCATATCCACTTTATAAGGCAGATGCTATCACAATTTCTATTTTAAAGATAAGGTGGCCAGGCACAGTGGCTCATGCCTGTAATCCCAGCACTTTGGGAGGCTGAGGTGGGTGGATCACAAGGTCAGGAGTTCAAGACCAGCCTGGCTAACCTGGTGAAACCCCGTCTCTACTAAAACTACAAAAATTAGCCAGGCACGGTGGCAGGCACCTGTAATCCCTGCTACTCCGGAGGCTGAAGCAGGAGAATGGCAGGAGAATCGCTTGAACTGGGGCAGCAGAGGTTGCAGTGAGCCGAGACTGTGCCACTGCACTCCAGCCTGGGTGACAGAGTGAGGCTCTGTCTCAAAATATAAACAAATAAATAAATAAATAAGATGAGGTATCTGGGATTTGAAAAGTTAAGTGACTTGTCTTAGGTCAAGCACTAGTAAGTAGCAGAGCTATCCTTCAAGCCAAAGAACCTGATTCTAGAGTCTGCCTTTTTAACCACTATGTTAACCACTTTGACAACTTTATTCTTTTCCTATTGTAAATTACTACCAAAGTTTTTCTTGGAAGATTATTCACAAATATGTCACAGTTATAGAGTCATGCTCTAATTCCTTCAACCTTTCTCCAGGACAAAACCTAAAATGATGTTTAGAAAACAAACAAAGGTTGAATCTAATAATCACAAAATTACAGCAAATTTTATGCCAACTATGGGATTAGTTTAATAAAATTTTGCTGAGAATTTGGTAGCTGTACAAGATTATTTGATAGTAGGAACATGGTGCAAGAGTTTTTTAGTTTTTAGTTTTTATTTTCCAACGTATTTTTCCAGTGTGTCGGCTAATAAATCTGTATCCTGTTTCACTCCACTACTCTGATGGCAAAATGCTGCCAGATGATGAAGCTATAAACTTGTTTACTAATCCTTATCACAGACTACATCTTAGAATTGGGATCCTAATGAATCTTAGAAGCAAAACACTTTTTAATTAGATGTTAATCCAGATGTACTAGTCAAATGACCACTGCAAATGGAATTTGAAAATAAGAATTCTGCCTGTTCTTCTTGGTCTTTATTCCTCCATAGGGGAGCATTGAGCAGCAAGTAAAGAGCAAGTCTACCAGAGACTTCCATCATTCAACATGTATTTAAAAACAAAAAATTTCCTCATTGTAGGTACAAATGTGAGAAAACATTCAAAAATAAATTAGGTCACTGCTTATGCATATATATGTTGGCATAGTGTACAAAGAGAAAAGAATTTGGACTTGATATATGGATTCTAACCATTGCCCTGTCATTTAGCTGACAGACATTGGAGAAGACATGTAGGCTGAGTCTCCGTTTCTTCCATATGTCAAATAGTGATGATGTCTACCTTCAAGGGATGGCTGTTAGACTTTAAATATTATGTTTAAAAGATCTACCTATCTTTAGCCTACATATATAGACTCAATATATGATTGATATAAACATTAGTGGCCTCTTTTTGTTATTGGAGTCATCACAGCACATGTTGAATGCAGTCCCTCAGGATCCAGGCTGAGGCAACAGCAAACCGACACCTCAAACATTACCAGTCACTGTGCCATGGAAAGAAAGAACTCTGGATGATATTTCACTAGCAGTGAAGTGCTCAAACAAGTGATATTCATCACTTTCACTCACAAGCCACTGGTCCTACCTACAATAAGGGTGTCAAATGTGCAAGTCTATTTTGCAGCAGGAAGGCAGAGATCTGGAAAGCTGATCAACAATATTAATGACTATCACAATTAGAAAGCAGCATTATTGGAGCTATAAAGCTCAAGTTTAGCAATATGGCAAAGCTCCCTTTCCATTTCCCTAGACAATATGGGTAAACGTCATAATACAATGGATAAACACCCAAATGATCTCTGGTACCCCCCAAAATAGTTCTATATGTATATAGGAATATCTTACATACAATGATAAGCAGACCACTAAGATATATGGCCAAAAACATCCACTCACATCATGGATAAGACAAGCTACATTTTTACTATAGGAGCATCATAGCATCAGAGATGAACCATCTACTTTTTCTTGGCAACATAAAAAAACTACAAAAGTGCAGTCTAAGCAATTACTGGTTGTACTATACTGCTAATAGGAATACATTATTTATGCCCAAGAAAAATTATAATGGCTCTATGCCACCTACAAGCTGGTTGATCAACTTAAACATGCTATAAACATTAAGTCAAAATTCTGAATCAGCAATATCTACAAATTATAAATAATATTGAATGACAAGAATGACCTCAACGTTGTGCTCAGTTAAACTGATTACTATTGGGTTAGACATGTAAGCTTATGGCAGTGAGCATAATTTCCAGTCCAGGCAAATGAAAGAGAAAGGCTAACAAAAGAAGTACTCCAAAGAAAGCCAACAGAAAGCTATAAACCATAACCAAAGTTAGACTACTACACTAGTAGGGATAAAACCAACAAAACTGTAATGCCTCAAGTTGAGAAAAACTTAATCAGAGGTTCTCTCTCCTTAAAACTTAAGGAACTTCAAATGCTTAAGGAACTTAAAAGTGCTTATGCCTGGCCCTTTTCCAAGAGATTCTGATTTAATTGATCCAGTAGAGTGAGGCTCAGACATTTCTGTGTTTTTCTTACTGTTTTTGTTTTGTAAAGCTTCCTAATGCACAGCAAGACTTGCATGAAGAGCAAACACTACATTACTCTACACTAAAACACTACACTAAATCATGTAATCTATCAAGCTACAAAATAAACTTTTAAATCATGGGTTCCACAGATATGTACCTACTAAATATAAAAGAAAAATCATTTGTACTAATGGGGAAGAATTCTATACCATGCATCAGCTTAAAAAAATAGCCCTGCAGCACATGTTCATGGTTATTTCTATGAGTAATTACTAGAGTAATATAAATACTGAAAACATACTTCTGTAATTTTTTATCATGATAAAATACACATAAAATCTACCATCTTAACTATTTTAAGTGTACAGTTTGGTGTTACTAAATACATTTATAATGTTGTGCAATCATCACCACCCTCTATCTCCATAACTGTTTTCATCTTGAAAGCTGACATTCTGTGTCCATTAAACAATAACTTCCTATTCTCTACTTCCCTCAGCCCCTGGCAGCACCATTCTACTTTGTCTCCATAATTTTGACTATTCTAAATACTTCATATAAATGGAATCATATGGTATTTGTCATTTTGTGATTGCATTATTTCACTTATCATAATATCCTCAAGGTTCTTTCATGATGTGTCATGTCAGAATTTCCTTTCTATTTAAGGCAAAATAATATTCCATTGTTGGTATATGCCACTAGTTATTGTCCTGTGTTTTCTTCTAAGACTTTAG
This sequence comes from Homo sapiens, assembly GCF_000001405.40. Taxonomy (NCBI): domain Eukaryota; kingdom Metazoa; phylum Chordata; class Mammalia; order Primates; family Hominidae; genus Homo; species Homo sapiens. Next base: position 28,449,275 of record NC_000003.12, on the reverse strand, counting down.
AATTTTAGGTCTTACATTTAGGTCTTTGATCTGTTATGAGGTCGTTTTTGTACATGATTTTAGGTAAGGGTCTAGCTTCAGTTTTTTGCATGTGACTAGCCAATTTTTCTGAGCACCATTTGGTGATAAGATTGTCCTTTCCCCATTGAATGGTCTTTGCCCCACTGTCAAGAATAATTTGACTATTTACGTGAGAATTTATTTCTGGGCTGTCTATTCTATTCCACTTGTCTATAGGTTTACTGTGGCTTTGTCCTAAGTTTTGAAATCAGGAAGTGTGAGTCCTCTAGCTTAGTTCTTCTTCAAGATTGTTTTGGCTATTCAGGGTCCCTTGAGATTCCAAATAAATTTAGGATGGGTTTTGCTATTCATGCAAAAATACCATTAGGATTTTAATAGGGATTGCATTGACTCTGTACATTGCTTTGGGTAGTATTGCCTTTTTTTTTTTTTTTTTTTTTTTTTTTTTTTTTTTTTTTTTTTTTTTTTTTGAGACAGAGTCTCACTTGGTAGCCCAGGCTGGAGTGTAGTGGCATAATCTCAGCTCACTGCAACCTCTGCCTCCTGGATTCAAACAACTATCATGCCTCAGCCACTCGGGTAGCTCGTATTATAGGCATGCGCCAACATGCCTGGCTAATTTTTGTATTTTTAGTAGAGGTGGGGTTTTTCCATGGTGGCCAGGCGGGTCTCGAACTCCTGGCCCCAAGTGTTACATCCTCCTCAGCCTCCCAAAATGCTGGGATTACAGGCATGAGCCACCACATCTGGCCGGTATTGACACCTTAACTATAGTAAGTTCCAGTCTGTGAACATGGAACATATTTCTATTTATTTATATCTTCTTTAACTTTGTTCACCAATGTTTTGTAGTTTTCATTGTACAAGTATTTGATCTCCTTGGTTAATTCTCAGGTAGTTTGTTCTTTTTGATGCCATTGTAAATGGAATCATTTTTATAATTATCTTTTGGCATTCTTAGTGTATGGAAATGCAACTGAATTTCTTTGTTGTATTTGAATCCTGCTGCTTTGTTGAATTCACTTATTAGTTCTAATTTTTTTGTGGAATCTTTAAGGTTTCCTACTCAGAAGATCATATCACCTGCAAACAAAGATAATTTTACTTCTTTCTGTCCAATTTTGATCTTTTTTTTAAGCCTTTTAATTTTTATTACCCTTAAAAAAAGCTTCATTTTTTATTTAGCTTTCTGACTCTGTGTTTGTACCTTAAACAATTTCACAACAATTTTCTGCTCCTTAATAAGGAAAGCACACTTGATCCTGTCATGAAAACATTTAGCACACATGGAAACACCATAGGGCCTGCTGACATGTTTTTTTGTTTTGGACAATCTCATAAGAACTTTAGGCCTCACAGCACGAACCCCTCTAAGTCTGCCTGGGCACACACCACATGCAGATTTGGTGCTTTCCCAACCTTCTTTGTATAAAGGTAAACAATTCTATTGCCAGGGGTTCAGGAAAGCCTAGTTTTATTAGTGGTTGTATTGTAGGAAACCCTACGATGGTATGTCAAATGCTGGACCATTCTGAGTGCCTCTAGACAACGTTCGTGGAAGCTAGATATCTTTTATTTCTTTTTTCTTGCCTAATTGCTCTGGCTAGAACTTTCAGAACTATGTTGAATAGAATGGTGAAAGTTGGCATCTGTGCTTTGTTCCTCATCTCAGAAGAAAAGCTTTTAATCCTTCATCTTTGAATATAATGTTTGCCATGAGTTTTCATATATGGCTTTTATTATGTTGAGATAGTAGCCTTCCATTCCTAGTTTGTTGAGTGTTTTTTTTTTTAAATCATGAAAGGTTGTTGCATCTTGTCAAATACTTTTTCTACATTAATTAAGCTGATCATTTTTTTTCTTCATTCTGGTAATGTGGTGTATTACATTAGTTGATTTTTATATATTGAACTATTCTTACATTCCAAGATAAATCCTATTTGGCCATAGTGTATAATTCTTTTACTATTCTGCTGAATTAAGTTTGTTAGTATTTTGTTGACTTTTTCCATCAATGTAAATAAGGAATACTGGCCTATACTTTTCTTTCTTTGCAGTGTTTTTATGTGTCTTTTGTACCAGAGTAATGCTGGCCTTATAGAATGAGTTAGGAAGTGTGCCCTCCTATTTTTGGAAAAGTAGGATTTGAAGGATCAGTATTGTTCTTTAAGTGTTTGGTAGACTTCAAAGTGAAGCCATCATGTCTAAGATTCTTTATTGTTGGGAGATTTGGATTACTAATTCAATCTCATTACTAGTTACAGGTCTACTCAGGTTTTCTATTTCTTCATGCTTTAGTTTTGCTAGATTCTGTGTTTCCAGGAATTTGTCCATTTTGTCTAGGTTATCCAATTCATTGCTGTATAACTGTCCACAGTATGCTCTTATAGTCATTTTTATTTATGTAGAATTGGTAGTAATGTCCCTGCTTTATTTCTGACTTTAGTAATTTGAGTCTTTTCTCTTTAATTCTTAGTCCATCTAGCTAAAGGTTTGACAGTTTTATTGATCTTTTCAAAGAACCAACTTCTGTTTTCATTGATTTTCTCTATTGTTTTTCTATTATATATCTTATCTCTGCTCTTATCTTTAATATTTCCTTCCTTCTAGTAGCTTTGGATTTAGTTTTTCTTTTTCTGGTCCTTTAAGTTGTAAAGTTAAGTTGTTGATTTGAAATATTTATTGTTTTTTTAATAAGTGTTTGTAGGTATAAATTTCTCCCTCAGTACTGCTTTCATTGCATACTATTAAGTTTTAGTGTGTTGTGTTTTCACTTTCTCTAAGATGTGTTTCATTCATCTCTAAGTGTTTTCCAGTTTCCCTTACAATTTTTTCTTTGATTCATTGGTTGTCTTGGGGTGTTCAATTCCCACAAATTCTAATTTTACCTGTTATTATTTCTACCTTCATTTCATTGTGGTCCGAGATAATACTCTGCCTTATATCTATCTTTTAAAAACCTCCTGAGACATAATTTGTAGTCCATCATGTCATCTATTGTAGAAAATGTCCCATGTGAACTTGAGAAAAATGTGTATACTAGTCCTGTCGGGTAGAGTGTTTTGTACATGCCTGTTAAATCTAGTTGGTTTACTGTGTTGTTTGAGCTCTCTATTTCTTTACTTATCTTCTGCCTGGTGGTCTATCCATTACTGAGAATGGGGTATTAAGTCTCCAACTATTATTGTTGAACTGTCCATTTCTCCCTTCAGTTGTGGAAGATTTTGCTTCATATGTTTTAATAATCTTTTAACAGATGCATGTTTATAATAGCTATCTCTTCTTGCTATATTGAACATCTTATTAATCAAAATATCTTTCTTTTGTTTCTTGTAACATTTATGTTTATTTTGTCCAATATTAGTATAGCAACCCCTGTTCTCTTTTGGTTACTATTTGCACGGAACATCTTTTCTCATTCTTTCACTTTCAGTCTATTTGTGTCTTTGGATCTAAAGTGAATCTCTTGTTAGAGAGCAGATAGTAAGATCGTGTCTTTTTATTCATTCTACTAATCTCTGTCTTTTGACTGGGGAGTTTAACCCATTTAAATAATTACTAATAAGGCAATTATTTCTGTCATTTTGCTATTTGTTTTCAACATGTCTTACAGCTTTTTGTTCCTCATTTCTTGCCTTACTGGCTTCTTTTGTGTTTAATTTTTTATACTGAAACATTTAAATTCCTCTCTCATTTCCTTGTGCATATATTCTATAGCTGTTTTCTTTGTGTTTAACACGAGGATTACATCCTAAAGTTATAACACTTTAATTTGAATTTATACCAGCTTATCTTCCCCAACATACACAAATTCTGCTCCCTTAACAGCTTCATCCCCACCCCTTTCAGTTGTTGTCACGAAATTTCATCTTTATATGTTGTTTGCCCAAAAATATAAACTAATAATTCTTTGCAGTGCATCAGTATCTTAAGTTATGCAGAAAACAAAATGTGGAGCTATAAACCAAAGTTACATATACTAGCTTTTAGACTAATAATGTTAGGGCCTCACTCTGTAACCCAAGTGGTGAGTTAATACTTAATAAACTCAAATATATATATATATATATATGATAGGTATATAATAGGATATATACCTATATATCCTATTAGTTCCATCCCTCTAGAGAACCCTGACTAATATAGATTTTGGTACCAGGAGTGGTTCCAGAGGAATAGAATATTAAGGATGGAGCTCTTTTGTTGGTTTGGGGGTTTCTGGAGTTGGCTGCTTAATATGATAGACCCCAGAATGCTAAGGACTCTATTTCTATAGAGCATATCAGTATAGAAACACTGATACTCCTTGGTGTGAACACTTTAGACAGCCAAATAAATGCATTTGACACTCCTGATTCACTGCCCATGTGAGGCAAGAAGTTTAGTGACTCTATACATAATACGTTTGACCATATCTGGAGAACCAAGGACTATAATGAAGCTGGTTGGTCCCTCCTAGGTTCAGTGGACAAAGTGATGAAAGCAAATGATGAACTCAGCGATTCTAACTCCTGGCTTCAGAAGCAGATACTGAGCCTCAAATCTGCTAAGATTGCCCTAAGTGAGAGTCTTATCTCCTGTAGAGGAAGAGCTGAAATTGTGGAAAGCTCTTATCATGCGAGTGACTGACCTGCAAAGAAAGGTGCATGCACAGCCTCACCAGGTGTCTACTCTAAAAGTGAAGGCATTGATTGGAAAAGAATGGGACCCTGCAATGTGGAATGGGGACATGTGGGAGGACCCTGATGAAGCTGGGGACACTAGATTTATAAACTCTGTAGTGGCAACTTCCCTTCCCTGACCCATGCTGCCATCATCCTTTCTGCCTTTGTCTGAGGAGATAAACCCTACACTGCCTGAGACAACAGTGATGGCCTCCCCTGATGCAGCTGCCAGGGAAAATAATGTTGATTCTCCTCAGGAGCCACCCTCAACACTCATGTTATCTTCTAGACCTATAACTAGACTAAAGTCCTGGTAGATCCCTAGAGGTGAGGTTGAGAGTGTGACCATGAGGAGGCGTGCTACACTCAAGAAGGGCTGTTTGAGTTCTCTAATTTATATAAACAGAAATCTGGTGAACAAGCATAATAATGAATATTAAGGGTGTGGGATAATGGCGGAAGGAAGACAGAATTTGATCAGGCTGAATCTGTTGATTTGGGACCACTAAGTAGGGATTCTGCTTTTAATGTTGCAGCTTGGGGAGTTAAAAAAAGGTTCTAATAGTTTATTTGCTTGGTCACATGAAACATGGATTAAAAGATGGTTCATTGTGAGTGAGCTGGAAGTGCCTAATCTCCCTTGGTTCAATGTAGAGGAAGGGGTCCAAAGGCTTAGGGAGATTGGGATGGTGGAGTGGATTAGTCACTTAGACCTACTCATCCTAGCTGGAAGGGTCCAGAAGATATACCCTTCACCAATGCCTTGTGAAACAGATTTGTGAGGGCAGCATCTGCAATTTTGAGGAGCCCTGTAATTGCTCTTCTCTGTATGTCAGATCTAACAGTGGGAACCACAGTTACTCAACTACAAAATTTAAATACAATGAGGATCATTGGATCCCAAGGTGGCAGAGGCCAAGTGATGATACTCAACCATTAAAGGCAAGGTGGGCATAGCTACTGTAATGGACAGCAGAAGCAAAGCAGTAATCAGAATAGTCTGACTTGTGTAGAGCTCTGGTATTGGCTAGTTAATCACAATGTTCCTAGAAGTGCAATTGATACGAAGCCTACTGCATTCCTACTTAATTTATACAAGCAGAAAACTTCTAGGTTGAATGGACAAAAGACTAATTTGAATTAGAAAAACAGAGAACCACACCCCCTCAATCAATTTCCAGACTTGAGCCAGTTTACAGACCCAGAACCACTTGAATGAAGGGGAGGCCGGGTCACCTTGAGGAAGGACCCCACTAAATTACCGACAATTTATGCAGTGAACCTTTCTTCCACATGTCCCCAAGGAGACCTCTGGGCTTTCACCTGGGTAACTGTGCACTGGAAATGATCAGAAATTTCAGGGACTACTAGACACTGGCTCTGAGCTGACGTTGATTCCAGGGAACCCAAAATGTCATTGTAGTCCTCCAGTTAAAGTAGGGGCATATGGAGGTCAGGTAATTAATGGAGTTTTAGCTCAGGTCTGACTTACAGTGGGTCCAGTGGGTCCCTGGACTCATCCTACGGTCATTTCCCCAGTGCCAGAATGCATAATTCGCATAGACATATTTAGCAGCAGGCAGAACCCCCACATTGGCTACCTGACTGGTAAGGTGAGGGCTATTATTGTGGGAAGGGCCAAATAGAAGCCATTAGAGCTGCCTCTACCTAGAGAAATAGTAAATGAAAAACAATATCACATCCCTGGAGGGACTGTGGAGACTAGTGCCACCATCAAGGACTTGAAGGACACAGGGGTGGTGATCCCCACCACATCCCTGTTCAACTCTCCCATTTGGCCTGTGCAGAAGACAGATAGATCTTGGAGAGTGGATTATCATAAGTGTAACCAAGTGGTGATTCCAATTGCAGCTGCTATACCAGATGTGGTTTCATTGCTTGAGCAAATTAACACATCTCCTGATACCTGGTATGCAGCCGTTGACTTGGCAAATACCTTTTTCTCCATTCCTGTCCATAAGGCCCACCAGAAGCAATTTGCCTTCAGCTGGCAAGGCCAGTAATATACTTTTACTGTCGCACCTCAAGGGTATATCAACTCTCCAGCTTTGTGTCATAATCTTATTCAAGAGACCTTGATCGCTTTTCACTTCCATGAGATATCACACTGGTCCATTATATTGATGACACTATGCTGACTGGATCCAGTGAGCAAGAAGTAGCAAACACACTGGACTTATTGGTGAGACATTTGCTTGCCAGAGGATGGGAAATAAATCCAATTAAAATTCAGGGAACTTCTACCTCAGCAAAATTTCTAGGAGTCCAGCGGTGTGGGGCTTGTTGAGATATTCCTTCTAAGGTGAAGGATAAGTTGCTGCATTTGGACTCTCCTACAACCAAGAAAGAGGCACAATGCCTAATGGGTTTATTTGGATGTTGGAGGCAACGTATTCCTCATTTGGGTGTGTTACTCTGGTGCATTTAGTCAGTGATCCAAAAGGCTCTCAGTTTTGAGTGTGGTCCAGAACAGGAGAAGGCTATGCAACAGGTCCAGGCTGCTGTGCAAACAGTTCTGTCACTTGGGCCATATGACCCAGCAGAACCAATGTTGCTTGAAGTGTCAGTGGCAGATAAGGATGCTGTCTGGAGCCTTTGGCAGGCCCAAATAGGTAAATCACAGTGGAGGCCTCCAGGATTTTGGAGCAAGGCCCTGCCATCTTCTGCAGATAACTACTCTCCTTTTGAGAGACAGCTCTTGGTCTGTTACTGGGCTTTGGTGGAAACTGAATATTTGACTATGGATTATCAAGTGCCCGGGTGACCTAAACTGCCTATCATGAACTGGGTGCTTTCTGACCCATCTAGCCATAAAATGGGTTGTGCACAGCAGCATTCCATAATCAAATGGAAGTGGTACATGTGATCGGGCTCAAGCAGGTCCTGAAGGCACAAGTAAGGTACATGGGGAAGTGGCTCAAATGCCCACGGTCTCCAGTCCTGCCACCCTGCCTTCTCTCCCCCAGCTTGCACCAATGGCCTCATGATGAATTCCCTATGATCAGTTGACAGAAGAAGAGATGGTTCTGCACCATATGCAGGCACCACTCGAAAGTGGACAGCTGCAGCACTACAGCCTCTTTCTAGGACATCCCTGAAGGAGAGTTGTGAATGGTAATCTTCCCAGTAGGCAAAACTTCAAGCAGTGCACCTGGTTGTGCACTTTGCATGGAAGGAGAAATCGCCAGATGTGTGATTATATACTGATTCAAGGGCTGTAGCCAATGGTTTGGTTGGATGGTCAGGGACTTGGAAGAAGCATGACTGGAAAATTGGTAACAAAGAAATTTGGGGAAGAGGTATGTGGATGGACCTCTCTGAGTGGTCAAAAACGGTGAAGATATTTGTATCCCATGTGAGTGCTCACCAATAGGTGACGCCAGAAAAGAAGGATTTCAAAAATCAAGTGGATAGGATGACCCTGTTCTGTGGACACCACTCAGCCTCTTTCCCCAGTCATCTTTGTCATCACCCAATAGACCCATGAACAAAGTGGCCATGGTGGCAGGGATGGAGGTTATGCATGGGCTCAGCAACATCAACTTCCACTCACCAAGGGTGACCTGGCTACAGCCACTGCTGAGTGCCCAATTTGCCAGCAGCAGAGACCAACACTGAGTCTTCGATATGGCACCATTCCTTGGGGTGATCAGCCAGCTACCTGGTAGCTAGTTGATTATATTGGACCTCTATCACCATGGAAAAGGCAGAGGTCCTCACTGGACTAGACACTTACTCTGGATATGGGTTTGCCTAACCTGCACACAATGCTTCTGCCAAGACTATCATCCATCGACTCACAGAATGCCTTATCCACCATCATAGTATTCCACACAGCATTGCCTCCGACCAAGGCACTCACTTTACAGCTAAAGAAGCGTGGCAGTGGGCTCATGCTTATAAAATTCACTGGTCATACCATGTTCCCCATCATCCTAAAATAGCTGGATTGATAGAACAGTGGAATAGCCATGTGAAGTCACAATTATAATGCCAACTAGGTGACAATACTTTGCAGGGCTTGGCCAAAGTTCTCCAGAAGGCTGCATATGTTCTGAATCAGCATCCATTATATGGTACTGTTTCTCCCACAGCCAGGATTCACAGGTCCAGGAATCAAGAGGTAGAAATGGAAGTGGCATCACTCACCATCACTGCTAGTGATCCACTAGTAAAATTTTTGCTTCCTGTTTCTGCAACATTATGTTTTGCTGGCCTAGAGGTCTTAGTTCAAGAGGGAGGAATGCTGCCATCAGGAGACACAACAACGATTCCATTAAACTGCAAGATTGCCACCTGGACACTTTGGGCTTCTCCTACCTTTAAGTCAACAGGCTATGAAAGGAGTTACAATGTTGGCTTGGGTGACTGACCTGGGCTATCAAGATGAAATCAGTCTACTACTCCACAATGGAGGTAAGGAAGAGTATGCATGGAATACAGGAGATCTATGAGAGTTTGTCTTAGTATTACCATGCCCTGTGATTAGGTCAATGGCAAACTACAACAGCCCAATCCAGGCAGGACTACAAATAGCCCAGACCCCTCAGGAATGAAGGTTTTGGTCACTTCACCAGGAAAAAAAACCATGACCTGCCAAGATGCTTGCTGAAGGCAAAGGGAATACAGAATGGGTAGTAGAAGAAGGTAGTTGTCAATACCAGCTACAACCACATGACCAGCTGCAGAAATGGGACTGTAATTGTCATGAGTATTTGCTCTTTCTTTGTTAAAAACATGTTCGTTCATGTATACACTTGTACTAAGAAAATATCTTCATTTTATTTCCTTTTTCCTTTATCATGTGACATAAGATTTATTGACTTCATATCAGCATTTAGGTATTGTTAACTTTATGTAAGAGTATTTGGGTTGGGCACTGGTGAATTTCCGATTATACAAAGGATAGTTGTATTATGTTAGGCATAATTATGATCTCATTATTGTCTTTATTTGAAGATTATGTATGATCTCAGGAGATGTGTATAGGTTCCAGTTGCCAAGGGGTGGGCTTGTGATGGTTAATACTGAGTGTCAACTTGATTGAATTGAAGGATACAAAGTATTGATCTTGGGTGTGTCTGTGAGGGTGTTGCCAAAGGAGATTAACATTTGAGTCACTGGGCTGGGAAAGGCAGAGCCACCCTTAATTGGGTGGGCACCATTTAATCAGATGCCAGCAAGTATAAAGCAGGCAGACAAATGTGAAAAGGAGAGACTGGCCTAGCCTCCCAGCCTACATCTTTCTCCCGTGCTGGATGCTTCCTGCCCTTAAACATCAGACTCCAAGTTCTTCAGTTTTGAGATTTGGACTGGTTCTCTTTGCTCCTCAAGCTTGAAGACAGCCTATTGTGGATGTTGTGATCATGTAAGTTAATACTTAATAAACTCCCCTTTATATGTAGGTATATATATATATATATACACATCCTATGATGTGTGTATATATATATCCTATGGTGTGTGTGTGTGTATATATGTGTATATATATGTGTATACACATATATATACACACACACACCATAGATATATACTAGGATATATATATACTATTAGTTCTGTCCCTCTAAAGAACCCTGACTAATACACTGAGACTCAATAATTTCCATTGTTCTGCCTTCAAGTTTGCCGATTCTTCTCTCTGCTCTAATTTGTCTTTGAATCCCTATAGTGAACTTTTCATTTCAGTTGTACTTTTCTGTTCCTAAATTTCTTTTGGTTTTCTTATAGGTTTTCTAATTCCTTATTCATATTTGTCTTTTGTTCATACATCATGTTCTTGACTCTCAATATCTTCCTTTAGTTCTTTGAGCATCTTTAAGACAGTGGCTTTAAAGTATTTGTCTAGTAGATCTGCCATCAAGTTTTTGTCAGGGACAATTTCTGTTGATTTTTTTTCCTTTAAATGAGCCATACTTTCCTGTTTCTTTACAGGTCTTATGAATTTTTGTTGAAAACTGGACATATAAGTCTAATAATGTGGTAAGTTTGAAAATCAGATTCATCATCTTCCCCACAATTTGCTGTTTTTGTTATTGTTTTTGTTTATCTTTTTATTGTTGTCGGCTATCTTTGTGCCAAGGATCAGCCTGAACTAAAACTTTAAGTCCACTCAGGTCTTTTCTGAACCTGCACCTTTCCCTCTGCCTGCGCAGTCACTTTCTAATTTTCCCTGTATATACAGTTGGTTTAAAATGTCCTATGTTTAATGTCTGGCTTTCACAAGAGGAAAAATGGAAAAATGAAAGTGGTGGTGCAAAAGGGTGCCAGCCCTTTCAATCTCCTGGAAGTCACTTCAGCTGAAGGGGGAAGGGCTTGCACAAATGAGGGAGATTACAATAACAGTAGCTAGCTGCCCCTTTCATTGTCTGTACCTTTGTGATCATAAGCAGCAATCAGTGATTACAGCACAGATCCCTAATATTTGAAAAACAGGGTCATCTTTGCCCACCTCAGCTCCTGTAAGCTATGTGCAAGATGCTCCAGAAACATGTGCAACTGTCTGCCACAGGGCTGGGAATGGGGACTGGTAGCTGCTACTGTGTTAAGAGCTGAAGTTGATGGAAATTAACTGCAGCATACAGTCCAAGCCTTTTCCTGGAAGTTTCAAGCCTTCAATAGACTCCAGAGTTCAAAAATAGTTACATTAGACAGATTCTGCCAGTGTCTGATTGTTGTCTAGGTGGAGAGACATATTCATGGTGCTTCCTACTCTACCATCTTCCCAGAATCCCATCTCTGAATACTTTCAAGAATAACAAGGCTTCTTTATAAGAGAGGAGGCTGGATTTCAGCTATGTTTATAGATACTGATTAAAAACTAAAATATATAAACTAACATCAGTTATAAATCTATAATAAAAATATTGCCTTCAACTATTTTCTGGAGTGTATCTCAGTGTATCAATGAATAGTTCCATTTATTAGGGGAAAACACTATCATCTGTATGACTAGAGAATGACTGAGTACTGTTGTGCTCTTAATAAAATTAATTAAGTCAGAGGTCTCATAAGGCAACCATGCACCTATTAAATTAACTATTTAAAAGACTAGACAAACATGATTGAGCCAAAATAAAATAGTTAAAATTTTCATAATAAAACAAAAAAAATTTAATTTAAATGCATATAATGCAGGTCTTTGTAGGCAAATTTATGTCTATACCACCTTCACATATGCACTGAAAAATATAGAGAATCCATATTTAGTGAAAATCCTGAAATATTAATTAGTTGTTAATTAATTTAGAAGAATTAATTTAGAGGAAAATGATGTTGAAATAGTGTATGAAGTAAGATTTAGCAATAACCAGTGAAAATTATACATGACTATCATTCTTCATCTGGTTTTAGAAAAAGTGATCAGACAACTTGTACAATTTACATACTTCTCCTCTAGAAAAAAATTTTTAAAACTCTACATTGTCTAAATATACAGTATTTTTTGTGTAAGTGGTTTTGTCCTTTTTTCTGAAGTTGGGAGCATGTATTTAATATCTAGATCAATGTGGTGCAGTATAGAGACAGCATTTGAGGATATAGGAGCTCCAAAGTGGAAAGGACCATAAAAGATTAAATCCCTAGGAAGTCTAGACAATAGAGTGTAAATTGGAGTCAATACAATCTCCATCTTCAAAGAAAAGGAAATCTCAGCTATCCTGAGGTAAGATTCTAAGGTCAGCTTCATGAGCAGCTAAAAGATTCCCGTATCCTTTATAAAGCGGCCAAGATGGAATATTCTATCCTGTCTTCTGTGGTTGCCAGCAGAACTATCTAGGAGCACATTCAAAACGTCAGAGCAGAGAAGATGCCTCGTATAACGATGACTGGATCACAACTAGCATGAAATTGATTTATATGGTGTTATTCCATACTTAATGTTTTCACAAAAACAGCCTTCCCTCTTACCTGCTTCAAACTGAATAGTATAAAACACCAAACAAAATAGTATAAAATACATAGTTTTTACTATATATTTGCCAAAGATATAGTAAAAACCCATTAAAAAGTACCCCTAATTTTCACAGATTTAATTTTACTGTGGATTAAATTGCATGTTTTAAATACGTACATGTACTTATTTGTATTTCTAAATATGTACACATCTATTAACAAAACAAACAAAAAACATCCAGCTGGGCACAGTAGTGTCTGCTTGTAGACTTAACTACTTGGGAGGCTGAGGCAAGAGGATCACCTGAGCCCAGTAATTCAAGGCTGGCCATCACAAAAAAAAAAAAAAAAAAGAAAAAAAAGAAAATATTCAAATTGAGTAAAAGGTATCCACATTTCTGACATCCACTTTTTATCAAGTTTTAATGAAAGCATGATTTGCAGATGAAAAGTTTCAATATTAGAATATAAACACAGATCATTTAATTGATTTATACTTATTAAACCAAATATGTGGAAATAGGTCCAGTTTACCTATTCTCATAAATTTGAGAAACTATTAGGTTGGTGCAAAAGTAATAGCAAAATCGCAGTTACTTTTACACTAATCTAATAATCTATCTATTAATTATAATGTGAGATTTAAAGTTTAAAAAGAGTCAAAAAGATACTGAAGGAGTTAGTATAAATGAAATATTCCATTTGAAATTGAAAAACTGGTTGCAATCCATAATTAAGTTTTCCTGTGAGCTATGGCTATAACATAGAGTCTCCTCTTCTCAAGAGAATTTAAAAACTACCAAATGATAGTCTTAAAATAGTTTCAAAAGGCAATCACATAAAGTCTTCAGTTGATTTTTATTATATTACCATTAGAAAAATAAAATTTAAGGCTGGGCGCAGTGGCTCACGCCTGTAATCCCAGCACTTTCGGAGGCCGGGGCGGGCTGATCACAAGGTCAGGAGTTCGAGACCATCCTGCCAAACACGGTGAAACCCCGCCTCTACTAAAAACACAAAAAAATTAGCCGTGCATGGTGGCGGGCACCTGTAGTCCCAGCTACGTGGGAGGCTGAGGCAGGAGAATGGCGTGAACCCAGGAGGCGGAGCTTGCAGTGAGCCGAGATCGCGCCATTGCACTCCAGCCTGGGTGACAGAGCGAGACTCTGTCTCCAAAAAAAAAAAAAAAAAGACAGAAAGAAAAATAAAATTTAAAACTCTCACAACTATTTTATATCCATACTTTCTTTGAGAAAAACACTAAAAATACAAATATTTGAATTAAATAAACAGCATACATTATATCAATCTAAAAGCAACTTATACATATTTTATGATCAAAGATAAAAATTACCATAACTAAAAATAAGTGCAAGAAGAATAAAGTTTTGATGTTATGATACCTACCTTTAATGTGATACTATAATGTCCAACGAATGTTGCCTTTATCCATGATCTTGAATGGGGATCGCCCAGGAATTCTATGTGATACTCTTCAACATTTCCATCCGGGTCATAAGTTACATATTTCCCTTTAAAACGGTCAGGGCAAAGTATTCCTGGCCAACTTTCAAAAGAAAATATTTGTAATTATTTTGATGCTTTTAAAAAGGTAGACATCAACACGTCTATCAATCGCATATTAACTTCCTCCTTTGAATTTTAATGCCTTTTCACAAAACATATATTCCTACTTATATCTTTCAAAGGTAGGATATTTGTTTGATACAAGTAATAAATTGTATTTTATAGTTATAGAAAGCTTTGAAATGGTCACAAGTTTAAGATATAGATAAGACATGAGGAAAGAATTATAAAGCAAAAGAATGATCTCCAGGGACAATAAGAGATATTTAGGCACTGATGATAGAAAAGATAAGAGAAAAAAAAAGATTCCTCAAATTCATGTAGAGCTGAATTAACTCTAAATCAAATGATTAATTAGCAAAATGTTAACCCACTAAGCATGGCTTCTGATGGCGTGGGAGAGAGCTGGTATTTCCTGAGCCAGGTCTGCCAAAGGAATCCTGATAGCTCAGGCTTTGACAATGCTGTGGAGTCAAACTACTGTGGGAAAAGCAGAAATAGAGCTCTGCAGTTCCATCCTGTCTCCTTCCTCCATCTGCTGCATTGCCAGGTGACCACATTGTTAAAAAATCTTCAACATTGAAAATAAAATTTATTCTTTATTAAAAACAAACATTTAGAGATATGTTATTTCATGACATAAACCTCTACAAATTTATTGATATGTTTCATTTTTCTCTTTGGTCTTCATTTCCCACTTTTACCCATTCTATTCTACTTTTTTTTGTTGTATTTGGTTTTTCTATTTCATAATATGCAGCAGAGAGCTCCTGTCATTAACACCCCTGATAAGCAAAAACTGAAATAATAATTCTATATGGAGTCTGAACAGGAAATTAGAGAATAGTCCTGAAAAACCTCTGAAGTGAGAAAACCCACACCTAAGAAGTTATTCATTTTATTTGGTTTATCATGTTCTGTTTAAAAGGAAGTTTGAAATAAACTGAAAATTTATGGGAACATAATCACTGTAAAAATTCCTGATTGTGAATGTAAATAAAAACAAATTTAGCACTAAGAAAATTAGAATTTTTAAGTAATATATTTGCTCAATATTTTAAAAATAATTTCTGTAATTTTAAACAGTAAAATGAAAATTGATTCAAGGGTATTATAAGAGAAACTGAGGAGGAATATCACAGATATTTAAAAGTGGTCAAAAAAAAAAAAAACTGGGGTGGAATTGGAAGAGGCAACTTACTGAGGCAAGTTAATGATGTCAGTGTTCCCAGCACTCCTTTGAGGCTTTGATTATCAATTTGATCCTCCCACCAACCTGATGAAGTGATGAAGTAAGTTTTTTTTGTTTTTTGTTTTTTGTTTTTTTTTTTTTTAAGAGGGAGTCTTGCTCTGTCACCCAGGCTGGAGTCCAATGGTGTGATCTCGGCTCACCGCAGCCTCCGTCTCCTGGGTTCAAGCAATTCTCCAGCCTCAGTCTCCCGAGTAACTGGGATTACAGGCGCCTGCCACCATGCCTGGCTAATTAGTAGAGATGGGGTTTCACCATGTTGGTCAGGCTGGTCTCGAACTCCTGACCTCAAGTGATCCGCCCGCCTTGGCCTCCCAGAGTGCTGGGATTACAGGCATGAGCCACTGCACCCAGCCTGTTTTCTTTATTTAAATGAAAACTGAGTCTTGGAGCTATTCTGTAACTTTCTTAAGAAGACTGTTAATAAAAGGTGAAAACATGGTTTGAAAAAGGACTTTCTAATGCCAAAACCCAAATGTTTTCCACTAGATTAGATCACAGTCATGGCTCAGAAGCGGGATCAGTACCAAAGGGAGGGAAACCACAGGGAGGCTATATTCAACTCAAGAAAGGAAAAAAAGAAAAGGACTTAAGAATAATTAGCCCAAAGATGGAATATTCAGCCTCATAAATTACATTTCCTTGCTGGTTAAGAGCCTACACAACCATTTGATAAAGAGTACCAAAGTATGTGTGGTGTATAGTGTAGGGAGTATGTGTGTTTGTGTGTGTGTGTGTGTGTGTGTGTAAGAATATGCTTTGCTTATTGAAGTGGGGCAACCATATGATCTCTGGTTTTCTCTAGCTCTATGATAAAATCAATTTGATGAGGATTATCTGATACCATAGTCAAAAGAGTAAAGTTACTAAAATAACAAAAGGCCTTTCTTATCTGATATTTGATCAATAAGGATTGCTACTGTATCAAGACCAGGGATAGAATGATGGTGTGCTTTCAGTGAAATAAAACTGAAAAAGATACAGATGAGTTCGTCTCAGTAATATCTATTTTTTTCATTCAGATAATACATTGTAACTATAGCTAGATATTTTATTTATCTTACATATATATTAAGTCTACAATTTCTTAAATACTTAGTATTAATGTATCAAAAAATTGACTTTTTATTTTAAAAACTACAACTCTAAAATCAAAATTATCATCTTGTATTTAAAAGCACAATGTAAATTATTAGGCTAAAACCATCCATGGCAAAATTGCACTTATATATCAACTAAGTGTTAAAAAATTAACCAATCATTCTACACTCTGACCTACTGTTCAGAGAATAAAGCAGGAAGGGAAGACAGCAAATAAGGTCAGTAAGCTATGATTAAGGAATGTACAGTAGAAATATGATCGAGTTTTACAGATCAAGATATAAAATATGCATACCTAATATACCAAACCATTCAAAAATCTGTACAGCTGTCAAGTGTTACTTCACTTTGCAGCACTGTAAAGTCCCATTTAGACAATGATGTGCATAATCCCAAATCCTGTACCCCTCTACCTTTCGTATGCCCCCACATGTTATAGTTCAGTGATCTGAGACACAGAATGCTTAGATTTTTCCAACATTTCCTAGTGGTACAGCAAAGGCCAACACATGCTCAAGTCTCTTGACCAGCAACATTTTTCTCTGGTTTTGCCATAAACCAGACAAGACGCACTGATATGGTTAGGCTTTGTGTCCCCACCCAAATCTCATCTTGAATTGTAATTCCCATAATCCCCACATGTTGTAGGAGGGACATGGTGGGAGGTAATTGAGTCATGAGGGTGGTTACCCCAATGCTGCTGTTCTTGTGATAGTGAGTGAGTTCTCATGAGATCTGATGCTTTTATAAGGGGCTTTTCCCTCTTTGCTCAGCACTTCTCCTTGCTGCCACCATGTGAAGAAGGATGTGTTTGCTTCCCCTTCCACCATGATTCTAAGTTCCTGGAGGCCTCCCCAGCCATGCTGAACTGTGAGTCAATTAAACCTCTTTTCTTTATAAATTACCCAGTCTCAAGTATGTCTTTATTAGCAGTGTGAGAACAAACTAATACAGGCACCAAGCACGTATCTAGACCTCATAGTAACTGGTTCCTCACTGTGTTGTTATAAAGTTCAAACAAACATATACTTTACACATTTTTGGTTTTTGGCAAATTAAAAAATTGTAAAGTGACATCATTATGGGCTGAATTTTGTCCTCCTCACACCCTCAAATTTGTATGCTGAAGTCCTAGCTTCAGATGTGGTCATATTTGAACAGAGAGCCTTAAAAAAGGTAGTGACGTTAAAATGAGTTCATTAGGGTAGGCCCTAATCCAGTATGACTGGTCTCCTTATAAGGAGAAGAAATGAAGACAGACATGCACAGAAGGAAGACCATGATAGGGCACAGCAAGAAAATAGCCATCTGCAAGCCAAGAAGAGGGTCTTAAAAAAAAAATTAATCCTGCAGACACTTTAATCTCAGGATTTCTAGCCTCCAGAACTGAGAAAATAAATTTCTGTTGTTTAAGCCACCCAGTCTGTGACATTTTGTTATGGCAGCCCTAGCAAACAAATACAATCATATATATATAAGATATTTGGTACAACTGAGAGGAGGAAAAATGATACAAAGATATATTTGCTTCATTAAGGTAACTATTTGTAAACTAAATTGTTTAGATAATTTTAAAATCTAAAGAAAGTATACATATCATGCTGTAAAGAATCTGAAATCACAAAAATAAAATATCCATAAATTGCTTGAATTTGAGGACTGTAGGTTATTAATCTGTTAAATTATCAATTGATATCAAAGTTATAAAATAAATCTATGCAACTCATAACCAAATAAAAAAGTTATTACTTGTATTAGTTCATTCTCATGCTGCTATAAAGAACTGCCTGTGACTGGGTAATTTATAAAGGAAAGAAATTTAATTAACTCACAGTTCCACATGACTGGGGAGGCCTTAGGAAACTTACAATCATGGCAGAAGGGGTAGCAAACATGTCCTTCTTCACATGGCAGCAGGAGAGAGAAGTGAAAGAAGTGCTGAGTGAAGGGGGGAAAGCTCCTTATAAAACCATCAAATCTCATGAGAACTCACTATTATGAGAAGAGCATAGGGGAACTGCCCCATGATCTAATCACCTCCCACAAGGTCCCACCCCCAACCTGTGGAAATTACAATTCAGATTACAATTCAAGATGAGATTTGGGTGGGGACACAGAGCCAAACCATATCATTCTGCCACGGGCCCCTCACAAATCTCATGTCCTCACATTACAAAACACAATCATGCCCTTCCAACAGTCCTCCAAAGTCTTAACTCATTCCAGCTTAACCCAAAATTCCAAGTCCAAAGTCTCATCTGAGACAAGGCAAGTCCCTTCTGTCTATAAGCCTGTGAAATCAAAAGCAAGTTAGTTAATTCTTAGATACCATGTGAGTACAAGGCATTGTGTAAATACACTCATTCCAAATAAGAAATTGGCCAAAACGAAGGGGCCTCAGGCCCCATGTAAGTCCATAATCCAGTGGGGCAGCCAAATCATAAAGCTTTGAAATTATCTCCTTTGACTCCATGTCTCACATCCAGGTCACGCTGATGCAAGAGGTGGGCTCCCACAGCCTTGGGCAGCTCCACCCCTGTGGCTGTGCAAGGTACAGTCCCACTCCCAGTTGCTTTAACAGGCTGGCATTGAGTGTCTGTGGCTTTTCCAGTTGCACGGTGCAAGCTGTCAGTGGATCTACCATTCTTGAGTCTGGAAGAAGATGGCCCTCTTCTCACAGCTCCACTAGGCAGTGCCTCAGTGGGGACTCTGTGTGGGGGCTCCAACCCCACATTTCCCTTCTGCACTCTCCTAGCAGAGGTTCTCCATGAGGGCTCTGTCCTTGAAGCAAACTTCTGCCTGGACATCCAGGCATTTCCATACATCCTCTGAAATCTAGGTGGAGGTTCTGAAACTTCAATTCTTTATTTCTATGTACCTGCAGGCCCAACACCATGTGTAAGCTGCCAAGGCTTGGGGCTTGTACCCTTTGAAGCAACAGTCTGAGCTGCATTTGACCCCTTTTAGCCATGGCTGGGACACAGGGCACCAAGTCCCACGACTACACAAAGCAGCAAGGCACTGGGCCCGGCCCGTGAAACCATTATTTCCTCCTAGGCCTGTGGGCCTGTGAAGTGAAGGGCTACCATGAAGACCTCTGATATGCCCTGGAGACATTTTCCCCATTGTCTTGGTGATTAACATTTGGCTTCTTGTTACTATGCAAATTTCTGCAGCTGGCTTGAATTTCTTCTCAGAAAATGGGTTTTTCTTTTCTATCACATCATCAGGCTGCTAATTTTCCAAACTTTTATGCTCTACTTCCCTTTTAAACATAAATTCCAATTCCAAACCATATCTTTGTGAATGAATACATAAAACTGAATGCTTTTTAGAGCACCCAAGTCACTTCTTGATCACATTGCTGCTTAAAATTTCTTCCACCAGATACCCTAAATCATCTCTCTCAAGTTCAAAGTTCCACAGAATCTCTAGGGCAAGGGTAAAATGCTGCCAGTCTTTTTGCTAAGGCATAGTAAGAGTCACCTTTATTCCAGGTCCCAAGAAGTTCCTCATTTTCATCTGAGACCACCTCAGCCTGGACTTCATCGTCCATATCACTATCAGCATTTTGGTCAAAGTCATTCAACAAGTCTCTAGGAAGTTCCAAACTTTCCCACATCTTTCTGTCTTGTATCGAGCCCTCCAAACTATTCCAATCTCAGCCTGCTACCTAGTTCCAAAGTTGCTTCCACATTTTTGGGTATCCTTATAGCAGCAGCCCACTCTGTGTGGTACCAATTTCCTGTATTAGTCTGTTGTCATGCTGCTATGAAGAAATACCCAAGACTGGGTAATTTATAAAGGAAAGAGGTTAAATTGACTCCCCAGTTCCACATGGTTGGGGAGGCCTCAGGAAACTTAAAATCATGACAAAAGGGGAAGCAAACACATCCTTCTTCACATGACAGCAGGAGAGAGAAGTGAGAATAGTGCCAAGTGAAGGGGGAAAAGTCCCTTATAAAACCATTGGATCTCATGAGATCTGACTCAGTATCATGAGAACAGCATGGGGGAATTGCTCCCATGTTCTAATTACCTCCCACAAGGTCCTGCCCCCAACACGTGGAGATTACAGTTTGGATTACAATTCAAGATGAGATTCAGGTGGGTTACAGAGCCAAATTGTGTCATTACTGATCATAATTAACAGAACAATGTAAACTAATAAAAATATTTCATGCCTGGTATTAGTGACATAAAAATTCGGATTCTAGGAAGTTGATGAGTCCCAACTCTACTGCCAGGATGTGGTGACATGGGTGCACGGTCAACAGAGATGGTGGAATGTGAGAATGAAGTAGATGTTCAGTTGCTCCCCAGAGGCTGAGCAGAGTCCTATGGCTCTTGTGCCTCTGAGTTAGGGAAAGCACAGGTAGAGGACTACCTGGCAGTCATAGATTTTAGAAGAAGAAGGTCTAGAGCATTACACATTGTTTCCAACTATCTGGAACCCAAAGAAGCCTAATACGTTAAAAGAACTCTAAGTGATAACAGAAAGTCAATTGTAGCGTCAGGACCTCAATGAAGAAGACTCTCTGGTTATTATCAGGTTCACACACCACAGTATCTCATTGTTTGGCGACTGTTATTAGGCTGTCCTTAAGAGCAAACTTGAGTGGAGTTTACCTTGTAAACTTACATTGGAAATTTACATTACTGAAGGAACCCACTAGAAAGAAGACCTCACTAAGAAGCAGAAATGGAGACTCCATGGCAGCAGCAATGGAGACCCCAACTTAACAGAAATTTAGAAACAATGGGTCTTTCAAGCTAATTAACATCTATTTTAAAAGCAACCAATCCATAATTGTTACATTACAGTGTTAAAACTGTAAAATGTAAGGGGTTTATATTTAATAGTTGGTGATTTAAAATTTCTAAAAGGATTATTGTCAAGCAATATCAAATTAAAAGTAACACCTACTCCATTCAGCATAAAATAGTCTCAAGATTTCTCACACTTAAGTCATAAAAGTGGGAAGTATTTTGCAGTTATTATGTATAACATGAATGGCTATTTTGATAGTCTTTGATAAATCACATCTCTATTGGGCCCAAGAGTATTCATTTTAAATTATTACTTTATAAATAAAAACAGAGACGACCCTCAAAAAGAATTGGATGCTAATGAAAGAGAAAGCTTCTGTTCATATTTAAACATATTAAATTATAGAAAATCTTGCATGCCGATCTAAAGACAAATTGTGAAAGATATTGTCACATGGCCAAATAAATGGGGCATTTCAGTATTTCTTCATGAGGCAGAGGGAAATTCTCTGACTCAGTCTGTACATCACAGTTAAAAATGAATGTGCTAAACTAAAGGAAAAGCTGAGCAGAGACAATAGATGTAGAAAACATGATTACTTCTCCTCATCTCCTACATTCATCATCTTTTCAGACTTGAGGTGTTTGAAGAAAGCTGATGTCCACTTTTTGCCCTTACACTGACCTCATTCTGAGTTCAGACACTGTCAACCATGATAATGCATTGTGCACTTCCATTTCTCTATTTTTCCTTTTACTCGGATGAGAAATTCTGAAGCATTATCAGGAGATTTAATGATGAAAGGGAGAGGAGTGGGCAACCCAATGGTAACTTATCAGAATTACAAGAAAAGTATACGATCAATTTTGGAATCTGTGGGTGGTGAGAAGTAAAATGCACAAATGCAACAAAATCAGATAGATACCAGTCATTGAAATCCATCGGAGGAAAGGGCAAATTTTGGCAGGACAAGTAGGCTCAAGGGAATGCAAATGTATCAGGAAGAAACTCATGTCTTACATATTTGTTATCCAGTAGAAATGATCTTTAATAAGACAATTATTGCCCCCATAGAAGCTGAAGTTTAATCATGGTTTCAGTTGCCATGTAGCCAATTAGAAATACATGAGTTCATGTTTAAATAGTGGTTTGGATGTATAAGTGGAGAGCAAACTTTACTTGGGGCTTTTCCCTAAACTGTTGGAAACAAAATGGATGAGTTGGAATCATGACTAAATATTATATTTGCCAAGAAATCTCTGGACTGTACCTAATTGCAGGGGCTGATGGAAAAGGGAAGTTTTCCTTTCAGATACACATATTATTAGTATATTAATTGATATGCAAAATAATGCAAATGAAAAGTAATCAATTAATACTTTATAATACTGAAAGGATCCAGTAGAAATCTCAATTTATCAATTTATATACTGTGTCTAAAAAGTATCACTTGATTGCTTTGTTAACTTAAAGCCATATTTTATTACCAAACTGGACTACAATATAATGCAAACATATTTTCTATAAATTAATTTTCATATTTATGACACAGCTTTGTCAAATATCTGTGTAAACATTCCTGAAGTAGTTACCATAACAGAGCCTAGTTTCTGCTTGACAATGTATCTTCCTGAATTAAGTGAGATATGCACCATTTTTTTTCTCTAAAGAGTCCAGACTCTTCCTAGCCAAATACAATAGCATATGATCAATTTTTAAAAAAACAAGACTGCTTAAACATTGTGGAGAGTTTTATCTTTCTGGTACATACAGATGTTTCCATCTTCAAGTATATAAAGGTAAAACGCAAAGGCAAAATGCTATATATACATATATATATATAAATATAATTTTTTTTTGTGACAGAGTTTTGCTTTTGTTGCCCAGGCAGGAGTGCAATAGGGCTATCTTGGCTCACTGCAACCTCTGCCTCCCAGGTTCAAGCAATTCTCCTGCCTCAGCCTCCAGAGTTGCTGGGATTACAGACATGTGCCACCACGCCCAGCTAATTTTGAAATTTTAGTAGAGACAGGGTTTCTGCATGTTGGTCAGGTTGGTCTCGAACTCCCAACCTCAGGTGATCCTCCCGCCTTGGCCTCCCAAAGTGCTGGGATTACAGGCATTAGCCACCGCACCTGGCCTACATGTATATTTTTATAAGTACATAAATATATGCTGTGCCAGAATGTAGAAGTAGATATAACTGTTATAATTTGATTATTCCTGGAGTCTGCACATAGGAAAAGAAAGTGCTATTCTCTTGACAATTATTTGTTTTTATTATATAGATATAAAGCAGTTCTAGATTCTGTATCAGTTTCTAGTTAGCTTTATTACAGAGAGTCAACTTTTTTGAGAAAGAATAACTCTGAAATGTTGACAAGATTGAGTTTCTGAGCCTTAGAAGCTACATGTAAGGCCATGGGCTAAAGAGAATTGACACAGATAATGCTACACCACTAGGTATCTCTGAGGCCAGCAGCTAATCTTTCCACTTGGAGCTTCAACATCTATGGCTTTGCTTAATTAAGATCTAATATTTGTTTCTAGTTGGTTAATGCTATCCTTATATTTTTCTATTGTAATTTATCCTGTTATTATCTTTCTATATATTTGTGTTACTGAATAAGCAATATAAGTATATTTGAGTTTCTTAATCTGTATTTTAGGTGTGTGCTCAACTTAGTTTATAAAGAGGAATATATGTGACAAATTAGCCAGATGCATTCTACTCTCCAGTAAATAAGAAGGTAGATACAGCTTATTTTTTGGGCATTTTGATGTCCCTAATCATAGATTAGAGATAATTGAGGTACTGGGGTAAAACATGTTTCATTTTTAAGTCTTAAGCCTCAGCGACTAGCACAACACTGCAAAAGAAAATTTTTAATCAAATTTCTAACACAGCATTTCAGACATAGTGACAAAAAAATCAATTTTTTGAGTTAGAATTAAAACTTCAGAATTTTCATTAGAGAATACAAATACTGTGCTTCCAAAATGTTAATTAGAGACAAGAAAAATTATGTGGGACTACAAATACCTTCATAAGTTCTCATAAAATAAGTGTTCATATTCATGTCTTTTAAAATATTTTTTCTTACATATCTATTGCCTCTTGATGTCCCTCCTAATTATCACATGGAAGCTAATTAACAATATAATTTTTAAACAACATTATCACATTTGATCTTCAGAAAAGCCCTCAGTAACAAAGGCCACATTTTCCCTGATTTCCCATACGTGCAAAGACAGTAAGCACATTGGTTTGCTAGGGCTACCATAACAAAATACCACAGACTGGGTGGCTTAAACAATAGAGATTTATTTTTTCATAGTTGTGGGGGATTAACATATAAGATCAATACATTGACATGTTTGGTTTCTTCTGAGGCCCCTCTCCTTGGCTTATAGATGCCCACCTTCTTGCTATGTCCTCACATGGTCTTTCTTCTGTGCACGTCTGTGTTCTAATCTCCTCTTCTTATAAGGATGCCAGTCATATTGGATTAGGGCCCTTCTTACTTTTGATCTCATTTTCACTTAATTACCTCTTTAAGAATCATATCTGCAAATATGGTCACATTCTGAGGCACTGAGGGTTGGACTCCAACATATGTATTTCGAGAGAACAGAATTCAGTCCATAACCATAAGTGATAGAGCAAGAACATACATCTAGGTATTGATTTAAAGGCTCTGTGTGTGTGTGTGTGTGTGTGTGTGTGTGTGTGTGTGTGTTGGAATAAGACCACCACAGTCTCTCTATGAAAGCCAACATCCTATTTTCTTCATGGAGAATAGTTGAACATGAATGAAAACAAGGTAGTGAGCCAGAATATACAGCTTTAAGAATGTTAGGTTGAAAAACGCAATGTAAAATAGTAAGGAATTCTGGAAAGATAGCAGCAATGGTGGTATAGTTTTAGAATATCCTGAAATTTCCCCATAAATACAGGTAGGGCAACTATAATAGCAAAACCAAACCTGACACACACCACCTATGATGAAACTAAGTGGTAAGCTACCCACATGAACACCAAAATAGGAGCAAATGGGCACAAACTACTAAAAATTATATGATCCATATAATATTAGCATCTATTTGAGAGGAAGGAGGGTGGGAGGAGGAGGAATGAGGACTTCAAACTTGCAAGAAGCATTTACTGGAAAGTGCAGCAAGTTGAACTAAGAACAGCAGCCAAAACTGTGAGGTGGATTGCAACAAAATCTGCAAGTGTTGGAAAAGTGTGGGCCCTATGAAGCAAACAACCAAGATCCGTTTCAGGATAAAAGCTCACAGGGGCCGGGCGCAGTGGCTCAAGCCTGTAATTCCAGCACTTTGGGAGGCCGAGGTGGGAGGATCATGAGGTTAGGAGATCGAGACCATCCTGGCTAACATGGTGAAACCCCATCTCTACTAAAAATACAAAAAATTAGCTGGGCGTGGTAGCAGGCACCTGTAGTCCCAGCTACTCGGGAGGCTGAGACAGGAGAATGGCGTGAACCCGGGAGGCAGAGCTTGCAGTGAGCCTAGATCGCACCACTGCACTCCAGTCTGGGCGACAGAGTGAGACTCTGTCTAAAAAAAAAAAAAAAAAAAAAAAGATAGCTCACAGGATGAGAAACTGCTGGGAGCAAAATCTAAACTGAAGAGGACAGGATCAATAAGAAACAAAGGAAAAAGAAGATACAAATAAAAGTGGGGATATAACATCAAAGGCACCAACCATGACAGAAAAAAATGATAAAGCAGAGTTCATTAAAATAAAAAAATACCTGCTCTGCAAAGTCACTGTCAAAAGAATAAGATGACAAGCCACAGAGTGGGAGAAAATATTTGCAAAACATATATCTGATAAGACAGTGATATCCAAAATATACAAAGAACTCTTCAAACTTTACAATAAGAAAATGAATAACCAGATTTTAAAATGCGCAAAATATCTGAACAGACACCCTACCAAAGAAGATATACAAGATGGCAAATAAGCATATAAAAAGATATTCAAAAGCATATGTCCTTAGGAAAATACAAACTAAAACAATGAAATACCACTACACACCTATTAGAATTCAAAATTCAGGTAACACCAAATGCTGGCAGGGAGGTGAAGCAACACTGTTGGGAATGCAAAATAATACAGCCACTTTGGAAGACAGTTTAGCATTTTCTTAAAAAAAAACACACACACACACACATACTCATAGCATACTGTCCAGCAATTGCAGTCCTTGGTATTTACCCAAAGGAACTGAAAACAGGTCCACATAGAAGGTTGCACATGGATGTGTATAGAAGCTTTATTCATAACTGCCAAAACTTGGAAGTAACCAAGATATCCTTCAGTAGGTGAATGGATAGATAAGTTGTCCTATGTATAGACAATGGACTATTATTCAGTAGCAAAAATACTGAGTAATCAAGCCATAAAAGGACATGGAAGAGACGTAAATGCATATTACTAAATAAAAGATAGTCTGAAAAGGCTAAATACTATACAATCTCAACTATATGGCATTCTAGAAAAGACAATACTATGAAGACGGTAGAAAGATAAATGGTCACCAAGAGTTTGGAGGGATAGAAGGGTAAATAGGAGAAACACAGAGGATTTTTAGGCCAATATAACTATTCTGTATATACTATAATGGTGGACACATGTCATTATACATTTGTCAAAATTCACAGACTATATATTCTGTGAATATTCATTCACAAAGAATGAATCCTAATGTAAACTATGGACTTCATTGATAATGATAAGTGAATGCTGTTTCATAGATTATAACAAATGTACCACACCAGTGTGGGATATTGAGGGTGGGGCAGCTGTGGGTGTCAGAGGGAGAAAGGGACATACGGAAACTCTCCATACTTTCCACTCAATTTTTCTGCAAACCTGAAACCACTCTAAAAGATAAAGTCAATTACTTAAAATAAATAAAAATGTAAAGTGTTAAAAATTTAAAAATAAACATGGGGGAGAGAAAAACCTAGGAAATTTAAGAACACGGGTCATATTTTTGATACTTTGAGAAAACAATAAAATAAGGGCTCTGGAACTTTGAATTAGGTGAAAAGAAGCTAAACACACACACACACACACACACACACACACACACACACACACAAACTATTCTCCAACATATGGTTCTCAACAAGATGAAGCACATTCATTTCTTTCTATTTCTCCCTCTATCAAAAAATCTGCATGTTATATATGAAAAAAAAAACATAAAAAGATTCTCAAAGTTGAAGAGAAAACGATAGACTGGCTAGGGATCCTGTGACTTGAGGAATGACATGGCAGTGAGTTTCTTGCACTTTATATTCCTCAGCTGGGTACTGAAGAAGTCAGCAACCCAGAAACACCAGTGAGTGCAACCAGACAAACAAAAAAAGCTCCAATGAAGCCTGCTCTTTTTAGCCAAAGGACCAGGATAGGGGGAGCCTAGCAAGACAGAAAACTTACACAGAATAACTGCTTTATCCCAGAAAAACATCATGGAAAATATATGGCCTCCACATTTACCCCCATACCAAAGGCCAGTGGTGAGCCTGGACTGCAAATCACCCAGCAATAATGGAGCACCCTTCCTGCTCAGGTGGTGGCAGAAAAGGCTTAGTAGGAAGCCAAGATTTTTACCACCTTCCAGGGTTAATAAGACCCTCCCACTATGGTGTCAGTGAAGTTCACCTGGCAACAATAAAAAGGTCATCCTACCCCTACTACCTAGAGTTGTGAGTGGGGAGCTTGAACTCTCACCTCT
The DNA here is from genome assembly GCF_000001405.40 of Homo sapiens. Taxonomy (NCBI): domain Eukaryota; kingdom Metazoa; phylum Chordata; class Mammalia; order Primates; family Hominidae; genus Homo; species Homo sapiens. The sequence continues at coordinate 28,421,195 of NC_000003.12, read as the reverse complement.
GCACAGTGGAATTGAGGCACCCTTCCCTCCCTTGGAAATCAATAGAAGCTGAGTGGGGAACCTTGACTCTTACTCCCATGTGGGAGTAACAAAGAGGTGCTCCCACATATCCTGCTGACACAGTAGCAAAAGCAGCCTGCTAAATAGGTTTAAATAAGATCCAAAATGAAAAGAATATAAAGTCTAGTAAATAAATAGGAAATATAAAGAACCAAATGAACATTTCAGAACTGAAAATACAATATTTTTAAAAGCTGAATGGATACTTTCAATACAGCATGAATATAACAGAGAAAAGAATCAGTGAACTTAAAAAGAGAACAATAGGAATAAACCAATCTGAACAACAGAGAGAAAATGAACTGAAAAAAAGTTATTACTCCCTCTTGCCTTCCGAACAAATAAGAACTCATTTCATATAAAAGTACTCAAGAAGAAAAGATTACAGTAGAGTCTAATATAAAGTTGTTATGGTAAAAATAAATAATACCCCTACCAAAAAGTGAAAGCTTATCACAGCAGCATGGCCTTACAAAGATCAAAATTGTACCTGAAAGTTCAAGTTGAGAAAATAGAAATTAAGAAAGTAATACAAGTAATGAAAAAAAAAACAACATAAAGTATAATTAAAAACTAAAAAAAAGTGAGAAAGTGATTAGAGAAAAATATTTGATGATGAGAACACATGGACATGTAGAAGGGAATAAAAGACACAGGGCCTACTAGAGGGTGGAAGGTGGGAGGAGGGAGAGGATCAGGAAAAATAACCAAGGGATACCAGGCTTAATACCGGGGTGATTACATAATGAAATGAAGGCAGAAATAAAGATGTTCTTTGAAACCAACGAGAACAAAGACACAGCATACCAGAATCTCTGGGACACATTCAAAGCAGTGTGTAGAGGGAAATTTATAGCACTAAATGCCCACAAGAGAAAGCAGGAAAGATCTAAAACTGACACCCTAACGCCACAATTAAAAGAACTAGAGAAGCAAGAGCAAACACATTCAAAAGCTAGCAGAAGGCAAGAAATAACTAAGATCAGAGCAGAACTGAAGGAAATACAGACACAAAAACCCCTTCAAAAAATCAATGATTCCAGGAGCTGTTTTTTTTTTTAATTATACTTTCGGTATTAGGGTACATGTGCACAACGTGCAGGTTTGTTACATATGTATACACGTGCCATGATGGTGTGCTGCACCCATTAACTCGTCATTTAGCGTTAGGTATATCTCCGAATGCTATCCCTCCCCCCTCCCCCCACCCCACAACAGTCCCCGGTGTGTGATGTTCCCCTTCCTGTGTCCATGTGTTCTCATTGTTCAATTCCCACCTATGAGTGAGAACATGCGGTGTTTGGTTTTTTGTCCTTGCGAAAGTTTGCTGAGAATGATGGTTTCCAGCTTCATCCATATCCCTACAAAGGACATGAACTCATCATTTTTTTATGGCTGCATAGTATTCCATGGTGTATATGTGCCACATTTTCTTAACCCAGTCTACCCTTGTTGGACATCTGGGTTGGTTCCAAGTCTTTGCTATTGTGAATAGTGCCGCAATAAACATACGTGTGCATGTGTCTTTATAGCAGCATGATTTATAATCCTTTGGGTATATACCCAGTAATGGGATGGCTGGGTCAAATGGTATTTCTAGTTCTAGATCCCTGAGGAATCACCACACTGACTTCCACAATGGTTGAACTAGTTTACAGTCCCAGCAACAGTTCCTATTTCTCCACATCCTCTCCAGCACCTGTTGTTTCCTGACTTTTTAATGATCGCCATTCTAACTGGTGTGAGATGGTATCTCATTGTGGTTTTGATTTGCATTTCTCTGATGGCCAGTGATGATGAGCATTTTTTCATGTGTTTTTTGGCTGCATAAATGTCTTCTTTTGAGAAGTGTCTGTTCATATCCTTCGCCCACTTTTGATGGGGTTGTTTGTTTTTTTCTTGTAAATTTGTTGGAGTTCATTGTAGATTCTGGGTATTAGCCCTTTGTCAGATGAGTAGGTTGCAAAAATTTTCTCCCATTCTGTAGGTTGCCTGTTCACTCTGATGGTGGTTTCTTCTGCTGTGCAGAAGCTCTTTAGTTTAATTAGATCCCATTTGTCAATTTTGGCTTTTGTTGCCATAGCTTTTGGTGTTTTAGACATGAAGTCCTTGCCCATGCCTATGTCCTGAATGGTATTGCCTAGGTTTTCTTCTAGGGTTTTTATGGTTTTAGGTCTAACATGTAAGTCTTTAATCCATCTTGAATTAATTATAAGGTGTATATTATAAGGTGTAATTATAAGGTGTATAATTATATATTAATTATAAGGTGTATATTAATTATAAGGTGTAAGGAAGGGATCCAGTTTCAGCTTTCTACATATGGCTAGCCAGTTTTCCCTGCACCATTTATTAAATAGGGAATCCTTTCCCCATTGCTTGTTTTTGTCAGGTTTGTCAAAGATCAGATAGTTGTAGATATGCGGCATTATTTCTGAGGGCTCTGTTCTGTTCCATTGGTCTATATCTCTGTTTTGGTACCAGTACCATGCTGTTTTGGTTACTGTAGCCTTGTAGTATAGTTTGAAGTCAGGTAGCGTGATGGTTCCAGCTTTGTTCTTTTGGCTTAGGATTGACTTGGCAATGTGGGCTCTTTTTTGGTTCCATATGAACTTTAAAGTAGTTTTTTCCAATTCTGTGAAGAAATTCATTGGTAGCTTGATGGGGATGGCATTGAATCTATAAATTACCCTGGGCAGTATGGCCATTTTCACAATATTGAATCTTCCTACCCATGAGCGTGTACTGTTCTTCCATTTGTTTGTATCCTCTTTTATTTCATTGAGCAGTGGTTTGTAGTTCTCCTTGAAGAGGTCCTTCACATCCCTTGTAAGTTGGATTCCTAGGTATTTTATTCTCTTTGAAGCAATTGTGAATGGGAGTTCACTCATGATTTGACTCTCTGTTTGTCTGTTATTGGTGTATAAGAATGCTTGTGATTTTTGCACATTGATTTTGTATCCTGAGACTTTGCTGAAGTTGCTTATCAGCTTAAGGAGATTTTGGGCTGAGACGATGGGGTTTTCTAGATATACAATCATGTCATCTGCAAACAGGGACAATTTGACTTCCTCTTTTCCTAATTGAATACCCGTTATTTCCCTCTCCTGCCTGATTGCCCTGGCCAGAACTTCCAACACTATGTTGAATAGGAGTGGTGAGAGAGGGCATCCCTGTCTTGTGCCAGTTTTCAAAGGGAATGCTTCCAGTTTTTGTCCATTCAGTATGATATTGGCTGTGGGTTTGTCATAGATAGCTCTTATTATTTTGAGATACATCCCATCAATACCTAATTTATTGAGAGTTTTTAGCATGAAGAGTTCTTGAATTTTGTCAAAGGCCTTTTCTGCATCTTTTGAGATAATCATGTGGTTTCTGTCTTTGGTTCTGTTTATATGCTGGAGTACGTTTATTGATTTTCGTATGTTGAACCAGCCTTGCATCCCAGGGATGAAGCCCACTTGATCATGGTGGATAAGCTTTTTGATGTGCTGCTGGATTCGGTTTGCCAGTATTTTATTGAGGATTTCTGCATCGATGTTCATCAAGGATATTGGTCTAAAATTCTCTTTTTTTGTTGTGTCTCTGTCAGGCTTTGGTATCAGGATGATGCTGGCCTCATAAAATGAGTTAGGGAAGATTCCCTCTTTTTCTATTGATTGGAATAGTTTCAAAAGGAATGGTACCAGGTCCTCCTTGTACCTCTGGTAGAATTCTGCTGTGAATCCATCTGGTCCTGGACTTTTTTTGGTTGCTAAACTATTAATTATTGCCTCAATTTCAGAGCCTGTTATTGGTCTATTCAGAGATTCAACTTCTATCTTGTTTAGTCTTGGGAGGGTGTATGTGTCAAGGAATTTATCCATTTCTTCTAGATTTTCTAGTTTATTTGTGTAGAGGTATTTATAGTATTCTCTGATGGTAGTTTGTATTTCTGTGGGATCAGTGGTGATATCCCCTTTGTCTTTTCTTCTTTATTTGTCTTGCTAGCAGTGATATCCCCTTTGTCTTTTCTTCTTTATTAGTCTTCCTAGCGGTCTATCAATTTTGTTGACCTTTTCAAAAAAAAAAAAAAAAAGAGAGGGAATCCTGCCTAACTCATTTTATGAGGCCAGCATCATCCTGATACCAAAGCCTGACAGAGACACAACAAAAAAAGAGAATTTTAGACCAATATCCTTGATGAACATCGATGCAGAAATCCTCAATAAAATACTGGCAAACCGAATCCAGCAGCACATCAAAAAGCTTATCCACCATGATCAAGTGGGCTTCATCCCTGGGATGCAAGGCTGGTTCAACATACGAAAATCAATAAACGTACTCCAGCATATAAACAGAACCAAAGACAGAAACCACATGATTATCTCAAAAGATGCAGAAAAGGCCTTTGACAAAATTCAAGAACTCTTCATGCTAAAAACTCTCAATAAATTAGGTATTGATGGGATGTATCTCAAAATAATAAGAGCTATCTATGACAAACCCACAGCCAATATCATACTGAATGGACAAAAACTGGAAGCATTCCCTTTGAAAACTGGCACAAGACAGGGATGCCCTCTCTCACCACTCCTATTCAACATAGTGTTGGAAGTTCTGGCCAGGGCAATCAGGCAGGAGAGGGAAATAACGGGTATTCAATTAGGAAAAGAGGAAGTCAAATTGTCCCTGTTTGCAGATGACATGATTGTATATCTAGAAAACCCCATCGTCTCAGCCCAAAATCTCCTTAAGCTGATAAGCAACTTCAGCAAAGTCTCAGGATACAAAATCAATGTGCAAAAATCACAAGCATTCTTATACACCAATAACAGACAAACAGAGAGTCAAATCATGAGTGAACTCCCATTCACAATTGCTTCAAAGAGAATAAAATACCTAGGAATCCAACTTACAAGGGATGTGAAGGACCTCTTCAAGGAGAACTACAAACCACTGCTCAATGAAATAAAAGAGGATACAAACAAATGGAAGAACAGTACACGCTCATGGGTAGGAAGATTCAATATTGTGAAAATGGCCATACTGCCCAGGGTAATTTATAGATTCAATGCCATCCCCATCAAGCTACCAATGAATTTCTTCACAGAATTGGAAAAAACTACTTTAAAGTTCATATGGAACCAAAAAAGAGCCCACATTGCCAAGTCAATCCTAAGCCAAAAGAACAAAGCTGGAACCATCACGCTACCTGACTTCAAACTATACTACAAGGCTACAGTAACCAAAACAGCATGGTACTGGTACCAAAACAGAGATATAGACCAATGGAACAGAACAGAGCCCTCAGAAATAATGCCGCATATCTACAACTATCTGATCTTTGACAAACCTGACAAAAACAAGCAATGGGGAAAGGATTCCCTATTTAATAAATGGTGCAGGGAAAACTGGCTAGCCATATGTAGAAAGCTGAAACTGGATCCCTTCCTTACACCTTATAATTAATATACACCTTATAATTAATATATAATTATACACCTTATAATTACACCTTATAATATACACCTTATAATTAATTCAAGATGGATTAAAGACTTACATGTTAGACCTAAAACCATAAAAACCCTAGAAGAAAACCTAGGCAATACCATTCAGGACATAGGCATGGGCAAGGACTTCATGTCTAAAACACCAAAAGCTATGGCAACAAAAGCCAAAATTGACAAATGGGATCTAATTAAACTAAAGAGCTTCTGCACAGCAGAAGAAACCACCATCAGAGTGAACAGGCAACCTACAGAATGGGAGAAAATTTTTGCAACCTACTCATCTGACAAAGGGCTAATACCCAGAATCTACAATGAACTCCAACAAATTTACAAGAAAAAAACAAACAACCCCATCAAAAGTGGGCGAAGGATATGAACAGACACTTCTCAAAAGAAGACATTTATGCAGCCAAAAAACACATGAAAAAATGCTCATCATCACTGGCCATCAGAGAAATGCAAATCAAAACCACAATGAGATACCATCTCACACCAGTTAGAATGGCGATCATTAAAAAGTCAGGAAACAACAGGTGCTGGAGAGGATGTGGAGAAATAGGAACTGTTGCTGGGACTGTAAACTAGTTCAACCATTGTGGAAGTCAGTGTGGTGATTCCTCAGGGATCTAGAACTAGAAATACCATTTGACCCAGCCATCCCATTACTGGGTATATACCCAAAGGATTATAAATCATGCTGCTATAAAGACACATGCACACGTATGTTTATTGCGGCACTATTCACAATAGCAAAGACTTGGAACCAACCCAGATGTCCAACAAGGGTAGACTGGGTTAAGAAAATGTGGCACATATACACCATGGAATACTATGCAGCCATAAAAAAATGATGAGTTCATGTCCTTTGTAGGGATATGGATGAAGCTGGAAACCATCATTCTCAGCAAACTTTCGCAAGGACAAAAAACCAAACACCGCATGTTCTCACTCATAGGTGGGAATTGAACAATGAGAACACATGGACACAGGAAGGGGAACATCACACACCGGGGACTGTTGTGGGGTGGGGGGAGGGGGGAGGGATAGCATTCGGAGATATACCTAACGCTAAATGACGAGTTAATGGGTGCAGCACACCATCATGGCACGTGTATACATATGTAACAAACCTGCACGTTGTGCACATGTACCCTAAAACTTAAAGTACAATAATAATAAAATTAAAAAAAAACCTGGTTGATGAAATAATCTTCACAACAAACCCCCATGAAACGAGTTTCCCTATACAACAAACCTGCACATGTATCCCGGAACCTAAAATTAAAATTAAAAGAAAGAGAAAAAGATTTGAAAAGAGAAGAAACATGACTAATGAAAAATTTTTTTGTAATTTTGACAAGAAAGACTAAACTAGAAGAAACACAAGAACAATTGATAATACCTTCAGAAAAAAAAGAAAAAAAATTAAATTTATAAAAATTGAAAAGAGAAAAACAGTTCAAGAAAAGGTAATACAAACGATAGACAAATAGCCACCATAAGTAATATCAAAATCCTAAAATAAGAAAATCAAAGCAATGCAACAGAACAAATATAATAGGTTATAATTTAATAAACCTTAGCTAAAAATAAGACTTGAAGTTATATACTGAAAGTGCACACTGCATACTTGGGAAAACCAACCTAGAATGGGAAATATTGGAATATAATAAATCTACATAAATCTAAAGAAAAAAATATTTTAGGTATCTAGGCAACAATTATAGAATACATGCTTTTCAAATGACTGTGAAACATTAATAAGATATGCCACAAGAAGGTATGGTGGGCCATACAATCAGAATCAGTGGAACTGATTACAACAGATTTAAATTAGAATGCAATAAGACACATTAAAATTCCCCAATATTTGGTAATTTAAAGACACACTTCTAAAAAACGGATTTCAAAAAGGAAATCACAAAGAAAATCAGTAAATATTTCAAAATGAATAATAAAACACAGTATATCAAAATTTGTAGGAGGAAGCTACAACACTACTTGGAGAAAAATTTATAGCTTTAATTGCCTATATTGGGAGGAAAATAAGATTCGAATTCAGTTACCTAACTTTCCCATTTAAAAAGCTAGAAAAAAATCCAAAGAAGTATGGAAAAGAGCAATGATAAATCAAGAAACAAGTAGACAAAAGAAAAATGTTTAGTCTTCAAAAAGATTTTTAATATTCATAAACCTAGCAAGACTACATTTCAAAAGTCATAAAACTACACAAACCTTACCTTGGCCAATTCTGTAATTTTACCAAAACCAGGCTTCCAAGAGGGAGCTGTGAATAGACAATCTTAAATCCACACTGATGAAGCTGAGACTCTTCAGGGAAGTCTTCTTCAGAAATTGAGCAGTTATTATATCTTGAATCAGTGTTCATGAAGCAGTACCATGGTTCATCATGATCAACCTTGGCTGAATCCTCACTTGATAACAATCTCCATTTCAAACAATTTTCATTCTCACATTGAACCCACACTTTGTTTACATACATGTTTTCCACTGAGGAATCCATTGCATAGTTACAATATTCAATCTTAACATCCAATTTTTCTTTATCCATTAAGGCATTTAATCTGGAAAATAAGAAAGAGGAAAATAACAGAATGAGGATTCAAGAGTATAAGGAGAGAAAATTCAAACCAAAAATCAGAGAAATTCCTCTTTGATATCTTCTATGCCCACCCCCTCTCTATCCTACAAAGACTACATATGTTGAACACGTTGTTTCCACCTACCCAGAAATAAAGGAACAAAATAGAAACAACAATCACTCTGAGCATAAAATGCACCAAAATTAAAAATAAGAAAAATATGATGGAGCCAAAGGGGAGTAGAGGTGACTATAATTTCTATTAACCTAATATATAGCACACATCTGGTATACATCAAGTACATTTTCCCATGATAACAGCTAAGCCTTACTGAATGCTGACTATGCACCAGGTATTATTCTAAGTGCTTTATACACATGGCTCATATAGTCTTCCCAACAACCTTATTATGCTCATTTTTACAGACAAAACTGAAGCTAAGAAATGTAAAGCAATTTGTCTCAGGTCCTGGAACTGGTACACAGTAGAGCTGGAATTTAAATGTCAGCAGTTTGATTCTAAGTTTGTGATCTTACCCATTAGTTTGTACTGCCTCTTGAGTATATATATTGCATGACTAAATGAACCTTTTCTTCTTCTGTCTCAGGAAATCAAATGCAGCAAAATATTTCAACATACAAAAATGCAAGATTTTTAAAAATTAAATAAATCTCATATAGTTTCAGCTTTTATTTATTATTAATTAAATTTCTCAGAGCTTTTTTGTTAGAAAAATTTTAAACATATAAAAAGTTTGAATTGTGTAACAAAGCCCCCAAATTCTGGCTTCAATAAAAAAGTATATAGTAATAAATAAATATAAATAAAATACAAGTAGAACTAATTATTGGCAACTTATTTTGCAATACAAAGTCTGTTTCTTAAAAATAAAAAGACTAATGTACCATACTATCCAAGTATAAGCACCATTTAAAGAATCCTTTAATTTATAAGTTAATCATATATTTAGAAGCTCACTTACTTACATTTGTCACATATCTTACCAGGGCCACTGCAAATTGCTTTAGAAATTTGTCCATATATTTCAATAGCCATAGTTCGAAAATTTTGACCTACTAATCCCACTCATGCAAATGTAATAAAATAAATTTTAAAAAGACCAACCAATACATAGCAAGACCAAAAACATTCAGTGTAACACTGTTTTTCATGTTGAAAGAGTGAAAAAGTCTAAAAACAGAATCAAATCTAGCAGAAGATATAAACTTTTACTAATGATATTTGTTTTAATGTGTTTAATTCTTTAATTGATGAGAAAATGCATAAAGGCAAAAACGCAATGTGGATTGCAACTGAAGTGAATAAATTTTTTCTCTACTTTCTGGGTCACCAGTCAGTAAAGCAGAAGTGACTGAGGTTAGACTTTGGAGCCAGGTTATGTGTTACTTACAGAGTCTCTGCCCTTTGCTAGACTTTCACTTCACATGAAGTGTGTGTGTGTAACAACTTTTTTTGCTTGTTTAGTTCCAATATTCATATGCTGTCTTACTATGGTGGCTAAGACAGATATAACATTGACTAGAAGCCATGATAGTAGATTTTTTTTTTTCTAATTTTAAAGAGAATGCTTCGAATGTTTGTTATGTTGGGAGTACGGTTTTTGTAGAGACCATTAAAAGGCTACAGAAAGTTGTTTTCCTTCTATTACCAGCTTACCAAAAGGATTTTTTTTGTTGATATTAATCATAATGTGGTGTTTAATTTCATCAAATTCTTTTCTGCATATACTGAGATAAATATATGGATTTCTTTTAAAATGTATTAATTGGGTACACATTGTATTCATGAATTTTTGAATAATAAACTATATTTGTATTCTGGATAATCCCTACCTGGTTATGCCTCATAAGTTTTTAATATACATTGCTGTATTTTGTTTATTAATAATTAATATTTTTACATGTGTGTATAAATAAGATTTGTCTATTATTTTATTTCTCCTTTTGTCTTTGTCTGGTTTTCATATCAAGATTATAAAATCACTTCATTAAATAAAGTAAAAAATGTTCCCCCATTTTGGGAAAGTTTGCCTAAGGGAGGAATTTTCTAATTTTAACATAAATTTTATGAATTTTAGTATATCTACTACATTTGTCTCTTTTGCTTTGAAGTTTGTTTATGCCCTCTCTTTTTTTCTTCATTTATCTTGTCAGAGTTTATTAAACAACCAGAATTTGAGTCCCTTCAGTTTTTTGAATTCTATTTAATGAATAGCTGCACTTTTCTTAATTCTTTCTTTCCTTTTACTTTCTTTGGACATTCTCTGTTGCTCTTATTTTTCTCTTCTTAAGTTGATGCTTAGTTAATTCATTTGCAGTCTTTTCTAATACAAGCATTCAAGGTTATACATTCCTATCTCAGTATTGCTTTATTATTTAGTTTTAAACACAAGGTTTCTATTCATCTTTTACCCGAGTTACTTAATTTAAAAAATTCAGAAGGTAGGGGTATTTAAGAGATTTTATTATTGATTTTTAATGTAATTGTATTTTGGTTAGAGAATATAATCTGTGTGATATTGATTTTTTTGGCATTTGTTTTGTTTTGTGGCCCTACTTAACAACACTTGTGAATGTTATATGTGTGCAAAAAATGATGCATATTTTTCAATTGTTGGGTGCAAGGTGTACATTTAATCATTATACCAAGCTTTGTATCAACAATTATAAATAAAATTTTATGATTGTGGGGTTAATTTTCTCTATCCATACTAAATGGTTGATATATTAATTACTTAAAGGGCTATGTTAAAATCTCCCATAGTAATTGTGGATTTGTCAATTTATCCCCATAATTTTGTCAGGTTTCTTTGCTTATTAAATATATACATGTTCAGATTTGTTACATCTTGTTGGTGAATTCTTCCTCATCTTATGTAATGATGCAATTTATCCCTAATAATGTTCTTTGCCAATCTACTAGTTTAATTAGTGGAACCAAACTACTTGGTCCACTATTAACATAGCAATTAAGATAGTAGTTATGTTTCTGATTGGCTTGGTCCTAGTTATAACTTTTACCATCCCTTTACTTTTACCCTTTCTAATATTATGGGTTTCCTTATCTCTGCCTCCTGTAAACAATATATAGTTGGGATTTGCATTTTTATCCAATCTAAGATATGATCTGCTAACCAGTGATTTTAGTTCATTTACTTTGACACTGATATACTTGCATTTTTGTGCACCTTTTATTTATTATGCTATTTCTTTACTTATTTTCTCCTTTCCTAACTTGTATTAAAACAAATTAATATTTTTCTTCTCTATACTGGTTTTGACAAGTTTATGTTATTTTTATTACAATAGTTACCCTTAATACTACTCTTAATACATGATTTAACAAGGTATAAATTAATCAATATCTCTACCTTCTTCAGAATAACAGAATGCTTTAATCCAGATGACCTTTGTGCCTTTATCTCATTTCTTGCCAGCATCATAGTTCTATTTTGCATTTATACCTCAAAATTTGTCATAATTATCACTAGTGTGTTTTCTACAATATTCATTTAGATTTTTCCATATGTTTTCCAGTTTCTTTGCTACCTAACAGTATTCACTGAATGAGGATAGTGAGAGAAAGGGAGAAAACAGTGGCCGGGCATGGTTCCTCATGCCTATAATCCCAGCACTTTGAGGGGCTGAAGCTGGTGAATCATTTGAGGTCAGGAGTTCAAGACCAGCCTGGTCAACATAGCGAAACCCAGCCTCTACTGAAAATACAAAAATTAGCCAGGTGTGGTGGCAGGCGCCTGTAATCCCAGCTACTTGCAAGGCTGAGGCAGGAGAATCGCTTGAACCAGAGAGGCAGAAGTTGCAGTGAGCCAAGATCGCACCATGCATTCCAGCCTGGGTGACAAAGTGAGACTCAAAAAAAAAAAAAAAAAAAAAAGAAAAAGAAAAAATTAAGCCATCTGGAGTATCGGGAATATTTTCTGTGTTTGTGAATGAATAAGATGGAAGACTCTACTTTTTATCTAAGTAGTTAACCAATGATCAAATAATATTTATTTAATTCTTCATCTTTTAGTAATTGGTCCGAAATGGCTCTTTACCCTAATTCACATATGTGCATATGAATCTATTTCTGGGCTCTGTATTCCTTTCTTTCAGATGTCTTTCCCTGTACCAAAAGAGATTCAGATAATTCTAAGTCTAAAGCAGGTATTGACAGTCTATGTGAACAACTGAGCTGAGGGAAAATAGTTGGGGTACAGATCTAGAAAGAATGAGATTATCAATAACGAGTTCATTCAAGGACATTCTATTTACTTTTGTTTAATAAGTAAGAAAAATAGGCTTTACTAATACTTAATATGAAATTGACACTGGAATCTTTACTAAGACCATATGTAAGCTGGTCATATGTGAGGTCTCCTGCTGAAAAGGTGGGAGATGCCATAACTTAAGAGGGCTTCACAAATGTGCCTTTCAGTTACTCATTTACAATTACTATTATGCAATGTATTGGAGTTACATTTAACTAACTAGTTTATAGAATATATTATCTAGATTAAACTATTCCTCACAAAATAAAGTTACTTTAGAAAATTTCTAAAAAGAAACAGAAAAACTAGACAATATTAATAATGCAAATAATGAAGTATGAGAGAGATGACAGAAAGAAGAAAGTAATTACTGTCACTCAATCATGTAGGATTTTGTCCAACTTGCAACCAATGGGTTGCTATAAAGGGGAAAGTTTGTGGCATCACATCAATGGAAAGCTTATGAAAATTCATTATGACAGTCTATTATAAAATGTTAAGGGGATTAAAAGATTACTTTTAAATGGTAGATAAGGTTTTCAAATTTTCTTAGGATGTTGGGTCTCATAGTGGATAACGCTGAGAAGATAAACTAACACTAAGAAAATGTCATTATTACTTAAATAGTGATACTCATTTTCAATTGCATCTAACTTAAACCTCTTGGTATTTTAGATTTGATACGTTTTATCCAGGCTACCAGAATTTAGAATATAGATCATAAAATGCTTATTCTTTTCAAACCAGATTCTCATTGATTCCATTACATTTTCTCCAACACTTTGCTGGTTTTCAAAACTCCTGCCACATAGAGAAGATGCAAATGACAATGAGGAAGTGAATGTGTTCACAAGAATGCTAGAGCCTTTGAAGGGATCCCTATATAATCATACCTAAGTAGACCAGAATTAGTTCATAAAGACAATGACAAATGCAAAGCTATGCTGAGTACAATATTTGCTTCATTCAACTTTTGTTTTTAATTTTTTATTTCATAACTTAGTTATATTGAACTAGAAAATGCAGAAAAACAAAATATTAAATTTTAAAAATAGAAAACACAGAATGGCTATTTAAAATTATAAAGTCTTGAGTTCAAGGAAATGTATATGAATGGTTATGGACACTCAATTTTCAGCCAGACAACTCTACCACTCTTTACTAGGCAAATTAGTTAACCACTCAAAATCTCTGATCCCTTACCTGGGGATAATAAGAGTACTACTTATTACCCTATATTGAACTCCTAGCATATTATTTTGCACACTATAGATACTCAATGTTTTTTGAATAAATGGATGACTTTAAACATCAATTCAAACAAGTATTGAGTTCCTATTAAAAGTCAGACACTGGGAACAAAAGATGAAAAAGAAACAATCCCTGTTCTTGACTCAGAACAACATAGATACCAAGTTCCATAAAATACTTGATAAATGTAATACAGTGTGATGTTAGATGTACAAATACCTAGGAGAACACAAATGAGAAAATAATTTTCTTAAAATAAGAGGGCTCCATGAAGGATGCAGGGAGCAGCTAGCATTTGAGCTGAACCTGAAAAGATAAGTAGTTCACTTTACCAAGGTGATGGAGCAAAGGAGCACATAGGAGGAAACTCGCCAGGTGCAATGGCTCATGCCTGTAATCTCAACATTCTGGAAGGCCAAAGTGAGTGGATCACTTGTGCCCAGGAGTTTGAGACCAGCCTGGGCAACATAGTGAGATGCAATCCCTACCAAAAATAATTAAATTAGCTGGGTGTTATAGGGCACACCTATATTCCCATTATTCAGAAGGCTGAGGCATGAGGATTGCTTCAGCTCAGGAGTTGGAAGCTGCAGTGAGCTATGATGATGCCACTGCAGTGTAGCCTGGGTGACAGACCGAGACCTTGTCTGTCAAAAAAAAAAAAAAAAAGAAAAAAAAGAAAAGGAAATTCCATGAAAACATGCATGCATGTAACGTACAAAAATATTGAGCTGAGCTGTTAGAACACTTTTTAAGGGAAGCAAAGGTCATAGCAGGCGAGGGTGGAAAAACCTCAGAAGAGTCTTATTTACCATGTTAGGTTAATCGACCTTATTATCCTGGAAGCAAAGAGGAGTCATTGTCTGTTTAAAACTAAGAGTATCACAAAAAATAAGATACTTCATAATTTCCAAGGCACATATTTTTACATTTAAACATCTCAGCAACCACACTGTATCTTCCAGTCAATATCCTCTCAAAGTCATGATGTAGTTGTCATTGCCTCTACATGAATAGACTTGATAATTTAAAGTATAAGCTCACCCAAAAGTGCACAGATATGGTTTTCTCATGCTATGACTGGACAACAGTCACTACAAAAGCATTTCAAGAACTCTGATGATTTCTGAATCGTCTGCAGGGTCATTCTCCCATTTTCTTGGATAATAGATATTGGCTTCTGTTGAGATTGCCAATTTCTTTATCAGATGGTCATTTAGCCACACCCTTCATGTTCTCTCCTGAACATGCTTTCTCATTCTTTACTATATGTGTAGGCTGAGAAGTTTCCAAATCCTTAAGTACTGCTTCTCTTTTGATAAACAACTCCATCTTTAAATCACTTTTCTCCTCTTATACTTTACTATTAGCAGTCAAGAAGAGCCAAGCCACAGCTTCAACACTTTGCTCAGGTATTTCCCTCAGTCAAATATTCAATTTAATCACTCACAGTTCTACTTCCACAAAACACTAGAACATGAACACAATTGAGCCAAGTTCTTTGCCACATTATAACAAGGATGGCCTTTCCTCCATTGCTTTATGATATGTTCCTATTTCCATCTGAGAATGGCCTCCCACCTAAATGGTCTTTACTGTCTATATTTCTACCAACATTCTCCTCAGGATTACTTAGGTATTTTTTAAGAAGATTGAGACATTCTCTATTGCACTCCTCTTTTCTTTCTGGGCCCTCACCAGAATCATTCTTAACAGTCTGTTGGCCGGGTGGGGTGACTCATGTCTATAATCCCAGCACTTTGGGAGGCTGAGGCAGGCAGATCACACGGTCAGGAGTTAGAGACCAGCCTGGCCAACACAGTGAAACGCCGTCTCTACTAAAAATACAAAAATTAGCCAGGCATGGTGGTGGGTGCCTGTAATCCTGGCTACTTGGGAGGCTGAGGCAGGAGAATCACTTGAAACTGGAAGGCAGAGGTTGCAGTGAGCCAAGATTGCACCACTGCACTCCAGCCTAGGCAACAAGAGTGAAACTCTGTCTCAAAAAAACAAACAAACAAACAAAAACCTCTGTTTACAGCAATGTACGCTTTTTCTGGCATGCCCCTCAAAACTCTGCAAGCCTCTACCCTAAATCCACTATCACATTCTTAGGAATTTATTACAGCAGCACCTCCACTTCTCAGTACCAATTTCCTGCCTTAGTATGTTCAGGTTGCAAAGGCCTACCACCTAATGCCACCTCCCAAAGGCTTTACCTCCTAATATCTTGGAGGTTAGGATTTCAAAATATCAATTTCAGGGGACACAGACATTCAGACCATAGCAATATTATGTGGAAAGATCAACATCAAAGACTGAATTGAAAAGAGACTTAGGAAAAGTACGTTTATATGAATAAGCTTTAGGAATTCCATAACCACATTTATTTCACTTATATTTTCTTTTTTTATGTGAGATGTGATAAGAATATATGTCTAAATGAGTTCAAAATAAATATTTTATTTCCATTGGTTATTGGGGAACAGGTGGTATTTGGTTACATGGGTAAGTTCTTAAGTGGTGATTTGTGAGATTTTGGTGTACCCACCATCCAAGCAGTATACAATGCACTCTATTTGTAGTCTTTTGTCCCTCACCCTCCTTCCATTATTTCCTCCTAAGTCCCCAAAGTCCATTGTGTCATTCTTATCCCTTTGCATCCTCATAGATTAGCTCCCACTTGTAAGTGAGGAATATGACGTTTGGTTTTCCATTCCTGAGTTACATCACTTAGAATAATAGTCTCCAATCTCATCCAGGTCACTGTGAATGCCATTAATTCATTCTTTTTAATGGCTAAGTAGTATTTCATTATATATATATCACTGTTTCTTGTTTCTTTATCCACTCATTGATTGATGGGCATTTGAGTTGGTTCCATGTTTTTGTGATTGTAAATTGTGCTGTTATAAACATGAATGTGCAGGTACATTTTTCATATAATAACTTTTTTCTCTCTGGGTAGAGAGCCAGTAGTGAAAATGCTAGATCAAATGGCAGTTCTACTTCTAGTTCTTTACGGAATCTCCACACTGTTTTCCACAGTGGTTGTACTAGTTTACATTCCCACCAGCAGTGTAGAAGTGTTCCCTGTTCACCGCATCCATGCCAACATCTGTTTTTTGATTTTTTGATTATGGCCATTCTTGCAGAGTAAGGTGGTATCGCATTGTGGTTTTGATTTGCATTTTCCTGATTATTCATGATGTTGAGCATTTTTTCGTATGTTTGTTGGTCATTTGTATATCTCTTTTGAGAATTGTGTATTCATGTCCTTAGGCCACTTTTTGATGTTTTTTTTTTCTTGTTAATTTATTTGAGTTCATTGTAGATTCTGGATATTAGTCCTTTGTCAGATGTATAGGTTGTGAAGAATTTTTTTCCACTCTCTGGGTTTTTTATTCTGCTGACTGTTCCTTTGCCATACAAAAGCTCTTTAATTAAGTCCCAGCTATTTGTCTTTGTTTTTATTGCATTTTCTTTTGGGTTCTTGGTCATGAAGTCCATGCCTAAGTCAATGTCTAGAAGGGGTTTTCCAATATTATCTTCTAGAATTTTTATAGTTTCAGGTTTTAGATTTAAGTCCTTAATCCATCTTGAGTTGATTTTTGTGTAAGGTGAGAGATGAGGATCCAGTTTCATCCTCCTGCATGTGGCTAGCCAATTATCCCAGCACCATTTGTTGAAAAGAGTGTCCTTTCCTCACTTTATGTTTTTTTTGCTTTGTCAAAGATCAGTTGGCTGTAAGTATTTGGGTTTATTTCTGAGTTCTCTATTCTGTTCCATTGGTCTGTGTGGCTATTTTTATACCAGTACCATGCTGTTTTGGTGACTATGGCCTTATAGTATAGTTTGAAATCAGTTAATGTGATGCCTCCAGATTTGTTCTTTTTGCTTAGTCTTGCTTTGGCTATGTGGGCTCTTTTTTGGTTCCACATAAATTTTAGAATTTTTTTTCTAATTCCGTGAAGAATGATGATGGTATTTTGATGGGAATTGCATTGAATTTGTAGATTGCTCTTGGCAGTGTGGTCATTTTCACAATATTGATTCTACCCATCCATGAGCGTGGGATGTTTTTTCATTTTTTTGTGTTGTCTATGATTTCTAACAGCAGTGTTATGTAGTTTTCCTTGCAGAGGTCTTTCACCTCCTTGGTTAGGTGTATTCCTAAGTAATTTCTTTTTTCAGCTATTGTGAAAGGGGTTGAGTTCTTGATTTGATTCTCAGCTTGGTTGCTGTTGGTGTATAGAAGAGCTGCTGACTTGTGTACATTAATTCTGTATCCTGAAACTTAGCTGAGTTATTTTATCAGTTCTAGGAACTTTCTGGAGAAGTCTTTAGGGTTCTCTAGGTAAACACTCACATCATCATCAAACAGCAGCAGTTTGACTTTCTCTTTACTGATTTGGATGCCCTTTATTTCTTTCTCTTGTCTGACTGTTCTGACTAGGACTTCCAGTACTATGTGGAAGAGAAGTGGTGAGAGTGGGCATCCTTGTCTTGTTCCTGTTCTCAGAGGGAATGCTTTCAACTTTTTCCCATTCAGTATTATGTTGACTGTGAGTTTGTCATAGATGGCTTTTATTACACTGAACTTTGCTCCTTGTATGCTGATTTTGCTGAGAGTTTTAATCATAAAGGATACTGGATTTTGTCAAATGCTTCTGCTGTGTCTATTGAGATAATCATGTGATTTTTCTTTTTAATTCTGTTTATGTGGTATATCACATTTATTGACTTGCATATGTTAAACTATTCCTACATCTCTGATATGCCACTTGATCATGGCAGATTATTTTTTAATATGTTGTTGGATTTGATTAGCTAGTATTTTGTTAAAGATTTCAGCAACTATGTTCATCACGAATATCGGTCTGTAGTTTTCTTTTTTGCTTATGTCTTTTTCTCGTTTTGGTATTAGGGTGATACTGGCTTCATAGAATGATTTAGGAAAGGTTCCCTCTTTCTTTATCTTGTGAAATAGTGTCAGTAGGATTGGTACCAATTCTTTGAATGTCTGGCAGAATTTTGCTGTGAATCTGCCTCATCCTGGACTTAATTACCATTTCCATGTTGCTGCTTGCTATTGGTCTATTCGGGGTATCTAATTCTTCCTGATTTAAGCTAACAGGGGTGTATCTTTCCAGGAATTTTTCCATCTCTTCTAGGTTTTCTAGTTTATGTGTGTAAAGGTGTTCATAGTAGCCTTGAATGATATTTTGTATTTCTGTGGTGTCATTTAAAATATCTCCCATGTCATTTCATATTGAGCTTATTTGGATTTTTCTCTCTTCTTTTCTTGGTTAATCTTGCTAATAGTCTAAAAGTTTTATTTATCTTTTCAAAGAACTAGCTTTTTGATTCATCTATCTTTTGTATTTTTTTGTTTGTTTGTTTCAATTTCATTTAGTTCTGCTCTGATCTTGGTTGTTTCCTTTCTTCTGCTTGGTTTGGGTTTTTTTCTTATTTCTCTCATTCCTTGAGGTATGACCTTAGATTGTCTGTTAGTGCTCTTTCAGACTTTTTGAGGTAGGCATTTAGGGCTAAGAAGTTTCCTCTTAGCACTGCCTTTGCTGTATCCCAGAGGTTTTGATAGGTTGTATCACTATGGTCGTTTATGTGGAAGAATTTTTAAATTTCCATCTTGATTTCATTTTTGAACCAATGATCATTCAGGAGCAGGTTATTTAATTTCCATGTATTTGCATAATTTTGAAGGTTCCTTTTGGAGTCAGTTTTCTTATACTGTGGTCTGAAAGAGTGCCTGATATAATTTTAACTTTCTTATTGAGGGTTGTTTTGTGGCCTATAATATGGTCTATCTTGGAGAAAGTTCCATGTGCTGCTGAAAAGAATGTATATTCTGCAGTTGTCGGATGAAATGTTCTGTATAAATCTGTTAAGTCCATTTGTTCCAGGGTATACTTTAAAACCATTGTTTCTTTGTTGACTTTCTGTCTTGATGACCTGTCTAGTGCTATCAGTGGAGTACTGAAGTCCCCCACTATTACTGTGTTGCTGTCTATCTCATTTCTTAGGTCTATTAGTAATTGTTTTATAAATTTGGGAGCTCCAGTGTTAGGTGCATATTGAGTCTTCATGTGTTAGGTGAGTCTCTTGAAGTCAGCAGATAGTTGGCTGGTGAATTCTTATCGATTCTGCAATTCTTTATCTCTTAAGTGGAGCATTTAGGCCATTTACATTCAATGTTAGTATTCAGATGTGGGGTTCCATTCCATTCATCTTTCTATCTGTTACCTGTATACCTTGCTTTTTTTGTTTCTTTTTGTCTTTTTTGTTTGTTTTTTTTTTGAGATGGAGTCTTGCTCGTCGCCCAGGCTGGAGTGCAGGGGTGCAATCTCAGCTCACTGCAAGCTCCGCCTCCCGGGTTCACGCCATTCTCCTGCCTCAGCCTCCCGAGTAGCTGGGACTACAGGCGCCTGCCACCACGCCCGGCTAATTTTTTGTATTTTTAGTAGAGATGGGGTTTCACCATGTTAGCCAGGATGGTCTTGATCTCCTGACCTCGTGATCCACCTGCCTCGGCCTCCCAACGTGCTGGGATTACAGGCGTGAGCCACCATGCCCAGCCGTCTTTGTTTTTTTAAGCTGTATTTTTATTTTATAGAGCCTGTGAAATTTATGCTTTAAAGAGGTTTTGTTTTGATGTGTTTCCAGGATTTCTTTCAAGATTTAGAGCGTTTTTTAGCAGTTCCTGTAGTGGTAGCTTGGTAGTGGCGAATTATCTTAGCATTTGTTTGTATGAAAAAGACTGTATCTTTCCTTCATATATGAAGCTTAGTTTTGCTGGAAGCAAAATTCTTGGCTGATAATTCTTTCATTTGAGGAGGCTGAAGATAGGGCCCCAGTCCCTTCTAGCTTGTAGGGTTTCTGCTGAGAAATCTCCTGTCAATCTGATAGGTTTTCCTTTATAGGTTACCTGGTGATTTTGTCTCACAGCTCTTAAGATTCTTTCCTTCATCTTAACTTTAGATAACTTGATGACTATGTGCCTAGGCGATGATCTTTTTGTGATGAATTTTGCAGGTATTCTTTGTGCTTCTTGTATTTGAATGTCTAGGTCTCTAGCAAGGCTGAAGAAGCTTTCCTTGATTATTCTCCCAAATATGTTTTCCAAACTTTTAAATTTCTCTTCTTCCTTAGGAACACCAATTATTCTTAGGTTTGGTCATTTAACATAATCCCAGACTTCTTTGGGCTTTGTTCATATTTTCTTTTTTGTTGTTGTTGTTTTTTGTCTTTGTTGGATTGGTTTAATCCAAAGACCTTGTCTTCAAGCTTTGAATTTCTTTCTTCTACTTGTTCCATTCTATTGCTGAGACTTTCCAGAGCATTTTGCATTTCTATAAGTGTGTCCACTGTTTCCTGAAGTTTTGATTGTTTTTTTGTTTATGCTATCTATTTCCCTGAATGTTTGTCCCTTCACTTCTTGTATCATTTTTTTTTATTTCCTTACATTGAGCTTTACCTTTCTCTGGTGACTCCCTGATTAGCTTAATAACTAACCTCCTGTATTCTTTTTCAGGTAAATCAGAGATTTCTTCTTGGTTTGGATCCATTGCTCATGAGCTAGTGTGATTTTTTGGGGGTGTTAAAGAACCTTGTTTTGTCATATTACCAGAGTTGATTTTCTGGTTTCTTCTCATTTGGGTAGGCTCTGTCAGACAGAAGGTCTAGGGTTAATTGCTGTTGCTCAGATTCTTTTGTCCTATGGGGTATTACCTTGATGTAGTACTCTCCCCTTTTTCCTATGGACATGGCTTCCTAAGAGCTGAGCTGTAGTAATTATCTGTCTTCTGGATCTAGCCACCCAGCAAGTCTACCAGGCTCCAGGCTGATACTGGGGGTTGTCTGCACAGAATCCTGTGATGTGAACCATCTCTGGGTTTCTCAGCCATGAATACCAGCACCTGTTTTGGTGGATGGCAGGGGGATGAAATGGACTCTGGGAGGTTCCTTAGCTTCAGTGGTTTAATGCACTACTTTTGTGCTGGTTGGCCTCCTGCAGGGAGGTAACACTTCCCAGAGAGCATCAGCTGTGGCAGTATGTAAAGGAACAGGTGGTGGGTGGGGCCCTAGAACTCCCAAGAGTATATGCCATTTGTCTTCCGTTACCAGGGTGGGTAGGAAAGAACCACTGGGTGGGGGTAAGGCTAGGCATGTCTGAGCTCAGACTCTCCTTGGGTGGGTCTTGCTGCAGCTGCTGTGGAGGATGGGGGTAAGGTTCCCAGGTCAAAGCAGTTATGTTCCTAGCGGGATTACGGCTGTCTACACTGTCATGCAGGTTGTCAGTGAAGTGGAGGAAAACCAGAGTCACAGGCCTCACCCAGCTGCCAAACAATCTGAAGGGCCAGTGTCACCCCCACCATGCCCCCAGCAACATCACCAAGTCTGTTTCCAGGCAGTGGGCAAATGGGGCTGAGAACTTGCCCCAGGCTACCTGCCTCCTAGCTGCAAAAGCAAATATGGCTTTCCTTGTTCCCCGCCTGTAGAGTCTGCACACTGGATTCATGCCCTCCTCTGAGTTCTGGCAAGGAGGCCTCTCGATCAGTTCAAATGGTTACAGAGTTCAGCTGGATATTTCCTTCTCCCTGTGGCCTTTTCTCAGTGCTTCTGGCCACCCTCCTGAAGGACTCCTGTGAGGCCAGGCAGATATGGCTTTCTAGGGGACCCAGCGAGCTCACAGGTCTTTTCCTGCTGCTTCCGCTACCCCTGTATTTCACTCGGCTCTATAAATGGACTCAGCTCCAGGTAAGGACGGCATCTCCTCCCGTAATCTAGATCTTCAGTTTCCTCCATGGGGGTGTGTATTTGGGGGCAGACAATTTCCCTTTCCCACTTCCACAGTTTGGACACCCACAGTATTTGGGGTGTCTTCCAGGTCTTGCAGGAGCAATCTGGTTCCTTCAGAGGGTCTGTGGATCCTCTCAGGTTTCTTGATTTATTCCTGCAGTCGTTCTGGATCAAAAATTCATGATGTGAGCCTCCGCACACTGTTCTATCCATCCGAGTTGAAGCTGCAATCTAGTCCTGCCTCCCGTCCACCATCCAAAATAACTTTTTAAATAACTATAAAGTAAAAATTCTAGGAATTAAGAAAGTGTTGTGTCCCACCCCCAAGATGATTATATTTGAGGATGGGGACTTTGGGAGGTAATTAGGTCATTAGAGGACAGCCCTCATTATGGGATTAATGTCCTTACAATAAGAAATAGCACAGAGTTTGCTCTTTTTACCTCGACTCTTCACCATGTGAGGATACAGTGAGAAGATAGCCATCTGAAAACCAGGAAGCAGTCCCCCATCAGATATAGGACCTGCTGTCACCTTGATCTTGGACTTTTTAGCCTCCAGAACTGTGAGAAATACATGTTTGTTGTTGAAGCCACCCAGTCTACGGTAATTTGTTATAGCAGCCAGACTGACAATGTCTTACATTTAATTTGTGTTTTGGAAGAGATGCAGAGAAAACAGAAACAGAATAATTACCTACTAAGAAAGCTACTAAACTGTGCATACAAAACATAATGAGAACTTCATTAGAACAACAGAAATGATGCAGAAATAAGCATTACTAGTTCACCTGAATTTATTAAAGAGAACACCAAGGCCTGTAGAGTCCTAATAAATAGTTCTAAGCAACTTAATAACAGTACGATTATTATAGGTATGTATAGCTTTAAGTGACATTCATAAGCTAAATAAAAAGTAAGAAAAGTCTGTGTTGATTTTACATAAATTCTACAAAGATTTCTGTATTACATACATGTTATTTTTATTTAATTATATATTTATTTTTGAGATAAAGTCTCATTCTGTCACCCAGGCTGGAGTGCAGTGATGCTATCTTGGCTCACCGAAACCTCTGCCTCTTGGCTTCAAGTGATTCTCCTGCCTCAGCCTCCCAAGTAGCTGAGACTACAGGTGCTTGCCACCAAGCCCAGTTAAGTTTTGGATTTTTAGTAGAGACAGGGTCTCGCCATGTTGGCTAGGCTGGTCTCAAACTCCTGACCTCAAATGATCCACCTGCCTTGGCCTCCCAAAGAGCTGGGATTAGAGGCATGAGCCACCGCGCCCAGCCCATACATGTTATTTTTAAATGTTATAGCAGAATTTGAAAAAATTAAAAAATAAGATCAATTCTTCCTGAATTAAAATATTACATAGTTTTTGCGTTCATTAAAACAAAGGTATTTAAGATGGAGTATAGCCAATATAAATTCTTATGAAGCATCCATTTTTATTACAATGTATATCTATTTTGTGACTGATGTACCCAAAAAGGTAAAATCACAACACATGCAAGGAGTTTTGAATAATACCAGATTTTTTTTTTTTTTGAGACAGAGTATGGTTTTGTCACCCAGGCCAGAGTGCAGTGATGTGATCTTGTCTCACTGCAACCTCTGCTTCTCAGGTTCAAATGATTCTCATGCCTCAGCCTCCCAAGAAGCTGGGATTACAGGCATGTGCCACCACGCCCAGCTAATTTTTGTATTTTTAATAGAGACGGAGTTTTGCCATGTTGGCCAGGCTGGTCTCAAACTCCTGGCTTCAAGCAATCCATCCACCTCAGCCTCCAAAAGTGCTGGGATTACAGGTGTGAGCCACTGCACCCAGCCCAATACTAGAATTTAATGAAACAGTATGAATAAATACATATGGAATAGTAATGAAGATAAACGGCTACTTATGATAGAAATTGGTTTTATTGTTTGCATGTGAATGAGAAAAATGATTGTTCTTCCAAAGTTGTCATACTTTCGCTCTACAATACTTTGGTTATAGGAAGATATATATCCATTTTTAGCTGCAGGCTATCACAGATTATGCAACTCTCCTGGGTTTGAGAAAAACAACAGTATCTGTATCACCACTGTCTTCAGAGTTGGAGAATTTTGATATTATAATTTTAATTTTCATCGTTTTCACTTTCTAGATAATATCTCACTTGTAAACAATGCTTATAAGACTGCAATACTGAACATATAATGTGTTTTCAGTCAAACCTTCATTTTAAAAATGAAATGTTCACATAATGCCATTTTTAAAGTATTAACAGGATTAAAAGAATATTACTTATTTGTGTCCTGCCTACCTCCAGAAAGAACTTGAAGTGATTAATAAAATAATTCTAACGATATGGATTAAATTTTTGTAATATTTTAGAGACAGCAGAAAAATATCAAGAATTGAAGTTGAATAACCAGTATGAAGTATAATTTTTCATACTGGTTATTCAACTTTCTAGCTGTATAATCTCTAGAGGACCTCTGTGTTCTTATCTGTAATTAGAGAATAGGGCTAGATGATCTCTGAAATTTGTTGTGTTCTAATGTTTCATGATTTATCCATTCTGGCTTTTCCAATTTTCCTCAAAAACTCTCTACTGACCCTGCTGCATTATCAGCTCCTTTGCCCTTTCTACCAGCTTCATTGATGTATAATTGACAAAAACTGTATATACCAAGGTATATAACATGATGTTTTGACATAGATACATTGCAAAATACTTACCACAATCAAGTTAATAAACCAATCACCTTTCATAGTTATCTATTATTTTTTCTGAAAAGAAAAATTAAGACCTAATATTTTAGCGAATTTTAAGTATATATTATTAAATATAGTCACTATGCTGTACATTAGGTCTCTATAACTTAAGGATTTTATAAGTGCAAGTTTGTACTCTTTGATCAACATCTCCCTATTTTTCACTCCAAGCCCTCCGGTAACCACCCTTCTACTTTGTTTCCATCAGTACAACTTTATCAAATTCTAAATATAATTGGATCGTACAGTATTTGCCTTTTGGTGTCTGGCTTATTTCACTTAGCATAATGTACCCCAGGCTTACTCAGCTGTCATAATGACAAGATTTTCTCCTTTTTAAGGCTAAATAATATTCCATTGTATGTAAAAGCCACATTTTCTTTATCCATTTGTCTGTTGATGGACATTAGTTTGTTTCCACTTCTTGGCTAATGTGAATGCCACCGCAGTTAACATGGGATTGGAAATACCTCTTCCAGGTCCTGTTTTCAGTTCTTTTGGATAAATACCTTTGAAGTAAGATTGCTGGAATACATGGTAGTTTTATTTTTAACTTTTTGGGGAAACTCCATACTGTTTTCCACAACAGTTGTACCATTTTACATTCCCATTTACATTACAGTGCAAAAGGATGCCAATCCACATCCTCACCAACACATTCTGCTTTTTTTGATAATAGCCACCCTTGCAGGTATGAAGAGTTATCTCATTGTGGTTTTGATTTGCATTTCCCTGATGATTATTGATGTTGAACATCTTTTCAACATCAATGTATGTGGGACATTCATATGTCTTCTTTGGTGAAATGCCTACTTAAGTCGTTGGCTCATTTTCTAACCAAATTATCTGATATTTTGCTACAGAATTGTATGAATTCCTTACAAATTTTGGATATTAACCCCTTATCAGATGTATGGCTTACAAATACTTTCTCCCACTCCATAGGCTGCCTTTTCACTCAGTTGATTGTTTCCTTTGCTGAGCAGATACACTTTAATTGGATGTAGTCCCACTTTATTTTTGCTTCTATTGCCTGTGCACTTGGTGTCACATCCAAGAAATTATTGCCAAGACAAATGTTATAAAGATTTCCCCTATATTTTCTCTCAGGAGTTATATAGTTTCAGGTCTTATGTCTCATTTTTTAATATATTTTGAGTTGATTTTTGTGTATGATGTAAGATAATGGTCCAATTTAATTCTTTTGCATGTGAATATCCAGTTTTCTTAAGACAATTTGTTGAAGACACTATTCTTGTCCCCATTGTGTATTCTTGCTGCCTTTGTGAAAGATCCATTGGTTGTATATGCATGGGTTTATTTCTGGTCTCTTCCTCTTGCTTATATGTCTATTTTTATGATGCCACCATACTGTTTTGCTTACTATAGCTTTGTAATATAATTTCAAATCAGCAAGTGTGATGCTTTGTTCTTCTTGATCAAGATTGCTTCTGTTATAAATTTAGAGTCTTTCATGGTTCCAAAGGAGTTTTAGGATTTTACTGTCTATTTCTGTGAAAAATGCTACTGGAATTTTGATAGAAATTGCATTGAATCTGTAGATTGTTTTGGATCATAAGTATATTTTGACAATATTAGTTCCTCCAATCCACAAATATGAAATATCTTCCCATTTGTTTATTTTTCAATTTATTTCATCAATGTTTTATAGTTTTCAGTGTACAGATCTCTCATCTCCATGGTTAAGTTTATTCCTAGGATCTTACTCTTTTTGATGCTATTGTAAATGGGATTTTCTTCTGAATAACTTTTTTGATAGCTCTTGTTAGTGTACAAAAACATAACTAATTTTTATATTTATTTTATAACCTGTATCTTTTGTAAATTTATTAGTTCTAACAGTTTTATGATGGAGTCTTTAGGGTTTTCTATACATAATGTCATGTCCTCTGGAAACAGAGATAATTTTACATCTTCCTTTTTTTATTTGGATATCTTTTACTCCTTTTAGTTGCCTAATTGCTCTGGCTAAAACTTCTAGTATGTTGCACAGAAGTGGTGAGAGTGAGAGTGGGTATGCTTGTCTTGTTAGAGAAAAACGTTAGACCTTTCCCCACTGAGTATGATGTTAGCCATACAACTGTGATACACAGCCTTTGTGATGTTGAAGTGCATTCCTTCTATATCTATTTTGTTAAGAGTTTTTATCATAAACTGATGTTAAATTTTGTCAAATGCTTTTTTCATCTATTGAGATGATCATATAATGTTTGTTCCTCATTCTGTCAATGTGGCATATAACATTTATTCATTTGCATATGTTGAACCATCTTTGCATCCCAAAGATAAATTTCATTTGATCATAGTGTATGATCCTTTTAATGTGCTGTTTAATTTGGTTTCATGGCATTTTGTTGAGGATTTTTGCGTCTACGTTCATCAGGGATATTGACCTGTAATTTTCTTTTCTTGTAGTGTCCTTGTCTGATTGTGGTATAAGGGTGACACTAATGTTGTAATATGAGTTTAGAAGTGTGTTTCCTCCTTTTCAATTTATTGGAAGAATTTAAGAAGGATTGATATTAATTCATCTTTAAATATTTGGTAGTATTCAGCAGCGAAGTTATCATCTCTTTGATGAGAAATTTTGATTACTGATTCAAACTCCTTACTTATTATTAGCCTATTTCAGATTTTATATTTCTTCATGATTCCATCTTGGTAGGTTACATAATTCTAGGAATTTATCCACTTCTTCCAGCTTATCCAATTTGTTGTCATATAATTGTTCATAGTAGTTTCTTATGATCCTTTGTATTTCTATGGTATCTGTTGTAATGTCTCCTTTTTCATTTCTTATTTTATTTCAGTCTTCTCTCTCCTTTTTCTTAGTTGAGCTACAGGTTTGTCAATTTTGTTTATCCTTTCAAAAAACCAGTTTTAGTTTCTTTGATCTTCTCTCCTTTGATCTTTTCTAGTATATTTCTAATCTCTATTTTTTTTTCTGCACTAATCTTTATTTCCCACCTTATGCTAACTTTGGGCTGTTTGTTTTCTCCTCGTTCCTTGAGGTGTAAACTTTATTTAAACTCTTTCATTTTTCTTCATGTATGTATTTATTGCTATAAATTTTTCTCTCCTAGTATTGTTTTTGTATCAGCCCATCAGTTTTGGTATGATATCTTTTTCTTTATCTCAAAATATTTTTTTTTCATTTCACTTTTGATTTCTTCAGTGAGCCATTGGTTGTGCAGGGACATGTTGTTTAATTACCACATTTTGTGAATTTATAATATTCTTCCTGTTATTGGTTCCTGATCTTATACCATTGTGGTCAGAAATTATATGATTTCAATCTTCCTAAATTTGTTAAGACTCGTTTTATGGCCTCACATATTATCTCTACTCTAGAGAATGTTCTGTGCATGTGTGAGAAGGATATGTGTTTTGTGCTACTGTTGGATAGAATGTTCTACATTTCTGTTAGGTCCATTAGGTCCAAAGTGTAGTATAAGTTCAGTGTTTCCTTATTGGATTTCTGTCTGAATGATCTCTCCCTTGTTGAAAGTGGGGTACTGAAATTCCCTACTACTATTGTATTCCTGTCTATTTCTGCCTTCAGATCTATTAATATTTGCCTTATATATTTAGGTAGTATGATGTTGGGTGCATATATATTTATGGATGTTATATCTTCTTGATGAACTGACTCTTTTATCATTATATAATGACCTTGTTTCATCTTACAGTTTTTGACTTAAAGTCTATTTTGTCTAATATGTGTAGCCCTGGCCTCTTTTGGATTCTGTTTGCATGAAATGTCTTTTTCCACACTTTCAGTCTATATGTCCTTAAAGCTGAAGTGAGTCTCATGGGCAGCATATTATCAGATCTTTCTTTAAAACAAATCCATCCAGCTACTCTATGTCTTTTAATTGGAGAATTTGATCCACTGACATTCAATGTAATTATTGATGGGTAAATAGCAAACAGTAAGTAAGGACTTACTATTGCCATTTTGTTAAATTTTTTCTGGCTGTTTTGTGGGTCCTTTGCTCCTTTCTTCCTGTCTTTCTCTAGGGGCTGGGGCATGCACTGGGTTGGGTGGGTGGTGGCCTGGTCCTGGGGTGGCAAAATAGTGGCTCCTTCTTAGGGGATGAGGGTGAGGGACCCAAAAGCATTTCCCTCTCTGGGTGTCTGCAGTGGCAATGTTATTGGTTACCTCAGTTGTGAAAGCTGTCAGTATCCTCTGTGGAGCAGAGCATTAGAGGTCATGCTGACAAACACTAAGAGGATTCCGTGAAAACTGCAAGGTGTCCATGGCTTCCACAGGGGCTGCCATGTGGTAGCATAAGCCACACTGCTGATACTAGTAGCCCCTGCCCTTCTTTTGTATCCCTAGCCATCTCCAGGCATTTCAGGTATGCCCATTTCTGCAATTATTCTTTCAGAATATTGTCTATTATTTGTTCCACTGCATTGCTGGATGTTGTTAATTGGACTCCTGAGCCCTCCCAGGGCTATTTTCATTCATGGGTGGCTGTCTCATTGGCTTTGTGTGTGTGTGTGTGTGTGCATGTGTGTGTGTGTGTGTGTGTGTGGCAGGGAGAGGGGACTGATGGAACTGAAGGCTGGAATCATGTAGTGCTCCATATTGCTGGCATGACTGCCTGCTATATCCTCTTCTATGTTCTTTTTAACCATGTATCAGACTACAAATTTCATCAGTCACCCTTTGATCACAACTGTGTCATTAAGTCTTGTTAGTTCTGAAGACTTGCTAAAAACCTTATCTACTTTGCAGTATGTGCTGGGCTTCAAGTTTATTCTATCTCCAATTCTTATGTAATCTCCCTTAACTTGAAAATAATTTTAGTCTAAAAGTTGTGCTTCTTGTCAATCATTAACATCCAGGACACTTCATCACCTTCAATCCCTATCTGGGGCCCTAGTCTAGCCTGGTACCTCTCATCTCTCATGAAAGATGCCTTTATCACTGTCTTTAAAACAAAAGACAGCAGATATGAATTCCCTTTGGCAAATGTTGATAGAGTGTTTCACTGTTCTTCCACCTAACCAACCCAAAATGATGTTATCCACTTCAAAGTCAGAAAGTGTAAGAAGATTCCACAACCTTCTAATTTGTGGCTAACTTTGGGAAAGTCATTTAACCTCCTAGTATTTTAATTTTATCTGAAAAATTATTATTTCATAGAGAAGTTATACAGGTGAATTTTTTTACATTTTAAAATTGCATATATGCAATAGAGAACAGTGATGGGAATAAAAATGCTTATGTACTAGAGAAAAACATTTTGGAGTTTCTCAAGTACTTACGGAGTTAGACTTTTCTTTTGTTCCTAGCAAAATTCCATGAAGAAAATAGACTCCAAAACTCCAGAGAAGGGAAGTGAGGTCTGTAGTCACTAAAGAGGCAGGCGTTCTACTGGGATGAATCTGAAGAAGTTATACATCAATCTAGCAAATTTAAAACTATATAATACCCACATTTTTAAAATAATAAAGAATTATTTGAAATTCTGATATATCACTGACAAAAGCATAAATTTGGTAAAAACTTTGGGTAGGAAATTTTGGAATTTGTAATAAGTACTTTTAAGACATACTCATATGGTAATAGTATTTCATCAATGTTAAGATGCTGATTTTGATAACTACATTATGGTTAAGTAATAATAAAAATAATTCTTTGTTTTTTGAAATACACCATGAAGTAGTAAGAGGGATCACATCCGCACTTTTACTCTGTGAAGATGATATTCTTTGTTGTGTTGCCCTCTCTGGCACTAGCAACTCACATCAAGAATGTGGGCTGACATTCCCATGGCCATCTGTAAACTGGGAAATGGAGGATGTCAAAAAAGGTTAATTTTATGTGTCAGCTTGGCTGGGCCATGGTGCCTAGGTATTTGACCAAACATTATTCTGGATATTCCTGTGAAGGTGTTTTCAGATAAGATTAACACTAAAATTGATGAACTTTGAGTAAAGCAGATTAACTTCCATAATGTGGGTGGTTCTCATTCAGTCGGTTGAAGGCCTTAATTACAAAAACACTGACATCCCTTGAGTAAGAAGGAATTTTACCAGAAGACTGACTTTAGACTCAAACTGCAACTCTTCCCTGAGTCTCCAGCCCACTGGCCTCCCCCATCAGAAACTGGACTTGCCAAGTATCCACAATTGCATGAGATGTATCCTTAAATCTCTCTTTATAAATATATCATGTCCTATTGGTTCTGTTTCTCTGAAGAACTCTAAGACAGATTCTGGTACTGGGAATTGTTCTAAAAGAACAAAATCTTAAGGATGCGTTTCCTAAATTGGTTCTGGGAATTCTGTAATTGGTCTCTGATTAGATTTAAAGACACTAATAACTCCATTTCCATTACTAAAGAGAGCAATTTTAGTCCATGGCATGATATGGCAATAGAGGTAAGCAAAATATCACCAATGGATGCTCCTAATTAAGCACTTATAAAAGCCAAGATCTGGGCAACCATGCATATAGTATCTTCAAACATTTTTGTCAAACTAATGAGTATAATGAGATTGGATGGTTCTTCCTCATGTTATTGGACAAAGTGATGGAAAAAAAAGAAAAAGGATGAGCTCAGGGACTCAAATTTCTAGCTCAAGTTCTCCATCAGTGATCTGAAAGCTTCTAGGTCTGCCCTGAAGGGGACCCTTATATCTTGTATCCATGAATCAAGGGGTGGCAATGGGAGTATCACTACTCACTATTACCCCTAGTGGCCCACTAGTAACATTTTTGCTTCCTGTTCCCAAGATGCCATGCTCTGTCGGCCTAGAGGTCTTAGTTCCAGAGGGAAAAATGCTTCCACTAGGAGACACAACAATGATTCCATTGAACTGGAAGTTTAGGCTGAGGGGCTCCTTATTGATCTAAATCAACAAAGAAGGGAGCTGTGATGGATCAGTTGATTGATCCTGACTTCCAAAAAGAAACTGGGATACTGCTTCACAATGGAAGAGAAACAGTATGTCTGCAATACAAGAGAAATCCTTTAGGGCATCTCAGTATTACCACGTACTGTGACTAAAGTTAAGAGAAAATTATAATAACCCAAAACAGGCAGGAGTACTTAATGGCCCACATCACTCAAGAATGAAGGACTGGGTTATCAGCTGAGATGCTGGCTGAAGGTGCAAAGAAAATACAAAATAGGTAGGGGCAGAAGGTGCCAGTTATGACTACATGACCAGTTACAGAAATGAGAATTTTAATTGTCATGAGTAGTTCTTCCTTATTTTATTATGAATATATGTGAGTATAAGCCAAATATCTTTGTTTTCTTCCCCTAATATCCCATTATCTTGTAATATAAGATATACTGACTTTATGTCATAGTATTTAAGTACTATTAACTTTACATCAAAGTATTTGTGTTACAGGATATCTAGGAAAAGGGAAAACATCACACATGGACTTTGCAACCTCTTCTGGAAAAAGGATTAGTGTGTTTTCAGTTGTATGCAACATAGTTGTATCATATTAGGCAAAAGTACGATCTTGTTAGAGTCTTTAGTGGCAGATTAAGTATTGTTTAAGGAGATGTGTATGGGTGTCAGGTTGACAAGGGGGGGACTTGTGATAGCTAATTTTATGTGTCAATTTGGCTAGGCCACAGAGCCCAGATATTTGGTCAAATGTTATTCTGGATATTTCTGTGAAGGTGTTTTTGGACGAGATTAGCACTAAAATCAGTGAACTCTGAGTCAAGCAGGTTGTCTTCCACAATGTAGGTGGGCGTCATCCATTCAGTTGAAGACCTTAATAAAAGAAAGACTGACCTGCCCCAAGCAAGAAGGAATTATACCATTAGACTGATTACCTTTCGGCTCAAACTGCCACTCTTTTCTGTCTCCAGCCTGCTAACCTACCCCACCATATTTTGGATTTGCCAAGCCTCTACAATCACATGAGCCAATTGCTTGAAATAAATCTCTCTCTATACATACACATTTTCTTGATTCTGTTTCTCTGTAGAACCCTGACTAATGAAGAAGGTAAGTGAAAATGCCATAAAACTCTCTTACTGAAATCTAGCAGCTTCCTTCTTTATTGCACACTCTTCTGGGTGTTACTAAGTTTTTGGTTAGATTCTAAAATTACATTCCAGAGCGCCAAAAAAGTCAATTCTGAAAGATTTTGCCAGTTTAATCATTGTTATAGTGGGCAGACAGCTTTTATTTTGAGTTTCCTATTCTGCCATTTTTTATGATATCACTGCAACTTATTCTTAAATTATTCCTCTTAAATGATTCAGATAGAGTAGATAGATGTACACAAAAACATAAAGATAAATAAAGCAAATCTAATAAAATGTTAATATTTGAAAAAACTGGATGTAGAGTAACTGAGAAGTCTTTCTACTATTTTTGCAGCTTTTCTGTAACTCTGAAATTATATGAAAATAAAACAATTTTTAAAGTGTAACTGTCTTGGAGACTGGTTTAAGACAGATGACTAAATACTTGCCAGAGCCTTCGCATCTCACTTCAAGTGCCAGGAAATTACAGAAGAGTAAATTTTCATATCTTCTAAAATATATAATTTTTTAAAAAAATAGTACCCTCAGATCTGTAGAAATGATGGGGAATCCTTCCATGAAAGAAGACAGATGGGAACAAAGAGAAGAAAACCATGTGCAGAACATGCACAGAAGAAAACGCCTACAAAGATGAGAGGTGGTCCAAGGGTTTGCTAAGCCTACAAGTGACAGATAGTGAATATTGGAGGGATCTGGGAAAACCAAGAGTGATTGGTTTGAGTATTGAAGTAACAGCATATAGGGTAATCTCTCTTTGGCCAAGAAAAAGCAACAGAGATGCCTGTTGCCAGGTAAAGCAGAGAGAGCTGATGCTGGGCGGAAGGGGGAAAACAGGACCTTCGGTAGTCTACTGATATTCAGGAGGAACAGGAAGTTTTTACTGCTCAGAAGAAGCTATTGGCTCACCCTATCCAGGAGTCTGCCCCACCAATTCTCCTTCTCCTTTTTGGAGAAAAACTAAAGTAAGCAGAGAACTCATAAACAGACTAACAATGAATCTAAAATACAGTTGATCACCCAATCACAAAAATCAAAGAGAAGAGCCAACAATAAAAGAGAAGAAACAAATCCAACAAGAGAAAACAGGTATCCTATAAAACATAGGCTTAATAAACAGTAGAGCATTTTAGAATATCTATAATCATATAACCTTAACTCATAAAAATAGAAATATAAAAGGCTATTTATTTTTAAAAGAATCAATACAATATCACAGATATTTTAAATTTGACCATCAAAATTGTTTAAATGGATAGGCTATCAAAATAATAAAAAATAAATATTAATGTGAGGCAAACTTTAGCTAATAATTTTTCATAGGATGCACCTTGAACTTTACAAAATGATGTATAAGAGAAATGAATAAACTAAAAAGCAAGGAAAAAACAAACACAATGAATCTATTAGTCTGCTTGGGGAGGAATAACAAAATATCACAGACTGGATAACTTAAACAACTTATTAATTTTCTTAGAGTTCTAGAAACTAGAAGTTCAAGGTAAAGGTTCTGGCTGATTTTGTTTCTGGTGAGGGCTCTCTTTCTGGCTTGCGGACTGATGCCTCGTTGCTGGATCCTCACATGGCTTTTCTTTGGCGTGTATGCAAGAAAAGAGGAAGTGAGTTTTCTGGTGTCTTTTCTTATAAGGGCATTAATCCTCCCAGATCAGGATACCACCTTTATGAACGCGTTTATTCCTAATTACTTTCTTAGGAGTTCCACCCCAAATTTAGCCATACTGGAGGTCAGAGTTTCAACATTTGTATTTAGGGGAGACTCAAACATTCAGTTTATAACAATCAACAAAAGCAAAAGCTGGTTCTTCAAAAAGAGAAAACAAATAAATTGTATGAGAAATATAACTATAGAAACAAAAATTTTAAAGTTGCTAAAGGATACAATGTATATATTTAACTCAAAAAAAAAAAAGCTTAAAAGCCAGATAAAGAGAGTGTAAGAAACAAGAAAATAAAAGGTTACGTTAATCTCACTTAGGAAAGTAGATTTTTAAAATCCTAACTAAAACAGTAAATCAAATCTGTTAGAATATTAAGAGAAAAAATTCACCATGGCCAAATAGGTAATAAGAGTAAGAATCAATTAATCCAAGAATGGTCCCCTGCAGGCTAGCCTCCCAAAGATATGATGTCCTACAAAGCTCCATAGAAACTAACTATGGCCCAGAGCCTACAGCAATCAATTTTGGTCAACCACAATGTTTGGATGCCACTGTCACCTTCAACCCTTATCATGCCAGAGAAGGAGCTGGTGCTAGTCTAATCATGTGTACTGATATGGTCAATCCTACTCTTATCTTGCACTATCTTAAAGCTGTAACCATAAGGCCTGGATGCAGTTGGGCTGGGACATCTCGTCAACCTTGAATATCCATGCTTTCAGAATAGTGCTGGAATAAAAGTTCTTCCACATCATACTGTATTCTGGCACCTGATCATGCCAGGGGATGAGGTGGTATTTCTCTAATTATTAATTAAAAGCTATACAGGCCAACAGTCAAGATCCCTCTAATGGAACTTCTCATATGGCCTTTAAAAATTGCTATGCACTGTCTGCTTCAGAGTGGGATGGTGTCACAGAGACTCACACTTTGAGCTATTGACCCCTGTCCCTTTGAGCTTTCTCCAGTAAATTAAATACTGTTTCAACAGGTCTGATATGTGCAGGTCTTGACTACTTGTCTTGTTTTCACGACATGCCACATTATGGATTAAAGAAGGAAAACCATATGATCATCTTAATATGTCCCCCAAAAGCATGAGAAATTCAACATCTATTTGTGATTCTTACAATAAAAAATAAAGTTTAATCTTAACCTAGCACCACTTATAAACATAAATTCTAGACTGACAAAACAGTATAAAATATGTATAATATTGAAGTAGAAATGTATGTAAAACACAAAAGTCATAAAAGAAAGATTGGCTGGCCGGGCACGGTGGCTCACGCCTGTAATCCCAACACTTTGGGAGGCCAAGGCGGGTGGATCACTTGAGGTCAGGAGTTCGAGACCAGCCTGGCCAACATGGTAAAACCCCGTCTCTACTAAAAATATAAAAAAATTAGCCGGCCGTGGAAATGGGTGCCTGTAATCCCAGCTTACTCAGGAGGCTGAGGCGGAAGAATTGCTTGAACCCAGGAGATGGAGGTTGCAGTGAGCCAACATGGTCCCACTGCACTCCAGCCTGGGTGACAGAGTGAGACACCGTCTCAAAAAAAAAAAAAAAAGAAAGAAAGATTGGTCAACTTGAATGTGTCAAGATTAAATCTTCTGTGTAACTAAAGGTACACTGAAAAATTAAAACCATAAAGTAAATTGAAAGGCAAGTAACCAGAATGAAATATTTTCAGTATACAGACACATGAATTAATACCCAGAATACATAGTCTGAAGTGAATGTACTCAGTAGAAAAGCTTCAGGAAAGCAGGGAAGCCGTAAGGTTGCTTTTCTTGTTTTTAGAATATTTTTAAAAAATTTTCTAGTAAGACTAATTTTATTTAGTATAAAAGCAAAAGTTTGACAAGCAGTATTTAATAACATAAAAAGTACAAAACAGATTTGTGATTTCTAACATATTAATACAAAGTGTATAAATACATATAACATATTCCATGGGTAGAGAAAGATGAAAGCAAGGAAAGAAGACTGTGGTTGGGTCTAGTAACAAATAAATAAACACAGAAGTAGAGATAATCCACATTATAGTATATTCTACTATTAATACCAGCAGAAATGTATTACCCAAATTTAAAATATGGAGGAAAATGATAATGGCTAGGGCTCTAGTAATATACCTCTAAAGCTGTGGGAGAGCCCAGGAAATTCACTACATGGTCTGTGTATATGGTGGTATGGAGCATATTGATTTTTTCTAAAAGGAAGAAATATTAAATTTTAAGTTTAGATGAATAATTATAAAATTACAGGGTACCCATACCATCCAATTTTTTAAAAATCCAGTTTTAAAAGTAAGCATTGAGTCACATTTTTATAAAATAGGCAAATGTTCTTCATTCATTATAAAAAGTGTGAACTGACTTTTTTCCCCTGAACTTTCAGAAAAGTGGCAAAAAGAGTACTTTGGTTTAGGTTCATGTGAGGGAGGCTTTTAATGAAAATTTTAGAATTGAAGAGGTCCACGTTCAGAATTCATTAATCACCTAACATCCCAATATTTAGAATGTCTTGACTTAAAAAGGCCACCCAAAATCCAGCCCACTCAGCTTTAACACACACCTCTTATCTTCTAGATTTTTTTTTTTACTTATAAAGTAGAAAAAAAAATATACCCTAATAGGTTAAACACACCAAATGCCCATTTTACACAGGTAAAACCTTCATAAAGGCTAATTGAATCCATAGCTAAAACTGCATTGTGCAGGTTTTCAGTGACATTGTCAGTCACATAATACAAATAAAATAGTTAACTATTTATATCCATGATAAGCCCACGGATAACAAGAAATGTAATCCAAGAAGCATTAACCTTTGCTTTGTGTCATATTTAAGACTTGCATGTTTTATTTTTCCAATATGTAACATTTAATAGAGTGTATTAGCTACTATGTGGTAATGCTTTGGTACTATTTGCATAGGTTCTTTCATCCTAAACATTTGCCATTTTCCCAAAAGGAACTGTGGTTCTGCTTTAGATGTCTTATATAAATTAAACACCTTATTGAGTATTAATATTGGGGAGATGACACAGGATGCAACATAGACAGTCAAGTTACCTCTGTATATTTAGGAATTACCCTCTCCTTCAAGGTATTTGCACTAGAAAGCTAAGTCTGCCCTGATTAATATTTCAATAGTACAGGGTTGAGTGATCAAAACCTTGGCAAAACCTTAATTCAGAATTGTTAACAAATACTGCTAGTGTCAATTCCATGTGATTTCATTATTATAAATTTATTATTATGAGGCAAAACAAGTATAGCCCGTCATCGTTGAAAATGCTTCAACTATTACTTCTTAATGTGGAAAGACTGAAACTAACATTTGTTTTACCATACAATTAATATAATATCTATGTACCCTGAAATTTCCTTAATTTTACTCATTAGGACAGGATTTTGAAAGACTTAAGGGCACTTTACAGAAGGATCCAGCTTTCCTATCAAAGACTCAGTATCTTAAATATTATATGTACCTTTTTTCTCTTTTATTAAACTAGATTAAGCTTTAGAGTTTGTGAAAATGGAGAAAATAACCAATAAAAGGATTCTATAAATTGTCTTTGGCACAATAGTAAGTATTCAAAACAAAAGCAAGAAAACCACTATTATCAGCTGAATTGTTTGCCCTCCTCTCCAAAAAAATTCACATGTTAAAGTTCTAATCTCCAGTAACTCAGAATATTACTCTACTTGGAGTTAGGGTCTTTAAAGAGGTAATTAAATTTAATGAGGTAATTAGGGTGAGCCTTAATCCAATATGTCTAGTGTCCTTGGAAGAAGAGGAAATTTGGACACAGACACATACAGAGGAAAGACTATGTGAGGACAGGGAGAAGATGGCCATCTACAAGCCAAAAAGAGAGGTCTGAAACAGATCCTTCCCTCATAGCTCTCAGAAGGGACCCATCCTGTCAACAGGGTTGATCTCAGACTTGATCTCAGGCTTCTAGCTTCCAGAATTGTGAGAAAATAAATTTCTCTTTTTTTTTTTTTTTTTTTGAGATGCAGTTTGACTCTTCTTGCCCAGGCTGGAATGCACTAGTGCAATCTCAGCTCACTGCAACCTCCACCTCCCAGGTTCAAGCGATTCTCCCGCCTCAGCCTCCCGAGTAGATGGGATTACAGGCATGCACCAACACACCCAGCTAATTTTGTATTTTTAGTAGAGATGGGGCTTCTCCATGTTGGTCTGGATGGTCTCGAACTCCTGACCTCAGGTGATCCGCCCACCTTGGCCTCCTATTGCTGGGATTAGAGGTGTGAACCACCACGCCTGGCCAAATTTCTGTTCTTTAAGCCAGCCAATCTGTTGTACTTTGTTACAGAAGTCCTAGCAAATTAATACAGCCACTTTATTGTTCCAAAATTTTGTTTTTGAGATAAGGGTTCTCTCTGTTGCCCAGGCCTGGGTGCAGTGGTGGGATCATAGCTCACTGCAGCCTCGAACTCCTGGACTCATGCAATCCTCCCACTCAGCCTCCTGACTAGCTAGGAGTACAGCCGTGTGCCACCATGCTCATCTAATTTATTTTATTTTTAGTAAAGACATAGTCTCACTGTGTCACCCAGGCTGGTGGTGTTCTAACATTCACATACGCAGTTGACCCTTGAATAACATAGGTTTGAACTGCATGGGTCCACTTACATGCAGACTTTCTTCCACCTTCATCATCCCTGAAACAGCAAAACCAACCCTCAGCCTACTCAACATAAAGACAGTAAGGACGAAGACCTTCATGATGATCCAGTTCCACTTAATAAATAGTAAATATATTTTCTCTTATGATTTTCTTGGTAACATTTTCTTTTTTCTAGGTTTATTGTAAGAATACAGTATACAACAGATATAACATACAAAGTATGTGTTAATTAACTGTTTATGTTATTGTTAAGGGTTTCAGTCAACAATAGGCTACTGGTGAAGTTTTTAGGGAG
Organism: Homo sapiens; assembly: GCF_000001405.40. Taxonomy (NCBI): domain Eukaryota; kingdom Metazoa; phylum Chordata; class Mammalia; order Primates; family Hominidae; genus Homo; species Homo sapiens. The sequence continues at coordinate 28,381,226 of NC_000003.12, read as the reverse complement.
GCAAGCAATTCCTGCATAGTTTGGAACTTTGAGGAGGACAAATGAGTAAGGAATTTTATTTTCTATTAAATGAAGTACTTCCCCATCTGCCATCCTTTCAAGAGAATTCAGTAAAGACTTAAATTAATAATTGTTTTACTTTTCTGTATATATATATATATATATATATATATATACACCAAATATATATATATATATATACCAAATATATATATATATATATATACCAAATATATATATATATATATATACCAAATATATATATATATATATATATATATATATATATATACCAAATATATATATATTTGGTAAAGTTCAACAAAGTATATATATTTTAAACATAGCACATTATTAGGTAGAGAATAGACTTGTGGAAAAAGATAATGTTTTGGCCTTGGGTGGGAACAGAGCTTTGAAAAAAGTGGACTCATTCTGCATATGTTTCAGAGGTCAAATATGCAGGACTCACTGACATATTCCATGTAGGGAAAAATGGAAAGAGATTAATCAAGTTTGACTACTAAGATTTCAACCTAAATAATCAGATAAAAGTTAGTGACATTCATGTTTCCAGAAAAACTAAATGGTTGATTGTGTTGGACATTACTTAGAATTTTCAGGAATGAAGACAGAGAAGTTGCCATTGAATTTCAACATGGAAATCATTGACGACATGACAAGAGCAATGGCAGGTTTATAGTAAAGATGAAATTCTCATTGGAGCATGCTAAAGCATAATGATAAAGCAAGGAAATGGATAAAACAAATTCAGGTGATTCTTTGAGTAGTTGTTTCTGTTTGTTTGTTTGCACGTTTCTGTGGAAGTGAGGAAATGCAAAGAAAAGAGCAAGCTGGAAAATGTTGTGGGGTCAGAGCAAGTTATGACATACATTTATACGGGTGGTGAGGGGAAGGAGTCCAGCATAAAAAAAAATAAACTGGCCGGGCGTGGTGGCTCATGCCTGTAATCCCAGCACTTTGGGAGGCCAAGGTGGGCGGATCATGAGGTCAGGAGATCGAGACCATCCTGGCTAACATGGTGAAACCCCGTGTCTACTAAAAAAATACAAAAAATTAGCCAGGCATGGTGGTGGGCACCTGTAGTCCCAGCTACTCGGGAGGCTGAGGCAGGAGAACAGTGTGAACCCGGGAGGAGGAGCTTGCAGTGAGCCGAGATGACGCCACTGCACTCCAGCCTGAGCGACAGAGCTAGACTCCATCTCAAAAATACATAAACTAAAAAAATAAAAATAAAAAAATTAAACATTAAAAATAAAAATAAACTTGACTTACTTAATGTTTTTGTTCCAAGATTAGGTCTACTCCATTATAATTCACCTGTCCCTTTGACCCCCAAAACAGAAAGCCACCTTCTAAGAAACTTCTTGATATGTTACTTGAGCTACAAATGGTCACGTTTTTCTATTCTCTAGTTTTGCTATGGAAAAGGTTCTCATTTTTTTTTATTTAACAACTTTATTGTGAGATATAATTCACATTTCACAAAAGTCACCCATTTAAAGAGTACAATCATTTCCTTGTATGTCCTAAGTTCCTTAATTTTGCTCAAATAATGACTGGTGTTAATACATCCAGTGTAAAAAAAAAATGTTTTGGAAATAGAACAGAGAGGTATTTTCCTTCTAAACTTTTGTTTCAATGACCCATTTTAATGCAGAAGATATTTATTTTATAAAGGTAGATTTCAGAAAAACACACAGACAAACTTTCTACTTGTTGATATTCAGGAAAGAATTCACAGTAACATTCTTAAGGGCATTTTTTGCTGTTTTTTGTTTTAACCTCAGCAATTTTACCCTCATTCTATAGCACTTGTTTAAGGCTGTCTTTTTAATGTATTATTTCTCTTTTTCCTCTTGCATCCCCTCAGTGATTATTCTAAATCTTTTTCATTCTAGACCATATTCCTCATTCTCAAAAGATAAATTTTCCTCTGGCTTTACAAGGATATCTCCATCACTTCTCATCCAAATACATAAAAGCTTATTTAAAACTACTCTGTCACTGATTTGCTGCAGTCTCAGACCTTGATTCTATTTTCTTTGTTCTAGAACTTTTTCTTGAGGGTTTGCTATGAACCAGGTATAAAATGAAAAGGTAAATACAAGACCCCTCTCCACAAGTGATGATAAGTACTATTATGGGCCAAATATAGAATACTATGGAAGCACATAAGGCACACCTGATATTTTCAGGCAGTGTCCAGCTACCTGGGAGAAGTGATGTCTAAGTTAATCAGAAAGATAATAAGTAGGAGTCAGTATCCCTATTATATGCCTCAGCAATCTCCACTCCCTCTGCATACCACTTAACACATTGTATTATAGTTTATGTAGTGACATCCTCTACAAGACAAGTCCACTTAGGACAAGGCTCATATCTATCTTATTAATTGCTTTATCCCTAGCATCTAAATGAACACTCGTCAAAGAGAAGCACTGAATATTTATAAGGCATGAAACAATGAAAAAAATATAAACTTCAGAATTAGACTGGCTTAGGCAGTGCTGATATTCAAAATATTTAACAACAATCATGGCCATGTGTATCAGTTGAACATCATCCCTAGGTCTGGGCTTAAATTCTCACTTCGTTTCCTACAAGATTTTCAAATTAAGGCAAGTCAGTTAAATGATCTGAACATCTCTTTATCATATGTATATGTTGATGGTAATAATAGTTAATTCGTAGATAGTTTTAATGATGAAATTAAGCAGCATATGAAACCCATTTCAGTATCTGGGACACACTGAAGATATAATAAATGTTTGATTTACTTTCTAGACTGCTTTTAAGTGAGTTATATTTCTAGTTAGATAAGAAAATTAAAATGTGCAAAAACCAAAGTAGAATGAGAGCACTCTACTTTGTCTTTCATGATTTTTTTCAAGTGCTCAACAAATAATTATTTAGTTTTCTTCTAATCTTTAAACTACATTTATCTTTAATCTTCTCTATGATGTATATTTAACTTTCACTGTTCGTTCTTTTACCTAATTAAGAAATTTACGCTCCTATGTCAACCCTATACTTAATGATCCTACAAAAATTTATTAAGAGCCTGTATCTATGCAAAACTGTTATTATTCAGAGACTAGTTTATGCAGATACTGGTGGATAATTTCTGGCATAGCTCCAAGAAGCTTAATAAAGATCTTCTTTTGTAATAATACAGATAACTGATAGGTTTCATCCAAAGTCAGACATGAAGGTAGAAAGGACGAAAACAGCATACTGGCATATTTAATGGCTGGTGTCTTTTGCGGCAACTATATTCTGCTGTGCTAAATATTTTCAAGGGAAAAGTAAATAATTGGAAATTTGATAAATTGTGCTAAAATGCTAACTCCAAATCTTAATAATCAAGCTATATGCTTTAGGTCTACATTGAATGGCTGCCAATTTTATTCAGCATATTAAGACTTGTAAGAATAAAACAGATCTAACAAGACAGTTCAAATTAAGTTCTTCAGACTGTCTTCAAATACAGTCGCATTATAAATAAAAAATTATATGGATAGAATGAATCAGAATACAAAATTTAGACGGCTTAGTTACTTTTTCCTGCATGTGCCCATTCTCAATTGACCTTTGGATTTAAGTTATATTGTCATGGAAGTCATACAGCTGATTTATTTAAAGGTAAAATTTTGTTGCCCTAATGTGAAAAAAGTTTTTAATTCAGTTGACCACTTTCCTTAAACTATAATACACAAAAAATAGAATCTTGAGCTAATCTAATTAGAAAATTGTAACTTGACATTCAAATTGATTTATACATTGTCATTTACTTTCCTTGTTTTTGAAATAAATGTCATAATCCTAACAAAGAGTAATAACGTTCTTACTCTCAGTTCTAGTGAGAACTGCATAATGATTGTTTCAAGAATCACGACACAAATATTAAGAAAAGGACTCTACCACAAGTTTTAAAATTAGAATGTAAAAATGGAAGTAGTTTTAAATTGCATGATGCAAAAATGAAAGCATGCATCTTTAATGCATGACATATGAATCTGCAGAGTAAAACAACAGGTTGAGGATAGGAAAATTTGGAATTCTTTCTCTGGAAAGAAACAAAACAAACTAAAGGTCTCTAAAGAAATCACTAACAAAATACAAAAAAAAAAATCATCATGCAGTGAGTTCAATATTGGAAAAATATTTGTCTTCACTTTGAATTTCATTAGAACTGTCTAAATACATAACTAAGGAATAAAGAATATAATTTCAACCTCAAAACTAAAATCATGCCTATGCTTAAACAGTATGTTCACAATATATTGTTAAATAAAGAAAGCAAATTGTCCAGTTCTGTTTAAGATTACAGACTAATTAATTTATCTTTTCCTTCCATTAAAATTACACTTAAGACATAAAAGAGAAAAAAAGGTTAGGGAGTTATCAGTGAACAAAAGATTTCAACATACATTTTGCGACAAAAGTTACATCACCAAAATGGTGGAGTACAAGGAATCAAGCTTCACTTCTCCCTAAGAGAAAACTAAAAACAAATACCTTCTGCCAAGATTACGATGAGCAATATCCCAGAACTGAAATCTGAGGATGAAGCAATCCCTGTGTCCAAAGAGAAGTGAAAACACTGAGCAGACAGTATAGAGAATCAGACTTCTATGTTCATGACACTCCTCCCACAATCTGCCAGACATAGTGTGCTAGGAAAATTGAGTACAGAGACAAACCGCGAACTCTAGTACTGTAAGTTGGTGGTGCAATAGACTCATACCTCTAGAATGAAACTCCAAACATAAATCTATCCAAAAAATAGCTAGAGCAATCTGTAAAGATATGGGTAATATAAAAATATGTCAATACAATAATTAAAAGTCAAAATGTGAGAGGAATGGAGTTAAAGTGTAGAGATTGTTTTTTCTATTTCTTCATTATTTGTTTCTATTCTAAGATAAGCTGACATCTCCTTAAAATAACATCTATAAGATGTTTTTGTAAACTCATGATACCCACAACCCCAAAACCTATAATAGATTCACTAAAAATATCAAGTACCAGCAATCCCACTGCTGGGTATATACCCAAAAGAAAGGAAATCAGTATATCAAAAAGACATCGGTACCCCTATGTTTGCTGTAGCACTGATTACAATAGTTAAGATTTGGAAGCAACCTAACTGTCCACCAATAGATGAATGGATAAAGAAAATGTGGTACATATTCACAATGGAGTACTATTCAGCCATAAAAAAAAGAATGAGATCCATCATTTGCAACAACATGGATGGAACTGGACATTATGTTATTAAGAGAAATAAGTCAGGAACAGAAACACAAACATTTCATGTTTTTACTTATTTGTGTGATCTAAAAATCAAAACAATTGAATTCATGGACATAGAGAGTAGAAGAATGGTTGCCAGAAGTTAGGAACAGTAGACGGGGGATGGTAGGGGAAGTGTGGACAGTTAATGAGCACAAAAAAAAAAAATAGAAAGAATGAATAAGACCTACTATTTGACAGCACAATAGGATGACTATAGTCAATAATAAACTTAATTGTATTTTTTAAATAAAGAATGTAATTGTATTATAGGTAACTCAAAGGATAAATGCTTGAGATGGATACCCCATTCTCCATGGTATGCTTATTTCAGATTACATGCCTGTATCAGAACATCTCAGTTAACCCATAAATATATATACCTATGTACCCACAAAAATGTTTTAAAAATCAAGCAATGGATTAAAACATACTACCAGAGAGAATCACTTAACCCCAAAGAAAGACAGTAAGAAAGAATGAAAGGAAGAGAGGAGTTACAAAGCAACCAGAAAACAAGCAACAAAATGGCAGTAGTTAAGTCCTTACTTATCAATAATAACACTGACTAAATGAACTCAATTCTCCAATTAAAAGGCAGAGAGTGGCTGAATTAATAAAGAAACATGATCCAAATATATACAGCCTACAAGAAACTCACTTCAACTATCAAGACACATAGACAAAGTGAAGGGGTGGAAAAAGGTATTACATACAACTTGAAACAAACAAACAAACAAAAAACTAAAAAAAAAAACCAAGTAGTTATACTTACATCAGGAAAAATACAGTAAAAATCAAAGACTAAAAAGAGATGAAGAGGATCATTATATAATGATAAAGGCGTGAATTCAGCAAGAGGATTCAGCAAAACAATTATAAATGTCTATGCACCTACCACTGGTGCTCTCAAGTATACAAAGCAAATATTAAAGATCTAAAGAGAGAGAGAGAGAGACCGTAATATAATAATAGTAAGGAACTTTAACACCTCACTCTTGGTAACACACAGATCATCCAGAAAGAAAAATCAACAAAAATTAACGAAAACCTGTTAAGCAAATTCAGTAAAGTTGTGGATACAAAATCAACATACAAAAATCAGTAGCATTTATATATGCCAACGGTGAACAATCTGAAAAAGAACTCAAGAAAGCAATCCCATTTACAATATCTACAAAAAATATAAAATAACTAAGAATCAATTTAACCAAATAAGTGAAAGATCTATACAAGAAAAACCAGTTGAGGAAGAGAACACTGATGAAAAGAACATACAAAAAATGAAAAGACATCCCATACTCATAGTTTGCAAAAATTAATACCATTAAAATGATAACACTACCCAAAGCAACCTACAAATTCAATATAATCCCTATCAATCTACCAATGAGATTTTTCATAGAAATAGAAAAAGTAAACCTAACATTTATATGGAACCAAAATAGAGCCTGAAGCAATCCTGAGCAAAAACAACTAAATTGGCAGCGTCACATTACCTGAGTTCAAAATATACTATACAAAGCCAAAGTAACCAAAGCCACATAAAACTAGACCCATAGACTAATTAAACAGAATAGAGAACACAGAAATAATACCACCTATTTACACTCAGCTCATTTGTGACAAAGGTACTGAGAACATACACTGGGAAGAGGACAGCCTCTTCAATAAATCGTGCTGGGAAAACTAGATAACCATATGCAAAAGAATAAAATTAGTGTCCTATCACTCACCATGTACAAGAATCAAATCAAAATGGACTAAAGACTTAAATCTAGGATGTGAAACCATGAAACTACTATAAGAAAACATTAGGGAAATGCTTGAGGACATTGGTCTGGGCAAACATTTTATCGCATAAGACAGCAAAAGCACAGGCAACAAAAGCAAAAATAAACAAATAAGATCACATGAAGCCAAAAAGCTTCTGCATGGCAATCAACAAAGTGAAGAGACAACCTACAGAATGAGAGAAAATATTTTCAAACTATCCATCTGAGATGGGATTAATAACCAGAATCTATAGGGATCTCAAACAACAGCAAAAAACAAACAAACAAAAACAAACAAATCTAATTTAAAAATGAGCAAAAGATCTGAGTAGACATTTCTTAAAAGACATACAAATGGAGCCAGGTGCGGTGGGTCACACCTGTAATCCCAACACTTTGGGAGGGTGAAAGGGTGGATCACCTGAGGTCAGGAGTTCAAGACCAGCCTGGCCAAGATGGTGAAACCCCATCTCTACCAAAAATACAAAAATTAGCCATGTATAGTGGTGCACACCTGTAATCCCAGCTATTTGGGAGGCTGAGGCAGGAGAATCACTTGAACCTAGGAAGCAGAGCTTGCAGTGAGCCAGAGATTGCACCACTCACCACTGCCCTTCAGCCTGGGCAACAGAGCGAGACTCCATCTCAAAAAACAAACAAACAAACAAACAAAAAAAAACAACATACAAATGGCCAATAGGTATATGAAAAAAGGCTCAACATCACTAATCATCAGGAAAATGCAAATCAAAACCACAATAAGATATCATCCCACCCCAGTAAAAATGGCTTTTATTAAAAGGACAAAAAATAACAAATGCTGGTAAGGATGTGGAGAAAGGGGAACCCTCCTATTCTTTTGGTGGAAATGTGAATTAGTATAGCTGCTATGTAAAAGAGCATAGATGTCCCTCCAAAAAACTAAAGACTACCATATGATCCAGTAATCCCACTACTGGATACATATCCAAAAGAAAGGAAATCATTGTATCAAAGAGATAGCTTCACTCTCCTGTTTATTGTAGCACTATTCACAATAGCCAAATTATGGAATCACCCTAAGTGTCTATCAATGGGTGAATAGATAAAGAAAATGTAGGGGGTCTGTGTAGATAGATAGATATAGATATGGATATATAGATATAGACCATGGAATATTATGCAGCCAGAAAAAATGAATGCAATCATGTTTTTTGCAACAATAGGTGGAACTGGAGGCCATTATCCTAAGTAAAATAATTGAAACAGAAAATCAAATACCACAAGTTCTCGCTTGTAAGTGACAGCTAAACAATGGGTACACATGGAGCTACAGAGGGGAATAATAGACACTGGGGACTTTAAATACGGAGAGGTAGGGAAAGGGGTGAGGGCTGAAAAATTGCCTGTTGGATACAATGTTCATTATTCATGTGATGGGTACACTAAAAGCCAATACATCAAAGCTAGGCAATATATCTATCTATGCAACAAAACTGCACTTGTATCCTCTGAACTTATTAAAATAAAATAAAGGACAAGTTGCCAAAAAAGGTTGTAAATAATGCACAGAAAAATACTAGCAGAATGTACTTCAAAATGTATTAATATCAATGGCTACACTGTAGTTTTACTTTGCCAGTTGTTCAATAGGCACTTTTTAAACCTTTCTAATTGAAGAAAAAAAGTTATTTTTAAAAAGTTATTATTTCATTCCCTCATGAAATAATATTCAATCTTTAGATATTTGGGCTGTTAACATTTCATGATTTGCTTATTTTCCTTTTCTAAAAACACTGATGATTCTCTTAAGCTTCTAAAAACTTCCATGTCTTTATATCACAAAAAAAATACTATAGACTACGGTTCTTTAATATTATGGCTAAGTGAATATTTCACATAAATCTCTAACTACATCCAACAATCTTCATAATTATTGTCTTTTATCAATATAAGTCCTTCAATTACTATATTAATTGAATATAATTATGGTAGTATGAATTTTAGCAAGGTAATTAAAGTATGGAACCATTCTGCCAAGAACAAGATTAAGCCCATATTATTACAAGCAAAAAATGAAGAAAGGAGGAAGAAGGAGGAGGAGGGGCAGGAAGAGAAGGAGGAGGAGGGGCAGGAGGAGAAAGAGGAGAAAGAGGAGGAGCAGGAGGAGGAGGAGGAGGAGGAAAGAAGAAGGAAGAAGAAGAAGGAAGATGAAAGAACAAACAAAAGAGAAGAAGAAAGCAGGAGAAAGAGAAGAAGAAACTGGCAAAGACTCTCCCTTTGACTAAACTTTAATCAGGCTCCTCTAAGGCCTCTTTTCCCCTAGGCCTGGAGCATGACCACATCCGCCACCAACCCCCACCCACCCTGTCCTGTCTTTGGCCTCTGCAGCCCAGTCTTAGCAAAGAATCCTGTTAAGTTAGTTTACTGAGAGTCCTTCCATCCTTAATATTGATCAATCATTTATTTATTATTTATTTATTTGTTGGTTTGCTTGAGATGGGTCTTTCTCTGTTGCCCAGGCTAGACTGCAGTGGCACAATCATAGCTCCCTGTATCCTCAAACTCCTGGGCTCAAGTGATCCTCCCACCTTAGACTTCTGAGTAGCTGGGATTGCAGGCATGAGCCACTATACCAAGCTGATCACTCCTGATATTTGTTCAACTTCCTTTGATGTGTAACTCCTTGGCCTTTAGTAAGACTCTTATCAAGTCAATTTAACAAAATCCCCCTACACTTGATTTCTCCTCCCAGTAATTTTCTATCCACTGACCCCTTTACCATGCTCCTTGGCTGTAAATCCCCAGTTGTTCTTGTTTTATTCTGATTTCTCTCACCTATTACCATATACCTATTGCAACAGTCTTGGATAAAGATTTCCTTACCATTTTAACAAGCGTCAGAAAAATTTTTTCTTTAACAAAACTGGTAGAATGTTGTAATAAAATCAAGCAATAAGCATCAACACATAATTTAGGTAGAATATTTTACATGATTTACTCTCAAATGTATACATTTATCAATACTACGATAAATTTAAAGTCTAATATTCCAAACCTAAGAATGTTTGATGTTTAAAGGAAACATAACTCTGTAACTAATTATAGTTAAAAAAAAAATTTATTGGGCATGGTGGTTCACACCTGTAATCACAGCACTTTGGGAAGCTGAGGCAGGCGGATCACCTGAGGTTGGTAGTTCAAGACCATCCTGACCAACATGGAGAAACCCCATCTCTACTAAAAATACAAAATTAGCTGGGCATGGTGGTGCATGCCTGTAATCCCAGCTACTCAGGAGGCTGAGGCAGGAGAATTTCTTGAATCGGAGAGGTGGAGGTTGCGTTGAGCCGAGATTACACCATTGCACTCCAGCCTGGGCAACAAGAGCAAAACTCTATCTCAAAAACAAAAACAAAAACAAAAACCTTTATGAAAATTAGCAGAGTAAGTTCATGAATTATAACTGCATGGCTCAATGAATCATCACAAAGTGAATATAGTCATGTAACCAACATCCAGTTTAAGGATTAGAACATAAACACCACCTTAGATATCTTATAACCTCTCCCTAGTCACTACCGTCTTTCTTCTCCCCAATAGTAGCCATTATCATGACTTCTAATAGTTTTATTTGTCTGCTTTGATCTTCATATAAAGTATATCATAATGTATTCTTTTGTGCCCATATGAGATGCCTCCATGCTATTGCTTGTAGCTAGTTTATTAATTTTCATTCCCATAGAATATTCCATTATGAAAATATACCACAACTTATTTATCTATTCTAAAACTGCTAGCTATTTAGATCTCCAGTTTAGGGTTGTTATGCGACAATGAATGTTTTTTGGGGTGAAGCAAAGATGGCCAAATAGGAACAGCTCCAGTCTACAGTTCCCAGCGTGAGCGATGCAGAAGACGGGTGATTTCTGCATTTCCAACTGAGGTACCAGGTTCATCTCACTGGGGAGTGTCAGAAAGTGGGTGCAGGACAGTGGGTGCAGCGCACCAAGCATGAGCCAAAGCAGGGAGAGGCATCACCTCACCCAGGAAGCTCAAGGGGTCAGGGAATTCCCTTTCCTAGTCAAAGAAAGGGGTGACAGATGGCACCTGGAAAATCAGGTCACTCCCACCCTAATGCTGCACTTTTCCAACGGTATTAGCAAACAGCACACCAGGAGATTATATCCTGTGCCTGGCTCGGAGGGTCCTACACCCACGGAGCCTCGCTCATTGCTAGCACAGCAGTCTGAGATCAAACTGCAAGGTGGCAGCGAGGCTGGGGGAGGGGCCCCCACCATTGCTGAGGCTTGAGTAGGTAAACAAAGCAGCCAGGAAGCTCCAACTGGGTGGAGCCCACCTCAGCTCAAGGAGGCCTGCCTGCCTCTGTAGACTCCACCTCTGCGGGCAGGGCATAGCGAAACAAAAGGCAGCAGAATCCTCTGCAGACTTAAATGTCCCTGTCTGACAGCTTTGAAGAGAGTAGTGGTTCCCCCAGCACGCAGCTGGAGATCTGAGAACGGACAGACTGCCTCCTCAAGTGGGTCCCTGACTCCCGAGTAGCCTAACTGGGAGGCACCTCCCAGTAGGGGCAGACTGACACCTCACAATGGCCGGGTACTCCTCTGAGACAAAACTTCCAGAGGAATGATCAGGCAGCAACATTTGCTGTTCACCAATATCTGCTGTTCTGCAGCCTCCGCTGCTGATACCCAGGTAAAAAGGGTCTGGAGTGGACCTCCAGCAAACTCCAACAGACCTGCAGCTGAGGGTCCTGACTGATAGAAGGAAAACTAACAAACAGAAAGGACATCCACACCAAAACCCCATCTGTACGTCACCATCATCAAAGACCAAAGGTAGATAAAACCACAAAGATGGGGAAAAAACAGCAGAAAAACCGGAAACTCTAAAAATCAAGTGCCTCTCCTCCTCCAAAGGAATACAGTTCCTCACCAGCAACGGAACAACGCTGGATGGAGAATGACTTTGACGAGTTGAGAGAAGAAGACTTCAGATGATCAAACTACTCCGAGCTAAAGGAGGAAGTTCGAACCCATCACAAAGAAGTTAGAAACCTTGAAAAAAAATTAGACGAATGGCTAACTAGAATAACCAATGCAGAGAAGTCCTTAAAGGACCTGATGGAGCTGAAAACCATGGCACGAGAACTACGTGATGAATGCACAAGCCTCAGTAGCCGATTTGATCAACTGGAAGAAAGGGTATCAGTAATGGAAGATCAAATGAATGAAAGGAAGCGAGAAGAGAAGTTTAGAGAAAAAAGAATAAAAAGAAATGAACAAAGCCTCCAAGAAATATGGAACTATGTGAAAAGACCAAATCTACATCTGATTGGTGTACCTGAAAGTGACAAGGAGAATGGAACCAAGTTGGAAAACACTCTGCGGGATATTATCCAGGAGAACTTCCCCAATCTAGCAAGGCAGGCCAACATTCAAATTCAGGAAATATAGAGAATGCCACAAAGATACTCCTTGAGAAGAGCAACTCCAAGACACATAATTGTCAGATTCACCAACGTTGAAATGAAGGAAAAAATGTTAAGGGCAGCCAGAGAGAAAGGTCGGGTTACCCACAAAGGGAAGCCCATCAGACTAACAGCTGATCTCTCGGCAGAAACTCTACAAGCCAGAAGAGAGTGGGGGCCAATATTTAACATTCTTAAAGAAAAGAAATTTCAACCCAGCATTTCATATCCAGCCAAACTAAGCTTCATAAGTGAAGAAGAAATAAAATTATTTACAGACAAGCAAATGTTGAGAGATTTTGTCACCACCAGGCCTCTTGTAGGGCAGGCCTCTACAAGAGCTCCTGAAGGAAGCACTAAACATGGGAAGGAACAATCGGTACCAGCCACTGCAAAAACATGCCAAATTGTAAAGACCATCGAGGCTAGGAAGAAACTGCATCAACTAAGGAGCAAAATAACCAGCTATCATCATAATGACAGGATCAAATTCACACATAACAATATTAACCTTAAATGTAAATGGACTAAATGCTCCAGTTAAAAGACACAGACTGGCAAATTGGATAAAGACGCAAGACCCATCAGTATGCTGCATTCAGGAAACCCATCTCATGTGCAGAGATACATATAGGCTCAAAATAAAGGGATGGAGGAAGATCTACCAAGCAAATGGAAAACAAAAAAAGGCAGGGGTTGCAAGCCTAGTCTCTGATAAAACAGACTTTAAACCAACAAAGATCAAAAGAGACGAAGAGGCCATTACATAATGGTAAAAGGGATCAATTCAACAAGAAGAACTAACTATCCTAAATATATATGCAGCCAATACAGGAGCACCCAGATTCATAAAGCAAGTCCTTAGAGACCTACAAAGAGACTTAGACTCCCACACAATAATAATGGGAGACTTTAACACCCTACTGTCAATATTAGACAGATCAACGAGATAGAAAGTTAAAAAGGATATCCAGGAATTGAACTCAGCTCTGCACCAAGCGGACCTAATAGACATCTACAGAACTCTCCACCCCAAATCAACAGAATATACATTCTTTTCAGCACCACACAACACCTGTTCCAAAACTGACCAAATAGTTGGAAGTAAAGCTCTCCTCAGCAAATGTAAAAGAACAGAAATTATAACAAACTGTCTCTCAGACGACAGTGCAATCAAACTAGAACTCAGGATTAAGAAACTCACTCAAAACCACACAACTACATGGAAACTGAACAACCTGCTCCTGAATGACTACTGGGTACATAACGAAATGAAGGCAGAAGTAAAGATGTTCTTTGAAACAAACGAGAACAAAGACACAACATACCAGAATCTCTGGGACACATTCAAAGCAGTGTGTAGAGGGAAATTTATAGCACTGAATGCCCACAAGAGAAAGCAGGAAAGATCTAAAATTAACACCCTAACATCACAATTAAAAGAACTAGAGAAGCAAGAGCAAACACATTCAAAAGCTAGCAGAAGGCAAGAAATAACTAAGATCAGAGCAGAACTGAAGGAAAGAGAGACACAAAAAACCCTTCAAAAAATCAATGAAGCCAGGAGCTGGTCTTTTAAAAAGATCAACAAAATTGATAGACTGCTAGCGAGACTAATAAAGAAGAAAAGAGAGAAGAATCAAATAGAAACAATAAAAAATGTTAAAAGGGGGTATAACCACTGATCCCACAGAAATACAAACTACCATCAGAGAATACTATAAACACCTCTACACAAATAAACTAGAAAATCTAGAAGAAATGGATAAATTCCTGGACACATACACCCTCCCAAGACTAAATCAGGAAGAAGTTGAATCCCTGAATAGACCAATAACAGGCTCTGAAATTGAGGCAATAATTAATAGCTTACCAACCAAAAAAAGTCCAGGACCAGATGGATTCACAGCCGAATTCTACCAGAGGTACAAGGAGGAGCTGGTACCATTCCTTCTGAAACTATTCCAATCAATAGAAAAAGAGGGAATCCTCCCTAACTCATTTTATGAGGCCAGCATCATCCTGATACCAAAGTGTGGCAGAGACACAACAAAAAAAGAGAATTTTAGACCAATATCCCTGATGAACATTGATGCAAAAATCCTCAATAAAATACTGGCAAACCGAATCCAGCAGCACATCAAAAAGCTTATCCACCATGATCAAGTGGGCTTCATCCCTAGGATGCAAGGCTGGTTCAACATATGAAAATCAATAAACATAATCCAGCATATAAACAGAACCAACGACGAAAACCATATGATTATCTCAATAGATGCAGAAAGGCCTTTGACAAAATTCAACAACCCTTCATGCTAAAAACTCTCAATAAATTAGGTATTCATAGGATGTATCTCAAAATAATAAGAGCTATCTATGACAAACCCACAGCCAATATTATACTGAATGGACAAAAACTGGAAGCATTCCCTGTGAAAACTGGCACAAGACAGGGATCCCCTCTCTCACCACTCCTAATCAACATAGTGTTGGAAGTTCTGGCCAGGGTAATCAGGCAGGAGAAGGAAATAAAGGGTATTCAATTAGGAAAAGAGGAAGTCAAATTATCCCTGTTTGCAGATGACATGATTGTATATCTAGAAAACCCCATCGTCTCAGCCCAAAATCTCCTTAAGCTGATAGGCAACTTCAGCAAAGTCTCAGGACGCAAAATCAATGTGCAAAAATCACAAGCATTCTTATACACCAATAACAGACAGAGAGTCAAATCATGAGTGAACTCCCATTCACAATTGCTTCAAAGAGAATAAAATACCTAGGAATCCAACTTACACGGGAGATGAAGGACCTCTTCAAGGAAAACTACAAACCACTGCTCAACGAAATAAAAGAGGATACAAACAAATGGAAGAACATTCCATGCTCATGGGTAGGAAGAATCAATATTGTGAAAATGGCCATACTGCCCAAGGTAATTTATAGATTCAATGTCATCCCCATCAAGCTACCAATGACTTTCTTCACAGAATTGGAGAAAACTACTTTAAAGTTCATATGGAACCAAAGAAGAGCCCGCATTGCCAAGTCAATCCTAAGCCAAAAGAACAAAGCTGGAGGCATCACGCTACCTGACTTCAAACTATACTCCAAGGCTACGGTAACCAAAACAGCATGGTACTGGTACCAAAACGGAGATATAGACTAACGGAACAGAACAGAGCCCTCAGAAATAATGCTGCATATCTACAACCATATGATCTTTGACAAACCTGACAAAAACAAGCAATGGGGAAACGATTCCCTATTTAATAAATGGTGCTGGGAAAACTGGCTAGCCATATGTAAAAGCTGAAACTGGATCCCTTCCTTACACTGTATACAAAAATTAATTCAAGATGGATTAAAGACTTAAATGTTAGACATAAAACCATGAAAACCCTAGAAGAAAACCTAGGCAATACCATTCAGGACATAAGCATGGGCAAGGACTTCATGTCTAAAACACCAAAAGCAATGGCAACAAAAGCCAAAATTGACAAATGGGATCTAATTAAACTAAAGAGCTTCTGCACAGCAAAAGAAACTACCATCAGAGTGAACAGGCAACCTACAGAATGGGAGAAAATTTTTGCAATCTACTCATCTGACAAAGGGCTAATATCCAGAATCTACAATGAACTCAAACAAATTTACAAGAAAAAACCAAACAACCCCATCAAAAAGTGGGCAAAGGATATGAACAGACACTTCAGCCAAAAGACACATGAAAAAATGCTCATCATCACTGGCCATCAGAGAAATGCAAATCAAAACCACAGTGAGATACCATCTCACACCAGTTAGAATGACGATCATTAAAAGTCAGGAAACAATAGGTGCTGGAGAGGATGTGGAGAAATAGGAACACTTTTACACTGTTAGTGGGAATATAAACTAGTTCAACCGTTGTGGAAGTCAGTGGGTGCAGCACACCAACATGGCACGTGTATACATATGTAACTAACCTGCATGTTGTGCACATGTACCCTAAAACTTAAAGTATAATAAAAAAAAAGAATGGCCATAATTTAAAAATTAAAAAATAATAGATGTTAGCATGGATGTGGTGAAAAGGGAATAGTTTTACACTGTTGGTGGGAATGTAAAGTAATACAATCAGTATGAAAAACAGTATGGAGATTAAACTAAAAGAAGAACTACCATTTGATCCAGCAATCCCACTACTGGGTATCTACCCAGAGGAAAAAAAAGTCATTGTATGAAAAAGGCACTTACACACGTATGTTTATAGCAGCACAATTTGCAATGTAAAAATATGGAATGGGCATAAATGCCCACCAGCCAATGAAGAAATAAAGAAAATGTGATGTAAAAAAAAAAAGAATGTTTTTATATATGTCTATGTCTTTTGGTGCAATGTGCACACTTAACAGTTGGATATATGCCTATAAATGGAATTGCTGGGTCATACATAATAGATAATGCCAATTACTTTCCAAAGTGGTTGTACCAACTTATACTCCCATGAAGAATATATAAAAGTTTCTGTCATTCCACATTTTTGCTCTTAGTTGATACTATCAGTCTTTTTCATTTTAGCCATTCTGGTGTGTAGTGATCTTACTGTGATGCTACTTACATTTAACAGATGACTAACTGAATATGGATTAGGACAGTATGGATTATAGGAAGACTATATTTAAAATATAGGCTATTAACAGGAAATTTGAGATAGAGTAAGTCTGACAGATCACAAGATAATTGCCATTGTGAAAAGACAGTTTATTATTCACAAAAGGAGGGAATGTCCACCACCACAGAGGGCTAGATGAGGAAGGAGTAGGATCAGTCAGGAGGCAGAGGGAGAGGGAGGACTGTGAGCAAGAAGTTTAATTGTGGTTTCTATGAGAAGGAGTTGGAAAGGCAAGCCATAAGGTTTAAGATTGGCTAGTTTGAATGATTTCAGGAAGCTCTAGGACATAAGGGCTGACCCTAGTTTTCTGGTACCTATCTCTGGGGTGACTAGCACAGGTAAATAGTGGTATGGAGAGTGAGAGCTTGATAAAGGAGGTGGGTGGGGTGTGGGCTCTGGATTGGTTGGTCTGCATTTGAAAAGTACATTCCAAGGCCAGTCGTTTACTATCTCTACAAATGGGCAAACACTGAGTGGGGCTGTGCTTCTAGGGTCAGCAAAACACCAGAATGTCAAAGCATCAGAATATAAAAGGTAAAAGATATGGTTAACATTAATATGTTCATTCAAAGTGTAGAAACAATCTGCCAAGAATGAGAATAAGCCCAGTGCTATTATAAGAAAAACTGAGTACTTTTTCTTTTTTATTGGCCACTGGGAAATCCTCTTTGGTAAAGTACTTGTTTAAGTCTCTTGACCATTTTTCTACTTGGTTGTCATTGCGTTATTATTAAATAAAGTTTTGTATATTCTGGATATCAGTTATTTTGTTATTCTTTTTTTAAAAAATATTTTAACTTTTATTTTAGGTTCAGGGGTACATGTTAGACAGGGAAACTCATGACTCAGGAGTTTGGTGTACAGATTATTTCCTCAGCCGGGTACTAAGCATAGTACCCAACAGCTTTGTTTTGTTTTTTTTCTGAACCTCTCCCTCCCACCCTCCCCACCAAGTAGGCCCCAGCGTCTGTTGTTCTCCTTTCTGTCCATGTGGTCTCATCATTTATCTCCCACTTATAACTGAGAACATGTGGTATTTGGTTTTCTGTTCCTGTGTTAGTTGCTAAGGATAATGGCCTCCAGCTCCATCCATGTTCCTGCAAAGGATGTCATCTCATTCTTTTTTATGACTGCAAAGTATTCCATGGTGTATATGTACCACATTTTCTTTATCCATACTACTACTTATGGGCATTTAGGTTGATTCATTGTCTTTGCTACTCTGAATAGTGTTCAACATACACATGCATGTGTCTTTATAATACAACAATTTATATTTCTTCGGGTATGAAATGAGATTGCTAGGTTAAACAGTAGTTCTATTTTCAGTTCTTTGAGGAACTGCCACACTACTTTCCACAATGGTTGAACTAATTTACACTCCCACCAGCAGTATATAAGTGTTCTCTTTTCTCCACAACCTCGCCAGCATCTGTCATTTTTTTACCTTTTAGTGATAGCCATTCTGACTGGTGGGAGATTGTATCTCATTGTGGATTTGATATGCACTTCTGTAATGATGATATTGAGCATTTTGTCATATGCTTGTTGGCCGCATGTATGTCTTCTTTTGAAAAGTGTCTGTTCATGCCCTTTACCCATTTTTTAATGGGCTTGTTTTTTGTTTGTACACTTAAGTTCCTTGTAGATTCTGGATAATATCTCCCATTCTGTGGCTTCTATTGAACTATTTTTTTAATAATATAATATGAAACCTATTCTTTAAAAATTTTAAGTGTACAGTATTGTCAACTATATTCACACTGTTGTACAATGGATCTCAAGAACATTTTCATCTTATATAACTAAACTTTTTTAAGGCTGAAGGATATTCCATTCCATTTATACACCACATTTTCTTTATCCATTTATCTGCTTATGGACATTTAGTTTGTATCCACCTTTTGGTCACTGTGAGCGACTGCAATGAACACGAGAATATAGATATCTCTTCCAGATCTTCTTTTTAATTCTTTTGGATAAATACCTTTGAAGTAGGATTGCTGGATTACAAGGCAGTTCCACTTTTAATTTGGGGGAAACCTCTATAACATTTTCCACAGCAGCTACACCACTTTACATTCCCACCAAGAGTGCACAAGGATGCCAATTTCTCCACATCCTCACCAACACTTACTTTCTGCCTTTAAAAAAAATTATAGCCATCCTAACAGGTATGAGGGTACAGCTCATTGTTTTTGATTTACATTTCCCTGATAATTAGTGATGTTGAGTATCTTTTCATATAACCTTGCCATCTGCATATCTTCTTTAGAAAAATGTCTAATCAAGCCCTTTGCCATTTTTAATCAGGTTTTTTTTTGCTATTACATTGTATGAATTTCTTATATATTTTTGATATTAATCCCCTATCAGATGCATGGTTTGCAAATATTTTCTTCCATTCTATAGGTTTCCTTTTCACTCTGTTGTTTCTTTTGCTGTGAAGATACTTTTTAGTTTGATATAGTCCCACTTGTTTATTTTTGCTTTTATTCCTGTGCTTTTGGTGTCATATCCAAGAAATCATCACCAAGACCAATGTTATGAAGCTCTTCCCCTACATTTTCTTCTAGAGTTTTATAGTTTAATTCCTTATATTTTTTCATATGCTTCATTTAATCTATTTTGAGTCAATTTTTGTGTATGGTGTAAGATAAAGGTCCAATTTCATTCTTTCGCATGTGAATATCCAGTTTTCTCAAGACTACTTGTTGAAAGAGACTATCCTTTACCTATTATGTAGTTCTGGCATCTTTGTTGAAGATAATTTTACCACAGTGTGTAGGCTTATTTCTGGGCTCTCCATTCTGTTCCATTGGTCTGTGTGTCTGTCTTTATGCCAGTACTAGTTGAATATCCCTTATTTGAAATGCTTGAGACCAGAGCATTTCCAATTTCTGACCTTTTTTTTGATTTTAGAATATCTGTATATACATAAAGATACATCTTGAGGATGGGACCCAAGCCTAAACACAAAATTTATTTATGTTTCATATGTACCTAATACATATAGCCTAAAATTACGTTTGGGCTATGTGTGTTAGGTGCATATGAAACATAAATAACTTTCCTGGGCCCTTTATTCTAATTTTATTGGTTTATATGTCTATCTTTATGCCAGTACCATACTGTTTTGATTAACGTAGCTTGGTAGTAATTTTTGAAATCAGAATGTAGGAGTCTTCCTGCTTTTTTTTCTTTTCAAGGTCCCTTGACATGCCATATGAGTTTTAGGATAGTTATTTTCTGTTTTTGTTTTTGTTTTTTTGATAATAGCCATCCTAGTGGCTGTGATGTAAATCATTTTAAATCCAGTTATCTCTTTTTTTAATGCATTATTTTCCTGTTTAATTCTATCAGTTACTGAGGGATGTATATTAAAATCTACTTTTAGATTTGCCCCTTGGTTTCATCAATTTTTACTTCATTTCTTATGAGGCTGTTTCTTTAGATGCATACAAACAGAATTTTTTTTTTTTTTTTCAGACAAAGTCTTGCTCTGTCACCCAGGCTGGAGTGCCGTGGTGCAATCTCGACTCACTGCAAGCTCCGCCTCCTGGGTTGATGCCATTCTCTTGCCTCAGCCTCCCAAGTAGCTGGAACTACAGGCACCCGCCACCATGCCTGGCTATTTTTTTTTTTTTTTTTTTTTTTTTGTATTTTTAGTAGAGACGGGGTTTCACCGAGTTAGCCAGGATGGTCTCGATCTTCTGATCTCGTGATCCACCTGCCTTTGCCTCCCAAAGTGCTGGAATTACAGGCGTGAGCCACCGCGCCCGGCCAGAATTGTTTTGTCTTCTGGAGGAAGTAATACTTTTCTTCCTGAAAGTCTGCTTTGTTTCATCTTACTATAATTATACCAAGCTACATTAATGTATACATTATTAATATTTTCTGTTCCTTCACTCTTTCCCATGCATCTCTTATAATCAGTACACAATGATTTTTCTTAATCCAAAGTGACATCTTTGTTTCGAGTAGTCTACTTATATTTAATGTAATTATTGATATATTTGGTTTTAAACATATCATCCTGTTAGCAAAACAAATAAATTTCAATGATTTCTAATTTTTCCTAAAATTTCTTATTAAAACATGAGAAGTGACCAAATGAAATTATGAATTATAATCAATATTTAAGGTTTCAAAAGTTTAGCCAAGAGAAGATGGGACGATCATAATCTACAATGTGTAGGGGGAAAAAAAGACACTATCTTTAATTACCTCTTACATAAGGGAATGTTTCATGAACGTATCTCATAAATATGCCTAATGCTACATTTTATAGTTGATGATTTCCTGATTGCGCTATAGTTTTTTCTCTCCTAAAAAGCAATGAATAACTTGTTCTACAGTTTTTTGTAAGGATGAAAATCATTTACAAACTTTCAAACTTTTTTTGTTGCTAATTTATATTTACAAAGTCAGGATTACGAAGTATTCTGATAATTCATTTAATGCCAAGATACATATTTTTCTCTAGGCCTTTTTCTCTTTTCTTCAACTCAAGCTATTATTTTTATCCATGAAATCAAAGACACTCTCATGCCTATTTTTGTCAAGTAAGTTAGCTCTACTAGAAAATCCTAGTTGTCTTCTGCTTCGTTGCATAGAACAAATTTTAATTGTCTTAGACTCTTTATACTGTGTTTTGTACCTTCATAAGAAAATATTGACCAAAATAGAAAAATGTTCAAACTTAATGAATACAATACTTATTGTCAAAAAACAGTTATATTTTTCACAAATGTAAATGCTACAAATAATTTTAAATCCTATTTCTGTTACTAATAAATCCTGAATTTAAAATACACAACAATTTGGGTGGCAGATCTGACCATTTCCACTTTCATCCAATACAGTATTAAGAATCAAACTTAAAAATACAAGTAAAGGATAATCTGGCTTCTAAAACTCAATTACTTAATTTTGAGCCATCACCTCAGTTACTAGATTCAACATATCAATGACTTTCTCAATGTACAGTTAAGTATTTCTGGGAAGTAATAGTTTTCAGTCTTTTCTCTGATCTTTAAACTTGTTATCTAGCACAGCTATTTGTACACATTATCTCACTTCAGACAATAAATAAATTAAATTGTTAGGAAAACAAAACAATTTTCAAACAGAAAATTTGAATTATTTCAGAAAAAGGATTGTTGGGGGGGGTAAAATGAGATATAAATTCCTCCTCCAACTTCTGACCATAATATTCAGATAGCAATCTAATCTACTACGAAGATTTCAGAGGATTCTTAGTTTTGGATGGTCTATGGAGAAAAACCTTTTTATTTCAAGTACAAAGGGAATGTGTCGCTTTGAATTCTACTACACAACACTTGATGTTGAAAAAGTGATGATGCTTTATTGGTACATATTCCAAATAAATTTAAGACTCAATGTATTCTAGTAAAATTCCTTATCCAGACATATAAGATTCCCTTGAAAATATGTTTTCATCTAGGACAAACATGTGAGAACCAGATTCATAATTTTCAAACTGATGTTAGAGAATTTTCCTGGGGTTCCCCAATTCTCTGAGAATTTGACAATTATTTTTATAATATCAATGATAATCCAAGACATTAAATACTGTAAAAGAATAATCAGAGTCACTTGAATGAAAATCTTTTAAGTGTGTAAAGATATCCAATTTCAGTGCCTACGTTGGCAGTATTTATAAGAGCTGGTGGAGAAAGAGGCTCGGCTATATTAAGAAGGTCCTTTTAAAAAATGTTAAGGAGTCATTTCAGGAATTTAAGAGAAGTATAATGATAACATTTACAGTTTTTAAAGATCACTTTGAAATGAATATAAAGAATGTGTTGGAAGAAAAAAATTTTTAAACGAAAACTATTGCAATAGTTCAGACAGCTAAGGAGTAAAACCCATAAAACTAGGTGAACAGATTTGACTGTGGGATGAGGGAAGTGATTACTAAAGCCAAAAGGGAATGATATAGAATGACTACCAAGAGTAAATAATTAATAAGGTAATTTCAGTGAATAAATAACACATTTTTGAGGGAGACTTAAGAATCACTTGAGTACTGATTCATAGGCAATTCAAAGTCTTTGTCTTCACTCTAGGAAACCATATCTAATTTTGTAATTACTACAAAGTATATTGTCAGGGTTCTGTAGAGAAACAGAACCAATAGGATGCACAGATATATATGTATGGAGATATATATATATATATATATATAAAATATACCAACTATATATTATATGTATATATAATTGGCCTATGCAATTATGGAGGTAAACTCCCATGATCTGTCATATATAAGCTAGAGAACGAGGAGAGTCAGTGGTATAATTCAGTATAAGTCCAAAGGCTTGCAAAACAGAAGAGCCAATGCTATAAATTCTAGTCCACAGGCAGAAAACTTACGTCCCAGATCAAATATTCAAGCAGAGAGAGCACGAATTCTCCCTTTGTCTACCTTTGGTTCTAGTCAGGCCCTCAGTGGATTGGATGATGCTGCCCACTCACAATGTGGAGAGCAATCTGCTTTACTCCATCTACTATTCAAATGCTAATCTTATCTAAAGACACTCAAAGACATCCCAAAAATAATGTTTAACCAAATACATGGGCAGCCCACGGCACACATTCAAGTTGACACATAAAATTAACCATCACACCAAATCAAAAATTTCACTTCTGTATTTTGTGAGTTGTGAGTTTGGACGTTTTCCTTCTCCTTTGCTACACAACGTATTTGAAAAATGTAGCTTAACTTCCTTCTATAGATCTTAATGAACTTTAATGTCATCCTTTCATTATTATTTATTCGTAGCTTTATAAAATGGCTCTCCTCTGAATAATTGCTTTGTCTTCCTGGTTTTTATAATGTAAATGAAAGCCTCAAAACAGAATTATTCTTCTCTTCCCATTTTAAGTAGGAAAAAATGGATTTTTTTTTCTTTATAGGCACATATAGAAACTATTGGCAAAAAATAAATGAAAGGGAATTTATTTTTTTCTTTTTTTTCAATTATACTTTAAGTTCTAGGGTACATGTGCACAACGTGCAGGTTTGTTACATATGTATACATATGCCATGTTGGTGTGCTGCACCCATTAACTCGTCATTTATATTAGGTATATCTCCTAATGCTATCCTTCCCCCCTTCTCCCACCCCACGACAGGCCCTGGTGTGTAGTGTTCCCTACCCTGTGTCCAAGTGTTCTCATTGTTCAATTCCCACCTATGAGTGAGAACATGCGGTGTTTGGTTTACTGTCCTTGCGAGAGTTTGCTGAGAATGATGGTTTCCAGCTTCATCCATGTCCCTACAAAGGACATGAACTCATCATTTTTTATGTCTGCATAGTATTCCATGTTGTATATGTAACACATTTTCTTCATCCAGTTTATCACTGATGGACATTTGGGTTAGTTCCAAGTCTTTGCTATCGTGAATAGTGCCGCAACAAACATATGTGTGCATGTGTCTTTAGAGTAGCATGATTTATAATCCTTTCGGTATATACCCAGTAATGGGATGGCTGGATCAAATAGTATTTCTACTTCTAGATCCTTGAGGAATTGCCACACTGTCTTCCACAGCAGTTGAACTAGTTTACAGTCCCACCAACAGTGTAAAAGTGTTCCTATTGCTCCACATCCTCTCCAGCACCTGCTGTTTCCTGACTTTATTTAATGACTGCCATTCTAACTGGTGTGAGATGGTGTCTCATTGTGGTTGTGATTTGCATTTCTCTGATGGCCAGTGATGATGAGCATTTTTCCATGTGTCCTTTGGCTGCATAAACGTCTTCTTTTGAGAAGTGTCTGTTCATATCCTTTGCCCACTTTTTGATGAGGTTGTTTGATTTTTTCTTGTAAATTTGTTTAAGTTCTTCGTCGATTCTGGATATTAGCCCTTTGTCAGATGAGTAGATTGCAAAAATTTTCTCCCATTCTGTAGGTTTCTCCCATTCACTGTGATGGTAGTTTCTTTTGCTGTGCAGAAGCTCTTTAGTTTAATTAGATTCCATTTGTCAATTCTGGCTTTTGTTGCCATTGCTTTTGGTGTTTTAGACATGAAGTCCTTGCCCATGCCTATGTCCTGAATGGTATTGCCTAGGTTTTCTTCTAGGGTTTTTATGGTTTTAGGACTGACATTTAAACCTTTAATCCATCTTGAATTAATTTTTGTACAAGGTGTAAGGAAGGGATCCAGTTTCAGCTTTTACATATGGCTAGCCACTTTTCCCAGCACCATTTATTAAATAGGGAATCCTTTCCTCATTGCTTGTTTCTGTCAGGTTTGTCAAAGATCAGATGGTTGTAGATGTGTGGTATTATTTCTGAAGGCTCTGTTCTGTTCCATTGGTCTACATCTCTGTTTTGGTACCAGTACCATGCTATTTTGGTTACTGTAGCCTTGCAGTATAGTTTGAAGTCAGGTAGTGTGATGCCTCCAGCTTTGTTCTTTTGGCTTAGGATGGACTTGGCAATGCGGGCTCTTTCTTGGTTCCATATGAACTTTAAAGTAGTTTTTTCCAATTCTGTGAAGAAAGTCATTAGTAGCTTGATGGGGATGACATTGAATCTATAAATTACCTTGGGCAGTATGGCCATTTTCACAATATTGATTCTTCCTATCCATGAGCATGGAATGTTCCTCCATTTATTTGCGTCCTCTTTTATTTTGTTGAGCAGTGGTTTGTAATTCTCCTTGAAGAGGTCCTTCACATTCCTTGTAAGTTGGATTCCTAGGTATTTTATTCTCTTTGAAGCAATTGTGAATGGGAGTTCACTCATGATTTGACTGTTTGTCTGTTATTGGTGTATAAGAATGCTTGTGATTTTTGCACATTGATTTTGCGTCCTGAGACTTTGCTGAAGTTGCCTATCAGCTTAAGGAGATTTTGGGCTGAGACGATAGGGTTTTCTAGATATACAATCATGTCATCTGCAAACAGGGATAATTTGACTTCCTCTTTTCCTAATTGAATACCCTTTATTTCCTTCTCCTGCCTGATTACCCTGGCCAGAACTTCCAACACTATGTTGATTAGGAGTGGTGAGAGAGGGGATCCCTGTCTTGTGCCAGTTTTCACAGGGAATGCTTCCAGTTTTTGTCCATTCAGTATAATATTGGCTGTGGGTTTGTCATAGATAGCTCTTATTATTTTGAGATACATCCTATGAATACCTAATTTATTGAGAGTTTTTAGCATGAAGGGTTGTTGAATTTTGTCAAAGGCCTTTCTGCATCTATTGAGATAATCATATGGTTTTCGTCGTTGGTTCTGTTTATATGCTGGATTATGTTTATTGATTTTCATATGTTGAACCAGCCTTGCATCCTAGGGATGAAGCCCACTTGATCATGGTGGATAAGCTTTTTGATGTGCTGCTGGATTCGGTTTGCCAGTATTTTATTGAGGATTTTTGCATCAATGTTCATCAGGGATATTGGTCTAAAATTCTCTTTTTTTGTTGTGTCTCTGCCACACTTTGGTATCAGGATGATGCTGGCCTCATAAAATGAGTTAGGGAGGATTCCCTCTTTTTCTATTGATTGGAATAGTTTCAGAAGGAATGGTACCAGCTCCTCTTTGTACCTCTGGTAGAATTTGGCTGTGAATCCGTCTGGTCCTAGACTTTTTGTTCATTGGTAGGCTCTTTATTGCCTCAATTTCAGAGCCTGTTATTGGTCTATTCAGGGATTCAACTTCTTCCTGGTTTAGTCTTGGGAGGGTGTATGTGTCCAGGAATTTATCCATTTCTTCTAGATTTTCTAGTTTATTTGCCTAAAGGTGTTTATAATATTCTCTGATGATAGTTTGTATCTCTGTGGGATCGGTGGTGATATCCCCATGAAAGGGAATTTCTTATCATGTTGTTAAATTTCACACAGCTCTTTGTCAATGTGACTGGCTTCTCTAATACGTTTTACCTCCTTGTACTTTAAAAAAGCCATTTTGCCTATTTCATCCCAGTGCCTAAAACAGCGTCTGGCACATGATAGGTGCTCAATAATTTGTCAAATATTGAATAAATGAACAAATTCATATCTCAATTAGCAAAAGAGTATAACTGCAAAGCCTCAGACGAGCATTTCTCTTACTTCATTTAATAAGAAGTATAGGATTCCCTCCACTGAGTCTTCTCTTACAATCTACCAACCTCCTCTGTTGCTGTTCTCCTGTTGGTTGGTCTCACATTTCTTCTCCCTATGATTGTTCATGTCAAAGGCTTTCTAGGACCATTAATTTTTCTTCACCATGTTTCTGCCAGAAAAATCACTGCATTTTATCATTGTGCAGACAATTATGGCACTCATGTTTTATTTTGGAAAAAGAAAAAAAAACCTCTGTCAGCAAACAATTCCTATTGAATGCAAACATTTTTAAGTCAAAAAGTTCTTAGCGAAGCACAGATTGTATGTCTAGGACACAACTTTCTGCTGGAGTCAAAGTCATAATTTCTTTTATAAATGAAATGTAAATGCCATGGTAATTTAAAATCTACCATCATGCATCTTTTTGAAAATTACATGAACAAGCTCTCCTTTAGCAGCTGGGAACTGGATATCATGCCTCTTTTCCTTGAATTCATATTTCCATCTCACTTCCTCCACATTAGCTTATCCCAACATAATATATTTTAGTGTTTCAAAATATTTTAAATTGATCACCCTATCATACTTCCCTACAATAAAAAAAGTAAATTTTAAAATTTCCAAGAACATAAATTCTAATACTGTGACCTCATTAAATGACTAGAACACTTTTGATGAGTATTAAACATATAACAAATTATAATTATCATAAAATATATAAAGGATTTTTTTTTTTTTGAGACGGAGTCTTGGTCTGTCACCCAGGCCGGAGTGCAGTGGTGCAATCTCAGTTCACTGTGGCCTCTGCCTCCTGAGTTCAAGCAATTCTCGTGCCTGAGCCTCCCCAGGTGGCTGGGACTACAGGAGTGAGCCACCATGTCTGGATAATTTTTGTATTTTAGTAGAGATGGAGTTTTGCCATGTTGTCCAGGCTGGTCTTTAACTCCTGACCTTAGGTGATTGGCCCATCTCAGCCTCCCAAAGTGCTGGGATCACAGGCATGAGCCACTGTGCCTGGCCTATAAAATATAAAAAGCTTTTATTGGAAATGCATGTCATAAAAAAAATGGACAGGACCTTCTGCCCCCTCCCTCATTAGGCCATATACCCAAAAATAAATATTACTTATTGCTAGAAAGAAACAGAATTCAGGTTAATTCTATTTTTATATGTTTTATTCTTCCATTCCAAACATTTGCAAGTGTAACGATTTCTGGTTATAGCAATAATCATTTGTGTGAACTCATAAGTTATATACCAAAAATCACACATGGGTATGCTTCAAAAATTATTTTTAATGATCAACTGATAAGTCAATTTGGTCCTTCTGCAATTATTTTCTAAAGCAACTGTAACTCACCAATTTTGCCAAAGAGTTAACTACTCATTCATCACAGTCATTTACTTTCTAAACACCACTATCAAGATTTAGGTCAGATAAGGTATCCCCATATTTGTCAGTGAGAGAGGGACAACTGCTAAAGAGGAAAGCAAAAAGATGTCTAGTTCAGTACACTCTGAGGAAGATCAATCTTAGGAATGAATACATGCAAGTTGACAACCTGAGAATTAATACTCTTAAACTATCCTTAACTATATAACCCCCCCGGGAAAGCCTTTATGTTCCTCTCAAGGTTAAGGGTAAAGGATGTATGTTGCCCAGTTCAGAGACTGCCGGTTTAAGATGCACACAGGTTTGGATACACACAGTTTAACAGAAGTCATGCACTGCAAGGCATACATAATTCTCTCTCGTGTGTGTGTGTGTGTGTGTGTGTGTGTGTGTGTGTGTGTGCATACATCTGAGATAGAGGGAAAGGAGGGGTAAGGAGACAAAGGAGACGGGGGAAGGAGAAAGTACAGGGAAAACAGGGAAGACAACTGTGTATGCCCAAATACCAGGTTTTATTTTGGGTAGTATTCTTGAAATCATTTTTATCCTTGCCACTAAAACTATTCTCATACCCTAAAGATAGTAACCTGAACATGTGATATGTCAGGAAAACAGAGGAAGAAGTTTCTGAAACAACACCGATGGAATGACACTGAAGCTGATATGAACATGAAAAGACAGACACTGCCATTTCAATTTAGTGGTATTGACATATTAAGTCTTCTTCCTCTGACAATCAAGAGCCACATCTATCTCGGGTGCACCAAAGCACAGTCCTCAGAATATACAACAAAGAAACAAAAAATATGACCCCTGAGGTAATATGACATTAATCAAATTAAATATACAATTTAAATCACTAATCAGAAATTCACTTAAAAAATTTTCTTAAAAATTGCACTTACTGTTTCTTTTTACTGTAAATATTCTTCACAGCTCAGATATAGACAAAGTCCTCATTTAAGAAAAAAAAAGGTTTTTCATTATTTTTACATGTTGCCTAAGATTTGAAGCTCTAAAAATGCACCTTATTACCTAAAAATAAGTAAAAAGGCTAAGCTACAGTCAGAAGTTGTACTAGGGCCCATATTCTTTGTTAAGATATTGCTTTGAAGTCCAAGCTAATTCAGTGAAAAAGGGAACCCAGTCTCGGCCAGTATCATGTCCTTCAGGAGCCCTTTCCCTGATGGGAGAACATCTAGATCTTGGAATTGGTGTAGGGGGTGGAAAAAAGTGGAGAAGGAGCTTTTGTAATATATATATGTATATATATATATTTTTTATATAATGAGCGACAACATGTAGACAGGACAATTTTTAAAGTGCCTGGTGTCAAGAGTGTTCAATTCAGTCCAAAACAGCCATTCTAAAAAATATATATATATTTTTAAAGCAGTGACTTGTTTTGAAAATTTCAGATTAAATTTGTAGCTACAAAAAATGTAATGGTTTAAAAGAAAAGAAACTGTCCCAAACTTGGCCTTGGACACAGCTTTTTAGATGATGTAATTCACAACTCCCTCTTGGGAAAATATGAAAATTCCTGAAAAAAATCCCTAAGCAAAGTTCCAATAAATTTCAATGGAATCAAGATGCTCTGGAAAACCAACCACTCACTGAACTAGTTGGCTATCAGTTAAGATTATCATTCAGGACCCCTAAATTCTTTTCTTTCTTAGAGCTTAACAATTATCTAACCATTCTCTTTTCCTATAAAATGTCCTTATCAAGACTGTATCTTTTAATTAACTTATCAGAGGTCTTTCCCTGATAATAAACCTTTAATACATGATTATATATGAACTGTGTAACAAGTTTTCTCTAACAATTTATTTTATTTGAGAAAGTTAATTGAAGCAGATACAGGGTGGAAAGTGACCATTTGCAGCTAAATCCAATGACTATACGGATTATATTTTGTCATAATCTAGCAGGGGTTCTACAACCCAAAAAGAAAAACTAAGATGTTTTACTTGACTAAAATAATAAAATTTGTACATCCTGGTTAAGCAAATACATTTCTTAATAAACCCATTATATGTTAATAAACCCACTGTGTAGTGTGCACTGTGAAACAAAAATTGACTCTCTCACCAGATAAACTTCAAAATACTGATTTATGACATTTTATCTTTACTTACTCAGAAAGAAAAGATAAAAATGATGTCCCCTGCCTTTTCAACAATTCTTAAATTATTTTAAATTGTGAACGAAGATTCAAAAATATTTCTACACCTTCAAATTAAAAACCAGGTTACCACTTTATTTCTAATAACTTGTGATGCCTCAACCAATTTTGCTAGCATTCTTCAAAACTCTACTTGTAAAAACATACACCTAATGGTTGTTTTAAATTGAAAATTCTCAAAATGCATCATGGAAGCAATAAAAAAATTTAAGGACTGATACTTGCTCAAAATATTAAAAACACTGCTCTCTTCCATTCTCCAGCCCAGTAAATTGAAGCAAATCGTTTCCTTTCTCAACGATAACATTAACACAGATTTCTAAGTATTTTTAGAAATGTCATAAAACTTCAACTTGTGGTCTTTGTTCCTAACAGCTATAAATTTTCACTTAAATCTAAACCAAAAAAGACAATAAAAAAACCAACAACAATAAAAACGAATTTTCATATAAACCCTTGAGTGAAATCCATCCTATTGGGCTGACAGTTGGGCTGATAGTTAAGCGGACAGATGACAAAATACTACTTTAAGGGGGTGGTGAGTAATGTCCGTATTGCTAATCGGCGGTTAGTGACGTTAAATTTTCTATAATTATTGTTCCTTGTTTATTTGTTTATTTAACCAATAATACCTTAGAGTTACAGGGGTTCCACCTGGCTGCGACCTTCAATGACTAATTAATTCAACTACTTGTGACTCCACAGCTAGGGACGGTCTATCATCTAGAAATAACCAAGGTGGTGGCAACTCCAGGGAAGCCGGGCGCAACTCCAGTACTCTGGCATCTTCTCCCTGTCTCTCATTCCATAAATTGAGCAGTGTGCTAGAAGTCGTGGTGTCGTTTGTGAATAATTACAGACCCCTACGCAATTCGTCGAGCTTGTGCCTCAAGTGATCGCCTGAGGGCTTGCAAGTAGTTTAGAAAACAGAGGCTACAGAGGAACGGCTTCTAACAGACTTCCCAGTTCCCAGCCACGTCAGCTCGTAAGCCTGTAACAGCGCTAC
Organism: Homo sapiens; assembly: GCF_000001405.40. NCBI lineage: Eukaryota > Metazoa > Chordata > Mammalia > Primates > Hominidae > Homo > Homo sapiens. The sequence continues at coordinate 28,349,334 of NC_000003.12, read as the reverse complement.
TGAGCCGAGCCAGCACGCACCACACGGCCCGGGGACCCCCCAAAAGGACACTGAGTGAAAAAGACGCACCAGAGGGCGCCCCTGAAGGGGGACCTCGGCCCAACAGACAAGACGGCTGGTAACGCTCTTACCTAACTCCACTCCGCCTCCGCCTCCTGGCGTCCCGCGGCCCCGCCCCGTCCCGCCGCGGAGGCTCACGGGACATGTAGTACGCCGCGCGCCACTCCTGCACTTCCCCACCCCCACGACCGAACCTGGCTTCGCTAACGCCCTCCCAGCTCCCTCGGGCCTGACTTCCGGTTTCCTCGCGCGTCCCTGGCGCCGAGCCCGCGGACAGCGGCAGCCCCTTTTCCGGCTGAGAGCTCATCCACACTTCCAATCACTTTCCGGAGTGCTTCCCCTCCCTCCGGCCCGTGCTGGTCCCGACGGCGGGCCTGGGTCTCGCGCGCGTATTGCTGGGTAACGGGCCTTCTCTCGCGTCGGCCCGGCCCCTCCTGCCTCGGCTCGTCCCTCCTTCCAGAACGTCCCGGGCTCCTGCCGAGTCAGAAGAAATGGGACTCCCTCCGCGACGTGCCCGGAGCAGCTCCCTTCGCTGTGGAAGCGGCGGTGTCTTCGAAGAAACCGGAAGCCCGTGGTGACCCCTGGCGACCCGGTTTGTTTTCGGTCCGTTTCCAAACACTAAGGAATCGAAACTCGGCGGCCTTGGGGGCGGCCCTACGTAGCCTGGCTTCTGGGTGAGTGACTCGCCAGGGACGGGTGGAGGATAGGGATGCGGGCAATGCCGCGGCCAACCTCCGTAGCTGTTGCCGGTCCAAAAAGACACGTCATTTTTTTCTCACTCCCTCCCGCGCCCCCTCCTTTGACTAGGGAGCGGCCCACTCCTGGGCATCCCTTTCCCCAGTCACCCCCACACCCAGCTGTCCACACCCTTTCCCCTGTCACCCTCACCCCCAGCTGTCCAGGCCCTTCTTGGTCATTCACTTCTCTAATTACTCCTTTTCTTTTCGTACTCTTACTGGGGCGCCTTCAGTTTTTTTTCATTCATTGAGACTGCTAAATGCTTCTTTCCGATACAAATTATCGGAAAGAAAAGAGGGACATTGGCTAGGACGGTACTCCCTGGGGCATCTGAGTGGTGAATATCGACCCCCTGCACTTGATCGAGGGCTAACAGGTATTCGTCGTTTCTCCAATGTCTAACCTGTATACGGTATTCATTCCAGCCTTCGGCTGTTTGTTGAGTAACTACTACTACGTGCAAGGTAGGCTGACACCCTCTACACAAAAGAAACCCCAATACTCGAAAGCGAGATAAAATACCCACGAAAACTCTAGTACAAATCAAACCATCAGTTGCTCCAAGAGGTGATGGAAATTTGCTAAGGTGATCAAAGACAGACGTACCAGAATTAAAATTGACCCTTGCGCCTTATGTGTAGAAGACATTTTGGTTTTTAGATTGGAATTTCAAATTGGATTGAGCAAGATCTCAAGGCAGAATTTCATTTCTCTAAAAACGCCATATCTCATTGCCCAATCTTGTGATCATTTCATCATCTGTAAATTGAGAACAGTGCATCCTTTACAGGATATTTCCAAATTTTAATGTGATATTGTTTGTAAGCCAGACATCTTACGCAAGTAGAAGGTTTTAATATTAAAGAGACAGCATAACATAATGGGAAATGACACTGGATTAGGTCAGAACACCAGTATCTGAATGCTGATTTTTCCATTTACTTGACAATGGGTAAGAGGCTAAACTTTTTCTTCATTTTCCTTATCTCTGAAATGGGTGTAATACATACTCTAAGGCACCAAAGCATAGTTTCTAAGAGTTATGCTGGCTCTGGAGTCAGCTGCCTGATTTTCATTTCTGGCTCCCCTACTTTCTAATGTTTTCATGTCTCAATTTCTCCACCTGTAATCTGAGGAGATTCTTTACAACCTCAGAGGTATTACATAGATTTACTGAATGCTTATGAAGAACAAATGAGATAGTTTCTCCAAAAGGTGAAGCACACTGCTTGGTATACCATAAACGCTTGGCTACTATTAATTACCAATGCAGAACCTTGTCATTATTATTAAGTAAAATGCTGAAGTTTTTTTTATAATCCATGAAGTAATAGAACCAATCTTTTTCTTTTTTATGGCACTTATATTCAGAGTGCAAGTATAGTTGCCTTATCACTGTTAGAAAATAATTTTCAATAACACCAGTAACATTGAATGTATAGTAGATGCTTAGTTGCATTAGAGGTATTACTGTATGAAAGGGATGAAAAGAAGTAGACTGCTCTTCATACCTATGCTAACTCTGGAAGAGTCTTGATCTGTGCAATACAAACTGATTTCTGGACTAACGCAGTTTGTTGGATAACTCAAGAGTCATAAAAATGGAACTGGAGTTTTTCTTCATATTGTATATCTAATGTTGAGTACATTTTTGGACATTTATTGAATTACAGGGCTTTTTATTGCTAATGTACACAGATTAAGAGATGATGTTTTGAAAAGAGGTACTTGATGACCCTTCTTTATAAACTAGTTAGGCTATTTTACAAATTGAGAAAGGGGAATAAGCATTGGTCTGTTCGTCTTCGTAAGACTTAATCCTTGCTCCATAGTATTTTGACTGATTGTACGAAATAGGTTCGGGAATATCCTAACTTTTCAGAGGTAGAAAGGTGGTGAAAATTCTAAATATGATTTACTTCAGGAGGCAATATGGAATAAAGAGCCTACCATATAGGCCTTGATTCAAACTTCAGTTTTGTCACATACTGCTGTGGTGAGGTGAATTTACCTCACCTCTTTGAGCCTCAATTTCCCCATTTATCATGGTGCTAATACCTTTCTTGCCAAGTTTGGTGTGGACTTGAGATAATGTGTGTACCATACCTTTTATGCAGTTCCTGGCATAAATGTGAATTCCCTTCTCTCTGTTTAGGTTGCCATTGTTCTGTATTTGTATTAAACTTTTGCCTTCACAGTTTAGTAAGGTGGCATCTTAGTGATGTAGTCTAACCCTATCATTCTGTATAGGTGGGAAAATTTTGATCTAGAGAGGTAAAGCGAACTAAACTATAATCAGGGTTGCAAATCCTAGACTAGAATCTGTGTTTCTGAATCCTGGGAAAGTGTTCTTTTTGACATAGTTATGCCTTGTCCATATTCTTAGGATAACCAGAATCCCTTTTGTATTGCCTCTTTGAATGTTGTATTAAGACCATAGACTTCTGACAGCTTACTTAGGTTCACATCTCACCTTTGCCACTGATTAGCTGTGTAGCTATAGGTAAGGTATTTAACTTTTCTAAGACTTTCTTCATAACAGTACTTAGCTAAGTGGTAGAAAAATGCATGTGAAAGCACTAGTGACTGGCATATGGTAAGTGATCAATAAATGGCAGATATAAAGATGATGAAATATGAAAATGGCAGATATAAAGATGATGAAATATGACAGGATAATCATATTTATTCCTAGAAAAAAGACCAGTCTGATATCAGCAGATATGTTTTCTAGTATCCCAAACTTTGACATACGTAGCATATGAACAACTGAGAGTTCTCTTGGTGTTGATTGCCATGATGAAGACTGAAATTTAAGATCTTCTAAAATAATTCTAATAAATAATGTTTGAATCTTTTTTTTCCTGTGTTTCTCCCCAAGCTTCAGGTAGTACTGTTCTTATTTCTACCTACTTTATCTGACAAATTGTGCCCTTTCTTTTTTATCATTCTTGGAAATTTCATTGTTCTCAAAAATAATTGTCAATAGTGTTTACCTCAATCTTTTCTAATTCGCTTTTTATATTTAAGTAAACCTCTAAGGAGAAACAAAATTTAATTGCCAAATATATAAAATGTTTGCATGAGTACATATAGATACATTTGCCTATAAATGTGCTTTATTTAACACCCCACTATATTGTGATGAGATGATGAATGTGAAATTACTTTCTATAATATTAAAAATAAAATCTAAAGGGTGTTTACTAATTCATAACATAGAACTAACTGTGCCCACAAATGTTCAAGGATACTAAGAATTGGAATTCTGTAAATTACGTGGTAACTGCTTGGCTTTGTTCTTTCTGATGAGTGGTTCTCAAATTGGAATATGACTTAAAATCACCTGGGTGCTTATTCAGAGTGCACTTTGCAGTTTTTCACCCCAGATATTCTGATTTGCATAGATCTGCAGTGGAAGCTAGGAATCAGTATTTTTTAACAGAATGCAGAGGAATTCTAAGGCAGTGGTCCACACCTTTGTCAAACACTGCCCTCAGTCATCTCCAGCTTCTTAGAATGCCCTTGGAAAAGCAAAATTTATTTATGGAATGTCCCTGTGGAATACATTTATTACTGATTTTCATCACTGAGAGAAGTCCACTTAAGCTTGTCTTTGGACAGTGTTTTGATGTTTGTTAAGTTTTGAAAGTTCAGTTTCTGCTAGACTATTTAAAATACTATCTAGTCTTTGGTAATTTTAATTTTTGATAACAATATTCTGCTCATGGCACTTATTTTTTAAAGATTAATGCTAACAAAGATTTATTATTTTAAGAGCATTTAAATTATGATAAATAAGACTCAGTATAATGTTAAGTTTCTTCAAATGTTAAATGATATAACTAGCTTGGTCTAGTTTGTCAAATAGAATAATAGCCAGTTACACTTTTACCATTTATCTAGAAAATCAGACTTCATGGGCCAGCTGATTTGGATACACACACACAGCCATTTCATTGCAACAAAAGTGTTTAAAACTGAATCTTTATTATGAGACTGATTACCACAGCTCCCTTTACTTCTCTGTAGAAATACATTTTATAAAGGATGCTTGCGTAGCAATAACACCAAAGGCAACACATAGCCTACTTTTTACTTTGCTAACAGTTTTCCTTTCATTATATTAATAAATATAATGGGATATCTGCCTTGTATTGTTTCCTTTCTATGATCTCATTTTCCCTGGACCTGTAGCTTTTACTCTCCAGAAGTCTGGTTTGTACAGACTAATATGATAAGTATTAATATTCTCATGCTTGTGATTTCATATTAATTTTTGCAGGGATAGTAATTAAAATTTTAATTTTCCATTTTATAACAAATTTAAATGACAGTTATTTTAAAACAATAAAAGTTGATACATATATGTGGTGCTAGCACATTGTGTGTTTTAATATATGGCTATTTCTTACATAACTTTTAGGACAGATAAGCAATTTGATGCTGCTTTTCCGCGTATTCTAAGTAATGTTTATAGTGTATAGAATAAATATATAGAATAATGGTATAAAACTTGAAAAATCCTTTTATGCCATTGTTTTCTTACATAATATATGCAACTTTTGATTTATAAATAAAAAGGTAGCATATCAATAGGTAAACCAGTCTGACTACTCATATTGTCTTAAAAATGACTAGCTATCATGTTGTATAAAATGTGACATTATTGTATCAATATACCCCCTTCCATGTAAAGTACTTTTGTAAGCCTTCTGAGGGGTTCCTAGATTTGTAGGAGTGTAAGATTTTGTAAAAGATTCATTGGAGAGGGGAAAATATTAATAGCTCAGGCTCTAAAATCCAAGTCCTGGTTCATACTAATTAAGTGATCCTAGCTAAGCTTCTTTACCTTTCCAGGTCCCAGTTTTCTCATCTGTGAGATGAGTTTGATAAGATTTTGTACCTCATAGGGTAGTCTTGAGAATTAAATGGGATAATGTTTGTAAACATTTAGCATAATGCTAAGTAGTTCACTGGTTGTGAATTAAAAAAAAAAAATCAACATTGTAAGTATTCACACCCTTTAATCATGTCCAGGCCTGTGTTTTTAAAATTCAGCAGAATAAGCACCAAAATCCACAGTGCCTCTACCAGGAAGGACCATCTCAGTTTGTCTCCATCCTGCCTTTTTAATCTCATCTCCTGCCACTCCTCTTCTCAACCTTTCTCCCCACACTTAGATCTTTGAACTTGTTCCCCTGCTGGAAGTTAACAAACTGTAAAGGTGTAAGTACAATAAGTACAGTACAATGAAAATAACCATCCTCTTCACATGAGAGTACAGTCTTAAGAGACATTTGCTCTTTTGTGGTATCTTCTTTGAAAACCACTTTTTCTCCCCATCCCTCAGACCCCCCATAACATTCTGTTGTTTCAAATTTATTACCTACCTTTATGGTATAATAATAATTTTTCTGCACAACTCTGCCTCTCTGGGTTTTCCTTGCTGTGTAAATGATTGTTTCATGATAAAAATGAACAAGTAAATCCCAGCTGAGCTAGTTAGAAGTTTGTGTAAAACAGAAGTGCGTGAGCCCAATCCTTAAAATACACAAACTGCAGGGTATCTGTTTTTGACTTCGCAGAGCAGTTTATGTTATTTCTTGTTTTCAGCTGTCTTTAGAAAAAATCCACATCGAATAAATCCTGCCCATTGGGTTGAGTATTAAATTATTTAAGTCAAATGTCTACTGTGGGTACAATTTTACCTCTCCTTAAACCAGGCTGCATTCTACCACTTACCTAGCCGTCTGTGACTATTTTACTTGCTCTACTTTTAAGGGGAGTGTGTGTGTGTGTGTGTGTGTGTGTGTGTGTGTGTGCATGTGTAAGAGTCTTATATGAAGATATATATGCATACTTTCAGTTTGCAATATGAGAATAACCTGCACTTTTATTTTGAAAGGAAATAATGAGAGTTTCAGCTAGCAGTAGCATGACTGGAATGATGTTTGCTCTTATTTTGGAATATCATTGAATCTGGAGACTGAAAAGTAAACTCTTTTAGAGGAAGAAAAGTTAAACTTTTCATCATTAGGAGAAAATGCAGCTTGCATCAGAAGCAGCATGAGTAATTATGGTTCTGAGAATCCGCCACTTTTTTGGTATACTGTAGATAGCATAGTCTATTCTTGTTCTTGGACTTTATTGAAAAACTGGGAAAGATTGTACCTTAAGAGTGGGAGTTGTCCTGTATGGTTAGAAAATGTTAAATTGATGTTAATGAAGATTGACTGGATGGCAGGTTTTACCTACTCAAGACTTGTAGTATACACATTTATTTTAACCTGCCTTTCTTATAATTCTAGATACAAATTGCTTAGATGCTCCCAGCTGTTGCTTTAGTTGACAATTGGAAGTTTTTAATTGTACAATTAGAAAAGCAAAAATATAATGATATAAGACCAGACCCAGAAAAACACAAAACCTTTTGTTAGTATTCATGTGATCTGAAATAAGGCAAAAGAAATGTTAAAGGGATTAGTTGACACAGGAGGGAGATTAGACATTTTGGAAGAAAGCAGGCATAGTGAAACACGGGTTGGAAACGTGGCTGTAGTTAAATTGCCTATGTTTACATCTCAACTCTCCACTTACTATGTTACTTTGGAAAAAATACTTAAATTCCTCCTACCTCAGTTTCTTCATCTATAATGTTCTTGAACAGTGACTGATATTAGTAAGTAACCAAATTTTATTTCAAGCAAGGGATAGTTAAAAACTCACTTTCTAGTAATAATTACTGATCTAAGATACATGAAATTCAATTGATAATCTTTATTTAGAGTGCTATATTTAGTTTTTTATTTTAAACTAAAAAATATTTAAAAGGACTTTTTAGGTTCTCTTGCATGGTCTAAAGTCCCTCTTATTCTGTTTTTCCCAGGAGGTCTTAAAAGGTTTTAGCCACAGTTTCTCCTTCCATCATGTTTTTCAGGAACCTAACTCTCAGAGAAGTAATGCTGAACCTAACAGCAAAAGTAGATGTTCAGAGCAAGTCAGTTTTTCGTTAAACAATGAAGGTAACGAGCTCTTCTCTTAGGTTTTGGAGTCAGAGTTTGATTTGAATCCTACTCTACCCACTCTTCATTCAGTAATCAATATTTATTGAGCAACTTCTACACAGTGATGAGTTGGGGACACAAATGATGGGCAAAACAGACAAAGCTTCTGCCCTCACAGAGCTTAACATTCTTCTAGATTTAACAGGGCTAATTCAACTTTCTAAGACCTACCTATAAAATATAGATGATACATATTTCATAGAATTGTTCAGATAATTAAAAGAGATAATATTAAAAGAATGTAGTGCATTATAGTGGGACATATTGGACACTCAAATGTTAATTAATTTGTCTTCTATTCTAAATATACAACAAACATAGCCAATTACTGGTATGGAAAGATAGAGTATGCATTAAGACTTCTATAATATAATATTAATATGTTGTTGTAATGAATTATACTCAAAGAACTTTTGAAAATTTATAAATTGAGAAGCTATGAAACTTGCTACTAATAGATCTAAGTGGAAATGTTAGGAGAAGATATATTTGGGGATGAAGTATTTTAAAAAATTTTGATTGTTTTAATGAAACTGATATTTCAGATTTTTATAGAACATACTAATAATTATGGTTTTAAGTGGTTTATAGATATAATTTAATATTCTTAAGACTCTATGAGGTATTTGCTGTTATTTCTTGTACTTTATAAATAAGGAAACTGAGGCATAGAGGTTAAGCAACTTGCCCAAAGTCAGACACTAAATGGTAGAGTTTAGAATACAACCCAGGCAGTCTGGTTTTTAAACATTGTCCTAGTATTTACATTATTCTTAACTATAACTTTTTTTCCTTTTCACTTATTCAGTGAGACATTTGTCACTCATATTTTTTTTCTTTTAAACAGTTGTCATGGATGCACTGGTAGAAGATGATATCTGTATTCTGAATCATGAAAAAGCCCATAAGAGAGATACAGTGACTCCAGTTTCAATATATTCAGGAGATGAATCTGTTGCTTCCCATTTTGCTCTTGTCACTGCATATGAAGACATCAAAAAACGACTTAAGGATTCAGAGAAAGAGAACTCTTTGTTAAAGAAGAGAATAAGATTTTTGGAAGAAAAGGTAATTTTTATCTTTTACCTTCATTGCGTTTGTGACATAAGGAATAATTCAAAATACTTGAAATTTTGAATACTTTTTGTCCTGTCTTCCATGATTGTACTAAATTTCCAAGAATAACTCACTGCTAATCTGAAAACTCTGGGCATTATACTTATCCTGTGTTTCACATACCATGTACTTGGTAAATATTTGTAGGAGAGGATTTAACAACTTGGAGTTATATTCCAAATATTTTTCTTTCATTTTCAGGTTTACTTACCTCCATAGCTGTATGTATTTTATTCAGAATTTTCAAATCTGGGCAAAAAAAAAAAAGATATACCAACAAAGGAAATTAAGTATCAAAGGAGGAAGCTTCTGGAACATTGTCCAATAGGTTTAATAATATCTTTACCAAGGCTGAAATCTTTACTTCAACATTCTTTCTCTTCTTTAACACATGTAATAGGAATAATGCTTTTAATTGATCAACTGATGTTTTCTGTTTACCTTTCCATGTATAATTGTGACACATCTAACTGTTACAGAATATATAAGTAAGGTAGCTGATTCAATATAAAGCACCAATCTACTTGGCTTTATGTATGAGGAATATTCTTCAGTCATCCTTTTATTTTTGAGTTTTAAAGTTTTAACTTAGCTTAGTTTGTATTTTTTCAGCTCAGATAAGAGCATTTTTATCCTACAAAGAGCAGCTACCACAAAGGGTAAAGAATGCATTGTCCTGTGTAATATAAATTAATTATCCAAGGAAATGAATTATCCTATATAAAAAAAACTTGAAGATGGGGCTTGGTAGAGTTTGATTCATTTTTGGTGGGAAGTAAGAGAAAAGGAGTCGGTTGTAAAATAATTATAATTTCTTTGTATTCATATGAATTATATTTACTTTAATGTTGATTATGTAAATTTGTAACATATTGGCATACAGTGAGAGAAGGTAACATTTTGGGGCACATAGCTTTATTTTAAAGTTTAGTAGAAAAATGGGATTTTATGTATAGTTAACATTGGAAATATTTCTGTACTTCATGACCAACAATCCTATTAATTCCTATCCTGTAATATAAAGGATTTAACAAATTAACACACACATCTATTTCTTAAAAAGTCAAGTATGCCTTGGCTGGGCACGGTGGCTCACACCTGTAATTCCAGCCCTTTGGGAGGCCGAGGTGGGTGGATTGCCTGAAGTCAGGAGTCCAAGACCAGACTGGCCAACATGGTGAAACCCTGTCTCTACTAAAAATACAAAAATTAGCAGGGCGTGGTGGTGCACCTATATTCCCAGCTCCTCGGAAGCTGAGGCAGGACAATCACTTAAACCTGGGAGGCGGAGGTTGCAGTGAGCTGAGATCGCCCCATTGCACTCCAGCCTGGGTGATGAGAGCGAAACTCAGTCTCGAAAAAAAAAAAAAGTCAAGTATGCCCTAAGGTGCTGCTTTTTCTGATTATAGAAATTAGATACTTTTAATTTAAAAAACATCTAAGCAGTGTGTATCACATCTATACTCTGTTGTGATTATGATGATTTAATGTTATAAAACAGACACCATGAATTATAAAATACTGATTATGTAAAAGCATAGAAGGCTTCAAAAAATATTCTACACATTTTTGCTTTCTATGTAAAGATTAATTTGTGGAAATGAAATACTCACCTAATGAATCCAGGCTTTATCCCCTTATTACGATTGAAGTAAGATATGGAGCCATCAGAACACTGACTTATTTTTTATCTATAGAATACTCTCTTAAGCTTTCTCTTCTAATTTCATACCGTTAGCTAATAGCTCGATTTGAAGAAGAAACAAGTTCCGTGGGACGAGAACAAGTAAATAAGGCCTATCATGCATATCGAGAGGTTTGCATTGATAGAGATAATTTGAAGAGCAAACTGGACAAAATGGTAAGTTGATTTGAAGCGAATGACATCTGCATTTTGGAAATGAATTTTCTCCTTCAAGAGGTTTAAAATTAGAAGTAAGTTAAATATTTACATTTAGTAATTAAAATTTTGTATACATGTTCAAGGCAAAATGGAAATTTTAGTAATATTTTAACTTATTTTTATGTAAAATATTTAGTATGTAATGATGTTTAGGACTTAAATACATCTAACACCACCGACTTATTTTGAAAAACTATGACATGGTAGATTTAGTCTTTTTTTTTTTTTAAGCCAGTGAATAATGATGTCCTAAATTAGGAAAAGAAAAAAAGACATTTCTGAGAAACTGAGTTCATTTTGTCACCTTGCTTTTAAAGACAAGAATGTGTTTTTTTCAGTATCTTCCTGAAAATTACAATATACCAACGTGTAGATTTTATTGAATGTAATTTGGCATTTTCCCTACTTAACTAGAATAAAGACAACTCTGAATCTTTGAAAGTATTGAATGAGCAGCTACAATCTAAAGAAGTAGAACTCCTCCAGCTGAGGACAGAGGTGGAAACTCAGCAGGGTATGCCAGTTACTTGTTATAAATATTCTAACAGAATTAACATATTTTTCCATTTATTTGTAATATCAACAGTTTTCTGTATCCATATGCTAAGACCTTAACTTATTTTTTAATTTTTAGGTTTATGTTAATTTCTCTGTTCTACCTTCACATAATATCAACTTCCTTTAACTTTTCCTTAGCTATATATTGCACTTTTCCTAGAGAAAATGTGATGGTTTTTATTCAGGTCTAGGTTGTGATGAAGCAGAAGAGGAAAAGAGTAGAAGCCCAGAAGCAAGAAGTAGAAGTGAAATCATCTAGCCCACTGGTTGTCCTGGCTTCTCTTTCTTACTGAACATCTTGCCCACAGTTAAACACACTGCTGTGAAGTTGTTACAATTTCTTTTTCTTTCCAAAGGTTGTTAAAAGGTGCAGATGAAATGTTGGGGTGGAAAGTTGGATCTGGGGCATATGGATAAATAGCCTGCTCCCATGAATATTCATTATGATGAGACAAGCTAAGAAGGTCTGAGAGACCTTCTGATAGGAGATTGAGATGCAATCTCTTAGCATAGCTAGTTGGAGCTTTTTGTAGCTAGAGAGACTGAGGTGCTAATTAAAGAATAAAGCAGTATCCAGTTTATTGAGTTTCTGCAGTGGAATGTTTAAGGATAAATTGTTTTGACATCATGCTCTGAGCTTGTTGGTCAAACTTCATACCTCTGAGAGGACTGGATGGAATGATTAGCTGAGCCTCAGTTTATTCAGTTTATTATTTTTATCACTGTTTTAACCTTATGCAGAATATTGATCTGTCTGCAATTTTAGCATATGCTTATTTTAGTGTAGTTGTCTTTAGAAATTCTAAAACAAGATTGCTAGATTTCTCATTCTCCTTAGCATAGATATTTGAAAGTATTAATAATTACTGTTTTTAAAAAACTATTGATCATATATGTTTTATGTTAGTTTTTCTATTATCTACATTTTACCAGAATAACCTATTTTTAAGAATTGCAGTCAATGTAGAAGGAAAAGATAACAATTTCAGTGTCCATCCTTTTTGTAGTGATGAGGAATTTAAATCCACCTTCATCAAACTGGGAGGTGGAAAAGTTGAGCTGTGACCTGAAGATCCATGGTTTGGAACAAGAGCTGGAACTGATGAGGAAAGAATGTAGCGATCTCAAAATAGAACTACAGAAAGCCAAACAAACGGTATTACAGAATTATTAAATTGAGAATTTCAGTATTTTTTGTGTATCATATGTAGGATTTATAACTAAGATTGTATTAAACCATAGAGTTAAAATAAATTGTAATTATTTAGAGAATGTTCTATTCCTTAAAAAATTCTTGTTTATCTACCTCTTTAAGCATTTCTGCTAAAATTTGACATGCCATATACTTTTAGTCTGTCACAAAATTATACAATTTTGTTTTTTAAAAGGTTGATTTTTAGTAAGCTTATTAGTTTATTATAACTGTTCTTTCAGACTCTCTTTCCTTCAATTTCCTTTTCTCTGTAAAGTTTAAAGAGAACTCAGGTTTTAAGTCCTATATTATTTTACTTAATAGTTTCATTAATTTAGATATCATAAGGGACAACTCGATTTTTATAATTAAAACAACAACAAAGAAAAACACGACCAACAAAGAAAACATGACAGAGCTTACTTATTTTCAAAAGACTAATACTTTGGGGGCATCTTTAACTACCAGCAAATATCTGAGAATTCAAGAATTGGAAAAAAATAACAAAAACCTGCCAAGTTGCTGAAGTGTGTTTAGCCTGAAGTCAACCACTAAAACAAGATGCCTTTTAGGTCCTCACCAAGAGTCTGTTTGCCCAGTATTTTACATCAGGTTCTAACAAGCTTGGATCTATGTTTTCAGACATCATGACAGTGCTGAGATTAAAAGAAGAAATGATAAAGAAGCAAGGTAGTGTGAGAGCAATGCACCAAATGCAGATTTTAAATAATTATTACAAGAAATTGAAAAGCTTAGTAGTCTGGTGCAAATAGCCATTTTATGCATTCATGTATCTCAAACTAAGGTATAACCAGTTATATAATGTTTCTCCACTCAACCATTTTGCCTACCAAAGCATTCTAACACTATTGAGGAATTGTGTTTCTTCTTGTTCCTCTGGGATGCCACCATCTGAAAGGGGAACTCCATCCCATACTTCCTGACTGCTTTCCAGATTCTGCCCTGAATCTCAAGTGTTCTTAGATGGAGCTGATACTTCTTTCTTCTCTAATGTAGTTTTTATGAGAGGTGACCACTCGATAAGAATGAGCCAGACATTAAGAATAATATAGCAGTCTGCCTAGTCCTTGGCCAAATGAATTCCTCTGAACTGGGCAATGAGAACTCCCTTTGGCACCCCCATCCCTGATAAAAGGAAACACTACAAAAATTACTGTCAACTCCCGTTAGAGTCAAAGTGGTTTTTTTCCTACTTACAAAGTTGATTCCCCCAGCTTTGAGCTTGTGGCCACACACCACAATTCCTTCAAAGACTCAGCATCCTGTTCTACAGCTCAGTTACCATCACCACTGAGAAGCCTCTTTTCAAAAGATGGGTTTACAGGAAAAGATATGGACCTTGAAATTCTGAATTATAATTGTCATTATTTATATTCTGTTTGAAAGGAAATTTGATAGCCTTTATACGTGATAGATATTTTGTTGTAGTGTAGCAAGCAGTACCATGGAATCGGAAACTTAGCTCATAATTTTGGTGTTGCTTATTAACTGTTAACATTAGGAACACCATTTTACTTTTGGGAAGTTGTTTTCTGTAAAGTAGACATTAAATACCTTTTTTCATGAAGGTTAAATTAGTGTATATAAAGCAGTTATTAGGGACTTTAGACGTCTTCTAAACCAACTTCATTTACTGATCCAGTATCTCTTTTACTTCTTTGGCCCAAGAGTCTGTATTTCTCACAGGATCAACTGTTCTGAATATAAATGGCTGGAATATTAGGGGACACAGTTTTATGCTCCTGATCAAACATTACTATCATGCTTACAGGACTTAATATATTAATCACAGCCAGTTATCATAGTGGCCATTATATAGTATGTTCAGTAGGTAAATGCTTTTTTAAAAAATTTGATTAGAGTAATCCAGAAGGGCAGTACTTTTAGGTATTTATGTGTATTGAAATTTCTATTCTTAGCATTTTAGTTATTCTTTTCCACTAGATGGTGCTAGGGAATAAATTTGCTTTTAGTTTAAATTCATCTGTCATAAGTAACCAAATCACAGAAACAGACTTTTAGAGGTAGAAGAAATCACTTTCTTTAACTGATGACTAAGTTAAATCTGAGAGACAGGAAACTTTAAACAGTTGAAGATGAGCTAAGAGAGGAATATTGAAAAAGAAATATTTATAACATGGCCCCCACCTTCACAGGCATTTATTAGGGGTAGGGTGAGGCTGTGAAGTTAAAAAGGGCTCACTCACAACTAAAAGAAATGAACAAAGAAAAGGAAGAGTGGAAATAAAAGTTTATCAAGGATTCCAAGTTGAAATCTTGATGCATACTTTCAAATCTTGTTTCAGTGATGTTGCTGATCAGAATCCTCTTGGAGACAGGAATCTGAGAGGAAGCCAAGGAGAGAAATTTATGTTCACAATACTCTAGCCATATTACTCTAGCTCACATTAGTCTAGCCATTTTAAAAAAAATTTTTAAGATGATGCTTTCAGTGAAGCATTTTATAAAACCTTCTGAAGTATGTAATAGCATCCTACATGGATATAATAGTGTTGTTTTAGTTTGTTTGTTTGTTTTTTAAATATTTAGTGAGGGAACTCAGTTCATTAATATTTCATGTTAGTGAGGTTTCAGGGGCAGTTCCACTATGGGCCTTTTAGACTTTCTGTGTCCCCTAATATTCCAGCCATTTATATTCAGAACCATTGATCCTGTGAGAAATACAGACTCTAGGGCCAAAGAAGTAAAAGAGATACTAGATCAGTAAAATTAAGTTGGTTTAGAAGACGTCTAAAGTCCCTAATAACGGTAGCCCAGTTAGAGATTCACAGTGTACTGTAGTATATTAAAGGTTCTGCTATAGTATAGAAACCTATATAACTTGAACATTATTTCCCAAGATTTTGTAGCCATGGGCCTCACCTTATATGAAACTCCCACATCATGTGGCACTAGTTAGGGAACAGATCCATTACCACCTTTAGGACATAGGTGATCTATTACTAGCCAACAAAAGGGTCTTTGAATACTAGATACAGTCTCTATGAGCTTACTGCTGATGTACATTAGAGTCTCTGAATTGTTAGATAGTAGTTGGAAAAACATTTTCCCACTCAAACTGTCAAATTTTTTTATATTGTTGGCTTTAAAAATGAGGAAGGTTTTCAATGAACATATGCATAAGTATATACTAATTTTTAAAAAAAAAATTTTAATTCATGATACAAGGATACTAAAAGTGATCTGATCAGATTCCATTATTTCCTGTAAGGCACAGGAAAAAACAAGGTCCAAGGACATGTGTCTCGTTAGTGGTCAAACCTCCTGGACCTGTGGGCCAGTTCTGTTTCCCCTCTCCTTAGGGCTCCCTAAGATTTAACTTAACTGTTAGAGTATTAAAATCAGAGATCCAGAAATGTTTTAACTCCTATAAGATTAGGTATTTTTCACATTTTACTCTCAAGTTGAGAGTACTCATGAAGTCCTTGTGTTGCTTTTTAATGTTTCACTGCAAATTATATAATTTAGATTGTATTAGTAAGAAATAATAAAATTAAAATTTGTATTCTGAGCTTATACTGGCCACATCTGCCAGGAGAATTAGTACCTGTGATAATCATTTTCATTTGTTACAGATCCTTAAATGAGAATGCATTGCAAACAAGTGTGTTAGAGTTGTCTCAAACATACTAAGTCATTTAAAAATATCTTCTGAAGGTTCTGTCATATCTGCAACCTAAATCAACTGAATTTAAAAGCATATAAGGACTTTATGATGTCCTTGCCAGGTCATTTTTAATCCATGTGGAAGGAGGAAATGTATGCTGATGTTTTACAACAGTAACCTGTTAAAATTCTGGTGTGTTTTTGGTAATACTACGAAAAAGTGAAATACCAAAAAAACTTCCATTTTCCCATAGAATTCATTCACCCATACCATAAGTAAACAGAAATGTGACAAATGTGTAACACTTTTTTGAATATACACTTCAGATTGGTGTCTTTAGAAATATATTTTGTAAGATTACAAGGTCTTTTACAGAATGAGAGCAATTTTATTCTTTTAAAGAAAATTAAAGCATTAATACTTTAAACCATTGGACGTGATTTAGAGATATTTGTTATAGATTGGAGGTATTTCATTAAAATTGAGTATAAAATCTAATTGTATTCTTTGCACTTACAGATATATTCTGTAAAACCTGAACATGTCTCTGGTAAGAAAGAGCTGAGACTAAATAAATTGTAAAAATTACAACTTTTAAACTTCTTTTTTTTAAACAAATGACAGGATCCATATCAGGAAGACAATCTGAAGAGCAGAGATCTCCAAAAACTAAGCATTTCAAGGTATGACCACTCTTCAGCATTAAGACAATACGTTGTCTTCTTCCATAAGTCACTTTGTGTAGGTCCTTAGATTTCTTTTATGACTTAACCTTAAAAACAAAAAATGGATATTGTTTGGATACTGATGTAACCTCTGATCACAATAAATTTGTAGAATAAAATTTAATTGTTAATAACAGCTTTGAATTTAAGTAATACAAAAACAGGATGCCTTAAACTTTCTGAACATTTAGTAATATTTTAGGTATGATTTTAGGGAACTAGCTATGTGGAGGTATTCTGTAATACTGAATTTGTACATGAAGAATTATTCATTATATATAATAACATTCCTTTGTCTTAAGAGCCTACTTGGCCATTGTTAGTCTTTGGGATAGCATGAAATTTATTTTTTTTTGTTTTTTGTTTTTTGAGACAGAGTATCTGTAGCACAGCCTGGAGTGCAGTGGCGCAATCATGGGATAGCATGAATTTTGAGGACTGTTCCCTCTTCGCATAAGAATAGAAGTAGCCATCAGAGTTCATATACTTTTTCAACCCTTTTTCCTCAAATACGTATCATTTTTACTTAAGTAACTTCAATTCTGTGTTTTAAGCTATCTAATAATTGTTGTTTCTACTATGTTAAGATAGCCTCTCTACATTGTTACCCTCCATCCAATAAAAAATACTGATCTGACTTCATTGTTTTATCATTTGGCTTCCAAAGTTTACTGACCTAAGTAAATAATGTGAATTGTGTCAGGCCAATTTCTATCAAAAACCTGCTTTAGAGAAATGATCAATTAGGAAAAACAATTTGAGGAAATGAGATACAGCCACTCTTCTAGATCAGGGGTTGGCAGACTTTTTCTATAAAGTGCCAGCAGTAACTGTTTTATTCGGCTTTGTGAGCTGGCAGTACAGTCTCTGTTGTTATTTAACTCTGCCATTTGAACAGTACTTCAATTATGCCTTCGAATTTTATCTAAGTTTACTGCAAGGAAACTTTTTCTTTTTTTGAAAAATGTGTCTAGTATAGTATCCATGTAAACTATTCCTTAAAATTATCTTGTTATCTTTTCTCCTGTCAACCTAGGTTTCCCCTTATTTTTCTGTATTGTCCTTTTTATAAGCCACTTCTAATCAGTTTAGAAAGGAGTAGAGAATGAATAATATCATCAAAAGAGATCAAATACAGGGGCTATATAAATAGTACATTTGAAGCATGTGATATAGAATGGAATTTCTGCTTCCATTCATGGGAGATTACATAATTTGGGTCATATCCACTAAGAATTTCTTGAAAACCTGACTCCCCCAGAAAATACCTGTTTGAAGGCATCAGATAACTAACAAAATACTGAAAAAATCTCTGTGCCAGGATTTGGGGAAAGTTGAGTCCCAAGGAGATATTTTCAAGGCTGCAAAGCTGTAATTGTGGCTCCAGAGTATAGTCTCGCAATTCTTTAAAGCTCAGTATCAATTCAGAGGACAGTTTTTAGAAATAATTGCCTTAAATTCAGTTTAAAAGTTACTTCACGTTAAAGCCATACCAACAGTATGTATGTAAAGAATTGTGTAATTACAGCATGTTCCAGTGGCTCTCTTAGTGCTCATATACACTTGTGGTTTTTTGCAAATTGGTTTGCATTTGTATCAGGTAGACAATGTGAACTGCAAAACTGATTAGGTTTCTCTCTTCTGGTTATGTACTAGAAAACTTATAACCAAATTTGTGGCCTACTGTTGGTCAACTTTTATCATGCATTTTTATGTTAACCTCATTCTCCACTGCATTTTGTTTTGTTTTCTATTTTTCGCCTCATCATTTCTGCCTGTTTGCAGTTTATGTTCTTGTGTTTTGTTAATCTTTGTAAGTTACTTCATCCACTTTTAAGAGGAACAATTCAGATGACAGATTAGTTTACTATATTGGAGAAAGTATATAGGGATATTTCCATTAAACCATTAACTAAAGGTTTAGATATTTTTAAGGAATATTTTTCAGTTATTTAGATAACTTGCTTTTTTGGAACTCTCCTTTTTTGTATTTCTTCCATCATATTGCTAGGCAAATGAGGTGTAGTATACTGTTTCTCTATCTTAAGATAGAGTGAACCTTTTAATTACTGGAGGCCTTTTATATGATACTCCTTGTATAAAACATCATTTAACAATAATAGCCCTATCAGAAATTTAACCAATGTCTTGCCAGTGTCCTGTTTTGATTTTGGCTTTAGGTTGATGGCTTCAGTTTTTAAACCAGATCTAGACAGGGAGTCGCTGTACTTCTTTTGCTCATCATCTGTAAACTTACATTGTGGAACTGTGTTACAGATGACTTCCTAAAATGTAAATTCCAGGTTTAGAAAAAAAAAGATTAGGTTAGTGTTTATCAGGCTCTTCTGTGTTTCCTTAGTGCTGTGAAATTTTATTAGTTATAATAAGCATTATAAAAATATGGAATAAGTCAGAAAGAACACACCAATACCAGAGTGCATTACACACAATAAGGGTAAGTATGGTTTCTTAGAACTTGTTTTCTTTGGGTTGCAGTGTAAAATGATTCTTGCTGTGCCTTGCAATAAAAAATGAGAGCCACTTGTTTGGGGGGAACCGCAGTTGTCAAAATACACACTTTTAAGTCTATAACTCTTGGCTAAGAATATCCCATAGTTTAATTCTACTGTGATGATGGAGGATGTAATAGTTCAGTAAATTTTCAAATGCTAAAGAAAAATATGTATGGCTGAAGTAGAAACTCAAGTAAGTGGATTTTTCTTATACAAGGAATAGTTATTTGTGTATTAAAGAGTTCCATATATAGTGTCAATTAAGAAAGCTGGGCTTTTAGCTGTTACACTTTGTAAGCAGGACATGTACTCCCTCCTTCAGTTGTGGACATGCAGGTTTCACTTAAAAGTCAGAGATGTGAAGTTTTATACTGAGAAGTATAAAACTTATAAGATTGTGTTGGCAGTCAGCATATTGTAGGTGCTTGGTAATTGATGATGATATCAAAAATGTTACTCCAAAAGGGCAGTGATCAGTCATTAGACCGGGTTAAGTGAAAGACAGCTTTGAACAGCAACATGGCAGACTGGAGTAGACTTCTCAACCCATTTCCTCGTGTGTAAAATGAGGTTACTCACTTTACCAAGTTGGTGTGACAATGTAGGTGAAGTGCCTAGTATATAATAAGTGCTCAGCCATCATTATTTGTGCTTTATCTGTTTTTAGAGTTCTCATTTGAGAAGTTTCAGTGTAACATTTCAATATTTTAAGTAGTTGTATAAGTTCTTTATAGACAACTATATATATTACTAGCATTTTGCTTGTGTGGCATTTAAAGCAAAACTAAACTTTATACTCCCAGTTGGGGAACTGCGGTGAGGATAGGAAGGTCACAATCTATACATTGTCTTTGAAATACCTAGATAAGAGGTTTAATTGGAAGCCTGCTAAAAATTAGGGATGACAACTTGCCTTTTCCAATATCATTTAAATAATGGTTTAAACATTTTGTTCAAGTAGATAGAATTTAAAATAATTTTTTACACACTTTGAAGATTGTAGCACTTTTAATGTTAACTGTAAAGTGGGAAACACTAACTGCAGTTATTTTCTTATCCACAAGAGGGAGAGCTATACTTAGTAATAATTTTAGATTTGTCTATCTGTAGTTTTAAATTCAGGTTACATTAAGAGCAAAAAACAAGACTACATGTGTATTAAACTCAGTGACCTAGTTTTTAACTAAACCTAAGTTTTAAGCAGTCTTCATTAAATTGAACTGAAAAGTTTTTATTAGGCACTGTAAACGTTACTAGAATTGTTTATTTCCATGCCTAGCTGTGTATTTTAGTACTCAGAACTGTCTTCAGTATTTGCTCTTCTTTTCTCTAAAACAGGCACTGATTTACTGTCTCGCACCAATAATAAACTATTTTTAAGCTGTATTATTCATACCATGACTGAATGAATGAATTAGCACATGTTCAGTGTTTACACTTACTGCTATATAATGTGAGTAACTCTTCGGAAAGCATACTGAATGCCTAGAATTGTACCAAGAAACCAACAACTCTCTTCACACTTAAGACAGGTTCCTATGTGAAACATTCATTGTAGCAAACAACTCAGATGTTTTTTGGTGAAGTAGACATGGTTAATTTTGTGAACTAATTATTTGACACCTATTAAAAACTTGCAAAGAGCTCTGATTTCTAATATACTACAACTTAACAAATGATGTTTACAACAGACTAAAGCAGATTTTTCTGAAAAGCAGTGTAAAGTTTATTGACAAAAAGGTATTTCACCTTACAGAATTCAAAATATTTTATATATTATATATTAAATATAAACTATATTCTGTAATTTGAGATATTAGATTTCAAAAATGTTATCCTTTTGAAGTTTAAGTGTTTATGGCAACACAAAAATTGAAGCATAAGGTGACACGTTTGTCTAGTTTGATTTCTGTACTATTAAAATTACACTAGTATCTAAGGGGTAATAATTTTTTTTTAATGTTATAAGATTTAGTCTTACATTTAATATTTTGTGATATTCCTGTACAACAAAATGAGAATATGTGCTGAAGATTTTAATTTCATTTAGTTGGCAATTAAGCAGCAAAAAAAGAAAATCATGAATGTCTGAATATGAATGTTTAATGGAAAACAAAATCTATAAAAATTAGATTTAAAATCACTAATTATAATTTCTTAGATAATTGAGGTAAAATACTTTTAATTATAAAAACAGGAGAGGCATTTTTGAAGTTTCTATTTCTGTTTCATATAATCTTCCCTCTCTAGCTTCTTTTTCCTTACCAGGAAATCATCTGGCTCTTCATGTCTTGTGCTGTCATGTCACATTGGTTTAGAACCAACATTATGAGACAGCCCAGTCAAACATAAAGAATGTAATGCATGAAACCTAAATTTTATTTTAATGTAGACTTGGATATATATTCAGCAGTTGATATATCATTTCAATTCACAGTGTCAAAACAATCAAAAGATAAATACAAATTGATCCATATTTGAATGAATGTAACTTTACTCTTAATCAGATTTGCAAATAAAGAATGTATTTCTTACTACTTACTAATTAATAGCTGCACATTACAGCCTAAAATGAAATCTCAGTTCTGAGACTCTGCAAGAAGCTCTTATCAGTTATAATTTTATTTTTATTATACCGTTTAATATAATAGTTAATTGCTACATATCAGATGGACAGTGTTATTCTTTCAAGATCTTTTCACTTATTAATGCCCTAGTTAAATATCTTTCAATTGTTTTTTTCAGTTTACATCATCTCAAAACTAATTGGAGCAGAAACTTGATCTGCATATTTCTAAAGTTATTCCCTTTTGTCTAAAAAAGAATGATGAGTATTAACTTTTTGTAAAAAAATTTATTTCAGTGATAATATGCAGCATGCATACTGGGAACTGAAGAGAGAAATGTCTAATTTACATCTGGTGACTCAAGTACAAGCTGAACTACTAAGAAAACTGAAAACCTCAACTGCAATCAAGAAAGGCAAGTCACTGTTTACCGGAAACCACTGATTCCAGCCAAACTGCCTGAAGAGCAACTAGCTGTCATATCTTATCAAAATCTCATCAAATGAGAGATTGATAAGCCAAAGTATATATAGTACATTCGCAGCCTACCCATTCTCTGCTTTGGCTTCAGTCTCATACTGGTCAACTTCACACATAAAGGTGTTGCTGATGTGTTTTTTCTTCAGTACTGTATTCTTTTCCCCTTGTGGCTTTTCTCAGCCAAGTGTTGCTTATGTGTATAAGACTGAGGTGTTAAGTTTGCTCTAGTTGACCTTTTACCACAGCTACTTCATATATTTGAAAAAAAAAAAAAAAAGACACCAAAAGCAAATTTTCATTCCAGTGCTACAGAATACACCAAACACCTAGCTTTTTAGGTTGTTTTGAAAAAGAAAACAAACTTTGATTCATTATTTGGGTTTTTGCATTTCTTATAAGCTTTTCTTTCCATAAAGGATATAGCTGATTACAACGAAGACTAGGTGTTCTCCCCTTATGCCCTTCAACCAAACAAAAATTTTCATTGCTTTGCCTTTCATATTTAACTGCTTGACTGATTTAACTTCTTGAGTTTTGTGTTAACTAGTAGTAGCTACTTTCGCCAAAGCTATTTTTATACCTTGGAGAAAAATCAGTACATTTGTACCTAGTATTACATAACAGGTATATTTCTGAAAAGTTGTGTGATACAAATTTGAATGCCCTAAAATTTACTTTTTAAAAATGAGATAGGACTTTTTATAAAAGATTATCACCATCTAGTTTAAAATTACTTATTTATATTTCACATTGTCTTAAAGAGGACACAAGAGGATTGTGTCATAAATAGTTCTCCTCAGGAGTGTTTATTAGTGAGGAAAAATGTTAAATTTTGGGAAGGAAAATTGAATGTAGAACTCCTTTTCATTTTTAGAGAGTTGGTTACATATAAATCAGGGAAAATAGTATGGTGTTTTAGCAAGTCCAGCTTAATTTTTGGTTCACTTTGTCCTTGAGTTTTCCAGTGGTCAGAGTTATATATGAGACCAAAGGTTGAATGTACAAATAAGATCTCTCTATAAAGGGACTCACAGAGTAATTCTGCATTGAGTTTTCAATGTAGCTTTGTTTACATGATAAATAGAACTACCAAAGAATAATAAAGGAGCAATGCTCTTTTCATACTTGGACATGGCTCATCCTTGTGTTCCTTCCTAGCTGATTAATATTTTTCGGTGCTTTGGAACATAAGTTTTCTAGCACTTTTCCTATGACAGTGGTAGGCTCAAGGTCACCACTCCTTACACAGAACTCATTGCTTTGAGGAGTACAGAGATGAGACTAGAACCACCTTTCTCCTGACCTTTGTATCACCTTTTTTCCAAAGCCAAACACTACACTTCCAGTTCTCCTCCATCCATATCCACCCTCCCAGGAAAAACAATGAACTTATTTTATAATGTCGTTCAATCTGTTTCTTCTAAAATTACATGAAGTCAAGCCTTAGTTACACTTGGCCATCCTTCTTGAGCTAAGGATAAACTTACCTTTCCACACTGGTAGGCTGAGCTGGAGGGAGTGGAGAAACCTGTATTACCAATGTGCTGGCTGTGGTGAAATAATAGCTTTTAAGTAGTCTTTTTCTAGGCCATTGCATTTGTACAAAACTTTTTTTTTTTGGCTGTTTTTTTTTTTTTTTTTACTTTACCTACATTGTGACCACAGTAGCATTAACATTTGCTGTGTTTTACAAGAAACAAGATTTCACAAATTTTATTTAAACTGCTTTATCCATAAAAGCCTTTGATATATAAAAACTTCATTTGGGTCTCACCAATTAAAAATGCAATTATTTCTAAAAAATTTGCTTTTGGACTGCCTGTGGACAAAGAGTTTGAGCAAAGGAATATTATATTTAACTAAAAAATGCTAAAACTTAAGAACTGTCTCAGTCCCCACTGACATGTGAACAGTCTGCAATCCTTCTCCAGCCACAATAAGAGCCAAGAACAGGATCTTTATTTGTATTTTAACTGTATTAGTTTCCAACTTTTAAAAATATGTAGTTCTTCATCTTTTAAAAGCTCTATGACATAGTTGGGACAGGAATTCTATATCCATTCTGCAGACAAGGAAAGAGACATCAGGAGCAGCTAAGAGACAAATATCTAAAGTCACAGTAAATTGCTGATCCAGGATTAAAACTCAGATCATCTGTCATTTATCTCCTAGTCACAGTGCCTCAATGATCACACTAACTTGGAAATCTTAATTTCATCACCAGTTCTAGAATTCAAATTGGTGAAGTGTTATCGAATTTTATGATCACAAATGTAATGAAAACTGACATTTAGTCTGTGTTTTCTTTTTAGCCTGTGCCCCTGTAGGATGCAGTGAAGACCTTGGAAGAGACAGCACAAAACTGCACTTGATGAATTTTACTGCAACATACACAAGACATCCCCCTCTCTTACCAAATGGCAAAGCTCTTTGTCATACCACATCTTCCCCTTTACCAGGAGATGTAAAGGTTTTATCAGAGAAAGCAATCCTCCAATCATGGACAGACAATGAGAGATCCATTCCTAATGATGGTACATGCTTTCAGGAACACAGTTCTTATGGCAGAAATTCTCTGGAAGACAATTCCTGGGTATTTCCAAGTCCTCCTAAATCAAGTGAGACAGCATTTGGGGAAACTAAAACTAAAACTTTGCCTTTACCCAACCTTCCACCACTGCATTACTTGGATCAACATAATCAGAACTGCCTTTATAAGAATTAATTTGGAAGAGATTCACGATTTCACCATGAGGACACTTATCTCTTTCAGTGGTCCTCCCAAGAAATTATTTAACAAACTGAAAGGAGATTTTGATTAAAATTTTGCAGAGGTCTTCAGTATCTATATTTGAACACACTGTACAATAGTACAAAAACCAACATAGTTGGTTTTCTAGTATGAAAGAGCACCCTCTAGCTCCATATTCTAAGAATCTGAAATATGCTACTATACTAATTAATAAGTAAACTTAAGGTGTTTAAAAAACTCTGCCTTCTATATTAATTGTAAAATTTTGCCTCTCAGAAGAATGGAATTGGAGATTGTAGACGTGGTTTTACAAAATGTGAAATGTCTAAATATCTGTTCATAAAAATAAAAGGAAAACATGTTTCTTCAAATTGCATAATGGAACAAATGGCAATGTGAGTAGGTTACATTTCTGTTGTTATAATGCGTAAAGATATTGAAAATATAATGAAATAAAAGCATCTTAGGTTATACCATCTTTATATGCTATTGCGTTTCAATATTTAAGATTTAAAGTGATTTTTTGGTCACAGTGTTTTGTTGATAAAATTTTTTTAGAATTGAAGTTTGAATTCTAAGACTTGAAACAACCTGATCACTGAAGCCAACTTTGTCCCAGCACATTCCTTAAGTCCTAATTGGGAAAAAAAAAAAAAAAAATGAAATAGTTGAAAAACTCTGGGGTGTAAACAAATGATTGTAACCCTACACACTATTCAATAAGTAGTAGAAGGAGCATCACACAGATTTCAGTCTAATCTGCCCTTCTGTGGGCCATAATATAAACATAAATGTGTGTAATGATAAAAAGTCATTTTCTTCAAAGAGACTACAGCTAGCTGCACATTGTGTAGAGCAGCTTCTAAATTGTTAGACTTTGTGTTGAAATGTAATATTCTATTTATTGAGAAAGTGATTTAAAATTATTATTTTTAATCATAGAAATCAGGGTTTGGGCTGTATTGATATTGTCGATCATGAAATGTCCACACTTATTCTAAGTGGCCAATTATTTGGAAATAAAGAAGGAAATAAAGATGGCTTCACATGGAAATTTAAGTTCTTTCAGGGTGGAGATTTACTTGGTTCATACACCTTTTGCCTGAATTAAAGTATTTCATGTAGGAGGACTTTTATCCTTTTTGATAGACAGTTTCATATATCTTGAACTCAATATCTCAGATCTCTTCTACTGTATTACTGAATAGCATACATACATAGACAATGTTCGCCATTCACTAGATATTTTTTTCTATTATCTTACACTTATTCAAGCTTGTCTGTGATTAATGGAATTGGTGTCAGATGCTGGAATTTATTCTGACCAATGAACACAGCTGACTCAGGGGAGTACAATCTCCTGCCAAGTAATAGAACCAAACCCAATATGCATAAAAGAAATACAATACTCCAGGCTTTAGCTGAAGGAAGCAACTACCTGTGTAATAACAAAGCAGCAAAAACTATTTCTCATGTGGCTGCATAGGCTGTATATTATATCTGATCTCTAATGTAGCTTACTGGTTTGCCTTTTTTAAAACCAAAATTGGAAATTTTCCTTTGTAAAGAAAAAAAGTCTTATGAGATAATTGCTTGATTAATGTTTTGAACAATACCAAGAAATTGTTTAATTAAAATAAATATTTTTGTTTGAAATTGAAGTGGATGTGAAATATTGTCCTTGCCTATAGATCTCAAAATCTAGTACTAATTGTTGGTTGTTAATATGATTCATACAATAGACATTTGTTAAACCAGCTTTTGAGTGGAGAAAATTATTTTCCATTTAAACAGTACAGTGATGATAGCTATCAAACAGGTATACTAAAAAGTCAGTGACTGTGACAGTTTAAAGTGTTAGACAAATGATGTATAAGGTTCTTTAGTAAGGAAAGATTAGCCAAAAATTTTTTACCCAGCTAGAAGCTTTTAAATCTACACTTGATATCTCTGTTCTAGGTAAAATTCAAACAACCAAAAAACAGTGGCCCATCTGTAGCTTATGAATCTATTTAAAATTGAATATTTTATGTTGACTTCTTTCATACTAGCTGAAACTTGCTCTAAAGAGCTTCCTTTGGAATCTTTAGATTTCTTTTTATAAGGTTCAATTCAGTACATCCATAAATCGACAGAATGAAGAAAACATAACAAAAAGCCACCTATTCCTTCCTCTTGCTCCCTTATTAGCTAAAGTAAAATTTACATCTGTAAGACTTACTGAGTTGCTGCCAAAATGGAACTGAATTCTTAAAAGCAGGAACATGCCTATGTGAAACATTAGAAAACCAAAATAAATGGGAAAATTCAGACTTGAAGAGCTGAATCATGTGACAACAAAGTACTGATCTTAATTCAGAAAGGCTACTTGGAGAAGGTGTATCTTAAGGGGTAAAAAACCTGTGGGTTACCACATATTAACAGGGAATAATATCAACAGAGGCACCCATAAGCAAGCAAGACACAACTGAGACAGATGTACCAGGTGAAAAAAATCTTCAGTATGGATACACATGGGTATTCTGAAGGCTACAATGAATGGTTTAGTCTTTGACATAAGGAGGATGAACATATTATTTATACTGTGTAATCTAATCTGGCTTCTATGGGGAAAGCAACATGTACATAAGTGAATTTTCTACATGAAGTGGGCTACTTCTGATTTTAATCAAAGCTATAAAATAGATTGTATATTTCACTAGCTTCTTAAAGTAACTCTTCCATTTTCATTTATCTCTAAAAACAGTTAACTTCCTGTGCTCTAGGAAATGCACCAATACCAAAGGTCAATGTGGAAATATGGGCATGTTTGCCCCTATGCTGTGTGGTCTCTAGATTTCTATATTTGCTTTGCTTTTGTCTGCTCTAGTAATCTCCCTCCTTTTGATCTGTGGCCTGGGAAAATGTGGTTTCTTTGTATTTCAAATAAAAGTAAAATAGTTTTTTGAGTGGTTCACTCAAGAGTAAAGTGTGGAACTTGAATTGATTCTTTAGTGTCCTATTTAAATTCTTTCTTAAAAAAAAATCTCTCAGATCTATTGCATGGGATTAGGGAAAGTTAAACCTTGTCTTAGTGGGTAGTAATTTCTATTTGTGATTTTAATGAGGACTGTGAAAATATACGTAAAATTTACTTATCTTGAAACTAGTTACAATGGCTGTGGAAGAGTTAACAGCTCATGGGGAAAAAATAACTTTTAATATAAAAGCTCAAATTATTAAATTGGGACATAAATTTTTTATACTACTTCCTGAGTCCATTACTATGTTACAGAATGGTAATTCACTTAGAAATATAACTTTTCAAAATGAAAGATTAAAGGACTAACAAGTTATCAGGTTAAGAACATTATGTTTTAGAAAATTCTACATCAAAGATGTAAGTAAAATTAATTCATATAAGTAGGTATCTCCTTATCTATGGTTCTGCTATGGTTTGATGTGTCCCCCAAGAGTTCATGTGTTGGAAACTTAGTTGCTAATTTAACAGGACTAAGAAATGGAGCCTTTAAGAGGTAATAGGGTGATGAGGCTGGAGCCCTCGTGAATGGATTTATGCCATTATTACAGGTATTAGTTCTCAAGAGAGCGGGCTGTTATAAAAGTTTGCCCACACTTGTTTGTCCTTCTATTTTTTACACCCTATTATGTTTTGATGCAGTATGAAAACCCTTGCCAGAAGCTGCTGGCAAATAAACTCCAGAACTGTGAGCCAAACAAACTTTTCTTATAAATTACCTGGTCTTGGGTATTCTCCCATAGCAACAGAAAATGGACTAAGATAGTTTCCAAATAAGCCTCTACTACTACTAACAGTAACTACCAATATAAGAGCATGTACCAGGTCTGAAGCACTGTCTTATACACTGTACGTGTACCTGCTATATGCAATACTCAGTACATCCTCACAAACTGTATTAGATTTACTTCCACAGCTGTATAGCTAATAAGTGGTAGAATCAGGAAGGATTCTGGTTCATAGCCATTCTGCTATACTGCCTAGTTATTATTAACACCTTTGAAGGTTGTCCATTCCTGCTTTTCTTTAGTTTTGGCTCCCATGATTAGCCATTAGCATATACACTGGAAAAAAATAATATAAGGACCATATTGAACTCTAAAAAATCAGTATCACTGTTATAGAACTATAGTTGTGGGAAAACTTTCAAAAGGTCCAGAATGACCAGGAAAACCATATCCCAATTCAGTAACTACTCCTTTCCCATTTAAGAAACCAAAACTTTGAAATAAAATATTTATTTCAGATAAAGTTAATATTTCCATAATTAAGGTAAAGCAAACATATATGCTTGAGTCCATTATTTAAGGACTATAAAATGACTTCCATGAATATTAGAGTTCCTGAATGTCATTTGAGTATCTGCCTACATGCTTGTTGGAAGCTTCTGTAGCCTTTTCTTTGTAGGAATTCCAGTTTTTCTGAATTCTTCCCTTTCCTTCAGGTATTCCATTTTGCATTCTTCATAAAAGGCTGGATCATTATAGCTATGAGAAGGAAATGAAAATATTTTCAAGTAAATAATCCTGCATGTGTTAAATGTAAGCTTACTTTAATTACTAATATTCAGACATCTGGTTCATCAGGCTCAATCTTTAGAAGTACACTTTTAGTAATGGTTAAAAATTCACTGTTAACTTTATGCTACCAAACTAAAGACCAAATCATTCATTTTTATATAGCACTGTCACAGAATAGAGCAATGAGAAGCACAGCTCCTGTCCTGGGAACCCACGGTGTAAAGGACAAGTAAAGACTGGATTAAAATTAAATCTACAAAATACTGTGACAGAGGTATGGCCCAGTGCACCATGGAAACAAGGAAGAAATGGGGAGGGCAGAGGTTTCAAGGGGAAATGCTTGCGTTGTATTTTGAAAGACCAACAGAAATCCATATAGAAGGCAAGTGTGGGAAGACACATGGATGAGGAAAAATTAATGCAGGAAAACCTGCCAAGTAGATAGGTACCACTATAGCAGATTATGCACATAGGAGAAAAGGCCTGAAATGAAGATGGAATGGGCAAAAGTCAAATCATGATGTGCCATTTATGCTATACTCAGAAATTAAAATCAATCCTGAAGAAAATGGGGCACAATTAATAGAGCACCTCACCTGTAAGATCAGTTTTGTGTCTTGGATGAATCTGACAACATGTGGCAGATAGGACAAAAGGAGGCAAGCAAGGTTAGAGGCAAGATAGCCAATAAACTGTTAAAATAATCCAGGCAAAAATGATGGAAGGCGCAGGCCAAAGGAGGAGCTGTAGGAATGAAAAGGAAGAGATGATGTGCAGGAAATTTCAGAAATCAATAGGAAATAACCAATTAGAGTTAGGAGACAAGACTGTAGATACTAGACTACTGTATAATTCACAAAGACACGTTGTAGGACGAGCAAAAGGAGCCCAGTTCATTTTTGGACTTGAACAAAGAAACAAATGTTACTTTCTATAGTAAGTAATTGAATTCATGGGTGCAAACTAAACTTCCTCAGATTTAAGAATGAGAAGAGAACTTGGGGAATCACCAACATTAAGGAGTAGATTAAAAACATGGAGAAGTACAAAGAGATTTTGGGAAAATGGGAA
Organism: Homo sapiens; assembly: GCF_000001405.40. Lineage (NCBI taxonomy): Eukaryota > Metazoa > Chordata > Mammalia > Primates > Hominidae > Homo > Homo sapiens. The sequence goes on along the minus strand of NC_000003.12, from coordinate 28,318,404 downwards.
AAAATATTATCAGGGAAGACAGAGGAGACTTTTAAGAAGGGATTGCCAGAGACAGGTCCAGTAAAAGAAAAGGAACAATTTGTTGGATTTGTCTACCATCAGCCCATCAGAGTCTTTAAAAAGAGCAGGTTCAGTGATGTGAGGACAGAAATCAGATCATAGTGTATTAAGGAAAAAAATGAAAGTAAGAGGTAGAAATAAAGGAGCAAAAACAATGTTTCAAAATGAGAGAGGATAGCAGTTACGTTCATTTCATGGAAATGTCAATAGTAATTAACAAAGCAGAACACCTTCTTATTTAAAGATGAATAAATACTATTTCTTAGTGTATCTGGGGACTCAAAGTCAAGTACAATTTTCCCTAATAATTTTCCATTTACTTTCAGTTAATGTCACATCCACTGCTTATCTCTTCTAAACAAGCAGAAACAGCCATCCTTCCTAGCCCCTCTCCTCCCCTCAGATGGACTAGAATCTGTTATTTTCTTCTTGTATTTCTAGGGGGTGAGAGAGGGAAGGATATTCAAATGATTAATATTCAGATAAATAATAACAAATACTAATCAAAAAAGAGCTAACATTTTCTGAATACCTATCATGGTAAATGTGTTTACATGCAGTACCTCACAATCACTCCATAAGATATAATTATTCCTTCTTACAATGAGGAGCCTGCCTAAGGTAACACGACTAGCTAAGCTCTCACTGATACAGAAGCTGAACCCAGGTTGCCCTCTCTGCAGTCTATACTCCTGTCTACTCTGCTCTAGAGCTCCCCCAACTGGAGTGAAGGATAATATGTCAAACTAGCAATAACAATTATGATGACTGAATCTGAGATATAAAAATTATTTAATCAATGTATAAGACAGAATTTAATAATTCAGTCATACAAAAGTTTAAGAGATTCGTTTACTCAGTAAACATTTCTTGGAAGCACTTGAGAATAGAACTGAAAGAATATTAAGTCACAGAATGAACTTTTACTCCTATATGGTAAAGCACTGAGTACAATACCTGGACCATAAATAAGGGCTGCTTTGATATTATTAACTTAAGAAAAAAAATCAATATTGATTATGTTTCATCATTTACAAATATAGCAAATATAGAGATGAGTTTACATAATCTCTAAAGTCTTTTCCAACTCCACCATTCTAAAAAAAGGTCTATAAGTTTATGTGTACATATTTTATTTAAAAAAAAATGTAGGGTTCGGGTGTTCATTACATTTTTATTTAATCCTCTAAGATACATACCATACTGACATATACGCTGCACAGGCTACAGAAATTAAAGGAAACAAAGGCTTACCAAAACTAAGATCTCTCAACATTCAATTAACAATACTTACTAAAGTATTCTGCAATCTTATCTGTCAATAATGTGGGCAATAGAACATGGGTGAATAAATCAGCATGTGAATTCAAAGAACTTCACACATTTTTACTTAAATTTAAGGAACTACAACAAAATATTAGTGAACACGATATTATAAAATTATTTTAAAAGTAAATTTGGTTAACTTCAAAAATCTAAATTTACCTTTTTATCATCCATACGATTTATCTCAACTTTCTAGGAGTTAAATTATATTAATCCAACAAATCACAAGGCTGGAGGAAGTCTCAGAGATATTTTCATTCAGTTATCTTTACAACAGAATAAACAAAAATCAGTCTGTACTATATTTTACAGATCAAACTGTTCATGAAAAAAGATTTATTAAATAGTGAAAAATCATATATTTTTGTCTGCTGACTTCATCTTTTTAATCAGATACAATGCTGAGAAAATTTGAAAAGACTCTTTCATAAATATGTTGCATTTTTAAGACTGTACTGGAACTTTAGACTCAGCCAACAATATGATAAATTTGGTATGGAGAGGTACAGAATATATTACATGTAATGAGTTAAGTAACATACTCTTATCTACCACAAATACACATACAAGCACAAACGCTGAGACAACTACTTACTAAGCAGTTAGACATTCTTTCAATGCAGAATTTTCTTTCCGGCATTTTACTACCATAAGAACTCCAGAGTTCTTGCAACATTTGGTAAAATCTGAAATAAATTTGGAAGGAAAAAATTACTTGTAATTATATCTATATAAATACCCACACACACAATTTTCTTCTTTTTAGAAAAAAAAAAAGAAAGCCTGTCACCCAGGCTGGAGTGCAGTGGCATGATTATAGCTCACTGCAGCCTTGAACATCTATTATGTACATTGTGCTTGGCACATGGTACCGTGCTCAACAAAAGACATGTACACCAGTAAAAGGCAGAATAAGATGAGTGATATTCACTTTGTATAAATAAATGTGATTTGAGAAGAGGGAGAGAGGACTTCTGAGATGAAGGGCAAGGAGACTTCATAGAGACAGGATGTAGAGATAGGATTTCTAGTAGAGAAACAGTACAATCATGGGCTGCTTAACAATGAGGATACATTCTGAGAAATGCATCATTTGGCAATTTCATCGTGGTCCAAAGATCAGAGTGTACTTACACAAACCTAGATGGTACAGCTGAGTAGATATCTAGGCTATTTTGTATAGCCTAGGCTAAAACCTGTACCATATGTTACTGTACTGAATACTGCAGGCAATTATAACAGAAAGGTAAGTACTTGTATATCTAAACATTTCTAAACATAGAAAAGGTACAGTAAAAATACACCATTATCATCTTATGGAACCACCATCATATATGTAGTCTGTCATTGACCTAAACACTGTCATGCAGTGCACGACTGTATATTCTAGGAGAAATACAAAGAGTTGACTCTTCCTTTGAAAGGGAATTGTTTCCAGACATTGGTATCTGTTGTCTAGTCTCTGCATGTCTTCTTAGTACCTGGCAACAAAAGCCGGTGGATTCCCACCTGATGGCAGCAAGGCATCCCTTTGCTTTTACACAACCCTGCCATGGTTTCTTAACTTCTAATAACAGGACCCCCATTTCATTCCCAAGTAAGTTCTAGGTGCTGTAGATACTTCAAATGGCTTTCTGTCAAATTTCCACTCTGCTAGTTTGCTCTTTAAATTGTACTGGCACCTTGGGTATTCTGCCTTTTCAGGACCACAAACCCAGAAAAGCCTGGTACCTATGCTACCCACAGGTGGGCCACTTACTACTCTGTCTTGTGTTTGCTTTGGGTCAGACTCAGTCCTGTCTTATCCCTTACACAGGACAATATGCTTTGCTCCTCATCTCTTGCAGCTACTCTCATGAACTACTCTGGTCCCTCCTTCTGACCACTGGCTGCCCTAGTTCCAGACTCTGCCACCCCTCATCTACTGTAAGTAAGCAACTATTTCCAAGTGAGATCTTAAACATCGTCCTTACAAAGAAGCTGTAGGCAAAAAAATGAAAATAAAAATAAATTGTGTATTGTGTTTTCTCAATATCTTTTGTAACTTTGAAAATACAAAATAATCAAGATTCCTCTCTTTTCTTGAGCTATGTGTTATCCTTCCAGGTACTTGGGATTATAAATTATTTATAATTGTCTTAGACAGATAATCTTAGGAGTGTCCATGAAAATACATAATTATGTAACAAAAATATTTTTAAACCACAAGCAACCAAAAATGAGATTTATTAAATGCATAAAAAATTCATTAGGGGGGCCTTGCTGGGACAAGAGCCCTATAGCATAGATACCTGTATCCACTCACAACATCATAGTGATACTTCCAAGAAAATTGGTGGAATAGGAAGAAGGAACAAGGGATGCAAGAAATGACTTTAATTCAAATAATTTAATGTGTGTGATCACATGAAGTGAGTGATACATAGTATTCCCCTTCAAGGACACACAGGATTAGTTCCCTTTGGCTTCTGCTTCACTAGTCTCAGCAGTCCCAACATTTGCTCTCTCATTCCCAACCCAGCCTGTTAGACTCTAAACGTAATCAAGTATCTTCTTTATTCCAACTGCAAATGTTCTTGTTCCTCTTGACGCAGATGAGCTGGCCACACAGGTCAAATCAAACCAAGGGAAATTCTTTGTGCCCTTTGACTAAGGACTCTCTAACACTCAAAAGGCAAAGCAGACTTATAGCCAGCTCATTTTCAGTGGAGACGCTGAAGGGTAGCCACATGGCTATCTAAAAGTCAACTAACTTTCACTCTGGAATGCCTATCTATTCCTATACGTTAATTTTTCTATTTATAGCATGATGTTAAGATCTACCTTTACATAAGCAAAGACTACGATCCCAAATAAAAAGACATGGGCAATCCTCAAACAATATGTATATAAAGTTAATCCGGAATTAGCTAAAGCTAGCTAAAGGCTTCTTTAAGAGAACTGCCATGTTCAATAGTGGTAATGAACCATGGGCTGGATTCCCCTGCACCACCTTACCTTTACTGTCACCTTACTATACCTATACCAGACCAGTTCACCCAAATAATATTTGGTAGAAAGGTAATTAGATCATGAATTTTGTCTCATGAAAACACACTAGTTGACCAAACCTCAGTCCTTTTCCGGAAAACACAGACACAACGGCTGTTAGCAAATGCTTACTTTCTGATTTAACAAACCCAATATTTTAACTTACTTAGATAAATAGGATGCTTAGGCATTGCATTAAGACTTGTTTTGTCTAATATTAGTAAAAATGTCCTTGGTAGGGAACTGGTACAAACTAGCATTTATGTGTTCTGATCACAATAAAGGCATAGTCTATATACTTTCACACTTGTCCAAATATCTTCAGGAGTAAATATGACTGACCTGAAGCCTTAAGCTGTCTGCAAGGTTTTTGTCACTTGTTTAGCAACAAGATTTTAATGAGGACCTTTCTTTCATTCTACATTAGCATATATTCATATAATAGTGATGTTGCTAATACTGCCAACTGATTTCCAAAATGGAATTCTGAAACAAATCCAATTTAAATCAGTTCCATCTTTTAATTTACATTAAATGTTAAAGAGCTTGTATATCTGATTCTATCAATAATTTTAATTACTATTAAAAACTATAAAATTCAAATTTCATTCAATTCAGTCTATCTTAAGATAATACAAAAGAATATCAATAAACAGTAGGAATGCGGAGAGATTGTTAAAAGTTATTCAAAGGTTTAAAGTAATGAGCACTCAGTATATTTTTTTCTTTAAGATATCAAGAACATAAAAGTCTGTGTCTTTCTTTTGTAAACTCTTAATTTATCTCAAAGAAACCACGTAATATCATATACTATTGGTAAAAATATTCTTTGAAGCCAGGCACGGTGGCTCACGCCTGTAATCCCAGCACTTTGGGGGCTAAGGTGGGTGGATCACTTGAGGCCAGGAGTTTGAGTCCAGACTGGCCAACATGGTGAAATCCCATCTCTACTAAAAATATAAAAATCAGCTGGGCATGGTGGCAGGCGCCTGTAATCCCAGCTACTTGAGAAGCCAAGGCAGGAGAATCACTTGAACCCGGGAGGAGAAAGCTGCAGTGAGCTGAGATCATGCCACTGCACTCCAGCCTGGGCAACAGAGTGAGACTCCGTCTCAAAAAAAAAATTTAAAAAAAATTCTTTGGATATAATTAAATTTGGCTCAAGATTATCTAGGAAAAAACATAAAGAGATAAAGTCTTCTCCTAACTTTAACATAATGGACAAAATAATTATTCACATTGTAATTAAGTACAAGTAGTCTATATAATTAAGTACAAGTAGTCATATCATAGTACAGTTTAACTATGATATGAAAAAAACTTGGGAGCTTCCATATAAAACTAACAGAAGTGATTTATTTTTTAACTTATTTAATTTATGGAACTTCCAGATATACTTTAATACTTAAATAATCCCCAATAATATGGTTCCTTAATTGAGCAAAGGATAAATATGACAACTGTGCATTGAACTAGAAATAGCAGATAGTTCATCTTTTACACTTTCTCTGCACATAGTCAGTTTCAAGCAACATCATTACTTTGCAAATGCAGTTATCCAGTTAGAACTAAAGCATTCACTGAGATGACAATTTTAAAACACATCAAATTAAAAGAAATAATCCCCATTATTTCATTTCTCTGATTAGAACCACTCTGTTCATATCTCCATTAATTTGATTTTTAAAATGAATTTTTTCACAACTGTCTTTAGACACAGCACTTATTCCTAACTTTTCAGTACTTTAATGTCCTCAGCTAGTAAAGTCATCAAAAAATGCCTATTTTCTCCTAGCATTACAAAAAGCAAAGGCATATTTGGATACCAATACAGTTTAGAATTTTAACATATAAGCTATAGGCAATATTTCCATAACTGCACCATCATCTTAATAGGTGGAAAAAATTAGGACATCTTGTTTATTAAAGAACATAGTAGGGCAGACTTAAAAATCACCCTAAATTCATAATACATCATATCAACTCTACAAATAGGAATCTGAATCACAAAACTTTGCTTCCATAAAACTAGGTAAGAATAAAAGCAGAGAGGTACTTTAAACATAATGTAGAAAAGATCTTTTGAACAGTTATTGAATTATAAGAGGTTTTACAAATATAGGACTAAAAATGATACAATTTGAAAGAGGGTCTAAGTGCTGACTTTTAGTAAGATTTCCCTTCAGACAAAGGTGTCTGCAGTTTTAAATCTGTAACATAAATTAAAATCTACAAATAAATTTTCTCAAGAAAAGCTATCTTTTATGTGAGGACTTCTGTAGTGAACAGTCTAATGTCAGGTCCCTATAGACGACGCCTAAGTGCTGCGCCACTCTCAGTAATCATCATCCCTTCTGGAAGCTGTGAAGTAAAAAGTGCCTGAAGACAACAGGAGGTCACCCTCAGTTTTCAATGCAGGGAGGAAGGTCTGAACCAAAGCAGAGACAATGAAGATAGTATTTTTGTCCTCTTCTTTCTAATGACTGCTCAGCTGAAGAAAATCAAGGCCACAGGGACACACAGCACATTATTCTGTATAACCAACAGCATGAACAGTATTTCATGAGGTTCAGACTTTATATACATTCGTCTATAAAATTTAGTAACACAATTGTAGGTCTCCCTGCGACCTCTGCATCAATGACCTAAGTAGTTTGGCTTTTGGAAAGAATCTAATCCAACCTATAGACAAAGCCAAATATAACTTAATTCCAGACTGGATGAGAAGTAAATTAGGATAAATTCAAGTAAGCTGAAAAAAGTGCACCAGTAAATCTTTTCCAGCAAACATTCTAGCCACCCATCCCTACAGAAAAAAAAAAAGAGTACCACAGACAATTTTCTAAAGATCCATAAAACCATTAGTTCAAATGGAAAAATATAATGTCCAGAAATGATAAACATCTTTTACAACAGGGGTCCCCCAAATCCCGGACTGCAGACTGGTACTACTCCATGGCCTGTTAGGAACCGGGCGGGACAGCAGGAGGTGAGCGTCTGGCGAGGGAGCATTACTGCCTGAGCTCCACCTCCTGTCAGATCAGCAGCAGCATTAGATTCTCATAGGAGCACAAACCCTCTTGTGAAGAATTGTGCATGCGAGGGATCTAGGCTGCACACTCCTTATGAGACTCTTAACTAATGGCTGATGATCTGAGGTGGAATAGTTTCATCCCAAAACCACTGGAAAAGTGTCTTCCACAAAATTGATCCCTGGTGCCAAAAAGGTTGGGGATTGCTATCTCACAAGACATATATTGAAACAGTGGCTTCTTCACTGCACTACATCTTTAAAAACATTTCCATTTTCAAAGGCAAATCTATACACTGCAGATGGGAAATCACCAAATCATTACCTTAATTTTAAAGAAAAGATTCATTTGTAAATACTGCATTAGTTTTTCTTTAATTACCAAAGTAGAACGAAAAAGAAAAAATTATCTACATTCCTGTCTTCATGATAGCAACAATAGCTAATATTTATTGTGTTTATAATAGACACTGTCCAATGAGTTAATTAATGATTCACGTTTTAGCTGATTCAATAAATTACAATATTTAAGTATTTTCTCATTTATTCAGGGGCTCATAAAATATCACTCATTCATTCAACAAACATTTTCAAAGTACTTACTGTGTAAACACTGTGCTAGCTTCTGGGGTTACCATGTAGAGTAAGAAAGAGAGGGTTCCTACTCTGTGGGAGCTAACAATAGTCCCTGAGGAAGACAAGTAATCTTCAAATGCTAACAGTTGAGTTGATACCTGCTCTGGGCAGGGAGGGTGCTATGGAAGCACAGAACGGGAACCTCAGACACACTCAGGAGGGAATTCCAATGTGAAATACTCTTAAGCTATGATGTACACTGTGTTGTGTTAGCAAATGAAGAGAGGGAACAGTATTCTGGACAAAGGGAAGGGCACAGAAGGTCTGGAGATGAACAGGCAGGACATATTACAGAGAATAATTCAGAATGGTTTGTACATTTGCTATTAGCGTGTGTGTGTGTGTGTGTGTGTGTGTGTGTGTGTGTGTGTGTGTGTGTGGTGGACGTCAGGTGGAGGAGAAAAGGCATGTACCAAGTATGACCAGCAGGCAATGTTAAAATGTATATTTGCAATTAGCTTGTGTGTGTGTGTGTGTGTGTGTGTGTGTGTGTGTGTGTGGTAAATATCAGCTGCAGGAGAAAAGGCATGTACCAAATACGACCAGTAGGCAATGTTAAAATGTTTAGGCTGTGTTCTAAGGGCTATCGAAATCCTCAAAAGGGTTTGCACAGTGGAATGACAAGATCATGTTTTCTTCTGCACAGAACCTTAGAGTAGGCAGAGGAAACAGAACTGGAAATAAGAAAACTGGATAGAAAGTTAGTACAATAGTCCAAGGGGCTAAAAACATTTAAACCTGTGGCAGACAAAGCAGGAAAGGACAGAAGTGAGTGAATAAAAATGAAACCAGAGAGAACTAACAGGACTTGGAATATAGTTATTTATGAGTGTAATAGAAGGACGAGTCAAGGATAACCCCTAATTTTCTTGCTGGGTGCATGATGGCCCAGGTTGATGACTTAAAAAACACCAGAAAAACAAACAAAAGCACTGTTTTACATAACACACACTCACCAAAAAGGAATAGCATATGAATTTGTTCTGTTTTGGTGGAGGAAGATGGAATAAAGATGACAATGAATTTAGGACATGTTCAGTTAAGGGGCCTGTGAAACATCCAAGTAGAAGGCAGTTACCTATGAGTTGGAAGCAGGTTCTGAAGATACTGTTTTGATAGTAGTAACTTAACAAAAATAATGAAAAGAGGCCCTGGACAACCACTGAGGAATCCTAACACTTAACGCTAGGAGAAAAAGAAGAAACTGGAAAAATACAGAGGACTATGTGGCACCAGAGAAAGCAAGGAAACCAAGCATTTGACCCTCAGTATAAAATCAGGGTCCACTAGACCCAATTTTAGTTTTGCAGGCTTATTTATTTATTTATTTATTTTTTTTTGAGACGGAGTCTCGCTCCGTCGCCGGGCTGGAGTGCAGTGGCATGATCTTGGCTCACTGCAACCTCCGCCTCCCAGGTTCAAGCGATTCTCCTGCCTCAGCCTCCCGAGTAGCTGGGACTACAGGCATGCGCCACCACACAGGGCTAATTTTTTGTATTTTAGTAGAGATGGGGTTTCACCATGTTGGCCAGGATGGTCTCGATCACCTGACCTTGTGATCCGCCCACCTCGGCCTCCCAAAGTGCTGGGATTACAGGCGTAAGCCACCATGCTCAGCCTGTAGATTTCATTTATAAGTAATTCCATAACTATTTCAAGAATAATTTAAGACTTTATTCTTTCTTAGAGGCCTCCAAAAATCTAAAGAAAATGGACATATTTTTAATACAATAAAATTCATTTTATCAACTAGGATCATTTGATCTTCGTGTAAAGCTAAGATTCAATATATAACTTATTGATCTTATTTTTCCTGTATCTTCAAACATTTTATTTCATCATAGCAGAAATTATTGCATCATGGCCTGTCAGTTATTTCCAACTATGCTAAAAATAACTACGATAAGAAAAGAAAATGATGAAATCCCCTAGAAGGATGCAATAGTGAAATAAAGCTTCCATTATTACATCACATTTACTATATTGCTCAATGTATTGTATTACCGTTCATGAAGATATAAAAGTAGCTTTTTCTTTTCTTTTTTTTTTAAAGCTTTCACTGAATACAGTTAAGGTTTGAATTTTTCTTTTCATTTTCTGCCTATGTTAGGTAGCATAATAGTCCCCAAAGATGTCCCAGTCACAATCTCTGAAACCCATGAATATGTTAAGATACACAGGAAATGGGAATTAAGGATGCAGACAGAATTAACTTTGCTAATCAGTTGAAAATAGGGAGGTTATCTGGGAAGGCCCAAAGTAATCACAAGGGTCTTTAAAAGTGAAAGACAGATGCGGAAGAGAACAGGAGAAAAGAGATGAGATGATGGAAGCAGAGTCAGAGAGATTCTATCTTGCTGGCTTTAAAGATGGAAAAAAGAGAATACTTGCATCTTTGCTGAAAAAGGCAAGGAAACAGACTTTCCCCTAGAGGCTCCAGAAACAAACACAGCTCTGCTAACACCTTGATTTTAGCCCAGTGAGACCTGTCACACTTGAGAACTACGGAACTATGATACAATGAATTTGTATTGTCTTAATAAAGCTACTAAGTTTGTATAATTTGTTACAATAGCAATAGAAAACTAATATACTACCACAGTGGGGGGAAAAACTGGCTAAAAGATGTTTTGCAATTATTAGATGAATTAGAAGAATGCAAAGAAACCAAGAGCAGCACTCTAGACTTTAACGAAGATGATGAAATTGATCATATAAGCACATAATCATATTGACTATAAGTCTTCAGGTGACAGTATCCCAGATGAATTTTCTCAAAATCAGGAACTGATGCGTGAATAATACTTTTTTTCTTGTCACCCAGGCTGGGCGCTGGTTAGATCATAGCTCTCTGTAGCCTTGAACTCTGGGCTCAAGTGATCCTCCCACCTCAGCCTCCCGAGTAGCTAGGACTACAGGTGTGCAGCACCACACCTAGCTAATTTTTTTTATTTATTTTTCCTAGAGACAAGGTCTTGCTATATTGCACAGGCTGGTCTTGAACTCCTAGCCTCAAACAATTCTCTTGACTTGGCCTGAATAATACATTTTTAAGGACAAAAAGGAAATATAGTATTCTCATCCCATTAGACATTTAACAGGAGTGATTTTTCATGAAGTATAATGTAACAAAAACTTGTATCCCATTGTGCTAAAAACAGGGCAACGCAGTACTCTTTCATCTTTTATGATATCTGTGTGTTGAAATGTACTTGATCCAAATGCTAAAGACAGATATATTTAAAAGGTGATTAAAAGGAAATAGTATTTGTAAATCTAAAAGTGAAAATGTTTTAAAACTATGGAGCCAAAAAGATGGCCATCTTAACTTCAACAAAATTATGAGTCATTGGTGTTTTTAAAAATATTTCATTTTGGCTGGGCATGGTGGCTCACACCTGTAATCCCAGCACTCTGGGAGGCCGAGGTGGGCGGATCACCTGAGGTCAGGATTGGAGACCAGCCTGGCCAACACATGACAAAACCCTGTCTCTACTAAAAGTACAAAAATTAGCCATGTGTGGTGACAGGTGCCTGTAATTCCAGCTACTCAGGAGGCTGAGGCAGGAGAATTGCTTGAACCCAGGAGGCTGAGGTTGCAGTGAGCTGAGATCATGCCACTGCACTCCAGCCTGGGTGACAAGAGCAAGACTCTGTCTCAAAAAAAAAAAAAAAAATTCTTCATTTTAAAGATGTAAGTAGTTCACCAACAATTATTATATATTTAGAAAATGCTAAAGATTCCTCTAAAAGACTACTGCATTGATAAATGACATCAGTAAAGTTTCAGGACACAAAATCAACATGCAAAAATCATCATTTCTATACACCAGTAACGTTCAAGCTGAGAACCACATTAATAACTCAATCCCATTTACAATAGCCACACACACACACAAATACCTAGGTAGACATCTGGCCAAGGAGGTGAAAGAGCTCTACGAGAACTCCAAAATACTGCTGAAAGAAATCACAGATGAAACAAATGAAAAAACAACCCATGCTCATGGATTGAAAGTGTCAATGTCATTAAAATGCCCATAATGCACAAAGCAATCTATAGATTCAATGCTATTCCTATCAAATTACCAATGTCATTTTTCACAGAATTGGAAAAAACTATCCTAAAATTTATATGCAACCAAAAAAGAGCCCAAATAGCCAAAGTAATCCTAAACAAAAAGAACAAAGCTGGAAGCATCACATTACCCAACTTTAAAATATACTACAAGGCTATCATAACCAAAATAGCATGGGACCAGTACAAAAATAGGCACACAGAACAATGGAACAGAACAGAGAACCTGGAAATAAAGCTGCATACCTACAACCAACTGATTTTCAACAAAGTAAATAAAAATAAACACTGGGGAGAGGATACTTTATTCAATAAATGGTGCTGGGGAAACTGGCTAGCCATGTGCAAAAGAATGAAACTCCATCTCTACCTCTCACCATATACAAAAATTAACTCAAGATCGCTGAAAGACTTAAACGTAAGACCTCAAACTAAAAAAAAAAAAAAAAAAAAAAAAAAAAAAATTCCTATGAAAAACTCTTCTGGACACTGGCCTAGGCAAAAAATTTATGACTAAGATCTCAAAAGCAAATGAAACAAAAAGAAGATTGACAATTGGGACCTAATTAAACTAAAGAGCTTCTGCCCTGCAAAAGAAACCATCAACAGGGTAAACAGACAACCTAGAGAAAAGGAGAAAATACTTGCAAACTATGCATCCAACAAAGGACTAAGAGATGTTGTTGAGGATGTGGAGAAAGGGAATGCTTATAAACAGAATGTAAATTAGTTCAATCCCTGTGGAAAGCAGTTTGGAGATTTCTAAAAGAACTAAAAACAGAACTGGATAATCCCACTACTGGATAGCTGCCCAAAGGAAAAGAAATAATTCTACCAAAAAGACACTTGCCCTTGTATGTTTATTGCGGCACTACTCACAACAGCAAAGTTATGGAATCAACCTAAGTGTCCATCAACAGTGGAATGGAGAAAGAAAATGTGGTACATATATATCATAGAATACTACACAGCCATAAAAACGAAAACACATCCTTTGCAGCAACATAGATTTAGCTGGAGGCCATTATCCTAAGTGGATTAACAGAGAAATAGACAAATACCGCATGTTGTCACTTACAAGTAGGAGCTAAACAATGGGTATGCAGGGACAAAAAGATATAAATTATAGATACTGGGGAGTCCAAAATGGGAGGGAAGGAGGAAGGACAACGGCTGAAAAACTACCTATTGGTTACTATGATCACTGTTTGGGTGACGGTTCAATAGACGCCCAAACCACTGCATTATACAATATACTCATGTAACAAACCTGCACATGTACCCCTCAAATCTAAAGTAAAAAGAAAATACATTTTAAAGATTAATGGTAAACTAGAACCTATTAGAGCTATATGGAGTCAGAATCTTTAAAATAGATTATGTTCCAGGTTCATGATAAGCAGTTAGTGGCAATCAAAGGACATAAACCATTCCAAGTTATAAAACTTTCAGAACAAGTAAAATAGGGAATAAAAATTGGGGCTTGCTATGTTTAAATTCTTATTATACTTTCTAAAGTCATTGTCTTCATTCTTCTATAAATTATTTGAATACAACTTTAAAATATAAAAACTAACAAAATGTATCCATCAGATGACTATCTTTTCTGGGAAAGTTTGGGTCAAGGAAGGAATAATCATTATTGTCAAATGCTGTTGAGACGTCTACTAAGATGAGTGAAAATCACCCAACAGTTTTTATGTTAAAATTTTAAGCGATACTGTCCAGAAATACCTTAGATTCACATAATTCCAGTGAGGGGATTAGAACAGATAAAAATCCTTACTTCTTATGTGTGATGCATTAAACATAGCTTTTATTTTCAATTCTCTAGGACAGTTAGTTCCTTATATCCATATTCACAGGTTTCAGGGATTATGACTGAGACATCTTTGGGGACTATTATTCTACCTAACATAGGCAGAAAATGAAAAAAAAAATCCAGTGACAAAAGGAATATAAAATATCTCATTAAAAATTTTTATATTGGCTGCATGTTAAAAAGATATTATTTTTGATATATTAGGTTAAATAAGATGTATTTTTTTAAGAGACAGGGTCTCACTATGTTGCCCAAGCTGAATGTGGCTAATGCGACTGCATAACTAAATTTTTCATTTTAATTAAAATAGCCATGTATGTCTAATGGTGACCATGTTGGACAACATAGCTAAAGACATTTTTAGTTCCTTATACTTCAGGTGAGATGCAAACAGGTGGCTGATGATGATTTGGCTACTGTTTTATGATTTATAACTTATGATCATTCTAGGCTTAGTTATCTTCCATATCTTTCCTTGGAACATATTTTCTTATCCACTGATCCTTTTTAAGCCTATTAAAATACCTAATCAAAATAAAATATTTAAGAAAATAAAGACTAAGGTAAAAAATAATCATTCAGCAAAGCTTACTTGCTTAGCTTATATTTGTTCAATAAATATTTGTGCATTTGTATATAAATGAATAACTGTAAATATTCATATATATTTATCGAACAAATAGCTGAATAAGTGAATTAATTGAAGGAGTGTTAATAATTCTCATTTTCTACCAGCTTTTAGTTGATTTAACTCACTCTAATATTTTAAAATATGTTGCTAAATAATCTCTGCCATTACTGTTATCTAACTTCTTTGACAAAGATCAAAATTTCCAACATTGTACTTTATCATGACTATCTCTTCAGTTTAGTAAAGGCTGTACTCAGCATTTATTCATAAACAAAATTCAAAAAAACAGTAACAAAACTTCGGGGTTTCATAGCAAAATTAAAAAGTTTCAGGAGGATACTGAGATTCATTATCTCAGTTGATTAGAATATAAGTTTGAGATTAAAATGTGATTCTTACAAGAAGCAGTTAAAACACTAGGAACATACATGATGGAAAACCAAAATTCAAGAATACATTAATAATGTTGAATAGAAACTGTCTTATTTCAGGTGGCCTTTTTCTTGTTTTTCCATTTTCCCATGACAACTTCCTAATCATTTTTTGCAAGGTAGTTAATAATGTCAGTAGTAATAGCAATAAAAACATGAAAATGGCAACTAAGATAAACTGAGTGTTTACTCTGTACCAGGCACTACTATACTAGGTACTTTATGCGTGTTAGCTCACTTGAATTGTACAAAAACACGATCAAGTAAGCACTATTTTTATCTTCATTTGCCAGATGAATAAAATGAACTTTAAATAGGCTACATCATATTTCCAAGATTAGTGTGGCATACATAGATTGGTTTAGAACCAGGTCTTTTAACTTCAGAAACGTTATCTGTAATTACTATTGGATCTCACTTATTCCTTTCCAGAACACATGAAAAACTCCTACGCTTGGCAGAAATTTCCATGCCCACGCAATAGAGACTTAACCCAGGCCAGGTATCTCACACATGAGGTCACAAATGAGACCTGGGAAGCAAGTGGCAATGGTTCATCACATTGTATCACTACCACAGGAAAGAATAAGGTAGACACTGTTGCTGGTTTTTTGCTAAATGACCACTTAGCAACCATATAAAATCAAATAGCATCAGATACCTCAACTCTCCGATTCCATACTGTTTTCCAGTATTCCTATAAAATATATTTAAATATTTAAAATAAGGATTTTACACATTAGAAAGGGGCTTCTTCAAACAAAATATAATGAAGTGCTAAATTTCATGTTTCAGATATTAAGTGCTACCAGAATTTGAAAGAGAGACATTCACACAGCCTGGTGTGGACAATGAAAGCACCAAATCCCTCTATCTTTTTTAAAAGATCACATAGAAGATTCCCTAAGTCTCCCCAAACACACTTTTCTTACATATTCCCTCTTTGCTGTCCCACATAGTCTCCAATGTTAAAAGGCCAATTCATTGATAGGTATTGATAAAAGCAACTGACAAAAAACAAAACAAAACAAAACAGGCAAACTTTTGAACATGGAGCCTTCTAGGATTTCTTGCCACTAGTAGATGCTTTGCCTTCTCTCATCACTTACACAATGGAGAAACGAAAGTAGGATCCGTGTTTTTAGTGACACAAGTAATAAACGAACCTGTTGGACTTTTTCATACTTGCAAGTGGTCTACAGCCCATTCTGGCAATAAGTATGAGCCAACAGTGACCATTAAATACTACTTATCGAGGGCCCTGGACAGGACCAGCTGTCTTGTTCTAGACTTCTGGAATCAAAAAGGTTAGAGTGTGAAGGCCTTTAGAGGTCACTTAATCTATTTCACAAAGTGTTTCCTACTCCATCTTACTGTTTAAACATTTGTGGTGACAGAAAATTCCTTAACTCGCAAGGTAGCCAGTTCCATAGTGTGTGTGTGTTGATGGGGGTTGGTGTGTGTTGATGGGGGATGGGAGTACTATAGGCTGAAAAAAGGTAGTCTAATGCTGCCGTTTCATCATACACTATAGGAAATAACATTCATATTTTTTTCTCTTCTCCTGGCTCAGCGCCAGTTTAAACATTGCTGCCTCCTCAAGGTATGTGATTTCCAGACTATTAACAAATCCTTGTCACCCACTTTATAGTACGCTCATTTGTCAAATTTATTTATTTAACAACTGGCTTAAAAAACATTAGCATCTCCTATTTTTTTAAAAAAAAAAAACAGCATCCATAAGGACAGTAAATTCTCCAAATTCGATCGCAGTAGAATTTTTCATGCAATTCAGATATAGACTACATATATGTCTTTCTTAACAAAAATAAATCAGTAAGCCGAGTGCAGTGGCTCACGCCTGTAATCCCAACACTTTGGGAGGCTGAGGCAGGAGGATCGCTTGAATCCAGGAATTCAAGGCCAGCCTCAGGAATATAGTGAGGCCCCGCCCCTACAAATAATTTTAAAAATTAGTTGGGTATGGTGGCACACGCATGTAGTACTGTTTACTTGGGAGGCTGAGGTGGGAGGATCGCTTGAGCCCAGAAGGTCAAGGCTGCAGTGAGCTGTGATCATGCCACTGCACTCCAGCCTAGGTAACAGAGCATGGCCTTGTCTCCAAAATAGTAAATAAATAGGTTCCCATCTGTAAGGAATCATGAAAAGAATAACATATTATTAGCCATTCCTCATCTTGTCTTCTCTCACCTGAAGCAAAAAGTATTTTTATATGAATGTGGCTTTTGGTGATGTCATCAAATCTATCACAGTAACATCAACTGCTTAAATGTTAACACTGTATCACGAAATACTATGTAGCCACTAAAAAAAATAGCACACTGATAGGGAATGACCCCTAAGACTTAAAAGTGAAAACAGCAAGGTACAGAACGTTATCATTTCTGTGTTTGGGGGGTGTGCATGTGTACACGTCGGGGGGGTATGTCTGCAAGTACATAATGGCTATGAAAGAATATGTAAGAAAACTGATAACTGTGGTTATTTCATAGGAGGAAAACTGGCAGGGACAAGAATTGAAAAAAACACATTTGTATTGTGGTTTGGTACTCTCTACATCTTACAGAATATTATGAAAAAAAAAGGAAGGAAGGAAGGAAGGCAGGGAGAGAGGGAGGAAGGAGGGAGGGTGAGAGGGAGGGAAAGGGAGGGAAAGGGAGGGAAAGGGAGGGAAAGGGAGGGAAAGGGATGGAGGGAGGGAAAGGGATGGAGGGAGGGAGGGAGGGAGGAAGGAAGGAAGGAAGAGAGATAGAAATCATTTTGGGTGCTGGAGAGGGGAGAGTGGGGTCTATATAAGAGAAGCCTCGGCTTTGAAGAGCAGAGTGAAAAAGCCAGCTCCCTCTCTCTCATTTTTTCCTAAGCAGGCCATTCTGCCCTAAATTGCTGTTTAGTAACAACTAGGTGGGGAACCCTACTGTATCTCGTGAGAATTCCCTGTTCATCGCACTCTAGGAATGTTTCTGCAATTATGGCTTAATTTTATTAAATGCTAATTGTTCTCGAATATAAATTTGGATATTCCTTTTCACAAAATATACAGCTACATAGATTCGAATATTCCCATTATAGCAATACCAAGCAAAAAACAGTATTCCAGTGTAAAACGACACTATCAAAAGTCACACTACTGGCTTTCTTTTAATTTAACACTGTCACACCAACTGCCAAAATCGAAGAAATCTGACAATGATAACGTGATACTTTGCTAATAAATAAGTCCAAATTTTCAGTTTTAAGGGAAAAAAAGGAGGAAATAACAGACATGTTATACTAAATTTAATTAGACACTTAATAAGTATAGTATCCATAGTTAACAAGGCAAATCGATGCTTTCAGTTCTAGCTGCAGTTTATTTAAAGAATTTACAATTTTACTACTTAAGAGCAAGTCCCATGGAGGTGTTATCTCACCATTTATATTTTCACAACACTTATGATATTGCTGTCACACTCTTAAAATAAATGAAAAGCCCATGCCACATTTCAGACCACTATAATGTTACAGACTCTATTTTTATTTCTGAAGATAAACATTAAAATACTTCTGAATTGCTCACTTTCTTCTTGCAATGTTGAACATAAAAAAAAGTAAACTAAGAGTTTTTTTTAATGTCCCAGGTATACTTGAAAAGCAGAGGTTTAATCACTTGGTTTTAAAATTAGTAACTAGAAAATATATCATTATAAAATTGTGACAGCAGCATCTTATGACAAAATTATTATGCTTTTAATTTTCTATTAACTTGTGATTTATTAGCTTGCTACTTTAAAGATTAGTCTGTGTATAGAATGAATTTAGTGGTGCATTTAATGAGACAAGAAGGTAGAAGGATGAACATGAAAAGATTATTTTACATTGTAGTGCATGAGCTATTTGATAATTCTAACACAGTACAAAAGAAAGCTTCTCTCTAGATGGATCATGGTTCAGTTAACATCACTGAATATCTAATACCTCCAACTCAATTAATTCTCACCTGATTAAGATCAGGCTGATATTCAAACTAAATCATCTCTCCAGTCAAGTAGAAATCAGTATTTCTGATTTTACTTTTAAATTACAATAGAAAATAAAATGCATGCATCTTCAATATGCCACGAGTAGATTTTCTATTCTACTCTACCATAGCATGGATAACACAGTTGATTAAAGAATTATTCTATTTTGAGCACCAATATGTGGCAGAATCTGATTAATTTGAACACAGAGATGGAGTAAAGTAATTAAATATATCTTACACAGGGCAAATAGAAAATTGACATAAAATAAACTTGACTTGTTTAAAACAACCTCACTATTTATCAGCTCAAGTAGTTAGGAATACAGTTTTATTAGAGACTGATTATGCTCAGAGAAGAGGCTTGTTTCAGGCACAGATATTTGTAAGGTAGGTAAAGAAACAGCTCCTTTTACATCATACTCTTTCCACCACCACTGCCTCCAAAAAGCATGCAGGTGCTTAAAAACAACCAAATTATTTCTACAGACTTTCCCAGAAAAAAAACAGAACATACTGACCCATCTTTGTTGAGCAGGGAAATTAGTGAATCCAAGAATAAAATGCTTACATATTTGCAACTGTTACTACTAAACAGAACATGAAATAGATGTTCCTCCTCTTTTATTTCTTAATTCTCTTCAAATTTAAGATAAAGAAGAGTAAATTATTTGTTGGATTAATCAAATAGAAATGATTTTTGGCTTGTTAGCAAACTCAAAAATTCAGATGAAAATGTTCAAATTTTAAAAAATAAATTTAAGAGAGCAGAACCACAGATAAATGTACACTTTATTAGAAATAAAAATAATTTAGAGAATACTTAGTATGTACTAACATTGCATACTATATTTTATATATGTAATATGTATACTTTATATATAAAAATATATTTTATATAGAATATTATATATAAAATATAATTTACTATTTCTAAACCTCACAAACTAGGTTATTAACCATGTACTAAATATTCATCAGTGTTACTTACCTCGGATGTGCTTTTCCTAGTGTCTTAGGTATATATCCCTTCACAGAAAAAGTATGAGGACGCAAGAATTAAGCAAAGTAATCTGGAAGCATAGATTTCCAAAATTCATATCCAATGAGCCATATGAGTTACCTACAGATTATAATTAAGGGCATAAAAATCAAAACTTGACAGATCTGATACTCTCCAAGACTTGTAGAGTAGGACTCTACTCTACAGGTAGAGTCCTGTAGACTCAGGCTGGGCTACCTATGCAACTTGGAAGCTGAGCCATTTGCATGTTAAACACAAAAGAATATTCTTTACCTTCACAAAAGGCTCCATCCTGTTTTTCTTGAACCAGACCAACATCTCAGTTTGGTTTTCTTATGACTGGAGCACAGTTTCAGAGAAATATGTTTTTGCATATAAATGTATCTATCTTTATATATATTATATACATATAAATACATAATGTGTGTGTATACAAATACATGAACAGTGCAAGCACAAAAACTGTAATGAACCACTACAACACATGTCCATGTTTAAAGGTACAGCTGTTACTTTATTCCAGATCATTGTTCGTCTTGTAGGACTGGAAATACAGAATCATCAGATCTGAGGATTTACCTTTTTTCTAAGCTGGAATTTTTGTTTTATGTAAAATCTCACAATTGTAAATAGCCAACTTTGTTTTCTAAAACACTGCAGAGGAAAAACAAAACATGTCTGCGTAATGGCTCCCAGCTGAAGGCTGATGGTCTGTGTCATCTGCTGGAAAAGCTTTCTTAAACATTTCAGCTCTAAAATAATTATACACTTGTGGTTATTCCAATTAAAACTGCTGTCACCCACTCAACAACTATTAAAGCAGAGGTCTCCATAATTATATTCTAAATAGCATTGTAGAACCTAGGACAGAGGAATTAAATGGAGACTTTTCCCATCTCTAATTCCATAGGCCTCATTCTCTTCCATGGTCCTATGAGGCTGCCACAGTAATGGTGGCTATAGTACATTTCAACAGGGATTCAGATGGGCCCTTACCTAAAAGTTTACATTTTCTTTAAGCCCACACTGATTGTCTTATGGATCAGTTACTAAACCTCTCTAAATATATGCTCCAAGAAGCACTTTAGGTAAGAATGTTTCATTTGAATGGATGCTACTTTATAAAGGGGTTTTCTCCCCTCCTCTCTTAACTTACCAAATATGTATTCAGCTATCAAATAGTTTGTCTGTTGCCCTCAGGAAGTCTCCAATGGAGCAGCAAGGCAGTGACACATTTAAAATTAAACAAAGAAACAAATAAATAAAACAGCAATTCTGGAAAGATGGCAAGAAATATCACACAGCAGTAAAGACTGATAGCCCAAAGAGGCCACATAAATAACTAATAAGAGTTTGAAGGTGGAAGGGCTCACCACAGGCTACTAGAAAGGCAGCACAAAATTCAAGGAGGTATTCCCATATTTGCAAAAATAGATGGAAGAGTGCCAAGAAATGTAAAACAACAAACCTTACTTTTTTTCCCTATTACTCTATTAAACAATTGGTGAATACAATGAAATAATTATTTAAAGTATTTCTAATAAGTTTACATTGTTAGAATTCAATATATGTTAAATAAGTCATAATCATAGCAGTTCATCTTAGAAGCTACTTAGAAGACATTTTTAAATAAGAATTTACTTGTGTTCTACATTTTATTAGTTTAACATTTATTAAAATAATAAAAATAATAAGACACAGCTCATCTCAGGATCTGGAAATCCTGTTATGAAAACAAAAGAAAGTAAAGAAAGTGGCTGTCACAGTCTTATTTGTTAAATTCCACAAAGAATATTTTTAATTTTAAAACAGAATGTCAACAGGGTTGACTGAAATAAAGAGAAATAAATTAATGCTAAATAATTACTAAGGAAGTTTTATTTATGGAAATGAATAATTCAGTGTTTTAGAAAGTAAATTCAAGCAGCAGCTGCTTTGCTGACATTAAGCTAAAAAGAGCTTCCTCAAAAATGTATAAACTTTAAAACTAAAGAATCATATTTTTTTAATGTCAAACAGGAAGTTATTTCCTAAGTCATCTGGTTTTAGTATAAAATATTACATGGTTACAATGGTGATCAACAAACCATTTAAGGAGTCTCAGCATTACATTTTTTCATAGGAAGTATCTGTCACATTCTAGTTTACTGAATATATGCATAATTCCTGGCCTGTTTAGTCTTACAACAGCTGGGGGAAGAGAGTAATTCAGATTTCTAACAATCTGTTCATATGTATGTGTACTCAGGGTTGTATTTTAAACTGTATTTCTTACTATGGACCAGGTGAAAAGAAACTGAAAGTAACTGGTTTAGGGCATGAAAATTCTTATTCTATATAATAGGAGAAATATAACCCAGATGATACAGTTGACCCTTGAACAACATGGGTTTGAGTTGCACAGGTCCACTTATACATGGGTTTTTCCCCCCCAATAAATACCATTCCTTATCTGTGGGTTCCATATCCACAGCCAAACACAGATAAAAAATACAGTATTCATGGGATTTAGGTTTTGGCTTCCTGGAGAAGGACGGGCATCCTGTAACTAATCCCCTGTGGATACCGAGGGAAACTGTATATTCTTAATTCATTCTTTTGTTAAATATTTACTGAACATTTCTATGTACCAAGCCTGTTTTAGGTTCTAGGGATATATGAGTAAAACAAACCAGGATCTCTTATTCTAAAAGGAGTATTGAGCAGTATGTTACAATGTGGTAAGAGTTACAGAAAAAGAGAGAGAAGTTAAGGGGTGTAGGAAGTTATAGGAGGAAGGACCTAGTAGGTTACATTTTCAGTAGGGTCATCCAGGTAGGCCCCTCTAAGGAGATTTTTGGGGAAAAACTTAAAGGAAGTAAATAAATCAGTAACATAGTTTTTATAGCCAGTGATGTGATACCGATACTGAAGTTTCTAATTCTATACAAGACATATTTTTTAAATATTTTCAAGGAAAATGGGCATGAAGAAAAAAATAACTGTAGATAAGAATAAATTTTCATACGAATTCCTAAACACAACATGGGTAAGGTAGCCTAGTCTAAAGAGAAGGCATAGCTACTAACGCTAATGTAAAAGTACCTAAGTTACTCTTGTGGGAATCAGACAGGGCTTAATTTCACAATGTCACTAAAATGAAAGTAAAGGCTAAGGAGACAAAAGACATACATTAAAAATGGCTTACACACTTAAGAGTAAAAACGAGCTCACGTTAAAATGAGTCTGTTAGAAAAACATTATTCACTAAAGGTATTTCTGGGGTAGCACAGCGTGAACACTGCATTCTTTGCTCCTTCCTGTCTACAGATTGTTTTGTTTTGTTTTAAAAAAAATAACAATAATGATCAGCACTGTAAACTAAGCATCTCTGTAACTTCTCTATGGGTAACAAAGAAAGAAGGGTTCAGTTAATACCCAAAGCCTGAGTTCTAATATAACTAGTTCTGAGTAATAGGCAACCCGAATCCTGTCTGATGTTTTAGAATGACAAATCTAGAAGGAGTCATATCAAAATGCACTAAGAACCTAAGTCTTCTATTTTACCCAACTCAATGAACACAAACAAATTTCCTAAAGCGAAAATGGAAAAAATAAAGAACCACAAGTTAAAAAGATTTTTTTAATTCATAAAAATGACTGAAATACAGCAAATTTAGGATTTCTGGTATTATTACTTTATGTTGACTTTAACTTGCCTACATGAGTTTCCATTAGCTTTTTAACTCATGACTAAAGCATTTTATTTTTATGTAATATAAGCAAATTAATAAACTTCTGGTACTCACTACTATTTATGTAGCTATATAAGTTCGTCCACTTAGTTTGGAAAATTCTCCCAAATCCATCTAACATCTGCAATGTTTCACAAAAATTTACTTGTCCTGTATTGTAAAAGAGAAAAATTTATTTCACATGACAAAAAGGAAATACTACCCCCAAATTTTGCTACTTAACAATAATACAATTCGCAACTTTAGAAGCCTATTCCGTAAGAAAATAAAGCAATTATAAAAAATTTTTTCATATCAAGGGGGGGTAAATTTTGTATACATAACCACTGAGTAAGGTTCTCCTGACTGCAATTCATTTATGTAATTTTTTTGACAGAGCTCACTTACATTATTGCTCCACAGTTATGTATCATTAATAGGCATACATGAAGTTATAGTAGAACAGATGATCCTGTTACAGCACTTTCTACATAACCAGACATTAATATGTTAAAGGCCATTTTACAAAAATCACTGCCTTCATATTTACTCTAACCAATTAAAATGAGTTCTTCGAAAATAGCAATTATTCTCTTCTTTTATTTGAAATCCATATAGTTCAAATTTAATGCTATATGTAAAATATAAAAGGTCTTAGGAAGACAGTTAACAAAGATTTTACAGAACTACACAGGTTTTCAAGTTAAAAAAAAGAATACTTTTAGCCAGGCATGGTGTCTCATGCCTGTAATCCCAACATTTTGGGAGGCTGAGGCAGTCGGATCGCTTGAGCTCAGGAGTCTGAGACCAGCCTGGCCAACATGGTGAAACTCGGTCTCTACTAAAAATACAAAAATTCGCCAGGCATGGTGGTGGATATCTGTAATCCCAGCTACTTAGGAGGCTGAGGCAGAAAAACCACTTGAATCCAGGAGGCAGAGGCTGCAGTGAGCCGAGAGCACACTACTGCACCCCAGGATAGGTGACAGAGCAAGACTCCATCTCAAAAAAAGAAAGAATATTTTTAAAAGACTGTGTGTTTTGTTTTAAAATCTAGAACATAAGCCTCAAAAGCAAATTTTCGTTAAAGATGAGTATCTTCTTGATATCTTACAACCATCTACCTCAAACTTAATGTGTCCTGGTTCACTGTTTCTTACAAATCATTTGAAATCAAACTCCTGGCATCATCATGCTTCTCTTCAGTGGTTTTCTCTTCAATTACCAAGTTCTGCCAAAGTTCCCTTTGATGCTTCCCATTCTGTCACCTCCCCAGCCACTCGAAAAAAAAAAAAAAGTCCCTCTATTTGTAGCTTAATCAAATGGAAAGCTTCTCTTTTCTCTAATATCAACTCCTCCATCCAGCTTGAGCCCATACACAGAACAACCACAGTCTTTAATCTCTCATGTCACCCAGGCAGACACGGGGAAGAAAACAGAACTATATGAAATTAAAAGGATGCAAAGTAATAGAACTACTGCACTTAACGTTCCCACAAAATTACTATTTAGAGATGTATAGGAAATCATTAAAGGTATGTTTAGCATATATAGATACAAGAGAGAACTGATTGGAGATTCAAAATACTCTCAATAGTATGGACAACCAGAGCAAAAAAATGTTTAAAGGTAAAATTTACCTGGATACATGCGAATTCCTACATTTAAGTTAAAAATACTTTCACATTTTAGAATAGAATGACGTTTGATAAATTCAATGTGAATCAACAATTTGATGAAGTACAACAGAACAACTAAACCAATCTTAATTATCAGTGTCGCAATCACAACTGCAAGGAGCTCACAGCACATCTATGTTCATTTCTGGAGACCACATTTTTAGACGAATCTTGACAAATAAGTACATTCCTACAGAAAGGCAATAAAGAGATTAAGGGGTCTTTTTAAAAACCATAATGTATACAAACATCCTATTATATACTAACCACATCTTAGAAATCTACCTAAGGCATCTATGGGAAAATAGAAAATATTTAAATTTATCCAGAAAAGAAAATTCAAGAAAGGGAATGAGACTATCATCACTAAAGTAAGCTGAAGTAAAAACCCAGGTGACCTTAAATATAAGAGCTTAGGCTTGATCATAAGCAGTGGGGAATGACATGAACTAAAATGATCAATTGAAAAAGCTTTACCTAGCAACAACGTTTAGGATAAGGGTAAAATCAGGGAAGAAGGAGAAAAAGAAATTTTCTAGATAGAAAAAACTAGTCTTCATGCTAATAAAATAATTGAAAAGATATTGAAGACAGTTTTGGGTAAAACTGCAAGATATTGTAAGCTCTTAAACTCTTCCTCAATATTCTATAAGATAAACAGAGTTTTAAAAAGACAAAAATTGGCTAGCTGCCCCTATGCCATAAAAGGGTGATAGTATTATACTATAAATTTCAAAAAGTAGGAAAAAAGGAAAGATTTTGGCAAGGCTCAACATGCCATGGATCCTAGCTCCTAGAATGCACTGGGGAAAGAAAATGAATTAAAATACCTTGCAAATTCCCGCTAAAAACACTCTTTGTTTTTGAGAGAAGTAGACTGAGGGCACAAATAGCCCACAGAAAAATAAAGCAAAAACAAAAACAAAACAAAACAAAACAAAAACACTTAGTATAAAAAAACCTTTACCCACCTTCAAAGGATTTCAGCAGGGGCTAGAAAAACCACCAGGGTATGCCATTTTTCAGGGATCCACACTTAATAGAGAAGATAACCCAAAGGTAACCCCACAGAAAAGAGGAAACATTCCTGAAGGCTACTTAACAAAAACACTGCATTGGCCATGTGCTCCCTCTCCCCCTCCCTCAGGCTTCAGGAAAGTACATAAAAGAACACCCCAGCCTTCACAATATAGCCCACAGGAGAAAACAAACATCAGAAAAAGGTGGCAGAAGTGTTAAAGAGCATTCACCCACAATTTTTCAGAGAAACAGCAAGGCAACTCTGCAAACATGCCTAAGGAAAAAGAAGATTCATCTCAAATGTCACACTCTATTAGAACTTAATAAAAACATAAATTCAAGAAAACTAGACTTCAAGGAATAGTTGATAAAACAGAGTGAGATGACAGAAGAGATAAATTGAAGACCAAAACAAATCTGTAACAGTGCTAATAAATATATTAGAAACATAAAAGAAATAGCATAGACACAGCTAAAATTCAAATGAAAAATTTTATTTAAATTACTCAAGATAATCACAGTAAATATAGAGGGGAAAAAAAGGTTAATGCAAACAGAGAAAACCAAGGCATGGTAGGCAACTATTTTGGAAGACAGCTTCCAAGATGGCCTCCAATGATCCCAGCTTCCTATTGTTCATGTCCTTCATGTCCATGTCACCCCTCCCATTAAGCAGGCTTCTAACCTAGTGATCTGCTTCTAACCAAGAGTATGGTAATGCAGACAGGATGTCACTTCTATGACTGAGTTACAAAAGACTGTGGCATGTCTTACCAGATGTTCTCTCTGGTCTTCTTGGCTTGCCTGTTTTGATGAAGTAAACTGCCATGTGGAAAAGGCTCATGTGGGAAGGAAGTAAGGCTATCAACCCAGCATCCTACAGAAGACTGAATGCTGCCAACAACCATGAGTGACCTTCAAAGCAGATGCTTCCCCAGTCAAGGTTTCAGATGAGACCACAGACCCTCCTTAGCCAACACATTAATTGCAGCCTTGTGAGAAACTGAAGCAGAAGACCCAGTTGTCATACCGAGATACCTGACTCACAGAAACTATGAGATTAATAAATATGTGCTCTTTTAAGCCACTACATTTTGGAATAATTAGTTATGCAGTAAATACCATCAAATGTTAATCCTCGTTTTAAAGTTCCAAGGATGATTGGTTATCTCTGAGGAAAAAAATTCCCCCAGAAAAAGGAAACAAAAAACATTTTCAATTATAATTTAAGAAAAGTTTTCTGATTAAAAAAAATGTACAAACCAAAAGGGCACAGTATGTTCCAGAAAGAACTGATACAAGATATATCACAGTTAAGCTTCCAAACTCAAGGATACAGAAAGAATTCTTCTAGGATCCAACCAGAAAAATCACGTCACCTATGGTAGGATGATTGCAAGGTGGGGTGGGGATGAAAATCAGGCTGCTCTCAGACTTCCCAGAGCAACATTTAATGTCATAAAATACTGATGCAATGTGTATCTACAAAGTTCTGAGGTACAGAAAATACGACCTGACAATATTATATCCACTCTACATGTCACAAATCTATTAGGCAACAAGCAGTCATTCCCAACCATGAAAGATATCAAGGATTCTAGAACCCAAAGACTCTTATTAAATTAACTATTGGCAATAAAATCAAGCAACAGATCAAAAAAAAATTTTTAAAGACAAAATGTGATGAGCACTGGATTTATGGTTACAGACAAGAATATAAGTATTATAAATTATGACAATGTAAAATTACAACTTACAGAAACTGGGACCTGAAAGAGAAAAGGTGGGGGAAGTATAACTGTACTTTCATACAAGGGAATCACTCAATACTGTTCAAAATTAGAATATGGAGTTAAAACATAATCACTCAAACTTGTCAGTGGGTTTCATATGTTTTCTTGTAATGGAGGCAAGTAACCTTTTATCAAGAAACATTTACATAAACTTTAGCAAATCTTTTGTTTTATAAATTCCACTAAAAAAGTAGTGTATATAATATAATCCCTTTGTATTATCCTTTTGTTCCCAGAGAGATGTCTGTCTTTGTGAATGGTAGAATTTAGAGTAATTTTTGGAATGCATTTTATATTTTCTACATTACTTACATAAATTGAATATCCTTTTTATTAAAAGCATGATGTTGTTTTCCCCCACAACAATAAAATGCAAAAAGGAAGTAAATACTGAAAGCCTGAAGTAGAGTAGAGGTATTGAAAATGAAGTCTCACATATTGTTAGAAAGATTCCTGCATTGGTAGTAGTTAACCTCACAGGCTTCATCTAACGTTAAGTTTCTGAGATCACAGACTTTCTCCCTAAATAAAGATCTTTGCAGCATAAAAATCCCTGTTTTCTATTATATGACTTCTAAAATTCTTTGCCTGGCTTTCAAGGAGCACCAAAATACGACCCTAAATGGCAACTAAATTGTTTTATATAATTAAACTAACCTTCTCATTGTCCTACAAATATCTCATGTTATACTCGGCTTTTATATCTTACTACCTACTTGGAATATCTTTTAATAAATAATTTAGGTGTTTCCATTTCACAGACTATTCCTTCCCCAATACTTAGTAAGATAAACAAAACGAATTTTAAAAAGAAACTATCTAAATGATACCTAGCTAAAGTTTATTTGCTACACAAAATTCTTCCTGAAATCTTAGAATTTAACTAAAAAAATTCTTTCAGAATTTTTAGAGCACTCATCGAGACTTTTCTATATTGAAACATAACTCTAAATTAATACTGCTTTGCAGACTGTATTAGTCTTAATTCAAAAACTTAAAAAAAACCTCAAAGAACATAAAATTTTAAAAATATATTTAAAGAAACTCATCAAAAAAATAAAAAGAAAATAAAAGAATGATACAAATAGACCTGATTGGAAATATGTTTTTAAACCTCTGAGATGGTCTTCCCAACCAAATATTTCATATTATATATTTTTAAAAGATAAGATTATGTATTTGTATAAAATGCTACAGTTTACAAAGTGTTTTAATAATCACTTTTTCATTTACTTGCAAAAATATTCTTACAATCATAATTATCCACAAAAGGACTGTGAGTATACTTTAAAAAATTATAAAAATAAAAATTATAAAAAATATTAGTCAGTATGAAACAATTTATCAAACTTTATAAATTTATCACACAAATGTATTCATCATAATCCTCTTTAACAACACAAAGCTACATTTGCAATGAAGCAGCTAAAGCTTTCTTTTTTGTTTTTCCTCTCAACTATGATTTAAATGTTTATATTCCTTGTTTTAATATTCCAACACACAGTCAAAATGTGGCAGTTGCAGTTGTACATTTACCTTCAATAGTAACTATAAAACCTAAAATTATTTTCAGTTGGCTCCTTTAGTAAGACCCAAAATTTCCTAAAGAAACATTTAACACTTAATGTTACATTTACGGTAATGAGAAAGAGCAAGGATAAGTCAATGTAAAAATGAATAAGCTTTAATGATATTCTTAACAGGATTTTCAGATACTTCTACCACAAGATGGAGATAAAGTAGATGTATTTACACACGTCAAAATATATAATTTTATTAAATTATTTGATATCACTTGGCTCATAATCAGAAATATATGCTACTCTTTATGATAAAGGTAAACTCACTTCACATGTGATCATTTTTAATTTAGTTATTTCCAAAATATCTTTTAATAAAATAAAGACATATAACATTTTCATGTTTCATTTTACACAGGAAACTACCAGTATTAACGTATTTTTAAAAACACGTTGAAGAAGATTCATATATCAATACCAGAGCTGTTCAATAATTTTTTTTGTAACGATGGAAATGATTGATGTCTGCATTGTCGTATGTGGTATCCACAAGCCACATGCAGCTATTGAGCATTTGAAATGTGGCTAGTACCACTACGAGACTCAATTTTAAATTTTATATAATTTTAATTAATTTAAAATTAAATAGGCAATGTGACTACTGGCTAATATACTGGACAGCACAGAGCTATATTATAGCCAATTTAATATTTTAATATACATTGAAATTCAATCATGGTTTTCAGAGTGTAAAATAACACATAAAAACTGAACTTTAAAAATAAAATTACTATAAATCAATGATAAAAACTAAAGATTCTGACCATTAATAATGGAGGTTTTTCCAAAATCATCAGGAAAAAAATAGAAAAGCTCAATATAACGGTAAAAATAAAAACCAATATATATTAAAAGGAGTAAAGTTTATAGCATCTTTCGAAGGGAATAAAAGAGCATATATTAAAACACACAAATCTTTTTAAAGTATACCAATAACCATGTGAATTTTCAAATTTAGTATAGAAATGTGCTTATTTAAAACATGTAAATATCTGCACATACAATAAACATATTTACTATTTACACAAGTCAAAGTTAACATTTTCAATAATAGGAAAAAAAAATTTGCTCCCTCTTACCAAAACAGTAGGAGTCTAACTCTGCAATTACAAAGTAGAGCACTTTGCACCAGAGAAAGATTCCAACATAAATTATGTGGACCTCAATCAATACAAAGTTGGGTATCAATTAAACTAGAGAGCCAGTAGCCATTCTGTTTCAAACTGAGAGAAATAGTCTTACTAATCCAGACAAAGATGCCAGTCAAAGGTGCTGAAACCAAAAGGAAAAGTTTCATGATGATCACATCTCATAAAACGTAGAGAGGATTCATGAAGAAGCCACTTCACTGGAGTCTGTTCTTGGATTTGGGCAGAATAAGGGAGGAAGCTGATTTAAAAGTGCTATAGAGGTGACACTGAGAAGACAAAAGAGTGTTAGGAAGAATCCGAGAATTGGTCACCAAATAATACCTGAAAATGTGTTGACGGTTGGATTATTCCAGCACAAAAGCCCTGACTTTAAAATTAAGCAAACAAAAAGGATGTTTCATTAAACTGTCTGTATATTACAAAACTGGGATATATTCTTCTCTTTTGCAATAAATAATCAAAACCAGCTTTTTAATGACCAGTCAGGCTCTAACAGAAAATGAAAAATAGGCTCCCACATTCAGCAGATCTACCCTTCCCCCAAGATCTCAGTAAATTATTTCTACATGTGCTGTGTTAAAATTGAACCCCTAGAGGGCAACTGAGCTTCAATCTTTACTTCATAATATACACTTCAGTTCCTCAGCAGTTTATAGATACCATGACCTACTTCCTTATATCTTGGAACTTTTCCTCTAATACA
Organism: Homo sapiens; assembly: GCF_000001405.40. Classification (NCBI taxonomy): domain Eukaryota; kingdom Metazoa; phylum Chordata; class Mammalia; order Primates; family Hominidae; genus Homo; species Homo sapiens. The sequence goes on along the minus strand of NC_000003.12, from coordinate 28,286,678 downwards.
AAAAGGAAATGGAAAGAAGAAAATTGATATATTCCATTCACTAATGCAAAATATCATTATGTAATACATTCTTTAACAGCAATCATTCAACAATGAAGACTATGGTACAAATAGGTATATTCCTGAATAACAGACTTCATAAATGAATATGTGAATATTAACACTCTCAGTAGGAATCATGTAGCAGATAAGAAAGACATACTTAACAAGTCTATTTAATATAAACGTTTTGCATAACTTTACATTCACTAAATGACATGTTAAAACTTACAGGGAAAAAAGTGAAGAATCCAATTTCAATAACAACCCTATATAAACTATCCAGTATAAAACACTACAGGAAAAACAATGCTTCTTCAAAGTCAAAATGTCAAGAGGTTCCTTGCTGCCCGACTAAGTTAACGCTATTTCATTAGAAAGAAGTACTGATATTCAAACAGGCCCACACAAAATACTGACATAGCAAAAAAAGTTATTCTATCAATATAAAAATGTACTAGCTAGCAAGGCCAACAATGATATCTTAGATTCAGCCTTTTTTAATGAAACTCAAAAATTAGACATATACAAGTATAAAATGTATGTACCAAAAAAGGTAGCATAAAAGAAAATGCTGCCAGGTGCGGTGGCTCATGCCTGTAATCCCAGCACTTTGGGAGGCCGAGGCAGGCAGATCACGAGGTCAGGAGATCAAGGCCATTCTGGCTAACACAGTGAAACCCCGTCTCTACTAAAAATACAAAAAAATTAGCCGGGTGTGGTGGCAGGCGCGTAGTCCCAGCTACTCGGGAGGCTGAAGCAGGAGAATGGCGTGAACCCAGGAGGCAGAGCTTGCAGTGAGCCAAGATCGCGCCACTGCACTCCAGCCTGGGCGACAGAGCAAGACTCTGTCTCAAAAAAAAAAAAAAATGCTGAGAATTTACCTGGACAATATACAGAATAATAATAACTAACTGATAACTTGGTCCAAAAGTCATGGGTTTTTTTTTTTCACTTTTTATTTGTATAGATGTAGGGGGTACAAGTGCAGCTTTGTTAAATGGATATATTGTGTAGGGAGGAAGTCTGGGCTTTTAGTGTAACCATCATCTGAATACAGTACCCTGTACCCAATAGATTTCTCATCCCTTACCCACTTCCTACCCTCACATCTTTCCTGGTCTTCAATGTCTATTATTCCACTCTCTGTACCCTTATGTACACATTACTTAGCTTCCACTTATACGTGAGAACATGTGATATTTGACAGAAAGTCATGTGTTTTTTTTTTAACCCAAATAAGACTTTTACATAATCAACTCTCTTTATCTCATACTACAATATGTATTCACTAACTGGAACAAAATTATAATTCCATCCATAAACAGCTTTTGAAGGAAAATATGTATTTTGTGTCACAAGTCCTTCCTCCCCAGCAGAGAAGGTCACCAGTACCTCCTTAGCTACTGTACTCAGCAACAGAACCATCATCTTGGTAAGGACAGAGAATACACACACATGCTGGTTAAAGACTCTTTCTCCATGTCACAATCATTTTCTTCACTAAATTCATCAATTAATTATTAGCATTACATCCTAAGTACTTAGGAATCTCAATAATCACAAAGCAATTTCTGCTCATTTGGATTAGAATCCATATATGAAAACTGAAACATCAAAGAATGCACTGATGGAACACAGAGTAGGAAGAAGCTGCTAAAGAAGGTGAAGTTTGTGTGCAACAGGGTTAGTAAAGGAAGCAGCCATATAATTGACAGGATACAAAAGAGGTCAAGGTTTACGGCTGCCAGAGCATACTTTCTTATTCCCTAAGAGTTTGCTAAGAATCCTTGGCCTACTGGAAAAGAACCTGACACCTAGCCTAGATAATTTGGCTTTTAACCTCCAAGATGGAAGTAAGGGAAGTAAAGGTCAAGAAATAGCCAACACACACACACACACACACACAGAAATCTAACAACAAAAACAGCCAAAAACTTATGGCTTATATAGAAGAGTGCTTTAGATAATAAATTATGTAACTTTAAGATACACAAATGAGCAAAATCTATATGGTTTGTTGCTATGGGCTGCTTTAAGGAGACATTCTGTTCCTTTGGCTAATCCATTATTTCTCAACCTTGGATGCACATTCAAATCACCTTGAAAGCTTTGGGAAAAAAAATGCAATTATCTCTCTGTGGAGAGAAACATGTGCACTATTATTTTGTTTTGTTTTAATTCCTAGATAATTCTGAAGTACAATGAACGTTTGAGGATCACTGATTTAGCCTGTGTGTGAGAGATGAGGATCCAATACACATCGATTGTACAGGCAAAGTAAAGGTTCTACTCTAAGAATATGACAATTTGAATCTCATCATCTAAACAGACTTCACCAGGGAAGATATGAAAGAAAAAGATAACACAAAAGAAGTTGCATGAAGCCTTAATCACGGAAGCAGTAAATAGTAGACCTATTTAGGTCTACTCTGAAAATCACTGGGTACTAATGAAATGAAAGAGCTCCTCAATATGCTCAACAATAAATAAGTCAACCACAGATGATCTCTGAAGCCAAAATGAGAGGGAAAGGAACAATTAAGATTTTTCACACTAATGCATCACAAAGTACACTTAAGTCAAATCTTCAGATATTCTAATTTCCAAAAGTTCAAATTTTGCGATCTAGGCATAAAATATATCTATGGGAGGTATACCAGGAAAAAAATACAATGCAACATATCCTAAATTTAAATTTGTACACTGTACTGACACAATCTAGGATTCAATGAACATCTAGCTGCTTTTAAAGAGGGTTTCAAATTTCCAAATATAGCTTTGACTTTTCTCCTAGGATGGTCTAGTTCAGTCTGTGTAGGTGAGTGACAAGAAATAAGCAGACACTGTAACTGCAGTAATCTGTATTGAGATGGAATACAACTGTTCCTACTGAGTCAATAAAGCCAGGGTATTCCGTCACCATAAAGGCATATCATCTGTCTGGAACAGTCAGTTAGAATGGAAATGAAATCACCACATAAAATGCTCAAGGACCCAATAGGCTTAAAAAGACAACTATAAAAGCAAGACAATATATTACTGCAGAGAATTGGTTTCTTTCTTCTTTTCTTTTTTTTTTTTTTTTGTTTTTGTTGTTGTTGTTGTTGTTGTTGCTGTTGAGATGGAGTCTCTCTCTGTTGCTCAAGCTGGAATGCAATGGTGCAATCTCAGCTCACCACAACCTCCACTTCCTGCATCCAAGCGATTCTCTTGCTTCAGCCTCCTGAGTAGCCGGGATTACAGGCATGCGCCATGACACCTGGCTAATTTTTTTTTTTTATTTTTAGTAGAGATGGGGTTTCGCCATGTTGGCCAGGCTGGTCTCGAACTCCTGACCTCAAGTGATCTGCCTACCCCAGCCCACCAAAGTGCTGGGATTACAGGCGTGAGCCACCACACCTGGCCAAGAACTGGTTTCTAATCATGTGCTTGATATTTACCCATGGTTTGACCTAAAGCTAGTCAATTACCTAATATTTTACATAAAGCACTTTGAAAAATATCATAAAGATTCTGCCCATCACTTTAATTCTATGCAAGACTTGTCCTTTGGCAATGTCACTGACTAGGAAGGTATGAGTACAGGGTTGAACTACGGAAATACTTTGCAACAAATACATGGCAAAGTTCAGAAAGTCAAAAAGAAGCTGAGCTGTGTGTGATGACCTGGAAATCTTACAGAAAGATATGTCCTAGTAAGTCTAGTCAAGTCAAATCGGATTTTCTTAAGCTCTGCTGGTAGAGATAGCTGAAATAAGGAAAGATATCTAATAATATGAACTTAGAGTTAAATTCGTTCTGGTTTGAATTTGATTGTCATTAAAACCAAAGTTTTAAGGTTATGATGAAGAATCAAAGGGATGAAAAAGTTAAATGTAAACAGATCATTCGTGGATGCATTTTAAAGATAATAACACAGGTAATATATTAGAATGCAGAGTAAAATTACTGGTGTTGATTAGAAGGAAAAAAGCAGCCTGACAATGTGAACTTTCAGATTATGTAAGCACAAGTCAGTAGCCATTAAATTAAAAGATTAAACTGTGTTTAGCTATTTAGCTAAACATAGCTAAAATATGTTCTTAGAGCAAAGAACATATTTCTTTAGCTTTGATTTCAAATAAAACAAAATATTACATTTAAAAATCTGACAAATCTGGTGAATCAATTTCTCCAGAGAAGGTAAGGAATAATGCGTAGGACACCTGTAAGAACAATAGCAAAAAGACTGTTCAGTTATCTCTGTAGGACTACATTGCAGTTAATGCTCATTCTCTTAAAACAGCCTCACTCTGAATAAATGCCACGGGTTATGCCACAGCAATCTGAGATAGGGACGTCTCTTTAGTTCTAGCAAACACACATGGTTACACTGCTGTCTGTCACTGTTAATGGAAAACAGCTTCTAGTTTTAAAAGAATGCAGAAAGCCAAAATTTAAAAAGTAAACTTGTAATTTGTCTTGTATTTGGTGGTAAAATTAATCTTTCCGTTTTATTTGTATGAAGTATTTTCCTAGGAAGGGAAATACACAGAAGAGAAAGAGGAAAAAAATGAATAAAGGGAGGTAGAAAGAACAGATTTCAAATTCTTCTGATTTTTTTTAACCAGAAATCAAATCTAAACTTCTGTTTCAGACTGTTAAGACACTCCAAAATCAGCCTTGACTCTCAGTCTTTATCTACATCATTAATCCCCTAATGCACCACTGGTTTCCTAAGGTCAATCTCTTTGCTGCTGTATCAACAAACATGCCCATTCTCACCTCTGTGCCTTAAATCCTGGGTCTCTGGTCTGAAATGTTTTTCCAGTTTCCCTATACTTAGCCAAATAATTAGCCGTACTTCAAGGTCCAGTTGATAACCCACATACTTCATTAAGTCTCACCTGCCTATATCAGAATTCACTGGCTTATTTTTTTCTAAAGTAACATGTAGGTATTTTATTATAAATTGTTTAATATGGTGTAATTCTATTTTCTGTGCCTGGTTTGTCTCTTATCAACCACACAATAAGGTACTCAAAAGCAAGTCTCAGACTTCAACTCTGTATCTACAGCACTTCTCACAGTATTGAACATGTGATAGGCAACCAATAATATTTAACAGACATGATATTAAACTTAATTCTGTAAATTAAACTTAATTCTGTGCATTCAGAGCAATATCAGAAGTTTTAAAAATTACTGAAGCAATGTCTAGTTATCTACTCAATCTTTGTTACCTTTTTCCAATGAAATATATTTAAATCCTAGAAAAAACTCAGAAAAGGAATCAAGTTTTAAAATTGCCAATATTACCAACACTTAGAAATAATACCTGTTAACATTTCCTCACTGCACTCTTCCTTTATAGAATCAATTTTAATTTGAATATTTATTTGATAACTATCTCCCCTGCCATACTTAAACTCAATAAGAATGCAGACTGAATCTGTTTCAGTCACATTTATGTAGACAGCTTACGTGCAGGGCTGGATACATGGTAAGTATTCATAAATTTACGGAATTAGTTAATTTAGGCAAGCCTTTCCTGTGTTTCTAGAATTTAATTTGATTAAACCAGGAGTCAGGAAATGTTTTCGGTAAAGAGCCAAAGAGTAAACATTTTAGGCTTTGTAGGCCATATGGTCTCTGTTGCAACTACCCAACTCTACTGCTGTAGTGTGAAAGCAGCTATAGGCAATACATAAGTAAATGAGCATGGCTGTGTTCCAAAACAACTTTGTTTACAGAGATAGGTGGTGGACCAAATCTGGGCATCAGGCTGCAGTTTGCCAACTGTTGAATAAATACAATATATTGTTAACTAGTTTCTCACTCTGATCAACACACTTACTGTGACTACAAATGTATGTATCTTATATCCTATGGCTGTACCATAATTTATATAAGCAATCGGACTCTGCTGACAACTACATTTTTGGCAATATTCCATATTATATATGATGCTATGTTGAACATCCTTATGCATATTTTATTGTACATCTCTTATCATTTCCTTAAGATAAAATCCTAATGGTAGAACTGCTAAGTAAGAGAGTAGCCACATTTATGAATTTTTGTGAATTTTTTAAATACAAGCTCCTTTCATGCTGTTATTCCTGGCCAGCAGTGTAAATACCTGCTTTTCCAAAATCTTGTCAACACTATACATTACATATGTTTTCTTACCCAGAAATACTTCATCATGCATGTGATAAGAGTTCAATATTTGTCTACATTTTTCTAATTAGATAACACTGATCTAAAATGAAATGAGTATTAATATATACCATTCAATGAAACAAAAGTATACCTTTGTGCAATACAAACCACCGAAAACTACAGAATATTAAAATCACTCCAGAAACTTCCTTTAATATCCTTTTTCAATCAATACTTGTCCCACTCCCACGTAGTGCAACTGTTGTTCATATAAGTTTTGTCTATTCTGAAACACTATATAAATGTTGCCTGTTCTAGAACATAATATTAAAAGAGTATACACTTTTTTCACTTATATTTCACTAAGCATAATAGTTTTGAAATTCATCTCAACTGTCGTACAGAACAGTAGTTTGTTCCATTTTATTGCCCATTGTACAAGTACACCACAATTAGTCATCTCTTCTTTTTTTGAGACGAATCTGGGCTATTTTCAATTTTTGGCTACTGATAGATACACTACTATAAATATTAGCATACAGGCCTTTTTTGTTTACGTAGTTTCATTTCTCCTGGAAAGAGTTGCTAGGTCACTGGGCAGATGTGTGTTTTGTGAATGTTGTTAGTGCTCTTAATTGTAGCCATTCTGGCAAGTATGCCATTCCATTTACATGAAGGTTGTCCTTATGTTATTGTCCTACAAGTCCGTAAGGGTTTTGCTCATTTTTTAAATCTTTTTTTTTCCCCTCTCTGTTTAGGTATTTCCTTGATCTATCTTTAGGTTATGATTCCTATTCATTTCCATTCTAAAAGTTTTATGTCAGTTTTTTTTTTTTCAGTTTTAGAATTTATATTTGGGTCTTTTTTATTACTTCAAATTCTCTGTTAATATTTCCTATTTTTATTCATTGCAAACATATTTTCCCTTATGGTTCTTAAGCAATTACAACAGCTGCTTTAAGATTCTTGTCTGCTAATAGCAACATATGAGTTATCTTGAAGTTAGTCCATTGATTTCTTTTCAGAATGGTTCATGTCTTCTTGTTTCTGTGTACACTGAATAATTTTGCATTCTACTGCAAATGTTGTGAGTAATACGAGTAGAAAGTTTGGGTTCTGTTTTTTCTGAATAATTTTTTTCTTTTTCATTTAAGCAGGCAATTTAATTTACTTTGAGTATGCATGCACACGCACTTTCCAAGGCCTGCAGCTACACCAAACCCTGTCCTTGGTTCTTCAGACCAACAAGACTGAGGGGTTTTGTTTGTCAAGAGTTTCAGCCACCCTACCTGGCAGGGGACTCACCCAGTGCTATTTCCTTCCTTCAATGTTTGACTTCTATTTTCTGTCTGCTTTTGTTTGCTCTCCAGTGCTTTCGGGTAGTTATTTTTCCTATTTTGTTCATAGGTTATAGTAGTTTTCTGCAGAAGGAATTGTGCAATGGAGCTACTAGGCCATGCCAAAAACAGAACTCTTTATAAACTGAATAAACTCATTATCAAATTTTAAATTATACTAAGTTTAGGTAATATAAAGTAATAGCTAATTGATCTAATGACATTCTTTCTGATTGACCCCATTCACAATGTGCTAGACAGCCACTATCAACTGATTAAAGTTGACACAGATGAACTGTATTTGCTATCTTTGACATAGTTAAAAGGTACATTATTATGGAAAACACACTAGGTTGGGAATAAAGATAGCTGAATTCTAATAATGGTCCTGCTATATTAACAAGTCAGTTGATACCGAATAGGTAATTTACTCTTTTTATTGAGCTATGACACCATGTCTTTCTATTCCCCACTGTATCTAACACCATGTATTGCACATAGTAGTACTGAAGGATAGTTTGTTGAATTAACAAATCAGTGTAGTTATGGTTTCTTCTGGAGGGAGAGTGGTCTATCTGAAATCTTAAGAGGAAGGCAAAGGAATACAAATGTCAATTTTTAATCTATCACTATCCAAGTTGAACATGTTACTGATAGTTCACTAACAGAAAATAGAACCTGCATAATGTGCACAAAAACATTAGAACCACCACAATTGTACAAACATTCTACTCCTTTGTTTCCCTTTATAAGAGAGATTTTTACTACTGTCTGATAAAGTGGTTTCACACTGCAATAATTAATAAGACACTTCAAAGTTAACATATCCAAAACTAAACTCTGAGTCCATCTACCACCAATAATAAAATAAAATAATATAATTTCTCCACACACAGTCTTCTTCATCTCTGCTAACTATAACTCCTCCTCTTTTACTTGTTCAGGACAAATAAGGAGCCATCTCTTTCTCTGTTGCCTCTACTTTCAAAATATATCTCAAATGTGCTCATTCTCACCACTTCCATTTTTACCACCCCTCCAGTCCACCATCATCTGTCAGTTGGAGTATCTCAATCACATCAATCACACAATCACATCAATCACACAATCAGACAAAAATGGTGTCTCTAATTCTCCCCTTGTCCCTATTCCACCTATTATTAACATAGCAATGAGAGCTGATTATAAATCAGACCCTGTCTCTTTTCATTGTTCAAAGCAATCTTCATCTTTCCATTTTTCTCCTTACTAGCTACAAGTCCTCAGTACCCAGGAGACCCTGAAAGATTCTGCCTCCAATCATTTTGCTGAACTCCTCCCTATTCACTCTACCCCTCATTCATTCCAAGCTAACCACAGTGACCTTTTTGGTGTCCCTTAGCCATGCCAGCTTCACTTACACCTCAGGGTCTTTGCACATGATATTCCTTCTGCCAAGATCATTCTTCTCAGAGATATCTGAATTATCTCACTCCTTCACCTCCTTCAAGAATTTGGTCCACATGTCACTTTCTCAGTGAGACCTATATTGATCACGTATTAGAAACTGCAGCCTCATTTTCAACATCAGCACTCCCCACTGACCTTATCAAAATTTATTTTTCTTTAAGGCACTTATATTTACTAATAATGTTTATTATTTATCCTCCCCTCCCCCACTAAAGTTCATAACTTTCAAGATTTTTGTCTATTTTATTCACTGTTATAAAATGGTAACTGACATACAGGGAATAATAAATATTTTAAATGAGTACATTCCACATAACGCTAAGGTTCAAGTGCTCAAAGGAATCAGAAAATTCTTTATTTGCTTTGTAAAATTATATTTTTAGTGATGTAATATTTGGCTAACACTAAAATATATGCAAACAGTATTACCAAACGCAAATACAATGGAGACAACCAATGTATTAAAATATGACACCAGATAAACTTGTTTATGGGCCTCAGAATAAAATCTCTATCACCTTTATTTAATATTCTGAAAATTTGAATAAATCATAAGAAATCATTATTCTTTAAAACTGCTGATTTATAGGATTTAGAATTTATTCTATACTTTCTATCTCCCAAAAGAGAAAACCACAAAAAGGAAGTGGAAGGAGATACATACTAGGCTGCAACTGTCACCTATAACTTCTGATTTAAAATCTGCTTCATCAAAATCACACATTGCTGTCATGTGCTGGCTCTATAAATGTAACAAAATGAAGCACAATACAATAAAACTGCTTTTATCTCTTTTGTACATTACGCTTCAAAGCAAATTCTGTCCCCAGACCCTCAAAAACGGGCTATTAATAACTGGTTTTAAATCTGAGAGTCTAATACATTCCAGAGTTTTGTAGAAACCAAAATGCCTCCTTTGTTATTTTTCCAACAGATATACAAGATTCCTATAAAAATGTATTTCAGTAAAATATGATTATCTGTGGGTATTTGCAAAATGTTTACCAGTGTCAGGCTCTGATTACCAGGAAAAAATGCCAACTGCAACTGCAGGATCATCAGGTAACTTAAGTGAAGTGTGATCTTCTACTCAGATTGTATATACAAGCACATCTGCTTAAAGGCCATATTTAATTTTAGATTAATTTCTCATGAAAGTATTTAAGTCTATTATAGCAAAATAATTCAAAGTTAATGTCTAGGAAGATTAGAACAATAAAATATTGTTAATGAAGTATTAGTAAAAAAGCTATGACATTTTATAATAATATATATTCATTTTAACAATATTTTAAAATTTCAAGATACGTAATTCTTCACATTTGTGTTCAAATGTAGATTTTACACAATTATACCTTGAAAGATGAGTTACATAAACTGTTTAAAAAACTATATTCATCCATCCTGACAAAATTCTCACTAATTTTGTCATTTAAATTTTTAGCATTTAAATATTTCATTGGGGCCAAGATGGCTGACTAGAAACAGCTGCAACAGCTGCGGTCAAAGGCTCCCACCAAGAATGAAAAGGGCAAGTGAATCCTGCACTGGGAATTGAGGTATCTAGGTTTTCTCACTGGGACTGGCTAGGCGGTTGGGACTGCCTAAGACTACTGAGTTCCCGGGGAGAGGGGTGGCTGCCATCACTGCAGATGATGGCTGCTGCCTAACACTACCGAGCTCCCAGAAGAAGGGGCAGCAGCCACCACTGCAGCTCCAGTCTGCCATTTTCCCCTGCCGGTGCCAGGGAGACTGGGTGGTTTGGAACCAGGAGGAATTTCCCACAGCAGAGCCCAGTGGCTGTGGCAGATAGTGGCCAGACTGCCTGTTTAGATCAAACCTGGATGCATCTCTCCTCACTGGGCAGGGCCTCCCAGTGGGAATTTCAGCAGTTCCAGTCAGGGGTTTATGGACAGAACTCTGATCTCCCTGGGATGGAGACCCTGGGGGCAAGGGCGGCTACGATCTCCTCATATCAGCAGACTTAGTCTTTCCCCTGCTGGCTCTGAGAAACTGGGGCAGTCCAGACGAGTAGGATTCCCACCAGAGCAGCACATGCCCTGCACCAAGGGGCAGCCAGAGTGCTTTGTTAAATGGGTCCCTGATCCTGTGCCACCTGACTAGGTGAGACCCAATCGGGGGGTTGCCAAACACCTTATACAGAAGCGTTCCCACTGGCATCAGGTCGGTGCCCCTCTGAGACCAAGATCCCACAGGAAGAAGCAGGCAGCCATCTTTGCTGTTCTGAAACCTCCACTGGTGACACCTTCAGATGCAGGAGGGAAACAGGTAAATAGGGTCTGAAGCGGACCCCGAGCAAACCACAACAGCCCTACAGAAGACGGCTGTAAAAAAAAAAAAAAAAGAAAAAAAAAAAACAAACAACTAACAGTAACAATGACAACAGCATAACAGCATCAACAAAAAGGTCCTCACAAAAACCCCATCTAAAGGACATCAAAGACCGAAGCTAGATAAACTCATGAAAATGAGAAAGAATCAACTAAAAAACACAGAAAACTCAAAAACCCAGAGTGCCTCTTCTCCTCCAAATGATCGCAACACCTCTCCAGCAAGGGCATAGAACTGGGCTGAGGCTGAAATGGATGAACTGACAGAAGTAGGCTTCAGAAGATGGGCAATAACAAACTTCACTGGGCTAACGGAGCATGTTCTAACCCAATGCAAATAAGCTAAGGACCATGATAAAACATTGCAGGAGCTGTTAACCAGAATGACCAGTTTAGAAAGGAACATAAAGGACCTGATGGAGCTGAAAAACACAACCTGAGAATTTGCAACAAGTATAAATAGCTGAAAGGAAGAATTTCAGAGCTTGAAGACTATCTTGCTGAAATAAGACAGGCAGACAAGATCAGAGAAAAAAGAATGAAAAGGAACAAACAAAACCTCCGAGAACTATGGGATTATGTAAAAAGACCAAACCTATGACTGATTAAGGTACCTGAAAGAGACAGGAAGTATGGAAACAAGCTGGAAAACACACTTCAGGATATCATCCAGGAGAACTTCCCCAACCTAGCAAGACAGACCAACATTCAAATTAGGGAAATTCAGAGAACCCCAGTAAGATACTCCACAAGAAGATCAACCCCAAGGTGCATAATCATCAGATTCTCCAAGGTTGAAAGGAAGGAAAAATATTACGAGCAGCCAGACAGAAAGGCCAGATCACCTAAAAAGGGAAGCCCATCAGACTAACAGTGGACCTCTCAGCAAAAACCTTACAAGCCAGAAGAGACTGGGTGCTAATATTCAATATTCTTAAAGAAAAGAATTTCCAACACAGAATTTCACATCTGGCCAAACTAAGCTTCCTAGGTGAAGGAGAAACAAGATTCTTTTCAGACAAGCAAATGCTGGGGGAATTCATCACCACCAGGCCTGCCTTGCAAGAGCTCCTGAAAGAAGCACTAAATATGGAAAGGAAAAACTGTTACTAGCCACTGCAAAAAAAAAAAAAAAGAAAAAAACAAAAACACTTTAGTACAAAGACCAATGACACTATGAAGCAACTACATCAACAAGTTGGCAAAATAACCAGTTAGCATCATGATGGCAGGACCAAATTCACATATAACAATATTAACCTTAAATGTAAATGGGCTAAATGCCCCCAATTAGAAGACACAGAATGGCAAGCTGGATAAAGAGTCAAGACCCATTAGTGTGCTGTATTCAAGAGACCCACTTTACATGCCAAGGCACACATAGGCTCAAAATAGAGGAATGGAGGACAATTTACCAAACAAATGGAAAGCAGAAAAATGCAGGAGTTGCAATCCTACTTTTTGTCAAAAGACTTTAAACCAAAAAGATCAAAGAAGGGCATTACATAATGGTACAGGGATCCATTCAACAAGAAGAGCTAATTATCCTAAATATATATACACCTAATATAGGAGGACCCAGATTCATAAAGCAAGTTCTTAGAAACCTACAAAGAGACTTAGACTCCCACACAATAATAATGAGTGACTTTAACACCCCAATGTTAATATCAGACAGATCATCGAGACAGAAAATTAACAAAGATATTCAGGACTTGAACCCAGCTCTGGATCAAGTGAACCTGACAGTTATCTACAGAAATCTCCACCCCAAATCAACAGAATATACATTCTTCTCATCACCAAATGCACTTACTCTAAAATCTACCACGTAATTGGGAAGTAAAACACTCCTTAGCAAATGCGAAATAACTGAAATCATAACAAACAGTCTCTCAGACCACAGCACAATCAAATTAGAACTCAAGATTAAGAAAACCACTTAATCACTAAAAACCACACAACTAAATAGAAATTGAACAACTAGCTCCTGAATGGCTCCGGGGTAAATAATGAAATAAAGGCAGAAATAAATAAGTTATTTGAAACCAATGAGAAGAAAAAGACAACATACCAGAACCTCTGGGATGCAGCTAAAGCAGTGTTAAGAGGGAAATTTATAGCACTAAGTGCTCACAACAAAAAACAATAACAAGTTCTGAAATTGAGGCAGTGATAAATAGCATACTAACCAAAAAAGCCCAGAATCAGGCGGTTTTAGAGCTGAATTCTACCAGAGGTACAAAGAGGAGCTGGTACCATTTCTTCTGAAACTATTCCAAACAACTGAAGAGGTGGGATTCCTAACTCATTTTATGAGGCCAGTATCATCCTGATACCAAAATCTGGCACAGATACAACAAAAAAAGAAGGCTGGGCGTGGTGGCTCACACCTGTAATCCCAGCACTTTGGGAGGCCAAGGTGGGCAGATCACAAGGTCAGGAGTTTGAGACCAGCCTGGCCAACATAGTGAAACCCCATCTCTACTAAAAACACAAAAAAATTTGCCAGGCGTGGTGGTGGGCACCTGTAATCCCAGCTACTTGGGAGGCTTAGGCAAGGATAATCGATTGAACCTGGGAGATGGAGTTTGCAGTGAGCCAAGATCACACCACTACACTCCAGCCTGGGTGACAGTGCAAGACTTCAATTCAAAAAAAAAGAAAGAAAAAAGAAAACTTCAAGACAATATCCCTGATGAAGATCAATGTGAAAATCCTCAATAAAATACTGGCAAACCAAATCCAGCAGCACATCAAGACGTTTATCCACCACGATGAAGTCACCTTCATCCCCACGATGCAAGGCTGGTTCAACACATGCAAATCAATAAACGAATTCATTACGTAAACAGAACTAAAGGCCAAAACTACATGATTATCTCAACAGATGCAAAAAAGGGCCTTCAATAAAATTCAACATCCCTTCATGTTAAAAACCATCAATAAACTAGGTATTGATGGAACATACCTCAAAATAATAAAAGCCATTCATGACAAACCCACAGCCAACATCATACTGAATGAGCAAAAGCTGGAAGCATTCCCCTTGAAAACAAACATAAGACAAAGATGCCCTCTCTCACCACTTCTTTTCAACACAGTATTGGAAATTGTGGCCAGGGCAATCAGGCAAGAAAATGAAAGGTTATTCAAATAGGAAAACAGGAAGTCAAACTGTCTCTGTTTACAGATGACATGATCCTATATCTAGAAAACCCCACTGTCTCAGCCCAAAAGCTCCTTAAGCTGATAAGCAACTTCAGCAAAGTCTCAGGATACAAAATCAATGTGCAAAAATCACAAGCATTCCTATACACCAAAAATAGACAAGCAGAGAGCCAAATCATGAATGAACTCCCATTCATAATTGCTACAAAGAGAATAAAATACCTAGGAATACAGTTTACAAGGAAAGTGAAGGACCTCTTCAAGGAGAACTACAAGCCACTGCTCAAGGAAATCAGAGACGATACAAATGGAAAAACATTCCATGCTCATGGATAGGAAGAATCAATGTCGTGAAAATGGCCATACTGCCCAAAGTAATTTATAGATTCAATGCTATTCCCATTACACTACCATTGTCAAGCATCCACTAGAATTCGGAATTGGAAAAATTTCACAGAATTAGAACAAACTATTTTGACATCCATATGGAACCAGAAAAAAGAGCCCATATAGCCAAGACAATCCTAAGCAAAAAGAACAAAGGTGGAGGCATCATGCTACCTGACTTCAAACTGTAAGGCTACAGTAACCAAAACAGCATGGTTCTGGTACAAAAACAGACACATAGACCAATGAAACAGAATAGAGAACTCAGAAATAAGACTGCACATCTACAACTATCTGATCTTCGACAAACCTGACAAAAACAAGCAATGGGGAAAGGATTCCCTATTTAATAAATGGTGCTGGGAGAACTGGCTAGCCATATGCAGAAAACTGAAACTGGACCCCTTCCTTACACCTTATACAAAAATTAACTCAATTGGGAGGCTGAGGTGGGTGGATCACTTGAGGTCAGAAGTTCTAGACCAGCCTGGTCAATATGGTGAAACACCATCCCTATCAAAACATAAAAATTAGCCAGGTGTGGTGGCACATGCCTGTAGTCCCAGCTACTTAGGAAGCTGAGGTTGGAGAATCACTGGAACCCAGGAGGCAGAGGCTGCAGTGAGCTGAGATCATGCCACTGCACTACAGCCTAAGCAACAGAGTGAGACTCCATCTCAAAAAACAAAAAAATATTAACTCGGCCGAGTATGGTGGCACATGCCTGTAATCCCAGCTACTCAGGAGGCTGAGGCAGGAGAATCGCTTGAACCTGGGAGGCAGAGGTTGCAGGGTTGCAGTGAGCCAAGACCGTGCCATTGCACTCCAGCTTGGGCAACACGAAAACTCCATCTCAAAAAAAAAAAAAAAAAAAAAAGAAATTAACTCAAGATGAATTAAAGACATAAATGTAAAACCCAAAACTATACACTAGAAGAAAATCTAGGCAATACCATTCAGGACATAGGCACGGGCAAGAATTTCATGACGAAAATGCCAAAACCAATTGCAACAAAAGCAAAAATTGACAAATGGGATCTAGTTAAACTAAAGAGTTTCTACATAGCAAAAGAAACTATCATAAGCGTGAACAGACAACCTAAAGAATGGGAGAAAATTTTGGCAATCTACCCATCTGACAAAGGTCTAATATCCAGAATTTACAAGGAACTTAACAAATTTATAAGAAAAAAACAAACAACTCCATTAAAAAGTGGGCAAAGGGCATGAACAGACACTTTTCAAGACCTTTATGCTACCAACAAACATGAAAAAAAGCTCAACATCACTGGTCATTGAAGAAATGCAAATCAAAATCATAATGAGATACCATCTCATGCCAGTCAGAATGGCAATTATTAAAAAGTTAAGAAACAACAGATGTGGTGAGGCTGTGGAGAAACAGAAACACTTTTACACTGTTGGTGGGAATGTAAATTAGTTCAACCATTGTGGAAGACAGTGTGGTGATTCCTCAAAGACCTAAAACCAGAAACACCATTTGACCCAGCAATCCCATTACTGGGTATATACCTAAAGGAATATAAATCATTCTATTATAAAGATATATGCATGTGTATGTTCACTGCAGCACTATTCACAATAGCAAAGACATGGAATCAGCCCAAATGCCCATCCATGATAGACCAGATAAAGAAAATGTGGCACATATACACCATGGAATACTATGCAGCCATAAAAAGGAATGAGGGACATGGATGGAGCTGGAAGCCATTATCCTCAGCAGGAACTAACGCAGGAACAGAAAACCAATCACCACATGTTCTCACTTATAAGTGGGAGCTGAACAATGAGAAAGCATGGACACGGGGAGGGGAACAACACTCACTGGGGTCTGTTGGGGGCAGGGAGGCAGGGAAAGCATCAGGATACATAGCTAATGCATGCTGGGCTTAATACTTAGGTATGGATTGGCCAGGTGTAGTGGCTCAC
Organism: Homo sapiens; assembly: GCF_000001405.40. Taxonomy (NCBI): domain Eukaryota; kingdom Metazoa; phylum Chordata; class Mammalia; order Primates; family Hominidae; genus Homo; species Homo sapiens. The sequence goes on along the minus strand of NC_000003.12, from coordinate 28,269,844 downwards.
ACCTGCAATGGCAGGACTTGGGAGGCCAAGGCAGGCAGATCACCTGAGGTCAGGAGTTTGAGACCAGACTGGCCAACATGGCGAAACCCCATCTCTACTAAAAATACAAACATTAGCGAGGCGTCATGGCGTGCGCCTGTAGTCCCAGTTACTTGGGAGGCTGAGGCAGGGGAATCACTTGAACCCAGGAGGCAGTGGTTGCAGTGAGCTGAGATTGCGCCACTACCCTCCAGCTTAGGCAACAGAGAGAGACTCGGTTTCAAAGAAAAAAAAAAAAAGAAACCTAGGTAATGGGTTGATGGGTTGATAGGTGCAGCAAACCACCATGGCACAAGTTTACCTATGTAACAAACCTGCACATCCTGCACATGTATCCCAGAACTTAAAGTAAAGTTTCATTTATTTCTAAAACCAAAATATACTGCATCTTCCTCTGTGAGAAGAAAACTAGCCATTTTATTCAAGGGTATTTATGTCCAACTACATATAATTTTATTGCAAAACTGTCCTGTTTTCAGAAACAAGATAATCATAATAAGCTATTGAGTCTGATAATGAGCATATGAGCTAACACATACAATTGAGAACCACTGGATCAGTAAGTAATAACCATTATACAGTAGTCCCCTGTTATGCATGGGGGATACGTTCTAAGCCCCCTAGTGGATGCCTGACACTGCAGATACTACCAAATCCTATGTATACTATGTTTATTTCCTCTACATACATACCCCTGATAAAATTTGATTTATAAATTAGGCATAGTATGAGATTAACAACAACTAATAAAATAGAATGTTTGTAACAATAAAAGTTAAGTGAATATGGTCTCTCTCAAAATATCTTATTGTACTATAAATATCTTATTATACTAACCCTTCTTATGATGATGATATGAAATGATAAAACTAGAACCTCAGTTGACCACAGGTAATTGAAACCATGGAAAGTGAAACCACAAATAAGAAGGACTGCTATATACTTTGTTCAGTTATTTTTAAAATAATTCAGCTGTATTTATGATTGATATAAGCCTATTACTCATGATTCCATTGGCATAACACCAGGCATGATAGGCATACACAAATAGTTACTGCTAAGTAACTTTTATTATGTCCATGTGCAGAAAAGAGTTAACATAGCAGGCATGACACTGCTATCCTTAAAAGGCTTGCTTGCAAGATTGGCCCTTAGGTGGCATCGGAGAACTCGGATCTTGGGAGTGTCCCCATTTCGTAATTGATAAGAGTGGCTCACTGTGCCCAAACTGTTTGTACAAACAATATGATTTATGCTGAACACCTGCTTTCCTTCTGGGAATCTGAAATTTTGGTACATGTTAGGCAGAGGGTTCCCAAATGTTTTATTGAGAACAAATTCTCAATAAAAATTCTGGGGACTGAGTCTCTAATGAGCCTCCCTGGTAGACAACATTTCACATGTGTTGTCACAATACAGTGCTGGAGAAATTAAGCACACCCTGAGTGACTCTACCAGGAGAAGACTCATGGAGCTTGTGCCACGGTTTCTTCTGAACTTTCCCATATGCCTTTTCCCTTTGTTGATTTTGCTTTGTATCTTTTTGCTGTAATAACCTTTAGCTATGAATAGGATTATATGCTGAGTCCTGTCAGTCTTCCTAGTGAATCAACCAATCCAATGGTGATTGGGAACCCATGAGATAGTTCAGTGTAAGTCCAAAGTGCAGAAACTGTGCCTTATATCTACTTGTATTTCTTAGACTGTATAATATACTCATATATAACAGCTATTCATCATATGCGGTGATTATTTTCCTTTTAGTATATCAAAACCAGTCTCAAGATGTGTTGCATATCCACTTCAGCATTAGTTAATACTGGTGCACTGGTTAATGACAAAAATACATGTAATAAGAGTGGTACACCTCAAACAACAAATAAAAAGGCAGATTTTTGGCAGCTTCAAGTAACACAGTTGGACAGAAGAGTGATTACTTTGACCATGTATATAGTCTGCAGCCCTGCAACCTATTTCAATGCTGTTCTGATAATTACCTGCCTGTAAACTTCCTAAAGAACATTCTAAGCATTCTTGACTTGATTGTTTTTTGTTCATTCACTTATCTTTGGAATTTCACAAAATACAACATACTTCAGTTCTGTGTGATTGACAGAAGAGCGCATTTTATCAAGCTTCTTTGTTATTTACCTACAGCTCTGTGATGTTTCAAACAAACAAATAACCCATGCTTCCTTGTACTTTATGTAATTCTTTCAGAGCTATATCCCACTTATTGGACAACAGATCATAAAGACTGCAACATAAATACAAAAGAAACATTAAAATAAGGGAAAAGAGGGCCCAAGGGATGAAAGGAGTCAGTAAGAGAATACAGCTAGGTTAAAGAAAGTTCCAGCCCATCCCTGATGACAAAATACTTTTCTGTCTTTACCTGTGATAGCAAAAGGAAAAAAGAGAAAGGGCTGTTATTATTTCTAAAGCAAACGTCATTATCCAATATAGAGACTTTATAGCAAATGTCAACTATGCACTTCAAAAAAAGCAAAGAAATATAATGAGGAATTTTTACAAAACACTATACAATTCAGTGACTCTTCCTCTTATGGAGAAAAATGTATTAATACTAGTATGCACACTTTACCTATATACGGCAAACAATATTTTTTAAATATTACTAACAGAAAACATAAATCATTTAATTAGTGAAGTCAAACAGCTAGAAAAAGACAAAAGTTGAAATCCAGAGTTTGTCAAACCATCTCCCTAAGACACAAGGTGCTAACTCCTAGATCCAAGAAAAAGCAATGATTTCATCATTACAGTTGGTGGGAGGTTACTGTTTTGGCTTTTGGAAGGTGAGGAAAGTGGGAGGAAGTAAGAAAGCGATTTGGCCATTCTAGGGTTTTCCTTCAGTTCCATTCCCAATGTACTCAGTGTTCACTGTGTTAATATCTACCAGTATACTTCAGTCATTTATTTTAGCGGCTTTATTCACCACCAACAATATCACTAGCAAAGAAAGAATACTATAAAATTAAATTTTATATTTAAATCAATTAATTTTTCTTTTGATATCAACAGAGTTTATAATCTTGTCAAAGTTTCCCCAATAGCAAGATCAGGATTCTCCTTTGTAATCAAATCAAAGTTCAAAAAGGAAAGGTGCTAAGCACTATTCTTCTCTTCAAAAAGAAACATAGGTTGAGCGCAGTAGTCCACGCCTGCAATCCCAGCACTTTGGGAGGCCAAGGTGGGAGACTTGTTTGAGCCCAGGAGTTGGTGACCAGTCTGCACAACATAGTGAGACTCCATTTCAAAGAAAAAGGAAAAAAAAAAACCATATACTTTTGTGTTTATTTTACATTATTAAAAATATATTTTATAAAGACCAAGATTCAAGAGTTGACACCATTTAAATAATATGAACACTATTTGTCACCCAAAAGCTAAAATTTTTTTGTATTACGTTATAGTTTTCATTATACTGAAATGGCATAGTTACTGGAACTTATACAAATTCACTGTAGAATTAGAATCATGTAATTCCAGATTAAAATTAAATTTTAGAAGTATAAGGGTATATAATGATGAAACATTCTAAATGTTATCTATTGCTTAAGACAAATTTTAACTGTATTTAAACATTAGGTGAAATATGCAACTCAGACTAATTCAGTGTACATTAAGTAAAAACCAATGGTGTATAGATAAAGAGGGTATCATGTAAGCTGGTTAAAAAATTAAAATGAAGACAGAACTAGTAAGAATATAGCAACCTGGCTGAAATTGATATTCATTAGGGTACTCCTCACATCAATAGGTAACATTTGGACTCTGTGGGCTTTATCAGTGTCCCAGCTGGTAATGGTTGAAGGTTAATGCCTTACCCAATTCTGTTCAATTTTCTATCCTAATTAGCCCTGCAAATCTATAGCTGTGAGCACCAAGTGTCTGTGCTCAAAAGAAACTAATTAATGCTAGCAAATTAGATCAAGTCCAAAGATCCAACAGCCAAACTCTTAGTTAAATGCTCCTTGTTAATAGGAAGTGTAGCTGTCAATAACTGCTGTTGGTGACTATAATGAGGCATCTTTCTTTCATTGAAAGTGATTTCATTTCTCTTTGTCCATGGAAAAGCTGTTCCATTCCCTTCACAAACCTAAGTTGCTGGCAGTCTGACCCAATTCTTATGATCAGCTGGGTTGAAATGACATTAAAAAAAAAATCTAACGGAAAAGCTTTCCTACATAATCATGTTTTAGGCATTTAGCAGAAAGTCAGATCACTTATTAAAATTCCTGTATCTTTTATCTAAGAACCATACAATTGGCATATATAATGCTTTTATATAAAATCCTATAATTATTTAATAAAGCAAAAGCTATAAACAGTAAATAAACTACAATGGAAATGTCCCGATTCTAAATTATGTATAACTGTTGAGTTTAAATGAAGTTTTCTTCTGCTGCTTGAATAATTCTAATGTATATGATTTCCTAATTTATATGGTTAGAAAATACTAAAGACTTCTTATTCTCTTATCAATTTTAGATTCTAAAATATTGTTTTGAATCACATGGCCTAAAAAATCAATACATAATTATCTATAAGATATTCAAATTATATTATTACATTCTAATATAGATGAATACATTTAAATAATCCAAATGAGTCACAGATTTTAAGATGCTTTCAGTCTTCAGAAACCGTAAGTATATTAAAACAGCAAAAACTTAACTACGTCAACATCCTAAACAACTTAACTTTTGATGAAGTGAAAATTAAACACTTTATTTTCTGTACCATTATAAAACACTAGTTTTGTAACACAAATAAATATTTTAAAGTTATACTCTACGCTTTCATTTCAAAAACCAAAAATAAAACTCAAAGTCATACAATCATTCTGCATTTTCCTTGGAATTATGTCAGTAAAAATTAAATCTGTAATTGAGTTAGCTAGCTTTCTTTCATTCTAGGTATAAAGACAATATGCTACATGACAGCACACATACAACTTATATGTGTAACTTTAGACTGATATATCAGTAATAAGTAAATTTTCCTAGCAGTAAAAAGCCCTACAACTTTATTATAGGGTTTTTAAGTTTTATCTCCCCTCACCTGAATCAGGATATATATTTTTTAAGTTGTATGAGGAATGTGCAGGATGTACCTCTTGTGACCATAAACATGACACCTACCAATGCCATACATGCACTACCTGCAGGTGTCAATAGGTTGACGTCTCAAGACATCTGGGGGTAGGTGTTAAAGAAAGGTACTCTGATTAAACTAACTCACAAGAATCAAGAGTAAAACCATTGGATGGTTATTTATATGAGTTTTAAAATGGAATAGGTCATAATAAGTTATTGAAGAAACAAAAATTACCATCACACATTGTTGATTCCAAAGAACTACTCTTTATTTTATTGCCTCCATTCATCAATTGCAAAGGTCCTCTCTAAGGGCAGAGGACAGGGAAGGGAACAAAAGCGTTCCTAGTATCCAAATGTTATTGACCCAGTCCTGAAATTAGAGTTGACACAGCCCTGCTCCCCTGTAGTGAAGCTTGCAGTGGAAGTGCAGCCCATCATCCTCACTAAAAATTATTGTGGTCCCTCAATAAAGATGACCACAGGGAAAGTGAAGAAGTAAAGCCAGGAAAATAGCCTATGCCCATAAAAGTTTATTACTTCTTTTTGATGGCCCTTCCAAGAGACAGAATTTTTTAAAGATATTTCTAAAGTAATATTGCCATGTGCTTTTCTAATAACTCATCATTTACAAATGTATTATGGCCTCACTATTCACCTTTCACTGCTTTCTTTACATGTTTCACTAGAATATTACATATTAATCACTGATGTCTCTAGATCTATAGGAGTATTTCATGTTAAAACATTTTCCAAAGAAAACATACACTTGTAGCTGTCTAGTGTATGTATTTACATAAATATCTTCCACTTAGAAACATAAAACAAAACAAAAACCCCAGACTCACTGTAAGTCCTATCAGGATTCTATTAACAATTCAGTAATAGACAATGACACCAAAGAAAATCACCTTAGAATATATATATGTATGCGAATATGGTGACAGATGGGAAACAGGTATATGTTAGATTTGATGTTTCTTCCTCCCCTATAAAAATCGTAAGAGTAACTTGTTTCTCCAAATTACTCATACCAAGTTTTTCCATGTATATAACTGTACCTCTGAGGGTAAAAAAACAAAAAATGTTTTTTACTAGTAATTTAGGGAAATATTTTTAAACTGTAAATGAATTGAACATCACTGGAAGTTCTGAAAGCTGAAATACTGGTATTTCAGCGAAAGGGTGAGAAGCAATTCATACATATTAATTCATTGACTACTTGATTCTGGGGCTAAGGATTAAATTCAGATCATATTATTAAAAATAAATTTGATCTTTACATGAATATTTGAATGTTACCTTGAACTTGTTCAGAACACCTCTCTTTGGCCTTTTCTCTCATTATTTTAGGGATCAAAACATCTTTTTCGACATGTCTGAGATGCTGGTCTGAAAAAAAAAAGATCTTTCTTTAATAAAGTCTCAAGCAAATCACCAGATTAAAGGAAAAATAAGACTCTGGTTTACTTAAAATAAAAGCCTATGCAAATATACTCAAAACTTACAACCTTATGAAATTGTGATTATTTTAGTCATTAAAACTCATCCTATTTGCAATGTTTTTTTATATACAACAACAAAAATGTGAGGAATACAAGCAACATGTTTCTTAAAATTTCTGCAAACTATACTACAACATCTTTACTTTATAACATATTCCATGCAATCTTGTCAAAGTTGGCATCTAAATCATTCCCTTATTAATATAATCCACAAAAGAGGATTTTCACCGATACTGAGATCCAAGAATAGATGAAGAGATACAAGATTAAGAGACACACAAGTAGTTTTTCTACCTAGTAGTAAGAGTAGCCTAAAAAAGAACTAACAGAAGAAAAGGTGGAACTACAAGTCCATATGAAAACAAAGCGTGTGTGATTTCTCTGCATTTTAAACACAACTTCCACAACTGGACTAAAATGGCAAATTGAACACCTGCTCTAGAGTCCCACCTGCTCCTTAAATGCTAAGAGAGTCCTGAAAAATAAACAAAGGATAAGTGCCTTCAGTGAACCAAAAAAGATGAGGAATCTCTGAAAGAAAAAAAGGCAGATTAGATCAGATTAAATGAGGTAATCATATTACTATAGAGTATCCAGGAAAAACACGCATGCCAAAAGTGGGTGCTGCTCCATGCTCTGAAGCAGCAAATATGGAAAGCAAGAAAACTTCCCTGGAGGAAACTAAACAGTTATTAATTAAAGTGACTCAGTAGGAGCCAAATGGTCACCTCCTCTGCTGCCTTCAGGCCACGGGTGAAAAAAGTATATATAGGTATTTATCCCCAAAAGACCAGAAAGTTTCCCATTAAAAGAATATAGGAAAGAAGATTTTAGATTATTATTAAGTATAATAAATATACTGAGGCAAATACAAAGACCTGAGTCCTCAGACAGCAATGGACCATGGATTACCTAAATGCACTCTGATGAAATGTCTGAAACCCCAAAATCCTAAAAGCTTCAAAAGGGAATAAACACTGCCTACATAAAGGAATGAGAATCAGATTTACATCATGGCTCACTGGCAAGACATGATGCAACAAGACAATGGAGAAATAACTTCAAAGTTCTGAGAGAGAATTATAAAGAATTACAAAGAATTCTAGAGTCTCTAAACTACCAATTATGAGTGAGGTTAAGGACATTCAGATATATAGGAACTAAAATGCTTACCACCTTCAAACCCTACAGAAAAAGAAGTAATCTCCTTATTACAGTTGATCCTTGAACGACACGGGTTTGAACTGTGGGGGTCCACTTAATACTCAGATATTATCCAACCAAATGCAGATTGAAAATACAATATTTTGGAGATGCGAACCTATATGGTATACCAACTTTTCAGGCCAACTTTTCATACACATGGGTTCTGAGGGGCCCATGGTGGGACTTGAGAATGCACAGGTTTTGGTAAATATGGGGCTCCTGAAACCAATCCCCTTCGTACACTGGGGAATGACTACTATGTGCAACAACTACTCATCAAATTTAGTGATGTAAAACAATAAACAATAAACTATGGGTCAGAGGGGCCTGATCTGGGAAGACTCAAAGTTCCGGTGGCTCTGGTGTGCATTTTAAACACAACTTCCAAAATTGGACTAAAATGGCAAATTGAACACCTGCTCTAGAGTCCCACCAGCTACAAAAGCTGGGGCTGGAGGATTTACTTCCAAAATTACTTCTTTTTTCATATATGTATCTGACATCTGGCCTGGAATGGCCAAAAGAAGTGCTCAGTTAGGACTGTAAACCAGAACATCTACCAATGGCCTCTCTACCTGGAGCCATGCAACACCATTCGTTCATGCTACACTATACTGATTTCAAGTCATTAAGGATAGCCCACACTCAGGTGGAAGGAAATCAGATTCTATTCTTGGTAACAAAACCACACTACAGAAAAGCATGAAGAATGGGAGATAATTTTGTAACCTTCTTTGTAAAATAAAATCTCTCACAAGATGTAACAGAGAATATGCTCTGATAGAAAAAAAAAAACTGAACGCATGATATACAAATGTAAAATATATGTCATATTACAAAAACATATATTTAAGTTCGTTAAAACTGTGAAGTACTTGAACAACATTATCAACTAACTTGACCTAACTAACATTTATAGAATACTCTACCTAATAACAGCAGAACATCTACTAAGATAAACCACAATCTGGCTATAAAACAAATCTCAATAAATCTGAAGGAATTTCAAGCCCTACAAACTATGTTCCCTGACACCAATGTAATTAAATTAGCAACCAATAACAGATCTCCGGATAATCGCCAAATATTTGTAAGCTAAATAACGCACTTTTAAATAACCCATGGATCTAAGAAAATGCCAAAAAGGAAATGCGAAAGTATTTTGATATGAATGAAAATAAAAACACAATATATCAAAATTTATGTGATGCAGCTAAAACAGTACTTGGCAGGAAATTTGTAGCACTAAAAACCTATCTAGAAAAAGAAAAAAGGTCTTGTATTAACTTAAGTTTCTACCTTGAGAAACCAGAAAAAGGGTAAAATAAACACAAAGCAAGCAAAAGAGGAAAAGATAAATATCAAAATATAAATCAATGAAATAAAGAATACCACACAAATAAAAGAAAAAAAAAACAATGAAATTAAAGCTGGTTCGAGAGGATAAGATCAATAAAATTTATAAACCACTAGCCAGACTAAGGTCACAAATTTCAAACATCAGAAATGATAAATATTTTTAAATAATAAGGGAATATTATGAACAAATTTAGGCCAATGAACTTGACAACTAGAATGAAATGAATAAATTCCTTTAAAAAAACTACAAACCAACCAAAGCTCACTCAAGAAGGCACAGATACCTTGATACTAAAAGCAAGAACGGTATTTACAAAACACATACACACACACACCAAATCTACACACCAGTATGCCTCATGAACACAGATGCAAAAATCCTCAACAAAATATTAACAAATCAAACTCAGCAATACATAAAAAGAAAGACACATAACAAAAATGTTGGACTTATTCCAGGGAGGCAAGGGTGGTTCACCATTCAAAATTCAAACCATGTAATCCATGAGATATATTAACAGTCCAAAAAAGGAAAACCATATAATCATATCGATGCCAAAAAAAATTGGACAAAATTCTACATGCATTCATAAAAAACAAAATCAGTATACGTGGAACAGAAGAGAACTTCTTTAATGAAGGGCATCTACAAAAAATCTTCTAGCTTACATCATACTTAATACTAAAACTCTGAACGCTTTCCCTATAAAAAAAGAAACATGGTATAAAATTACACAGAATTATACACACACACATATGAGTACACGTAAAAACTGGTGAAAACTGAAAAGATCTATAATCTAGTTAACAGTATTGTATCAACTTCAGTTTCCTGGTTTTGATATTGTACTACAGATATATAAGATGTCACCACTGGGGAAAGCTATGAGATGGACACTCAAGACTATATAGCATTTTTCACAATTTTATGTGAGTCTATATTTCAAAATAAAAAGTTAAAGAAAAAAACTTCTAGAAACAATCACAGGAGAAAATCCTCATGATGCAGATGTCATATAATTACAGAACAACAAAAAAAATGCATGTAAAAAGTGGTGAAATTCGACTAAGATTAGTACCTGAATCAACAATATTATACCATTGCCAATTCCCAGTTTCCTTGTCCACATTTAATTATAGGAGCCTGTCCCAACCTTTTTTAATTTTTGCCCTAAAAGGACCCTTTTTTGACATTTTTTCCTAATGTACCCCTATGAAATGTTAATATCACAGATATAGCATATATGTTTATGCACTGCGGGTGTAACATTGTTTTATACATTAAGAGAGTAATATTTCTGTCTCCACCAATGTCAATTGTTATCCTTTTGAAGGCAGTTATCACACCCACTGAGAATATACATATCATGGTTATGTAAGATAGCATCATTAGGGAAAGGGAAGAAGGCAGGTACATGGAAACTGCATGATTTTGTAGTTTCCTATTATTATTATTATATTATTAAAAAATAAAGTTATAATAAAAAAGTGAAAAAACATACAAGGAAGCACAAAGGACATAGAATAGCCAAAACAACACTAAAACAGAAGAACAAATTTAGATGCTATGCAGCAACTACCCGATTACAAGTCATACTACAAAACTACAGAAGTCAAGACGACGTAGTGCTGGCATAATTTGGGTAGCCAAAAAGAGTAATGTAACAAAAGAGAACAAAAGAATCCACAAGGCCAGGCACAGTGGCTCACGCCTGTAATCCCAGCACTTTGGGAGGCCGAGGCGGGCGGATCACGAGGTCAGGAAATCGAGACCATCCTGGCTAACACAGTGAAACCCTGTCTCTACTAAAAAAAAATATAAAAAATGACCCGGACTTGGTGGCGGGTGCCTGTAGTCCCAGCTACTCCGGAGGCTGAGGCAGGAGAATGGCATGAACCCGGGAGGCAGAGCTTGCAGTGAGCTGAGATCTCACCACTGAACTCCAGCCTGGGTGACAGTGCGAGATTCCATCTCAAAAAAAAAAAAAAAAAAAAAAATCCAGAAATACTTCCATGTATATACGATCAATTTATTGGCAAATGCACCAAGGCTAGTTTATGAAGAAATAAAATTATTTTCGACAAATGGTGGCAGAACCGTATTAACATGGAAAAAAAAAAAAAGCTAAACCCTTTGACCCCCTACTTCACAGTAACCACAAAAATTAATTAGCAATGGATCATAAGCCTAATGTAAAAACTAAAACTATTAAACAAAAAAGACCCTTCAATTCCTTGGAGTAGACAGTTTCTCAAAAAGGGCATAAGGCAGTAAAAATAAATTATACAAATTATAAATTTGACTTCACTAATATGAAATCATTTGTTTATCAAAAGACACAATTAAGAAAATTTTAAAAAGGCATGCCACAGACCAGGAAGAAAAATTTATTTCATATATATATAACAAAGGACTTGAGTCCAGAATATATCAAGAACCCCTAACTATCAATAATAAAAACTCAATAAAAGATGGACAAAAGGCTTGAATGGACACATCACAAAAGATGATATGCAAATTGTAAGTATATATATATATATATATATATATAAAGGTGCTCAAAATCATTAATCAAGAGACTGCAAATGAAACCCCTTATATCATTTTGTATGCACAAGAATGACTAAAATTAAAAATAATGACAACACCAACGTTGGAGAGAATGTGAAGCATCTGCAACTTTCATATCTTGCTGATGGGACTGTGAAATGATACATTTCTCTGGAAAACTGCTGAGTTATAAAGTTAAATATGTTCCACTCCTAGGTATTCACTTATGCAAGATAAATGAAAATATAAGTCCTGGCTCACTCACGCCTGTAGTCCCAACACTTTAGGAGGCCGAGGCGGGCAGATCACGAGGTCAAGAGATCGAGACCATCCTGGCCAACATGGTGAAACCCTGTCCCTACTAAAAATACAAAAATTAGCTGGGCATGGTGGCGTGCGCCTAAAGTCCCAGCCATTCGGGAGGCTGAGGCAGGAAAATCGCTTGAACCCAGGAGGCGGAGGTTGCAGTCAGCCAAGATGGCATCACTGCACTCCAGCCTGGCGACAGAGTGAGACTCAGTCTCAAAAACAAAAAAAAGAAAATATAAGTCCAGAAGACAACTTGTACAAGTCTATTTAGAGAAGCATTATTCAGAATAGCCAAAAACTACTTAGTGATAAAAAACAATGATACTATTTGTATACCACTACTATCAGTAGGATAGGTGATCTATCCTAGGTGAATCTCAAAAACATTTGAGCAAAAGAAAGCAGACAAAGGAGTACATACTGCCATGATTCAAGGACATGCAAAGTTAATCTATGGTGATAAAAATTACAACAGTGGTTATATATGGGAGCTGAAAAGGTACTCTCTGAAAAATGTCTTAATTAGGATATATACATTTATGAAAACTCATTTAAGATCTGTAAATTTCACTGTATATTTTACCTCAATTTAAAATCGATTAGCTTAAAAATTTATAGAAATCTGCACTCATAGTGGGAGATTTCAACACATAACTATTAGAAATTAGGTTACTAAGTAGACAAAAAGATTCATAATTTTCTCCTTAAAGTTACTGTTCATCTTTCATTAGATTTCTATTGGTAAATATATCTTTCCATAAATAACCTGTTGTAATTATTTACTGCTAGTGTTTAGGTTCAATTGATTTTTTATGTTGTCCTTATAATCAATAAAACCTCTCTCAATTTTAATATTCTGACAAAAGATTCTCTTCCAATTTCTATGTAGACAATCAGAAACAGTTTTGCATCCTCTTTTTTAATTCTTGCTGGCTACATCCTTTAGAAAAGTGGTTAAGTAGTAACTAGCAAGACCTCTGTCTTGGATGCTCAAATTTTGTTTAAAATCTTTTCAAGTTGTCACCATGTCGGTGTTTGCCTATGACTCTCCTCCCTTATCTTTGCATTGTTTTGGTGTTAAAGTTGCATTATTTAAACAATAAATTAGGGACCTTCCTCTCCCTTTATATTATCTAGAACATTGTGTATAAAACAAAGATTATTCTCAGTTCCTTGAAAGTTTGTTAAAAACCACCTGTGATGGTCAGTTTTATGTGTCAGTTCGGCTGGGTTATAGCCCCCAGTTATTCACGCAAACATTAATTCAGGTGATGCTGTGAAGGTATTTTGCAGATTCACATAAAGAAGATTATCAAAGATTATTTGGGTGGGTCTAATACAATCAGTTCAAAGGCCTTAAGAGTAGAATTGAGGTTTTCCTGAAGAATTACACTTGCTGACTGCAGCTTCAGCTCAAGATCAAGAATTCCAAGCCTGCCCTTCCTGACAGCCTGCCCTGTGCATTTCAGATTTGCCCAACTGGTCCCTACAATCACATAAACCAATTTCTTGCAAGATCTCTTGACACGTATACATATATATATATATATACACACACACATATATGCATATGTGTGTATATATATATACCCATCTTAAGATATATATATATGTTTTTTCTCCTACTGATTATTTCCATGGTGGAATCCTGACCAATACACAACCTATCAGGGCTTGCGTTTTGGTGTATGTATGTGTGCATGTGTAAGACACACAGGCACAAAGAGAATTGTAACTATTGTTTCAATTTTGTAAGGGCTTTTTACTAATTCTAGAGTCAGCTGAAGTTTTAGCAAAATTATATTTCTCAATGACCCTATCTATTTCGCCTTAATTTTCAAACAAAAAAATGATATGAAGGTGTTCACATGACTTTTTTTCTCTTTACAACACCTGTGGTTGTATTCTAATTTTCATTGCCTATGTAAAGGTAGACAAACTATTTCTGCTAAGAACCAGAGTATAAACATTTTAAGCTTTACATATCATCTCTGTCGCGTGTGTGTGTGTGTGTGTGTGTGTGTGTGTGTATGTACATGTATATATATACATTTTTTTTAACAACGTTTCAAAAATGTTACTAACCGTTCCTAGCTTATAGGCCTTTCCAGATTTAGCCCATAGGTCATAATTTGCTGAACTCTTTGCTGTATCATTTATTTACACATTCTCTTTTTCCTTAGCTTTGCCAGAAGCTACCGGAAACAGGCCGGGCACAGTGGTTCATGCCTGTAATCCCAGCACTTTGGGAGGCTGAAGCAGGCGGCTCACTTGAGGCCAGGAGTTCAAGACCAGCCTGGCCAATATGATGAAACTCTGTCTCTAGTGAAAAAAAACTACAAAAATCACCCAGGCATGGTGGCGCGCATCTATAGTCCCAGCTTCTCAGGAGGCTAAGGCAAGAGAATTGCTTGAACCCGGGAGGCGGAGGTTGCAGTGAGCCGAGATCATGCCACTGCACTCCAGCCTAGGAGACAGAGCGAGACTCTGTCTCAAAAAAAAAAAAAAAAAGAGGAAACAAAACAAAGCACTGAGAAGGAACTGGAAGCATGGTTGGAGAGAAAAGGACAAATTCAGAGGGAGGTCCTATAAGCTTGATGGTGCCTAAAGGGGATGAGGGAAAGGGATGATTCAAGGAGGACTGCTAGTTTTCTGGCCTCAAGTAAAAGGATATGACCATTTATTGAGATAGGGAATACAAAAGAAGGATCAGATAAGAGAGAAATTCAGTTGCGGACCTGTGGAATTTGAAGGGACTGTGTGACACATCTTGTAGAGTGGAAAGCTGATGCTTACTTACAGAGAAAAGAATAAAACTGAGACTATCTCCACAAATTCCTCTTTGCCTTGCCTACAGAATAAATCATAACTAGACATCAGTAACTATTCAGTGTAATTACTAAACAGATTAGAAGACATTGGATTATACAAAATTACAAAATTTTTTCAAAATTTACAAAATTAATTTCAAATTGTTACTTTTTTTCACATATATAATTTTCATCTATACAACTTATTCATAATGCATCCTGATGAATCTTCTATTTGCTCTATAAATCTTCCAATGGTCTTAAATAACTAAGGCAATATTATTTTGAATCAATTCCTTGAATACAGACATAGATGTGTAATATCAAACCATTTTTCCAAAAATAAATTATAACAGAAATTTACCTACATTACGAATTCTAAGCTATAATATTCCTATCAAACACATTTTTAAAACGGCTTGTCAAGACATCTGATCCTTCTTCTAAAACTTCCTAGGGCAAATAAATAATTCCAGAATTGTATTAATATTGATTTCAATTTTCCAAATTCTTGGTATTAAATCAGAAATGACAGTATTAAAAATATGAAAATTCTACTAAAGATTTTCCCACTTGATAGCATACCAGCCACTAAATATCAATGATTTATTAATTATAATTTTTGAAAAAGCTATCTTCAACATTACAAATATTATAGAAATGGCAATTTTGATTCACAATATTACAAAGTGATTCTCTTAATCTCAATCTGGTGTATATATGTTATACATTTGTACAGAGGTTGCAAAACTAAAAATTAAATTTTGAAAGTTTGCTACTGTATAGTCACATAAATTTATACTGAATTAAAGAATCAGGATAACACCATCAGGGAAAATTTCCAAAGCTCTAACTTCTCAACATTCTATCATCACCTGGAAGTCAATTTTCACCTTTTTCACTGGCTGAATTTGTTAGCTCATATTTTGCTTTGGGGCTCATGTGTTCTTGCAATATGGCAGTGCTAGATTATAAGGCTACTGACAACAGCACTTGCTATGAATCCACAAAGACAACAGTGAAGCAAATAAGAATATTACAGAGTCTTTAATAGCAAAGAATGTGATATATGAAGGGCAAGTTATGCCCTTTCAATAATGAAAACATTCTAATTTAACTAATTTGATACTTACTTAGGTAATGCCATTTTTTAAAAAATTTACTAGTTAACACTTACTTGCTCCTGAAGACAGTTTGGTGCTACTGTTTACTCTGTAGGAAAAACATGAAAAATGCTTGTAATAAACTTGCAACAGTGTTCTCATTAGCAATAGTTTCTATATTTGGATCCCTCTTCTTTGTTTGTTTAGCTTTTTGGGGGGAGTTTTTTGGGGGGTTTTTTGGTTTTGGTTTTTGTTTTTTGAGACAGAATACTATTCTGTCACCCAGGATAGGGCGCAATGGCGTGATCACAGCTCACTGCAGCTTCTACCTCCCAGGTTTAAGTGATCCTCCTATCTCAGCCTCCCAAGTAGTTGGAAACACAGGCACACACCACCACATCAAGCTAATTTTTTTATGTGTACTTTATAGAGATGGGATCTCACTATGTTTCCCAGGCTGGTCTCAAACTCCTGGACTCAAGCGATCCACCCACTTCAGCCTCCCCAATGCTGGGATTACAGGAGTGAGCTGCCACGTCCGACTGGTCCCTCTTCTTTACTAGCTATGAAGAGTCTCAAAAGGCAGAGCCCCGGGAAGAAGGCATGATATACAATACAATGAGACCAGCGTTCTCAATTGTTAGTTCTCACTAAGTGCTTCACACCAGGAATCTAGGCAGACTCCAGTTTTTCTCAACAGCACAAAGATATGTATGCTCATGACCAGATATTCCTCTTGCCAGTTTGTTCATACCTTCTTGCTATAACGACAGAGTAAAATGAGGAAGGGTAGACGAAGAGACATCTTAAAATAGGAAAATTCACCTTCTTTCCTTCAAGCCATACTAGAACTGACAAAACAAAAACAAAAAGGGAAATCAAGAGTAGGAGAGATGTTTTCTTCCCCGCAATGCTCCAGCCTGCCTGTCTGTGAAACCTGAAGATGAGGGCAATGAATACATACAGTCTTCATAACAGTTCTCTCAGGTAAGTATTTTGATTTCATTTTGCAGATAAAGAAGTGGAGGCTCACAGAGGTGAAATGACCCAAGCTTCTAATAAAGTGCCAATGCCAAGATCATGTAACCCAGGCTCTAAACCTTCAATGACACCACCATGCACATGGAGTGGGGGCCTTAGGAGACTTAAGCAAACAAGGCTAAATGAGCTTCCACAGTTATGCTGAAGCAGGGAAACAACCTTTAGACAGTAAGTTTGTGTTTCAGAAGCACCATTTGAACCAGCAAAATTTGAAAATTCAGTTCTCAATTTTTTATCAGAAAGTAAAATCAAAGGGAATTCTGATTCTGCTTCCTACCACGGGAAAAAAATATTTTTAAAAGCAAGGGGAGCAATTTGTCAGCTGGCTGAAAAACACATTCAAAGAGAATAAACATCAAATATTAGGTCAGCCACTAACAATCTAATTTTGTATAAGCTCAAACGCTTACAAAATACGGAAAGTACATCAGTGAGGTAGATGTGCCTATTTCTGCTTAGCTTCTGGGTCAAGTAACACCCATATCCCACAATAGTATGCTTCATCTGAGCTTCTCTGTCCTATCAGCTTTCACTGTTAATTAACCACCTTGTTCACACTAGATGTGCCCATTTCCCAATAGCACCTATTTCTTGGACCTCAGATTCTGCAGATTGCTAGGTGTGAAAAGTTCCTCTTCCACCCACACTGCTTTAACCAAGAGGAGGCCAGAAAGGGACAACATATTTAAAAGTATACCAAAGCAGGAAATTAACTTATGCAATAAGACATGCCAATTTTAGAACTGTGTTACAACCGCCATTGTGGCCATAATTTCTTAAATGAACAAGTTTCACATTTACTTTATTTGGTAAAACTTCAAGACTGTCTTTGCGCCTACAAGCACAATTTCCCACTGATATCCGGCAGAAAATCAGCAGTGTTATGGGACAGGAGCAGACATTTGAGAAAGTAATAAATGACAGCATACCTGTGGCCTTCTTAGCAATACATTGCCTGATTTACTTTTTTTCCTCATATAAATCTAGAAGATTGTGTAATATTCTCAATCCTATGAATGTTCCTCAAGCCTCTCTCCACCATGTTACTACTGGTTCTTCTTTTATCTTACAATATTTCATAGAATTCCTATAAAGAAAATATAATACTTTGATAATGGAATAGGAGAATTATTTTTATATTGAAGGGTTTTTCACTTATTTCAAAGACTCAGCCTTTGCTCAAATCACATCATCTTTCTTGGTATGGCTTCAGAGCTAATCTGAAGTAAACATGAAAACCAGTTCCATAATATAACTTTTTTGGGGTGGGAGCAATATGGTTTGGATATGGTTTGTCCCCACCAAATCTCATGTTGAAATCTGATCCCCAGTGTGGCAGTGTAAGGAGGTGGTCCCTAATGGGATGTGTTTGGGACACGAGGGCAGATGTCTCATGAACAGCTTTGTGCCCTTCTAGCAGTAATGAATTCCTGCTCTTGCTGGAGTGGACTAGTTCTTCAGAGTGGGCTGGTTCTCAGAGAAAATGACTAGTTCCCAAGAGACTGGATTGTTGTAAAAGTCAGGACACCTCTCACGTTTGGTCCCTCTTCACACATGCCCGCTTCCCCTTTGATCTTCTCTGCCATGTTCTGACACAGCATAAATGTTCTCATCAGAAGCCAAGCAGATGCCATGCTTCCTGTATAGCTTGCAGAACTGTGAGCTAAATACACTTCTTTCTTTATAAATTACTCATCCTAAGGTATTCATTTATAGCAACATAAAACAAACTGAGACAAGGGAAGAGGCAGCATTTCCCAGGATGATCGTCTATCACCTTCACCAGACTGTCTCTGGTTAAACCTTGGCTGAAATTCAAATTAACTTTCAGAACAAAGATTTGCCAAAATGAGGATATTAAGACGAGTGTACTGAAGAATCCAAAGGGAAATCTTAAAGGAGTTTCAAAAATATCCTGAACAATGGTAACAATACTAGAACTATACACACTTCCAAGGTAATATCTGTACTTAATCCTCCTGGGGCAATCCCACAAGGTTCCACCTTTAAAGATAGTGTTTATGATACTGAGTTCTCAGTGCTCATCTCCATCTCCAACTTTCCACATTTTCAACTATCTACTGGTGGTTTCTAAGTCCCACCAGCAGCTCAATTCCAACTTAAATTTCCTACAATGTAAACCTTCATTTTGCCAACCTAGTGGTTATGTTACCCTTCTTACCTGAAAAATCGGCTTATAGTTATATAGTACACAGAAGCAACACGATAAATATTTACAGAAAGAAGAAAAGGGTGGTGGATGGAACTGGTTTACAAACATCATCTCATTTAGAAGCAGATACAAAGAAATTAAGACTCAGAAAGCTCAAAGCAATCTTGCAGCATTACCCGGCAAGTAACAGGTAAAGCCAAACTCTAGTTCAATCTCAGTCTTTATTTTCCATCTTCAACCTCTTATTTTTTGTTATCAAAGTTTACTTATTTAAAACTCAATTCAACATTTCTCCATCCCAAAGTTCTTCCTGACCTCCAGCACTAAAAAGTGATTTCTCCTTCCTCTAACCCCAAGATTTTGCCTGCACTCGTTCTGTTGCTATAATCACACCTGGACTTAAACACATCACATCACACTATATATCCAATCTTCTCCTGCTAGATCAGTGGTTGGCATGAGTTGAATTGTGTTTACCATTCTCCAAATTCATATGTTGAATCCCTAACCCTCAATGTGACTGTATGTGGAGACAGTGCTTTTGGGAGGTAATTAAGGTCAAATGCGGTCATAAAGGTGAGGCCTTAATTCGATAGGATTAGTGGCCTCATAAGAAGCAGAGGGCTCTCTCTCCTTCTCGTTCTCTCCTCCTCCTCCCTCAACCTCCTCTTCCCCCATCCCTCCCCGCTCACTGCCATGTAAACACACAGGGAGAAGGCAGCCATCTGCAAGTCAGGAAGAGAGTCCTTGTCAGCAACCAGATCTCCTTGAATCTTGGTCTTGAACTTCCTAGCCTCCAGAATAGTAAAAAAAATTAATGTACATTTTTTAAGCCACCCAGTCTATGTTGTGTGGGTCACTCAAGTCAGTCTATGGGATTTTGTTATGGCAGCCTGAGTAGACTAAGACAGATTTTGGTACCAGAAGCTCTCAACCCTGGCTGTACCCAAGAACCACCTGAGAGGGCTGTACAAAATTCTTAATGCTTGGGCCCCACCCCAGACCAGTTAAATCAGAAATGCTGGGGTAAAAGCCAGGCATTGATATTTTTTAAGGCTCCCCAAATAATTATAATATGCAGCTAGACTGAGAACTACTGCAAGTAAAAGTTAACTTTAATGAGGTCAGAGACCACGTCTAACTCATCTTTGTAATTCCCTCTAACTCCTAGCATATGGTAAATATGCAATAAAATTGTTTTAACTGTTTAACAAATGACACGTATATTTAAAAGAGTTTTAGTATTTGATAGTTACAGATACACTGTAAACAAATACGTATGTACCTATTATGTACCAATCACCACACCAGGGATTGTGTATACAATAATGAATCAGTCAAGCAAGGTTCCTTACTCTGCAGCATAAACATGTGATACTCTACATTCCAATTAGTCATGTTTAGGTAATTAACATATCTTTTGATCTGTAAGAATCTCCCAGTAACAGTTCTTTAGCAAAACACAATGCAGGATGGTAAACACCACATTCTTAGCAATTTTTTCCTTCAATCTTCTTACTTAAAAATGCAAAAATAGGCTGGGCGCAGTGGCTCACGCCTGTAATCCCAGCACTTTGGGAGGCTGAGGCAGGCAGATCACAAGGTCAGGAGATCGAGACCATCCTGGCTAACACAGTGAAACCCCATCTCTACTAAAAATACAAAAAAATTAGCCGGACATGGTGGTGGGCGCCTGTAGTCCCAGCTACTTAGGAGACTGAGGCAGAAGAATGGCACAAACCCAGGAAGCGGAGCTTGCAGTGAGCTGAGATCACGCCACTGCACTCCAGCCTGGGCAACAGAGCGAGACTCTGTCTCAAAAAAAAAGAAAAAATGCAAAAATAGAACAGAGGATTGTCGGGGAGAATGTTAACTTGGGTATCAATAGTTTTATTTGGGCACAATTTTGTTTGGTCCACTTATATCAAGTACAAGGTAATACTTCTCATATTTTTGACATCTACAGAATTTTACACATATGATTTTAACACCCCAAACAAAAAATTAAAAAAGATACTAATCCAGGCAACAAGACACAAACTTGAATTTATTTCTGTGTGGAGTCAAGAACCCCTTGAGACCTATGACAAGTATTAATATTTAGAATCATAAAAGTTCAAGGCTTGAAGCAACCTTAGCAATTATCTGATACATCTCTTTCCCTACTTCTCATCCTCAAACCTCATATTATGTCATTAAGGACAGGTTAATGACAAAGTCTGAGACAATAAGTCAGTCTTACTAACTCCCAAATTCGGTGTTGATTCCACAACAGTACACTACCTCCCTGGGAGGAGGTGGCCAATCTTCTATAATCTAGGTGAAATTAACTGACCTATCCTTTTATCTGGTCTCTAATGAATTTAAAGAGGTGGATTCATATGAAAAATATTTACTATTTATTACACAGGTAGAACATTCCCATTCTTCAAATTATGTTTTTCTTTATTTCTCCAATTATTTGTTACATATAGGCGCATCATATCTGAATAAAAGGTTTCCTTTTATTCGTCAAAGAAAAGGATTTTATATCTAAAAGGAAAACAACTCTATACATAGGTTATATGATATTTTGGTGGAGTTTTTAATCCTAAACCTTAAAAAAAAATGTTTAACTGGAGGTGGTGGCAATCAGGAAAACTCTCCTAAGAAACTGATTTTAAATTGAGTTGTGAAAAATGAACAAGAATTCAGTAGACCTGGGGATAGGGAAGATGGGAGAAATTCTAGAGAGAACAGCATGTACGATGGCCTAGAAGACAAAAAAAAAAGTACAGCTTAGCCTACCTTAGGTATATCTTAAGCCAGTGTTATTCAAACTTGTTAACCACAACCTGTGACACTTTACTGGATGCAGTACACACACCTGTGTGTATGTATACATGTGTGCAAGTACCCATTCCTATCTGACCTGTCACTATCTGAACTCTCACTACTATCAAAACTCTTACTATCCAACTAAGATTCCTAACAGATTCAGATAAATTATTTTTAGGATAGAGCTGGTATCCCTCCTGCAGCAGAGAATGTTGGAGCATTCACATCTGCAACCTTCTCAGGACTGCCCCTGGCCATGGTAGCCCTTTGCTGTTTTCCTTGCTGCTGTCCCTCTCCCAACTACTACAGTAACCAATGACTGAAAAAGGGCATGAAAGCCCAGCTCCCTTGCCTCCAAGGCACAATAAACTGTATGTACCATGTGGTACACCAGAGCTGATTAGGTTAAGACCTGAAACCACATCCTTGCTCAGATTTTTCCCCTCCCGTCTCCTATTTTCCTTACTCTCTTAAGGGTTTTTTTTTTCTTTTCCTAAAGGCAATCTATTAATAAACCACCCAAATTACATGCAGTTCTAGTGACCAGCTCTTACTCTCTAATACTGTGCCCAAATAAAAGGAACCAGGGCTTCTCAGAGAAATAACTAATTGTATGGATTGGCCAGGGTAGGTACAAGATGAAGCAGTGATACCTTGTGTGAGGGAATAAAAAGGAAATGCTCAAAAAAATGGTGAGAGTATATGACAAAGATCCAGAAGCTAGCTTAAAGGGAACTCTGGCCAAATCTGGGGAAATTTGAACACAAAAAATACTTATGTACATTAACAGAGTACAAACGATTGAAAATACAGCAGTTCATGAGTCCTTACCAAAAATACCAATAATAAATTCATAAATCAATGAAAATGAAACAAAGCAATCTCTTGCTTACAGTAAAATGTCAACAACCATCTAGTAAATGTGAAGGGAGTGTGCTGGAGGTAGAAAATCATTATTTTGCAACCATTATGGGAAAGACTGAATCAGGTAAAAAAAAAAAAAAAAAAAATCAATGGACCCCAAATCAAAGAGAAATATTTGATGAGAAGCAAATATTTACAAGGTCTTAACCTTCCCACAGATTAGTTACTAATTGCAAAACAGAGAAAATACGGCAACAAAACAGGGCAAAACCTTGAGTGGGTAATCAAAATTAACATCACCTACGAGAGACAGATACCCATGTACCTCCAGATGGGATACTCTGGAAAGACACATCATGTATGCAGTATGTGGCTGAGATCAAGGTTATTCTTGATCTAAACAAAAGTCAGATCAACACAAAATAAGGAGAGTTCTGTTTGTCACTCCGTTACCTAAAAACTTGCAGTGTCTTCCCATTGTTCTTAGTATAAAATTCAAAATCCTTGAAATGGTTTACAGATCATTTCATGCTTCAAAACTGAAATCCCAACCCCCAACCCACTGCCATGGCACATACTCCTCTTTGATCTCAATTCTTCTTTCTTATTGTCTTTGCTTAAGCCTGTGTTTTTCAAATTTCACAGAGCAACCATCAGAGAGTTGTTAATCCGATGAGACAAAAATAATGTATTTTCTATGGCAAATATGCTTTTAATTTATAAATATACAAAATGTAGATGTTAGGTCTTTTTTTTTTTGTTCTGAGCCACCAACGTAATTTATGTCTAAGAAGATACTCTAGAGATATGGCGGCAATAATAAAATCAAAATTTTTCTTATAGGCCAGGCAGGGTGGCTTATGCCTATAATCCCAGCACTTTGGGAGGCCGAGGTGGGCAGATTACTTGAGCCCAGGAGTTCAAGTGCTCCTGAGCAAGGAGTTCAAGTGCAGCCTAAGCGACATGGTGAAACCCCATCACTAAAAAAAATAAAAAATTTTTCTAATCAACTCCACAACCTTTTACATATTAAACATACAATGCTCAAAAAAGATTCTTCAAGTTTGTTTACATGTCTAACTTAAAATTTTCTAGTAAATGTAAGGGCTAGTACTGTTCCTGTACCCCTAAAGGTAATTTACCTACATTCCCACAGGAACCACTGAAAGAACCCCAACTTGGAGTACTGCAACCCAAATGTTCCAAGAACATCCATAATTAAATCTTCCCAAGACACATATACCTTAAACACCTTCTCATGGAATGTCATGAAATTCTTGAACCCACTTTCCACCCCCTAAGCCCTATCTCTGTCCCATCTTCCTCCTTTTATTAAGTTCCCGGAAAAAAACAGCAATAGAAGGACACAGGGACACACACACACCTGATTAAGGAAACTTCCCTTAGGCTGCCATGCCCCATTCTGCATAAGTAGAGAATGAATCTATGTTGACAGAGGGAAGAGAACCTAACTAAAAAGGGGAAAGGTCAAAGAAGGGAGAAAGGAATTACTTTAGTTGATAGAGAAAGTGAAAAATCAAATTTATCAGGTGCAGGTTCCTATGGGCCATCATCTGAGAATATAATCATGTCTGAAAATTTGTCCGGAACATGGCAATAAGCAAAGATTGCTGTTATTACTGCTACATTAACAAAAAAAAGGAAAATAATGTAAATAAAACTATGTATAAGCATGTAACCTGCATTTTTTCGCTGGGTTCACAGTTTCTTGAGGAAAACAGAGACCCTACAAAGTTAATTAAAAGTTGCTGCCAAATGAAAATCAAGCTTCTATAAAGATCACAGAAAATACAAAATAAACCAATAGGAAAACAGATTTTGCTAAATGAACCTCAATTGGTGTATCTATTATTCACTTACTCAATATGGGCAAATACCATCGTGGGCTGTACAAAGCAGTAAAACATCAAAATGTGAAACTAAGCTTCAACGTATGAACCAAATAAACACGAAATTAAAAAAAAAAAAAAACTGGCTTCCATACATTTTATTCTGGAATTTAAACAGACAAAACAATTTAGGGAAAAAAAAAAAAACCTTCCTACTTGCTGACTCCACTTTTTTACTCTCCATTGCTTCCATTCCTTCCTTTGATGAAGTTTCCAATAATCACATTGTTAGATTTGACCATGACCTTCCACCCAGCTGCTGACGTACAAAAACTGGAATTATCCCTATTTCCTCTTTTTTTTTTTTTTGAGACGAAGTCTCACTCTGTGGCCCAAGCTGGAGTGCAGTGGCGCAACCTCGGCTCACTGCAACCGCTGCCTTCCAGGCTCAAATTCTCATTCCTCAGCCTCCTGAGTAGCTGGGACTACAGGCGTGTGCCACCATGCCTGGCTAAATTTTTTGTATTTTAGTAGAGATGGATTTTCACCATGTTGCCCAGGGTGGTCTCAAACTCCTGAGCTCATGCGATCTGCCTGCCTCGGCCTCCCAAAGCACTGGGATTAAGGGCATGAGCCACGGTGCCCACTGTTTCCTCCCTTTCTCTCACCATCCTTATTCAATGCAACCACAGGTCCTGTCAATTTCTCCTCATGACGCTGTATATTTCTTTCCATCTGTCTATTACCATCTTGGGCTAAGATACAAACATATTTGGCCTGGACTACTGCTCCTATCCCTTAACCTGTCTCCCTTCTTCCACTTATGACCTGACCCCTCTACAATGCATGCTACCACTGTAGCGAGGATAATAAACACATAAATTATGTTACTGCCCTCTTTAAAAGATTCTAAAGGCATTTGATGCCATTAGAAAAAATCCAAATGCTTTATTATCACAGCCAGCCTTTGAGGACTTGCAGCCTCTGCAATATCTAGGCATTTAGTGACTACCTACTTTCCCAATATCTTTCCTTATGGATCCCCTCCACACTCTGACCCACGTTCAAGTTAAATATTTTAAGTATTTGCTACCTGATGGCCAAGCACACTCTGCCTAGCTTCCTCTCATCCCTCAGATTCCAATTCAAATGACACTTCCTCATAAAGCTCTTCACTGACTAATCTCTTCACCATCTACCACATGACATTATTTTCTTCATGTTTATCACAATCTGTAAAAATGTGTGTGTGTATGTGTGTGTGCCCACGCACGTGTCTGTGTAGGGGGAAAAGGGGGTGTTAATTGTTTTTTCTACCACTAGATAAGCTTTATTGGGAGCAGGAATTTTGTTTGTCCTATGTACTACTGTTCCCTAGGGTCCAGAACAATATGGGACATATACCAGACACTCAACAAGTCTTTGTTTAATCAATACTCAAAAGGTGGCATGGTCTACAGCACTGGACTGGAAATGAAATTACCTAGGTTCTAACCAGACTTGACTCTACCAGCAACTAGCTG
Organism: Homo sapiens; assembly: GCF_000001405.40. Lineage (NCBI taxonomy): Eukaryota > Metazoa > Chordata > Mammalia > Primates > Hominidae > Homo > Homo sapiens. Next base: position 28,243,571 of record NC_000003.12, on the reverse strand, counting down.
TGTGGCCTTGGGTACAACACAAGATTGGAGTGGCTTATGAGTAACTGGAAGGTAAGCAAGTGAAGAGAGCAAGTATGAAGACTTTTTTCCCAAATTTCCTTGTCTAAATTCAAAAAGTGTAGATATATGGAAATCTTTAACCTCTCTCATTCTCAGTCTCCTCATCCGTATGAGATTACTTTAAAGGTCACTTCAAGTTCAGAAGTACCATAATTAGGCTGGGTGCGGTGGCTCACACCTGTAATCCCAGCACTTTGGGAGGCCAAGTCAGGCAGATCACTTGAGGTCAGGAGTTCCAGACCAGCATGGCGAACACGGCGAAACCTCATCTCTACTAAAAATACAAAAATTAGCCGGCCGTGGTGGCGGGCGCCCGTAATCCCAGCTACTCAGGAGGCTGCGGTGGGAGAATTGCTTGAACCCAGTAGGCGGAGGCTACAGTGAGCCGAGATAGCGCCACTGCACTCCAGCCTGGGCGACAGTGAGACTCCGTTTCAGTAAAATAAAAAAAAAAGATACCATAAATTATATGGGCCTAAACTTGAACCTTCCTTACTCACCCCTCACTTATACTCTACCCCTTCTACCCTCAAGAACCAAATCATGGTAGTCATCCTGAAACCAAGCATCGCACAGTGCACCTTACTATCTAAACCTTTGCTCATAGGGCTGCCTCTTCTCCAGCTCCAACCACTGGAAATTCCATCCCTCAAAGCCCAGATCAACTGCTAACTGCTTCATAACCACCTAGTCCAAAATGAATATGATCATTATGTTCCAGAACTCCTCTATGCTTCAAATTAGAGTACTCCCTGATCTACCACTACCTGCTGGACTAGTCACTTAACTTCTCTTCGCCTCAGTTTCCTAATCTGTAAAATGGAGCTAAAAGGACCTACCATACCACATATTATTGTTGGATAATAGAGAACACTTAGCATGGTAATAACATGTTCAATTAAAACATTATTTCTGTGCTACATATATTTTCCATGCTCCTTGAAGGCTCCGAAAGAGCATTTTCCATTTCTGAATCTCCCAAGTTTGACGCCATTTACCTCTCAATGTTTTGACTTTTTGTATCCATAAAATGAAAGAAATGGACTAGACCAACTACCATTCCCTCCAAAAATGTTATCTATTCCCTTGCAAAAATAGCCTAACGCAAAGATACTGCAGGTGACCTTCCACAAGGACGGGAATTCGAGGGTAAGTTAACTATTGCTGCAAACGGAAGTGGCTGGAAGCAAAGAGATTAAAACAACATTCAAGATTTTGAAGATCCTTTCCAAAGAAACTGACTCCTGCCATAGTGATGGATCCTTTGAAATATGTTTTTAAGTTGGGTTACAAGGATGAACTCGGGGTCCATGAACTCCCAAACAGAAATGTAAAACTGTGCGCCAGAACAAATATACAAATTTTTCTGGGGCCAGAGTGTCTGCAGCATACATTAAATGCATCTGTGACCTTAAGGGGCGAAAAGAGGGTGACAATGAAGAGACTAGTCGCGTTAAGTTGGAAACCACAATGGATGATACTTTAGACAACAAACGCAACCTCAGATAACCATAATCCCCAACAAGTGAGAAGATGACCTCAGACCGGGCGAAGCAGCCGCCGGGTATGAGGAGACGCTGGTGGAAGCAATGCTACCCAGAGCTCTGCACCTTTCCCAGGTCGGCATCCAGCCCGCATGGCCCGCGGCGTGAGACCCGGGGCGAGGCCCCTCGGCAAACCCCGCTTCCCGCCCCGGTACCTGCGGGGTCGAGCGCCATCTCGGCGGGCCGAGAAGAACGTAGCCGCTTGGCGGCTCCGGGGCACGCAGGAAGGGGAGTGGAGGGGAGGGGCTTGGGCTCGGACGCACGTGCGACCCCCGGGAGCTTCCCGCAACAGAAACACGGGCCCTTTGCAAAGCACCGCCAGGACCCGTTCCCTCTTCCTTCCCAGGCTCCTACTTCCGCCGCCCGTTGCGCCTGCGCCTTTCTGGCCCCGCCCCAATCCTGTAACTAGAGTGGAACTGACTTCGCAGGGGGAATGACCAGGAAAGGGGGCGTGTCTGCGTGCCTTTGGGGCGGGACCGTGCAGGACGCGCGCAGCCTCGCTTCAGGAGGCTTGTGCACCAGTTGCAGACCCGGGTCGGCCGTGACTGGAGGCGGACCTGCAGGACTTTGGGACTGTGCCTCACTCGGTGACTGGGCCAAAGTCCGAGCCCCGTCCCCCATACCCGCCTTCGGAGAACCAAATGAATCATCCAGTTCCTTTTTTTTTCTTCGTTAACGTTCATTCATTCATAAATGTCTATTTCATGCCTGCCAAGTTCCAGCCACGGTTCTGAATACGAGGGGAAAATAACAATAAAAATAACGTCCCTGTTCTCAAGGAGCAGTGTGGCAGAGGAGACAAATAAAAGCAACACGCTGTTAAATGTGATAAACGCCACACGCACTAGTTGTTCACAGCTTGTTCTACCATAAAGGTGATATGGTGTGTGCAATATCGTTATTTCTCCTTCAAATCAAAGACTGTGGCTCTCCTAGACGTTAAAATATGGGCTCTAGAAGTACCTCTATGTTGTGAAATAATATCCTCAGGACGTACAGTATGATTTGGGTGATGTTACAAATCCTGCCTCTATCAGTAAAAGCTGTATGTTTTGTGAGAGTAAAATGAAGGAAGGTAATAGCCGTCCCGCTGAAGACCCACTACTCACCTCTTCTCAATAGAAGAAACTTTCTAGGTGGCACTTAGGTTCATTTCCACTCACAAACCAGCCTTCAGAAGTGCTTCCTTGTCAAATTCACGTTTAACTGGCTCGAGCCACGAAAGGGTGAGCTGAGGCCTGGGACAGATGGGACAGATGTTTAGAAAAACAAGGAGCAGCTGCTTCTTCCCTGCAAGGGATTCAGGGCTTTCAAAATGATCCCCTCCCCACCTACCTGCAGTCCCTCCTCCCCTGCTGCTGCTTCCGCCTGGTCAGTTGGCAGAAAAGCTGAGGCAGTTGAGCAGGGCTGGGAAAGTGGGTCTCTGCTCAGCAGGTCTTCCGTTTAAGGGCCTATTTGGGCATAACGGCCCTTATTACAGCTGTAGGTTGAGGTGCCAAGGTGAAGAATTAACGTTTCACTCACCCAGCCAGGGAATCAGGTCCTTTTCCTTGTATATTTTGTAAATATGCTTAGAAATACACCAAAATGACTCTGGTATGCCTCTTTTATTGTTCTGAAGGTGAAGGATTTGATTTAGAAAGCTAAAGCAATCTTTTTGAGGAGATGGAGTATGAAAACACAGGTCAGACACCCATATTCAAGAATTAAACTAAATCTTTCTATATGCAAAAGGGTATTATGGTAAAGGAGGAAAGTTTGATCTGTTATCTTAGTGAGTTGAGTAAGTTCTATTATTTTTCTGGACTTTGGTTTCCAATTTACAAGGTTGTTCTGAGGAATAAATGTGATATCATACAATGCATTTGAAAGACTTTAAAGGACCACTTCTACCATTTCTGCCATAGCTATTACTTGAAACATTACTATTTAACATTTGTTTTTAAATCAACACATTTTTAAAAACACTTAAATAGGCACTATTTACTTTAGCCTTATCCTAAGCAACAGTATCTGTAATATCATGGGTTTTGTGTGCCCCATAGAATGAACTGCTAGACGTATCACACCAGGAGAAGCACTAGCAAAAACGGTAGCCCAATACCTGATACATAATAGTATATCTCTCTCTACTCCCATGTTAAACCAGATACTTTGGGGGGAAACTGAGTCTTTACAATCTATACCTAGGGAAGATAAGTCATTTTTTAAGTTAAGCGAATGTAATTGGCAATTAAAAACAGAAGAAATTTCCTGAGGCATCGCATTATTAATAGGCAATTCTTTGGGTAGTAACTGCAAAAGGAGCTCAAGGAAAGAGGAGAGGACATCATCCTGGAAATTAGGAACAGTGTCTTACCCAGCTGTGATCCCTAGAGCTCAGGCAACGTCTGGTAACTGGTGACCCCACAAAAGCCTTTCTCAAAGGATTGAATGCCGCAATGGTTAGGAAAGACTTCAGAGATAAGTTAGAAGTTATGCTCGGCCTTGAACGATGGGTACAATGAGTAGACAGAAAAAAGGGCATCTCATGCTGGGAGAAAAATGAGAGCAAAAGCATCTGGGATTTGAACTGTTCTTGAAAGAGCATGGTGGAGCATGGCAGAGTACAGGCTAAGGAATGGAATCACATGAACAAAAGCACAGGGGTGGGAAGCACCCAGCTGTGTGGCAGGAAGCACCACGGGGCTGTGTGGCAGGCATGTGGTGGGCAATGCTTGAAACTACTTCAATGCATTTTAGGATTTGGGAAGCTAGGGCAGTTATGCATTGGCTAGAAAAGTCCAGATTCCCACAGCCTTAAACACTAGACAGAGGTGTGTTTGAATGTGTTACTATAAGCAACCAGAATCTGTTGAAGGTTAATATATAGGAAAAGAGCATTGTGGTCAAAATTTTCTAAAGGTGTTTTATAAAAGTTTTGCGCAGGATGAATGTAGGCAGCGAGGAAAGAGCTAAAAGGCAAGCAGAAAAGTAAGGAGGCTATTGTACTGGTTTGGGCAAGATATGAAAAGAGCCTCAACTGGGATATATAAAAGGATGGATGTGAGAGTAATTGCAAAGGAAGAATCTATCCTTTGAAATTGGATTTAGAAGACTAAGACAAAGAGTCAAGATTTCTGGATAATTCCTTTTTTTGGCAAATGTATACAGACAAATGAGAAAATCATGGCAATGTGCCTATTCATGCCTGAAATGATCTGCCTTGATCCTCATTATTGGGGGCTAACAGTGGCGATAATGAAACAGAAAGATCAGTTCAGAGAAATTTGCAGTAATGCAGGGTAATAACAGTAGTTGAACCACAGTGAATTTCTCTTTGTATGTGAAGGCAAAGGAATGTGCAAGTAGAAACAAGTATCTTGATTATTTTTGAGTCAATTCTGAATTGGATCTAACATTCCTTTATGCTATATGTTGATATGCAGCTAGTTGTTTTTTGAAATTGAGATTATCAGTCAGCCCCTCCTTGCTTCTGCCTCTTCTTAGCATCAGAAGTAAAGACTTTTCATCTGCAGCTTGGCTCTGCTACAGATGAGAATAAAACTTGAAATCAATGAGATTTCAAATTTGAGTCAGTAAGAATCAAACTTGAAAGAATATTAGACGCCTCATCTCTACCAGAGGATAGGATTTAGAAGTAGTTCTCGGCCAGAAGATCACTAATCAAGGGTCCCTGGTGGCCCTGCCTACTTTCTGAGCTGTATTATTTAGCACCCAGTTTGCATGGCTTGTGCCTTCTCTGGTTTAAAAGGACTTAGGTCCATGTTGACATTTCTATTATTTGCTAGGGTGGTCATAATGAAGTGCCACAGTCTGGGTAGCTTAAACAACAGAAATATTTTCTCACAATTGCAGGTTAGAAGTCTGAGATCAAAAATGTCGGCAGAGTTGCTTTCTCCTGAGGCCTCTCTTCTTGATTTGTACATGGCATCTTCTCCTGTGTCTTCACATGGTCTTCCCTCTGTGTGGCTGTGTCTCCTAATGTCTTCTTGTAAGGACATCAGCCATATTGGATTGGGACCAACTCTAATGAATATCCTAATGGCCTCATTTTGTCTAAACTACCTCTTTTAAAACCGTATCTCCAAATGCAGTCACATTCTGAGGTGCTGGGGGCTAGGACTTCAACACAAGAATTTTGGGAGACACAGTTCAACTGATAAAAGCATTGAAATATTTTTAAAGGACTACAATTATTCCCTGAATCCCAAATCACTTCACTAGAGCCCTGAGAACCTGTCTAGTGTTAGCCTGTCACCAGAATAAAATACTTTGTCCCTGTTTTCCTGGCTGTTGAATAGGGCCTGTTTTAATCTGACTCAGTTCACCTATCCACTTCAATCAGCTCCTGACTGTCCCTTCTCTACATCTGATTGATCAAAACATGTAGTCAGTTCTCCTTCCTTAATATATCTTTATTTCATCTGCCAATCAGAGTCATAACTCCTAGTCCAAGGTCTGCCCATTTGTGCTGATATTATTGTAATAGTTCTGAACTGGCTCTCTGTTCCTAGGCATTTCTTCCTCCCACTTATTCTCTCTATTCCATGTCACCCACAACAGCAAATATGATTATAAAATTTCTTATATAAAATTCCCAGTAAGAGACAACCTATGGAATGGGAGAATATATTTGCAAATCATACAAATGATAAGGAGCTAATATCCAAAATATATAAGGAATTCAAACAACTCCATAGCAAGAAAACAAATAACCCAATATAAAAATGGGCAAAGGACATTAATAGGCATTTCTCAAAAGGAGACATATAAATGATAAGTATGTGAAAAAATGTTCAACATCATTAATCATCAGGGAAATTCAAATTAAAACCACAATGAGATATCACTTAAGATCTGTTAGAATAGCAGAAATACAGGAAGATAATAAACATTTATGACGATATAGAGAAAAGAGAACACTTACACACTGCTGGTGGGAATGTAAATTAGTACAGCCATTATGGAAAACAGTCTGGAGGCTCCCCAGAAACTTAAGAACAGAACTATCATATGATCCAGCAGTCCCACTACTGGGTATATATTCAAAGGATATGAAAGCAACATGCTGAAGAGATATCTGCACTCCCATGTTTTATTGCAGCATAATTCACAATAGCCAAGACATGGAATCATCCTAAGGGTCCATCAATAGACGAATGGATAAAGAAAACATGGTATATATACACAATGGAATACTGTTCAGCTCTAAAAAGAGAAATTCTGTCATTTGCAACAACATGGATGAACCTGAAGGACATTATGTGTCCTTCAATTTTGAAAGACTCTTGCGTGAAATAAGCTCAGCACAGAAAGAAAAATACCGCATGATCTTACTTATATGTGCAGTGTGAAAAAACCAAACTTATAGAAACAGAGAGTAAAATGGTGGTAACCAGAAGCTAGGGGTTTGGGGACCTTGGGGAAATGTTAATTAAAAAAATAGAAAATTTCCATTAGACAGGAAGGATAAGTTCAAGAGATCTACTGTACATCATGATCACTTCAGTTAGTAACAATATATTGTCTATTTGAAAACTGCTACTCTGTAATAAATTTTATGTATTCCCATTACAAAAAAAAGATAAGTATGTAGAGTAATGCATATGTTAAATAACTTTATTTTGTCATTCCACAATATGTATTTTAAACGTCATGATGTACACTATAAATATATACTATCTAACTTGCCAGTTGAAACAAATACATGCATACATACATACATATATAAATCCTCAGTAGTTCCTTATATAAATAAAATTCAAACCCCTTCTTTTAGTAAGGTTCACAAAACTCTTTATAAACTTAGTCCCAGATTACTATATCAACTTTTCGTAACCAACCTCCTTGTAATCTGCAATTTCTGCTACATTAACTTACATACAATGGTTTATTAAATTACCTGTAAAGACTTCTTTGGGCTATCCTGGAAAAATGGGTAAGAGTTTGTAGTTAATATAAAAACTTGAAACTGATGCAGAAAAAGTATCTAGTTTTCACTAGGACCATTGGAACTAAACAGAGTGATATAATTTGGATGTATGTACTCACCCAAATCTCATGCTGAATGTAATCCCCTATATTTGAGGTGGGGCCTGTTGGGAGGTGATTGGATCATGGGGGCAGATTTCTCATGAATGCTTTAGCACCATCCTCTTGGTACTGTCCTTGCGATAGTGAATGAGATCTTGTGAGATCTGTTTAAAAGTGTGTGGCACCTCCTCTCTCTCCCACTCCTGCTCTGGCCATGTGACATGTCTGCTCCTCCTTCACCTTCCACTATGATTATAAGTTTCCTGAAGGCTCCCCAGAAGCCAAGCAGATACCAGCATCATGCTTCCTATCCAACCTATGAGCCAGTTACACTTCTTTTTGGTATAAATTATCCAGTCTTAGTATTTCTTTAGAGCAACGTGAGAATGGCCTAATACACAGAGCTAAACTCATTTTTCTCCCCTACTTTACTTAACTTTTTAAATTGAGATATAACTTATATACAGTAAAGACTACAAATCTTTGTGCAGCTAAGTATTTACGTATTTATACACTTTGAACTACCACCCAAAATAATGCTCTGTCAAAATATAGAACATTTACATGTTTATACACTTTGAACTACCACCCAGAATAATGTTCTGTCAAAATATAGAACATTTCTAGTCATCCAGAACTTTCCTTTTTATCTCCTTTTAGTAAAACCTCTCTCTACAAAAGTAGCTACTCTCATAACTTCTCTGAGCATTGATTAGTTTTGCCTGTTTTTGATCTTTATATAAATGTAATCATACAGTGTGTAGTCTTTCCTATCTGGCTTTTTTTTGCTCAACTTCATGGTTATGAGATTTATTCATGTTGTTGTATATATAGAGATAGCTGCTCTGCTACTTTAAATGTAACTTTTGGTAAATTGTTTATCCTCCTGAGCCTCAATTTTTTCATCTGTACAAATATAACCCACCTCCGCATGATTGATTTGAGCCTTAATGATGCCCTGTTACAAACGCTGACAGTGGTGTCCAGCACACAGTAGGCCATTCTTAAACTATAGTAATTGTTACTATGATGATTGTCCTCTCTATTTTCACTTTTGAAAACTGTTCTTTCAAACTATTATTACAGGATATGTAGTTTTTAAAAATGTTTTATTCAGAGCTACTCTGCCTTCAGGATTGAAATCTAGACAACAATGGGTTTAAATCAGTATTATGTGAAACAACCTTCAAATGAAGAAAGGAGATTTAGCAGTGTGCCCTATCATTTATCAGGTGAGAAAAAAAAGTGTGAAATATCACCTCTCACCTCTGCAGAAGGCTTTCTATATTTTATGTTTTGTTTTTACTGTGTATGGTTTTCTGGGTGGCCTCCTTTGAGACAGACCACAATATTCTCTGGGGTCAGAGGCTCTATTCCTAGAAAATGAAATAATTTTCAAAAGTAATAATAATACTATGACATGACTTATCTTGGATTTCTCCTATTTTGGCTTTGTGTGGGTGCTATGATCCTCTGTAGAATTTCTCATAGGAACTGACGAAGAAAACACAGGAGTGTTTTTTGTTGTACACCGAGCCTGAAACATCAATGACATACCAGTTAGTGGGTCAACTGCACTGAAAACAAGTCAGAGACCTTTTGCTCATTTAGAGGAAACAAAGTTATGAAAACTTTAGTGACTTAACACCAAGTATCTCCACCCTGCTAATCTGAAAGAAGACAAATGTCTTAATTGAGCACCATTCCTCCTTCAGATCAGAGAATTTTCTGTATGCCGCTCACTGTACTGAATCCTGGGAAAATAAAGATCAGTAAGATGAGGTTTCTGCCTTTAAGGACTCAAAGTCTAGAGGGAGATAGAAAAATATATGAACAAATAATTACAATTCAACTGATAGATGATGATATGGGAGCCCAAAGAATGGATAAATTAATTTGACTTTCAGAAGACTTTATATACTTGCTTATGTTCGAGTAGGTCTTAAAGAATAATTAGATTTTCAACAAGAGAAAGGCAAATGGAGTCCTCATTGACAAAGCTTTTACCATGTAGAATAGGTGTGGGATTAGTGCCATGCCCTATGAATATGGTTAAAATAGCTAGATTATCCACTACTATTTGGAGCCAAAGAAGATACAAGAAAAAAAAAATCTAATGTTAAGTATTGCTATCAAGTTTCAATGCTTTCTTCCCAGTGCTATGCTCAAACAAAACAATCCCACATCACTGATTCTGGTATCTTTACCAATTAGACATGAAGCATTAAGTCCAAATGAAGACATCCCAAAGAACTCAGGCCTTGACCTTTAGTAAAGAAGAGTGTTTATGTTAACTTCTATTAATTTGATTCTGTGTCATGGAGCCAGGGATCTCAAAGTGTAGATGAAAGATGTCCTATAAAAATAAGGTATTGCTGTTGTTACTAAGTCACATGACTATCTGCTTTCTGAGGAAAGAGATTGTGTCTTATGTGCTATGGTAGTCCCCTACATTTCTCACAGGACTTGGCATCATAAATGCTTCTTGCACAAATTCCTGTTAATGGAGAATGTAAGGGCACCATGTAAAACTGAAGTGGGTCACATGGCCCATCAATTATTCTTTATTAATATCATTTCTGTTCTTTTCCCTGTCCCTAACTCCTGCCTTAATTCTGACACTATTTTCGTCCTTTCTGGTTATTTGCTATAGGTACTTCCAGGTTCTATATACTTTAAGAGATGTTTTCTTAACTCAGGACATGAGGTACACATTTCTGGTATTGTCTGCTTGGCATCTTGCTCTTCTGTTCCTTCCCTACTTTATTATATGGTTTCTACCAGTGTCCTCGTGTCCTTACATGACATCTCTCTTTACCCATATTCATTGGTCCAAAAATGGATACCTGGCCTATGAAAGGCTGATGAAACTCTGTCCTAGAAATTATAGATGTGAGTCTAACATCTCAGTTTGTATTCTGAGTCTGCAATTGTTAAATGCAAAATATGTAGAAGTCATTAAAAGACTAGTTTTTGCCATGTAGTGAAAGCTACCTATAGGGAGAGGAAAAAGGTGAAGCCCAACCAAAGAGATACAGAGACTTAAGACTGAGAAAGTCCAGAAGAAGTTTGGTTTCCAGTTGCAGTTTCTGTGAGGCTCAGCTCTATATCTGCCTTTCTGTGTCTTTGCTCTTTGTTGAGCCACAACAGACATACATAGGACACCTCTTGTGCACCACTTCAAATACTTTTGGCCCAAATCTTATACATGGGGCTGGTTCTTTTCAAGCTTCCTTCAACCTTCTTCATGTAGGTGCAACTTGACAGCACCTTGCCTCAGCCTTGTGCCTCTCACTTGCTTCTGACACTACACCATGGAACATGCACAGGCACCCTCTCAGTAGCAGTTCATATACAATCTAGAAGTGTAGGGGAAGTTAACGCCGGTAGGACTACCTTGATTAATAGTGAATGGAATCCAATGGATAAATGTGCGCCATTTTTTAATTCCCCAGGCAGACAATCTTGAAACACATTTTAAAGATTCCTGCAAAGGTCTCGTGGTAAACCACACCAGTCACCTGTGAAGTAGGAAACTTAATGATACATTCATGTATTATCTTTCTGTCCTTCCCTCTTTCACTCTTCCCTCTTCCTCACTCCTGCTTCTTGGGATTATATTCCAAGACAATCAATCTGCATGCAATCTGGTCTAAAAGAACACTTGCTCGTTGTTTCCCATGTTTGTTTAAGTTGGTTCCTGCCTCTTGCTACTCAAAAACATTGTCATAATTAATACAAAGACCTGCAATGGTTCTCTCAATGCCCATAGAATAAGATCATACAAGCAACAGAACTGGATGAGAATACATGAAAATCCAAGCACAGGAAGCAGCCTACTAGTTTGTCGGGATGACCCCATATTACTATTTGCCTATTCTTTGCCTGTTGTAATCTGCTCTTCTTTGCTTTCACCTTCTCTGGCTGAAAATCCCTTAGCTCTCAATACTTTAGCTCTCAATACTCATGCCAGGCCTTCTTTCTTTGAAGACCCATGTGTTATGCTACTCCAGGTGTGACAGTCACACTTTCTCTGGATTTGGTTCTATATACATAGTTCAGCTCCATATCATATGGTGGCCAGTAAGCTAGAGACCCAAAGACTCACAAATGCCAAAGCCCCTCACCTAGCATTTCTCCCAGTGCCTAAGACATAGAAGCCACTCACCAAATATCTGTTGGATAAATTTATAAAGGTATTGATTTCTGGGTACTTAAAAGCAAAGATTAAAGGGAAATAATCATTCACTTGATTATGCTTGAATCATTATCAATCATATAAAACATATACTGAATATATCTATACATACTTCCTTTTAGTTGTATTATTAGAAGCTTAGAAAAAATTAAAGTCTTCGTCAAAGCTGTACATGGATACCAAAATTTATTTCACTTTTTACTTATTGTTGATGTTTTAGGTTGTTTCTAAATTTTCTTTCACAATTAACACCGAGATAAATATTCTAAAAATAAAGCTTTTATCTCTAGCTCTGTTTATTTCTGAAGGATAATTCTTAGGAGTAAAATTATTTTGCTAATTACTATGGATAAATTGTTAGCAATAGGTAAAGTCATCTTAAATATTTTTGTAAAATTGCTACAAACAGGCATATTGTTACAACCTTTTACTTTTTATTAGTACTGATAAACATTTTTATGTATTTACTAGCCCTTTAATTGGCCTTCTGTGAAATGTCGATCTATATTCTTTCCCATTTTAATTTATACTATTTCTATTTCTTTACTGATTTATATATTGTCTTTCTATGTCAAGGGTATTGTCTTTTTCTATCCTTTTTGCAGCATTAATTCTTTGTAATTGTTTTTCTTTTACTTATACTAATTTGACAGACTTACACATGTATAGAGTATTTTCCTTTGTAATTTTGATTTGTTTAATTCTTAGAGAGAGATAACCCATCCTGTCCCCAATATTTTCTTTTTAAAAAAAAATAGATTTCCAGGGTAAGGGGAGGGAGAGCATTAGGACAGATACCTAATGCATGAGGGGCTTAAAACCAAGATGACGGGTTGATAGGTGCAGCAAACCACCATGGCACATGTATACCTATGTAACAAACCTGCACTTTCTGTACATATATCCCAGAACTTAAAGCGGCATAAAAAAGCCCCACAAATTAAAGAAAGAAATAGATTTCTATTTTACATCTACCTTCTTTTCTTACCTTTATTTCTGTTTATTTATGGTGAGAATTGAATATCTACCTTAATTTTTCTCCAAATAACTAACCAAATTTTTAACACTATTTTTCTAGATATATTTACTGAATAATTTACCATTTCCTTTTCAGTTCTTTCTCTCATCATGGGCCTGTTTCTAGACTATTTATTCTGTCCATCTCCCTGCTTATTTCTGTGAATGTATCCTGGTCTTTTCAACTGACAGAAATTCTAGATAGATAAGGTGAGGGTACACATGATATTTTCATCTTTTCCAGATTGAGACTTTGTTTCTGCACATCTGACCACTGGACTTACCAAAGGTGCAAAACAGGATATGTGACCTGTCCATGTCAGGACAAGGAACAGTGTCACCTGCCTGTCTATTCCTGGTCTGTGGTTGCTGGCTTCTAGTTTGTGGGCAGTCAGATGAGGAATGGGCTGTGGGAGGGAGCCCATATCCCACTCTCAGGTTTAGCTAAAGAATCTTCATTTCCCATCTTGGTTGCAGAGCAAGTTTACATTTATTCCTTATGAACCTGCTATTTCAGGTCAGACCCTGGGAAGCACACTCTGAGGTGAAGATTAACACATGGAAATTTGTTAGTGAGTGCTCTACTTTTGGAAAGCTAATACTTATGGAAAAGAAGGGAAAGAAACAGCATTAGGGAGAGGGAGAAGTTGAGCTGTGGTACAGTCATAATAAGAACTAAGCCAACTCCACATAAAGCTCTAAAGCTGGGATGGCCCTTCACAATTGTCCTGAATTGGAGCAAGGGAGCCGGACTTTGTACTACTGCATTAACCGATCATTGATAGAAGGCTGCTCTAGGAAAGGGGGCATGGCTTTGGAAAAGACATGCTTTTTTAATAGAAGCTGTAGCACTGATTATACTTACAAACTAACATAAATTTGTGAGATTCATTTGTTATCTGTTTCTTTCTCTATCATAAGTTCCAGGAAGGAAAGGATTATTTTTGTTCTTAATTGCCATTGTAGCCTCAAGAGCACAGCAATTATTTGTTGAGTACCTGGTACATAAAAAGCACTCAGTAAATACTTGTTGAATAAATAAATGACCATAGGAGGCAATACTATCCTCGTTGCCTATATTGACAATAAGGAAACTGGGACACAAAGATACAACTAATGAATGACAGAGCTAGGATTTAAAGTCGCATCTGTTTGGTTCAGAGGCCACGTTCTTTTTACTATAATAATTAATCAGCTCAGGCTTCCACAGCAAAATACCACAGGCTGGGTGGCTTGAACAACATACATTTATTTGCTCACATTTCTGGGGGCTAGAAGTCCAAGGTCAAGACGCCATCAGGATTAGTTTCTGGTGAGGCCTCTCTTCCTGGCTTATAGGGTCACCTTCTTACTGTATTCTGAGATGGCCTCTTCTCTGCGTGCACACAGGAAAAGAGAGAGAGAGAGAGAGAGAGAGATCTGGTGTCTCTTCCTTTTCTTATAATGACACCAGTCCTATTGAATTAAAGTCCTGCCTTTATGACATTATCTAACCTTAGTTGCCTCTTTTCAGGCCCTGTCTCCAAACACAGTCACATCGAGGGTTACAGCTTCAACATGTGAGCTTTAAGGCAGGGGACATAACTTCATCTGTGACAAATAGATTTCCACGGCTTATTATAAAGACACAAAGATTTAGGGGAATCTACCCTAGGCAGGACTGCAGGGCTCTCCAGGGCTTCCTGAACTCCCCTTCTTAAAGTTAGGCTGTCATTTGTGTCCAATTATGTAAGAAATAAGAAATAGAAAAAGTTGAAATGAAAGGTATGAGAAATTTTTTTTAATAAAAAGTAGTGCTTCAACGACTAAAAACATGTCGAGAGAAGATTATTTGGTGCTCCCCTAATTAACAGACTTCAAATCACTGCCGGACCATAAAGTACCTTCTTAGCCACACCATGTCAAATTCTGACTCATATTTTCTCATTTAAGGTATTTGAATTTTACCGTCTCTTTCTTGTATTTTGCAGTTGCCATAGTCTTCAGCCACTCATTTAGTCCAGTCTCCATACTTTGGCTAGTTTTCATCCTAAGAAAATAAGACCTTCTCATTGCCTTGCTAAACTACTTTCTACGGTTTCACTTTTCCCTGCACAGTAGTTTTCAAACTTCATTGTGCATCAGAATTACCTAGAAGAATCATTAAAACACAGATTGTTGGGCCCCACCTACTTCGCCAGAGTTTGTAATTTCCTAGCGCTGGCTTGAGTCCTGAGTATTTGCATATCTAACTGGTTCCCAGGTGATGCTAACACTGCTGAACCTGGGATCACACTCTGAGAACTGCTGCCTTATGGATAAGACTAACTGCAGCTCTTGCCTCTGTCTGGCTCTAGTTTGCTTCTCCCAATTATCAATCTGCACTCCACTCACATCATATGCCTCACACTCCACCCCCATGTTTTCTCCACGCCTAGAGCACTTCAGCCACTGTTGTACTGAATGCCTTCATACCTGACAAAGTGTCTTTTCTACCCAGCTCATATACTCCTCCTCTCTCCAGTTTTCCCTTACTTTCTTAGGGTAGTCTAATGATAATCCCACACTGTGTTCGTATCAATGTTTTATATTAATGCTTTATTTAGATTGTTTTCAAGGCTTTCTCTTTCATTAGACTATGAGGTTTAACAATAGGGATCATACCTCACTTTTGTATTTCTGATGATTCACATACTGTCTGGAAAGAATAGGTCCTTGGCCTATATTACGTTAGTATTTAATTAAAAGTTAATTTAACTTAATTATTTGTAAAAGGGTTCAATCATGTATGAGATATATGATCACTCTGACATCTTCTAAAGTTCCTTTCACTCTGTTAGAATCTGACTAAAAACTCTACCAAGGAGCATTTCAACTCCTTTCAGCTACTGCGTTATTCATCAGCTCTTACATTCAACATGCCTATGCAGCTGACTTCTGTCCCAGGCTTTGCTGATCATTCTTTTGTCTAGCACTGTCCAGCCTTTTCTCTGGCTTATACCTTTGCTTCTTGAGGTTCAAACTAGGTTCTCTAGCTTTCCGTTCACTTGCCTCTTGGACCTCCACTTCCTACCAAAATAGCACAACCACTTTGCTTGATCTGATTTGGCTCATTGATTCCTGAATTTTGAAATCAGCTATAACCACTAGATGAATGCCTATCCAGCTACGGTTAGTGTCATCTGGAGGAAAGCCCCTGCTTGAGACTCCCTCCCTTCCCTCCTTTTTCCCTTTTCCCTAATGCTCTTCTTCAACACATTTTCCTGACCTTGATTTATTGTTGAATAATTCTTCAATTCATTTTTCGACTCATGGCTTGCAGGAGACAATAGGTATGGCTTTATATTTCTGGTTTAAGCTACTTATTACTCTGAAATCATAAAAGGGAAAAAAGTCTGGGCATACAAAAATAAATAAATAAATTTTAATCACAACCCACCTGTGAAATATTGCTAATGACAGCCTCTTCAACTTAGCATTAAGAGGGCAGCAGCAGATGAGTTCTCAGAAAAGAAGAATAACTCAACTCTTCACTAATTATAGTGAAAGTGTTCCAATTATATAAATTGCTTGCCATGAAGATTGCATACATTATTTACTTTCAGGTTGAAATACACCTTATTGAACTAGTAGGTTATTTTTAATATGTAGGTCAGGTTTAAGTATAAATGATAGTATATTTCCCCTATAAGCTAAATAACTTAAAAACAACAAAGAAAAACTGTCAACTTCTAGTGAACTAGATGTTACTGATGACAGCTAAGCCACTGCATCATGTTTCAAACTACAAGTTTTAACTGTACTTGGACCAAATAAATTCACTTAGAAAGTCCTTACTCCCAGGTATTATGGTATTTCTCAGTTATATAGGGAGCTTAAGGTTCTTCCTTTCTTTCTTTCTCTTTTTTTTATTTTTTATTTATTAATTTTTTTTTGAGAAAGGCTCTCACTCTGTCGCTCAGGCTAGAGGCTAGTGGTATGAACATCACTTACTGCAGCCTTGACCTCCTGGGCACAAGCAATTCTCCAACCTCAACCTCCTGATTAACTGGGATTACAGGCATGCACCACCACCAAGCCTGGGCTTTTTGAAAACCTTTTTGTTCCTCTGAACTAGACTCACCTACTTCTACCATGAATTCTGTTTTTGTTTGTTTGTTTTCGTGTTTTGTTTTTTACTCTCTGAGTCACCCTTTTTCATTTTTAAACATTGACCATTCTACTGTGTTTTATCTTGAGAAATTGGACCTTCTCTGTGGTCTTTCTCTTAGATTGATTCATCTTGGGGACTGCAACTGTTGCATTTTATGTGGAGGTTTCCCAAATAACACTAGAATTTTGATTTCTCTCAATTTTAAGTTTACATCTCTAGCTCTTTACTGAATAATTTAAATGTTGTATTGATACCTCAAATTTAGCACATTGAAAAAAGTCTTACTCTCTGTCATCCATATTTCTCTCAATATTCTCAACGCAACTCATATTTTAAACCTCAATTATCTTTGAACCTAAGTTCTGCACTTCACTCCCTAAATCCAAATCATGTTGCGTAACCTTCTCTAATACCATATATTTTTATTTTCTCACAGTCAATGTTTTTGTGCGGACCACACCCCTTTCCACTTGGACTATTTTTGTAGCCTCCCAACTATTTCAGACCTTTAGGCTTTCTTTCTCCAATTCCTTCTATGCCCAGCCAGATTAAACCCTTTAAACTCCTTTTTCATCTCATGATGTTATTACTTGCCAAAACCTTTCAATGATTCCAGATTTTCCAAACTTACAGGCCCAACAGGCCTACATGTGGCATAACTT
Source organism: Homo sapiens (assembly GCF_000001405.40). NCBI lineage: Eukaryota > Metazoa > Chordata > Mammalia > Primates > Hominidae > Homo > Homo sapiens. The sequence continues at coordinate 28,225,922 of NC_000003.12, read as the reverse complement.
TATTTTATAATCTTATTCCTTCTTACTTATCACTATCCTTCTGGACCCTCAATTTATTGCATTTACAGAAAGTTTCAGAAAAGTGGTGGCTCTTAAAAGGAAGAATGAAATAGCTCCAAAACATTTTTGAGATACTTTGTTTTCTTCCAGGACACTTCATCATGATTACATACCCCTTCTTTAAAGACCAACTATTTCCACAAATACAAAGTAGCACCATGTTGCCTACTAAGTCTCTCCATGTACATGTGAGGCATCTCAGTCTGTGTTCATGGCCCATAGCTGAGTTTGGTGACCATATACATTAAAGTAAAACAGTAGGAAGAAACTACAGGACTTAAAAGTGGAGTGGTACGTAGATCCTAAATGCCTTACCCAGTGGAAATGTAGTCTGTGACAAAGTCAAGCCTAGAACCCAGAATTCCTAATAGGCATTCTTGGGATCATTATAACTGGTTTGTGTATGTTTCATGCTGAGGAATTCCCATTTTTAAGCAATGGAATAAAACGATAGCTTGAGGCCAGGCACTGTGGCTCATGCCTGTAATCCCAGCACTTTGGGAAGCCAAGGTGGGCAGATCATTTGAAGTCAGGAGTTTGTGACCAGCCTGACCAACATAGTGAATCCCTGTCTCTACTAAAAATACAAAAATTAGCTGGGCATGGTGGCACCCACCTGCAATCCCAGCTACTTGGGAGGCTGAGGCTGGAGAATCACTAGAACCAAGGAGGCAGAGGTTGCAGTGAGCCAGGATCACGCCACTGCACTCCAGCCTGGATGATACAGTGAGACTCCAACTCAAAAAATAATAATAATAAATAAATAAAAATAATTTTAAAAGATAGTGTTACCACTTTGTTTAAGCTCATTTTTGTTGATATTAATAACAACAACAACAACAAAATAAACAGAAAGAAAAAAAGTACTTTGAAAGTCTGGATTTATTTGAATATGTAAATTCTCTATGTCTGTTGAAAACTACGCTCAATATTGAATAAGTCTTATATGTTAGACATTGGCATGGGAGTTGATGATAGAGTGGTGAATAAAACAGTGCTCCTGGCCCTAAGATGCTATGTCTACAAGTAAGATTTTAATTATTACAATAAAGTTGATAATCGGTTATACTGTTTGGCTGTGCCCCGACCCAAACCTCATCTTGAATCATAACGCCCACAATTCCCACATGTTGTGGGAGGGACCTGGTGGGAGGTAATTGAATCATGGGGGCAGATCTTTCCCATGCTATTCTCATGATAGTGACTATGTCTCACAAGATCTGATGGTTTTAAAAAGGGGAGTTTCCCCACACATCTCTTGTCTGCCACCAGGTGAGATGTGTTTTTCACCTTCCACCATGATTGTGAAGCCTTCCCAGCCATGTAGAACTGTAAGTCCAATAACTACCTTTCTTTTATTAATTGCCCAGTCTTGGGTATGTCTTTATCAGCAGCGTGAAAATGGACTAATACAAGTGGGTAATGCCTTGTGGGGATAGGAGGCAATAACAGCACATAGTGCATAGGATAAATGCCTAATCCAGTTCAGTGATTGGGATGTGGCTAGGGGTGGACAGTTCAGAAAGGTTTTTAAGAGGAATTAACATTGAAAACGCAAGACCAACAGGAGCAAGTCAAGCTAAAAAGAACAGAAGAGAAAAATGTTCCAAACTGAGGAAAGTGTGCAAAGACTCTCAAGGAAAGAAGTCTTGGTAGGTTTGGAAAAGTCTGAGGAACTTCAATCTGGCTGATCAAGTGCAAGGGTAAAAGGCGAGGTTGCAAACACAGGAAGAGGTTAAAGTGGACCTCTTTACTTTATAGGCAAAATTAATGGGGTTGGCCTTGATCCTGACAGCAAAGGGAGGCCACTTAAATGTTAAGCAGTGAGATGATATGAAATTGTCTTTAGAACAAAAGATTTCCAAATGGGGTAGGCTCATTCACTGGGGTTCAAGGTGTCAGAGGCATGAACAGTTTTTTGTAATTAATTTTAAGGTGGTCACCTTCCTTTTGTACTCCTTCTACTAGAGAATGCACACACTTGTGATGAAGGCATCATATGGTTTTCCTTTTCCTCTTGCCCTAGCATAATTATCTTTCTCCCTCTTTTATTTTTATTTATTATTATTTTTTTATGAGGCATATCACTCATTCATTCTGAACCTTGCTTTGGTGAGTTATCCAGGGGCACCAAACAGATGGACAATTCAGAATACTGGTACTGGTGAAGACTCCTCTTGTCAAGACACAATAAACTCACTTGGAAGATTTGAGATTTGTCCTTGTATTAAAAATATTTTTATTAGGGGCAAAATGTGGTATCAGAAATAGGGTGTTAGAATGTTTTGGAATCAGATATCTTGCAGAGCAAAGATGCTGGAGTAATGATAATTTTTACCTATTGGTTTTGTCTCTTTCATTCCTGAACTATCATCAAAGAATGCAATGCACCTGAAAAGAAAAAAAATTTGATTAAACACATTGATGAGGGTGGCACCTCACTTCATCCAGGAAACAATGCAAGTCAAAGATCCCTGCTTTATCTATTTTAGTATTGGAGCATTCCAAATTGTAAAAAGCATCATAGGAAGTAAGCATCTGCAACAGAGTGAACCCTCTGGATATTTTCCCCCTCCTGGGTAAGGAGAAAGAATACCAATACCAACGAGAGAATTCCCCTTCACCTGTGTTTTCAGCTGTCTTGTTGGTCTGATTTCAAGGAGAAAAGAGTGGAAAATAATTGATTCATTTTCTAAAGATTTTACAGCTTCAGTGAAAGGAACATATAACAAAGGTAAGTTTCTGTTTTACATTTTGATTCAGATTGTGGAGAAACAATTTCATTATTTTTCCTAAGAAATTACTGAATACTGTAAACACACTAACTTTTTACTTGACCAAGGTTCCTGCTGTCAGTCATCAACATCTTTAGTCATCTATACATTCCTCCTATTTATTACAATAAGAATAACAAAATAAATATGTTGTAGCTTATACTATAAATAATACATTGACCAGCCATCATTAATACATGGCGATACCCTCTCTTCTGTTTGCTACTAATTTTTGCAAAATACATTTATCCAATGTCCTGAACCTAAAATCTGCCTCCATTTATTATGATTAATTCTACTGTCTCAAATGTGCATTTGCTGCTCTAGTTCTGTATTTTTCACCATGAAATTACGTTACTGTACTATCTAAATATAATAATTCTCAAGAGCCTATCTTCATGTCAACCTGCTATGCTTTTTAAAGCATCAGGAAATGACCTGGAAAACTAAACCACAGCACAAATGCTAAGATATTTTCTTAAACAGATGACAGAAAATACCCTAATGTGAAATGTGGGAATATATATAGATATATATACACACACACACATAGAGAGAGAGAGTACAAGCATGTGCCTGACTTTGACTAATTTTAGAATCATGAATAAGACATCTTCAAATGAAAGAGTAAAACTAATTGTCATATGAGTTTAGCTGAAGCTTTTTTAGTATACTTCTCAGATATTGGCCAAGTAAAGAACTCTAATGACTGGTAAAACTCACAAGTTACAGGATGTCCAATGGTTTGCTTTTCATAAGATTAAAGGAGGACCTAATTAAGTTGCTAACTCATAAATCATTGTAAAGTAATTTTAAATAACTTATCATGTGATTTTTGGTATGTTACTTGGAAAACATTTAAATAAATAGCTGTCATTGCTATAATAAAATTCTTTCTTGGCCCATATAGGTATTTATGGGATCAATGCTTCTCAAAAATTATATGTATAAGGTCAAACATAGGCATAGAATTTATTCTGAATCCTAATTCTAGAAATAAGTAATGTTTATCCATAGGCACATAAACTAATTTAAAAAAGATATTTATCTCATTAAGAGGTGGTTTTCATGTAATATTTTACTTATATTTAGTAAGCATTTTTCTAAATATATATTTGTTGTTTTCATTAATTATATTGAATGATATGAATAATAGTAAATCAATCTGTAAGAAATTATTTAATACTTAGAGCCTTATGGACACAGGAAATGAAAACTTCAGCATATATATATATATATATATATATATATATATATATATATATGCTTTTGCTGCAGTAACAGAATAATCAATAAAAGACTAAAAATTATTCTGTTAAGATAAAATCTGTGGAGGAAGTATAATAGAAATATAAGTTTGAGAAAAAAACCATAAAATCACTAACTCTTAGAGAAGAACTTGTGAACTTGTTCAGGTATTTTTAAAGAGGCCAATGGCAGGCATTAAATGACTTTTGAGGACACAACTGTGTCCTCTTTTGAATGTATCCAAATAAATGTTCTTTATATTTTCTGTATCACTGTTTACATTGTATCAGATATTCTAGCCTTTGAAATTATTTAAATTTACAGTAAAATAAGTTTTACTTAAACATTACATATAATTAAACATTACATATAATTTTGAAAATTTCTATTGGGGGGTTTGTAGGCAAAAAAGCTTAAAGACCACCGTTTAAAAAATCTTTTATTTTAATTTTTTTCATTTTAAATTTTTTTTTCTTTTTTTATTATACTTTAAGTTTTAGGGTACATGTGCACAACGTGCAGGTTAGTTACATATGTATACATGTGCCATGTTGGTGTGCTGCACCCATTAACTCGTCATTTAACATTAGGTATATCTCCTAATGCTATCCCTCCCCCTCCCCCCACCCCACAACAGGCCCCGGTGTGTGATGTTCCCCTTCCTGTGTCCATATGTTCTCATTGTTCAATTCCCACCTATGAGTGAGAACATGCGGTGTTTGGTTTTTTGTCCTTGCGATAGTTTGCTGAGAATGACGGTTTCCAGCTTCATCCACTTCCCTACAAAGGACATGAACTCATCATTTTTTATGGCTGCATAGTATTCCATGGTGTATATGTGCCACATTTTCCAGTCTATCATTGTTGGACATTTGGCTTGGTTAGGAGAATGAACAGAAAGGGGCAAGATGTAAGCAACAAGACATGCTAGTAGGATGTTGTGATATATGAAGCAAGACAGGTATTGCCCAGACTGGGGCAGGCCAGTGAGGATGAATGGAAGGGGACAAATCCAAGAAATGTTTGGGAGGTAGAATTAATAGAACATGGTGAGAGATTAGGTGTGTGGGTGCATGAGCGGGAAGTGTAAAGGGCGACACCTAGGTATCCACCCAGGTGGCTGAATGAATAGCTCTTCAGTCACCAAGAGCAGAAAGCCTAGTGTAGGTGTAGGCTTGGGAGCAGAGAGTGGTGCCCTAAGTATGCGTGCATGCATGTGTACATGTGTATGTGATATGGTTTGGATCTGTCCCCACCAAATCTCATGTGGAATTATAATCTCTGATGTTGGAGGTGAGAAACTAATGTTTCAAAAAGGAAGGATATTGTGTGGTGTCGAATGTTATTAAGAAGTCAAGGTGAAGAAAAATGGGAAAGATCTGGACCAGGGTGGTCTCAGGAAAGAAAGGGCAACAGAAGTTACCAGTGGGTTGCAGGTGGGAAAATAGGTATGTGTATATACCTACATCACTACACACATTCAAGGTGGGCAATAATAACTACAAGGTCAAACAGCTGACAGAATATTCACTTGGTGCTAATAAATGATTGCTAATTAGTATAATTTTTATTTTCTGTATAACAAAGAAATGTGTGACTAATTTATAAATTGAAAATCATGCTTTTTCTTGCTTTTCATAACCACTTTTTTTCATAAAAATGCAACTTGATGGCAACTTTTGTCTCATCATTTACCATTAGCATTTATTCAATAGACGAGAGTGCTTACTTAGTATGAAACACTACTAATTAGGGGCAGGGTAATAAGTCAGATATGTAGCCAGATTTCAAGGCATTAGAGGGCAGTTAAGATGTCCTTAAAATACTACACTATAAGGCAATATGATATATGAGCCACTAATATACACTTTGGCTTTAAAATATAAATATGGATAGATACTTTTATTCTAAAGGCTTTTAATACAAGGTACATGGAATATTGGTTTTAAACATTCGATTATTAGATCTGCATTCCTCCAAGAGTGTCATTGTCTTTTTCCAATGATCATTTCTTAAACTTTACACACAGTTAACTTAGAAAATTAGCAAGATAATGAATATAGGGTCCTACCTCCTTATATGGTTTGGCTATGTCTCCACCCAAATCTCATCTTGAATTGTAGTTCCAATAATTTCCATGTGTGGTGGGAGGGACCAGGTGGGAGGTAATTGAATCATGGGGGCAGTTTTCCCCATGCTATTCTCGTGATAGTAAGTTCTCACAAGATCTGATGGTTTTACAAGGGGCTTCCCACTTTGCTCTGCTCTCATTCTTTCCTTCCTGCCCTTATGTGAAGAAGGACATGTTTGCTTCCCCTTGTGCCATGACTGTAAGTTTCCTGAGGCCTCCCAAGCCCTGTGGAACTGTGACTCAATTAAACTTTTTTCTTTAAGAGTTACTTATTCTCGAGTATGTCTTTATTAGCAACTTGAAAATGAACTAATACACCTCCCAATTTAGATTTTTACACATCAGACTATCAAAAGAGACTTTGCTGTGATAGACTGAATATTCAAATATGTATTCAGATTATTCTGCATTTTAAATGGAAATTACAAAGTCCAGAGGAAAAAATTGACAGTTCACTCAAATGTGATTATCGCTTCTTGGCTCCCTTTTGCAGGTGGTCTTGAACTGTACCTCTCTTTTCCTTTTTAACCTCTTGTATTTAAAACTCCTTAATTAAGGGGAAATCTAAAATTTTCTTCATTCTTTTTTGAGGAGTCCTGCAATTAAAAAGTTGAGAATCTGCCTAGATGTTTGAGGAGCACAGATTATACTGAACAATCCACCCTTAATAATTAAATAGAATGTTATAATCATAAATAGCTCTGCCTTGCAGTCATTTCTGTAATTTTGTCTGACATTCATATTGTCATTTGATTAGTTAATCATCCATTTTCAAAGGTGTGAATGTGTTTTCACACTTCTGCTAAGACAGTGTTAACTATGAAACTATAGATAGCAATAGAGATTAATTATCTATTGCACCAGTTCCCACACCTTGTGCTTACCAGATAGAGGAAAAGAGTGCATGCCTTAACACAGGTGTGATTTCAAAAAATGGGAAAAAAACTGCTTGGTCAAATGAGCTTAAGGAGTACTTTCAATTGATCTTTAAAACATTAACAGCATTTACACTTTTAATTTCATTTCATAAAACAATTGATCTCTCATGTATAGCAAGGCTTGTTTCCTGAGTGAATTGGTGCATATCTTCAGTTACAAATGTGGAGGCATTTTACAAATGAGTCAGTCTTTCATGGAATTAGAAAATGGAACAGAAACTCTTTTTCAGGTTTTAACAATTGCTATAACTTCAATAGGGCAAAGTCAGAAATTATAGACTTGTCCTCTGAAAGGTTAATTAAATACAGCGAAACTTCTAAGCAGTCAAGTAACTCAAAATAATAATGAAAATATAATAATGGAGAACTTATTATTATAAGCACAATAATAATAATGAGCTCTCCAACTGACTTTTGATTTGCTGCTGCTCCCTTACCCTAATGATGAAGTCTGTTAATTTAGAATCTGCCTCATCACTTCTTTGGAGATCTGATTTTTCTATTTCAGTGAATTAGCTTTGATGTGAAGGGTGTCGTGACTGAAATGAGACACTAAGGGATAGAAGTTGACCTTTAACCACATTCATTTTTGAAGTAAAAATAAGCTCAGATTTTAATCCACCATGAAAGATAACAATTTCTAGATTAGTATTAGCTTCGGTCCTACACTTGATCATTAATGTTGTTAGTCTTCTTTAAAACGTAAACCAAGCACTGAAAATGAACTAAAATTTGCTTCTCTCATTCAGAAAAATGACTCTTTCATCTCATATGCTTTCTTGCTTCTTTAGATATGTGGATGCAAATATTCTTCCAGGCATGGTTCTGTATGGAAAGACACTCAGACAAGGTTGTTGCTCAGAGATCTGCAAGCTTGGGTCAATGCCTTTCCAACTGTTTTCTAAGTGCCTCCCATTATAAATCCATAGCCCCAAATTGCTCCTTTCCTCTTGGTTTGGGTATGACATAAGGCAAGCAAATTCAAGCCACTAGGTTTTTGGTAGAAGAAAAATGAGATAAAAATCCAAGTAGCTGGACCAGGAGCATAGCATTCCCACATTTCTAATCAGTCTGTTGGTAACATATTATTTTGCATCATTGCACATGGGCTAGTCAATTCATATTTAGTTACTCTTTCCTAATCTAAATTCTCAACTCCATGCTACTGTACTACCAGTCAATAAATAAGAATGACTATAATTTATCACCATGACCCCCCTTACATGTAGGACACTTTAGTTCTCAGGCCTAATCTGACCTTCCTAGAAGGCCTCAATTAACCACACATCTGAAAATGCTTAGCTCCAGCAGCATCACAGATATGTTTACAACTTTATGACAGCAAACATGTCTGTGTTGAGAGAAAATTGGTTGAAAAGAAGAGAGGGAAATGTGACCAAGACCAGTGACTCGTGCCTCTCAAAGAGATTCCAGAAAAGAAACTTCGTCTTCATTGAGCATGTCTCCTGAGGAAGGGGAGTGCCATGCCCTCATGAGCTTATTTCAGCCCTACTACTTGGCCATCTGCAGACCTAAGAGAGAGCAAGTGCAAATGGGTTGAGAGAAAGGTCTGTTTGCGGTCTTGGAAATGAAGATGTCTTCCTTTGGAGGAAATCTTGAGGATTAAGATTTTGAATGCTGGCTGGGCGTGGTGGCTCATGCCTGTAATCCCAGTACTTTGGGAGGCCGAGGCAGGCAGATCACGAGGTTAAGAGATCAAGACAATCCTGGCCAACATGGTGAAACCCCGTCTCTACTAAAAATACAAAAATTAGCTGGGTGTGGTAGCACATGCCTGTAGTCCCAGCTACTTGGGAGGGTGAGGCAGGAGAATCGCTTGAACCCGGGAGGCAGAGGTTGCAGTGAGCCGAGATTGTGCCACTGCACTCCAGCCTGGTGACAGAAGGAGACTCCATCTCAAGAAAACGAAAGAAAACAAAAGAGAAAAGATTTTGAATGCTTTGACCAACTCCAAAAGTAGAGCACACTTTCATAAGAGCATCACATTTAACAATGTGCTCATTAGAGCAAACATTGGCTGGCCTCATTATCTATAGGCTCTCAGATTTGGGGTAAAAAATTTAATAACTCTGAAGTTCCTCTTAAATTTACAATTGGTTCTTAAACAGACTAGTTCCCTGAGGGTGTAAAGCAGATGACTTTTCATTCTTAGGAATAGTCTAAACCAGAGAAGACTCTATGGATGACATGAATCTTCTTTTTACCTCATCTTTGGAACATTCTCCAGAACAATTTTGAGACCTACCAGCATCATTGAGAGATTTAGAAGTATAAATTAGTATTGCCCTAAGGTAAGCTCAACTGTATCAATGCCCTTTCACTTTTCTACTCACTATTTATAAATACCATTTATAAATATCTGAGATTCAACAATAAAACAAAATCACTTTTGTTAGCTCTCAGTACTTTCTCTGTGTTTGTTTTTTTTGTTTATTATGTTACATATAATTCCTTTTTGATAGAATTCCTATAGGAATAATGATGAATAATATTGCATATTTATATTTTATGCCTCACATGTACTCTGTGCTAGACACTCAACTAAACACTTTATAATCTCCCAACAAATTTATGACATAGGTATTATCAACCACACTTAACAAATGACAAAAATGAATTACAGAAAGTTGAAATAATTTACCCGTGATTACACAACACAGAGAATGCCCATAATAGCTAAAAGTAGGCCATGCTAATTTGTTGGTTGGATAAAGAATGGTGACATTGCAATGCTTCTTATTAGTCTTCAAGTAACATACTAATTTTGTACCATATATCAAGTGTCCAAAGATTGTCCCCCAATGAACCAAACTTCCTTGTTTCTCTTCACCCCCTCGCCCTTGGCCTTCAGGTCCTGTGACTCACTCATAGCTAGTAGAATGTGGCAGAAGGAATACATTGTAGGTCTTCCAAGCCCAGGTCAGAATAAGCTTAGGAGCTTCTGCTTTGGTTCCTTGGAATACATTCACCGGAAGTCCTAATGTGCTTTGTAAGAATTCCAACTCCCTGAGGCAGTTATGCCGGAGAGGTCACATGTAGGTACTCAAGTTAAGTCCAGACTTCCAGCCACCCCCATCAAAATGCTTCAGACATATGAAGAAGCTGTCTTGGACCTTCCAAACCAACCCATTTGCTGCAACTCAGTACCACTGAGTTAGCTCAGTCAATGTAACATGGAGCAGAAGAATCACTCTGCTGAGCCCTGCCAAAATTCCTGACCCACAAAAAAATGAGGTATAATTAAATGACTGTTGTTCAAAACCATTACATTTTGGCATAATTTCTTGTACAGCAATGGTTCCTGGAAAAGGGATGCTCCATAACAAAAACGTTAAACATATGATATTGGCTTTGGAACTGGGCAGTGGGTGAATGTTGAAAGAGCCTCAAGGAGACTGGAAACGAAAGCTCAAAGGGCCTCAAGAGGCCACTGCTGAGGGCTCCTATGATGAGGAGGAAAGTGCTATTTGAGAATGAGGGGAGGAAAGTGCTATTTGAGAATGAGGGGAAAACGATCCTTGTTATGTTGTGTCACATGGTTTGTCAACACTGCTGTCTGTGGTAACTGGGAAAATAGAAAGAATAAATATATAAAGCACTCATGGACTTGGCTGTGGAGATTTCCAGGCAGAATGTAGAAAGTTCCAACTGGCTGCTTCTACTGATTGTGATAATTTATAAGTTAACTTCTTAACTGCTTGTAAGAAGAGAGAGAGGAAATGAAGAATTAACTGTTAAGTTTTTGAGTCAAATTTAGAGGAAATAGAAAATATTCAGGACTTGCTTGTCTTGAAGATAAAACTGTTTTCCATCCCCTGTGTCTTGCAGTAAAATATTTCAGAGTAATAAACAGCAAGATAAAATCTAGAGCTATCATCAGAACATGATTTCAGAGTAAATATTTCAAGTATGTAGATGTAAGACCCTTTGTTAATATCTCAAAAAGATTTAAAGACAGCCTTTTATAGACCGTTCAGCTAAAGAATATGGATTTTAGAAATCTTAAAGTTATTGCTCCACAGCAGACTTACACATGGCCCAGATATAGAAGGACTCATCTCAGAAAAATGTAAGCGTACCTTTGTTTATGGGAGTTTTTTATAAATTGATATACAACTCTATAAAATTGTTAAAGGAATCAAAGCAGCTTGGAATGAGAGATAACATAAAATTAATTTATATGGTTAAGAAGCAGGCTAAGATATCTACCTTGCTGCAAACACAGACCTTTTTAAATTGATGTGAAATAATTCAGAGGGAAGATCCTAGAGCCCAGAGGTCAAAGCTAAGAGCCACGGTTAATCACTCACAGCAGAACTAGACCCTTATCAAAGGGACTGGTGCCATGTGCCAGATTGGGCTTCAGAATTGCTGTGGATCTGTGACTGCTATGCTTTTGTTCCCTTCCTTTTTGAGTGGGACTGTCTATTACAGTTATCCAATCTCTTTCTCACTATTATAGGTTGAGAACACTTTTCTTGTTAACTTACAGGTTCTCATCAACAGGATCTACACTCAGTGACCTATACTCAAGAAACGTTACCTGAGTATCAGCAGCTAGATGTGTGCTATAGATTGGACTGTGTTACCCAAAATTAATATGATAAAGCCCTAACCCTCAGTGGGACTATATCTGATGATAGGGTCTTAGGAGGTAATCAAGGATAAATGAGGTCATAAGGGTGAGCTTCTGATTCAATAGGACTATGGCCTTATAAGAAGAGGAAGAGAAGAAGAGAGCGCTTTCTCTCTCTCTCTCTCTCTCTGCCATGTGATGACATTGAGAGATTGCAGTCATCTGCAGTCCAGAAAGAGAGCCTTCACCAGAAATGAACATTGTTGAATCTTGATCTTGGACTTTGCAGCTTCCAGAACTGTGAGAAAAAATATTTCTGTTGTTTAAGGCATCCAGTCCATGGTATTTTTTTATGGCGACCTGAGCTAGGTAATACAACCTTATTTAGATGACAATATTTAATGCCTTGAGCCTGAGGCTGATGCTGTAATGGGCTAAGACATTCTTGGCAGAGAATGAGTGTATTTTACATGTGGGGGGAATATAAATAATTTTTATTTTTTGCCAAAGAGTATATGGTGTGGATTAAAGTGACTGAGAATTCTTTGCTATTTCCCCCATTGAGGGGTAGGCATTCATATCCCTTCCCCTTGAATCTGGGGAGGCTCCATGACTGTTTTGACCAATAGAATACAGAAGTGACACTTGTCAGTTTTGGGTCCAGGCCTTAAGAAATCGGAATTTCCATTTCCTTATTTTCTTCCAAAACATTTATTCTTAGAAACCAGTTGCCATGATGTGAGGAAGCTCAAGCAACCCTATGGAGAAACGGTTTCCCACAGGGAAAGATATCCAGATCCCTGTCTAACAGCTTCAATTGAGCACCCATCTGAAATAAGCATCAACCTGTCAACCATGTGAGTGAGCTGTCTTGGAAGTGGACCCTCCAGCCACAGCTGAGTCATTCAAGCTGATGAGTAGAGACAAGCTATTTCCAATGGGCCTTAACAAAATTGCAGATTTGTGAGCAAAACAAATAATTTTTGTTGTTTCAAGATACTAAATTTTGGAGGAGTTTGTTATACAACAATAGATAACCAGAAAACCATGACATATGAATTATAAATTTATCATTGAGTTGTTGGTTATCTTTCCACCTCTGAAAATTAAATACCTAGCCAGTCATGATAAAGAGTAAGGTAAAAAAAGTATGAAAGTATGAGAAATATATATGAAAAATCAAGGATGAGCAGAAAATAGGATCAGGAATGAGGCTAATATATAATGCATACCACAATTCTTAATTTGGAAAATTTTGTCAATTTCTAATAAAGTTAAACATACATCCGACCTATGAGTCAGCAATTTTACTCTTATGTATATACTCAAAGAATATCAAATAAAGACATATGTCCACCAAAACACTCTTAAAGAATGCTCATAGTAGCTTCATTCATAATGATTCCCAAATGGAAACAATGGAAATGTCATTAAACAATGAATGAAGCCAAACACATGAGTCTACATACTGTATGATTTCATTGATATTAAGTTCAAAAACATGCAAATTAAACTACGATAACAGGAGTTGTATGGCTGGTTACCTTTGGAGGAAAAGGAAATGACTAGGAAGGATCACTTTAAAAAATCTTCTATAGTGATAGGATCTTTTATATATTGACCTGGATAATAGTTACATGGATGTATACATATGTAAAATTAATTGTGCTATACACTAAAGGTTTGTGCATTTGACTGTGTCAATTATTTCACATTTAAAAATAAATAAACTGGTATTGTACTAGAAAATCCAGATATGGCTATACTCTACTATTTACTCAGGCACACACAGGCTTTATTAGTCCATTTTCATGCTGCTGATAAAAATATACCTGAGACTGAATAATTTATAAAGAAAAAGATATTTAATGGGCTCACAGTTCCACATGGCTGGGGAGGCCTCACAATCATGGCAGAAGGCCAAAGACATGTCTTATATGGTGGCAGGGAAGAAAGAATAAAAGCCAAGTGAAAAGGGAAACCCCTTATAAAACCATGCAATCTCGTAAGACTTATTTGCCATCATGAGAACAATATGGGGGAACCACCCTCATGATTCAATTATCTCCCACCAGGTCCCTCCTACAACATGTGGGAATTACGGGAGCTACAATTCAAGATGAGATTTGGTTGAGGACACAGCCAAACCATATCACAGGCATAGAGAAAATTCTCTTAGTGCTTCATTATTCTTAGGGTCAATCATCAGGAAGACCTAATAGGGTTTTTCCCTCTTCCTTTTCTCTGCATAATAGCTAAGAGGGAGCTACATTTTTGTACATGTGAATCCAATACAAATCCTGTGATTTGATCAGTGCTATTGTATTTCTTATTTTCTGTTAGAATACTCTTTCACTGTTTTATTGTTTGTTTGTTTGTTTGTTTAGAGACAGGGTCTTATTCTGTCACCCAGGCTGGAGTGCAGTGGTGCAATCATAGCTTACTTTAACCTCAAACTCCTGGGATCAAGCAATCTTCAGCTTGGCCTGCCCAAAGTGCTGAGATTACAGGTGTGAGTCACTGTGCTTGGCCATCTTTCACTTCTTATCATTTTCTTTGGAGGTTCTTGCCTTATATTTTCTCTTGGCATTTCAACTTTGACTTTTCTCCATTTTGGAATTTATCATTCTTCATTATGACTTTTACTTTATAATCTTGCAATGTCAGCATTTCCCAAATCAAGCTTCAAATCACAGTCTCACAATTTACAAACAATTAGAGCCATATTTAATTCTGGCACTCACTGGCATTACGTATTTTAACTCAATTTATAGCAGATTAGTTATTAAACTATAAAAAATAACATTGCTTTATGCATTAAATTATATTTTATTTTCAAATGCATAATCTGAGGTGTTGTTTCTTTGTCTTTGCCTTTTTTTGCTTGAGAATAATTCACTGCATACTGCATGTACCAAATTTAAACCTGACACCTAGATAGAAAACTGACAAACAGGAAATGATAAAAGGAAGAGGCTCTTCCTACCATGTTTGATACCATCAAAACAGACACTTTCTGTAAAACTCTTTTTCTTTTTCTGAGGGCAAAAAGGGGTGGGACAGTAACAATGTCAGTTTATACACTTACCCCTTAGTGACTATGTTAATTAAGGTGATTGCACAATTACTACAGTCTCTTCCAATACTTGCTTTATAATTTGGTCTATATCAAATTTTTTGATCCAGATTTTGTTCAGATTATTTAGCTCTTACACCCTTTGCCTGAAGATTTACAAAGCAATCATAATAAAAAGTAATGAGTCCCTTTTATTTATTTATTTATTTATTTATTTTTATTTTTTTGAGATGGAGTCTCACTCTATTGCCCAGGCTGGAGTGCAGTGGGGCAATCTCCACTCTCTGCAACCTCTGCCTCCCAGGTTCAAGCAATTCTCCTGCCTCAGCCTCTGAGTAAATGGAACTACAGGCACATGCCACCATGCCCAGTTAATTTTTGTATTTTTTTGGTGGATACAGGGTTTCACCATGTGCCAGGCTGGTCTTGAACTCCTGACCTCAAGTGATCTGCCTGCCTCAACCTCCCAAAGTGTTGGGTTTATAGGCATGAGCCACCACACCCAGCCATGAGTCCCTTTTAGAGCATTTTCCCTAACCGTTAGAAAAGAATCATTGCATTTTTCTATTTCCTTCACTCCTGATGGAGGAGGCCGATCAGTGAACACATGAACTGAGAAGATTGTTGTCTATTGATTTAATGCATAAACTTCAAGTCAGTCCCTTACATACAAATGCTTCCATCTTTTAAGCAAAAATGAGACCTGTAAATAGTCCATGGTTTAGATGTGAAATTTAGGATGTTTTATAACTAGCCATGTAGGCTACCCTGAATTAACTTTTTAAATTGGATTTTTAAAAATTATAAGAATAGTACATGCTCATAAAATTGAAACAGTACAGAAGCACTTAAAAAAAAAATCTTCTCCTGTCCTCTCTACCTATCATCTTAACTCTCTTCCCCTACAAAGTAATCACCAACACCAGTTTGTGGGAATCTTTCCATTTCCATGTATTTCCCACTTAAATACAACACATGTCAATGTAACAGATTTTTTTCTCCTTCTTTAGTCAAATGAAGTTGTATTACACAAATTGCTCTGAAACATACTTTGTTCACTTAAAAATAAAACGTGGACATCTCATTTTGTTACTGATATATAGTAACCTACCTCTTCAAATGTTCTGAAATAAAAATATTTGTGATTAATTTTAAAAATTATTTTTACTTGTCACAAATAAATATATTGTCTTAGTAGAAACTGAAACATGGGACTAAAGTCCTTTTTTAATCTCTGCTTTGAATTTCAGCCCCTCTCACTGTCTCTCCAGTTCACCGCTATAAACAACTCTCTAAATATTCTTCCAGACCTTATTCTTTGCACTTACATGTCATTATTACAAAATCATAACAATATATAGTATTGTATTGTTTTTATTTAACATAAATAGAATTCATATATATATATATATATATGAATTATATATATAATGTTCTACCATGTTCTACCATGTTCTACTTTACTTGGTAATTTGTCCTGGAGACCAGTACATGTTAATACACAAAAATATACCCCCATTTTAAAACCTGAGATTATAATAACTTTTGTTTAGCACTTCCCTTATTGATGATCATTTAGGTTGTTTCTGGTTGTTTTTTTTTTTTTTCATGTTTAAAAATAATTCTATATAACTTACTAACTTTTAACATAATTCTTTACACATAATAATTATATGAAAGAGATCAATTATATTAATACACTCAAGATAATACCTGCCTACAAAAATGTGTAGGTTATGGCTAGTACAACAGGCATTTTATTTAACTGCTATTTTAAAGTATAGTAAAATATAATAAACTTTGTCAATAATTTTGACAATATAAAAATGTTTCCTTTTGCATGGGAACAAGGAAAGTTAATGAGAAGTGGAATTACTGGGTCACAGAGGGTGTATATATATATATTTTTTGTTTCAATAAATACCGCTGAATTAGCTTCCAAAGTATCTGTACCAATTTCAGTTCTATCAGCAGTTCTCATTTCTTTAGAATATTGCTTTCTATATAGCAGTTCCCATTTCTTTAGAGTATTGCTAAGAATTGATATTGCCAAGTTTTAAAATGCAGAATGCTATTATCGTGATTGTAATTTGCAAATCCCTGTTTATTAGTGAGATTTAGCATCTTTTCTTGGTCATTTGTATTTTTACTTTTGTGAATGGTTTATTTATATCCTTTGCACATTTTTCTCTTGTGTGGTTTATCTTTTTCTATTGTTTTGTAGGTTTTCTTGTAAAATTTGGATACTAATTCATGTTCTAATCATATACGTTACAAATATTTTCTCCAAATCTTTCATGTCTCTTTGAACTTTGTTTATGGTATTTTGTGATACAGATTTATTTAAATTTTGATTTTGTCAAAATTTTTGGCAAGGTCATGGGTGTATTCTATATTTTCTTTACTAGAAGTTAAATAAAGCACCAGGGTTTCTAGCCATAATATATACAATTTTGTAGACAAACAATATTTTGTAATGTATTGATACAATTAACATGTTTTTGTATAATTACTATATACTAATATTGTGGTAAACGCAGCAAAGCTTGTATAGAGGGGCAAAGCATAGTGTTAACACCTAACATGAATGGTGACACTAAGGCAAGAATGCAAAGTAGCTATAATAAAAAAACACAGGCCTTAAAACAGGAATTGTGATGTAGTGGGAGCTTAAGAGAGAGATTTATTCTCTCTGCTGTTGTTGGTGGCAGTGGCATATTTGGGAGAAGTCAGGATTGCAGAGGGTCTTCATGAAGGCTTGGTGGTATTAAGATATGTCTTGATTTTATAGAAGATTAAAAGTGCTCACAAATTACTTGACATTGCTCCCACTGAATCTGGGCTGGCTTGTGGCTGCTTCAATAAAAGCATATGGGAGAAGTGACATATGTCCATTTCAGACCTGGCCTTTTCAAGAACTGGCATCTTCAGCTTTGGTCTCTGGAAAACTTGAGATGCCATATAGCAGTCTGACTATCTTGCTGGAGAATGAAAGAGAGGCCAAGGTGAACCCAGCCCTGCCACTGTCCCTGACAATTTACCAGGCACATCAATAAAGCCATCTTGGATAGTCTAGATCAGCCGAGCACCAGCTGAATACCACCTACCAATCCTATTTGATGCCTGAATCCCTGACCCAGAAAATTGTGAATTGTAGTAAACGAGTTTATGTTTTAAGTAATTAAGTCTGGGGATGATATTATGCAGCAATGTATAGTTAAAACAAAAGCCAATAAAGGAACATGATCGAAAAGAAAAAAGAAATGCTGCTGATGTGGTAGATTAATTCTCAAGACGACAGAGCTTAAATTGTGAATTCCTTGCAATGTTAATGTTTTATTCAATTTGCAATAACACAGCACCATTATTTCATATATATATATATATTTGTGCTATTCCCACACACTACTTCTAGAGTAAAAAACAAATTCTAACAGAAACATCCAGAAATAAACTGCAATATTCTGCCCTTGAAATAATTAGGTGTTTCTAGGTAGCTTCAATCTTAACACAGAGTAAGAGGTCATGTTTTGACTCAGCCTGGAACTGGGCTTGGGAGATTAGCTGTCACAATCTCCTTCTTTTACACTAGAGAAACCGCATCCAAGAGAGATTGATTTGGTGAAGGACTCATGAATGATTAGTGGCGAAATGTGGAATAGATTTGATTTTCTGACCCTTCTACTAGAGCCTTTTACTATGCTGCATTGCCAGACACACAGGAACAAAAAATTTGGTCTTAAAATTTTAGAACTCAGTCATTTTAACACTGTTACAATCTGATTTCCAGGAGCAAACAATCATTTTAAATACCAGTGTACATAGTAGCATGCTAGCAAATGTTTAACAACTGACTCTTTGAAAAACAAACAAAAGTCCTGATTTGTTGCATTTGCTGATTTCCATGGTGTAAATACTTTCACTTGTGACCACGTTCAAGCTACCATTACGATATCACCTAACACGAAGTTGGGAGTTACGAAGAGGTGCAAAATCAGCTTCAGAACTAGTGCGAGCCAGCTCCAGCACATCTCTGCATATGCTATTTTAAGAAAAGCCAATATGAACACATCTTTCATTAAAAGAGAAAAATTTGAAATGATTATTCAAAAAGACTGTTTACAAATGTGTCACTGTACTTCTTTGAAGAGCTGGAATTTTCTATGTGCATTAAAATATACTTGGAGAAGCAACATTTTGTTTCACTTATAAATAGTGAAACATTGCCAAAAACATTTATAACTATTGTAGAAAAGAAAATGATGCTTACCAAATATTCCCGGTGTCCCCTTAAATTTCCCAGACTACCTTGTAGTTAGGTTGGGCCAAGTTTCAAGTTCTGGCCAATGTCTTGTGAGTGGAAGGATTTGTGTCACCTCTGGACCAAGGCAGTCAAGAACTACGAGTTCTTTGTACTTTGCCTGACACAATAGCCTTGGAAGTCAGAGGTTGAAATGGTGGCATCACAGGGTGAAAGGACTCTGAATTCTTGAATCACAGACAGAGAACAACTCTGCTGACTCTCTTCAGCCTTTGTAAGCACAGGAAATAATTTTATCTGTGTATAAAACTGGTGAGACTTGGGGATTTTTTTTACTAAATAGCAGGGATTATCTTGACTAATAGAGTTATTAAAGCAGTTACAGAACTAACGTTCTTTTCAAAATTTTCATTTATTTGAATTGGTGGAAACAAGAAAAATACACAATTTAGAAACAGAAACATTGAAATGTGATCAAGGGAATCAAGGCAGGAGTTTCCAATTTCTCATTAACCAGCAATGTTTCTGACCATAAACTTCTGATGCCTATTTTTTTTTTTTTTTTTTTTTTGAGATGGAGTCTCACTCTGTCACCCAAGCTGGAGTGCAGTGGAGCAATCTCAGCTCACTGCAACCTCCATCTCCAGGGTTCAAGCGATTCTCGTGCCTCAGCCTCCCGAGTAGCTGCGACTATAGGTGTGCGCCACCATGCCCGCTAATTTTTGTATTTTTGGTAGAGACAGGGTTTCACTGTGTTGGCAAGGCTGGTCTCAAATTCCTGACCTCAGGTGATCCACCTGCCTCGGCCTTCCGAAGTGCTATGATTACAGGCATGAGCCACTGTGCCCATCCTCTGGTACCTTTTAAATATAGGAATAACGCTTTATAGACAAGGTGCCTTTTAACAAAATTTTACTTTAAGTTTTGGGATACACATACAGAACATGCAGGTTGGTTACATAGTTATACGTGTGCTACTCTGATCTTAGTTATGTCTTGTCTTCTATTAGCGTTTGGATTAGTTTGCTCTTGTTTCTCTAGCTCTTTTAATTGTGATGTTAGGGTGTCCAGTTGAGATCTTTCTTAACTTTCTGATATGGGTATTCAGTGCCATCAGTTTCCCTCTTAACACTGCTTTAGCTGTGTCCCAGAGATTCTGGTACATTGTCTCTTTGTTCTCATCAATTTCATAGAACTTCTTGATTTCTGCCTTAATTTCATTATTTACCCAGGAGTAGGAGTCATTCAGGAGCAGGTTGTTCAATTTCCATGTAATTGTCTGTTTTTTAGTGAGTTTCTTAATCCTGAGTTCTAATTTGATTGCACTGTGGTCTGAGAGATTGTTTATGATTTCCATTCTTCTGCATTTGCTGAGGAGTGTTTTACTTCCAGTTATGTGGTTGATTTTAGAATAAATGCCACGTGGCACTGAGAAAAATGTATATTCTGTTGCTTTGGGGTGAAGAGTTCTGTAGATGTCTGTTAGGTCCACTTAATCCAGAGCTGAGTTCAAGTCCTGAATATCCTTGTTAATTTTCTATCTCATTGATCTGTATAATATTGACAGTGGGGTGTTAAAGTCTCCCACTATTATTGTGTGGGAGCCTAAGTCTCTTTGTATGTCCCTAAGAACTTGGTTTATGAATCTGGGTGCTCCTGTATTGGGTGCATATATATTTAGACTAGTTAGCTCTTCTTGTTGAATGGATCCTTTTACCATTATGTAATGCCCTTCTTAGTCTTTTTTGATCTTTGTTGGCTTAAAATGTTTTGTCAGAGACTAGGATTGCAACCCCTCCTTTTTTTGTATTTCCATTTGCTTGGTAAATTGTCCTCTATCTCTTTATTTTGAGCCTATGTGTGTCTTTGCACATGAGATGGGTCTCCTGAATACAGCACACCAATGGGTCTTGACTCTTTATTCAATTTGCCAGTCTGTGTCTTTTAATTGTGGCATTTAGCCCATGTACATTTAAGGTAACTATTGTTATGCGTGAATTTGATCCTGTCATCATGGTGCTATCTGGTTATTTTGCCCATTAGTTGATGCAGTTTCTTCATAGTGTCATTGGTCTTTATATTTTGGTGTGTTTTTGCAGTGGCTGCTACTGGTTTTTCATTTTTTATATTTAGTGCTTTCTTCAGGAGCTTTTGGAAGGCAGGCCTGGTGGTGACAAAATTCCTTAGCATTTGCTTGTCTGGAAAGGATTTTATTTCTCCTTTGCTTATGAAGCTTAGTTTGGCTGAATATGAAATTCTGGATTGAAAATTCTTTTCCTTAGGAATGTTGAATATTGGCTCCCAATCTCTTCTGGTATGTAGGGTTTCTGCTGAGAGACCCACTGTTAGTCTGATGGGCTTTGCTTTGTAGGTGACCTGGCCTTTCTCTCTGGCTGCCCTTAACATTTTTTCCTTCATTTCGACCTTGGAGAATCTGATGATTATGTGTCTTGGGGTTGATCTTCTCATGGAGTCTCTTAGTGGTGTTCTCTGTATTTTCTGAATTTGCATGTTGGCCTGTCTTGCTAGGTTGGGGAAGTTCTCCTGGATAATATACTGAAGTGTGTTTTCCAGCTTGTAACCATTCTCCTTGTCTCCTTCAGGTACTCCAATCAATTGTAGGTTTGGTCTTTTTACATAGTCCCGTATTTCTTGCAGGCTTTGTTCATTCTTTTTCATTTTTTTTTTTCTAATCTTGTCTGCATGCCTTATTTTGGCAAGGTGGTCTTCAAACTCTGCTATCCTTTCTTCTGCTTGTTCAGTTCAGCTATTGATACTTGTGTATGCTTCACAAAATTCTTGTGCTGTGTTTTTCAGCTCCAAGAAGTCATTTATGTTCCTCTCTAAAGTGGTTATTCCAGTTAGCAGCTCCTCTTACATTTTATCAAAGTTCTTAGCTTGTTTTCATTGGGATAGAACATGCTCTTTTAGTTCAGTGGAGTTTTTAATTACCCATCTTCTGAAGCCTGCTTCTGTCAATTCATCCATCTCATCCTCCATCCAGTTCTGTGCCCTTGCTGGCCAGGTACTGAGATCTTTTGGAGGTGAAGAGTCTTTTGGGTTTTCAGCAGTTTTTCATTGATTCTCATCTTCATGAGTTTGTCAGTTTCGATCTTTAGGACTGATGACTCTTGGATGGGTTTTTTGTGGGGACGTTTTTGTTGTTGATGATGCTGTTGTTATTGCTTTCTGTTTGTTTGTTTTCCTTTCAATGGTCAGGTCCCTCTTCTGTAGGGCTGCCAAAATTTGCAGGGGGTTCACTTCAGGCCCTATTCGTCTGATTTGCTCCCACACCTGGAGATGTCACTCGAGGCTGGAGAAGAGCAAAGATGGGTGCCTTCCCCTTCTTCTGGAATCTCTGACCTTGAGAGGCACCAATCTGATGCCAGTAGGATTGTTCCTGTATAGGGTGTCTGACAACTCCTGTTGGAGGGTCTCACCCGGTCAGGTGGCATAGGGAACAGGACCTATTTAACGAAGCACTTTGACTGTCCCTTGGTGGAGGGAGTGTGTTTCTCTGGAGGGAACCCACTTGTCTGGGCTGCCTGGATTCCTCAGAACTACGAGGAGGAAAGGCTAAGTCTGCTGGTCCACAGAGACTGCAGCTGCCCCTCCCACTAGGGGCTCAGGCCCAGGGAGATAAGGGTTCTGTCCCTGAGCCTCTGGCTGGAGTTGTTAGATTTCTTGCAGGGAGGTCCATTCCAGTGTGGAAGGATGGGTCAGGGTCAGTCCTAAAGAGGCATTCTGGCCACAGTCTGCCACAGCTGGTATGTTGGGCTGTGGGGGACACCTCTTGGGACCAAGTTGTCCAGCCTCACTGGCTCCAACAGAGGAAAAGTGTGGCCTGGAGCTATAGAGATGCATGCTGCCTTTCCCCAGTGCAGGGAGCTTATCATGTTAGGTAGTTATGAGTCCCAGTGCTGGCTGCTGTCCCTTCCCCAAGAAGCTGAAATGGCTTAGAGAGCAGGAAGCCACAGATGTGGTACTGGTTGCCCCCTCCCCGCTGTGAACTCAGCAGGCTTAAGCATATTCTAGTTTAGAGGCTGTTGAGAATCTGCATGGCTCCAGAGTTGGGACCCTAGGCCCCAATGGCATGGGTTTGCAAGTGGGATCTTCTGATCCAGGGGTTACACAGTTCTATATAAAAAGCACAGTTTCCCTGGCTGGGTAGCATGCTCACTCACCACCTCCCTTAGCTGGGGGGTAAGGGCTCCCCTGACCTGTGTGGCTCTCAGGTGGGCTGCCACACCACACTGCTCTTTTTTCCTCTCTGTGGATCACAGCAGCTGCCTAATCATTCCTGTTGGGAGAACCTGGATACCTTGGTTGACAGTGCGGGATTCACACAGTATTATGGTTCTTTTCAATGGGAGCCTCTGATGGTCAGAGGCTGCTTCTAGTCAGCCATCTTGGCCCTGCCCTCCTAGGGTACCCTTGGTATATAGCATTGATTCTCGTTTGGAGGGCTAACCAGTTAGTTATAACAATAATCTTTACATGCCTTAGAGCTATCAAATCATTTTCAGATCCTATATTAATTACTTTGCTTATTTAATTATTCATTAAACAACACTTTATTGACTGCTTGTGATATTACTGTGTGAGATGCCTGGAATATAATGATGAGAAAAAAACATAATAGACTCTACCCTCATGGAAATTGTGGTCTGGTAGGTTACAAAGATATTAATTAAATAATCAAACAGTATTGTTGAGTATCATGAAGGGAAAGTATGGAATGCTTTGAAAATGTAACAGGGGCATTTCTTGGTGAGTTTATGTGATAAAGGTAGTGTCCTTGAGGAAGAGATATTTAGTCTTATTAGTCTAAAAGACTAGTAAGAGGGAAAATGAAGAGGGGAGATGGGTGAAATAGAGTGTTTTTGTTTCTATTGCTGCTGTAACAAATTATCACAAACGTAGTGGCATAAATGAATACAAATTTATTATCTTACAGTTATGGAGTTTAGATTCTAAAATGGATCAGCAGGGCTGCATTCTTTCTGGGGGCTCTAGGAGAGAATCTGTTTCCTTGTTTTTTCAGCTTCTAGAGACTGCTCACATCCCAGGGCTAAAGTCTCTCTTCTAGTGATGGCAACACTCTGACCACTACTTCTGTGATCATATCTTCTTTACTGACTCTAATTCTCCTGCCTCCCTCTCATAAGGACTCTGGTGGTTACATTGGCCCCACCTGAATAATCCAAGATAAACTTCCCATTTCAGGATGCTTAATCATATTTTAAAGTCCCTTTGTCACATGAAGTAACATAGTCACAGATTTTGAAGATTAGGACATGGACTTCTTTGCAGGCTATTATTATGTCTACTACAGAGTGGCAGGCAGAGGGGAAAGCATTGATCAAAATCCTGAAATTGAGGGAGCTTCTCTCACTGGAGAAACAGAATGAGGCCACTGTGACTGAAGCGTTAGAGCAAAGGAGCATTTATGGCAGATTGGCAGGACAGAAAGGCCAGGCTAAGTCTTACAGAAATCTGCAGGCTATTAATAAGATTTAGGTCTATAATTATCCTAGAGGTGCTTGGACACATCTCTATCAAGAAAAGCTTACCTAGGCTGAGGTGGGCAGATCACAAGGTCAGGAGATCAAGACCATCCTGGCCAACATGGTGAAACCCGGTCTCTACTGAAATACAAAAAAAATTAGCTGGGCGTGGTGGTGTGTGCTTGTAGTCCCAGCTACTCGGGAGGCTGAGGCAGGGGAATCGCTTGAACCCGGGAGGTGGAGGTTGCAGTGAGCCGAGATTGCACCGCTGCACTCCAGCCTGGTGACAGAGCAAGACTTGGTCTCCAAAAAGAAAAAAAAAAAAAGAAAAGAAAAGCTTACCTAAACAAACTGAGAGTTGACAGCGTGCTGGCAGTCCTCACAGCCCTCGCTTGCTCTTGGCGCCTCCTCTGCCTGGGCTCCCACTTTGGCGGCACTTGAGAAGCCCTTCAGCCCACCGCTGCACTGTGGGAGCCCGTTTCTGGGCTGGCCAAGGCCGGAGCCGGCTCCCTCAGCTTGCAGGGAGGTGTGGAGGGAGAGGCGTGAGCGGGAACTGGGGCTGCGCGCTGGCGCTTGCGGGCCAGCTGGAGTTCCGGGTGGGCGTGGGCTTGGCGGGTCCCGCACTCGGAGCCGCCAGCCGGCCCTGCCGGCCCCGGACAATAAGGGGCTTAGCACCCGGGCCAGCGGCTGCGGACGGTGTACTGGGTCCCCCAGCAGTACCAGCCCACCGGCGCTGCGCTCGACTTCTCGCCGGGCCTTAGCTGCCTTCCCGCCGGGCAGGGCTCGGGACCTGCAGCCCGCCATGCCTGAGCCTCCTACCCCCTCCGTGGGCTCCTGTGCGGCGGAGCGTCCCCGATGAGCGCCGCCCCCTGCTCCACGGCGCCCAGTCCCATCGACCACCCAAGGGCTGAGGAATGCGGGCGCACGGCGCAGGACTGGCAGGCAGCTCCACCTGCACGCCCCGGTGGGGGATCCACTGAGTGAAGCCAGCTGGGCTCCTGAGTCTGGTGGGGACGTGGAGAACCTTTATGTCTGGCTCAGGGATTGTAAATACACCAATCAGCACCCTGTGTCTAGCTTAGGGTTTGTGAATGCACCAATGGACACTCTGTATCTAGCTACTCTGGTGGGGCCTTGGAGAACCTTTATATCTAGCTCGGGGATTGTAAATACACCAATCGGCACTCTGTATCTAGCTCAAGATTTGTAAACACACCAATCAGCACCCTGTGTCTAGCTCAGGGTTTGTGAATGCACCAATCCACACTGTATCTAGCCAATCTAGTGGGGATGTGGAGAACCTTTGTGTGTACACTCTGTATCTAGCTAATCTGGTGGGGACGTGGAGAACCTTTGTGTCTAGCTCCGGGATTGTAAAGGCACCAATCAGCGCTCTGTCAAAACAGACCACTCCGCTCTACCAATCAGCAGGACGTGGGTGGGGCCAGATAAGAGAATAAAAGCAGGCCGCCCCAGCCAGCAGTGGCAACCCTCTCCGGTCCCCTTCCACGCTGTGGACGATTTGTTCTTTTGCTCTTTGCAATAAGTCTTGCTACTGCTCACTCTTTGGGTCCACACTGCCTTTATGAGCTGTAACACTCACCCCTAAGGTCTGCAGCTTCACTCCTGAAGCCAGCGAGAAGAACGAGCCCAGCGGGAGGAACGAACAACTCCAGTATGCGCCGCCCTAAGAGCTGTAACACTCACCGCGAAGGTCTACAGCTTCACTCCTGAGCCAGCGAGACCACAAACCTACCAGAAGGGGAACACATCTGAACATCAGAAGGAACAAACTCGGACACGCCACCTTTAAGAACTGTAACACTCACCGCGAGGGCCCGTGGCTTCATTCTTGAAGTCAGTGAGACCAAGAACCCACCAATTCCAGACACAAAACTTTCAAGGTTAGTTCTAGCCCTGAGGTGCTATGAAATTCAAAATCCCAATTAAAATCAGTAGTAATTCAATTTTGTAAAATGGAGATAATAATAGTACCTGTTGATGTGAAGAAAAAATTGATTCATTTAAAACAGTGTCTGGCACGTATGAAGCACTACATAAATATTGGTATTACCTAACTATGCAAACTGAAATTTCAGGTGTTAAGAAAAGAGAAGGAACTACATTATAGTTGTCCAACTCTATGAGATTTTAAGTGTAGGTTGAGTGAGGTGGAGTGGGTGAAGAATGAGGAAGCAGCGCAATTTAAAGTAAAAATAAAATGGCAGGCTAGAGAGTGCAAAAAGAAAAAAAAATGGCTAACTAAATTGTATTCCCTGGTGAATCCAGTTCAAACGGACAAGGCAGAATGAGTGCATAATAGAATAAATGAAACACACTTTGAAAATCTCTGGGAATTCTGAGATGTCTTAGGCTACTCTTGATGGAGCTGAAAATTGTAGCGAAGAGAACTCTGGACCCATGTTGTATTATCAAAGGACGGGGAACCACTTTATTCGAGCTAAACACTTAGTGCTATCACACTGATGTGACAAAGACTGACACTCAAGCACAGATATGGGGCCATTTTAGTCAAGATAAATAATCCATTGTGTTATAGTCTGGATTGAAATTTGTTAAGGCAGAAAGGCATTGTTTGAAGTTAGCCTGGAATGACAATTTTTCTTACAGGAAGGACTGTACTACTAACTAGTAGGTAGGGCTTAGTTAAAAATCATTTGAGTTTACACTGTCTTGGGTGGGGTTTCCCCAGATACAGGCACCGAGACAAGGGTCTGAGTGTAGGTAGCTTATTTGGGAGGTGATCCCGGGAAGCACTAGCGCTATCAGCAGATGAAGTCAGACAGAGAAGGGAAAGCAGCAAGTGAAATGTGTGCTAATGAGCAGATTGCTGCCATGGACAACTGGAGCCCAGGTCTACTGGAGACCTCTAAGAGATGGTACAGAAACTTCCTTAGGTATTTATATCCAGTACCCATCTGTCATTGGCTGAGGGCCGCTTGGAAGAGATGAGGTCAACACCTGTGGACTAAACTTGCTCTTCCAGTTAGTGAAGGCCCTCATGTTGTGCGTGAGGTAGGAGCTGTGGCATGTATAGGATGGAGAGTGCCAAGAGAACATGGGCATTTGCTATATGCATCTCAAACTTAACATCCTTGGCATCTACTATATATACTGACATGTATATATTATGACTTACATGTCATGGTCAATTATCTCTTGCTTATCCAATGATATCACTCTAATAATTTTCTCCTCTCTTCTGCAGCTTCAAATTTTTTTCTTTGAACTGAATTTTTCTTTGCATCAGTACCAAAACATGCTCTTCTGTTTTCCCCATCATTTCATTTATCCTTCTAGTTGATGCCTGATTTCCCTCTTTCCCTTCATAGCAAACTCATTGAAAAAATAGTCAACATCTATCATTATTTTTATATGGTTTTAGTCAATGTCTATAATTTGTTCTTTCTGAAATCAATTAGGATGTATTTTTGCTCCATTTACTCCAGAAATAGATAATGTCATGATCAGTAACCTTTGTGTTAAGCCCAACGATTAACTCTCAGTTCTTATTTTACTTGATTTATCAACAGTATTTGACACAGTTGTACATTCTCTCTTTTGTGCACATCTTTTCCCCCATGCTTGACATTACAGTCTCTTAGTTTTCCTCACACATGACTGCTCCTTATATGTTTCTTTTGCTGAACCTCTGCTGGTCCCTCCTCATTTCTTTGACTTCCAGATATTGGAGTTCTTTAACCTCTTTTTCTTTCTGCTACACTTTGGTGCTATCAACTGGTCTAATGCTTTCAAATATCACCTTTATGCTGATGACTTTCAAATTTATATCTTCAGCCAGACTTCTCTTCATAACTTCATTTCATTACAGTGGTTCTTACTTCAGGACAATTATGTCCCTCACCCCTGAACCTGGGGGATACTTAGGGATGCCTGGAGCCTTTTTGGCTGTCACAACTGGAGGATGGGGGGAAAGGTGCTACTTGCATCTAGTGGGCATAGGGCAAAGATGTCACTAAACATCTAACAATGCACAGGACGACACTCAACAACAAAAAATTACCTGGCCCAATGCCGATAGTGCTGAGGTTCATTCTCATATATACAAGTGAGCATTTAACATCTCCATATGGACATCTAATGGATATTTCAAACTTAACATATCCAAACTTCTCTCTGACTATTTCTCAAACCTACCCTTTCTACACCCTTTCCCAGCTCAACTGATGCCACCTCTACCCTTCCAGTTGCTCAAGCCAAAAAAGGTGGAGTCATCTTTGGCAACTCTCTTTTTCTCACACGTTTGCCACCTTCTCCACCAACAACCAGTCTACCAGCAAACCCTGCTGCTCAGTCTAGAAATCCCATCACCTTTACTGTTATCATTCAGGTTTACCCAACATCATCCATTGCCTAAATTATTGCCTTTACTTCCTAAACATTTCCCTGCTCCCTCTTTGGTCCCCTGTAGACTATCTCAACCCAGCAGCCAGTGATGCATTTAAAAATACATGTCAAGTCATATCATACTTCTGCTCAAAACCTTTCAATGGCTTCCTGTGTCATTTGGAGTAAAAGTCAATGTCCTTTCAATGACCTAAATGCCCTATTTGATCTCCATTCCCCTTTTACAGATTGTAACTCCATTACTCTTACCCTTGCTCAGCCACACCAGATGTGCTACCATCTCTGGGCTGTTGCACTTGCTATTTGGTCTTCCTGGATTGTTCTTCCTACAGATTTCTCGTGGCTCCTTTATTACCTCCTTGCAGGACTTTACTCAGATGTCTTCTTCTCAGATAATACTTCCCTGGCCAACTAATTTAAAATTGTACCTCTTTCCTCACCCCAATGCACCCTATGCTCCTTCCTTGTATGACATTGTTTCTTTGACTGTATTGATCAGTTTCCAATGTGTTATATAGTTTACCTATTTTTCTTGTTTACTGCCTGTCTCCATCTGGTAGAACATTAATTCTATGAGATTAGCTGGCTTGTTTTGTTCACTCCTGCATTCACAGTTCCTATAATACTTCCTGATCTAAAGTAAGCCTTCAATAAATATGTGTTGAGTAAATGAATAATGAATAATTGTTAAGTTAAAAACAAATGGGCCTTGCTTGTATGACTAGTATATACTAAATTTTTTCAACTCAGGAAAAAGTCAACTGGAGCAAGATTTTAAATGATTAAAATGCTTAACTCCAACATCACTACATACTTCTTCACATTTTTAGTTGCTAGTGGCTTTGTAGACATTAGGTAATATGTAAATAAATGGAAAGGCTGATAAAAATAGGAAGACAGTGGTAAAAAGAATTTTTTTTTTAATTGGTGTGTATTGAGTTAGGGTTTTAGGGAGAAAATGGCACTGTGTTATCTATTGTTGTGTAAAAAATTACCACAAATTTAGCACCTTAAAACAATATGCATTTAGTATCTCACAGTTTCTGTGAATCAGGGAATCTGGGTACATTTTTGGCAGCTCCTCTCTTTGAGTCTTATTAGGGTTGCAATCAAAGTATTGATGAGGCTGTGTTTTTATCTGGAGAGTCAACTGGGAAAGAATTGCTTTCAAGTTCTGTCACATTGTTGGCACATTTTATTCACTTGTGGCTGCAGGACTGAGGTCCAGCATCTTGCTGGCTGTTGGCTAGAAGTTGCCTTGTACTTCTGGAGGCTGCCTACAGCTCCTTGACATATGGCCACATCTCCAAACATGGTCACTTACTTCATCAAGTCAGCAAGTCCATCACTAGAATGCATCTGTTAGCAAGACAGAGTCTTGCACAACACAATAAAACTATGGAAGTGAAGTCTCATCATCTTTGCCACATTCTGTGGGTTAGAAGCAAGTCACAAGTCCTCCCTCACTCAAGAGGATGAGATTACACAAAGGCACATACTAGGAGATGGAGATCATTGAGGTCCAACTTACATCTGTCTACCACCGGCATACATACAAAAGATTGAGGAGAGTTTAATTAAGGGCCTACTTACAAAGGTATGGGCAAGATTAAGGCAAGTCAAGGAATCTTGAAACACCCTAGGACTAGCAACAACAGGGAGCCTTTATCACCCCCGGGGTTTGGAGAGAGGGCTAGGGGATGGAATATTTATCCTATAACTATAGGAGAGGGTTGGCTGCCCAATAGGAGATGCAGTTTTGATAAGGGAACATTGCCACTGCCAACTTGCAGCTTGGCAGAGCGGACCCAGGGGCATAGTCTAACCAGCAGTTTTTTTGGGGACTCCTGGATGTTCTCAAGACCTCTGATAACTATTTTCAAAAATATCTTTATACTAATACTGAGATGTTATTTGCCTTATTTTCTCTAATGTTCTCATGAGAGTATGGTGGAGTTTTCCAGGGACCACATGATGTAATATTGCAACGGATTGAATGCAGAAGTAGATATGAAAATCCTGCTGTTTTATATTAAGCTAGGTATTAAGAAGATTTGCAAAAACATAAAACAATGCCAATTTAATTGCTATTGTGTGGGAAAATAGAGTTACTTTTCATATAAACATGTTATTTATATTAATGTACAATGAGTTTGTTTTTTAAAATAAATTATATCAATGTAAATTTTTCTGTTTTAATTTCTCATATGGTAAAATCAATAGATATAATTTTTGTCTTAGTTTCTCTTATCAATGAACACAATTTTTAAGGGTATTAATAAGTTCTGAGGCCACAGTCTTTCAATTATGCTGCTATAATCTCATCCTTCTTCCACTTTCTGATTTACTGCTAGTAGTTCCCATCTGCCAGACAGAAGTGGAAGGCAGAAGAGGAGCTAACCTGGTTGATGTATCCATAAATGTCAGCTTCCTGCAGCACAGGGTAGAGTGGATGAGGTACAGAGTGGATGCTGAGGGGCAAACACAGAACATCTAGCAGAGATAATCTGTGTGCTGTATTGGGCTTAATCCATAATCTTTAAAATGCCTATGAGAATATACTACTAAATACTTTTATCATCTATTTTTTCATGTCATCAGGATTGCATAGTAAAACTGAGCAAGCAGCTTGTCAGGTCCATCCTTTTTGGTACTTCGGCCTTGCCATTAATGTTTAATAAAATTCATAGGTTGTATAAAGAAAGGTAGTGATTTTCAGACTTTAATAAAACAGAAGGTAAGTCTGTCAGTTTTAATCCAACAGACTCCAGGAGCACAAAGTTTCCAGTCAATGGAATTCCCGTGTCATGTATCTGAACTACTTGGCAACCTCGACAGATCTTTTCCATTTATTGATGAGGCCCATAAGTGCCCCCAGGAAAGAGTCCTGGACTCTAACCCAGCACTTTGAGTCTCCCTCTGGACTTTATTTCCTGTCTATTCAAAGATTAATTATTCCTTTTTCTCAGTTATGACTTTCCTTTTGAAAACCTCCATCTTTATCTCTCTACTTGCTTCATACAAACTAGTTTCTGGGTCAGCTCAACACCATTCCAGTATTCATTCTTGACTCTTAAAACTGTAGGACTTGGAAATGAAGCCTTATTCAGAGCCCCACAGCCCCACCTGCTAGGCATGAGAGTTTAATGACATGGAATGGTCATATCACCAGGCCTGAATAAAAGACTCATCAAGAAACTTTGACTTTTGTTATTTTTAGTTTGTGATCCCCAAAAAAACTGTTGATGAGATTTAGAAATACCTTGAAATTGGGAAAGGAGATGTAAGGATATTGACCATTTCTTCTCATAAAAAAGTAATTGACTTACTGATACATAGTTCTATCTCTTCTGAGATAGTTAATATATGTCGGCTTCTAGGGCCTGATTAGCTCTGAGAACAATAATAATAAAGAATTTCTGTGTCTATACCATTGAACAGAGTTTTCCTTTTCCTTTTTTTTTTTTTTTTTTTTTTTTGAGACAAAGTTTTGCTCTTGTTGCCCAGGCTAGAGTGCAATGGCACAATCTCAGTTCACTGCAACCTCCGCCTCATGGGTTCAAGGGATTCTTCTGCCTCAGCCTTCCAAGTAGCTGGGATTATAGGCGTGTGCCACCATGTCTGGCTAATTTTGTATTTTTAGTAGAGATGGGGTTTCTCCATGTTGATCAGGCTGGTCTTGAACTCCTGACCTCAAGTGATCCACCCACCTTGGCCTCCCAAAGTGCTGGGATTACAAGCGTGAGCCACTGTGCCCGGCCTCAGAGTTTGCCTTTTCAATTCCAGGACTCGCTGAGTATTAGCCTGCCAACCTTTTCTACCCAACCCATTAAGCCTTGTACATTTATATGAGCTTATTTTAATTTGGAACTTGTTACTGTTTTCAAGTCTCCCTTTTTCTAACTTGTTGGCTTTGATGATATAATATTCTGTTTTTTGCATCTTAGAGGATAGGGATGTTTGCTTAAGTGAATGCTAGGTCATGAGTCAAAGAAGATGTACCATAGTCTAATGTGGGAGAAGAAATACGTATCACACCTTTTCTAATAGTGTCAGAATTCTGCATCTGAATTGGAAATCAACTGAAACTTGATAGGAACAAACATAAAACAGAGATTATAGAAGGATTAGCTTTCTGTGACAAAGTGGTAAAGTCTCAAGTAGTTGAAAATAGTACTTTGTAGGTGCTACTAGATGCACCTCTCAGAGAATGGAGCTCAGAGCTTTCAACACAGTTCTCTGTCAATGAGAATTTGCTCACACAAACCAAGCACAGATTAAAGTGTGCTTTCCTTGCTATTTGTAAGTTTCTGTAGTCATTGGCTTTAGATTTTTCCATGGTCTTCATAGTCTCTTTTGATTATTTCTATCTTGTATTTTTTTTTTTTTTTTAAACAGCATCTCGATTTATCGCCCAGGCTGGAGTGCAGTGGCGTGAACTCCGCTCATTGCAAACTCTGCCTCCTGGGTTCAAGTGATTCTCTCACCTCAGCCTCCAGAGTAGCTGGGATTACAGGTGTGCACCACCATGCCCAGCTAATTTTTTTGTGTGTTTTTTTTGTAGAGATGGGGTTTCACCATGTTGGCCAGGTTGGTCTCCAACTCCTGACCTCAGGTGATCCACCTGCCTCAGCTTCCCAAAGTGCTGGGATTACAGGCATGAGCCACCATGTCCAGCCGCTATCTTGTATTGTTCATTCTAATACTCTCAGGATCTGAATCTGGCCTTGCCCCAACTCTGCTTTTGCCCCCAAAACTTAGTTCTCATGTCCCATCAAGGTTTTTTTTTGTCTTGTGTTGATTCATTATTTAGACCTTGGTACAAATAATTCATGGTTAACTGGTTCCATCATAAGGCTGCAGTAGAAAATTAGGTTTATAAACAGACTTTTGGTGATAAATCTAGCTTTTAACCCAGTGTTCTCACACCTGGCAATTAATAGGTATTCCACAAATATTTGTTGAATGAGTGAATAAATAAATGAATAAAAACTAGTCTTTATGCTCTCATAATGTGCTAACAAACACAATTATTTTTAGCAATAATTATACATTTTAATAAAATGCTTAGCCATATTGCCTTGAAAAGAGAGCATAAATGTGTATAAGTGGATATTTTTAATATGTTTGTAAATAAAGTAGAGCATATGCAAAGTAGAACGACATTAGGTAACACAGCCATTTGCAATTCAATGCAAAGAAAAGGTGTTATCAGATTTAATGTACAAATGATAAACATTCAGTACACTTTAAGTAAATCTCACAGGATCATAAATAATATGGTAAAATCTACTTTTAAATTGTATAAGTAATATTGTACTTTGCATTTAAGAGATGCTTAGGTCAACTGATTCATTTTTTTGCTCAACACTCAGGAATGCGTACTTGCCAATGTCAAGATTCGCAGTTTTTATGGCATAAGTTTGACCACAAGAAGAAAAATAAGTATAGTTTTATATTTTGGCTCTGTTTTTCTCTCAGCTACAAAATAATTTCTCCCATAGGAATGGGAGTCAAAACTTCTCTTATTTCACATTTTCCTGCAGTTAGGCTATTGCAAATGGGTTTCCAAATGGCTGCCATTTTTTCTGTACCCATGGCAGACATTACTGCCATTTTTTTCTCCTACTGAGAATGAACTTACCAACAGATTTCCACGGAGCTGTTCAGTTGATCTTATTTGACCTCCTCAACTTAGACTATTGCTTACCTGAGGAGAAAAATAGTTTGCCAAGCACCACTATCCACCTCATGTTATATTTTTAATAAAAGTGACTTTTCTCTCTCTGAGGGCTGTTTTACCAATATCAGGGTTTCCATAGTGGCCTTCTGAAGAGTTTTCTTTCTTTAGCATGGCTTATTCCCTAATATTTTTGTCTGCGGTCAGAAGTCATTCTTGGCTCCTTTGAAGCCTAGATGGAGGTATCCACATGTGGAAGACAGCAGCAGAAATAGCATCTCAGCTGCAACCAGAGTTTTATCTGGGCCTGTGCATGTGTCCACTTTCCTTTTTCTTGCTCCAGAATGTAATCCTAGGCCCTAACTTGCCAGTGATTCTCTTGGATGCAAGCCTCCCAAGGGCTCTGGCCCCATTGTTCCTGTCCACCTCTGAATGTCCAGTTCCTAAATGTGCACTGGAATACAGTATGTGCTCAGTGAATGATAGTTGAAGGAAGGGAGGAAAGAAATAAGACAGGTTGTAAGATTCTCCAACCTCGATGCCTACTTTTTTGGAGTCTGTGCATTTTAGCTTTGTTCACCATTATTACTTGTTGACCATTATTCCCTATTTTCTCCTCCTGCCCATGGTCTGTTTGTCCTGATGTCTGTTTGACCCCTTTTGGCTCTTGATTTCTGCTTCAGTGGCCACATCCAGCTTCTACACAGCCTAAGGATTGTGAAGTTTTTTTCTCTACTCATAAATGTATTAATTAGATGCTTACTGCCTGAAGTAACAAAAAACCCTGACTAGACTGATCAGAAGCATGAGAGTTATTTCACATAACAAGAATTCTAAAGAAAGGGCAGCTCCAGGTTCAGTGTAACTAGAGCTCCGGCTCTTCTTGGGTATTCTCATGGCTCTGCCCCTACCACTGTGTTGGCTCTGTCCTCCCAATACCTCTTTTCATCGTTGCAAGATGGCTGCAACAGTTTTAGCATCTCATCTAGACATGACAAAATCCAGAGGCTGAAAATAAACTGGTGTTTTCTATGTCTCCAGAGTCCTATAGCTGACTTTCCTGCATGTCTCTCATTGGTCATAACTGAGCTGCCTGCTCATGCCTAGAAAAATAAGAAATCATTATCAATTTAGATCACTCAGGATGCTTTCCAGAGATGGGACTGGGCCAACCTTTCTTAAAGTCTATGGCACTGCAGAGGAGGATAGGAACTTCACAAAATTGAAGTCATGTAAATAAGGAAGAAGGGAATAGCTGTTAAGAAGATAATGGTCTTAGTTTGAATTATGCCAGAGGCAAATGCTTAAACAATGTACAGTTGACCCTCAAACAACAAGGGGTTTAGGAGTGCCAATTCCCCCATTGCAATAAAAGAACCCATGCCTAATATTTAACTTCCCCAAAACTTAACTAATAGCCTCCTGTTGACCCGAAGCCTTATCAATGACTAAACAGTAAGTTAACACATATTTTGTATATCACATGTATTATATACTGTATTCTTACAATAAAGTAAGCTAGAGAAAAAAGAATGTTATTAAGAAAATCATAAAATGTATTTTCTATTCATTAAGTGGAAGTGGATCATCATAAAGATCTTCATTCTCATTGTCTTATCTCTGAGTAGGCTGAGGCAGAGGAGGAGCAGGAGGAGTTGTTCTTGCTGTCTCAAGAGTGGCAGAGGTGGAAGAGGTAGAGGAAGCGGAATGGGAAACAGGAGAGGCAGGCATACTCAATATAACATCATAATTTCTGTCTGACTTTTCTGCTATTTTATTTCTCTAAAAGTTTCTATATGGTACAAACCTTTTTTCCACCATTTTCTTTAGTTTCAGTGCCTGTATCAAAGAAGGGGTTCATGTTGTAAAAGAAGTCGAAAGCAGTCTTGAATAATTGGAACTCTTCTGCTGGATTACCTAATGTCCATTTGTTTCCTGCACTGCTTCTTCTACATCTTCTTCCACATCATGTGGCGTTTGTTCGGAAGCACTCATCTCCATCAAGTCATCATCTGTTAATTCCTCTAATGTGGTGTCTATTAGCTCTTGAATTTCTCCAAGATCCATATTTTGAAATCCTTCACTCCCTACCATTTTTGGGGGGCCATATCCAGAATCTCTTTCATGATTTCCTTGAGTATCTCTGTCACAAATCTTGTGAAGACATGCACAACATCTAGACACAATTTTCTCCAGCAGGAATTTATTGTTTCAAACTTGATGGCTTTCACAACTTTTTCTATAACTACAATAGCATCTTCAATGGTTAATCTCTGCAGACTTTTAGGATGTTCTCTATATTGGGGGGTTTTCTTTCGTAATGCTGACCGCAGACCTTAATCCTTTCCATAGAGTACTCTGTGTAATGAACTTTAAAGATCTTTATGACTTCCTGATTTAGAGGCTGATTTACAGATGTTGCATTTTGGAAGAAGTAGACCACTTCAACTCCCTTGGTGTTGACTCATAGGATTATGGGTTACCAGGGGCATTGTTCAATATCAAAAGTACTTTAAAAGGCAGTCTCTTACTGTCAAGGTACTTCCAGACTTCAGGGACAGAGCATCAATAGAACCAATCCAGAAAAAGTGTTCTTATTGTCCAGGACTACTTCTGGTACAACCAAAAGATTGGCAACTTGTGTTTATCTTTTCTCTTCAAGGCTCTGGGATTAGCAGCTCTATAGATAAGGGAGTTCTGATGATAACCCTGACTGCAATTGCACAAAACACTAGAGTTAGCCTATCCTTTCCTGCCTTAAATTCTGGTGCTCACTTCTCTTCCTGACTAAGAAATGTCCTTTGTGGCACTTTTCCCCCAGAATAAGGCACTTTCATCTGCATTAAAAACCTCTTCAGGCAGATATCCTTTTTTCTCAATTTTCTTAATGGCATATAGTCATAGAACTTGTCTGCTGCTGCTCCTCCTACTATCTTGACATTTTTAAAGACAAACCTCTTTCTAAAATTATCAGACAATCCTGTGCTGGCATTAAATTCTCTCACTTTAGATCCTTCACCTTCCTTTTGCTCTAAGTTGTCATATAATGACTCCTCTTTTCCTCTTCTTCTTTTTTTGAGACAAGGTCTCGCTTCGTCACTCAGGCTGGGGTACAGTGGTATAATCACAGCTAACTGCAGCCTTGACTTCCCAGGCGTAAGTGATCCTCCCACCTAAGCCTCTTGATTAGCTGGAACCACAGGTGTACAGCACTACACCTGGCTAATTTTTAAAAATTTTTGTAGAGGTGGGGGTCGCTGGCCAGGCTGGTCATGAACTCCTGGGCTCAAATGGTCTTCCTGCCTCTGCCTCCCAAAGCTCTGGGATTACAGGCCTGAGCCATCATGCCCAGCCAACCATGTTTTGTTGTATTATGTTTGAGTCTGTAGGTATGCCTTTTTAATAGCAATCCTCACCCATATAAAGCTGCATTTTCAATATGAGATAAAGTATTTCACACAAAAAGTGCAAAGTTTTCACACCTGCTGGCATAGCTGCAGAGACAGCTTCCCTAATTTCTTTTCCTTTTCTGTTTTTTTTTTTTTTTAAACAATGATTTTTACACTATATTCGTTTATCTCAAAATGGCGGGCAACCACAGCTGCAGATCTCAATCTATGGTACATATCAAACAATTCAACTTTTCCTTGTTAATGTCATGACTTTTCTCTGTTTGTTGGGAGCACTTCCAACATCACTAGTGGTAGCTTTTATGGGTCCCCTGGTGTTTTTGAAGGTTTATGAAATTGCACTAAACACAATGAAAAATACGTGAGAACTGCAAGAGATCACTCTTTACTGCAAAATGAAATTTACTGGAGAGATGAACTGCTCATGCGGTAATGATTAGCCTCACATGTGATATGGTTTGGCTGTGTCCTCACTGTAGTTCCCATAATCCCCACGTGTCGTGGGAGGGATCTGGTGAGAAGTGATTGGATCATGGGGGCATTTTCCCTCATGCTGTTCTTGTGATAGTGAGTTCTCATGAGATTTGATGGTTTTATAAGTGCTTGGTATTTTCTCCTGCATTCATTCTCCTTCCTGCTGCCTTGTGAAGAAGATGCCTTGCTTCCCCTTTACCTTCCACCATGATTGTAAGTTTCCTGAGGCCTCCCCATCCATGTGGAACTGAGACTCAATTTAACCTCTTTCCTTTATAAATTACCCAGTTTCAGGTATTTCTTCATAGCAGCATGAGAATGGACTAATACACATGGAATTTTAAGCAAATACAACACTTGAGCTTACCATAATAGCAACAGGAGGTGGCTATAACATTTTTAAAGTAGTACAATATGTACTATAGTTAATTTTATGCAGTTATGATTTAATATTGCATCATCACACTTGTTTACATTTCTCTTGACAGTGAATAGTTCCATGTGTAATCTGTGTTTGTGTGCATATGTTTTAATAACTTTTAATTTTTATAATAGATTTGTGTTCATTTTATGATAGCAAATGATAAAATAGACATACCTGACTTTCTTAAATTTTTCAATATTTCTAGGCCATGCAGTTCATTGCAAGTTTTTTCAAATTGTCTCGAATCTCCAAAAGGTTTTCTAATATATTGAAAAAAGTCTGCATATAAGTGGACCCCACATTGTTAAAACCTGTTTTATTCAAGGATCAACTGTATAGGTGGTTTATTTAGGGGATGAAAC
The DNA here is from genome assembly GCF_000001405.40 of Homo sapiens. NCBI lineage: Eukaryota > Metazoa > Chordata > Mammalia > Primates > Hominidae > Homo > Homo sapiens. Next base: position 28,186,591 of record NC_000003.12, on the reverse strand, counting down.
TAGGAAATTCTGGGTATGTAGGGAAGTGAGAGAAGAAAAGGAAGGCGGCTAAAAAAAGGTACATTATAAATCAAGTTGCAAGAATGGGCAACGGAAGCTTAATGCAGCTGGGAACACTGCAAGTCAGGGTAGACATTTCTTAGAGTTGCTGGAAGTCAGTGCAGACATTTTCCAACCAAGTTGCAAAGAAAATGGAGCATTTATCTGCCAACTCCCATCTAGCATTGGCTGAGGGGTGCTCCCAGTGGTGTTAACCCCCAGCACTTCTAGTCTGCGCTACACACAGGCTTAAAGAAAGCCTTCTGGCAGAGACTCACAGGTGCTTTCAGTAGAATGAGTGCCTATAGGATATGGGCAGAACACTGTCAGCATCTGCTATAGCAAACAGCAGGCTTTGCTACAAAGAGGAACTATTTAAATTTGTAATTTCATCTTCAGACTTTTAGAACAACAATGCCAGCCCCCAGACTAATATAAAATAAATATAATCTTCATCATACCATGTGCCTTATAAACACGAACAGTTGTTCCAACAGGGCAACAGAGATTTTCAGAATGAGTTCCATGTTTGTGATTGCCCTTGAGATTCAAATGTCAATGTTGAGAACAAGTGGTGGCAGTGGTAGCCCTGTGGGGAGGTCTGCATCAAATTCATCTCCATTTTTAATTCCTTTTTATAATGTTGTATATATATTTTTTAACAAGGTAGATGCTTTTAGAAAATATTTTTAAAACAGAATGTCCTAAGTAATTCTAAAAATGTTTTTTTCTTCACTAGAAAAGTTTAAACAGAATGTTTTTTGGGGGTTAGGGGACATCAACTAACGTAAAATAAAGATGATTTATTTCAGCATTGTTATGGATTGAATTTTCTCCTGCCCCCTAATTCATATATTGAAGTCCTAACTCCCAGTACTTCCAAATAAGATGTAACCTTATTTGGGAATAGGGTCATTGCAGATGTAATTTATTAAGGTAAAATGAGGTCATACCGAGTAAAGTGGGCCCATAATTCAATATGATTGGTGTCCATTCGAAAATAATTCCGTTTGAAGAGACAGACACAAACACAGGGAGAACATCATGTGAACATGAAAACAAAGATTGGGGCAATGCATGTATAAGCCAATGGATGCCAAAGATGCAAACCACCAGGAGTTAGGAAAGAGGCACCGAACAGATCCTTTCTCACAGCCCTCAGAAGGAACCAACTCTGCCAACACCTTGATCTTAGACTTCTAGCCTCCAGAACTATGAGACAATAAATTTAGTTGTTTAAGCCACTTCGTTTGTGGTACTTTGTTATGGCAGCTCTAGAAAACTAATATAAGTGTCTATAATATCTTCATGGTGACTTACTAGAGCTAGTATATTTTTCTGAAAAAGGAGGCCCCTTGAGGTGTTGATGATTGTGGTCTAGTCTCTTGGCACCAGTGGTAAATCACACAGATTTGGGTTGCCTTATCCTAGTTGTAACAGTAAAGGAGACCATGCGAATGTATATTTCATCAACAGTCAGCCCTGTCTAGATTTTTCAGGACAAAAAATTCATATGGCCTGCAAAACATTATTGCAGTGATTGCTAGAGACCTTCAATAATTTTCTTCTTTCCGTATTATGAAACTATATAAAAGTTTCCTTTGGTGTGCCTGATTTTGACAATGGCAAATTGAATATTCAGAATGGTTAAGAAATTTGCCTAAGGTTAAAAAGCTTCTAACCAGTCAGGACACACATCTGGCTCTGTCTTTCTCCAATGACCGTGCTCTTTTTATTTTAAGTCTCCTGCCTTTTTATCCAGTGGAAGTTTTCTCTTTAAAATCTGACACTGATTTCTGTTTCATTAAAGCCAGTTATAGGCATCAGCTATTGTATGAGGCATTCTTACAGGATATAGGAGAATAGAGAAAGTAAACTCCAAAATTATTTCCAAATTCCAAGATTCTGGAGTTCTGTGAGAAATCAAAAAAGTTATTTGGGTATCTGGGCCTTAAACAGAATTAATGAAAGTGTAAGCTCTTAGCCTTGTCCTTCCTCCTTACAGAACGTTTTCAAATTGTAGCCAAAGCAACTTTTCTTTTTTTTTTTTTTTTTTATTGTACTTTAAGTTCTAGGGTACATGTGCACAACGTGCATGTTTGTTACATATGTATACATGTGCCATGTTGGTGTGCTGCACCCATTAATTCGACATTTACATTAGGTATATCTCCTAATGCTGTCCCTTCCCCCTCCCCCCACCCCACAACAGGCCCCAATGTGTAATGTTCCTCTTCCTGTGTCCAAGTGTTCTCATTGTTCAATTTCCACCTATGAGTGAGAATATGCAGTTTGTTTTTTTTGTCCTTGTGATAGTTTGCAGAGAATGATGGCTTCCAGCTTCATCTATCTCTCTACAAAGGACATGAACTCATCCTTTTTTATGGCTGCATAGTATTGCATGGTATATATGTGCCACATTTTCTTAATCCAGTCTATCATTGATGGACATTTGGGTTTGTTCCAAGTCTTTATTATTGTGAATAGTGCTGCAATAAACATACGTGTGCATGTGTCTTTATAGCAGCATGATTTGTAATCCTTTGGGTATATACCCAGTAATGGGATGGCTGAGTCAAATGATGTTTCTAGTTCTAGATCCTTGAGGAATCACCACCATATAATCATGTCATCTGCAAACAGGGACAATTTGACTTCCTCTTTTCCTAATTGAATACCCTTTATTTCTTTCTCCTGCCTGATTGCCCTGGCCAGAACTTCCAACACTATGTTGAATAGCAGTGGTGAGAGAGGGCATCCCTATCTTGTGCCAGTTTTCAAAGGGAATGCTTCCAGTTTTTGCCCATTCAGTATGATATTGGCTGTGGGTTAGTCATAAATAGCTCTTATTATTTTGAGATACGTCCCATCAATACCTAATTTATTGAGAGTTTTTAGCATGAAGCGCTGTTGAATTTTGTCAAAGGCCTTTTCTTCATCTATTGAGATAATCATGTGGTTTTTGTTTTTGATTCTGTTTCTATGCTGGATTACGTTTATTGATTTGTGTATGTTGAATTGGCCTTGCATCCCAGGGATGAAGCCCACTTGATCATGGTGGATAAGCTTTTTGATGTGCTGCTGGATTCGGTTTGCCAGTATTTTATTGAGGATTTTTGCATCAATGTTCATCAGGGATATTGGTCTAAAATTCTCATTTTTTGTTGTGTCTCTGCCAGACTTTGTTATCAGGATGATGCTGGCCCCATAAAATGAGTTAGGGAGGATTCCCTCTTTTTCTATTGATTGGAATAGTTTCAGAAGAAATGGTACCAGCTCCTCATTGTACCTCTGGTAGAATTTGGCTGTGAATCCATCTAGTCCTGGACATTTTTTTTGGTTGGTAAGCTATTAATTATTGTCTCAATTTCAGAGCCTGTTATTGGTCTATTCAAGGATTCCACTTCTTCCTGGTTTAGTCTTGGGAGGGTGTATGTGTACAGGAATTTATCCATTTCTTCTAGATTTTCTAGTTTATTTGCATAGAGGTATTTATAGTATTCCCTGATGGTAGTTTGTATTTCTGTGGGATCGGTAGTGATATCCCCTTTATCATTTTTTATTGTTTCTATTTGATTCTTCTCTCTTTGCTTCTTTATTAGTCTTGCTAGTGGTCTATCAATTTTGTTGATCTTTTCAAAAAACTAGCTCCTGGATTCATTGATTTTTTGAAGGGTGTTTTGTGTCTCTATCTCCTTCAGTTCTGCTCTGATCTTAGTTATTTCTTGCCTTCTGCTAGCTTTTGAATATGTTTGCTCTTGCTTCTCTAGTTCTTTTAATTGTGATGTTAGCGTGTCAATTTTAGATCTTTCCTGCTTTCTCTTGTGACATTTAGTGCTATAAATTTCCCTCTACACACTGCTTTAAATGTGTCCCAGAGATTCTGGTATGTTGTGTCTTTGTTCTCATTTCGGTTTCAAAGAACATCTTTATTTCTGCCTTCATTTCGTTTTGTACTCAGTAGTCATTTAGGAGCAGGTTGTTCAGTTTCCATGTAGTTGAGTGGTTTTGAGTGAGTTTTTTGGTGTACCTGAAAGTGACTGGGAGAATGGAACCAAGTTGGAAAACACTCTGCAGGATATTTTCCAGGAGAACTTCCCCAACCTAGCAAGGCAGGCCAACATTCAAATTCAGGAAATACAGAGAATGCCACAAAGATACTCCTCGAGAGGAGCAACTCCAAGACATATAATTGTCAGATTCACCAAAGTTGAAATGAAGGAAAAAATGTTAAGGGCAGCCAGAGAGAAAGGTCGGGTTACCCACAAAGGGAAGCCCATCAGACTAACAGCAGATCTCTGAGCAGAAACTCTACAAGCCAGAAGAGAGTGGGGTCCAATATTTAACATTCTTAAAGAAAAGAATTTTCAACCCAGAATTTCATATCCAGCCAAACTAAGCTTCATAAGTGAAGGAGAAATAAAATCCTCTACAGACAAGCAAATGCTGAGAGATTTTGTCACCACCAGGCCTGCCCTACAAGAGCTCCTGAAGGGAAGCACTAAACATGGAAAGGAACAACTGGCACCAGCCACTGCAAAAACATGCCAAATTGTAAAGACCATTGATGCTAGGAAGAAACTGCATCGAATAATGAGCAAAATAACCAGCTAACATCATAATGACAGGATGAAATTCACACATAACAATATTAACCTCAAATGTAAATGGGCTAAATGCTCCAATTAAAAGACACAGACTGGCAAATTGGATAAAGAGTCAAGACCCATCAGTGTGCTGTATTCAGGAGACCAATCTCATGTGCAGAGAAACACATAGGCTCAAAAGAAAGGGATGGAGGAAGATCTACCAAGCAAATGGAAAACAAAAAAAGGCAGGGGTTGCAATCCTAGTCTCTGATAAAACAGACTTTAAACCAACAAAGATCAAAAGAGACAAAGAAGGCCATTACATAATGGTAAAGGGATCAATTCAACAAGAAGAGCCAATAATCCTAAATATATATACACCCAATACAGGAGCACCCAGATTCATAAAGCAAGTCCTTAGAGACCTACAAAGAGACTTAGACTCCCACACAATAATAATAGGAGAATTTAACCACCCACTGTCAACATTAGATCAATGAGACAGAAAGTTAACAAGGATATCCAGGAATTAAACTCAGCTCTGCACCAAGCGGACCTAATAGACATCTACAGAACTCTCCACCCTAAATCAACAAAATATACATTTTTCTCAGCACCACATCGCACTTATTCAAAAATTGACCACATAGTTGGAAGTAAAGCACTCCTCAGAAAATGTAAAAGAACAGAAATTATAAGAAACTGTCTCTCAGACCACAGTGCAATCAAACTAGAACTCAGGATTAAGAAACTCACTCAAAACCAACCAAAGCAACTTTTCTAAGGTGTGAATCAGATCATGTTGTTGTCTTGCTTAAAACCCTCCAGTGACTTTCATCAGAACTGCAATGTCTAAGCTCTTTGCCATACCCTATAAACTTCTGAGTAAAGCATGGGCTTTCTTAACTAAACAGAGCTAAAGAATGGTAACTGGGATAATCTTGGGCAAGTGAGATGCTTAGCTGGTCTTTCTTTAAGGTTCTACCTGATCTGTCCTTTAGCTATTTCTCTGACATCAACTCCCTTACACCTCCTTTCATTCACTGTCTTTGGCCACATTGGCCTAATTTCTGAGCTTTGAACACACACTTGCTTTGATCCCCCCTTTGTTTGCCCTTGCTGTTCCTTCTGCGTTGAATGCTCTCTCGAGACCTTCACGTGCCTCCCTCTTTCTCAGTTGTTCAGATCTCAATTCAAATATTTCTTCCACTAGAGAGGTCATTCTTGACCACGGGAGCTAAAATGTGCCCCTTCACTCATTCTTCTTCATAGAATTTGATTTCTTCTTCTTCTTAACACTTGCTAGATATTTATTTGTATTTTCTATGAGTTTTTTTTTTTTTTTTTGTCTGGATCCCTCCACTAATAGATAAGCTCCTTGAGGACAGAGACTGTCTTGTTCACTGTGAGGCACATAGTAGTTTCATAAATATTGGTTTGCTGGCTGCTTCTAAATAAAAGTAGCTATTAAAATAATTTTCATGTCTGTAAAAACAGAGATGCTTTTTCATGGAACACCAACATCTGGCCCCTGTCCATCTCTCCATCTCCTCATTTCTCACCACTTATGACCTAGCTCCTGACATCTCTGACCTCCTTACATGCTGATATCCACATTTATGGGCTTTTTCTCCATGAATGCATTTTTCCTTGTCCTTGTCCTGGACCCACACCTCCATTGGAATTTCTTCACTTCTCTAGACAATGGTCCCATGATATCCTATATTTCTAGTATCATAACACCCATTGCACATTATAATCATTATCTGGTTGTTTCATTTCTGTTAAACTCTCAGCTCCATAAGAAAAGGGCCATGTCTTTTTGGTCTGCTTCTATGTTTTGAAACCTGGGATGCTACCATCAAATAGTACTTGCTTAGTGAATGAATGAATCCACAAATGTGCAGATCTCGCTGTATATTTGCTTCACTCCAGCATGCTCTTTAATTTTTACATCTTTGCATTTATCCTGAAAATATAACCATTCTACATACCAGGTATCAGCACAGGATTTATCACTACCTCCTGATTCATTCTCAATTTCTAGATGTTACGATATCCTGCTGTCCACAGCATCAGTGCTAAGCTAAAAATCTTCAGCCTCTTATTAGCTCTCAACATCTAATGAGTCACCACATGTGGTACTTGTTTAAAACTGTCTTGCTTTTTTCCAGGTCCTGGTGCCAGATATCTGTGCTCTTGTCCCTTTAACAGAGTCTCCTTATTGCCATCATTATGGTCAAAGTTGGTGAATGCACCTGCTGTCAGATTTTAGTGGATCTCACGGTGTGCAATCAGCTGTTGTTTGAGCTCTCTAATTTCAGTGTTAGAATATTGGTAGATTGAATTCAGCCTGGCACAGAGAATTCTTATGGCACAGAGAGACTTATATGTGGTTATAGAAGCAGCCTAGACAACTTGAGTTGTCTTTGACTTAGTGTGATGCCAAAACCAAGATCATAGGCATAAATGAATGCTTAACCTCTACTAGTTATACCCTAAAAGGTAATCGGAAATGGATTTTAAATAGCGAAAACTTTTATTACTCTTTCTTCATTTGTATTAAAAATAGGACTCCTGATTCTTTAAGGATATTTGTATATACACAGAGATCATCTATCATCATTCCCAGGAGAAGCAGTATAAAAAGAGCTCTGGACCAGGGCTACCTGAGGTCACATCTCAGTTTCCACAATGCTGGCTATATGATATAGAGTGTCAGTTTCCTTGATTGCAAAATGCACATAACAGTAGTAGATACCCTATCAGGTTGTTGTGCAGGTGACATGCTTAGTAAGTAAGCACTATTTTTGTCATTATCATCATCAACATCATCATCATCATCATCACCATCATCATTCCATTCTAGTTATTACACAGTCGACAAGGAAAGAGAAATTAAAAGTTCATCTAGTAGATTTTGTGTGTGTGTGTCAAAACAAATAAAATTTTAATTACTACCAAAATTATACTTGGGTTTTGCCTAAGACAAATCACTTTCAGGAAAGGGAGAAATTATCAAAGTAACTCTTCATGCTTTAAAGCTGTTTAAAGAGATATTATGGTAGATTGTCCTGTCATAATTGATGAGCCTGTACTATTTTACTAACCTGTCACCCTTCTTTAGTGCCCTGCTTTGGCAGACCACAATCAACATGATTTATTGCAGCTGCTTATAGGTCTGTAGCATGAACTAAAGATTGTTCTGAATACTTTCTCTTTAAAAAACACAGAAATAACGTATGCTAGTTGTACTAAATTTAAAGAATACAAGAGATAAAATAAAAATTATAACCCAAGTCAAACAATAATTGTTTTAAAAAACCTTTGTTCATTCCAATCCTAATCCCCAGTAATCACCATTAATACCAGCTTGGAGTATATGGAGCATATCCTTTTTGATCACTCTCTCTCTCTCTCAATATCTATTTGTGTGTGTATACCCATGCACATGCATACATGTGTATACACATATATATATATCATATGTATTATATACACATGCAGTAATTTTGCTTTTTAGAAAAACCAAATGTGATCAGACTATGAATATTGTTCTATAACTTGCTTTTTGCACTTAAAAATACATCCAGAACAAGTTTCTATTTATCAAAAAATATACAAATGTCTTACTCCTTTAAAAAAATGGCTCTGCTATTTTCTGTTGCATGTTTAGGAGACTATTATGTTAGTGATACCTAAAGAATCACACCTCCTGGTAATGATGCCTATATGTAGTTGAGGTTGCTCTGATGCTGATGCTGCATCAGCATACACTGATGCTGTGGTTGGCCATGTTACTTGCTTTGACTGATGGGATAGCAAAACTTGATAAGAACTTCTATGTCAGGGCTTATCTTCTTGGAATGCTCTCTCTTGAAAGTCATCTGCCATGTGAGAAGTCTGACTATTGTGAGATGATGTGTGGAAGCTCAACTAGGCTGATATGGTTTTGATATTTGTTCCACCCAAATCTTATGGTAAAATATAATCTCCAATGTTGGAGATGGGACCTGGTGTGAGGTGTTGGGTCTGTGGGGACAGATGTCTCATGGCTTGGTGCTGTCCTCCCAATAGTAAGTGAATTATTGCAAGATCTAGTTGTTTAAAAGTGTGTGGCATGTGAAGTGCCTGCTCCCGTTTCACCATCTGCCATGAGTAAAACTCCTGTGGTCTCCCCAGAAGCTGAGCAAATGCTGATGCCATGCTTGTACAACTTGCAGAACCATGAGCCAATTAAATTTATTTTCTTTATAAATTACCCAGTCTTAGGTATTTGTTTATAGCAGTGCAAAGAATGGCCTAATACAAGGTCATGTGGAGAAGCATTGAGGCACCAGACATGAATGAGTGAAGGCTTTTGGAAATTCCAGCATGGGCCAGTCACCAGCTGTTGTGGCATGCGATTGGCCATAGTCAATACTACATAGAAAGGAAGAACTGTCTATATTCCCAACCCACAGAATTGTTGTGTTAAGCCATAAGTTTTGGAGTGTTATTAGACAGTAATAGATGACTGAAACACATAGATACAATATAATTCATTTTTCTAGTGTCTTATTAATATATAAATTAGTACTTTTTCTGCTATTTTAAACAAGATCTAATCATCATTCTTTTATAGATATGTTTGCACACTCATGCCTGTATTTCTATAACATAGAATCTCCCTGGTGAGATTACTGGGTAGTTGAGAATGTGGATTTAACATATTGATAGTGTCATAATGTCTTCCTAAGGTCTATTTCAATTTATACTTATACCAATACTTGATTACATTGCTTATTTCTCTACATCCTTGCCAATACTCTGTTATTAAGCTTCTATATTTTTAGAAGCTCTATTTTAACAAGAGTTCTTTGATGAGTGGCATTAAATATCTTTATATGAGTTTAACACCTACTTTTCTCTCTTCTGGGACCATTTTTAATTGGGTTGTTTGCTTTTCTCACTATTGATTTTAAGAAGCATTTATGTATTAAGAATATTAGCCCTTTGAGATAAGTATGCAAAATATTTTATTCCAATGTATTGATATATAAACCACATATTTTTGGTTATGGTGTCTTTCAATTTACAAAGATAAAAAATAAAATTTTATAAAGTCAGGAATTAGAGTTTTCCTTCATGTTTTTTACATTTTTTGGCAAAGTTTTTAATGATTTTTCCTATAATAAGATTTAAAAATTATTTTAGTATATTTTCTTTTAGAACATTCACAGTTCAAAAAATAGGTTTAAATATTTATTTAGCTGGAGGTTGTTTTTGTAAAGGTTATATTATTATTTTTCCAAGTGGATAACCAATTGTCCCCAAACTATTTATTGAATAATTTGCCATTTTCTTGCTTTCTTAAAATGCTATTAAGACCCTGAAAGTTACCTAGATTGTTTTCAGACACTATTTCTTCCATTGATTTTTTTTTCTGTTCATACATTAGCATGGTTCTTGAAATTATCATGAGTCTTTCTTTAGCATAGTGATGTTAATTGTTCAGCCCACTCCAAAATTTGAAATAATTAAATCCTATATGTCAAACAGCAGGGTTATATATATATATGTGTGTATATATGTATGTATATATATATGTATATATATACATATATATATCTGTCTAATCTATCAGATTAGTGTTTTTGCCACTTTAATGGCAAAAAGCCGCAATTACATTTGGACCAACAAAATACTAATGCATACTTAGACATTTTGTAAAAGAAATACATACAAATCATATTTCATCTTGGAACTATAAAAAGAAGCTCTAGTAGCAAAACAAACAATACCTGAAAGAAATAATAAAGATTAACCTGACAAAATATTTCTGTGATGTCCATAAAATAGTCTTCAATTTTATTTTCTGAGGGATCTAAATCCTTCTCTTTCTGCTTTCCCAAACTCCCTAGCCCTTAAAAGCTAATGAGTACCACCTAAAACTAAAGGAAAAAGAAGACTGTTGAGAAGATTAAAGTCGGCTGGGGAGGAAGGATGCTAATAATTTATTTTCTAAATTCTGATTATAAGCCTGTTTAGGTTAATTGATAAAATAATAGTGTCTATAACAGCCTAAGATACACTGGAGGGCTTTTTAAAAAATATTTTTCAGGAGTGACAGAAGAGAGAAGATTGTTAACTCCTCTTGAGTCTAAACTGGGCATAGTCTTTAAAATACCTCAATTAATTTTTAAAGGCATTTTGTTTTCACTTTGTCAGTTCAAATGGATGGAGGCTGGTATGTTCACATTTAGTCCTGTTTAGTTTTACACAAATAAAATCAATTTTTCCCTCATGTAAACGAATGCTCAAACTCTTCCTAGTTTTTGATGCAGCCCCACCACTTACATAATCTGCTTGAATTTATCAGGTTTTGATGGTTTTGTTAGGTTCATGCCATTATGTTCTTTGAATTTTGGGCTCTCCTTGATAAAACTGTGTACTAAAAATCTAGTTTCCTAAAGTGATAAAAAAGTGTGATAACAAGTTCCCTGACACATACATTGATCTTAGGCAACCTGTAAAAACAGTAAGTGGCATGAAGCCTAGAGCTGCAATGGTCTGAGTGAATTCTACCCTTGAATTTGTGGGCGTGAAATTAAGAACTGTTGTTGACCAATGCACCGTCAGTCTTCAAACAATTCAAAACTAAATGAGCTTAAGAATTAATATTTCTAAAACTCAACATTAATTGTGACACCCTCCCCTTTTTTGATAGATTTTGGCATTTTTTCATGTAATAAATAATTCTATTTTCTACTTATTCCAAACTGCAGTCTGAAAAGTAGAAAAGCACAAAGAAAAAAAATTATATGCAGTCCTACTATCAAAATTCAACCATTGTTAAATAATGTTCTATATATTCTTGGAGTCATATACATTGTTTAAATGTTTGTGTTCTCACAAGTAATAGATTGTAACATGTTCCCCACTGTATTATTCACCTCACTTTCTTTGTGAAATACAAATACACAAATACCACATCTGCTACCTCTTTCTGTGCCCCTCCCCCCAATGAACAACTTGCCCACAATTTCATCTATGATTTAGGTCTTAGTTCAGATGACATCTTAATTGCCTCGACTGTTCAGATAATTGCTTCTGTAAGTAAACCTAGCCTCCTTGAACTCTATCTTTTATTTTATTTTTTTAAAATTTTTTATTTCCATAGGTTATTGGGGAACAGGTGGTGTTTGGTTACATGAGTAAGTTCTTTAGTTGTGATTTGTGAGACTGTGGTGCACCCATCATCCAAGCAGTATACACTGCACCCTATTTGTAGTCTTTTATCCCTCACCCCTTCCCACCCTTTCCCTCTGAGTCCCCAAAGTCCATTGTGTCATTCTTATGCCTTTGCATCCTCATAGCTTAGTTCCCACTTAAAAGTGAGAACATACAGTGTTTGGTTTTCCATTCCTGAATTATTTCACTTAGGATAATAGTCTCTAATCTCATCGAGATCGCTGCAAATGTCATTAATTTATTCCTTTTTATGGCTCAGTAGTATTCCGTCATATATATATATATGTACCTCTCAGAGTTTCTTTATCCACTCATTGATTGATGGGCATTTGGGTTGGTTCCATGTTTTTGCAATCATGAATTGTGCTGCTATAAACATGTGTGTGCAAGAATCTTGTTCGTATAATGACTTCTTTTCCTCTGGGTAGATGCCCAGTTGTGGGAGTGCTGAATCAAATGGTTGAACTCTATCTTTTAAAAAATCCATTTATAACTATATTTTGTGTTTTGCATACACACATATCTTATCTATTACATATAAACTTCTTGAGGATAATACGTTAGTCAAATCTTATCTGGTAACAACGGATAAAATCATATGATTTTATCCCTTGTAACCAGATAAGATTTGACTAACGTATTATCCCAAACAAGATAATTTACTGTCTCAGAACACTGAGAAGTTGAATGGGGGCCAGGAATAGCTGGGCTGGAGTCTTAGTCTCTCTCTCCTTTTCAGCTCTTTATCTCAGTTTGACTGCATGTTTTTCACTGAACAATTCCATTTGAAAGAGTACCTCTTTCTTGATAAATATGGCAGGAAAGTTCCAAATAAAACTGTAGTGATCTAACTTAGGCAATTTGTCTGTCTTGGCTTATCACTTTGGTCAGGAGGAAGGGGCATACTGATTGTCAGGCCTAAATCATGTGCCCAATCTTGTGTCTGATCATGGGTGGCAGAAAAAAAAACAGAAAGGGATGCAGGAAAGAGAAAACCAGAGATATATGCTAGTGATAGCATCCTTACTTGATTTACCTTTGTGTACCCCATGGTTCTCGGATAGTGCCTTGCATATGGTAAGTACTCAATAAATACTTGCTGAGTGAAATGGCTATATCCATTAATCAATGTACACCCAATAGGGGTGAGAAGAAAGCATTAACATTTTTAGGTATCTTGAGCTCTTTGAATTGCTAAAATAATTAAGAGGATATAAGCTCACTGTTCAAAATTGTTCCTAAAAAATTTAATTAAACTGATTTGATGTAAAAAGAAAAGAAAGCTTAAGGAGAATAGATGGCTGTATCTATAATAAAAAGCAGAGAAAAAGAGGTACTTATTGATGACTTAAAAAAAATAAGGATAACGTTAATTTGCTTCTGATTCTGTCTCCAACTGCTTGATGCCTGGAACGTTTATCTATGTGGATGGCTTTCCTTGTTCTTTGGTTCCCAGGTGAGATTGTCTAATGTGAAACATCTGCAGAAAATCAGAGGGCAGGAGGAGAGAATGGATGGTGCATGTGTTCCTTTACCTTCTGCATTGCCAAGTCTTGTGGGTTGCCCACAAGTCTCTTTCAAAGGCCATATTTATTTCACATAGTTACCTCTGTAGATTCAATAGTGGTTTCTTTCTTTTTCCCCTTCAGGCCTAGGATTGGAAGTTGATATCAACACTACCCCTTTTTGGTTTTCCTGAACCTGTTTCATAGCTTTGGAGATAGTCTGTGTATTGAACTCTCCTTAAATTACCCAGTGAGAGTATGCCTTATGTTTCCTTCTGGATATTGACTCATGCTTGCCTAATCAGCATGGAAAACAAACAACAAAGAAAGCCCATATTTTGATAAAGTATTTTCTTCATGGATTAGAGGAGGGAAGAAGACTGGTTGGCTTCTTGACAACTGTATTTCCAGAATCCTTAGTTTTCCTAACATTTCTCTCATTAAAGCTGCCTTTGATAATCATTTTCATAGAACCATATTTGTACAAAAAAATTTTTTTTGAAGTGAGCAACTCTATTATAGGCCCAAAAGTCCAGTTATTATTTATAAATTTTAATATTTTGAAAGCTAGAATTTTGTTTCTAGAGGCAAGGATAGTATAAATCCCTTGGCCCTTTACTTAGACATAGGCTGTTAAATAGTAAGTAAACTAAGGAAAGAGAAGGCAGAAAAAATGTTTCATTAATCATCACTGCATCAAAACAATTCTAATGAACCCATTTTAAAGGAAAGAGCTGAACAATTTCAGTTGTGTGTTGCTCCAATAAAAAAGCATTTGCATTTGAAGAAAGAAAATTGTTTCTCTCATTCTAATTAAACCAAATTAATATTAAGATATTTCAAATGGCTACCTGCAAGTATTGTCATCAGGCACCTAGTTTCATCATGTTCTTTGGTTTTAAAGTGAATTACTTTTGCAATAAAGATAAAATGTATTATTCTCCTTTCATTGTGACATTTACTCTGAGCCTGTTTATACCAATGCAGCTGCTGTGTAAGTCAATGCCTTTCCTTTCTTTTTTCTTTCACTTTTCATTTTAAAGGCATATATGCAAGTCATCTGACCCAGGTTGTACATGAGCTGTACGGCATATGGTTGGGGGAAAAAACATCCTATCTTTTGTTCAATAGTTTTTGTATTTTTTCCAGTCTTTTGCTTTTCTGGTCCTCAAATAAGGCTAATTACAAAGAAAAAAAAGGTGGGACTGGTGGAGAGGGAGCCTTTAAAAACCATTCCTTTTGCAGCATGGAACAAAAGAGAGTACCAAGGGCATGACTAGGCCTCAACAAAAAAGAAAAGAAAAAAAAAACACCTAATGAGGATGTCGAGATAAGTGCTTGTGAAGAAAACCGGCAAAAAAGAGCTTTTAGTCTAAAATCCATAAATAAGTGTGCATCAGATGGGTACTAGGACATTTTTAACAAGACAGGCCATGAAAACTATATCCTTCTATGCAAGAGCTGCATGCCTTAAAAAAACCTTCTTTCTTTACAAGACATTTTTCTTTCAAAAATTAATTTAAAAAGAAATACTTGAAAATTAAGATGTTTTATTCATGTCTCTGAATCCATTATGCACTGGATACCATATAAAGAGTTATTTTTGAGACATCATTATGAAGGCTGTTAGGCTTCTTAGGGGTCAAAGGTTTTGCGTGAGTATAAAAAGAAGTTGTTCATGGAGAAGAGCAGAACAGAGGAGATTTTGACCTTGGAGACTTCTGTTGCATTTTTACTTTTAAATTGGGAGAAGCAGCTATACTTGAAGTTTGTTGTTAACTCTGTATACCCGTAGCTCTTCTTTCTGCCTCTCCTGATAGCTTTGAGCCTTGCCATAGGTGCCACAGAGATAGAGATCAGAGGTTTGCACCTAAATTAATTGTAAAAGTACCAAAGAATCATAGATTTTTAGTTAGAAAGAAACTTATATCTATCACTGTAAAATATAAAGGTGAAAAAAGAGTCCAAGGGGGAAGAACTCTGCAGACCTTAAGAAAGATTTAATTTTGTTGTATATTTGGCCTGAATGTATCTACTTTTAGTGTGTGGAAAGAAGACCATAGGAATGTGTGTCATGGTGACTTTGATGTTATGCTGTCACACGTACAGTGCTACTAGTTTGAGGACTTACTTGGTTGATGTAGAGATTTTCTTTTCCTTTTCTTTTCTTTTTTTCTTTATTTTGCCACTTGGTCAGGTAAAAACACCTATACTATATGTATGTAAAAAAATTCACTTACTCCTGTTTTTTACTATCTTATCTCTTACTTCAATATGGTGATAAACAAAGATTATATTCAATTTTATTTTATCTTTTCCATGTCCCA
Source organism: Homo sapiens (assembly GCF_000001405.40). Lineage (NCBI taxonomy): Eukaryota > Metazoa > Chordata > Mammalia > Primates > Hominidae > Homo > Homo sapiens. The sequence continues at coordinate 28,170,898 of NC_000003.12, read as the reverse complement.
TGATTTCAATCTAGAAATAGTGCTGTTATTTTTTATTTTATTGTAAATACTTTGTATTTTTCCATGGAGTCTATTATCTTCAAAGTCTTAAACTCTTCTTCTGTGTTCGAACAGTGTCATTTGTTTTAACACACATTGTCAGTTGTTTTTATTTTTGCAATATTATAACTATTGTTGCTCCTCCTCTGCTCAGGACCCTACAAGGGTTCTATGTTGCATGCAGCTTAAAAACCTGAGATAATCCCTGCCCGCCTCACCCTAGCCCTTTATCTTCTTTTCTTCTTCCTTTTTTTATAGAGACAGGGTCTCACTCTGTTGCCCAGAGTGAGTTGGCTCAATCATAGCTCACTGCAGCCTCCAACTCCTGCACTCAAGTGATCCTCCTGCCTCAGCCTCCTGTGTAGCTGGGACTACAGGCATGCACCACAGTGCCTGACTATACCCTCATCTTAAAAGTCTGATGCTTCTTAACCTCCTCTGCTTTCTTTTTCTTCTACAGCACTGATCACATTCTAACATACTATAATAAAATTTCCTTGTTACATTTTTCATTTATTGCCTGGTTCCCCTGGCTAGGCAGAGACCTTCACCTTTTTCATTCACCAGTGTACCCCAGGTACCTACAACAATGCCTCAAGCATAGACCACAGTAGGTACTCAATTAATATTTGTTAATCTATGGCGCTAGACATCTTTTTCTCTTGTGAATTCTTTTCTCAGAGTAAATTATTGGGTACTGTAAGTAGCTTAGTATAAAAATAATTTTTAGTCATAGAGTATGAACTTTTTAATGGTTTTTAATAATAGTTGGGAGTATCCTAACAAAATATTCACATTTGTTTATATTGCAACCAGAAATTCCAATGTACACATTTTTCCACAGCTTAACTGGCTTTAAGTTAGTAGATATGTATCTATATTTTAGCTAGCATACTGGGAGCAAAATTATGGCTAATTGCTTATTTTAATATGTTTTAGTCTAATAAATAATATTTAATATATTTATATTAGATCAATTGACATATTTTATTATTTTTATATATATGCTAGTATATATTGTATTTGCCTAATATTTATATTTTTCTATGTTAAATATATGCTAATTTGGGGGCTTATGTTTTGAGGTTTTGGTGAGAGTCCCTCATTATATATACAAGTTCTATGTTATGTTCACTAACTTCTCTGATTTGTTCTAGTGTATTTTCTTATTTTTTACCTCATAGTAATGCAAATGTTCATTTATGAAAAAGTTGAAAGTGTTGCATGTCCTTTTTAATTTGCATTTAAAAATTCCTTTAATTATATTAATATTAACAATTTTGTACACCTGTGATGCATTAATATTTGAAACTTATTTTTAGATCTTTGCTTCTTAGAAAGTGATTTGTAGACCAGCAGCCACCTACTGAATCAGAATCTACATTTTAATAAGATCCCCAGGTGAGTGTGTTCAGCAGTACACAGGTAAGTTTGAGTAGTACTTTTTAGGGTCTTTCTCATCTCCTGAAATTAGGAGACTATAATAGTTTTGCTGCACTGAAAGCAATGATAGTTCAGACTTACAGTTATTACTTGCTTTTGGTTATTCCCTCAGTCAATAATCAATCTTTTCCAGAGTGGTTAACTGATCAGCACAGTGCTTGGTACATAGTCAACAATCAATAAATTGCAGCTATTATTATAATTATGATTTCATTGCAATCCTGAAAACCTACACTGTCCTAAACAGTGGTTCTCAATTCTCTCAGATTCAGTGCCACAAAGATTTTTAAGTCTTCTGATATTTGTATGTTAAAAAACCCCAAAACTATAAAACCCTACCAACAAATAAATGATAAAAGAAAATAAAAGGATAGTAGTATATAATAAAAGAATTACGAAAGTTCAGGCATAGACTGTATAAGAAAACAAAAATGTAGTCACATGTTTACTTAAAATTAGAGTCCACACAAATGGTAGAGCTAACAATGCTGACTGTCCAGTACTGATGATTCAAATACCATAACCAGCATTGCAGTTAGAAACATAATTTGTTGAAATGATATATATGGTATTTTGAAATAAATATTTCTTTGTAAAGTTCTGCACAAAACAAAAAGTAATCTTCTATCAGTTTACAGGGTAGTTACATTTCTGGAAAGGTCTGTGAATCTATAAATTGTGCAAGCATAGGTCAGGTGCGGTGACTCATGCCTGTAACCCCAGCACTTTGGGAGGCCAAGATGGGAGGATCACTGGAAACTAGGAGTTTGAGATCAGCCCGGGCACCACAGGGAGACTCTGCCTCCATCATAAATAAATAAATAAAATAAAGAAATAAATAAAAAACTTTAAATTGTGCAAAGATAGACTTTGTGTTAATATATAAAACAAAGTTAGCTTCTAAGCTTATGTAATGAAGGTATGTCATCTTCATGGATGTCTGGAGGGATGCTAAAGCTATGTGAACTCCTGGACAATTCTGCATTCCATAGAAGTGTTCTGCACATTGCAGGATGTCTCACATTCCTGGACACTGCCCACTAGGTAGTGTCTTCCAATAATTGGGACAACCAAATATGCCCTCACATATTTCTGAAGACCCTGAAGGAACATTATTGCTCCTGTTGAAACATACCGTCTGTCAGTAAATGTGTTCTTTTCTAAATATTATATCTTTTTGTATTTCATCATTATAGCTGACAAATAACATTACCTGGCATAATGTAACGTAAAAGGGACATCAATAAATAATTACATACTTACATTGTTAGGTAAAAGCAGACAGAACTATTACACAATAAAATTATATATGGATCAAGAAGTAAATTTCTTTCAGACTGAGTGACCTACAGTGACAGGATTAAAATATTCTCCCTTTGCTTACCTCTGGAGATACTTTCAGTTACAATTTAGGACACTTTACAGCGATATTGTGACACTACAAATTGTAAATGACTTTCAGAGAACAGCCTTCAGCTTTTCAATGCCCCTGAGGTATGTGATCTTAAATTAATATACACTTTGTTGAATCTGATTGCTTAATTAGGACCCAGAATTCCTGTGATATCAGAAACTTCTTTTTTTTTCCTGACAAAAACTTCATAGTACAACAACGCATGATCAACACAATTTCATGATGAACAGTTCAAAATTGAAAGAGCCATTAAGACTTTTTTTGGGTTACTGTTAATATATAATTAAACACCGTGACAGATGCTCATCAAGCAAATCTCCAACAGAGATTTATTTATTTATTCATTCAAGCATCCTCTGAGTTTATAGTAATAAATCCAAGAAGGAAAAATTTTGAGAAAACAACCAAATGATCTAATAAAAGTGGTAAAATAAAGTTACACTAAAAAAAAGAAAAACCCGTATTAACCTTTGTTTTATGCCTACCTGTCCTCTTCTGCTTTTGGTGTGAAATCACCTATGGGTTGCATTCAGAAGCTTTGATACAGCATACTAAAATTTCTCAGTGAGCCTTTTTGTGATAGAAAATGTGAACTTCTGCATTTCTTTGACAAGCTTGCTTTTTTCAGAACTCAGATCCCATGTACATATTTATGCATGTCACTGTTAATAGTGCCTCACATTTATAGGGAAGGTTGCAGTATGGTCAGCCCTTGGCAAAAGTTCATATTGCCCTTTAACAGCATAGAATTGTTGCAGGAAAGGAGTTTCCAGCCCTATACACCATTTTTCAGCATGTTCTGAATCTTAGTGGAGCCACATGGCTAAACTCTGGCCAGTGGAAAGTGGATGGAAGTAGGGTATACCCCTTTCCAGACCTGTCCTATAATATCTCTGGACCATCCTTCTTGCTATCTTATCTTTAATCTGCTAGCTGAATGTCAAAGCTTAGGACCTTTTTGGAATGTATGTATAGAAGTTGGCAAGGCCTCTATCATCCTGATCCCTGAATTAGCGTGTGGAGCAGAGTGCCCCCTTCTCCTTCCCGTGATTAGACTTTACAGAAGCCAGAAATACACATTCATTTGAAATACATGTTTGTTTGTTTAAACCAATGAGATCTGGAGTTTTATTCATTACAGCAGCTTGCATTACCTTAAGAAAAATGAATATTTGGCCAGGCATGGTGGCTCACGCCTGTAATCCCAGCACTTTGGGAGGCCAAGGTGGGCAGATCACGAGGTTCAGGAGATTGAGACCATCCTGGCTAACACGGTGAAACCCCATCTTTACCAAAAACAAAAAAAATAGCCAGGTGTGGTGGCATGTGCCTGTAATCCCAGCTACTAGGGAGGCTGAGGCAGGAGAATTGCTTAAACCTGGGAGGTGGAGGTTGCAGCGAGCCGAGATCATGCCACTGCACTCCAGCCTGGGCGACAGAGCAAGACTCCCTCTCAAAAGAAAAAGAAAAAGAAAAGGAAAAAAGAAATATGAACATTCAGTATTGTGCACTTAGAAGACTTTCTGGCACATTGTGCACCATCAATGAACCAATGAAATCTTGCTCCCTGTAGAAGGGCAAAGAAAAATGCCATTTAAGTGCAATTCCTTGGTCTTCTAGAGGAGTCATTGTCAAACAGAACAGAGATTTTCTTAAAGGAAGAGCAGGAAAGACTGTGAAGTAGGTAATACTACTTGTTTATTTAATTTCACATGGTCAGTATTTTCTTACGTGACTTTGGAGATCGGGGGACAATGTAACACTAATTCCAGGTTATTGGGGAGTAGGAGGATTCATAAAATTAATCATTTAGACAGAAGCGATAGTACAGTTTCACAGAGAGGATATCATGGTAATTAGTACTAAAAAATGGCAAGTTGTCATGTCTGTGAGACAATGCTCGGTTACTACCCACATCATATAAGAAACAGTACAATACTTTTGCTTCTATGGCTGGTTGAGGAAAAGCAACCCTGTATGGACATTTATACATATTCTTACTGTAAAAATAAACACTATTATTTATGGAGAGTTTACTCTGTCACTATCCATGATTATTACAAAACCATTCGTTATCAATTGTAGTGTTCCACTTAGTCTAGCCAGATATATTTATTTAATTATGCCAGACACTTTCCCATACATTTTCTTCTTTAAGCTTTTATGTAATGTTATCTCCCATCTCACATGTGCAGTAATGAAGGCTCAGAGTTGTTGGTGAACTCATTTGCCCAAGGACAACCAGCTGTGTGCCCCCTCTACACTTTTCATTCTCTGCTCACTACTTTCTTCTATTCCTTGGTTTCCTAATATAATTGTGATTCTGAGAATTGTCCACCAAATCACCAAAAAACCGCTAGTTTAACATCAAAAGCAAACTCTCCGATAATTCAGGGCAGCACACTTGACAATAATGTGGGTTTGGAATAATTTCCTTGGAAAATTATTGGAAATACTTCACAAGTTCTCTCAAACTGGAAACAGCATCTCTGTTGTTATTGCTGTTTTTCTAACAATGAACTATTTTCCTTTAGGCATATATCTTTTCCTTATAACATTACATCTTAATTTTTTTCCTTTTTATTGAGGAGTTTACTAGACATTGCAAAGAGTTCACTGAGATCTGTATATAGCTAAAACTGTATTACCTTGAAATGTCTTTCTCCCTGGTAGGGACTGAGTCACAATTCCTTTCAGCATCATCTTTCAAAAACTAATTTTTTTATACCACAGGTTTTTCTCTAAAGGAACAGAGAGTAAACATTTTAGGCTGCTTGAGCAACAAGGTCTCTGTTGTAACTACTCAATTCTGTCATTGTGGCTGGGCGTGGTGGCTCACGCCTGTAATCCCAGCACTTTGGGAGGCCGAGGTAGCCAGATCACGAGGTCAGGAGATCTAGACCATCCTGGCTAACATGGTGAAACCCCATCTCTACTGAAAAATGCAAAAAATTAGCCGGGCGTGGTGGCAGGTGCCTGTAGTCCCAGCTACTCTGGAGGCTGAGGCAGGAGAATGGCGTGAACCCGGGAGGTGGAGCTTGCAATGAGCCGAGATCGCGCCACTGCACTCCAGCCTGGGCGACAGAGCGAGACTCCGTCTCAAAAAAAAAAAAAAAAAAAAAAAAAATTCTGTCATTGTAGTGCAAAAGCAGCTATAAACAATATGTAAGTGAATGACTGTGGCTTTTATTTCCTATTTATTTATACAAATTTATAGGATACGTGTGCGGTTTTGTTACATGCACAGATTGAGTAGTGGTCAAGTCAGGGCTTTTAGGGTATTAATCACCTGAATAATGTATTCTGTACCCATTAAGCAATTTCTCATCATCCTCCCCTCTTCCACCCTCCTCACGCTTCTAAGTCTCCGTTATCTATCATTCCACTCTCTACATCCATGTGAATACGTTTTTGAGCAAACATTTACGAATGAGAACATGCAATAGTTGTCTTTTTGTGTCTGGCTTATTTCACTTCGTATAACAACCACCAGTTCCATCCATGTGGCTGCAAAAGACATGATTTCATTACTTTAATGGCTGAATAGTATTCCATTGTGTATATATATATATACACATATACATATATATATATACACATATATACATATATTAAATGTATGCATATTTTACATTCTTACCAATACTGTATAAGAGTTTCCTTTTCTACACATCCTCACCAACACCTGTTATTTTTGTCTTTTTAATAATAGCCATTCTGATTGGAGTAAGATGATATCTCATTGTGGTTTTAATTTGCATTTCTCTGATGATTAGGGATGATGAGCAGTTTTCAAATAGTTGTTGGTTATTTGTATATCTTCTTTTGAAAAACATCTATCATGCCCTTTGCTCACTTTTTAATGGGAATAGTTGTGGGGGTTTTGCTCTTGTTGTTGAGTTTTTTGAGTTCCTTGTATATTCTGGATATTTGTCCCCGCTGGATGCAAAGTTTGCAAATATTTTCTCCCACTCAACATGTTGTCTCTTTACTCCATTGGTTATTTTGCTGTGCAGAGGTTTTTAGTTTAAGTCCCATTCGTCTGTTTTTATTTCTGTTGCCTGTGCTTTTGAGGTCTTAGTCATAAATTCTTCATCTCAACAAATGTACAGAAGAGTTTTTTCTAGGTTTTCTTCTAGTATTTGTTTAGTTTCAGGTCTTCATTTAAGTCTTTAATCCACCTTGAGTTGATATTTGTGTATAGTGAGAGGTATGGATCCAGTTTCTTTCTTCTGCATATGAATATCCAATTTTCCTGGCACCGTTTACTGACTTCTCCCAATGTATATTCTTGTTGGCTTCGTTGAAGATTAGTTGGCTATAAATATGTGGCTTTGTTTCTGGGTTCTCTATTCTGTTCCATTGATCTATGTGTCTGTTTTGTTTGTTTTACCAGTACTATGTTGTTTGGTTACCATAGCTTTGTAATGTATTCTGAAGTGAGGTAGTGTGATACCTCCAGTTTTGTTCTTTATGCTCAGGATTGCTTTGGCTATTTGAGCTAATTTTGGTTCCATATGAATTTTAGGATTTTTTTCTAATTCTGTGAAATATGAAGTTGGTGTTTTGATAGGGATTACATTAAGTCTGTACAATGTTTTGAGCAGCATGATCATTTTAACAATATTAATTCTTTCTATCCATGAGCATGCAGCATTTTTCCATTTGTGTTATATTCAAAATGTTTTGTAGTTTTCCTTGTAGAGGTTTTTTTCTGCATTGGTTACATTTATTCCTAGGTACTTTATATTTTTGTAGCTCTTGTAAATGGGATTGCTTTCCTGATTTCTTTCTCAGCTAGATCATTATTGATGTTTAGAAATGCTATGGTTTGTGCACATTGATATTGTATCCTGCAACTTTATTTATTCATTTATCAAATCTAAGAATTTTTCAATGTAGTCTTTAGATTTTTGTAAACAAGATCATATCATCAGCAAACAGGGATAATTTGACTTCTTCTTTTCTAAATTTAATGTATTTTACTTTTTCTTTTGCCTGATTGCTCTAGCTACGATTTCCAATATTATGTTAATAGAAATGGTGAAAGTGGGAATCTTTGTCTTATTCCAGTTCTTAGAAGAAATGCTTTCAGTTTTCCCCATTCAGTATGATGTTACCTTTGGGTTTTTCGTAAATTACCTTTTTATTATTATTATTATTATTATTTTTGAGACAGAGTCTCGCTCTGTCGCCCACGCTGGAGTGCAGTGGTGCGATCTCGACTCACTGCAACCTCCGCCTTCAGGGTTCAAGCGATTCTCCTGCCTCAGCCTCCAGCACAGCTAGGACTACAGGCGCGTGCTGCCATGCCCAGCTAATTTTTTTGTATTTTTAGTACAGACAGGGTTTCAGCGTCTTGGCCAGGCTGGTCTTGATATCCTGACCTGCTGATCTGCCCACCTCGGCCCCCCAAAGTGCTGGGATTATAGGAGTGAGCTACAGCACCTGGCCTATAAATTATCTTTATTATTTTGAAGTATGTTTCTTCTATGTCCAGTTGAGGGTTTTATCATAAAGCATTGCTGGATTTTTTTTTCCCCAGTTGTTGAAAAGGATGTTGAATTTTATCAAATGTTTTTCTGTATTGTTAGGATGATCATATGGTTTTTGTCCTCAATTCTGTTAATGTGATTTATCACACTTATTAATTCATGTATGTTGACCTATCCTTGAATTACTGGTATAAGCCCCACTTGATAATGGTACATTATCTTTTTGATGTAATGTTGGATTCACTTTGGTAATTTGTTGAAGATTTGTGTTTCTATATTCATCAAGGATATTATCTTTTTGTTTTGTCCTTGTCTGGTTTTGGTATCAGGATGATACTGGGCTTGTAGAATGAGTTAGAGGGAATTCCCTCCTCCTCAACTCTTGGAATACTTTCAGGAGGACTGATATTAGTTCTTTGTACATTTGGTAGAATTTGGCATGAATTTGAATCTATCTGGTCCTGGGTTTCTCTTTGTTGGGAGATTTTAAAATTACTGATGAAATCATTATTGGTCTGTTCAGGTTTTCCATTTCTTCCTGGTTCAATTGTGGGAGGTTGTATGTTTCCAGGAATTTATCCACTTCCTCTAGATTTTCTGGTTCGTGAGCATATAGTTATTCATAAGTCTCTGATAATCTTTTTTTTGTATTTCTATGGTATCAGTTGTAATGTCTCCTTTTTCATTTTTGAGTTTGTTTATTTTTTTCTTTTCTTGGTTAGTCTAGCTAGCAGTTTATCAATTTTATTTATCTTTTTTAAGAACCAACTTATTGTCTTGTTGAATCTTTGTTTTGTTTTCTTAGTCTCTATTTTATTTAGTTCTGCTCTGATCTTCGCTATTTTTTTTCTTCTGCTTATTTGGGGTTTGAGTTATTCTTGCTTTTCTGGTTCCTTGAGGTGCATAATTAGATTGTTAATTAGTAAACTTTCTACTTGTTGGGTTTAGGCATTTCATGCTATAAATCTACCTCTTAGCACTGTTTACTGTATCCCACAGGTTTTGGTATGTTGTGTCTCCATTTTGATTTGTTTCAAAATTTTTTCTTATTTCTTAGTTTCTTCATTGACTGAAGGGTCATTCAGGAGCATGTTGTTTGAGTTCTATGTATCTATAATTTCTGAAGGTCCCTTTGGTATTATTTTTTAGTTTTATTCCACTGTGGTCTGAGAAGATACTTGATATGATTTTCATTTCTAAAAATTTGATGGGACTTGTTTTGTGACCTAACATATGATCTATCTTGGAGAATGTTCCATCTGCTGATAAAAAGAATGTACATTCTGCAGTTGTTAGTTAGAATGTTCTGTAAATGTCTGTAAGTTTCAGTTGGTCTAAAGTCCAGTTTAAGTCCAATGTTTCTTTGTTGTTGTTTTTTTCTAGGTGATCTATCTAGTGCTATGAATTGGGTGTTGAAGTCCCCCACAATTATTGTGTTGTGGTGTGTCCTTCTCTTTAGGTCTAGTAATATTTGCTTTATGAACCTGGATGCTCCAGTGTTGTCTGCATAGAAATTTAGAATTGTTATATGCTCTTGCTGAATTGATAACTGCACCACTAAATAATATCTACTTTGTCTTTTTTTAAATTTTATTTATCATTTGTGACTTAAAGTCTGTTTTATCTGATGTAAGTATAACTATTCCTACTTGCTTCTGGTTTGTGTTTACATGCAATATATTTTTCCAACTCTTTAATTTGAGTCTTTATGTGTCTTTACATGTAAAGTGAGTTTCTTGTAAGTAGTATATAGTTGGATCTTTTAAAAAAAATCCATTCAGCCAATCTATTTCTTATAAGTGGAGTGTTTAATTCATTTACATTCAAAGTTATTATTGATATGTGAACTTTTGTTCTTGTCATATTGCCATTATTTTCTAGTTGTTTTATAAATTCTTTCTTTCTTTTTCTCTTAGTGTTTGTCATTGTGGTTAGAATTCTGTAGTGGTATCATTGGACTCCTTTCTCTTCCTCCTTTGTGTGATTGCTTTACTAATGAGTTTTATATTTTCTTTTTTTTTTTTTTTTTAATCATAGCAAGTCTATTCATTTCCAAGATTAGGACTCCCAGTAGTTCTTGTAGATCTAGTCTAGTCATGAAAATTCCCACATGATTTGCGTGTCTGGAAAACTCTTTATTTCTCCTGCATTTATAAATGCTAATCTTGCTGCATATAAAATTATTGACTGCCAGTTATTTTTTTCTTCTTTAGCACGTTGAATATATCATCCCATTCTCTTCTGGCCTGTGAGGTTATGCTGAGAAGTTCACTGTTAGTCTGATGAGATTTCCTTTACAGGTGACCAGACACTTTTCTCTTGCTGTTTCTACAATTCACTATTTCCCCTTTGCCTTTAGACAGTCTTATGTCACTCTGATGTGCTGTGGTGAAGTCCTTATTTCATTGTTTCTGCATGGGAATCGCTGAGCCTACTTATCTGGATGTCTAAATCTCTTGCTGGGCTTGGGAAGTATTTATCTACTATTTCGTTAAATAGGTTTTCTAAACATTTTTATCTCTCTTTCCTTTCTAGAACACTAATAATTCATAAATTCAGTCACTTTATATTGTTCCAAATGCCTTAAAGGCTTTGTTCATTCTTTTTTATTCTTTTAAAATTATTTTTGTCTGACTGGATTATTTCAAAATACCTTTCTTCAAGTTCTGAAATGATTTATTCTGCTTGGTCTAGTCTACTGTTGAAGGTTTTGAATGTATTTCCCTCAATGAATTCTTCAGTTCCAGAATTTCTGCCTGATTTTCTTTCAATATACCTCTATCTTCATGAAAGTCACTTTTTTAGCTCCTACATATGAGTGAGAACAAGTGATATTTGTCTTCCGCTGCTTGGCTTATTTCACTTAGCATAATTCCAGTTCCATCCATGTTGCTGCACATGACAGGATTTCATTCTTTTTTATGGCTAAATAATATTTCATTGTGTATATATACCACATTTTCTTTATTTATTCATTTGTTGATGAACACTTAGGTTGATTACTATATTAGCCCATTCTCATGCTGCTAATAAAGACATACCTGAGACTGGGTAATTTATACAGTAAAGAGGTTTAGTTGTTCACAGTTCTGCAGAGCTGGGGAGACCACAGGAAATTTACAATCATGGCAGAAGGGGAAGAAAACATGTCCTTCTTCACATGGCAGCATTGTAGTGATTTCCAAACTATATCAAATAGTATGATGCTGTCAGCTTTGTTCTTTTTTCTCCGGATTGCTTCGACTATTTAGGGTCTTTTATGGTTCCATATACATTTTGGAATTGTTTTTTTCTACTTCTGTGAAGAATGTCATTCGTATTTTGATAGGGATTGCATTGAATCTGTAAATTGCTTTGGAAAGTATTGCCATTTTAAGAATATTGCTTTTTCCAATCCATGAACATTGACTATCTGTCCAATTTTTTGTATCCTCTTTAATTTCTTTTATCATTTCATAGCTTTTCTTCTATAGAACTTTCACTTCTTTGGTTACATATATTTTTCGGTATTTTATATTTTTTGAAGCCATTGCAAATGGAATTGCTTTCCTGATTCCTTTTTCAGATTGTTCACTGTTGGTGTAGATAAATGCTACTGATTTTTGTATGTTGATTTTGTATCCTGCAACTTTACTGAACTTTTTAATCAGTTCGGACAGTTTTTTGGTGGTCTTTAGATTTTTCTAAGTATAAGATAATGGCATCTGAAAACAAGGCTAATTTAACTTCTTTTTTTTCTAACCTGGATGTCCTTTGTTTCTTTACTTGGCCCAATTGCTCTTGCCAGGACTTCCAGTACTACATTGAATACAAGTGATAAACGTGGCCTTCTTTTGTCTTGTTCCAGATCTTAGAAGAAAAGTATACAATTTTTCCTAATTTTATGTGATCTTAGCAGTCAGTTTGTCAAATATGGCCTTTAATTTTTAGAGGTATATTTCTTTTATACCCAGTTTAGTGAGGGTTTTTATTATAAAGAGATGTACAATTTTATTGATTTTAAAGCATCTATTAAAATAATCACATAGTTCTTGTTTCACTTCTGTTAATGTGATGTATCATGTTTGTTGATTTGATACAGTATGTTGAACCATCCCTGCATTCTTGGGATGAATCCCACTCAATCATGGTGAATGATCTTTTTAATGTGTTGCTGAATTTGGCTTTCTTGCATGTATGTGCGTTAGTGTTATTGGCCTGTAGTTTTTCTGTTGTTGTTGTGTCTTTGTTTGGTTTTATTATCAAGGATAATGCTAGCATTGCAGAATGTATTTAGAAGTATTATCTCCTCTTAGATTTTTTGAAGAGTTTGAGCAGATTTGGAATAGTTCTTTAAATGTTTGGTATAATTCAGCATTGATGTCATTAGAAAAATACCCATAAAATACTAACATGCAAAAAAAATTGAAAGTATAAAACCCACTGATATAATGAAGTACAACAGAGAAACCCAGAACTCTAATTTTGTAATTGTGGTGTGGCAGTCCACTCATAACTCTAGTGTGAAGCCCAAAAGATAAATTTATCAAAAACAATAATAGCTACAGGGACCTATAGCTATTATTGAGTAATATAAAAATATATAAATTGTGACAAAAGTCAAAATGTGGGGAGGGGGGTGAAGTTAACATGTAGAAGTTTTTTTTGCTTGTTTTTTCTTTGTTTGGTGGTTGCTCATTTTAGGTAATTTTTTATATCTCATAGGCATTCTTTGTTGCTTTTTATTGTTTTTTGTCCTCTGTATATTTCTGAATAGCTTGTCTTTGAGCTCACTGTTCCTTTCTTTGTTTGATTCATTCTGCCATTGAATTTTTCAGTTCAGCAAACATACGTCTCAATTCCAAGATGTCTACTGGCTGTTCACCTTGATCTCACTTTTTCCAGCATAGAAGCTAAGTTGAAGGAAAATTTTCTTCGTGCTTGGTGCCAGGGAGAATGTGGGAAGGAGGTCTCAAATGTGGAAGCCTGACTCTCTTCCTGTCTGCTTGGAGTTTTTTCACTTCTCTTTTTCAGTTCTCTGGGAACTGTCTCATCTTCACATTTGAATTCTTGGGTATTGCTGGTAATAATTTCAGCATTGTGCATTTGTTTTTAGTTTTCTGTATAGGGGAGTGAAACCAGCTTGTGTCTATACCACCATGCTGGGACCATAATAAGTCTATACACATATCACTGTCATTGGTTAGGTTTAACTTTACCCCAAACATAAAAAGTTGACCCTTGAACAACATGGGCATGAACCGCCAGGGTCCAGATATGGATTTTCTTCTGCCTCTACCACCCCTGAGACAGAAAGACCAGTTGTTCATCTTTCTCCTCCTCTTCAGCCTACTCAACATGAAGATGACAAGAATGAAGACCTTTATGGTGATCCACTTCTACTTAATGAATAGTAAATATATTTTCTCTTCCTTATGATTGTCTTTTTTTAAGAGATGAGGTTTCATTATGTTCCCCAAGCTGTATTTAAATTCAGGAACTCCTGGGCTCAATCCATCCTTCTGCCTTTGCCTCCTGAGTAGTTGAGACTACAGGTGTATGCCACCATGCCTGGCTATATGACTTTCTTAATAGCATTTTCTTTTCTCTAGCTTACTTTCTTGTAAGAATACAGTACATACGCTGGGCGCAGTGGCTCATGCCTGTAATCCCAGCACTTTGGGAAGCCGAGGCGGGCGGATCACGTGTCAGGAGATCGAGACCATCCTGGTTAACACGGTGAAACCCCGTCTTTACTGAAAAATAACAAAAAATTAGCCAGGCGTGGTGGCGGGCGCCTGTAGTCTCAGCTACTCAGGAGGCTGAGGCGGGAGAATGGCGTGAACCTGGGAGGCAGAGCTTGCAGTGAGCCGAGATGGTGCCACTGCACTCCAGCTTGGGTGACAGAGCATGACTCCGTCTCAAAAAAAAAAAAAAAAAGGAAAGAAAAGAAAAGAAAAAAAAAAGAATACAGTACATAATGCATAACATACCAAATATGTGTTAATTGATCATATGTTTCTAGTAAGGCTTTTGGTCAAAAGTAAGCTATTAGTAATTAAGCTTTGGGGAGTCAAAAGTTATATTACAATTTTTGACTGTGTAGGGGTTGGTGCCCCTAACTCTTAGATTGTTAGAGGGTCACCTGTATTTATTTTACAATTTTTCTATTGTGGAGCCTTAATATGGATATATAAGGGAAAGAAAATATGCTTTTTGGGTGTTTTAGGATTGCTGGAGTTCATACAAACTCCGTTTGAAAAAAAATTTTATAAAGGAACTTTCTATTTTAAAAATGTTTTCGAATGAGAAAAGGAAAGAAAAAGATGATTCGTGATATAGAGTGAGATGATTCCTAACATAAGGAGAAAACAAAATTAATATTGGATGAAAATTATGTTTATGTTGCTGAATTTATTCAATCACTGAAAATACTTGTTTTGTCTCTTTGCTCTAGGTCCTGGGATTACAATGTGAAAAAGACAAACATAGTCCTTGCCATGTAGAATTTATAGTTTAGTTGGGGAGATACACATTGTTCAAGTAATTATCACAGAGGAAGAATATACGAACCCACCAAATACAGGGTGAAATGGGAGTTTGACTAGAAAGAAGGAACTGGCAGGAGAAAAAGGATATAAGGAAAATAAAATAACACTGACAGATGGCTTTGGAATTTGAAGGAGAAAGTTGATTTCATATTTATATATGACGTTGAAAGACTACTGGCAGACATTGAGATAGGAACTGACATAAGCTAAAAATTGGAAGCTTTTTTTGTCTGTCTTGTTTGCTTTCTTAAAGAAGCTTTCAGAGTAAATGGAGTGACTATGGTTTGGGGGAGGTAGGAAGTGAAGTGTAAAGTTGGGGAGTAAATGGGTATAACTTGGTGGCAATTCTACAAGAAGAGTTTGGTTGTGATCAGGAAATAATGAGTAGCTGGAGTTAGGACCCGAAACAAAGGTTCCAGACAGATGGTGGAAGGCTTTGAATGATAGGATAAGGAACAGAATTGACTTGAGCAGGTTGTACGGGATCTGAGTATCCAAGGGCAGGATCTGAGCCAGGCAAATTTTAGGAAAATAAGAATTAGAGTGGGAAAGTCTCGAAGCAAGGAAAACAGGTAAGAGACCCTCTGAATAGTTCAGTTAATAAGGACCAGGAGATGAAATGAACAGGGTTATACTGTATTGTGAAATTGCTTCCTTTTACTATAAACCCTTTTGAGGTAAATGTAGCATCTGTTCATCTGCCTGTGGCACAGTTTTTTACTGGTTGAGAACAGCACTGTATTCACTGGCTGCTGACAATGTCTCTCGTTGTGCTCTGCTATGTTTTAATTATGTTTGACATTCATCTCACACTATTATCCAGTGGCAGGCAATTGAAGAAATGCAGCTTCATTTGAAGTCAAACAAAAGTGAGGACACACGTAATTATATAGTAATATATAGTTACTTGGAAGCTAGAAGATTTTTAGGTTTAATATACCTGTGGCTTCCTACATATCACTCCATTCCCATGCCTTGTTTTGATTCAATTGTAAGAAGCATCAGCCGACAATTTAATTATAAACATCTACCCTAAACCAGGAATAGTCCAAAAAGAACAAAGAATCTAAAAACCAGATTAGAAATCAGAAAAAGGTGGTTCCTTTTAATTATGGATTTTTTCAAATATATACGTATGAAAGTAGGAAGACTAGTATAAAAACTCCATGAACCCATCACTAAGTTTCTATAATTATTATCACATGACATAACTTGTTTCATTTATAACCACACCTACTTTTTACCCTTGATACTCAACCTAGATTATTTTAAAGCAAATCTCAGGCATCCTATTATTTCACATATAAATACTTCAATATTTATCTTTAAAAGAGAACTTTTAAAAAACAGATAGATTGCCATTATGATATGTAAAATAAAAGTAACAATAATTCATCAATTCACTAAATATCTAGTTATTGTTCAAATTTCTCCAGTTGTCTTATAATTTTTATTTGATGGCAGTTTTCCTTTGTTGTTGTTCAAATGAAGATGCAATAAGAATCACACATGAAATAGGTTGATATACTTCTTAAGTCTCATTTAATTTATAGATTCTTCACTGTTTTTATTTTTTTTGCTTGCTATTTATTTTGTGAAGAACCAGGGCATTTGTTATGTATAAATTTCCACTTTCTGGATTTACTGATTAATTGTTATGTAACATGTTATCCTAGCCCCTGAGTTTCCAACAAACCAATAATTAGACTTAGAGGCTTGATTAGATTAGATTTTTTTCTTCAAGAATAGTTCATGAGTGGGGCTGAGTCTTACTATGTAATATCAGGAGGTATTTAATGTCTGGTTATCTCTTTTTTTGGTGATGATGATTGAATTCACATGCTGTTAGTCTGATCCAACTGTTTTAAAGTTGGCCATTACCTTGAGGCAATAGTTTACTAAAGAAGTATAGAAGAAATGCTTAATCAGGATATTTAAAAATTGTCTATTAGCAATTCATGGATTTTTAAAAATTTTTGATGTGCTTCAATACATTGAAATAAAATAACATATATTTTAAATGCACAAATTTGTCCATCTTTGCCCTAAGGGAGTCCTTCAAGTTGGCTTTATGTTCCTTTTGACTCTCCTCTGATATCTTCATGGGATTCCTTGCTTTCTGGAATGACAAGAGCCTCATTTTGTACTTACTCATGTCTACAATCAGCCATTTCTCCAAGGAACCCTGTTTCCTTTCAATGGGAAGTGGTCTTTAGAAACCATAATCTGAGCACTAAAGGTGCTCATTGCCACAGGATTGGTCACTGTTTCTAGGCCTTTCCAACAGACAGAAGTAGAAAATATTTACGTTTTCAAAAAATTACATCATGAGTTCATAGTAATATTTCCAACATAAATTCAGAATTTTTATTTAACTTATTTGATTTTACAGTTGTAGTTCCTTTCTCATATACTGAAAAATCTGTTATTAATGACATAAATGTATTATTTCTTTGCTTTATGCTAGCAATGTAAAACTTCAAAATTATATACCAATATTATTACCAGCAATATAATTACTAAATATTGTTTGATTTATTTATAGTTTTTGTCTTTAGTATTCCACTAAATATGTGTTACTAAATATACATGTGATATATCAATGTTTATTTTAATTATATGTAAATATACTTATAAATATATAGATTTATAGTTACAGATAAAGCATATACATAATTAAAGTCATTAGACTAATTACTATCTGTGTGGTTAAGCCAACAACTTACATAGTTATATTGATTTGTTTCATTTTTATTTATTTTTTAGAAATTTTTTTAAATGTTAGGTTAATTTTTTTGTTATATAAAACATTTACATGAGTCCAAAGACAAAGGTATAAAACTAATTGCTTTCAGAAAAGTTTAGCTTTCATCTCTTTCATCTCACCTTATAGATAGATAACCATTTATATTTATTTTCGGTTTACTCATTCATTTAAAAAAATCACAAGTACCTTTATATTCCTCCTTTTTTACAAAAAGATAGCACAGTATACATACTATTCTGAAGAAGACAGCATTTAGACTGCTCTTAAATAAAGTTCCACATATCAGATCTTCACAAATCTTAAGGTACTACTCATTAAAAAAGTTATTTAATAAAAATAACATATTATTTTTATTCTTAAAATTCAGATCCACTTAGTATAAGATTATTATGTTAGCATAGACCTAGTGGAAGAAATTATATTAAATTTAACTATTGTAAGGCTAGAACCCTGCTTTTTAAGAAGAAAAACACTGCTCACTTTAATGATGCATATTCAGCACTTATTATATGTGAGGCATGGTTTTAAGCACTTTCCAAATATTAACTTATTTAATCCTCATAATAATACCGCTAAATAGGCACCATTATTAACCCCATTTTAGAAATGTGGAAACTAAGGCAAGAGATGTTAAGAAACTGTTAACGTTTCCAGCTACTAAGCAACAGTTAGGATTTGAACTGAAGATCCTGGCTTCAGTGTCTGGGGTCTTAATTATTCACCCGGCTGCCATTCTCCATAGTTAATTTACATTGTATCTTTTTTTTTTTTTTGCTATTATAAGCAGCATTGCAGGGAACATCCTTGAAAATAAATTTTAGTTCTCATCAGTTAGTGTTTCGTTACAATGATAATTTATTGAGCTGAAATTTCTGAGTTGAAAGGTAGGCATATTTTAAGTTAAGCATTTTGGGATTTTTGATTATCTTTAGCACAAATAAATGAAAAGGAATCTATATGAATATGCTGACATGTACCCATGAGGTTTCTTTAAAAAATCAACTTTATTGATATAATCAAATACAGCCACCTTAATTATACAGTTAAATGTTTTGGCAAATGTATACACTTATGTAACCACCACCATAATCAAGAAATAGAACATTTCCTTTACTCTCAAGTTCCCCTGTGTTCATTAGCAATTTCCATGTTTTGAGAACTGATCCCTTTTACTTTCAGTTTTCTTTTTAGAGAGATAAATAAAGTTTTTTAGAAATAGGCCATCCCATTACTAAATAAACTGTCTTCAGGCAGAAACTAATATTTATACATGTCTGTTTTCTTTTCTGCTAGAATCTGTGTCAGAAACCATTGACTTGAAGCTATCAATATTAAATGCTGCTTACTCTATGTGAGCTGAAAGCTGGCATCCATTGTGCTGTTGATAACAAGCCTGAAACTCACATGTCTCATGGGTTACTTTCACCAGCCAGCCCTGCCTTTTCAGATGTGTATACTTGACTTTCATTTAGATAAAAAAAAAAAAACACATTTAAGTAACTATAGCAGCCTGTTTCCCTGAGGGAGTGTTATACATCTGTCCAAAAGATGGGAAATTTCAGTTTTTGAATGATCAGGAAATTTCACTTTTAATCAAAAGTATAACAGTGAGTTCCTCAGACATGACCAAATATATTAGCATATAATCATGGAATATTATAATTTTAAAATTAAAATCTACTAAATATTTACAAGAAAACTAAGAGCCAACAGGATTAAATGGCTTGCACAAGGTCACAAAATTTAAGGTCCGTTGGAATTAAAACCTTTTCTAACAGGATAAATTACCCATTCTCCATAAATCTCAGTCTGCTAATTCCCAATCTCATGTTCTTTTCAGTTTCATGCTGCTACTCCGTATTAGTCAAGTTGTTAGGCATGACTTTTCCCAGACAGAGATTACAGAAATTACAGATATTATATTCACTGTACCATGAGAAAATTTTCAGGGCTCATACTTTATAGTATTAATCAGGTATCAGTTGCAAACCAACCTTGTTACATCTATCTTCATATTTATTTGGTATAACATACATTTTCCCAAATAGCACACTGTGCCAGAGGGGTTAAAAAGAACATGTGCAACATCTCTGCAAAATCTTACTCTTGCTGCCAATCAGCATAGAACAGAATGACCCAATTACCAGTTGGAAAGGAAGCTGCTGCATACTTTAGAGTTCCCTTGTGACAGAGTGGAAAGTCTCACAAGATGGTTTGAATTGTGTTACTATGAAAACTTATGGTATTTTTTCTTATTGCAGAAGTAAAGCATACCTATTTGGAAAGAATAAATAACAATTTTTAAAATAATAAATAAAATAACAATTATCCCTAATATTTAAAAATTGATTTCTACTGTTCACATTTTGGTGTACATGTTTCCAAACTTATAAAAATATAAAGCCTTTATTACTTTGATATTAACAAAACTAATACATGAATAAATTTCCTTCATGTTAGACATAGTAGGACATAGCAGTTAAGGGCACAGACTCTAGATTATCTTGTTAGCACCTGGGATCTGTCAATTATTAGTCATATGACCTTGAGTAAGTTCATCTGGCAGTGGCCCAGTTTCCTCATCTATAAAATGGTGATGATTTTAGTATTGGCCTTATGGGGTTGTTGCCAGAATATAATGAAGTAATATATATACATTATTTACCAGGAAACTTCACACATCATTATTACAATGTTATCACTATAAAATAATGAAATCAATATAGATGCACTGAAGATTCCCTCTTGCTTACTACCTCTCTCCCTAACTCTAATCCTCTGCAGAGATAACCCACATTATGCTTACAACAGAGAACCCAACCATTCCAATGTTTTGATCTCTAAGGATCTATTTATAGTAGTGGTCTGCTTCTACTAGATCTAGAGTATTAATCAAACACTTCAAGAGTCCCAAATCAGTTTTCTGAATGAAGTAAAATTTGAAGACAGTCAGGCATTGTTGGGCATAAGCTAAATTGTCTTCCTTGTTGGGAGAAAAGTGGCTAACTATAAAAAGGCCCAGCCTATTTTACAGGTTTAGATAGGGGGAAGAAAATGATCTAGGTGCTGCTCTGGCCAGTCTTGACTGTTGCTGACAAGGTTGGAGGCTGTAGTTTTTACACATTTCCACTATGGCCTGTAAAAGTTTATGTCTTTACTTGCATGAACAGGGATCAATAGAAACAGTTTCAACTGAGTTCCATCTCTATTCCATTTCAGATATTTTTTACTCTTTGAAACCCAGCCTCAAATATTTCCTGTCTTCGCTTTTCACCTCATGGTGATGTCATTTGTCATTCTCACTGTAGAATGAATGGGTCTCTACTCATGGCTGGAGACATGACTACTGACAGATCGCACATTTTCATCTTGTGTCCCTCCTTAATTGAAGAGAGAATACTTCTTTTTACCTAGTTCAAATTCTGGACAAAAGGGGTCCAAATGGGGTCAGGGTCTGACCTCCTGGATAATCAACTATGGCCAGAAAGAAGGGGGTCCTGTAAAACACGACAACCCCTGCTAGAAGCACATGCTAGGAATGGTAGAAGAGCATTTCTCATAAAAAGGAAGGTAGGAATGAGTGGAGCATGCTGCTCTTGTAATGATGGTAGGAGCTAAGCAGTCCATAGCACCACCATGACCTTTCTTAATTTCCGTCTGCTCTCTGCCTGCACATCACCTCACTTTCATTACTCAGCAGCATGCTGTGGGTGTGACTTTTGCTCTTGTATGCCATTGATGCCATCTGCTCCTGCCTTCTCTCCTTTGATGTCATTATACAGATGGCAAGGGCACAATGGGAAATGGCACTTAGTTCAATATGGTAGCTCAGGATACATCAAACCTGCCCTGCATCAATGCTGCTGATAACTAATCCAGCTCATGTGTAAGTCTAATAATGGAATAATTATTACATTTTGGCTTAGCCTCTGAAATCCCATCATAAATTATTGGAACTATATGCATCCATTTCAAAATATGCATCTTATACATTATGGGAGCTAAAATATGCGATTGTTTTAAATGTAATCTGGTAGATTTCTAAGAAATGATGATAACTTACTAATAGTCACCTACCAAGGTTCAGAAATTTTGTTGACATTATAAACAATGGAAAATGTCTTACAAATGTGCTTGTTAATTTGACCATGTAGGTGTCAGAGCTAATCAGTCAACAGCTACAGCTAATGCAGGAAAGAAGAAAAATTAATATTCATTAGACTCTTGTTTACACTTCTGTTGTCAAGGTCAATCAGTTTGCTTTAAGCACAACGTTTCAGTCTTATTAAAGTCATTAGTACCCTTCAGTATACAGAGAACACTTGGGTTTCATAAGTGTGTTTGATTCACACATCACTCCCATTGCACAGGGGCCCAGGTTTAGGCCATCATTTTCTGGGATTTAGATGTAGACCTTTATTTAGACTAACAAATTATCACAATAGAATAATAGCTTAAAAGTGGGACCAAAATTCATGTTTTTGGTAATATTCTCAATTGCAGAATCTAATAAGTATTCAGCTTTTCAATTTTAACACAAATATTACATATAACAAAGCAGTCACCATCAGGCCCTGGTAATGCAAAAAATGCTTCTTTGGTATTTCTGTTTACCTTTGTATCAAAAATGATTATTGTTAACAACTAAACTGTGATAAGAAATTTTTACTGAAGAACAGTGAATGTAGTTAGGATTCCATGAGTACAATATTAACAGTATAATTTTTTCTTATTACAAATAAAAAGATAATATTTCATGACTCCCCAAGTGTGGAACTATCGATTTGATGAAAATCCCAGCTTTACATTATTCCAGCTGACTCCTAAATGACCTGCAAGTCTGGGTCTCCCAGGCTAATAGTTTACACAGAGGAAGCAGGTCTCTGGAATGGCTCTTTCATCATTGATTATGCTTTTATACTTTATTATCCCATGGAGAAATCTGTTAAAAATTATTATTTTGTTATAATTACAGCATATATTATATTATTATAACATTATAATTATTATAATATGTTTTTCAACTTTTATATACATCTCCTTGGTATTTGGTTCCAGAGGTAGGAACTATAACGAATGACTCGCAAAGAATCAATACAGACTCCTAGTTACTTAAAATTCCCTGAAACCTATTTACTAGTCACTAATATGAGAATTAGACTCCACAGAAATAGTCTGTTTACTCTTTTGAGCTCAAAATGGAGCTGTGGTATTTGTAGTTTTCTTTTCTTCTTGTTTTTGAGATGGAGTCTTACTCACTCTGTCACCCAGGCTGGAGTGCAGTGGTGTGATCTCAGCTCACTGCAACCTCCACCTCCTGGGTTCAAGCGATTCTCATGCCGCAACTTCCCTGGGACTACAGGCGTCCACCACCAAACCCAGCTAATTTTTGTGTTTTTGGTAGAGATGGGAGTTTTACCATGTTGGCCAGGCTGGTCTCGAACTCCTGACCTCAAATGATCTGCCTGCCTCAGCCTCCCAAAGTACCGAGATTAAAGGTATGAGCTACCTCACCCATCCTATTTGTACTTTTCTTAATCCTGTATCTCAATGATTTAAACTGCTTTAGAATTATGTAAATATATGCCTCTTGACTACAACAGGTAGAACAAATAATATTTCTTCTGTATATAAATTATGTGTTTTTATGACAGTGAATGTTGAGGTGCCTCAGAGAATAAAGGATTCTTCAATAAGTGCCATAAGATAATTTAATATTAATTATTCTGAAACTAAAAAGTTAATTTTAGCACATTTTATCTAAAATTTAGTTAATACATAGTCAATATTATTCCTATAGTAGAAAAGTTAATTCATACTTTGGAGAGGTGAGGGCCACTGGTAGTCAATTAATTCTGGCCATTTTTTAAAAAGTTTCTTAAAAATAATTAAATATTCTGTTGGCATGCTCATGACATTTTATATAGAGGTGACGAATGACAAATAGGACTTGCAGCATAGAGTAATTTCTTCTGAGCATTAAGATATGGGGGAAAAAAGTAATCTCCACAATATTGTAGAAGTGTAGAGGATAGTACTTTGGGAATTGAATTAAACATTTATGAGTGAGAACAGACCAAATCTACAGCCAGATTGGAAACAGCTATCTATCTACCTGGAATCTTGGTTTGGCTTCTCAACTTATTTACTGTCTAAAACTGCACAGCCCAATACAGTAGCTAGTAGCCACATGTGGGTATTAAATTAATGTTTAACTTAATAAAAATGAAATCTAATAAAAAATTCAGTTCCTCAGTCACATTTCAGTGTTTAATTTCCATATATAGCTAGTATTTGCCATATTGTACAGTGCCAGAATACAATATTTTTGTTCCCTCAAAAATTTTTTTTGGACAATGCTGATCTAAAACTGAGGCAGTCCTCAACAGTCACAGAAATTATCTACTCTTCAATCATGTTCCAGGAAGTTTTTATTTCAAGGTAGCTTAATTAAAATACCTTTGACTCCTCGTCTTCAAAGATCATCCCCAAACAATAACAGGAACAAGAAACAAAAACACATATTCCATTGCCAATGAGACAAGAGATGTTTAATTCAAATAAAACATGAACACAGAAAAAAGATGGAGTCATCATAAATGATGTAGCAGGTGGGAGGAAGGTCCACGTCTAAGTGAGTGTGGATGTGTGTGCACACATTTGGAGGGTGACAACCAGGAGCAAGCAGATATTTTGTATAGACCTGAGACAGCCTGAGAGATTGGAGGTAGGTTCTGAAAATGGGATCATTTCTTGTCACTTCTATCCTGCACTGTCACAGTGCTTCCTTTACTCTACTCCAGCAGGAAATTGGATGTTTATTCTCTAGATTAACCAAAGTAGAGGTTCTGGATTGGAAACACCAGGCACAGCAGACAGGTAGTGGAAGGCAGTGGCATACTGACAACAGTATAACTAGGTGAATAAGAAAGTTCTGAATGTTGATAATCCTGTTTCCTTTCCCTACCCAGCACCAGAAGAGCACCAGCAGCCAGTGTATTTATCTTTTCTTGTCACCACTTCATCTCCCAAATAGGAGCTGGAATCTCCTTTTGTGGAGACAATAACTCCAGAGAAAAGATATACTAATATTGACATAGAAGATTCACAAGTAAAAAGCCAGCTGCCTCTCTATTGCCCTGCAGTGTAACCCACCATCATACAACGCCACCCTTGTACAAGAAGATGTCAGTCAATTTCTTAGCGCTTCGCTCTTGAACATAAAAGGACAGTCAGTGATAACCAGATATTTGAGGATAATCTCCAAGAAGAAAGAGACCGAAACAAGCAAAGGGAGAAAAATAGAGCTCACGAAAAAAAAAAAAGAAAAGAAAATGTAAGAAGAGGAAAACTTCAAAGAAAACACAAAATATAAGAGAAATATTGCACAAATAAAACAAGAATGAGATACTATTAAAATAAATACAATAAATGAGAAATTTAAAATATAAAAGTAAATAGAATAAACCCAAAGAAGCTTTGGAAGATAAAGATGAGAAAATCTCCCCAAAAGTTAAACAAAAACAAACAAACAAAAACAAATAATAGGGGAATAGTCAAGAAAACTAGAAGTGCAATATCTGATAAATAGAAGTTCCAGGGGGAAAAATAAAGAAAATAATGAGAAAGAAATACGAGAATATTTCTCAAAACTGAAAGATGAGTACTAATACAAAGCATGAGAAAGCTATACCCTGGCATGTGATTGTGAAATTTCAGAACATTAGAGACAAAAAAAAATCTTGAAAAGTGGTTACATTTTAAAAAAACAAGAATAAGAAGTAAATTAATCTTATTCAACAGAAGCTCTGTCTGGTTTCTAGGCAGAATCTAGAACAAACAGGTTGTGTATGTTACTTTAAAATATTGATGCAAATGCCAGAGGAGAAAATGAAAAAAGCCAGAAATTACTCTGGGCACAGGAATGAAGGGTGGGGAAGAGAGGCAACAAGAAATGGCTGGGTTTTTATTAGAAGCCTTTTTAGCACTCTGACATCTAAAATTACTTGAATGTACTATATGCTAAAAAGAAATGAAAAAACCCTTTCCAAGAAAATAACCTCAAATTATTTAATATTCAATTCTTATCAAACTCTCAGTTTAGAGAATAAATACATAAACAAACAATTCTGGGGCCCCAAACCTGGGAACTACCCAATTATAAGGTGTGTGTGTATATATATATATATACACACACACACACATACACCTATATATATATACACACACACACACACACACATATATATATACCTTATATATATACACACACACACATATATATATACAGGTTATAGTATGAAGTGAAAAATAGTAATTAATAAGTGTATGAGCCTTTATTCATGGTTGGATTTGAAAACAGCACAAAATGCATAGCTATCATGAATACAATACAACCGTGCCTTTTATAAAGCAACTATAGTCACACTTCAAATCTTACCTTCAGAATTCACAATAAAGACTCCTGAAATCATTAAGCATGCAGAGAAAACTACCTAATTGACTGGCAAGAAATACTTTTTCATGTTCAATTTGTCAAAGATGACTTAATACCAGTAAAACCTAACATCTTGACCATGACATTTTAGGATGTCAATAGTTATACAAAAATTCTAAGAGTAATCTTTTTTAGGGTGAATTTTCTGGAAACTGAGATTTACTAAGAAGAAAAATCCGAATATATTACCATTGAAATCTTAAAACTCCTGTGTTTCCCACCATGTCTTCCAACAGAAAACTGGTGATTTCTTAGGACTTTAATAGTATAGCTGATGTTAGGTCATTAATGAGGGCAGATTTAAAATGGAAGCCTGAGAATGTGATTTTAAGTGTATTTTTTCTCCTCTATATAAGAGTTGTAAAATGGAAATCTATCAATTACCTGCTTAAGAATCTCTCGTAGCTTCCTTTTGCCTAGCATATAAAATCTGAACTGAATCTTTTATTCAATAACTGACATCAATGTTTTCTTCTTTTCTCATTCTTCTTAATACTTTTTCAGCTCAAGTCAGACTATTTTCAAGTCTGGATTTTTTTTTCAGCCCTACCTTTGTATTGTCATCCATATTGTCTGTCTGCCTGAACCTCTTTATTTTTCTATCAACCCCTATTTTTCTCCATCTTAAAGCTCTAATTCGTAGCCCTGCTCTAGGAGGCCCTCCATGATTGATACTAACTGTGGCTGTTGTTTGGTTCTTGGCTTGGTTGGTTTTTATTACTCTGGGCCCCCTCTTCTAGCTCTTTTATTAATACCTCAGAGAATAGTTTGCAAAAACTATGGCAACTTTACTAATATTTAGCTTTCATCATGGACTTAATGGCAAATGAGTGACAAACTTGTCTCCCTTGACAGTAGGCATGATTTCTGCTGCCTATTGAATTTCAATGCTATTGTGTTCTATTTAAAATTACTAAAACTCTCATTTATCTATGAAGCCCTTAGCCCCACAGATCTGCCTCATGTGCTCAGTTTGTCTGTTTTATAGTGTCTGTGCTCCTCAGGAGTCTAGATATTTTGGCCTGTGAAAACTTTCTCCCCTAGGGGTTTTGATGACACCATTTTATGGTGAGGTGTCTCCTCTGGTAAGTTCTGAATATGGTGACACATACATTTATTAAATTAATTTTTAAAATTAGAAATACATAAACATGTTAAAAATCTCAACTGTTGTATAGTGAAATGCAATCTTCCTTCCTCTTCTTCCTCCAGTCTCCTAGTTTCCCCGTCCAGAAGCAGTTACAGTTGTGTGCCACCTTCTAGAAAAATTCACTGCATATACAAGAGAGGGGGAGAAAGCTATGGATTTTACTGGTTCACTTAATATATTTGGAGCTTGTGTCCTATCACTCATATTTTTAAGGACATATAGGATTCCACTTTTTGAATGTACCTTAATTTCTTTAACCAGTTCTGTACTGATGGGCATTTATCATATTATCACTTTTCATTCTTATAAGCAGTACGTATACAGTTTTGAAAATGTAGATGATATCTGTTGCATAGACTACTAAAAATAAAGTTGCTCAGCCAAAGGGAAGCACATTTTAAATTTTTATGAATTTGGGTAAATTTCCCTTCAATGAAGTTGCATCAATTTCCATTCCCACCAAGAATATGTGACAGCTGTATCTGGCAAACATATGTATTTCCCTGGAACTTTGATCTATTTGAAAGAAGACTAGGAACACATTTACAGTACTGTTACCAACATCTTCTTCACTTTTGATTTTTCTGTAATTCTCCCTGCCAAAATTTAACAGAACGCTGTCATTTTCCTGACTCATCGTCCTTTTATTTCCACTTTGTAAAAATGTCTGTGTTTGGTTTTATGTTTTTAGGGGTGGCATAGAATCTTCCACCAGAACCCTGGAAGTGTAGGTCAGGATGTTAGAAATTCTTCTAATAAATAGTGTCCAGGAAACACTTCATTAGAGTAATTCTCTGGCACAGGGAGTCCTGGGTGGTGGCTCTTGTGACAAGCCCCTTTACCTATGGTATGTTGGAAATTTAACCACAACCTTAGGGCATGCAATGATTGTCTTTCCTTTAGGTGTTTAACTCATATAATGTCTTAAAGATAAATGGCACCAGTAATATTTTAACAATGTTCGGGTATCCTTTGTTTCCATAGTTACCTGGGTTTCTGTTAGCTTAAGACTTTAGATGTGTAGCTTCAAACTCTGGGTTCTTCTTCAACTAGGTCAAGAGTTCACACATTTTTCCACCCACTGGGCAGGCAAACCAAGTTGTAATTGTTGCTTATGAAGAGGATCCTCAAATGGTACAACACTCAATTAGGTTAGATTAAATTCAGAGCAATAAAATATTTCTGAGTATGTTCTCAGAGAAACCCACATCTTAGTTTTCCTTATCTGAGATCATCTTTACCAGTTAAGAGGGCACACTTCAAATAATACAAACATTCTTTATAAATTCATTATTTCCTAAATCCCTTCCTAGTTTCAGTTTTGATGAGCTCTTTTCATAACTCTAGGTACTTTAGATATGCTTCTCTCAGCCTCGATTTGGCTTTTAGGCTAAAGGGTTTTCCTAATCACAGCAAGTGGGTCAAAAATTAGGATAGGCTTCCCATGAAAGACTAAGTACAATAATTGAACAAAAGGGGTGAAAGTTGATTAAAGTGATGCGAGGAGTAAATGGATTCACTTTTACAGGATCTTCTGAAATCTGAGATAAAGGACTGACTCCTTGGCTAATCTCAGTGCAATTACCTACTCATGGAGATCAATACTTTTTTACTATTAAAAAATAGTGAAAATTTTTAAGATTGGTTAAGGAAGAGTAATGTGTTATTAGGGGAGGCAAGGAAAACTTAGATCTAATTTAGATTTCTATGAAAACAGTGGGCATCAATAGGAGAACATAAAAAAGAGACGTGAGTATTAGGAAAATACCAAAAGGTTTGGTTAGAAACAAATCCTCTTGTGATAGGAGATAAGACTGAAGACCAAACAGAAATTATAACTGCATAGATCTTGGTTTTATTCATTCATTTGCTCATTCAGCCTGTTCACTGGCTCCAACATAGCTCTTGATTCTATCCCATGTGACATATTCATTGACCAACCATGTGTTTTGGACAGATCAGCAGCTAGAGATCCAAAAACGACTGGTTAGATGGAATGTCTTAGGAAATAGTGTCATCAGTGGTGTACAAAATGGTATTAAACTTTCCCTGGATGATGGATTAAAGAGAGAACAAATTAAAGGCATAGATATAGCCATCTGCTAATCAGGGTTTCACAAGGCATCTGTACCTTAGGCCATTCCTTTTGGGATTTCCACTTGCAAAAAATATAGTGAAATAAAACTTAAACTGAATAGAAGAAAGAATTTCTTAGACTCATTCACATTCAATCAATGTTTACTGAGTGCCTAATATGTGCCAAATATTATACTAAAATGCCGAGGATACAGCAGAGGGACAAAAATTCCCTGCATTTGTGGTGCTTACATTTTACTGATACAGTTAATGAAGATCATAAAAATTTTAAACACTGGAGCAGTGAAGTGAGATTAGGAATCCCTGTGCCTTTAAAGATTGAGAGACTATCATTTCCTTGGAAAGAATTATGTATTATCTTGCATGTATGTGTGAAGGCAAATGAGTAAAGGAAATGCTTCTTCAGCAACCTCTTTCAATTCTCTAAAGTTATTTTCATTACCTAAATATTAAAGAGTGAGAAGGACTTGAGGGGAAAAAAAATAAAGCTTTTTTTTTGTTGTTTTTTTGAGACAGGGTCTCACACTGTCACCAAGGCTGGAGTGCAGTGGTGCAATCTCAGCTCACTGCAGCCTTGATGTCCTGGGCTCAATCAATCCTCCCTCCTCAGCCTCCAGAGTAGCTGGGACCACAGGCATGCGCCACCGTGCCTAGTTAATTATAAAACTTTTTTTAGAGATGGAGTTTTGCTGTGTTTCCTAGGCTGGTCTCAAATTCCTGTGCTCAAGTGATATGCCCACCTCAGGCTCCCAAAGTGCTGGGATGACAGGCGCGAGCCACTGCACCTGGCCAAAATAAAGCTTGACCTGAGTTGATATGAGGGTGATGAGACTGAGTAAAAAGCCCATAGGATTCCAGCCTGTGTTCATGTAAGTATTCAGAACAAGATAATCTCTGCTACTCTCTACACTACTTTGATTTAGGAGTGACTGTACTTGGCTTTAACAACCTCACTTAGGAGAGATATTGAGAAAGCCAAATATGACAACATGTGGCTATTCAGCATAATGCAGAATCTGAAAAACACAATACGTGAAAATTGATTCAACAAACTGGAGGAGATTACGTGTTTGTTCTGAGGCTATGTAAGCTTGAGTCATGGTTCTGCTCTTTGCCCTCCGTGCAACCTTGGAATATTTTTACTTTATTTCTTTGTTCTGTTTCCTCACATATGAAACAAAGATAATAACATTGCCTACTATATCAATTAGTATAATTATAGCTTCAGGTAATGGAAAAGCCAGGTAATTTGGCTCAGTTCACAAAGACGTCACTTGTTTACTTAATGAGAAATCTAGAAGTACATGGCTTAGGGTTAGTCTGGTGGTTCCACAATGTGAGGATTCTAGGTTCTCTATGATTTTCCCGACTTTACCTCCACTGTTGAAAATGGCAGTGGTGGCTCCAGAAATCTCATTTTCATAATTTCAAGTCCAAAATCTGGAAGAAGTGAGACCAGGTGGGGGTGTAAGACAGAGAGAAAACCCTCCAAACATGTCTCTCTTCTTTTCAAAGGAAGAAAAAATGTTTCCAAGAATCCCTCTAGCAGATGTTCTTCTATGCCTTCGTAGCCAAAATGGAATTCCAAGGCCACTTCTAGCTGTAAGAGAGGCTGGGAAACAAAGTATTTGGTTTGATATCCTCTTTAGCTGGAGAACAGGCAAGAAAGATGGCACTAACAAAGCTGAACACACCGGCATTGCAAAGGCTGTCTACCAATTGCTTAAGTCCGATGAGATAGAATACATGTACAAGTAGGACAAAGTAGATTATTATTTTATCACAGATTTATTATAGGCAGCAAGGATAAACAGAAGCCTAGAAACCAGAGCAAGCCAGCTTCCTAAGGCTCAGGAAAGCTGCCCAGGGTGGATGGAGTTCCGTGTGTGCATGTCCCATGTTGCACCACAACTGAGGGACCCTGAAAAGCATGCTGCCCTGGGTTTATATAACCTGGGTGACATTTGGCACGCTAAGCTCAAGCATTGCAGAACATCCTGTTCTAGGAGAAACGAGGACACAGTTTGGGTTGTTCTGGGCATTTCCTCCTTATCTCAGGATGTTGAATTCTCGGTACATTCTGCCTGAGAATTACATGCAAGAGAGGGAAGATCTGGGTCAGCCAACATGATCTGTCATCTGGAGACCTGCCCTCTTGTACATCTCAGAATATTACTGTAAATATTAAGTGGGAAGAAACGTGAAATAATTTCCATGGCATGTAAACATTCAAAAATGATAACAATTATTTGTCATCTTTATTTGCACAGAAGAAGAAGCATTTTAATGGAGAGACTTTTTGTGATGCGTGTACAGAGGACATTATTAGTGAAATAACAGCAAACTTGCTATTAATGAGATCTGCTCAAAATCTCTATGAGGTAGTGAATGCCCCATCATGAAGATTTTCATGCAGAATTGGGATGACCTCTGTTCTTCAGGTAGGAACTTGGATTAGATATGTCTAGGATTTCTTCCAGTTGAAGTTCCTGTGATTCTACAATAGGGTAGTCTGAGGATCAAGATACAAATTTCTTCTCTTATCTTAAAATGGACTTAATTTGCGTTTAGATAAATTGCAATGTTCTGGCTAGATCCAAATTTCTAAAATGAGGAATATTAAAAGTCTAACCATTACAACTCTACTGGCCAGTGTGATTCATGCATCATTTTCAGAGAAGAGAATAGCTGCTTAGATACTGAAAGGTACAAAATGATAGTATTTTCTCTTGTTTAGAGGTACAGAATCCACTTTATTTTTAGATCTTGACATTCTAAATACTTATATCTCTTCAAGATAAAAAAAGAACATTGTTTATTTTAGTCAGTATCTTTCCCTTTCTCATTTGTTTATACATTCTTAAAATAACCATATAGTTCTCATTTATCAAACTTCCCTATTGCATGTACATTCTTTCTTCCTTCGTTAGGATTTGGTAAGAGTGCTATGAATGTGTTAGAATGGTGTAAATGATACTTGCTGTGTATGATTTTTTCCCCCTCCCCAAGCCTGCCAGGGGAGCGAGGTGTTAAATCTCATGAGATTCTTTTACCAAGTCCAAGTTTTAAATAAATGAAACTTGTACAGACTCCAACATACCATCTTGAGATAACCTCAGGCCCTGAAGTGTATCGACAAGCAGAATGATCTCAGCCAAGTTGTAAAACTGTCTTTGAAAAGAATAGCTGGATGAAAAACATTAGCAGCAACTGAATCAAGAGAAAACGTGACTTCAAACTGAAAGGCACTCTCATGGTAAATACATAGTAAAACCATGTTCTGCAACTTCATATTTTCGTAATGCTTTAAGCTACCCAAGGAGCCCATGCAGATATGCAAAGCTACTCATTGAGAAGCTCAGCTTATCCCTACATATGCCATCACCAGTTTTTCACTTAACGTTTTCTCCTCAACCCCTTTCTATTTGGCTTCCATTCTACTACTCACCAACCACCTTCAGTTTGCAAAATCCTATGCAGATCTTACCTTAACTTTTCAGCATCATTCAGTAAGGTTAAAAACTTTTCCTTCTAGATGGTTTTGGTGGCACCAGAGTCTTCTTGTTTTCTTCTTTCTTTTTTAGCTGCACTTTCTCAGTAGTATTTGCTGGCTCTCCTTCCTTTACTCCAACTCTTACTGTTGTAGTTTCACTGATCTTGGATTGAGTTCCTCCCTTTGTTTTCCTATTTATACTCTCTGACTAAGGTTCAAAATTGTCTTTATCTGTTGTAAAATCTGTGTTTCAAGACTAGAACTTCTCCTCTAAATCCCATCTATCTGATGACTGATAGATTTCAGACTGAACATGCTTAGAATAAAATGCTTAGCCATGGCTGTTCCCTGCTCCCTGGCCACAGTTGCCATACACCTTCATCCTTCCTCAGTTTTCTCATGGTAAATGTTACCATCATCCACTCAGTTAATAATACCTGAAACCAGGGAAATGGTCCTGAAATTAGTCCTTTTTTAAATATCACCTTCACATGTAGCCAATCAGCAATTCCTACAATTTATATTCCAGAATATATGTCAAGTCCATCTACTTTTTCCACCTCCACCGCTGTCACCTAGCTCAAGCCACCATCATCCTTCACCTATTCTATTGCAGTAGCCTCCTAGAAGGTCTCCTAGCTTCCTTTATTAGCCCTGTACAAGCCATTCTCTGCATGGCAGCAGAATAATCTTTTAAAAACTGAAATCATACCAATTACTCCTTACCCAAAAGTATTGAAGGGTTCCTGTTGCATGTTGAACAAAATCTACACTCCTTATCATGGCCTATGGAGTGCTTCATGTTCCCAACCTTGGCAATGTTTTTTAACATGCTACCAGTTCTTTCTGTTTCTTACTAAGTCCAGCTCACATTGACCTAACACACTAACCTCTTTCCTGTCTCAGGCCCTTTGCCCTTGCTGTTACCTCTCTTAGAACATCCTTTGTTGCTTTGCATAGCCCATTCCTCCTCATTCTTCATTTCTCAGCTTAAATGCCACTTCATCAGAGACGCCTTTTTCAAAAACTTTACCTAAGTTTTTATTTGTTTTTCTTTTTTCCTGAGCTGATAGGAAGACAACTCTGTTATCTTTAGGATTTCAGATGCTTTTAGAATCAAACCTGGAAAGGATACAAAAAGCAGAAGCAAAACCAACATTTGGGAGAAGAACAGATTAAGGTGAGAAAACCTCTCTTGAACCTTTCAACTTTCTAACAAATACGATAAATTCTGAAGCCACTAGGGATCTGGCAGGTAACTAAAATGAATGTGATGAACTATGTGTAGGAAGCTTGAGAGTAGTGAACTAGAAACCAAGTGCCCATGTAAAGATATCCAATATCTAAAACATTGTTCATGACAAGCTAAACGAGGGATGAATCTGGCTTTTGAGTTGCTAGTTTAAGATCCATATGTAGACTTTTTTCTTTCGTTGGATAGTTAAGAATATTCTTAGGTATATAGGCATCATTTTAAACTTCCGTATGCACATACCAAAAATCATATCACAATCATTTGATCAACATTGTTTATTGGCCCTTTAGATGTTTTTCTTTTTTCTATCAAAGTTTTTTGAGAATTACAAATGTTAATATTACATAAGCAATATTTATCGAACCTAGTTTCCAAAAAAATCCTTACGTGCAAGCCACAGCACTTGAAACTGATGTTCAAGGAGGTCCATGGAAGAATTTGAAGCAGGGGAATAATCTTTTCTCTTTAGGTCATCACATTTGTGTCTTAGAAAAATCATTCCACAGCAGTGTGGAATAAGGATTAGAATGAGAGGAGGCAGGGAAAGTGACTAGAAACTATTGTAGTAATTTAGATGAGAACTGACGAAAGCAAAGGCAGTTAGATTGCAGACATGGAGAAAGAAATAATAAGACTAGAGAATCTAGGTGAAGAAAAGCTACAACAGGCAAGTACTAAAGTTGTAAGTTTGCTAACAGTTACGGTAAAATGGGAAATAAAAGATGTTATTCAATAATGATTATCTAGTAGAAGATTACACACCAGTCAGGAAAATCAACTTTTCTTGGACTCCAAGAGGAACACAGTATGTCACACTATAAAGGAATATTGCCCTACAAGGGACACTTGGCAAGAAAATGGCCATTTCTTATCACAGCACCTGATGAAAAGCAAGGGTAATATATTAGTTCATAATTCAGAGATGCAGGTCCATAGAGAACTAAAATAATATCATATAGGCATGTTTTTATAATTTAGCTAATATGAAGAGAGAACTTTAAAAATCTAGGAGATGAATTAACAGCATGTTCTTTAAACCTATGTTTTCCAAACTGCAAATTATGACCTACAATTTGTGAGATCTAGATAGTAGGTTACCAACAGCACTTTAAGGAATGAAAAAATGGATTTCATATGTATTCATATGTACATGTGTACAAATAGAGTATTTGTATTAAGGGTAAGTACTGTAACATAAAACTTGTGTGTGTGTATATGAGTGTGTGTGTGTGCATGTGGAAGTGTGTATACCTGTGGCTGAATACATCCCTTACTGCACGTTGTAGTAAAAACAAGTTTGAAAAGCACTGCTTTAGACAATTTTCCAGTATGTCTCCTCTTGACTACGATTCTGTCTGAGATTGCTGTACAGTGTAGAAGGGTGAAGAAGCTCTGAGCTGCTGTTTAAAGGCAGATTTGCAATCATACCTCTTTAGAGATTATGAGAAAACTGACGGCCTCCTAGTTCCACTTGAAGTTATGCCCAGATGGAACCAGTTCCTCTTCATAAAACACTTCAAAGCAGCTAAGGCAGGGCAAAGTCCATGGATCTGTTCAAATGCTGAAACAAACCCTTTGTTGAAGCTACTGAATCCTGTCCCATAGACTCAATGTGGCCAACTCAGAAGTTTAATTTTAAGTAGGAGCACATCCCAGTCAACATACCAGAATGTACTGGTGTTGAGATACATGTAGATTAGGGCCACCTCCCAGAATTCCCCCAAGTGTGAGACAAGTGAAATAAATGTGTGAATACAATTAGGTGGATAAAAACTAGGGAGTAGCGGGGACATAGTGAATTAGAAAGTGTGTGACTTTCTAAAGCTGTTCAGCTAATACACAGCTCCAGTTCATTGTTGTGTGGGAATGCATCTCAGTGTTTCCAGTCCTCCCCAATTGTCAAAAGACCCAGAAATCCAGAATTTTTATGTAAAATAATTAAATATTGGCAACATATCTAAACATTTTAATGATGTATTACAGGACAAAAAATTCCATGGGCAAGATTCATTCCAGTGGCTCCTGATTTTGCCTCTTTTCACCTAGATCAGATTTTTTTTTAAATCAGTGAGTTCCTTTTTTTGAATAACATTTGTGTAGAAGTCTAATAAATAAACACATGACCAAACAAAAACACTCCTCTTTCGGGGTGGGGTGAGGCTGGAGCCACAACCACTTGCCTCTTCTCTTTCTCTTTAGCCCTGCCCCAGAGATCCCCCTGTTCACAAAATAGAGAAACCACAGATCTAAATGCAAAAAGTATGGTCTCTTTGTGATAAGATTCTTTTTTTCTTTAAATTCAAATTGGCAATTTGCCAGCAGGTTCCATTTTTCTTGAGGATATTCTTATAATAGTAAGATTACATCATCAGCATAGGGAAGGATGCTTGTCTCTATGTTTATCTATATGTTGGGGCATATATAGGAGAAAATATATAGATCTTTTGAGCCAGAATAAATTACTTAGGCAAAAATTATAAATAAAAATGTTTAGGTGCAGTCTGGTTTTAAGCCATTTAAAATTAGAATTGACTCTTTCAAAATCCATTCTGGTATTGCCATATTGATTTAGATAAACATTTAAAATCTGAGATCTACACCAAAGTCATGTAAGTTGGCCCACAGAGCAGCCTGAGATTCCTTGTGGAATAAGGCAGAATGTAAACAAAAAGCCCAGAGATTGTCCTTATCTATGGAATCAAAAGCTGATAATAGATCACAAAATACCTGGGGAAATAGAATTTTTCATAACTAAATTCCCATAAAGTGAAGGGGATAGGACTTTGAGCCCCATAGCTAAATGACATGTTCAAAATCTCACTGTTAATTAGTCATGATGTGGGACCAAAATCTAGCTTTTTTTTTTTTTGAGACAGAGTCTCACTCTGTCACCCAGGCTGGAGTGCAGTGGAATGACCTTGGCCCACTGCAATCTCCACCTCCTAGGTTCAAGCGATTCTTCTGCCTCAGCCTCCCAAGTAGCTGGGATTACAGGTGCCCGACACCACACCCGGCTAAGTTTTTGTATTTTTAATAGAGATGGAGTTTCACTATGTTGGCCAGGCTGGTCTCAAACTCCTGACCTCAGGTGATCCTCCCACATTGGCCTCCCAAAGTGCTGGAATTATAGGCATGAACCAATGTGATGGGCCTATGGCTCTTTTAATGCTCTTCCCATCTCCTTAATATGGTGGCAGAAATGGAAATTGACATACATTGAAATATTATTTATTCTTTTCATATATGTCCTATACTATTTATTGCAGAACTATCTTCTATCTACTTTTCTGAGCACAAAGTTCCTCAAAATAAAAGCAGCTTTTGAATAGAGATAATCTATCGATATTTTCTCTCCCTTTTCTTGCCTCCTGCCCACAATCCCCTTTGTGCTAACTTCTGCTGAACTCTTGACCTTGGGTAAAGATGCAGCTTTGCGTGAATTTTCGAAAGTGACTTTTGGTGATTTAGCTGCTAAATGTGTATGATAGAAATCCAGCTTACCTTGGAGGCTCTCAGGGTTTTTAATTTACCATGCCAGAAAGCAGACCAGTCTGGGGAA
This sequence comes from Homo sapiens, assembly GCF_000001405.40. Taxonomy (NCBI): domain Eukaryota; kingdom Metazoa; phylum Chordata; class Mammalia; order Primates; family Hominidae; genus Homo; species Homo sapiens. The sequence continues at coordinate 28,133,159 of NC_000003.12, read as the reverse complement.
ATTCAGCTAATGTCTCCCAGCTGTGCAGGAAAAGTGTGAACGGCTCTGTCAGAAAAGCTGCCTCTTTCTCTTCTTTTCCAGACAGTAGCTTATATTGAAACATCACTTCTCATTTGCTGTTTGGACAATGGTGATGGAACTGCTGCTTTATTGCCCACGGAGAAGCGAAGTGAAGAGTCTAAAGTGGGTCTTGCAGTTACACTGGACAAAAGAAGTTTGAAACTGAGGCTTGGTCCTGAAGAAAACATAGAGAAGCCTGACAGATTATATATATTCACAGCTTTGACTTAAAGGTTGCTGGTTGACCAATAAGTAATACAAGAAGAAATGGTCTTTTCTGGAATTGTCCTTCTTTCCAGGTGAGCAAATTAAATGCCATCACTTAGTCCTGGGAGCAAGCCAGCATTTCTTGGTGAATTTCCAAAGCATGTTTGTTAGAATGTTGGAGCTGCTGCATGATTAAGGCTGTTAGAATAAGTGACAGAAACTTAGAAGGCAAAAACTTTCAGAGAGAAATATTAAATTTCAGCCACAGGGCAATAATTGTCAACCTTAATGCTTTATCAAAAAGCAGATACTGAATGACTACCTATGCTTAGCATGATTTGTAGCAAATACTGTTGGTTGCCTCTTGGGCAGCTGTTCCCTTTACTTCTTCTTTCCTCTATCATGACCACCTGTCATGATAGAGGCCGAAAATTTTGGAGACTTGCTTTCCCAGCTTCCTTTATAAGGAGGGTTACTCATGTGACATAATGCTGACCCATGAAGGAAGTTTGGTGGCTTCAGAGAAATATTTTTCTTCATGATTAAAAGTTATATAAAGAGGGCCAGGTACGGTGGCTCATGCTTGAAATCCCAGCACTTGGAGAGGCTGAGGTGGGCAGATTGCTTGAGCCCAGGAGTTCCAGACCAGCTTGGTCAAAATAGTGGGACCTCGTCTCTACAAAAAACACAAAAGTTAGCCAGGCAGGATGGTGCACACCTGCAATTCCAGCTACTTGGCAGACTGGGGCAAGAGGATGGCTTGAGCCTGGGAGGTCATAGCTGCAGTGAGTTGTGATTGTGCCACTGTACTCCAGCCCGGCTCGCTTCATGAGAGTAGTGACTTCCTCAGTTTTGTTTATGGTTATGTTCCCATGCTTACAATAATGCCTGGTATTTAGTACTGTCTCATAAAATTTACTTACTAACTGAATGATTGCATGCAAATATTTGTGAGTGACTGTGATGGTTAGAACTGCAGCAGCCATTTTGCAACCTTGAAGCAACCCATATGACAGGAGCCAGCACCCTGAAGATGGCATAGTGGAAGGTCTTTGATGACACCATTGAACAACTGAGACAGACTTGTGGAAAATTACCTCTTAACTTCTTGTAATATTATATAACAAATTCCTAATATTTAACTGCATTAGTGGCCAGGCATGGTGGCTCATGCCTATAATCCCAATGCTTTGGGAGGCCAAGGTGGGAGGATCTGTTGAAATCAGGAGTTCAAGACCAGCCTGTGCAACATAGGAAGACCCTGTCACCACAAAAAAATTTAAAAATTAGCCTGATGTGGTGGCACGTGCCTGTAGTCCCAGCTATTCAGGAGGCTGAAGTGGGAGAATCAACTGAGCTGTAGAGATGGAGGCTGCAGTGAGTCATGATTGCACCACTGCAGTCCAGCCTGGGCGACAGAGCAAGACGTGTCTCAAACAAACAAACAAACAAATAAATAAGTTGCATTCATTTATTCATTCAACAAATATTTATGGAGTATCCCTTTTGTCCTAGACTTTGTTCTAAGCTCTAGGGATACAGCAGTGAATAAAACACAGTTCTTATATCCATTTTAACAGAAAGCGACAGACAATGAACATATTCATTGTGTGATTAGCACAATGGAGAAAAAGCTAAGTGAGGAGAAATAGAGAGTGCCAAGCTGGGGAGGGGTTATTGTTGCTGTTTTACATAAGGTGATCAGGGAAGACCGTAAGGAAAAAGTGACATTTAAGCAGGAATAAAGGAAATGAGGGAGGGAGTCATGCCACTATGTGACTTGAAATAGCATTTGGGCAGAGGGACGAGAAATGTAAATGCTCTGAGGTGAGAGCTTGCATGGTGTGTTTGAAGAATAGAAGTGGCCTGTGTGATTAGACCAAAGCCAGTGAGTGAGGAGAGTGGTAGGAAAGAGCTAATGAGGTAGTGGGCAGCCAGCTCAGAGGAGACTTGTAAGCATTGGAAGGACTTTAGCTTTAATCTGCATGAGATGAGAAGCTATTTGGGTGAAGGGACATTTAAGCAAAGGAGTGACAATCTGATACATTTTTAAAGGATACCTCTGGCTGTGGTATTAAGAATAGACTATAGGGCTTGAGTGGAAACAGGGAACCGTTTAAGACTGAAATAACACAGGCAAGAAATGATGGTGGTTAGATCAACATGAAACGGTGAAGGTGGTAAGTGATCAGATTTATACATATTTTGGAGGTAGAGCCATATTTTCTAAAGCACTTTAGATGAAAGACTATGACTATATGCTTTTGTTTTCGAGATTTTTAAAAATGTTATTTGCCCACTCACTCCCTTGCTCATCCACTATTTACCAAAATGTTCCAAGGCATATTTTCATAAGCTTTTTTTTTAGTAATTTGCCACTTTATATTTAGCATTAAACCATCCTTAATGATGATTATTACTTCTATAATAATCACTTTTGACCCCAGAAACATTCCTGAGAAGAAAGAAAACTGCTTATGAGGCCAGGTGTGGTGGCTTATGCTGTGATCCCAATGCTTTGGGAGGCTGAGGTGGGAGGATTGTTTGAGCCCAGGAGCTGGAGACCAGCCTGGGCAACAGAGAAAGACCCCATATCTAAAAAAAAAAAAAAAAAAGCAAAAATCACCCAGGCATGCTGATGCACACCTGTAGTCCCAGCTACTCAGGAAGCTGAAGCAGGAGGATTGCTTGAGCCCAGGAATTTGAGGATGCAGTCAGCCATACCACTGCACTCTAAGAAAGAAAGAAAGAGAGAAAGAGAGAGAGAGAGAGAGAGAAAGAAAGAAAGAAAGAAGAAAAAATTAAAAAGCATGCTAATTTTATCTCATATGCACAATTTTAAAGTATCCAGGTCTACTTTGGATTTCTTTCCAATATTGAATGCTAGAGCTTGTTATCAAGTTAATTTATAGAGTCCCAAGTCTTTAAGAATTGAATTACTTAAGATGGTCTTGTCAAACTTTCTATTTTAAAGATCGAGGAACTGAGGCTCTAACAATTCCTGCGAGCTTTGGTTTTTCATTAGCATAATGAATTAATAGTGCTAAATGTTCCTCCAAGGGCACCTCTATTTAAAAATTTAAGTTTATTATAGTGTCACACTTCCTTTAAATATCCCAAGCCAGTACAGCTTGAATTCCATTTTGCTTGACAGACATCAGGAAATCCGTATGTTGACAATGTTTTCTTTCCCAATTATTTCAAGGAATACTTGAGGAATGCCTATATGTTCCAAGATCCAGAATGGTTGTCATTTGTCATTTCAGCCAACTGACTTGCTCTGACCACAGGCCAAGGCAATATAATTATTGCTGTTCTCTTCTTGTCGATTTTAGGCCACCTTCTTATTTTTAGTAAAGACAGCACCATAACCTTCAGTGAGAGTTTCCTAAGGTCTGGAGGATAGTGCAGTGTGATTCCAGTGAAAAGTGACTGGTTTGATTCTGTCAGTCCTGTGAGTTCACAGGTTTAAGTTTTTTGATTGTGGGTCACTATTGGGTTCCTCTTTCTTTAGCTCTTTTGCTTGGCTTTAGTGTGGTTATGGACATATGACTATGCAAAAGGGATGAGTTTAGTTGTCCTAAATAAAGTACCCAAAACACAGCTACCATATCTAATATGACAGTTATATTAGCTTCCTGTGGCTGCTGTAACAAAGTACTACAAGTTTGGTGGCTTACAACAACACAAATGTAGTCTCTCACTGTTCTAGAAACTGGAAGTCCAAAATCAGATTTCACTGGGTGGAAATCAAGGTATCAGCAGGTCTGCGTTCCCTCTGGAGGTGCTAGGGGAAAATTTCTTACCTCTTTCAGCTTCTGGTGACCAACTGTTTCACTGCCTGACTCCAGTCTCTGCCTCCATGGTCACGTTGCCTCTTCCCCTTCTGCCTGTGTCAAATCTCTCTCTGCCTTCCTTTTATAAAGATGCATACTGTGTCATTTAGGGCCTAATTCGATGATCTCCCACTCTTAAGATCCTTAGCTTAATCACATTGGCAAAGACTCTTTTCCAATAATGTAACATTTACAGATTCCAAGGATTAGAACCTGATATCTTTGTGAGCTATTATTCAGCCTACAACTGTAGTCTTTGGTGTTATTCCCCAAATGTTTCCAATTTGTACTCTTCTGGGCAATGGTAATATTGCACTACCTGACTACCTTTGGTTGGGTGGAGGATGCAGCTAGCTATGGCCACTGAGTAAAAGTAACTTGTAACTCATGCAGGCTAAAGCATGTAATTGTCACTGTAAGAACTCAAGAGCTTGACCCCTCTGCTGTGAGCTAAACAATTTTTGGAATGATGGCTGTACCATCAATCCAAGTTCTAGGGAAAAAGACAAGGAATAGAGTCGCCTGATGACCTGTGATGACATAAAGGATGAGCAGGGAATAAACTTGTGCTATTAAGAGTCTCTAATTTAGTTTTTGTTTTGTTTTATTTGGTATTTATGTGATATACCTTAACTTAAATTGACTGACACATCCAGAATCTAAGCTCCCAATAACCTGAAGGTCAGAAAAGTGAAAACAGTTTTTCTTTCACAACAGTCCAAGACCTGCCTCCCAAATGATTACAAGTGAGAAATTCCTTTGTTCATTTCTCCCAGAGAAAATCCTGTTACCAACTCACATCAGAACTCAGTAACTGATCATTAATACATTTCCAAAAATGTGGGGGTTTTCTAAATTAATAATGGCTTTATTGAGATAGAATGGGATATAATTCATACATCATACAATTCACCCTTTTAGCATATATAATTTAGTAGTTTTTAGTATATTCACAAAGTTGTGCAATCATTACCATTATCTAATTTTAGAACATTTAATCATCCCCAAAAAACCCCCTATACTCAATTAGCAGTCACTCCCATTTATAACTCCCTACTTTCAGCTTCTTCCAACCACTTTCTGTCTCTATGAATTTGCCTATTCTGGACATTTCATATAAGTGAAATCCTACTGTTTGTGACCTTTTCCAACCAGGCTCGTTCGCACAGTGTCTTCAAGGTTCATCCATGCTGTAACATGTATCTACACTTCATTATTTTTTATGACTGAATAATATTCAATTGTGTGGATACACCACATTTTTTCATCCACTCATCAGCTAATAAACATTTGGGTTATTTCTACTTTTTAGTTATTGTGAATAGTGCTCCTATGAACATTTGTGTACAAGTTTTTATGTAGACATATGTTTTTAATTCTGAGTCATTCAATCTTGGAATTACATGTGGGTCATGAACAGTCCAACCTAGACCCTTTTCAAAATCTCTCCCCCAGTTCGAGATGATAGGAAGATTAGGCTACATATCTGTAGTAACAAACTATAAATTTACACTTAAAACAACACAAATTTATTATCTTTCAGTTCCGGAGGTCAGAAGTCCAAAATGGATTTCTCTGAGCTAAAAACCAGGTGTTGGTGGGTTCTAGAGGGTAATCTCTTTCTTTGCCTTTTCCAGCTTCTGGAAGCTGCCTGTATTGCTCGGCTTGTGGCTCACTTCCCTCTTCAAAGCCCCCTGTTTTCTCACGCTGCATCACTGTAACTCTGACTCTCTCTTCCACATTTAAAGGACTCTTGTGGTTACATTTGGCCCACCCAAGTAATCTAAGATAATCTCTTTATTTTAAGGTCATCTAATTATCAACCTTAATTTCAACTGCAATCTTGATTCTGCCTTACATGTACCATAACATAGCATATTCACAGATTCTGGCACAGCCACTTTGTGCGGGGCATTATTCTGCCTATCACAATATCTTTTAGCTGTCTTGGAATCTCTTGTCCTAATCCTTTAGGAATAATTGTTTGAAAACACACACACACACACACACACTTCCTAAGGAAAATACAGATAGAAGACAGTCTAAATCAATACCTTAAAAAAAAATTACCTGTTGTGAATGCAAAATATATAGCCACTTTAAAAGTAGTTTGGTAGTTTCTTACAAAATTAAGCATAGGCTCCAGTAGTCATACTCCTTAGTATTCACCCAAACGAAGTGAAGACCTACATCCACACAAAACCCTTCATATGGATGTTTATAGCAGCTTTATTCATAATCATCAAAATTTGGAAGCAATCAAGGTGTCCTTCAGGAAATATAAATAAATAAATAAATAAATAAATAAATAGGCCAGATGCAGTGGCTCACGCCTGTAATCCCAGCACTTTGAGAGGCTGAGGTGGGCGAATCACCTGAGGTCAGGGGTTCGAGCCTGGCCAACATGGTGAAACCCTGTCTCTACTAAAAGTACAAAAATTAGCTGGGCATGGTGGCGGGCACTTGTGATCCCAGCTACTCGGGAGGCTGAGGCAGGAGAATCACTTGAACCTGGGAGGCGGAAATTGCAATGAGCCAAGATCATGCCACTGCACTCCAGCCTGAGTGACAGAGCAAGACTCTGTCTCAATAAATAAATAAATAAATAAATAAGCTAATGAACCACATAAAGACATGGAGGAAATTTAAGTGGATAATGCTAAGTGAAAGAAGCCAATCTGAAAAGGCTATCTATTGTATTATATCAAATATATGACGTTCTGGAAAAGGCAAAACAATGGAGATAGTAAAAAAGCCAGTGGTTGGGCCGGGCGCGGTGGCTCACGCCTGTAATCCCAGCACTTTGGGAGGCCGAGGCGGGTGGATCATGAGGTCAGGAGATCGAGACCATCCTGGCTAACAAGGTGAAACCCCGTCTCTACTAAATATACAAAAAATTAGCCGGGCGCGGTGGCGGGCGCCTGTAGTCCCAGCTACTCGGGAGGCTGAGGCAGGAGAATGGCGTGAACCCGGGAAGCGGAGCTTGCAGTGAGCCGAGATTGCGCCACTGCAGTCCGCAGTCTGGCCTGGGCGACAGAGCGAGACTCCGTCTCAAAAAAAAAAAAAAAAAAAAAAAAAAAGCCAGTGGTTGCCAGAAGCTGGGATGGGAGGAGTGAGGGATGAATAGGTGGAACACAGGGAAATTTTAGGGCAGTAAGACTATTCTGTATGATACTGTAATGGTGGATGCATGTCATTGTATATTTGCCAAAATCCAAAGAATGTGCAACAATAAGAATGAACTTAATGTAAACTGTAGACTTTAGTTAATGTATCGATATTAGCTCATCAATTGTCACAAATGTCCCATACTAATGCAAGATGTTAACAATAGAGGAAACTGTCTGTGGAGGGGTGAGAGGACATACAGAAACTCTGTATTTTCTGCTCATTGTTTCTGTAAACCTAAACCTGCTCCAAAAAACAAACATTTTCAATTATTTTAACAATATAATCTAAGAGATGCATTGTAATCACTATAAAAATAAGGTTTTACATCATTTCTCAGAACAGTGTGGCTTTTGGAACTGCCCTTCTCAAATATTTGCATTTCATAAATCTTTCTCTACATGTGTGTCATTTTCCCCAAACAAAAAGTCAAACAGCTTCAAAAATAAATTCTAGTCTCTACCTCACAAAAGGTAGAAGAGCTTTATAACTTTTAAGTGACAGTTTTTCCAGAATCAACTCATTGATGTTTCCAACATTCTTAAGATCCAGTCTCAGTTGCCACCATCTTGCCACACGCATAATATGGTTAAATAAGTCTAAGAACAAGCCTCCCCGCTTAGCACCTCTGTATATTAGCTGAAATTCAAAGGAAATTCATTTCAGATAACAGCCATTGTACATTTAATCTCAAGGTAAGTTATTTGTGCACTTTCTAAGTCATCTTCAGACCCCCAGGGAATTTGTTCCTTTAGAAAAGAAGAACAGTCTCCACTAGTGAATACTGAAATAGACATCTGAGAATTGCCATCATTTCCTGTTTTTCTGTGAGGGTTTTTTGGCAGGTCAAACTTGCTCATTATCACTTCTATTAAAAAATTACGAAAATTGAAATCAATCACCAAGAAAGTGAGTTTATTTACATCTTAGGCAAGATTCTGGGCTCGTATGGGGATATGGTTTCAGCAAAGGTTTACAGAAAAGACTGTACAATTTGTTAAGCTCAATAACTATTTAGTTTGGTCACTCTTTCACACTGAGTGTGCCACGATTAGGAATCTTGAGTAACTTTCTAGCAAGTACTGTAAAGTGTCCATGATGTTAACCTCCTTAAAACCTCATAAGTTAGCCTGCCACAATTTCATGGATGCTGGTAGAAAACATGAGACTCTCTGGGTCAGAGACAGAGGACTTTATTAGGCACGGCACAGCAGGCAGCATGAGTATCTGCATATTTGGCCTGTTCTCTTTGTCCTTAAGTCCCACAAGGGCAATACGGGCCTAGACGGATGCAGTAGGTTGTGTTACAGGAGAGCAGCCCTGAGCTTAGGGAATGTGAATTTATTTTTGCTGGCCAATAAACATATCAGCCCTTCACTTTGGAGGAAGATATTGGCTTCCGAAGCTATAAGCAAACCTACCCTTTGCCCTGGAGGGAGATATGATCTCCATCTTCCAAGGATTTTCATTATACAAAAATCTTTGAAATGATATTCTGGGAAAAGGTTGGAGAGTGCATGGCTCACAAGACATGCAGAAATAAGTTGTGTTCAACACTTTCCCTGAAGTTTCTGACATGCACTGCACTCCATATAATAAGGTGATTCTACTGATCTGACAGACCTGCTTACATTTTAATATGTATTTTGGATGTTCCTCCCTATCAGAGGCAGTGATTTGTCCAGAAACATCCGGTGTCACCCAGTGCCCCTTATAACTGAAGTCTGATAAGTGGTGTGGTCTGTGACCAGAGAGATTAATCCAAGCTAATGACCATATGTGGGCACTGGACCAATAAACTTAGACTCAATCAGTTGCACTAGAAACCATTTAATAGACTAAACTAGATCCTGGGAAAAATTGTAAATTCCTTTATTGGAATTCCTATCAATCATGAATCCCACTGATACAACTTTTGTTATCAAACCATCCTCTCTAGCCCTCTTCTTCTGCCATAGTTTATGTCCTCTTCTTGTTCTATAGGACTATTGTAATTGTCTCCTCTCTTTTCTTGTTGGCTCCTTTTTTCCCAGTCTTGCCTAACTCTAATTCACCATTTACACAGCTGCCAGAATAAATTTCTAAAATGCAAATCTAAACATGTCACTTCTGTTCTAAAAAATCTACAATACATTTTATCCTACAGACTGTAGGATAAACTTCAAACCTTTTAGTATAGGACATGTATCTTTCCATAATTTGACTCTTGATTAAAACTTTAAGCACAACACTTCATCCCACTCCTCTAGCACTTTCATTTGTAAAATGGAGAGATAATAATAGCATCTATCTCCTCAATTGCTATGAGTTACATGGATTAACATGTGCAAATTGATTAGGACAAAGCCTCATAATAATTGCCTAAGAAGTGTCATGAGAAGAGTAATTCTTTAGCCACATTGAACTGCTATCAATTTCCCCAATAGGCCAGATCAACCATTACCTGCTCTATGAAGGCGTTTTGAATACTTCATAGTCTTGGACTCTCGACTTTTCTCATCACAGTGCCTATAATATTGGCTTTCCCCCAGCCAAATGCTTCCAATTCACTCTCCCTCCTAAAGGGTAAAATCTAGGGGAAAGGGTTGATATTTTTTAAATGTTTGGATTCCCAAGGGTATCCCATTGTTTGGCACATAAAAGATGGTAAGTATTTATTGAACAGTGCTGTATGCTATTTCTGCTTGAAATGGAAATGTGACCAGCAGATCTTTCCATGCTCTTTTCAAGTCTTTTGGTTTTGCAGGTACAGCTATTAATTACAGGTCTTCTGGCTGTCTTTGTTTTCCTTTTTCTCTTTAAGGCCCACATAGTACCTTTGCTCAGAAACCCAGTAGTTTCTGAATATCACATCTTAGCCCCCTTCCCATCCCTGGGGCTACAAGTGTTATTACAAATGAAGAACATAGGAGTCAGATGCATGCCCTTTCTGGTTTTGAAATTTATCAGGCAGACTTCTGGGTACTTATTTTCTAGTTAGTCTAGAAACTTAATGTAGAAATATCTCACCTTATAAGATCCATTTACTTAGGATTTATGTGAAAGGAAGGTGCTATTTCTTTGCTGCTGTATTTTGTCTCACTATCTCTTCTTGTTAGTTTTCATTTCTGTATGTAATTTTCCATGTAGATGATACAAAATAAAACGAGAAACATATTCAAGGAATATTCTATGTACTTAGTTATTATCTTTAAGAATATATGATTCTGATCACTTTGCTAAGGTGGTATCTACCATCTTTCTCCGTTGCAAAACTACTATTTCTTTTTTTAAGATTAGTAAGTATTTATAAGGAGATACTTTGAGATTGTGTAAATATTCTGTTTCTCATCAAATTTTTACACACTAACTTAGCATCCACTGATAATTCTTGTCTGGGTCAAATATTACCATGAAGTTTGCAACAGTGGTGGTTTTCAAGCTTACTTCATATGCCTCTTATGTGATGCACGAAGAAGGAAATTGCATATATAGTGCTCCTGCCAAAAAAAACTTGAGTCTAATCATGAGAAAACATCAGACAAGCCAAAAGTTGAGAGTGTACTATGAAAGAAATTGTCTGTAATCTTAAAAATGTCAATATCATGAAAGAAGAGGGAAGGCTGGGAAACCGTTACAGATTACAGGCGCCCTAAAAAATAGGACAACTAAACGCAGTGTGTGGTTTTAGACTGGATATTGAACCAGAAAAGTTTCCTATAAAGACATATTGGGACAGTTAGTGAAACTGAGATATTTACTATAGATTAGATATTATCTAATAGCTAATATCTATATTATCTAATATCTATATTGTATCAATGTTAAATTTTTTAAATACAATAACTACATCGTGCTTAAGTGAAAATAATACTGTTAAGAAATAAATAATGATGATTAAGGGGTAATAGGGAATGATATTGGCAATTTATTCTCAAATGGTTCAGAAAAATCAGTATGCATATATACAGTTAAAGCAAGAATGATCAGGCAAGTGTGGCAAAATGTTAACAATGGGTAAATCTAGGTAAAATCTCTTTGTACTATTCTTATAATTTATGTTTGAAATAGTTTCAAAAAAAGTTAAAACAGTTGCTTTGTGTGAAAACAAATGTATGATTTTATAATCTTGGACACAATACTATTTTGGTTGTGAAAAATATTTAAGAATTTTATATAGAAGTATGTTCTTTTGATTTCTATTTCTTAACTGCAAGGAACTTCTCTCTCTGTTTCTCCAATTTCAGAGAAACTCCTATTTATAAAACCAAAATAGGTGAGGATTTACAAAAAGTAAGGAAAACTAGAAAAAATGACATAATCAGACCTTTGGAACCTCGGAGCATCAATAATTGCAATTTATGACTCAGGGGTATCTTTAAAAATCTAGCCATTCTCTCAGCAGCTTGTGGTCATTGACCTTTTGCCTGAAGACAACGCTATTCTCAGGACTTGCTTTTTCCTGTTTCTGATTCGCTCTGCTGTGTCTGTTTCTCTTTGTGTGTTTAGTATTCAAAATTCCTCAAAGGAAGATATAATTGAGTTACTTAATAACCACCTAATACTGAGCACTACAGCTGGGCAGAGTTCCCACACCATTCCATATCATAAGCAGCTGGACTCTCTTAGTTTGAACTCAGGACCCCAATTTGATGTGCATCAGAGTCAACCAAACTTCAGACTTAGCAGCCTCAACAACAGAGTTGGTAGTCTATGTTACATTATGAATTCATGGTCGTGTGAGCTATGGGCAGTGTATTATGTCCATAGGACACAAAGGAGAGAAACCTATGAGGAAGGAACCATCTGTGACCACTTTCTTCAAAGGGGACATTGCCTTCTCCCTCCCTGGGCCTATGTAAGGAAATGAGGATTTGCTAGAGCCTGTCTGATTAAATCTGTATATTCTCCATAGGAAAACAAAATAATTTTACTTTCTTTATCTAAGCCACTGGGTAGGTATCAAGAAAGTATGGTCACTAAAAAAACAGAATGAAATCCTGTTATTTGTGGCAACATGGATGAGCATGGAAGACATTATGTTAAGTAAAATAAGCCAGGCATGGGTAAGATAAATACTACATCTTACTCCTATGTGGAAGCTGAATAAGTTGATCACACACAAATAGAGAATATAATAGTAATTACTAGAGATAGGGAAGGATACAGCGAGGGAGATAGGGAGAGACTGGTTAATGGATAGAACATTATAGCTAGGTAGGAGGAATAAGTTCTAATTTTTCTACAGCACAGTAGGGTAACTATCATTAGCAGTTATTATTTAGTTTATATTTTCAAATAGCTAGAAGAGAGGATTTTTAATGTTCCCAACTCCAAAAAGTGATCATTGTTTGAGGTAATGTACTAATTACCCTGATTTTGATCATTACACATTGTATACAGGTATTGAAATATCACACTGTATCCCATAAATGTGTATAATTATTATGTGCCAATTAAAGATAATGCAAAATTAATCTTAGCAAAAGAAAGGAAGGAAGTTAAGTCCCTTGTGCCACAAAGCACATGAAGTTCAAAGTCACAGAGACTGGCTCCAATTCCTACACCCATGACTTATTGGCTACATGGCTTTGGAAAATGAACCTGTATAAATCTTGGTTTCTTTGTCGGTACGGTGAAGATGAGAATAATAGCTCTTTGGAAGATTAACTGATCCTATGAGAGGGTTGTTGTGGAGATTAAATAAAATGTGTATAAAGCATTTAGCATAGTGTTTGGCTCTTAATAAGAAGCCAGTAAAAGAAAATAGATGTTATTACTGTAAAATCTGCTTTGGAGTCACTGGCCATCTGTAGCTAAGGGCAGTATATGAAGCTTTTTTCAGTAAATTAATTTGTGGGTGTTGGGAGTTACCCTGTATTTTTAGCTTCTTTGCTTTCTAATTTTTTAAATCATTTTTTATTTTGAAATAGTTTAAGACTCACAGGAATTTGCACAAATAATTTCCATACACCCTTCACCCAGCTTCACCCAAAGATGCCATATAACTATATTATGTCGTGTAAACCAGGAAATTGATATTTGAATAAACTGTTAACTAAAATATAGACCTTATTTGGATTTCACTGTCTGGATTTTTCTCCTTTCTTCCAATTTATTCTCATCCTAATCTATTTCTTTCTCTTCTTCCAGATGCATTTATAGTTTACAGGTAACATATTCCAAATTTAGGATGAACAAAATGAAGCATTCTATCTCACTGAACAATACGATCAGATATTTATTAGGGCTTCGTTCTAGTGTAGTCATCATACTCCTAGTAAGATGGTTAAGAACTTTTCTTTAAAATATTGATCTTTCTTGACATACAAGAAAGATGCATTCTTAAGGGAAGTCCAATCCTTCTAAAGACACATAAGGCAAAGGGAATTTTGGCTTTGAAAATAATCAAAGAACATTATATTACATCACAGCAATTGTCACTACAGCTGGTTAATATATTATCAGCACGTGAATATAATGATCCTCTAAAATTTGTCAACTCTGGCCCCAAAGAATAGAAGACACCAACGTCCAATAGGCAGGACACTAAGAGCCACAAATTGGCTTCCCAACCCCTGTAGATTGATGGGAATAACCCCTTCCCAGGCCTAACACTTTTCTCTGCATCCTGAAATGTGGTGATACCAAACGCAGGTTCAGTGAAGGAAGGCCTTTAGTTTGGACAGTTGTGTAAGAAAAGAAAATATGCAATTCATTCTCATTCATGCCTTGTGTGCCCTGTTTTTCCAAAAGATTTGTAAAATTTTTGACAGTTCATATATTTATATTTGGAATCACAATTTAGGTCTGAAATAGATTTTTTGAAACTTCTTTCACAGATACTTCAATTGTGGTTTTGTGTTTTGTTTTATACTTTTTATTTTGAAACAAATACCGACTCACAGGAAACTGCAAAAATAATACAGAGATCCCTGGGTACTCATTACCCAGCTTCTCCCAATAGCAGTATCATGCATAACTATAGTACAATATCAAAATCAGGAAACTGACATTGGTAAAATACAATACAAAACTGAGTAGTATTCAGACTTTGCCAATTCTTACATGAACTCATTTCCCTGCGTGTGCATGCATGTGTGTGGTTCTATGTAATTTTATCCTGTGTATTGATTCATGCAGCCACAATCAAGACACAGAGCTCTTTTATCATTACAAGGAAACTCCCTGTGCTACTTCTCACTCAGCAGTTCTATCCCCTGGTGTCTTATTCACTGCTCCCACTATCTTAGACTCATCTAAATATGTTTTTCCCCCCAGAAAAATTCAAGCTGTAAATATGGTTTAAAGTCCCACTTGATGGAATTAGGATAGTCTTTGACATACATGTCTTAACCAGACAAATGGTTTCTATCTGGAAAAATGTTTAACTCAAAAATTAGATTTTGCATTGCTTTTAATTAATCATGCAATGAGGTGAAGAAGATTTTTAACTTTTAAATAGTAGATCTTAGTAATTTTCTCTAAAGGAATGAACTGTCTTTGGAAAAATACATGAAGAAGTGACTGTGCAGAAGGTGAGCCCTTAGAGAGTCTCGGTGTGAGTTGGTGCTGGAACTTCTAAGGAAGGGAGGAACTCAGCTGTAAAACAAGGGCAGGAGTATGTTGTTTTGCATCTCAAAGGGAAAGGGAAGTGAGTGGCCACAGGACATTTTTAAGAGTGTGGATGCTTAGAATTCCCTTTAAGTTTATTTACCTTAGTGTAGTTTGAGCTCCTCTTTCATCTTAGCCCAGAACTTTTCAAGAAAGTCTGTTAAACTTATTTTCATTTGTTTTTGTATTCATTCATTTACTTGACAAATATTAATTGAACAAATTTTATGTTCTCAGCATATTCTAGCCTTTGAGGTTACAGCAGTGACTATGTCCAGGTCTGTGATCTCATGGAGCTTATATTCTAGTTGGGAAGAGAGGGTAAACAGATAAATAAATATACAGCATGTTAGCTACTATCAAATATTATAAAGAGAAATAAAGCAGGGTATTGAGGTAGAGAGTGGGAGGGTGCATGTGTGTTACTTTAGATAGGGGGGTCAGAGGAGGTGGCATTTCAGTGGTAATCCAGATGCAGTGAGGGCGCAACCTGAGCAGATATCTGGGAGGATCCCATCCCAGGCTGAGGGAACAGCAAGTGAAAGGCCCCTGAAGTTGAAGTCATTTGGCACCTTTAAGAAACAGAAAACAGGACAGTGTGCCTTGAGAGCAGTGCAAACAGGCAGTTTTAGGAAATGATGCACATCATCGTTGTGGAAAGTAAGGCAGGACTGAGTTCCATATAGTGAAATTAGTAGAAGAGAAAAAACTTCTAGAATTCAGGGGTCTGAAACTTGCGCTAGCTCTGAGAATACAAGCCATCATTTCCCTCTCTCAACTCAGAAACTTTATATAGTACTTTGAACTTCTGGAACATAGGAATTGCTAGCGGTTGAGGACATTAGAGGCAAGGAGGTGCTAACTGACATACAGGTTTATTTGACACAACTCTTTAGAAATACTTGAACCTTTGTCAAAACTTTTATTTTAGATCATCATCATAGCTTTCCAACAAGCCATCGTGTTACTACAGTGTTCCAGTCATTCTTTAATAAGGCTCATTAAAATTTAATAATAAAATCTCTAGGATGTAAATTACATGAGCATGACATCTTTGTCTCCTACTCCACAATTTCTCTGACCTCTACAAAAGTTCCGGGCACATAATAGGAGCTCAGTAAGTACTTGCAAAAGGAATGAAAGTAATAAACCACTTATTCAGTTTTGAAATCCAAACAGTGCACATATCCATCCTTAAAAAAATAAATTTGTTTGTTTACTTAAAACTTTAATGTCATGAATAATTTTGTATTGGTGACTTTTCTCTAATCAGAAGGTAAATAGTACACAGCCCATTACTTCATTTTGGCTTCCTAAGTAGAGTATATTTATTAAAAAATACAATTTGATTATGGAGCATCTGTAATAGCCTCTAAGATTTTTCAAGTAATCAAAGCTTAATTCATATAGCCAATATTCTCATCCAGATTTTGTGACATATTACCAAGTATCAGTTTGAGTAGTGTCAATCTAAACTGAAAATATGCCAGGTTTATTAACACCAGCATTAATAGACTTTTAATTAAGTTGCTGATTCTGTCAGTAATACAGTTTACTGTTGTTCCTGAAAAGAGTTGTATAAGCATTTCTTTTTAGATAATGTTTATTCCGTAATTTTTATTTCTTACAAGTGGAGAGTGGGGCAAAGTTTGAACAAATGTGCAAGAAGCCAAGCAAAATTACATGACATGTTGTTTGCTCTAAAAAAAGAGGTTCTCAGCATCATGCAATATACCCATGTAACAAACCTGCTCATGTACCCCCAAATCTAAAATAGAAGTTGAAATTATAATTAAAAAATAATAAATATATTTTAATTTGTTCCTCAAAATATAAAGTCTTGCTTATCAGGAATTTTAAATGTACTATTTAACGAGTTAAAAATTACTTTTTAAAATGTATAGATTGATCCCTCTGGAATCCTGGTTCTTGGATAGGTGGTTGACAGCATCTTCAAGAGTGTTTATAATGTATCTTTCAGTGTGCTGGAAGTGAAAATTACATTTCTCATGCTGTTTTATGCTCATAAGGATTTCTACCTTTATTCTCCCATGCTGTAATAAATGCTATGTCTTTGTACCAAACATACAATACAAAAAGGCACTTGCATCCATAAAAACTGCATAAGATGTGATATTCCAGACTCATTATATAATTTAGATATTCAGTCAAAAAGCAGAGACTTTATTTTCTGAACCAGAAGGCATAGTCCTTAAAAGATTATTACTATTTAAATGTTAGAACCATGCAGTCTAAATGAGAATATTTACCCAAAATATGTTGCCATTCACATTCATTAATTTGTCTGTCAATATTTTGCTCTGTATCCAACCCAAACAAGTTGGGTTTTAGAAATGTTATCTTTCTGTACAGAATAATTTGATTCAGATCTTCAAGTCTAAAGTTAGATTTGTCCTAGCTCATGAAACCTCAGCAACTGTTTTTATATTTCTTTCATTGATTATTATTTCATATATCAACTTAGTTCTTTGTATCTGACCTTTGTTTGGAGGTATGGATTCCTTTAAAGCAGTGGTTCCTCACCGTTTTTGGCACCAGGAACTGGTTTCTTGGAAGACAATTTTTCCACAGACGGGAAGGTAGGATTGGAAGGATGGTTTTGGGGATGAAACTGCTCCACCTCAGATCATCAGGCATTAGATTCTCATAAGGTGCACTCAATCTAGATCCTCCACATGTGCAGTTCACAATAGGGTATGTACTCCTATGAGAATCTAATGCCACTGCTGATCTGACAGGAGGCAGAGCTCAGGTGGTAATGCTTACTCACCCCTGCTCACTTCCTGCTGTGCAGCCTGGTTCCTAACAGGCCAGGGACTAGTATCAGTCTGCAGCCCTGGGGTTGGGGACCCCTGCTTTAAGTGGAAAACACATGCAGCTTTTTAAGGGAATACTCACTCTTCTTATGAGATATACATCCACTTTACTTTCTATGTCATCACCATTGTAGCTTCTGCCAAGGAGTAATTTAGCCCTGGTGATAGATTGATTGCAAAAATGTTTCCAAATTCTCTACCCCTCTCTCTGTCCTTGCTGTTTGCCACGTGACTTTGCACCTCCTCTCAAGAAGTAGATTCTATTTCCCCACTCCTTGACTCTTTGAAGCTGGGCTGACCTTGTGACTTGCTTTAGTCAACAGAACACTGCAAACACTGAGCCTGAGCCTTGTGTACTTTCGCTCTGTCTCTTGGACCTTTCACCACGTGAATGAGCCTAGCCCAGCCTGCTAAAGGATGGAGACCACACGGAACAGAGCTGAGTCCCCCCATTGAGGACATCCTAGACCTGTCAATCTGTCAGCTAACTGCTGATGCATGAGCCAGCTCATTTGAGACCAGCTGATCCCAGAGCAAATCATCAAAACCACCAGCCAACCCATACATTTGTGAACAAAATGTACGTTTATGGTTGTATGCCACTGAGGTTTGGTAGTTTCTTGTTACACAGTATTATTGCGGCAATAAACAACAAATATAGCCCTTAATGTTGTTTTCGTGCAATTGGCTGCAAAGATTCTTAGAGGGCAATGCTAATCAAGCAACTGATATTGAGTTCCTATGTACTTAACATCATATCTCTCCCATAGAAGGGGCTCCAGAAATATTTACTGAATTTACAAATAAGTAAACTTATTCACTGAATACACTATACTTGATGTTATGTGAGAGACATTTCTTTAGAAGGTTGCATTTCCATAAATATTAAAAATTAGAAATAATTCTCCCTAGAGATTCCATAGGAAGGCCTTGTGGCCAACTTTCCTGGGGAGCCAAAATGGAAACTACTGACATCACCCCCACATCCTTGGAGCTCTCAGGCAGGGCTGGTGTTGGTGGCCTCAGACTTGTGGCTGCTCTTTTGCCTATGGTTTCCATGGGTATGCCAGACGCATGGCCTGTACCTTCCCAGCTGTATGGCCACCTACCTTACGTTGTCTTGCCTTGCCTATGCATGCCTTTGTCCACTTCATTCCAGGGGATGCTCTTGGTTTCTGCTGACTGCATTCTCTGCCCCACTGCACGTTTAATTTGGACCTAGCCCTTTAAACTTCAGCTCAGTTGGGATCACTGGCAACGTTCCCACACTTTCTGGGGTCTGCTAAAGGCAATTCCCCTTCTCAATTGCCTTCTAGGCTTTTACATTCATTGTGTCGATTTATTTTCAAAGCAAGCCTCCAAAGGAGATACTGTTATCTTAACTGAAAACACAGGTTCAGAGAGGTTTGTCACTTGTCCCAGGGTACAGTGTTAGTAAATGGAGGATTAGGAACTAGTCTGAAGTCATGGCCTGTGCCCTAAATCCTGTGCACTGAACTACACACTGCTGTCCCCTTATTTGCTACCAACTTACAATGTGAGTGTGAGCAATTTATTTAACTACCCCGGGTGTTGGTTTCACCATTTTTAATATGAAGGCATTAGTTTAGGATGGTCTATAATGGCCCATACAATTTCCAGTATATATTTTTTGACTTACTTAGAAATGTGTTTTTTCATTTACTAAACATGTTGGCTTTTTAGATTAAAAAAAAATCATCTCTTTTGCATTGTGGTTAGAGAACATAATCTGCATGACACCTGGTATCAAAACATTTTGAGATTTGTTTTGTAGACTAGCAAGTGATGAATTTTCATAAACTTTCTGTCTAGGATGTGTACTGTTTAATCATTGGTTTTGGGATTCTATATATGCTTATAAGATCAGGACAGTCATTATGATGTTCAAGTTTTCTATAGGCTTATTGATCTATTTGTTTGTTAACTGTGACAGTGAGTATGGTAAAATCATGCCACGATTGTGGATTTGTAAATTTGTATTTTTACTTCTTTTAGTTTTTGCTTCATATATATATATATATATATATATATATATATATGAAGAGAGAGAGAGACAGAGAGAGACAGAGTTTCGCTGTCGCCCAGGCTGGAGTGCAGTGGTGTGATCTCGGCTCACTGCAACCTCCACCTCCTGGGTTCAAGTGATTATCCTGCCTCAGCCTCCCAAGTAGCTGGGACTACAGGCATGCACCACCACGCCCGGCTAATGTTTTGTATTTTTAGTAGAGATGGGGTTTCACTGTGTTAGCTAGGATGGTCTCGATCTCCTGACCCTGTGATCTGCCCGCCGCGGCCTCCCAAAGTGCTGAGATTACTGGCATGAGCCACTATGCCTGGCCTGCTTCATATATTTTAGGGTGTGTTATTATGTCCATAAAAGTTTAGACTTTAAGAAATATTCCCATGAATTGTATGTTTTATTATTAGAAAATGTCTGTCTTTATCTCTAGTAATGGTTTTAGCCTTAGAGAGTGTTTTGTCCGATATTACCATAGGTAAACAGACGCTTAAACAAGCATGTCTCACGAGAGGCAATAAAAATGCATCCTTATTTTTTTCTTCTAGTCTTTGAAATATATTCACTGGGGAGAAATTTTCCCTGACTCTGGGAAAAATTCTGGACTCAGGTTTTTCCATAGGTAATAGAAAGTTCAATGGTGACTTTAGATAGCAAAACATCTTAAATTAATAATTACATTATCTAGTATGATTAAAATGAAACCCTATGTTGTAGACACAGAGATGTGCAGCTCACATCTCTGTCAAAACAGCATTTTCTTCCCAGCTGTAGGGATTGCCAGGACTGATGATAAGAAAGGCTGTTACAGAACTTGACTCCCAAATAGCAATGGGTATAATGGAACACAAAAAACAGAGGTCAGTGGTGATGCTCGACCCCCAGAAGCCAGGGGCACAATTATTATTATGACTGGCAAAGTTGAAGTGCTAGCCATGACAGCTTGACTTGCAGAGAGTTTTGAGACAGCTAATGTAATGTGAGTACTAAGGACAAAAGAGGTATCCAACAAAGGTATTACTCAGCTTGTACCAGCAGGAGAAATCAAGAGCTGTTGACCAGGAAAATGAGAGCAGACCCCCACTGAAAAGTCACAATCCCCATTCCAGTTTCAAACTCAGAATCCATTGACCAAAGAGGTGAACTGGTCCAAAGCAGGGAAGATCCTATAATACCATAACAGGTATACATGATAATTACTCCCTCAGTCCTTAAAAGGTACTTATGGCCACTTACTTGGGCAGCTGTTCACTGAGGTAAGGATAATTTCCATACTTTTTGAAGATGTATGGACATAGGGTCTGAGTTGACGCTGATGGCCAAAGACATGAAGTGTCATCATGTTCCCCTGGATAGAGTAGGAACAAATGGCAGGCAGGTGATAAATGGAGTCCTGGCCACCATATTTCTTACAGGATCCACTGGGTCTATAGACCTCCTGGAAGTTGCTTCCCTTGCCCCTGAATTGTCATTGAGTTGGACATATTGTCAGATTCTGTGACCCCCATATTGGGATTTTGTGGTCTATGGAGTAAGAGCAATCATAGTGGAGAAAGCCAAGTAGAAGCCTTGAAATTTGCCCACCCAATGACCAAGATAGTTAATCAAAATCAATATTGCATCCTGGAAGCGGGAAGCCTACAGTACAGATTAGTAATAACTTTAAAGATTTAAGGGATGCAGGGGTAATCATTTCCAACATATCTTCATCTGACTGAGCATTCTGGTGCTGCAGAAACCAGATGAATTCTGAAGGGCAACTTGAAATCAGTGATTCTTAACTGGTGGTGATTTTGAACCCCAGGGGTCATTTGCAATATCAGGAGTCATTTTGGTTGTCACCACTGTGTATATGTGTAGTGATGCTACTGGCATTTAGTGGATTGAATCCAGGGTTGCTGCTAAGTATCCTATGATATAAAGAACAGCCACCTATGACAAAGAATTATATGGCCCAAAATGTCAGTAGTGCTGAGGTTGAGAAATCCTACTGAAAAGTACCATTAGCACAATGAAGTATTAGCTCTGATTGCAGCCATTATGCTGAATGTGATCTTTGCTACTGCAGATAAATAGGGCCTCCAAAACATGGTATGTAGTCATTTATTTGGCAAATAATATCTTGACTAGCTCAATAAAGAAAGGAAATCAGAAACAGCCACTGTCACTTGGAATAGTTAACAATATGCATTCATAATTTTACCTCCAGCTGGCAGCTCTTTTAGGGTTGGCCTCAGTTGCAGAGAGCTGACCTGGTTGAGGTCACATCCTTTCTGTGGCATCTTGCATCTTATGGCTGAGCAAGACAGTGGTGTACAGGCCCACACATTCTGGCCCAAGACAGAGAAATGCTGAGCCAGAGTACCCTGCCAGGTTGGCCAAGGATCTGTCAGGTCTGCTTCCCAGTTTGACATTTCCCTCTGCTTAAGCTTGCTTTCTCCCTGCTATAGCTTGAATGACACCAAAACTCACATTGAAATTTAATTGCCATTGTGAGAGTATTTAGAGGTAGGACTTTTAAGAGGTGATTACTTCCTGGGGGTGAAGCCCTAAGGAATTGATTAATGCCGTTATTATGGGAGTAGCTTAGTTATTATGGGAGTGGGCTCCTGATAAAAGGATAAGTTTGGCCCCATTTCACTTTCTGTCTTGAGTGCTCACTTACTTGCTTTTCTGCCATGTTTTGACACAGCAAGAAGTCCCTCACCAGTGCTGACCAGATGCTATGCTCTTGAACTTCCCAGCCCCCAGACTGTGCCTCAAATAAACTTTTTTTCTTTATAAATTACATAACTTGTGGTATTCTGTTACAGCAGCAAAAAATAGACCAAGATACTCCCCTTTCCTTTTACTTGGGTTGATTTCAGCTCTTATAAATATTCTATAATCTAAACTCTGTCTTAGCATCTGCTGTTCGAGAGAATCCAAACTGTAACACCTCATAATACTAACCAGTAACAAAAATTCAGATGTGACACAAATGATAAGGAGTATTCAAACCCACAGACTTCTCAATAGGTTACCTGTTCTGGCTCACCCTAGTCATATTATTAATATTCCCAAAATAAAAACCTTATATTTTACACCATTAAATACATAACTATGAGCTCTATTTATAGTTTCATGGGAGGTTTTTGTTGTGTTGTGTTGTGTCTTATTTTATAGTATTAATCAATACTTTAATCTTCCTTTTATTTGTCATCAAAAAAAAAATTTTTACCACTCTCTAAACCTTTCCACCAAGAGCTAAGACTAGTTGCACATAGGCCAACTGCCATTGGGGAAGAATCATCTATTTTTCCTTTCTTGCCTTTTCAACTGGCTAACTGGAGCTTCAACTCACTTCCAGAGTTGAAGCATGGGAAGGCCATTCCCAAAGCAAACATTCCACTTTGATCTCACCATTGGAGGGAGTTGAGTCACTTCCCAGATGCTCACTATGATATCAAATATTTACATATCTGGGCAATTCAGTTGAATTTTTTTTTTCTGAAACGGAGTTTCATTCTTGTTGCCCAGGCTGGAGTGCAATGGTACCATTTCAGTTCACTGCAACGTCTGCCTCCCAAGTTCAAGGGATTCTCCTGCCTTACCTCCTGAGTAGCTGGGATTACAGACGCCTGCTACCATGCCTGGCTAATTTTTTTGTATTTTTAGTTGAGGTGGGGTTTTACCATTTTGGTCAGGCTGGTCTCGAACTCCTGACCTCAGGTGATCCACCTGCCTCAGCCTCCCAAATTGCTGAGGTTACAGGCGAGAGCCACTGCGCCCAGCCTATTTCAGCTTTCTTATACTTAGTATTTTTCTGATCTGTAATTTTCAATTTTCTGTGTCTTTATACCCTACAGGAGTCTCTTGTGAAAACCATATAGGTAGATATTTTTAGTTCAGTCTGTCAATGTAGGTGTCAAAATTTGTCAGCTTTCCAGATGGTTCTTATGGCCAGCATACCTGAGTAGTAGTAGGACTCAAAATCTTGCCTGGAATAGTCATAATGCTTTCAGATGTTGCCTATGACAAGTTCAACCTCATCCTTCTGTTCCTTCATGAATTGTAGCCTGCCCAACTAATCACATATGTCCTCAGCCTCTTTAATGCCTTTGCTCAAAATCCAGAGAATGATCTGATTGGTTCATTCATATGGAGGCATGGGAAAATTACATTCTTATGGACAAGAGAATTCCTATTTGATTTAAAGCAAGAAAAGAGAAAAAAAAATGTATATATTAACTGGGGAAAGCTTTTGGAGGCCTGCCAAAGACCTATACAGAGATATTACTCCAAAAACCTGCTCAGGTAAAAAGAGCTAACCTTTGATATGTTTCTCCATTAGGGACTTCCATAAGGAACAGACAGATTTTTGATGTAGCATGATATACAGATACAGTATAAGTAAAATGTTAAAGTGGAAGAAGTGGAGTAGACTATGGGATTGGAAGGTTTTATTTTCTATGTTGGAAAACAAGACAATTATATCAATTAGGATTCTTTTAGCTGCAAATAATAGATCCCCAACTAACACTAGCTTAAGGGATAGACATTTAATTGTTTTATGTAACAAGAAATCTAGAAGTTCAGGTTTGGAGGCTGCAGTTTAAAATGTTGTTGAAACCCCAAGTTTCCATCCTTCTGTTTTACTATCCTCAGAATTTGGCTTTTTGTCTTGGTGCTTGTGCCCCATGATTACAGGATGGCTCCATCAAAGGCAGAGACAGTGGGCTGGTAAGGGAGGCAAGGAATAACTCCTGGCAGGGGTTATTCTCTTGTTATTAGAGATGAAAATATATTTTGAAGAACCCACTTCCCTACCAGCAGACTTCCTAGTAGATCTCATTGGCTAGAACTGGGTCACATGGCCATCCCAAGCTCAAAGCTGGGAAGTATCATGTGGTTGAAATGAAGGGGGCAGCCATGTTGGTAGTAATGCCTTCCCAAACCAAACTGAAATTCTATTAGCAAGGAAATGTCTAATGGGTAGCTGGCCTATAGTGCTTCCAGGACAGCCATTTTATATAGCTGCTCTCTCATATGTAGCCTGTAAACTCCATGGGAGCAGAACATCATCATCTTTAACCACTGCTATGCTTTTCACACCAAAGAGTACCTACCCCATGGTAGATGGTCAGTAAGTATTAGCTGGTTGACTTAATGTACTTTGTAATATTTGTAATACTTAATAACTCGACTTTTCTCTGGTAAGCTGGAGGATGTGGCCATACTACATTATACTTTGCTTGACCTAGAAATTGTATTGAAAATCATATATTTATATGGATCTCATCAGGGATGTGATTTAGAGAGGATAGAAAATGTTAACGTCTAATTGAGAAACTTACATTTTATTTCTGTTTTTAAAAAATCAGTTTTATGAAAGAGAGAAGACAATTTATTTCTAAGTGTTATCCCTAAAAGTCTGTTTAAAGAACATTTATACTGACTGATTTTATGAGTAAAAGATTATAAGTTTTCATTAAAAGAAAGAGGTATTTAAGAGTTTAGTTCAATTTTTTTCGTGATATGATCAATAAGGAGAGGATACTGTGATGATGAATTAACCATATCCATACACAAAAATTCTTTTCTGAGATTCCAAGGAATGTTAAACATTATAGCAAAAGAATTAACTTTTTCAAAGAACAAAACTGTGTTTTTATAAATAGCTTTTTATGGGGAGACACTTTGCCACTCTTTAACATTCACAGCTATGGTATGCATGGCACCTGGGGCTCACCTGATTCAAGAAACTTGCTACTGAATGGAGCACCCAGACAGACCCATAGATATACATAGGCAAGTAAATAATATCGGGACCAATGGATTAATCAGAATCAGGAATGGACTCAGGAAGCCTCTCAGGGATATATAGAAGAAAATGTTTGCCAGCTTTCAGAGCTTGAAACTCAGTAAAGTTAGTTACATTTCCTCTTCAAAGTTCATTCTTCCCTTTCCTGTAGAAAGCCTCATGCAATGAGGCTTTGTCCACTTGCTCCCAAGCAACCATGGAATTCTGGTAGAATCTTTCTATTGTTCCCCAAACCATAGCACTAGAATAGTCCTTGACAGAAATCATTCTCTCTGCTTTATTACTTGGATACAACCTCAGAATTCTTAGAATAGTGATTTAGGCATCAGATATGAATAGAGTTGACACTTAAAATGACATCTAACTTTTTGTAGTAATGGTGGTTTTACAGTCACTTAATGAGAAGTGCATTTTTAGTGATTTTGTTATTGTGTAAACATCATGGAGTGCACTTACACAAACCTAGATGGTATAGCCTATTATACACCTAGGCTATATGGTATAGCCTTTTGTACCAAGGCTACAAACCTGTACAGAATGTTACTGTACCAAATAGTGAGGCAACTGTAACACAATAATTAGTATTTGTGTATCTAAATATAGAAGTGCAGTAAAAACATGGTATAAAATATTAAAAATAGTTTACTTTTATAAGGGACTTACCATGAATGGAGCTAGCCAGACTGGAAGTTGCTCTAGGTGAACTAGTGAGTGAAGGGCGAGTGAATCGTGAAGGCCTAGGACATTACTGTTTACTACTGTAGACTTCATAAGCACTGTACACTTAGGCTACATTATATTTATGGAAAATATTTTCCTTTTTATTTCTCCAATAACAAATTATTCTTAGCTTACTGTAACATTTTTACTTTTTAACTCTTTTGTAATAACACTTAGCTTAAAACACAAACACATTGTACAGCTGTACAAAAACATGTCTTTATATCCTTATTCCTTATTCTATTAGTTATTTTTATTTTTTAAAACTGTTTTTGTTAAAAACTAAGACACAGACACATAGTTTAGCCTAGGCACACAGGGTCAGGATCATCAAGATCACTGTCTTCCACCTCCACATCTTGTCCCAGTGAAAGTCTTCAGGGGCAATAACACACATGGAGCTGTCACCTATGATAACAATGCCTTCTTGTGGCATTGTTACTACCTGCTGAAAGACCTGCCTCAGGCTGTTTACAGTTAACTTTTTTTTAATAAGTAGAAGGAGTACACTCTAAAATAATAATAAATTATATAATAAATACATAAATCACTAATAGTCATTTATTATCATTGTCAAGTATTATGTGCTCTACAAAATTGCTATACATGTATGACTGGCAGCATAGATTTCTTTACACCAGCATCATTGCAAACACATGAGTAATACATTGTGCTATGATGTTATGATTGCTATGATATCACTAGACAATAGGAATTCCTCAGCTCCATTATAACCTTATGGGACCACAGTTGCATGTGGTCCATCATTTACCAAAACATCGTTACATGGTACATGACTATATAGCTTTAGAGAAGAAGTACAGATAGAATTAGTTCTGACAGATGATGCACTCTTTTAATTCATTCACTCATTCATTCATTTGTTCATTTATCTAAAACCAATCTCTCACCAAGTGTGAGGTACTTCAAGAACTAGATATAAGTAAATTAATCATATAAGAAATGAACATAAAATAATTTATATTTTAGACTCAACACCATTGCAACATTTAGTAAGTGTCAAATAAAAAGTCCTATGTATGAATTTTTATTTGATAGTGTCTTGGTTCAGAATGCATAAAGATATGCTGTGCTATGAGTAATCAGTTTCCAGTGAATCCCTTTTGCAAAGAACTTGAAGATGAACAAGGAATCCCGAAGCATTCAAGTATTTTCTCTGGCCCTTTCAAAGCAAAGCAAAGCCAATCACAGCATCATATGCCAGAAACCTAGCCTGTAGAAGACAAGATCTTCTAAGAGTATCTATAGCCTCCTCAAACAACAAACCTAATGGCTCTCAGTTGAGCCTAACTGCATCTGAAGAGGAAGCAGTTGGGACATGACAGCTTCACATCAGTGGTTTGGGGCAGTAGCAGAAATGCTGGAATGGTGTGCTTTGAAGAGGCTTGCCTGTTTTTTTAACTTTATGCCATGCCACGGCCATCGCAATTTTTTTGACAGTTCCAGGGAAAATGCAAACAGAACTGACCTCTCCTCGGCAGCTCTGTAACCGTGGGGCTCATGTGCGCAGATTGGCATCTGCAGGCACATCTTTAGCAAGTTGGCAGCCTTCGTGCCCTTTGCAGGTTGCAATCAAACCTCCTTCTACAGCAGCCTCTTTCTGGTTGATTAACTTTAATGTAATTTTAATTAAAAACCACAGTGTCAAAGGGTTTAGCTACTCGAGAAATGAGCACAGACTGCGGCCCAGTGGCAGCAGTCACTTGGAAAATGGAAATGTGTCCTGACAATGTTGTGCAGGGGCCAGATAAACAGGGTCGCTGCAGCACTTCTCTCACATGCAGGAAACAGGCAAGGGAACATCAGAACCAAGAGACCGGCTTGTACATCAAGGGTTCTAATGTATGAATTTCAGGTGCCATCAACATTTTTGAGACCTTGTTCAGTCCTGGCACCAAATACTCTCTACAATGGCTGGCTGTGACCATTCTGTTCTCCTCTTGGCACTTTGGTCTCTAAATCGACACACAAATCTGGGTTAAATATGAATCAAATTTCAGACAGGAAAAAGGGAGCCAAGGCTTACTGTATTATTCAATTGTAGATCTTCACTTTTTTCACTGCGTATATGTTTTGGGGACAGGGGATTTTAAATATCAGAGATAAGCTTTTCTTTCAAGGAAACACTTCCTTTGGGATATGATTCCTTGACTCCTTTACAAATAGTGCCAAGGAACTATAACTGAATGACTTCTTCCAAAAAGATTACTGCATTACTTGAATTGGAAGAATATGAGGAAATAATTTTGCAAATATGTTTTGTCATGATAGGTTCAGAAAATACATTTTGTTTACTAGGCTTCCTTATGCAATATAAATAATTATTTATATTTTTACTTATAATTTTTAATTATTTATATTGCATAAAGAGGTCTAATAAAAATGTATTTTCTAAATAATTACATTGCATAAGGAGGTCTAGTAAATAAAATGCATTTTTAATAATAGAAATAATCATTTTAAAACTTCTGTTTATCCTGAAGGTATTATCTTTTTTAAATTCCTGCTTTTAAAAAATTGTCAGGTTGATGTTAAATAATGCTCAAAATGAAAGACTGAAATGTGGTCCCGTGTGGAAGAAGTATTTTATTAATGCCAGTGGGATGAACACCTCTATTCCATGCTGAAATGCCCTTTATTCTTTCTCAATGTAGCTAATTTTTCAGGGCACAACTCTCAGGAGAACACCTAGTGACGTCAATTCTTCAGAGGAGAATTTCCTCCACCAGGTTTGTGGGATGCTGAGGCTGCTTTGCTGACAGATGGGGCCGGTACAGGTGGGCCCAGAGCCATGTGAACAGAAGGGGCCCCTGGACCCTGACAGAGAGGATAGACAGAACGGTGGGGGAGAGTTTAGGGCAGTGGACAGGGAGGGGAGAGAGGAGGCATAGAGGATTTCTACACTGAATCCAGCAGAGAGGAAGAAAAGCAAAAACAAGCAGATGGGTGGACAGGGAGAGGTGATTTGAATTGTATAACTTGCTTAAGAGACTAATAAAAAAAAAATCTCTGGGGATAGGAGTTCACCGCAGGCAATTTTGGAAAATTGGAAACTTAATCTAAGATTGCCAAAGTAAAGAAGAGTACAATAAAAATAAATATGAAATAAAAGTATGAAAATGAATTGCATATGAACTTGCAGGATGAATCCTCTGCAGGTTTCTGTACATATCCAGGTAGAAAAGAATCATTCTCTGGCTTTTTCTGGTGTTAAACAGCCATTATTATTGCTCTCATCTCAACTGCTTACTCTATTAAAAGACAAAATAGGATTTTGATTGCCACTTCGGCAAATGACATAACTGATCAAAATGAACTTAGAGAACAACTCAATGCATTTATGCAGATCCTATGATGGCAATTTAAAAAAAGAAAGAAAGAAAATTACCAGAGTAGGATCTGAATAAGTTAAAGCAGAGTATCCAAAAGTACCTTGCCTAGAATATTACTTTTTCAGTATACTTATATGTGTGTTTTGGGAAAATGGTTCTGTGGTGAAATAAATGTTTTGAGACCTGGGTTATAAGTCAAACCTTTTTTAAAATTTAATTTTACCGTAGCACTTTTCAGGGCTTTCATGTGTTCTCTTACATATATAGATTTTTTTTTTCTCTAATTTTGATCATGGAATGCTTTGAAAAGCATTTCTTGAGGATAGTTTACAAAGTATATACCCTAGGAAACACTTTCTCGAACCAGGTAAAAGAGGTTATCTGATTGGGTACATTTACAATGGACGTGAGTCCCCATTTGCATTGCATTTGTTCAGGAATAGGCTGACATTGACCATTCAGGAGAAGTCATCTTACACCTAATACTGTAAATCAAAATGTTTGAAACATTCTATTTACAAGTGGCCAGATCAGTGGTGCCATTTTTATCTATTTTGCAGTAGACATTTTGAATTAAAGAGTTAATATTTGGTTAGAAGTGATAATAAAAATATGTCCTAAGCCTTGTTGCCTAAGCACTGGCTGAGATAGATTCTGGCCATATACACAGCTGTACTTGTGTGTTCTAGCTAAATGCCAAGTCTGCTTCTAAATTTTTCTTGGTTTTCGTTTACAATGAACAACAAACAGAACCTGAGCTCTATGAAAGCAGAGTCAGGTTTGGCTTTGCTCACTATTGTAACCCTAACACTTATCATGTAGTTCAAACTCAACAAATATTATTAGAACTAATGAATTATCCCTCTGGCTAATGTTGCATACTAGTTGTAACACATCAGAAAACATAAGAGCTAGCATCAAACAATACTGGAGATAACTTTACTAAACACCAGCAGCTAAAATGGTCTTTTCTTTTGTAAGTTTATTAAAAGTAATATTGAGCACGAGTTACATGCAAATCACTCTGCTATGAACCCTGGAAGATGAAGAGATGAATGCAAGAAGAGAGTGACTCTTTGGGGAGCATATAATTTGGTGGGGTGTGACTTTAATATGGGAGAATGAAACCAAATTATTGGTGGGGATAGAGGGGATGGAAATTGGACAGTATGGAGTGGGTACAGAATTAGCCATGTTCAGGCTCAAGCTTCCAAGTGGAGAAAAGCTACCACATTTAGATTCATTTCATCCACATGATCAATGTTGGATTTACATTGAATGAGGACTATAGAGCTGGTTAGAGAAAGAAGGGCAGGCATGTTTGATGTGGTAACTTCGTTACTTTATGTGAGCACACAGAGTACAGTTCTTCAGAGATGGCCTCATTGGTTTAAAAGGAACTCAGCATTTCTCCTCCTGGATTGTAACAATAACCTCCAATAAGGGCAGGCATGTTTGATGTGGTAACTTGGTTACTTTATATGAGCACACAGAGTTCAGGTCTTCAGAGATGGCCTCATTGGCTTAAAAGGAACTCAGCATTTCTCCTGTTGGATTATAACAATAACCTCCACATTTGCAGAACACATTTTCACATGCCTTTTAAATCCATTATTGCACTTAATCTTTACAACAGCTCTGGGTGATCATATGTTTACTCTAACTTTACAGACAAGGAAATGGAAGCTCAGAGTAGATAAAGTCTTCATAGTTCTAAAACTCGTTGTTGAGCAACTGGTCTGGCTCTGAGTTCTCTGTCCTGAGTCCTTTTCATCAGTATAATCACCTTGAAGACAGGTGGTTTTATCTTCCCCAGAGTTCCCATTGTAGTGCTGAACAAGTAAAGGTACACAATTAATGCAAATCTAGATGACTCTTGTTTCCTTTGTGCCCAGAGGTCAAGTTTGATCATACTTCATATGGCATAAGCACCTTACATTTTATTCCTCAAGCACCTTTCTACACTTAGAAAGTAGTAATTATATTTGTTTCCATTATTGAACATATCATTTTGTGCCAGGGGCACTGCTATGTAGTTTTGATGTTATTTGCCTATCTCCCACATGAATTCAAAATTTCCTGGAGGTAGATGATAGTATATGTTATTCATCTTTGAATTTTAGGCAATTTGAGACTTCAACTGAAGTAAAAGTTTGGCTCTACCTTCCAAATGCTATAGGCCATTTCCCATATATCTTATAAACCCTGTTCAGGACTATAAAGATATCATTACAAAAACATTAATTTGATCTCAATTCTTGAGAAAAATTTTAGTTTCATAAGCAGTTAAATTTTGTGCTTCTGAAATACCTTGATGCTTGGACTCTGCTGGATTATAAGTTTCATGAGGATAGAGCAATATTTGCCTTTTCTATTCCCTTATCTCTAGCATCTTTTTTTCCCTCAAACATACCAGATACTTAATAATTGTTCAGTGAATGACTAGCATTACTATTTTTCCTCTAAAGGAGAAATCTGATTCTGCTGATGCTTTAGGGAAGAACATATCAATAATTACTAACAGTAAAGATTTTTTTTTCAGATGAATCTGACTGTTAACCTGCTATATGCAAATGTTGAACAAAATACATCCTGGAACTTCCCTGATACCCAATGAATATAGAGTAGAAATGAGAAGCTTAATTCTAGTTGATATTTGCTATCAGCCAATAAAGCAGATAGCCAAACCAGATTTGGGAAGAAAATCATTATTTCTGTAATACTTGTGGTTTAGAATTTTGAAGTCTTGTTATTATGCACTCATCAACTTTATATGTACTGAGGAAGTCTGGATAACAGGGACTAAGCATTAACTACGTGCATTGGGCCAAGGATCCTATGGTGATGATTTTATTTCCATGATTTAATTTAACTGGCATAATATATTAGAATGTGTATTATTAGTCATTTGACTAATATCACTCTGAAAGTAAGGCTTAGAGAGGCAACTAACTGGCCTAAGTTCAATTCACTAAATGGTAGAATCTGCCTGGCTATACCCTTACTGACAAAACAGCTGGGTGTAATACCAAAGGCAGACAACTTAACAGAAAGATCATAAAAGAAACACTCAAAGAGAGTGCTACCAAAATCAGTCATCCCAGGTTGTCTGTGCAGATACTCAAGACTACACCCTTGAGAAATTAGAACAGAGGCTACATTTCAGAGGAAAGAGATCTCACTAAAATAGGTTAGTGAAGTCACAAAAAACAAACTAACAAACAAACAAAAAACAACCAAACTGCAACAAAAACAAACTCTGGTGAGGACAGAAGTGAATTAGTATCCAGAGCTGCTTTAACAAATTTCCAGTTTTCAACAACAATTAACGAAATCACAAGACATGCAAAGAAACGGAAAATTGTGACCCATACATAGGAAAAAAGAGGGCAACAAAAACTAACTGTAAAAGGGCCCAAATGTCAGATTTAACAAAGACTTTAAAAGAGCCATTTTAAATATATTCAAAGAACTAAAAGAAAATATGTCTAAAGAGGTGAAAGAAGATGTGACAACATCTCATTAAATAGAGAACAACAAAAAAAGAGATAAGAAAATTATAAAAAAGAACCAAGTGGTAATTCTGGAGTTGAAAAGCATAATAACCAAAATAAAAAATTCACTAGAGGGTTTCAGCAGCAGGTTTGAACTGACAGACAAAAGGAATCTATTTACTTGAAGATACATTGATAGAGATTATAAAATCTGAAGAATAGAAAGAAAAAAAGAAGAAAAATGAATAAAGCCTCACAGAAATATGTAATACCATTAAGAGCATCAACATATGATAATAGGAGTACCAGAAGAAGAAGAGATAATTTTAAAAAAAAAATTGAAGAAATAATGACTGGAATCTTCCAAATTGGCTGAAAATATTAATCTGCACATCCAAGAAGCTCCATAAACTCCAAGTAAGACAAACACAAATAAATTTACATTAGTATACATCATAGAAAAATGCTGAAAGACAAAGTTCTGAAAGTATCAAAGAGAAAAATGACAACACATATGACAGAATTCCAATAATATAAACAGCTGACTGCTCATAAAAAACAATGAGAGTCAGAAGGCAGTGGGACAATATACAGTTGACCCTTGAACAACACGCAAGTTAGGGGCACCAATCTCCTGTTAAGAGAAAAATCCTCATATAACTTTTGACTTTCCTAAAACTTAACTACTAATAGCCTACTCTTGACCAAAAGCCATACTATTAAAATAAAGTCGGTTAACACATATTTTGTATGTTATATGTATTTTATACTCTCTTTCCACAATAAAGTAAGGTAGAGAAAACATGTTATTAAGAAAATCATAACAAAGAGCTAGGTGTGGTGCCTCACGCCTGTATTCCCAGCACTTTGGGAGACCAAGGTGGGCAGATCATTTGAGGTCAGGAGTTTGAGACCAGCCTGGCCAACATAGTGAAATGCTGTCTGTACTACAAATATAAAAATTAGCCATGCCTAGTGGTGAACGCCTGTAATCCCAGCTACTCAGGAGGCTGAGGCAGGAGAATCACTTGAACCCAGAAGGCAGAGGTTGCAGTGAGCCAAGATTACACCACTGCACTCCAGCCTGGGCAACAGAGCGAGACTCTGTCTTAAAGAAACAAACAAAAAAAGAAAATCATAAGAAAAAGAAAATATATTTACTATTCATTAAGTGGAATTAGGTCATCATAAAAGTCTTCATTCTTATTGTCATCACATTACATAGGCTAGGGGGAAGTAGGAAGAGGTCTTGCTATCTCAGGGTTGGTAGAGGTAGAAGAAAATCCATGTGTAAGTGGACAAATACAGTCAAGCATGTGTTGTTCAGAGGTCAATTGTATCAAAAGTGCTGGAAGGAAAAAAAAAATCTCAACAGTGTGTCAACCAAGAGACTTACATTCAGTAAAACTATCCTTCAAAACCAAAAGTGAAATAAAAACATTATCAGATAGGCAAAAACTGATAGAATTTATTGGTAGCTGATATACTTTACAGAAAATACTATAAGAAGTTTTCAGGCTGAAAGCTATAATTCCAGATGGTCATTTGAATCCATTTTTAAAAAGTACCAATAAAGGCACTATTAAAAGACAGTATAAATGTATATTTTCTTTCTTTCAATGTCTTCAGTGATTTAA
This sequence comes from Homo sapiens, assembly GCF_000001405.40. Lineage (NCBI taxonomy): Eukaryota > Metazoa > Chordata > Mammalia > Primates > Hominidae > Homo > Homo sapiens. The sequence goes on along the minus strand of NC_000003.12, from coordinate 28,098,413 downwards.
AAAGTAGTTTAATAAAACTATATAATTAAACTGTTGAGCCTAAAACATAAAGATATAATATACTTGACAATTAACATTACAAAGTAGGCGAATGATAGTAAAGGTGTATGGAAGTAAGAAAATGACACCAGATGGTAACTTGAATCCACAGGAACAAATTAAAATAACAAGAAACATTTCAAAAGAAGGTTAGTATAACAAACTGTAAACATATATTTGTTCTCCTTTCTTTCCTCAGCTTCTTTAATAGACATAAAGTTATATAAAGTAATAATTATAATAATGTATTGTTTGGTTTGTAATATATATGGATGTAATATATATGTAACAATAGCACAAAAAAAGGGGAAAGGGAATGGAGCTCTATGGGAGTAACATTTCTTTATCTCTCTGGAATCGAGACAATATATATCTTAAGTAGGTTATGGTAAGATGTATATGTTAAGCTCAAGAACAACCCCTAAGAAAATAAGTTAAAAGCTGTAGTTGGAACACCTGGACACAGGAAGGGGAACATCACACACCAGGGCCTGTCATGGGGTTGGGGGAGGGGGGAGGGAAAACATTAGATCTACCTAATATAAATGACGAGTTAATGGGTGCAGCACACCAACATGGCACATGTGTACGTATGTAACAAATCTGCACGTTGTGCACATGTACCCTAGAACTTAAAGTATAATAAAAATAAAATAAATAAATAAATTACAACTCCAAAAAAATTATAGGAATTAAAATGTTACAGTAGAAAATATGCATTCAGTGCAAAACACAATAGTAAAAGAGGAAAGGAGGAAAAAGCCAGAAGACATATAGAAACCAAAAAGCAAAATGGCTGGCATAAATCTAACTATATCAACAAAAACATTAAATGTGAATAGATTAAACAACCCAATCAAAAGGCAGAAATAGACTGGGTATAAAAACATGATCCAATTATAATGTCATCAATAGGAGACAAAATTTAGATACAAAGACACAAATAGTTGAAAGTAAAAGGGTGGAAAAAGATTGATCATGTACACAGCAGCCACATGAAAGCTTGTGTAGTTATAATAATATTTTTAAAAGAGGTTTAAAATGCTACTACAGATAGAGAAGAACATGAGATAATAATTAAAGAGTTAATCCATCAGGAAGATATAATAATAATAATAATAAACATTCATAGACCTAACAGCAAAACCTCAAAATAAACAAAGCAATCTCTGACAGAATTTAAAGTAGAAATGCACAATTCAACAATAATAGTCGAAGACTTCAACACTCCACTTTCAATAATGGATAAAACAACTAAGCAGAAGATCAATAAGGAAATAGAAGATCTGAAAAACACTACGAATAAACTACAATCTATGTCTATCGAACACTCTACTTAACAGGATTAGAACACACATTCTTCTCAAGTGCACATGGAAAATTCTCCAGGATAGACTCTATGCTAGGCCATAATGCAAATCTCAATACTTTTAAAAGAATTGGAATCATACAAAAGATGTTCTTCGATAACAGTGGCATGAAAGTAGATATTAATAATGGAAAGACAATAGGGAAAATCACAAATATGTGAAAATTAAGCAACACTCTCCTAAATAACCAATAGGTCTAAAAAGAAATCTTAAGAAGTTAGAAAATTCTTTGAGGTTTAGAAAATAAATACAAAACACATAAAACTTATGGGATGCAGCTAAAACAATGCCAAGAGAAAATTTTATAGCACTAAATGTTTAGATTAGGAAAGAAAAAAAGTCTCAAATCAATAACAAAGTTCCACCTCAAAAAGCTGAAAAAAAGAGAACAAATTAAATCCAAATCTAGCAGAAGAAAAGCAATAATAAAAATTAGAATGAAATTAATAAAATGGGAAATAGAAAAGCAACAGAGAAAAATCAGGAATAATAAAGATTAGAATAAAATTAATAAGATGGGAAATAAAAAAAGGAGAAAAATCAACAAAACCAAACTTGGTTATTTCAGGAGACCAATGAAATTGACAAACTATTGGCTAGACTGACAAAAGGGAAAAAATAGAATACTCAAGTTGCTAAAATCAGGAATAAAGAAGGGAATATTGCTATTAATTTTACAGAAATAAAAAAATGGATTAAAAAGAACAGTATGAGGAAATGTATACCAACAAATTAGATAATCTAGATGAAATGAATAAGTTCCTAGAAAGACAAACTACATAAACTTTTTCAAGAATAAACAGAAGATCTGAGTATATTTATAAAAAAATAGAGATATGATTAGTCAACAAAACACTTTCTGCAAAGAAAAGCCATGGCTCATATCAGTTTACTAGTGAATTCTACCAAATGTTTACAGAAAAATTAATAATAATCTTTCAAAAAATAGAAAAGAAATCAGGCATGGTAGCTCATGCCTGTAATCCCAGCACTTTGCAAAGCTGAGGTGAGTGAACCACTTGAGCCTAGGAGTTCAAGACCAGCTTGGGCAACATGGTGAAACTCCATCTCTACAAAAAATACAAAAAATTAGCTGGGCATGGTGGCATGTGCCTTTAGTTCCAGCTACTTGGGAGGCTGAAGTGGGAGAATCACCTGAGCCCAGGAGGTTGAGGCTGTAGTGAGCCATAATGGTGCTACTGCTCTTCAGCCTGGGTGACAGAGTGAGACCCTGTCTCAAAAAAAAAAAAAAAAGAAGAAGAAAAAAGAAAAGAAAATAAAGTATACTTCACAATCCATTCTGTGAGGTTAATATTACTCTGATTTAAAACAAAACAAAACAGGTTAAGAAAATGTGGCACATATACACCATGGAATACTATGCAGCCATAAAAAAGGATGAGTTCATGTCCTTTGTAGTGACATGGATGAAACTGGAAACCATCATTCTGAGCAAACTATTGCAAGGACAGAAAACCAAACACCACATGTTCTCACTCATAGGTGGGAATTGAACAATGAGAACACTTGGACACAGGGCAGGGAACTTCACACACCAGGGCCTGTCATGGGGTGAGGGGGGTGGGGGAAGGATAGCATTAGGAGAAATACCTAATGTAAATGATGAGTTAATGGGTGCAGCAAACCAACATGGCACATGTATACGTGTGTAACAAACCTGCACATTGTGCACATGTACCCCAGAACTTAAAGTATTAAAAAAAAAACAACATGTTAAGACATCACAAGAAAATAAAATTACAGACCAACATCTCTTATAAACATACATGGCAAAAATCCTCAACACAATACTAGCAAACCTAATCCTGCAACATATAAAAACATTACATACCATGACTAAGTGAGATTTATCCCAACAATGTAAGTTTGAATTAGCATCTGATAATCAATAATGTAATAAACATATTAATACAATAAAGTACTAAAACCACATAATCATCAGATTACAGCAAAAGTATTTGACAAAACTTGTACCACTTCATGATAAAAATACAACAAACTAAGAGTAGAAAGAAACTTTCTGAATCTAATAATTTAGATCTACAAAAATTCACAATAATATCATACTTGACAGCAAGAAACTGAATGGCTTTCTGCTAAAATCAGGAGCAAGACAACAGTATGTGCTGTCATCCCTTCTATTAAAATTTTACTGGAGTTTCTGAAACCACCTTTGCAAAATTTGTAATAGTGAGAAAATTATGTCATGAAAGAGATCTGATCTAACCAAGTCTCCGGCCTTTAACCTCCAAACTGTTTTCAGGCTTTTCTGGGCTTGGGCCAAGCTAACTTTGGGAGAAATTTAGTTTATAGTTTAAATAATAATGGCCCTTCCCCCAAACTAAACCACCTTTGTAAAGCTAATAAAAGACCATCAGGTTAGAAGTATGACAGTAGCCGGAATTCTGCTAAGGTGTAGATATAAAAAATTAGCAGCCTTTATTCCAGAGGTCACAAGATTTGCAACTTCCCCAATTATCCCTGCAGATAACATCGCTATTGCAGAACCTAAGATTAGCCTTTTGAGATGTCATTTCCAGTTTTTGCATTTATGACCACCAGTAGCTCCACTTGAGCCAGCCCTGTGGTCCCACCCAGAAGTGGACTCAGCACATGAGAACTATTTTCCATATCCTTATGATTGCACCCCCAGCCAATCAGCAGCACCTATTCACTTGCCCACCAAACTAGCCATTTCAGAAAGGTTGATTTTCAATTTTCAGAAAGGTTGATCTGAATAATAATAAAACTCTAGTCTCCTGTTCAGCCAGCACTGTTTGAATTAAACTCTTTCTCTATTGCAATTCCCCTGCCTTGGTAAGTAGGCTCCATCTGGGCAGTAGGCAAAAATGAACTCATTGTGTTATTGGAAAGGGGACCAGATCCAGACCCCAAGAGAGGGTTCTTGGATCTCGCACAAGAAAGAATTCAGGTTGAGTTTGTAAAGTGAAAGCAAGTTTATTAAGAAAATAAAGGAATAAAAGAATGTCTACTCCATAGACAGAGCAGCACCAAGGGTTGCTGGTGGCCCATTTTTATGGTTATTTCTTGATTATGTGCTTTAAAGGGGGTGGATTATTCATGTCTTTCCTTTTTAGACCATATAGGGTAACTTCCTGACATTGCCATGGCATTTGTAAACTGTCATGGTGCTGGTGGGAGTGTAGCAGTGAGGATGACCAGAGGTCACTCTCATCACCATCTTGGTTTTGATGGGTCTTAGCTGGCTTCTTTACTGCAACCTGTTTTATCAGCAAGGTCTTTATGACCCATATCTTGTGCCAACCTCCTATCTCATCCTGTGACTTAGAATGCCTGTCTAGGGATTCAGCCCAGTAGATCTCAGCCTCATTTCACTCAGACCATATTCAAGATGGAGTTGCTCTGGTTCAAACGCCTCTGACCATTGGGCAGTTACATTTCTAGTCAGGGAAATTAGGAAGGAAAATGAAATAAAAGGCATCTAGAAAGAAATTAGTGAAACTATAATTGCAGATGACATAATCTTGAATATGAAAAATCCTAAGGATTTCACTAAAACTATTATAATGAATAAAGTTCAGCAAAATTGAAAGACACAAGATCAACATACAAAATTAATTGTACTTCTATATACGTGGCATGAACAATCAGAAAATAAAATTAAGAAAACATTTTGAAAGAAACTTAAGAAGGCCTAAATAAATGGAAAGACATCTTGTGTTCAAGGATTGAAAGACTTAATATTATTACTATTGCAATACTCCCCAAAGTGACCTACAGATTCAACACCATTTCCATAAAAATCCTAACTAATTTTGCCAAAATTGACGAGGTGACCCCAAAATTCACATAAAAATGTAAATCATCCAGAATACTCCTCCTCCTCTCAAAAAAAAATATTTAAAAAGGTAAAACAAAGTTTTTGTCACAAATGGTGCTGGGGCAACTGTATATCCATGGGAAAAGAATGAAATTGAGTCCCTACCTCACACCACATACAAAAGTTAACTCAAAGTGGATCAAAGACTTTACCTCTGTGATCTTTCTCCCAAAAATTCATATCCCAGTCTAATCATGAGAAAATACCAAATTCTAATATAGAGGCATTCCTACAATGTACCTGACCAGTGCTCTTCAACACTGTCAGGTCATCAAAAACAGGGAAAGCCTGAGGAACTGTCATAGCTAAGAGGAGCCTAAGGTGCATGACAACTAAATGTCATCTGGTATCCTGGATGGGAACTTGGGACAGAAAAAGGACATTAGGTAAAAACTAAGAAAATCTGAGCAAGCTATGACATTTAATTAATTGTAATTTATCAATACTTGTGGACTGTGGACTTGTGGCTTCTCCATGCAATGTAGTTGGATTTCTTATGTGGCGATTGAGAATTTCAATAGTCAAAGGCAGAAGATTCCAGTCCTCTTAATGGCTAGGTCTGAATTAGGTACAGTGACACTTTGGTTGTAATCCATTTGTCAAAGCAGTCAGTGATTCAAGGAGAGAGGAATGGACCTTCTTCTCTACCTAGCTATTTTTAACCTGCTGTAGCTCTCATCTCCTGCTGGACATAATATCACAGACTCTTACAATTACAGCCCATCAACCATCCTCCTATGAAGTTCTCTTTCTATTAAAGATAAAAATTAATCTCGATTATTTTCCTCCCACACTTGACATTATCTATTATCTGACTTCTATCTGTGCAATACACATGGGCTTTGTAACATAACTTTTCACAATCTAGCACCACTTTGTATTCTAAACCTCACTTCCAGTACTCCTCTGTAAGAAGCTATACCAGTCTCAGAACATACCTTATCATTTCAGGACTCCAGGCCATGCACATGTTTTTTCCTCTGCTAGAAACAATACATTCTCTTTGCCCAACCCCCACCCCACCTCCCCTTTCTCTCTCTCTCTTTCTTTCTGTGCCTTCTTGACTTCCCTAGGCAGAGGTGGTCTGTCTTAGTGTGGGCTGCAATAATAAATTACCATAGACTGGATGGCTTAAATGACAAACATTTATTTCTCACAGTTTTGGAGGTGAGAAAGTCCCAAGATAAAAGTTCCGGCAGATTTGGTGTCTGATGAGGACCCACTTCCTGGTTTGTAGATGGCCACCTTCTTGTTGTAGCCTCACATGGCACAGAGCAGAAAGAAAGAGCTCATGTCTCTTATTTTCGTAAGGGCACTAATCCCATTCATGAGGGTTCCACTCTCATGACCTAATTACTTCCCAAAGGCCCCACCTTCAAGTATCATCAAATTGGGGATAAGTTTCAACATATGAATTTTGGAGTAGACACATTCAGTCCACAGCAGAGTCTCTTTAGCAATCTGAGTGTCCACAGAATTCTGCTCATTTCTTATAGCTTTTGTCATATTGTGTGGTGTTTTATCTGTTCTCTCTCTCTCTCTTTCTCCTCCTCTCTCTCTGGACTATACAACCTTCAAGGGCTGAGAAAAATTCTAATTCATTTTTCTATTCCTAGTGTTTTAGCACAGTAACTAGCATATAGATCATAATTACATCTATTAAATGAACAAATTACAGGAAAAAAAACCCGGATGGAATATGGTAGCAAAAAAGCTGGGTACTCCCAATAACTTGACATTTTTTATTCTTTTCCTGCAGGTATCAATGGTGAGCAGAAGAGGAGCAGGGAATGATGAAAGACCACACATTCTCCAAAAGTCACTAAGCACTGTCTGCAGATGGAACATTCATATTTTCACATAGTATAAGTCATATGATCTTTGATCCTCCATGTATTGCTATCCAGCCATTTACTTTAGAATGTCAGCCTTTATACTGATATCACACACATGTTGTAAAATGTAGTGAAGATAAACGGGTGAAGTTAAACTTACAATGCTTTTGCTGTTATCCATAAAAATGCAATAGGTATTGCATAGAATTAGTTACAAGCACAAAACTGTGATACCCTATATGCCCCTGTTACAAGAAAGTTGTCATTTTACATTATGGGTATTTATTCGATATTTTCATAGTTTAATTACTAACAAAGCATTAATAATGCCAGATTGTGCTGACAAACATTGCAGTCTCTGAATAGGAGAAAGAATATATTCTTTGCACCATTATACAATGATTTAGAACTTTAATAGTGTGCTGGGGAAAAAACATGTATCTGTAACCTGAAATAGTTGTTTTACCTCCCTGAGTACAAAATATGTCACACATTCTCTCCTAAATGTATTCTCTATTTTTACCAGTCATTTTGTTGCTAAAATGTAAGATATGGGGATGGGATGTGGGTGATTGTCTCCGTCCTTTTGGGCTTCTATAACTAAAATACCTTAGACTGGGTAATTTATAAACAACAGGAATTTATTTCTCACAGTTCTGGGGGCTGGAAAGTCCAAGATCAAGGCTGTGGTGGGGTTTGGCTGGCGAGGGCTCCATCCTTCTTGCTATATCTTCACATGGTGGAAGGAGCAAACAAACTCCCCCAGCCCTCTTTTACAAGGGCACTAATATTATTTGTGAGGGCTCCACTCTCATGACTTAATCACCTCCCCAAAGACCCTACTTCTTAATACTAACACATTGGGGATTAATCTTCAACATATGAATTTTGGAGGAACACAAACATTCAGACCATAGCAATGTTTATTGGGGTGAATGCTCATTTAACTTTTCCCAGAACAATCCCTGTTAAGTCTGCTAACCTCCTGTAGTTAATGATAAAATTTCCTTCATTTTCCGAAGTGTTCTTGTTTGGATTATAAATTATGTAATTACCCTAATGACAATTAACTAGACATTTTTTTTCTTACTGTATAGCACCAGTATGGGCAATTGCAGTGGCTTTCAAACTTGACTACAACTCAGGGAGAAATACATTTTTCATCATAACGTAGTACACACACACACACACACACACACACACACACACGCACACACACACACACATACACTAGATAAAGCAAAAGCTTTAGGAAATGGTACTTGGATATTTTCAAATATATTTTAGTCTGTTTTTTAATTAAAAATCTCTAGTCATGATACATTAAATTGACTTATTGACCCACAGCTTGAAAAAACACCAATATTTTGGATGTGTTTTAAGGTCATAGAACACGCCTTCTGATTTTTTTCCTTCCCTAGGTAATCCTATGCAAGTTGCCAATCTTCTCTAAACAACACTCTTCTTCATCTATAAAGTAAATATTAATACCTACCTGAAGGTGGCAGAGAGAGTTAACTGAGATAATTTGGTTAATGAGCCTGAAATCTAGTCAACACTTACTAAAGGTAATTTCTTCTCCTCTCTTCCGCTTCTAAACCAACAGGACACAGCTGAAGTTCACAGGTTTGTAAAAGTGAAAAAATATTTTTCTTAACCCCCTGACCTCTAAAGTTTGGTCAGAGTGTTTAGCCACTGATAAAACATCTTTAAGCACTGTTACTTCTATGTTCAACTAAAAGAGTCACTTTTCAGTAATTTCCGGTCAAGCCCATCACAATAGCACTTGCAGCTTCTCAAAAGAAAAGAAAGAAAGAGAGAGAAAGAAAGGAAGAAAGAGAATTGAAGGAGGAAAGAAGGAAAAAAATCATGATGAAGATTTTAAAACATGTCTTATTGAGGGATGGGATGGTGAGGAAGTTGATTATAGTGATGGATGTGACAGACAGGGCCCGTACTTCTGTTTCTGTTCTCAAACTAACAGTTTTCACACATAACCGTTTTCACACATAACACATTAGTAGAATTTCTTTTGAATATTTGCCTTGGAAATAAAACAATAATAATATAGCATTTATTATATTTATTATATATAGAGTGTGTGTGTGTGTGTGTCTGTGTGTGTGTGTATCCCACATGTCCACATGAGAAATAATGAAAGAAGATGGAGCCCAAGTAAGAGAGTCCTGATGCCCCATAATGCAGAGAGACAAAGAAGTGATGAAATCAAGTACTCTACCTCTGGGCCGCCAGAATCCAGGCCTGGTTCCAGAGTCCTCTGGTTTTCACCGTGTTGGGGTGGGGCCTCCCCGGGTGCACAGCTTTTCTGCACTGGTTGGCATCTACTGAACCTTAGGTGATCACAGCAGTGGTAAAGACAAGCCAGCTTCCGTCTTTCCATAGTTTGTTCCCCTGTACTTCAGGAGGGAGGGGAGCCCCTCTATGGAATGCAATACACACTAGGCATCCTATCACTATGTAAGAACTCATCTTGCTCCCTCATTTCACATTACATCTTTGACTGTCTTGCTCAGTTGTTTCACCTTGGCTAGTTTTTACTCTTTGGCGAGTACTCTCACAACTCTCTTGTAGGCAGGAGCCCATTTTCTTTTTCTGAGTACTCTGGACTCCTTGCATGGTGCTTCCTGGGCAAGGGGTGCTCAACAAATTGTGCTGATAATTAAGTCATTCACTCAAAATATATTTATTAAGCACCTAGTGACCAAGACAGAAAAAAGTTACTATTGACCTTCAAATCACCAAATCTAATGATCATTCCTTACTGCTCATCTTCCTCCACCATTGCTACCTTAGAGGCCTCCCGTGCCTGCCTCCATTTCCCAGACTTACTGCTTGATTCTCCCTGGCAAGCTTTCCCTTCACCATTTTTTTTTCAGCACTTGTAAGGAACTGAATCTGTCCCCAATAGTACACAGTTTGAGTTAGAGCCAGGACTAGAACTCAGGCCTGCATATAATCAAAGATCAGAAAACGGCCAAATCTTGGTGTTTCTATTCACAGGGAGGAAACCCAGATGGGCCTACTCACAATACATGCTTCCAAATGAAAGAACGTTTTTCCCCCTAAGGACATTGTTAGGACACTGTCTAGCTAGAAGATATTCAGAGAAAATTCACTCCTTTACCTGCCCTAGGGAAATGGGAAAATTCAATGTTTGAGCCATTTACCCAAAAGAGTAATCCATGCTGGAAATTTTGCTGAAAGTATTCTTTTAAAAGGCCCTTCTGTCTTTATTATGACGATAAGACTGCTGAGTCTGCCCAAGCATATGAGGTTGCAAAGAATATTTCTTTTTATTCAGACCTTGTATTCTCTACATGATGAAAGGATTCTTGGCACATAGTTGGCAATTACTATCTAGGTTTTCTGCATAACATAGGTTTTTTAAACTAAGCTTTTAACTCAATAGACATCAGGCTCCAATGAAAATACATGTGGCCTAACACGAGCAGAAATAAACACAATTCTAATCAACTTAACTGTTGACAAAAGCATGTGGTTTCATTGCTTGCGGCCAAAGTTGTAAGAGTGGACTCTGATTTCTTGCAGGAACACCCCTCATTTATGTGTGCAAATAGGGTAATTAAGTGTCCAATTACCAGATTTGCATTGGCAAATGGGGGCTTTGTGTGGGTAAAATTCTCCATGGTTTGGGACCAGCTGAAACTTAGGTCTTTTCTTTTTGGATCAATCCCCCAACAATAACACGGGCATGATGAAGTTCCCTTCTTGTCCTGATCTGAAGCCATGGCTGAAGACTTCCCTTATTTTGGTAATTCAGTGAAGCGGAGAGCCAAAGTTAGGATCTGGGGCCTTTTCTTCCTTACTGTCTACTCTGAAAAATAATTAAGCATTTCAAGTATTTTCAGACTGACTTTTTTTTTTTCCTGCTGGCTCTGTAGAATTGATTACTAAGGTGAAATACTTGTAAATATTCCTTTTAAAAATTTAACCATATGGAAGCATTAAGTTGAAAGACACTTCATAAAACAACTTTATTCTTTTCTCCCCCAGCTCTCGGGTGAAATCTAAGATGGGTCCAATGACTTTCTCAAGTTTCAGATAAAAAGTTTCTGGATACTTTTAGTCATGAAGCCAATCTTCTTACAGTAATGAAGACATCCTTTCTGGGATATCCCGTCCTTTCTGGGATGTCTAGTCAAGGTGGAGTAAACATATTCCACTCTGTCTCTCTCTATGAAGGAAGTTAAAACCCTGGATGGAATGTATGTAGCATTTCTCTGAGGAGCCTGTAAAGTAAGTAGCAGCAGGTAGATTAACGAAAGAAACCAGAACCTGAAGTACTACTGAACCACTTTTCCCCTCTGGCATCTCCTGCTGCAGGACCGAGACAGCTGGAAAACAGGAACTATACATCAGGTACAGACAAAATGAACTCCAAGAAAACCCACTTAATTTTAGTCTAAAGAAGGAGAAAGGGGGCCTCATGGGATCAAAGAGAATTTATGTTTTCTACTGTTCTATCTCCCAGGAAATTCTATGGCAGTGGTGGTGACAATTGCAGTGGTGGCTGGTCAGGTATCCAAAACTCCAAGAAAGGAGAGTCCTTATGTATGACCAGAGAAACTGAAAGAAGTTCCTGCTGCTTTTTTCCCCTCTCTCTATCCTCTTGCCGCTCGGCGTTGGAGGCAGAAAGAGCTGGCCCCTTACTCTGGCCCATGATAGCCTTCAGTTTGCTGAGGGCTTGTATGTTTTTGCTCACTTGTTTTTCTACAATATTCTTCGGCTACAACGACCACCACATAAACTCTTGTTCACATATTTTATGTCCAGGACAAAGCTCCTATCCTTGATCAAACCTCTTCTTTCCGGAAATGGCTCTACCTACCTCTGTTATAATCATCTCGTCATTATCGCTTTTGCTCATAGGCTGTCACCTTCATTTGTGGATTCATTCCCACCCTTCAGTGGCTGTTTCAGTGCTTTCAACAAATATCTGAAGGAATGATCAAGTCTGTTTTCCTAGAAATAAAATATTCCAAGAAATATTTAAGGATACATTAAGATTTCAATAAAGCCTCAAAAGCACTTAAACAAAAATGAAATTATTTGAATATTTTATTATAGATACGACTGCAATACAATTTATTGCCCAAACTGGGAAATGTTTGAGAGTGAAAGGGGGAAAAGGCACTAAAATAATGAAGACATAGTATTTGATCTACAACAGGTATTAACTGGAACACATTACGGTCCTCATTGTAAACTTAATGGCAAATACCACCTTGTCTCTTGCTAGTTTCTTCACAGTTTCTTCTTCACCTACAGACCTGGATGTATACATATGTGCACAACCCCCTCTAGAAATGCACGTTTTAACTTCATGTCATATCCCAGACTAAGCCAACTAAGGAGAATAAAGATGTAGAAATTTTAATATTGCTTATAAAATTATATTTATGCAGCTTCCACCTTTCTTTCTAACTTTGTCTCTTACCTACTCTCCAAATACAATTTCTCCCAAACAGAAGAGATGAACAATTCCCTGGCACTTTGCAGTATACTGTAGCTTTTAATTGAGAAATGGAGCATTGTGGTTGAACATTCTTTTAGAATCATTCTCATAGGTTAAGATCTAGGTTTTGCTATTTACAATCCATGTAACTCCAGTTCTCTTATACTAAGTTTCCTCATCTATAAAGTGAAAACCAAAGGTAAACTCTCCAAGGGATATTGTGAGAATTTAATAAAATAATTGGCATAGAAATGTGAGATGTCCCAGGCAAAGTCATGTGTGTATTCACCCCAGTTCCCATTTTGTAAATGGCCATCTACATTACCAATTTCCACAAAATGGTATGAGAGGGAAACTGTTACATATTTAACATGAAGCCAGAAATTGTAAGGGAGGTTTAAATCTAAGAAACTTCCTTAGAGATTCTTCATCGCCTCTAAAGCAACATCCAATTCTCAGGCCGAAATATGTAACTACTGCTTGTCCGTTACCAAATTAATAGATGCTTCTTTCTAGCTCATTAGCACGTGTTGTTTAAACACCTTCTGCTCTGGAGGAGAAATACTTCTAGAATGAGGAAGAAAGAAGGAGATGGTAAAGAGCTTAATAGGTGGGTCTTAAACCGAACCCCACAAGAAAACCACTACCACCATCACAACAACAAACCAGACACCAGCTTGCTGAACCCCTGAGTGAAACTAAATTTCTTTTTCAAATCCAGAATATTTAACCAGGAGTGTGCTCTGATAATCAATTCTGATCAAACAAAAATTTATGTCTTCTGAAATTATCAAACCAGATTAAACTTGGAGGACCATCTGTTAAGACCAAGCTAATATTTTAACATCTTATTTGCTAGAGAAATCCATTTTCTTGTGTGTGCATTTGGTGTCATGAGTGGTGAAGGCCATTGAGTTAGACATTGTTAAGAGACCCACAATAGCATACTAGGTTTGGCTGAGTATCCTCCTGGCTAATTACTATGTCCTCTGAGGGAAGGAATCTCCAAATTACCAGGGAACCTGAAGCTCTTTACCTATCCACTTAGGATTCAACAGTTTCAACCCTGAAATGGTCTTTGATCAATGCACAAATCAAAAGACTAAGAGCTTTTACAGTATAACAGACATTATTTTGACTATAGGTGTTTCCATCAGCTCCTGGCTGACTTTCTCGTTGCCCTACTTCCGCTGGAAAACTAAGGTGGGTTATGTTTCCAGTTCACTTACTGAAGTCATCACTTGATTCTCTCCATAGTGGAGAAGAAGTCATCCTACAGTCTTTTGTTGCTACGATCTTTACAGAAAATTGTGAATAATATGACTATTTGAGTAATATCATGTCCTGGTTAATTATATATTTCTTAAGGTTACAAGTTAACAGAGCATTTTCTCACTCTCCACCCCCACATTAGCTCTGAAAGATTTGGTAAGGATTTATAGTTTCCTTTTCTCTGTGAAAATAGTATCTAAGTATGTGTGTTTGCATTGTTTGGCAGTTGTTTATACTCTAGTTTCTACCAAAACTAATTTATTTTGCCTTTGTAAGTATAATTTACTCCACATTTACCTCTTAACATAATCCAGCTGTAGGGGTTGAAAAACTATATCCTGTGGGCCAAATCCACCTGTTCTCATAATGTTTTTTAGGACACAAGTACAAGAATTTGCTTACTTATTGTCTACGGCTGTTTTCAATATCAGAGTAGATAGGTGTGACAGAGGCTGCATGGCTGGTGAAACAAAGAAAAAAAAATTACTACCTGGTCCTTTACAGAAAACATTTGCCAACCCCTTGTCTAGTGTAATCATTCCAAACACAGAAACTCACTGCACAGATTTATAGAAAGTAAAGTGCAGTGTACTCTGTTGAATATATTCTAAATCTATGACATATCTTAGAAGACATTAGTTTTAAGAAAATTATTATTGACAGCTGTTTTTTCATTCCTGAGGAATTCTCATTAATTAAAAAGTTCTTATGTAAAATGCAGCAAACTCCCAGTAATGCATGCTTCATAATTACAAAAATTCAAATGTTCTTATGTAAAAATCCTGCCTTCTAGTTTCATCAAAACTTAAGGATATTAAATGAGATTTAGAGTCACTGAATATATGCTCTGTATTTATTAATATATTATATATTTGGATGGGGGGGAGAAGAAGTAATGTGTTCCTGCATTTCAAAGAGCTTCTAATATTTATGAAGAGATATAATCCTAACAATGTCTTCCATAATTGAAATGTACAAAAAAATGAATAGCACAGAGAAGGCAGAATTCTGAGCTTTCACTTATTATCAGTAATTTATCATTAATTACAAACATTGGTTAAGCATTGATGCTGGCCCAAGCCCTTTGGTTTGCCTGAAATCTGATATTATACAAAGTAAGTCACGGTTTGTATTCTCAGTAAGCTTATAGCTAAAGACATAATTACTAGAAGAGAATAAAGTTAGTCTTTAGAGGAGCCATTAGCTGTCTATGGCCATACCACCCTGAATGCACCTGATCTTGTCTAAGAGTTATCTTTCAATAGCAGTGTTAAAGCATTTCTCTTGCACATCAAAGACCTGTTTTAAAAGTGGTGAAAGGGCTCAATTTGAAGGGAAAAGAGAGGGCATAATTTTATCTTTGATTTTAGACCATTGGCTGTCAAAATTTGCTGCATATTGAAATTCCTGAGTGATTCTAGTGCACAGCCAAAGCTGTGAACCACTGGTCTATAGTAATTCTTTTCGAACTTTAAAGTGCGTCAAATGACCTGAGCATCTTGTTAAAATGCAGATGCGTAAACTGTAGGTACAGGGTGGGGTCAGATGATGCTGATGCTACTGGTTCATGGAATACATTTGGAGTAACAAGAGTTGTGATTTGGAGTGTGTGTGGGTGTGTGCGTGTGTACATGACTGCAATGTGTGCATGCACGTATTCCTAATATGGCTGTTATTGTTCTCTCTAAAAATAAAACTTGTCCTCTCTCTGGGTTTCAAATACATAATGGCACACTCAACCAGAGGTGATTTTCACTCTTGATTATGGAAGATTCCTAATGAACTCCCATGCACAAGGACGCTCGCCTGCTGACTCATGCACCCTAGAACCCTACTTAGGCCATCAAGACAGTTCTCTTTGCTGTTAGCTCAGGTTTCTGCTCAGATGAGCCTGTGCTGCTGGCTCTGGAGGGGCCTCACTGATAATGGCATCTGAGGGCATTCAATTAGCACATTTCATGTTTCTCTGGTCATAGACACCTCATAATTTCTTCACTAATGCAGCTGGATCTTTTTCTTTTTCCAAATCATTAGGCATCCCTTCAATGTTACTTTCCACTTTCCAGCCTGTAGTGGATAAAGATTTTATTTTAATACTCAACACATTTGTGTGTTAGGGTAATTTAGGGAGAAACCAGGTGCTAACATATTTTAAAAGAGGAGTTTCATTTTTCTGAATTTTACTAAGACATTGATCCTGCCTCCTGTCTTTACTTGAATCAGAGTATGAATCCTTGGCATTAATAAATAGGTGTGATGAAGGCTGTGTCTGGAGATGAAAACTGAGTCTGAGAAGATAGAGAGGAGAAAAGGATGGGGACAATGAGTGAAGGGTTCTCAGACTCATGCCTGCAATGTAGGAGTAAAAACCCCTGTTTTGGGGGAAAGGTCATAGGTAATGAGTTCCTCATTTTGTCTTAAATCCTGGTCTTTTAGGAAAGAAAATCCCTGAAGCAAAGGTAAGATCTGGTAATACTTCCTCTGATGTGAGCTGGGTGAGAGGACTCCGTGTTTCAGAGCTTCTCAAACTTTACGTGAACAAGAATCCTTTGGAAGATCTTATTTAAAATGCAGATTCTGATTAGTCAGGTCCAGGTGGGGTCTGAGTTTGCGCATTTCTAACAAGCTTCCTGGTGATGTGGATGCCGCTAGTCTGAAAACCACACTTTGAGATGCAAGGCTTCATTGACATGCACCTGGGGCCCCAGTTCTCAACCTTGGCTTCTCATTAGAATCACTTGGGAAACTTTCAAAACACTAATGCTCAGGCTGAACCCTAGACCTATTATTAAACTAGAAATCTATAGTATGGGACTCACACATTAGTAATTTTGAAAGCTTTTTGAGTGACTCCCATGTGCAGCTGTCTGGGCTGAGGGAGATGTGAAGAAAGCAAGAATCAGTTCTCAAAGGTTGGTGCCAGGCCCATCAGTGTAGTATTAGTGTCATCTAGGAGACTGTCAGAAATGCAAATTCTTGGACCCCGCCCTATACCTACTTAATCAGAAATTTTAGAGCTAGGGCCCGTATATATATATGTACTCTGTGCATTCTAATACATGCAAAAGTTTGAGAACCAGTACTTTATATATTCAGCCTCTCAGACTGCTGTGATAGTAGGAATAAATACATTATAAGTATTAATATGATTCCAAGTACCCTCTGTTGAGAAGTGGCAGTAGAATCCACTTCCCAGCTATTGAATGCTTACCATTTGCTATATAAAATACCAAGCAATTGACTTACATCTCATTTAGTGGCACAACATCACTGACAGGTAAATATTAATGTTTTAACACAAATGAGGAAACAGAAGATTACAGAGGTTAGGCAATTTGCCAAAAGTCACAGAGGAGGTAAATTAGGATTCCATCCCAGGCCTTTCTGAGTACGGGTGCTATCTCCTAATCTAGGTGAGGCTTCATGGGAACTGAAAGCAAGTGTAACTCACTCACTGTGTAACCGCTTTGAGCATGTAAGCCATGCTAGGTGTCAAGCTACTTTTATTTAGAAAGCACTCCTTATATTTATGAACTCATGAGCTAGTGGGCTTCAGAGAGGAAAACTGGTCATTACTTCACAGATAGATGCACTCTATGGCAGGTTAAATACCTTGTGCTATGAGTAAAGTGCTTTCTTGGGAATTGGAAGATGAGTGGCAGAATGGAAGAAAGATTTTCAGAGGAAATTACATGTAAAGTGATACCTAAAGGTTGTCTGTGAAGACAAGGATAGTGGAAGTTTGATGGGAGGATGTTTCAGAGACAAGAGAGACCAGCATATTCAAAAAGTTGAGAAATAAAAGAGAGTTTAGCCCTCCAGGGCTGAGGTATTACTCTGATTTATAAGAGGAAATAAATTCCTTTTGTAACTACTATAGTTTGATCAAAAACGTTAGCTGGATTTTTATTTAAAAGCTATTACTTTCTGCCAAAGCGATGAACTGCTTGTGATACTTGGTTGGTGATACACAACCAAATTATTTTGTTTTAATGCATGTCTTTAGCTGAACTGGAATGAACACTGTCATGGTTCCTGCTTGTTTGGCTGTTTGGCTTTCAGATCAAGAGGTAGAAGAAAAAGGTTCACAAATTAATGAAATAATTTTTAGGGAAAATTGCAAGTCTCAACTGTCAGAATTTAACTGTTAAAGTCATTTTGAATCAGATAATCCATGGCTGAGGTCCTGTGGCTTTGTCTGAAGCAACAGCAAATAGAGGAATTGATGTATAAATGCTGCAGCTTCCTTAACCCTTGGGTGGAATAACTCTGAACATGTGCTCTACTCTGTTACCCATGGGATTAAGGTCCACTTGCCCACAGCGGTAACTGGTCTATAATGCACCATTTATTTACTGCCTGCCTCTCTCATTTTCCCACTTTGGTGTTTTTTGCCCCTCCCAAATATACTACTTCCATTTGATTCCTTGTCTGTTTCTGGGGAACCTAAATTAGGGCAATTAGAGTACAACAAGAACTCATATGAGGTATGGGGGTCTGGCTAGGCAGGAAGAGGAAGGGGCAAGCCCTGCTTCTGTGCCCAGGGCAGTGTTAAAAGAAGAAAAGTGTGAATGATAAATGAAGGAGGTCAGATGTCAGGATTCCCATTTTCCTCACTCCTTGTCCTGCATTTAAAGTGAGAGGACAGGGCCGGGCATGGTGGCTCACGCCTGTAATCCCAGCACTTTGGGAGGCCAAGGGGGGTGGATCACCTGAGGTCAGGAGTTTGAGACAAGCCTGGCCAAAATGGTGAAACTCCATCTCTACTAAAAATATAAAAATTAGCTGGTTATGGTGATGCATGCCCATAATCCCAACTACTCAGGAGGCTGAGGCAAGAGAATCGCTTGAACCCAGGAGGCCAAGGTTGCAATGAGCAGAGATCGCATCACTGCACTCCAGCCTGGGTGACAGAGCAAGACTCCATCTCAATGAATGAATGCATGAATAAATAAATAAATAAGTAAATAAATAAATAAAGTGAGAGGACAATGGAAATATTTAGATGTTTCTAGGATACCCCCGAGACATAAAGATTAGTGGTCTACTTCCCTAGACACAGCTAAGATCTTAGGAAGGATCTCCCATTAATCTCTGCACCATGTCCTTATGGAGTGGGAAGAAAAGTACACCACTGAACGACAGAAGAACAAGAGAGATGAGAGATGAGACTGAGGAAGTGGGCTTGCTCCCCCTGGCCTGCGCCTGGCATGAAGGGCATACAGGTATTCCTACATGTCCTGATGTGGGGACACAGAATGTAAGAGACAGAAGGTGGACTGTCATACACCTTGGGATGGTCAGAGTCTGCAACATTTGAAGGCTTCATAAACAGAGTTAATAGGCCAGGATCACAGTCTCTAGTATTAGGCCAGCAGGAAGCTCCAAATAGCTGGTTAGAACCTGATTGCTCTTCAGTCTATGCAGTTGGTCAGGCCAGCCATCCCAAGGTAGGGCCTCCAGGAACCCAAGAACTAACATGAGTCTAGAGTGTTCATTCACCACTGGTGCTAAGCACATGCATTTCAGACACCATGTTCAAGAGGAGCAAGGGGAAAGAGAGGAAACCTAAAAGACTGAGTATATAGCTGAAAGACACTATACATCCAAAGGGTCTGACATTTAATGTTGTATCTCCGTTGGAAAACCATGAAGAATAAGATTTGGCCAGCTGTAAATAAAAAAGGTGAAATTTCTTTGCACATCTGAAGAACAGTATGAGAACATTTATGATGCACTATATAACAATTGGAGATAATGGGCATAAATTACCCAACCAAGCACCTGGCCCATGATAAGAACTCAGTAATTGGTGGCTGTTGTCATTAACACCATAATTGATTATCTCAGTGGCCTCTGCTGTAATGAAAATCTGGTAGTAGCTAATCTAGGGAAGCAGGAGGAATCACAAGTCTTAGTTCTATTGTCATTCTTTCAAAAAAAAGACTGAGTCCTAGAGTCCTAAGGATCAGGATTCTAAATAATAGTCTTTCAGTTAGACAAAGTCCTAGACTGGTTGATGGAAATATGTAAGTTCTGGGGCACTGGTTGATGGAAAATATACGGCAAATCTGTTCCACTTCTAAGAGTTTGATTTGAATGGCCAGCATTGAAGAACTTGTATCAAAACCTATCTATATTGAAGAGTTTGTGTTAGAATTCACTTATATTGAAGAGCTGATATTAAAATTAACTAAGCCAGCCTAAGCCTCAATCAGGACTGAACACAGAGATCATTTGCATGCTATTTCTTCCATTAATTTTAAATTCAACACCACAAGAGGCATAAAACAGAACAGCAACAACAATAGCCATAACATGCAGCTGAAAGATTTCTGTCCAGTTTCTTGCCTTCTTCTTGCTACTGACGGCAGATAAAGAAGGCATCATTTTCTTTGACATATGCAGTGTACAGTCACCTTGCCTATTAGATTCAAATAGGGCAAAAGAACACTGAGGGAGGGATGGGCTTAAGGGAAAATTTGCATATACATTTCCATTAGGGTTAAAAACATTTAAATCCACATTACCCTGGACCATAGGATAATGAATGCACCATTATGGACAAGACTTAGCGTGTGTTGCTGCTGCATTTGGCAGGTTCAAGTCTTGCTCTGGGTGTAATATTTGGTGACTCATTTTTCCTCAAGCATAGAGTAATAGGCTTTAACTTTGCTAAGCTTTTCTGCCAGCCCTTCGCCCCCTGCTGTTCCATTATATTGAACTTGTAAGCAGGACGCTCTGTCCGGCTCACCCAGATTACCACAGCAATACGGCCCCGCTGAGGGGCTGGTGTCAGGATAAGTGTCAGGGAGGGAGCTCCCCATCTTGGCATGCTGTTCTCATCTTATTAAATTCAGCTTTGTGGAAGCAGGGAGCCCGCCTCTCAGTCACACTGGCTCAAGTGTGATCCAACTGCTACTGTCAGACAATATGAAAATAGGAACCACCACAGCTAATGGCAGGTGCTGCTTCACAGCTGAAAAAAAAAAAAAAAGTCTGAGGGGTTTTTATTATTATTATGATTTTATGAGCCTGTGTGGTGTGTGCCATTTTACTCTTACAGACACTTCACTAGATTGAAGGCCTGATTCAGAAAGCCTAATACTTTGGGAAATGAAACAAGATTGCGCACTTTCAGCATATTGGAGAATCCAAGTTACAGAACTGCTTTTATTTGCATTCTTTGTTGTAGGTTCTAGTGGATCATTCTTAAATCCCTGAGAATCAAAAGTGTCCTAAAAATCCTAAATTGTGTCACTAAGATTTTTGTCTTAGTGCAACAAGGAGACAAAAGGATGAAAACATGGAACAAAATGGAAAATCTAGGTCTGGAAATAAGTTACTGTGTGAATTTGAGAGTCCCAACTTCACTCTAAATTTCTGCCTTAACATATGTTTTGGTTATATATTGCTGCAGAACAAACTACTTCAATATTTAGTGGCTTAAAACAACAACAATTTTAATATGCAATAAATCTGCATAATAAAATTATATGGCTTGTGGTTTGGCATTCTGAAGAATGTCTATTTGAATGAACGAAGTCAGCCTAAGCTCCAACACGGACTGAACTCAGAGGCCATTTTGCATACTATTTCTCCCACCACTTTTAAATAGTCTCTGTTAGATGGTTCTTCTGGTGGTCTCACTTAGGGTCTCTTTGCAGCTGTGATCAGATTGTGGATACGCTTAAACACCCAGGATTCTCCTCTCACGAATCTGATAGATACCCTGGCAAGGATGCCTAAGTCTGGGACTGTAGCTGGTAAAGGCAGAAGTTACTGATTCCTTTCTCTCTTTCAACTGGCCTCTACATGTGGTGTCTCTACATGGTCTTTCCAGCAAAGTAGCTGGATGTCTTACACCATGACTCAAAGCTACCGTCTTTCTTACAGGCTTAGGCCTTGTAACTGTCTGACTGTCTCTTCTCCTGCATCCTATCAGTTGAAGGAAGTCACAGGCCCACCAGTCCAGATTCAGTGGGCAGGAAGACTGGAAGGTATGGTTCACTAGGGGCTGTTATTAGAGACCAGATAATGTATCACATTATGTATTTTGGTCTTCAGCCAACATCTAGTGATGTTATCAATCATGCCTGATAAACTGTGTCATAAAGATAATTTATTCAGTTATTCTATAACTTTTTCAATTGAATGCAAGTTTAAGCCTCTAGGATTTGCTATCTGTGAATTGGAATTCCATCACAGTACAAAGTTCATTTTGAGATAATCTAGACTCTACTTGGTTAAGGTGTATGGTTGGAAAGAGAATGAGAAAGGAAGAATGTGGGAAGCCAAGTCACTAAGTGCTTGAGCCAGGATGAAGCCATACATATATCATTCAACAGCTTCCTTAGAAAGTAACACTGAGTCTATTAGGCATAATAATCTAGAAATCTAAAAGAGGGGCATTCTGGAAATACAGTGACCCAAATGCAGCCATTTGACTTCCTCACCAATTCCAACCTGTTAGTCCCCACTTAACTGATATGGGACAATCTTCTTTATCTGAGTGAGCATCTGGAGACCAGCTCTGTAGAACCCCAGGAAATAATTTACCTTGTGAAGGTTGGTGAACTCCAAGGAGAAGGTCCTCATTGGCCTTTCATGAGAGTACCAGGTATCCCTGGTTTCCAAGAGGCCAAGGAGTTTAACAGGAGGACAAAGTATTAAAGAGAACAAAGAGACTGGGGAGCAAAAGAGTTCCCCAATATAGCAGAGGGTAGCCTGCTACCTGGTGCTCAACTGGACAGCCATTAGGTGTTGTTAAAAAAAACGGAGATCTCTTTATTTACCCGCAATGGGAGAGCTGCCACTGATCAAACAGACCTGAGCCCCTAGAAGACTACAAAGAAACATAGCAAACCTTTTATCTTAGTCATTTTATGCTACTACAACAGAATACCCCAGACTGGGTAATTTATAAAGAAAAAAATATTTCTCACAGTCTGGAGAGGCTGGGAAGTACAAGATCAAGATGCAAGCATCTGGTGAGTGCCTTCTTGCTGCATCTGCACATGGCAGAAAGTGTTAGGGCAAGAGGGAATGGGTGCTGTGTCCTCACATGGCAGAAGAGCAGAAGAGAGTGAACCACAAGCCCTTTTTATAGCGGTGTTAATCCATTCGTGATGGTGGATTCCTGATGACCTAAATACCTCCCAAAAGGCCCAGGTTTCAACATGGTTGCACTGGGGAGAAAGTTTCTAACACTAGAACTCTGGGGGACACATTAAGATCATATCATCTTTATTTAAAAAATAATAGAATTAGTAAGAAAATTTGGTAAGTTGGCTGTATACACGATAAATATTTTAAATAATCTATACCTCTCATAGATCCTAGCCTTGAGTATCCCAACATGGGAATGGAAAACATTTCACTCATAGCAACAACAAAAACAAAAAAAGCATTTAAGAATATGTTAAGCATGACAAGATAAAGAAAACAAAAAATCTTATTGATGGACATAAAACAAGATCTGAATGTACTCTGGGGACTGTTGTGGGGTGGGGGGAGTGGGGAGGGATAGCATTAGGAGATATACCTAATGCTAAATGACGAGTTAATGGGTGCAGCACACCAGCAGGGCACATGTATACATATGTAACTAACCTGCACATTGTGCACATGTACCCTAAAATTTAAAGTATAATAATAATAAAATTAAATCTAAAAAAAAGATCTGAATGTATAGACATCCATATATTCTTCAATTGGACAATTTAAAATCACAAAAACATTTTTTCCAAAATTATTGTTTAAATTTAAATTTTCTGCAACTCTAATCAAAATCCAAATTTCTGCCTTACATTTAGATAACATTACCTGGCAATGTTTGTGAAAGAACAAATCCTTAAGAATAACCAAGATAATTATGCAAAGAGAAGGTAGTTGCCTACTACTGTAAACTGGATAAGATATCATTATGCAGACTCACTATAATTCATTAAAGCTTTTTCTGCTAATGTGTAATTCACTAAAATCAATAAACATTCTTGCATACATGTCCCTATGTACTAGTGCACATATTACTGTGGTGTACCTAGGAAGAGTATTTGCTGGATTGCCCATACATCTATGAACTCAATTGGGATAAGAAGTTGCTTTCTTGTTGCATTGTTAGCTGATGTAGAATGGGCATTATTGTACCTCTTCAATACCTCTTCGTTTCTTCTTCTTCTTTTTTTCTTTGTGCAGGATATTGAATAAATTTTCCTTGGATAAATGTAAACAAAAACCCCTTTCAAAGAGGCTCTTCCTTCAAAATGTAGAAAAAGTACAAATTCAGGAAAGTTTTAAGAACAGAAATATGCGCATGAATCAAGCCTAAGCTCTTCCTGCTGTGTTTGAAAAGTTTTTGAAAAGCCTCAAAACAGCAAAAATGTGAATAACCCTTAAACATAGATTACCAACACATTTGTTTTGTTTATTCACAAAGGCTTTTGTACTCTCTTGTATATAATTTTTTAACATTCTGAAATATTTCAATCATACCTAAAAGCATAATAAGTAAAATAAATACTACTCATGTAACAACTATTCAACCTTGTCAAATCTTAGCATTTTGCCATATTTCTTTAGGATTTTAAAATAAGACATTTTAAATACAACTGAATCTACTGTTTAGTCCTCTCCAATCTTATTCTCCTCCCTCCTTTCCTCTCTCATCCAGAGGCAAATAACTCTGAATTTGGAGTTTATAATTCCCATGCAACTTCTATAGGTTTACTATATTTGTATGTGATAAATAACATTTAGAACATTTCCTAATGTTTTCTTACTCTATAAAAATAGTCTCATACAATGTGTCATTCTTCTACTTGCTCTTTTTAGACAATATTTTATTTCTGAGATTTAATTATTTGATACACATAACTGTATCTAGTCAAAGAGCTATTTCACATTGTGAATACTAAACTTATCAATTCTCTCTTAAATACACAGTTTTATTATTTCCAACTTTTTCCTATTGCAAGCTATAGCACAGTAATCATTCTTGAACATGTTAAACATTCTTAAACACTTGAGTATGTGGGAAAGTTTTCCAGGGCAGTCAGTGGCTTTCCAAGTGTGGGTGCAGCGATGCCTAGGGATTTCTGAGACACATTCAGCCCATTCAGGGACCTGCAAGAGCAAGATTAAAAACTCTTTTCATGATAGTACTAGACCATTATTTGATGCTTCCATTCTCATTCTCTCATGTATGTACAGTGGAGTTTTCCAGATCTATATGACATGTGATATTTCAACAGACTGAATGTGGAAGCAGTTAAGAGAATCCAGTCATCTTCTATTAAACTTCTATTAAAGAGATTTGCAAAAATGTAAAATAGTGCTATTTTTCACACTGATTTTTTTACTTGGGAAAATATAGTTATTTTCCATAAAAATATATTATTTAGGTTAACAATATTAACAATATTAATAGTCAAAATTAACTTTATTGCTGAATAAGTGTCTAAATTTCTCAGTTTTAATTTCTAATTTAGTAATAATAGACAAAACTCACATAAACAATAGTCCTTTAGGGTTCTCAGTGATTATTAAGAATGTAAAAGGGTCTCAAGACCAAAAAGTTGGGGAATCTTTGTATATTTTGTGTGTGTGTGTGTGTGTGTGTGTGAGAACATGTTTTCATTTCTCTTGGGTAAATACCTACAAGTGAAAAATTGGGGTCAAGAATAGATGTTAAACTTTCTTACTGCCGCCCAGTTTTCCAACATGGTTATATGCTTTTATATTTCCTCCAGTTATTTATGAGACTTGTTACATATTCTTGTAAAATTTGCTTTTTTAATTTGCCTTTTTAGTCATTCCAGTGGCTATGCAATGATAGCTCATTGTTGTTTCAATTTGAGGATGTCATTCCAGTGACTCTCTCCTCTAGGCTAAACCCTAGCATATATTTTTAAAAATGCAAAAATCCCAGGGAAAGGATCATCAGCGCTGGTCTTTTGTCTTTGCTCAGCATTATCAGGTTGTTATCCTAAATGACAAGTAATGAGGATACAGTCAATAAAGTGATTGCTAAGGTGTAAAGGTAGTACCATAATAGTGTATCATAGGTAGCATTGCTTTGGCTGAGACTAGGTTTTGATGAGAAGGTCTTTTTAACAGTACTAGAAGTATGTAGTACAGGACATGGCGTAAAGGTGCTGCACAAAAAAACTCAAGTTGGGAAACTGGTGTAGTGAAAACTATACTAGATTGGGGCTCCAGTAGACTTGAGATTGAATCCAAGTCATTCTAGAAGGATTTTAGCCT
This sequence comes from Homo sapiens, assembly GCF_000001405.40. Lineage (NCBI taxonomy): Eukaryota > Metazoa > Chordata > Mammalia > Primates > Hominidae > Homo > Homo sapiens. The sequence goes on along the minus strand of NC_000003.12, from coordinate 28,072,253 downwards.
CTCTGAATCTCAGTTTGTCATTGGTGATATGCTGTTAATAAAACCTACATTTCAGAATTGTTGAGAGGATTAAATAAGATTAAAATAATTTACTTAACTTATTAAAATAATAAGGCATAGAGTGGTTTCTCAAATAATCTCTCCTATTTCAATCAAGTTCACATTTCCTATCCCTGCCTCCAATGATTCTGGGAGGCTGGAAGGTTTCAGAGCATCGGGTGGCATGAGGTGTGAAAGGAATGTCAATCCATGCAGTATGATGGTGCTGAGTGGTCCAGCACAGGCATATGAGAGAAAGTAAGTTTCCTGAAGAAAAGTGTGGCCAAGACTGGCTATCTTTCCCCTAAACCCATTTCCTTCTTCTCTTGGGAAAGGTTAAACTATGTTTGTCACATTTCTCATTACAGTTATCTGTGGCCAAGTGACTGAGTTGTTCCAACCAGTTGGTCACTTCCATTCCAACCATTGGAATGGAAGGCTCCTGATGTCCTAGGATATTATAGAGCTATGAGATGGGAGGATCCAATTTCCACACTAAAAAGTTACATGAGCTAGAAGTAAACTTTCATTATGTTAATTCAAAGTGACATTGGCATTGTTTGTTACGGAGCTCTCCTACCTTGGTTAGGTAGAAGAGACGACACTACTTTTTATAACTCCCTATAGAGCTGCCAGAGGTTTAACCTGGTGCCTTTCAGGTGCTAAATAAATACTTGTTGAATTGATAATCAAATAATAAACAAATAATTGATTAGAAAAAAGGTGTGAATTGAAGAATGGAGGTGGGAAGAAAAACATTTTGCTTTCTTTATAAGATTACTCCGGTATGGCCCATGCCAGAAGAAACAATTTTAATTTCTTATCCCAGTGGGCCTTAAAATACTGTTTGCCCCTTTGTGGGCCTATTAGGAGTTGGAAAAGCTAGGGAAGGTGACATCCAAAGGTTATTATTAGCAGTCTGTTATTTCTTTCCCTGATACCAATTCCTCTCCTTCAAAAGATTCTATTGCTAAAAACAGTAGCACCTGGTACCAAAAACAATTAAAACAAAATAATAAATATACTTTAAAAGATATTTCTTGGACTTTAGTTGAATCTGAGAAAAACTCTCTAGCAGTCTAAACATTGAAGACGGAATGAGTCTTGAAAAGTGCTGTACAGCCTAACCCCACTTTTTCACTGGTTCTCACCTCTTTAATAATCCACAAACTCAATACTTCTCACAGAAAACCCAGCAGTCTCACCCCACTTCTCCACCAAGATTTCATAGCCAAGAGCTGTAATGAGGTCTCCTGCAAGTGCAACTCCCATTATGTTTACCAAATATGTTATGGTATCTTTAATGAAAGATTCTTGTCAACAGTGTGTGTCTCTCTGGGCACAGTTTACAGGGTAATTCAGTAAACTTACACCATTTTTTTTTTCAATTAATCCTGTCTCCCAAGAAATATGGTAATCTGTACTGGGCCTCCTTGTCAGTAGTGTGAATTATCTGATTTTTACTGTTTTCAAAAGCATTTTTCATATTCATAAAATGTTATCATTCAAACGTACAGTATTAACCCAGAATGGAAGACTAAGAGATGGGTTTGAAGCCAAAAGTAATTAATTCTGTTTTCGATAAGTCAATTAGAATTGAAGTAGAGACTATATGTAGATTATGTCTTATTAATTTGATATGTTTCTACAGAAGCCTAGGCAATGTACAGTGGACTGATAATTATGTTAGATCCTTTATGAAGCCATACATTTCTGATTCACCTGAATAACAGTAAGTTAGAATACAAAAAGTCATAAGACAAAAATATAAAGGTTTTGAGAAGATTCAGCATGAAAAGTCAAATTTATAAAATATTTAAATTGTGAGACAATTATTTGCATTTCAATTTAATTATTTGCTTCAGAGAAGCTTGGCAATTTATCAGTGGTTTAACCAAAAAGGCTGAGAGGTTAATGTAAAACATGAGTCAGAAACTTTTTCTGTTAAAAAAAAATTGTAATTTTTAGATTTTGTGGACCAGATGGTCTCTATCACAACTACTGACCTTGTGAATTATGTATGGAGCAAAATCAGCCATATGTGAATGAGTATGGCTGTGTGTTCCAATAAAACTTTCTTTGTGGACACTGAATTTGAATTTCATATACTGTTATTGCATCGTAAAATAAGTCTTCTTTTGATTCTTTTCAGTCATTAAAAATGTAAAACCATTTTTAGCTCCTGGGCCATACAAAATCAGGGGACAGGCTGAGTTTGACCCACAGGGAATAATTTGCTAACCCTAATTTAAAGTATTATGAACAAGTCTCAATTGGTAATCAGAATAAAATGAAGGTAAATACCTGACATCACTTTGTAGGCAAGGTGGGAATCAACATAGATGCTTCAGTTTAGAATTTAGCATTAACAGCTGGAAGGGGCTTTGGCAGTGTGGTGCAGATGAGAAAACAGGCAGAGGGGTCCAGGGACAAACCTCAGGGCACAGGGAGCTGCCATGACTAAGCCTGGAAGAAAACCCATGTCTAATGTTGTTTCATTGTATCTGTGCCTTTCCTTCTTCCTATTTGCTCAGATCTCACGTGGAGGAGTTCATGGGATTTTGAATAATTTCAACGTCATCATTTTTCATTTACCTGCATGCCTTAGACAATATAATTTTTAGTCATGGTCGACTTGAAACACCAAGACAGATTCCCGAGTTTCATCTCCTACAGATTCTGACTCAGAAGCTGTGGCAAGGGGCCTTGGAATCTGCATGTTTAACAAACCACCCTGGCCGGGCATGGTGGCTCACGCCCGTTATCCCAGCACTTTGGGAGGCTGAGATAGGTGGATCACCTGAGGTCAGGATTTTGAGACCAGCCTGGCCAACATGGCGAAACCCCACCTCTACTAAAAATACAAAAAATTAGCCGGATGTGGTGGTGCGTGCCTGTAATCCCAGATACTCGGGAGGCTGAGGCAGGAGAATCACTTGAACCCTGGAGGTGGAAGTTGCAGTGAGCCAAGATCTCGCTACTGCACTCCAGCCTGGGTGACAGAGTGAGACTCTGTCTCAAAACAAAAACAAAAAAACCTACCCAGAATGTGGGTCCTACAACTAGAGGCCAAAGTATCCTGATTACTTTCTTTTCTAGCCTAATACTGGTTTTTGTCTTCTGTTAGACCACTTCCACCTGCTCCTCCTTCTCATTCCTTGGTCTAAATATTCAGCTGTGGCTTGCGTATGATTTCTTTTGGGGAATTTCTTATGGAACAGAAGCTCAGTGTGTTCTTACAGCCTACTGTAGCCAAAATAATCTTTTAAAAATGCCACTCTACCCATGTTGGTACCCTACAAGACCCTTCACTGGTTTTTCTCTTCATTCAAGATACAGGTAAAATTCCTTACCAAAGCCTACCCAGTTTTGTTCCACCTTTTTCTGCCTCCTCATCCCACACACATTTTCACTGGGACTTTCTGTATCCCAGCCACTCTGACTGCCTTGTAGTCCCAAATCTTTATGCCTCTTCCTGCCACAGTGTCTGCACTCACAGTTTTCTCTGCTCGTTCCATGTTGTATTATTTTGCATTCTTCTCCTATTTGCTTACTACACAGGCTTCATATTTCACTTCAAGTGATATTTCCTAGGGAAGCATGTTCTGTCCTCAGCTATTATAAAATACTCATATACCAGGTGGCACTTGTCCTACAGGCAATTTTACACTTGTTTTTATAACCGTTTGACAAAGTTTTCTCTCTCACACTAGACTGTGAGTTCCTTGAGGACAGAATTCAAGTTAATATTTAGCTCACATTTGTATCTTCCAAGCCCAGCACATTGCCAACCTCAATATTTATTTGTTGAGTTAATGAACAAGTGAATGAATGAAAGAGAGACCACTGTGGATTATGTACTATGCTCCAGGCAACTGAGAAAAATTGAAAAAGTGTTTTGCAACTATAAGAGAATGAAACGTCCCATATGAAACCTCAGATTTCTGTAAGAAATCTGAGAGGGCTTTGTACCATCCTACTACCCCAAACGTAAGGGTATTGGTCCCCAAACCAGCATGGTGCTGCAGTTGAAAAGCTCACCACTGCCAAGACCAGAGGAGAGAGGGGCAGTGGCACAGCTGACAAATACAGAGGGAAAAAAGCAAGTGTAAAGGAGGAAGAATTTCTTGAAAATGAGGATTACAGTAAAATTATGGTAACCAAATACCAAAAAGAAGAAAAATAATAAGATAGCCCAGACTTGATGTGTCAGACTTGTATGACAGGAAATGTTGACTGGCACGCAGACTTTGGTAAAAGTTGAGTGTCAGGGTTCGGAGTTGCTCTACCAACTTGTATTGAATATCAAATGATGAAACAGCCTGACCTCTGCTTAAATGCCTGTTCTAGATTTCAAATTTTTACAAGTAGGTATTGTTACATTTATGATATATAAACTATTTGAATGTGCTCTAAAAAATCTTTGTAACTTATTTGCTTTTCATGTAATATCATCATTAAGCTTACATGACTACTATGGAAATGCAATCTTTCTTTTAAAAACTTGATTTTTAATAATATATAGCAAACCAAGTAGAGTCAAAATTACATTTGCCACAATTTTTATTTTTTTCTAGGAAAGAGACCACTTCATTTTCTTAGCATCTGGCACAGAGTAGCTCCTCAACAATGCTGATTACTGAATGCATGAATGAAAGATCATGCCGTTTCCTTTCAAATGGAAAATAACTCTCTAGCTGAAGTTTAAACCTTCATTTCACAAACTTAGAGAAGTATGTGTGTTGGAACAAATCCTCTAAAGTCTCCTATTTCCTCTTGTTGTCCCATATAGTTTTTTTCCTAAATAGATTCCACTGGGAGATACCTATGCTGTCTTCCAGGATTTTTAAGGTCAAAAATGCCATAGTCTCCTACAGATATTTAGCTTTCTCTGCATAACAAACTACCTCAAAATGTGGCAGATTAAAAATACATGTATTTATTTTGCTCATATTTCTGTGGGATAGCAATTTTGCCTGGGCTCAGCTGGATGGTTCTTCTGGACTCAGCTGAACTTGCTAATATACCTGCAATCAGTTGCCAGTAAGTTAGATGACTGCCTCTTGGGTTTGCTGGCTGTTGCCTGGGACAAGGACTCTCTCTTAAACTCCAGCAGGCTAGCTCATGCTAACTGGGCAGTATTTCAAGAGGAAGAGCAGAAGCTATAAAGTCTCGGGTCCTAGACGCAGAACTAGCACACCATTACTTCCACTACATTCTATTTGCTGAAGCAAGGCACAAGATATCCTAGAATCAGGTAGGAACACAGGCTCCACCTCTTGATAGCAGGAGCTGCAAAATGGCCTTCTAGAGCCACTGATACAAAGAGAGGTGCTGGATTGTGGTTATTTTTGCAATCTACTACACTCCCTAAGAAATCTCTTCTTCTCCACTATCAGAACTATTTCTTTATGTCAAATCAAATTCATGTTTCAGCTTATTACTAATTCATTATAGCATTCTTTGATGATAATAAAGAACAATATTCACTATCTCTTTAATAGCTTTTCCTTAAGTTGAATAGCATTAATTTCCCCTTAAACTCTCTTTCATCTTCAAAAATATGTTTGATGCTTTTGATAGTCTGAAAAATAGGTCCTTGAAAAGGAAAAAATGGTTATATTTACTAGATACCTTTGAAAGTCCTCACATCTGAGAATAAGTCTTACCTGTGTCACTTACTATATGCTAAATAATTATAACAATAATAATGGATAATTCATATATTGCCCATATTTGTATTTTAAGTGCTTTATATGTAAGTCTCACAATAACCCCTTGAGACAGGTACTTGAGCAACATAATTATTCTACCCATTCCCAGCTGATGACACTGTCTGTGTGGAGTTTGCACATCTGCTCCATGTCTGTGTGGGTTTTCTCTGGGTACTCCGGTTTCCTTTCACATCCCAAGTATGTGCACATTAGATAACGGGATGTCTCGGTTGCCCCTGCCTGAGTGGACATGGGTGTGTGCAAGTGTGCCCTGCAAGGGAATGCCATCCTGTCCAGAGTGGGGGTTCCTTCGTTGAGCCCTGCGCTGCTGGGATAGGCTCCACCTGCCTATGACCCTGAACTGAAATAATTGGGCAAATAATTATCTTATTCATTTTTATTAATCTTTCTTGAATGTATGTATATCTCACATTTATCTCAATGTTTAATATTAGAAGTGTTATCTAGATGATGGGTTAATGGGTACAGCAAACCACCATGGCACATGTATACCTATGTAACAAACCTGCACGTCCTGCACAAGCATCCTAGAACTTAAAGTAAAATAAAATAAAAAATATATATTAGAAGTGTTTTTATCTTTTTTATTAACCTTAAATCTGGGATACATGTGCAGCACGTGCAGGTTTGTTACACAGGTATACATGTGCCACGGTGGTTTTCTGCACCCATCAACCCATCATCTACATTAGGTATTTCTCCTAATGCTACCCCGCCCCTAGCCCCCCACCCCCGAGAGGCCACAGTGTGTGATGTTCCCCTCCCTGTGTCCATGTGTTCTCACTGTTCAACTACCACTTATGAGTGAGAACATGTGGCATTTGGTTTTCTATTCTTGTGTTAGTTTGCTGAGAATGATAGTTTCCAGCATCATCCACGTCCCTGCAAAGGACATGAACTCATCCTTTTTATGGCTGCATAGTATGCCATGGTGTATATGTGCCACATTTTCTTTATCCAGTCTATCATTGATGGGCATTTGGGTTGGTTCCAAGTCTTTGCTATTGTGAACAGTGCCACAATAAACATAAGTCTGCATGTGTCTTTATAGTAGAATGATTTATAATCCTTTGGGTATATATCCGGTGATGGAATTGCTAGGTCTAATGGTATTTCTGGTTCTAGATCCTTAAGGAATTGCCACCTGTCTTCCACAATGGTTGAACTAATTTACACTCCTACCAAAAACGTAAAAGCATTTCTATTTTATTTATTTATTTTTATTATTATAAGTTTTAGGGTACATGTGCACATTGTGCAGGTTAGTTACATATGTATACATGTGACATGCTGGTGAGCTGCACCCACTAACTTGTCATCTAGCATTAGGTATATCTCCCAATGCTATCCCTCCCCACTCCCCCCCACCTGACAACAGTCCCCAGAGTGTGATATTCCCCTTCCTGTATCCATGTGATCTCATTGTTCAATTCCCACCAATGAGTGAGAATATGTGGTGTTTGGTTTTTTGTTCTTGCGATAGTTTACTGAGAATGATGATTTCCAATTTCATCCATGTCCCTACAAAGGACATGAACTCATCATTTTTTATGGCTGCATAGTATTCCATGGTATATATGTGCCACATTTTCTTAATCCAGTCTATCATTGGTGGACATTTGGGTTAGTTCCAAGTCTTTGCTATTGTGAATAATGCCTCAATAAACATATGTGTGCATGTGTCTTTATAGAAGCATGATTTATAGTCCTTTGGGTATATACCCAGTAATGGGATGGCTGGGTCAAATGGTATTTCTAGTACTGGATCCCTGAGGAATCCAGTCGCCACACTGACTTCCACAATGGTTGAACTAGTTTACAGTCCCACCAACAGTGTAAAAGTGTTCCTATTTCTCCATATCCTCTCCAGCACCTGTTGTTTCCTGACTTTTTAATGATTGCCATTCTAACTGGTGTGAGATGGTATCTCATTGTGGTTTTGATTTGCATTTCTCTGATGGCCAGTGATGGTGAGCATTTTTTCATGTGTTTTTTGGCTGCATAAATGTCTTCTTTTGAGAAGTGTCTGTTCATGTCCTTCGCCCACTTTTTGATGGGGTTGTTTGTTTTTTTCTTGTGAATTTGTTTGAGTTCATTGTAGATTCTGGATATTAGCCCTTTGTCAGATGAGTAGGTTGCGAAACTTTTCTCCCATTTTGTAGGTTGCCTGTTCACTCTGATGGTAGTTTCTTTTGCTGTGCAGAAGCTCTTTAGTTTAATTAGATCCCATTTGTCAATTTTGTCTTTTGTTGCCATTGCTTTTGGTGTTTTAGACATGAAGTCCTTGCCCATGCCTATGTCCTGAATGGTAATGCCTAGGTTTTCTTCTAGGGTTTTTATGGTGTTAGGTCTAACATTTAAGTCTTTAATCCATCTTGAATTGATTTTTGTGTAAGGTGTAAGGAAGGGATCCAGTTTCAGCTTTCTACATATGGCTAGCCAGTTTTCCCAGCACCACTTATTAAATAGGGAATCCTTTCCCCATTGTTTGTTTTTCTCAGGTTTGTCAAAGATCAGATAGTTGTAGATATGCGGCATTATTTCTGAGGGCTCTGTTCTGTTCCATTGATCTATATCTCTGTTTTGGTACCAGTACCATGCTGTTTGGTTACTGTAGCCTTGTAGTATAGTTTGAAGTCAGGTAGCGTGATGCCTCCAGCTTTCTTCTTTTGGCTTAGGATTGACTTGGCGATGTGGGCTCTTTTTTGGTTCCATATGAACTTTAAAGTAGTTTTTTCCAATTCTGTGAAGAAAGGCATTGGTAGCTTGATGGGGATGGCATGGAATCTGTAAATTACCTTGGGCAGTATGGCCATTTTCACGATATTGATTCTTCCTACCCATGAGCATGGAATGTTCTTCCATTTGTTTGTATCCTCTTTTATTTCATTGAGCAGTGGTTTGTAGTTCTCCTTGAAGAGATCCTTCACATCCCTTGTAAGTTGGATTCCTAGGTATTTTATTCTCTTTGAAGCAATTGTGAATGGGAGTTCACTCATGATTTGGCTCTCTGTTTGTCTGTTGTTGGTGTATAAGAATGCTTGTGATTTTTGTACATTGATTTTGTATCCTGAGACTTTGCTGAAGTTGCTTATCAGCTTAAGGAGATTTTGGGCTGAGACGATGGGGTTTTCTAGATATACAATCATGTCATCTGCAAACAGGGACAATTTGACTTCCTCTTTTCCTAATTGAATACCCTTTATTTCCTTCTTCTGCCTAATTGCCCTGGCCAGAACTTCCAACACTATGTTGAATAGGAGTGGTGAGAGAGGGCATCCCTGTCTTGTGCCAGTTCTCAAAGGGAATGCTTCCAGTTTTTGCCCATTCAGTATGATATTGGCTGTGGGTTTGTCATAGATAGCTCTTATTATTTTGAAATACATCCCATCAATACCTAATTTATTGAGAGTTTTTAGCATGAAGGGTTGTTGAATTTTGTCAAAGGCTTTTTCTGCATCTATTGAGATAATCATGTGGTTTTTGTCTTTGGTTCTGTTTATATGCTGGATTACATTTATTGATTTGCGTATATTGAACGAGCCTTGCATCCCAGGGATGAAGCCCACTTGATCATGGTGGATAAGCTTTTTGATGTGCTGCTGGATTCGGTTTGCTAGTATTTTATTGAGGATTTTTGCATCAATGTTCATCAAGGATATTGGTCTAAAATTCTCTTTTTTGGTTCTGTCTCTGCCTGGCTTTGGTATCAGAATGATGCTGGCCTCATAAAATGAGTTAGGGAGGATTCCCTCTTTTTCTATTGATTGGAATAGTTTCAGAAGGAATGGTACCAGTTCCTGCTTGTACCTCTGGTAGAATTCGGCTGTGAATCCATCTGGTCCTTGACTCTTTTTTGTTGGTAAGCTATTGATTATTGCCACAATTTCGGATCCTGTTGTTGGTCTATTCAGAGATTCAACTTCTTCCTGGTTTAGTCTTGGGAGAGTGTATGTGTTGAGGAATTTATCCATTTCTTCTAGACTTTCCAGTTTATTTGCATAGAGGTGTTTGTAGTATTCTCTGATGGTAGTTTGTATTCCTGTGGGATCTGTGGTGATATCCCCTTTATCATTTTTTATTGTGTCTATTTGATTCCTCTCTCTTTTTTTCTTTATTAGTCTTGCTAGCAGTCTATCAATTTTGTTGATCCTTTCAAAAAACCAGCTCCTGGATTCATTAATTTTTTGAAGGGTTTTTTGTGTCTCTATTTCCTTTAGTTCTGCTCTGATTTTAGTTATTTCTTGCCTTCTGCTAGCTTTTGAATGTGTTTGCTCTTGCTTTTCTAGTTCTTTTAATTGTGATGTTAGGGTGTCAATTTTGGATCTTTCCTGCTTTCTCTTGTGGGCATTTAGTGCTATAAATTTCCCTCTACACACTGCTTTGAATGCGTCCCAGAGATTGTGGTATGTTGTGTCTTTGTTCTCGTTGGTTTCAAAGAACATCTTTATTTCTGCCTTCATTTCGTTATGTACCCAGTAGTCATTCAGGAGCAGGTTGTTCAGTTTCCATGTAGTTGAGCAGTTTTGAGTGAGATTCTTAATCCTGAGTTCTAGTTTGATTGCACTGTGGTCTGAGAGATAGTTTGTTATAATTTCTGTTCTTTTACATTTGCTGAGGAGAGCTTTACTTCCAAGTATGTGGTCAATTTTGGAATAGGTGTGGTGTGGTGCTGAAAAAAATGTATATTCTGTTGACTTGGGGTGGAGAGTTCTGTAGATGTCTATTAGGTCTGCTTGGTGCAGAGCTGAGTTCAATTCCTGGGTATCCTTGTTGACTTTCTGTCTCGTTGATCTGTCTAATATTGACAGTGGGGTGTTAAAGTCTCCCATTATTAATGTGTGGGAGTCTAAGTCTCTTTGTAGGTCACTCAGGACTTGCTTTATGAATCTTGGTGCTCCTGTATTGCATGCATATATATTTAGGATAGTTAGCTCTTCTTGTTGAATTGATCCCTTTACCATTATGTAATGGCCTTCTTTGTCTCTTTTGATCTTTGTTGGTTTAAAGTCTGTTTTATCAGAGACTAGGATTGCAACCCCCGCCTTCTTTTGTTTTCCATTTGCTTGGTAGATCTTCCTCCATCCTTTTATTTTGAGCCTATGTGTGTCTCTGCACGTGAGATGGGTTTTCTGAATACAGCACACTGATGGGTCTTGACTCTTTATCCAATTTGCCAGTCTGTGTCTTTTAATTGGAGCATTTAGTCCAATTACATTTAAAGTTAATATTGTTATGTGTGAATTTGATCCTGTCATTATGATGTTAGCTGGTTATTTTGCTCGTTAGTTGATGCAGTTTCTTCCTAGTCTCGATGGTCTTTACATTTTGGCATGATTTTGCAGCGGCTGGTACTGGTTGTTCCTTTCCATATTTAGTGCTTCCTTCAGGAGCTCTTTTAGGGCAGGCCTGGTGGTGACAAAATCTCTCAGCATTTGCTTGTCTGTAAAGTATTTTATTTCCCCTTCACTTATGAAGCTTAGTTTGGCTGGATATGAAATTCTGGGTTGAAAATTCTTTTCTTTAAGAATGTTGAATATTGGCCCCCACTCTCTTCTGGCTTGTAGGGTTTCTGCCGAGAGATCCGCTGTTAGTCTGATGGGCTTTCCTTTGAGGGTAACCCGACCTTTCTCTCTGGCTGCCCTTAACATTTTTTCCTTCATTTCAACTTTGGTGAATCTGACAATTATGTGTCTTGGAGTTGCTCTTCTCGAGGAGTATCTTTGTGGCGTTCTCTGTATTTCCTGAATCTGAATGTTGGCCTGCCTTGCTAGATTGGGGAAGTTCTCCTGGATAATATCCTGCAGAGTGTTTTCCAACTTGGTTCCATTCTCTCCATCACTTTCAGGTACACCAATCAGATGGGACTTTTCACATAGTCCCATATTTCTTGGAGGCTTTGCTCATTTCTTTTTATTCTTTTTTCTCTAAACTTCCCTTCTCACTTCATTTCATTCATTTCATCTTCCATCGCTGATATCCTTTCTTCCAGTTGATCGCATCGGCTCCTGAGGCTTCTGCATTCTTCATGTAGTTCTCGAGCCTTGGTTTTCAGCTCCATCAGCTCCTTTAAGCACTTCTCTGTATTGGTTATTCTACTTATACATTCTTCTAAATTTTTTTCAAAGTTTTCAACTTCTTTGCCTTTGGTTTGAATGTCCTCCCGTAGCTCAGAGTAATTTGATCGTCTGAAGCCTTCTTCTCTCAACTCGTCAAAGTCATTCTCCATCCAGCTTTGTTCCATTGCTGGTAAGGAACTGCGTTCCTTTGGAGGAGGAGAGGCACTCTGCTTTTTAGAGTTTCCAGCTTTTCTGTTCTGTTTTTTCCCCATCTTTGTGGTTTTATCTACTTTTGGTCTTTGATGATGGTGATGTACAGATGGGTTTTTGGTGTGGATGTCCTTTCTGTTTGTTAGTTTTCCTTCTAACAGACAGGACCCTCAGCTGCAGGTCTGTTGGAATACCCTGCCGTGTGAGGTGTCAGTGTGCCCCTGCTGGGGGGTGCCTCCCAGTTAGGTTGCTCGGGGGTCAGAGGTCAGGGACCCACTTGAGGAGGCAGTCTGCCCGTTCTCAGATCTCCAGCTGAGTGCTGGGAGAACCACTGCTCTCTTCAAAGCTGTCAGACAGGGACATTTAAGTCTGCAGAGGTTACTGCTGTCTTTTTGTTTGTCTGTGCCCTGCCCCCAGAGGTGGAGCCTACAGAGGCAGGCAGGCCTCCTTGAGCTGTGGTGGGCTCCACCCAGTTCGAGCTTCCCGGCTGCTTTGTTTACCTAATCAAGCCTGGGCAATGGCGGGCGCCCCTCCCCCAGCCTCGCTGCCGCCTTGCAGTTTGATCTCAGACTGCTGTGCTGGCAATCAGCGAGACTCCGTGGGCGTAGGACCCTCCGAGCCAGGTGCGGGGTATAATCTCGTGATGCGCCTTGTTTTAAGCCTGTCGGAAAAGCGCAGTATTCGCGTGGGAGTGACCCAATTTTCCAGGTGCCGTCCATCACCCCTTTCTTTGACTCGGAAAGGGAACTCCCTGACCCCTTGCGCTTCCCGAGTGAGGCAATGCCTCGCCCTGCTTCGGCTTGCGCACGGTGCACGCACCCACTGACCTGCGCCCACTGTCTGGCACTCCCTAGTGAGATGAAACCGGTACCTCAGATGGAAATGCTGAAATCACCCATCTTCTGCGTCGCTCACGCTGGGAGCTGTAGACCGGAGCTGTGCCTATTCGGCCATCTTGGCTCCTCTCCGGTAAGCATTTCTATTTCTCCACATCCTCTCCAGCATCTGTTGTTTCCTGATTTTTTAATGATCACCATTCTAACTGGTATAAGATGGTATATCATTGTGGTTTTGATTTGCATTTATCTAATGACCAGTGAAGATGAGCTTTTATTCATATGTTTGTTGGCCACATAAATGTCTTCTTTTGAGAAGTGTCTGTTCATATCCTTCGTCCACTTTTTGATGGGGTTGTTTGTTTTTTTCTTGCAAATCTGTTTAAGTTCTTTGTAGATTCTGGATATTAGCCATTTGTCAGATGGATAGATTGCAAAAATTTTCTCCCATTCTGTAGATTGCCTGTTCACTCTGATGATAGTTTCTTTTGCTGTGCAGAAGTTGTTTAGTTTAATTAGATCTCATTTGTCAATTTTGGCTTTTGTTGCCATTACTTTGGTGTTTTAGTAATGAAGTCTTTTCCCATGCCTATGTCCTGAATGGTATTGCCTAGGTTTCCTTCTAGGGTTTTATGGTTTTAGGTCTTTCATTTAAGTCTTTAATCCATCTTGAGTTACTTTTTGTATAAGGTGTAAGGAAAGGGTACAGTTTCAGTTTTCTGCATATGCCTAGCCTGTTTTCCCAACACCATTTATTAAATAGGGAATCCTTTCCCCATTGCTTGTTTTTGTCAGGTTTGTCAAAGATCAGATAGTTGTAGATATGTGGTGTTATTTCTGAGTCCTCTGTTCTGTTCCATTGGTCTATATCTCTGTTTTGGTACCAATACCATGCTGTTTTGGTTACTGTACCCTTGTAGTATTGTTTGAAGTCAGTTAGCACGATGCCTCCAGCTTTGTTCTTTTTGCTTAGGACTGTCTTGGCTATATGGGCTCTTTTTTGTTTCCATATGAAATTTAAAGTAGTTTTTTCTAATTCTGTGAAGAAAGTCAATGGTAGCTTGATGGGGATAGCACTGAATCTGTAAATTACTTTGGGCAGTATGGTCATCTTCATGATACTGATTCTTCCTATCCATGAGCATGAAATGTTTTTCCATTTATTTGTGTCCTTTCTTATTTCCTTGAGCAGTGATTTGTAGTTTTCCTTGAAGAGGTCCTTCACGTCCCTTATAAGTTGTATTCCTAGGTATTTTATTTTCTTTGTTGCAATTGTGAATGGGAGTTCGCTCATGATTTGTGATTTTATCTTTAGTTAGAAGTTTGGTAGTGTTTTTGTGACCTGAAATATGCTGTAGTAACTTAACTCTTGTTTCTATCAATTAGCCTATGGTAAAATTTGTTTTGTTACATGTCATTTCCCTTAAAGTCACAGTATTCAAGAACCTATAGATAATGTTAAATGAGGACCTACTGTATAATTATCATTACAATTTTACAGATTGTGGAAACGTGTGCAGAAGGGTTAAGCCAAAGTCTCATGCCAGACAGAAGCAGAGTTGAAATTTGCCTTCAGATAGCCTGGCCTCAAAGCTCATGCTTTGAATTACTATACAATACTGCCTCCTGGGTGATTTTATACAAGTCACTCAACCTCTGAACCCATGATTCCACATCAGCAAAGTGGTGATGAAAATGCCTACCCACAGATGTGTGGTGAGACTCAAATGAGCCAGTGTACCTGAAATACCTTAGGAAAACTGAGAATCGTTCTAAAAATGCAAGGTATTATTGTTGTTTTTATTGTTCAACTGACATAATCATGTGCTTTACTAAGAACTTGAGAAGTCCAAAGAATGCACAAAATTCTTATGTTTCCTATGTGCTATTTAAATAAAGGAACGGATGGCATCTGTTTAAATGCAAATCAGTCCTGTTGTGTTAATGAAATCGACATCCGTGTGATTCTGGGTTTAACTACTCTGGTTTGAGATCTTGTTTTCCCACAAAATGCCCATCTTATAGTCTTTCTATAAAGATGAAAACAATTTCGTTTGTGAAATTTGAGTGAGGAACAGAAAACTATAGCTCCTTGTCAAGGCTATGCATCAACTTCCTCATTTTGCTAAAAACTGTAGGACCAAACTCATGTACATTTTCCCCCCAGAAGATATTTCTAATTGATATGTCTTCATCATCATGAATCCAATTTATAGCACCAGGCAGGCAATGTGTTATTTTTGGAGTAGTGCTGTATACACTGGAAAAAATTTGCACATGAGGGCAAAATGGAACAGACAATTGCTTTTGGGGACTGCACAGATTAGTACATCATTGCATACTAACAAAGTGCTAATTGCTCCTTTTGACCACGGGCCCAGTTTACAAAGCTTTTGCACAAATGTGCTCTGTGCACTAAATTACAAAACTAACACTGCATTATTTCTCAGTACAGCTTGCAAATTCTTGTAGGGCAGTATGCATTAGCATTAATTAAACCAGAGAGAGAGAGAGAGAGCACTAGCAGAGAGAGAGAGGGAGATGCTCACAATTTAGAAAGAACGGATCAGATGCTAATTACTCAAGTTACAAATGTTCCATTTGTTCTGGAATGATATTAGTAAAAGTAAACAGCATTTATTCTCAAGACTTGTATTTGAAAAACAGTTTCAATTCTGCAATGGATATGAAAATTAGTGTCTAATAGCTAAAATAAGAAACAGTGATTGACCGTAGCTGTTCTGTGCTTTTGTCAAACTAGTGTGACCAATTCTTGAGAAAATTGTTTGCATTAAAGATTACAAATTACACATGTATACATATGTAACTAACCTGCACAATGTGCACATGTATGCTAAAACTTAAAGTATAATTAAAAAAAATAAAAAAAAAGAAATCTGACACATAGAACAAATCAAGAAATGCTTAATGAATAAATGAATGATTAAATTGCAAAAAAAAAAAAAAAAAAGAGATTACAATTACATTTTTCCAAAGCAGCAGAGAGAATCTGCTAAGTGACAAATGAGCAAGGTATCATCTATTGGAAAGCTTGAAAGGGTTATGTATAACATCTCTTATTCATCTCCTTTTCATTTCATTCAGCATTTGTATCCTTGAGAAGTTTATTAAATTTAAGTTTAGATTCAAAGCACCTGCCCATAGGCTCAAGTACTTAAAAAACACTTTTGAATCAATAATCTCATTATTTAATATGCATTCATTAAACACCTACTATGTGCTAAGCACAGGAAGTGCCATCACATTATCTTCAAGCAGTTCAGAATCTATCTGGGTAGACAGATCTTATAAATGACTAAAAATAGCAATAATAAGACAAATGCTTCACTTGAAGAACATTCCAGCTTCATTTGAAGAATACACCAAAAATGCTGCTATGGGAAGTTAGAATGGCCAATTCTGGAAGAATTAGGAAAGGCATGGAAGAGCAGGGGATGTTCAACTTGAAAGACGTGTGCAGGTAGCAGACACAATGTGGGGTTGAGGGCACTTAGAAAGGGAATGTGATGGTCTGAGATACCATAGCTCTGAACTTGGGCAGTGGCAGGGTGATGGAGAATGGAGGACAGATTTGAGAACCCTTGTAGAGATAGACCTGAGAGGACTGGTCCCCTATTGGTCTTGGAAAGTGAGAGAAAGTGATCTCAGAGTTCTATGGATGGCAAAGAATGTATGTGCTAGAAAAGACCAGAGAAGGAGCAGAATGAGGAAAAAGGTAAATGGAGACTAGCAAGCCTTGTTTGTTTTCTGCCTCTAATCTCCTAGGATTTCTAGATCAGTTCCCTGCATACAAGTTCCTGGTGTGTTTTCACTCTTAACCAACACTTGAGCGCAGCCAGATCCTGGGTCTCCTTGCCAGGGGCTGACCTCAGCCTGCTTAAACTCCTTTGCCTGCATGCACAGAGGGCAGAAAGTGGAAGGGAATTTACTAAGGAAATTAAGGACTCTGGGACCAGCCCTTAACCAAAGACTGACACAGCGATGGAATATAAATACTTCACCATCTTTGCTCCTAGTTAGAACTGCTTTGATATAATGAAATATACCAGTATTTTTCAAATTTTAACACTCCTATGAATCACTTGGAGGATTGTATTAAAATGCGTATTTCAATTTGGTAGAACTAGTGTGGGGTCTGAGATTTTGCACATCTAGCATGTTTTCTAGTGATGTCGACCTGCCGGTGTACAGACCACACTTTGTGTTGCTAGGACTTACACTATCTCCAGAGTCCCCTGAGTGACTGAATCACAATTACTTCTCCTTCCCCACAGGCTTTCACTGGACATTTCTTCCTTACTTAGCTTCTTTCTCTTCCAGTTCCACTTCTCCTCTTCCTTACTAGATTTTTCTGGAAACATTTCTAATAAATCACTGTCACAGGAATCTTTATTTCAGCATGTGTGTCTGGAAAATCCAACCTAATACAGAGTCCAGGAGTTTGATTTTGGACATATTATATTTGAGGTGCCAAAGAAATATACAAGATGAACTGTCCGATAGTCAATAAGCACTAGTGATAACCATGCCTTCATTCTTTCAGTTCTCCCTTCTTAGCAACGAGTGTCCTGAGAATACAGGGCATTTAAGCAGACCTCTGGTGTCTCAGGTTTGTCCCTCAGAATTTAGAAGAGTAAGTTTCTTTTGCTGTATTCTTGTTTGAAGTCTTTGAGAATTGATAATCTGTATATCCCATTAGCCAGAATATTCTGCTGTCTGAGTGCTTTTCAAATATTAATGTATATATGAACAATCTATGGATCTTGTTAAAACACAAGTTCTGGTTCTGTAGATCTGGGAAGGAACTAAAGATTCTGTGTTTCTGACAAGCTACCTGGTAATACTGCCACTGCTGGTCTGCAGACCGTGTGAACTACACTTTGAGAAGCAGGGTTCTAAAACACACTTCACAGGTCTAATTTTCAAGGAAACACTCTGAGATTGAATGAGGCACTGATAGCAATGGTAATAGTAGAAGTAGTGATAGTAGTAGTAATAGCTGACATTTATTATTTACATTTACTAAGTACACACACTCTGTGTTAAGCCCTACTCAAATTATCCTACAAATACCAACTCATTTATTCCTCACAATAATGCAGAGATATAAGAATAAAAAATGGTTGATTTTTATTCCAACGGTTTTAATAAGTTAACTATTGTTCCATATGGAAAACCTCAGGATATATTGGTGGTAAGCTATAAAAGTCCAAATATTTAGAGTTGTTTTGCTAGTAACCACGTCATTTCCAAGAGGAGAGGGCATGTTTGGGAAGTGAACACAGCCTAACACATTCTTTCCAGGGAGTGATGGAAAAGAACCAGAAAATGTATATGAGGGAGCAATGTGTGAGGTGGCCTCCTTGGGTGACTGTTGTGGGTGACTACCTATTGCAGTTGTTAGATTTATTTCAAAACTCAGTTTAATCCCCACTTCACCCCACCCCTGTGACTCAGTTTTAAGCAGTTGAGTTTGAAAATGACAAGGATGACTCAAGCATTGAAATCTCTGTGAAAACAGGAGACACCTCCTCCTACCCTCAGCAATCTTTGTTTTCTTCCAAATGCTAAGAACCCACACTTAACACACACACAGAATAAGATATGTACAGAATTTTTTGACTTAATCAAAATAAATGCTTCTCCAAATTGAATTTATTCTTACTTTTTTTTTTTTTTTTTTTGAGACAAAGTCTCGCTCTGTCACCCGGGCTGGAGTGCAGTGGCACGACCTCGACTCACTGCAACTTCTGCTCCTGGGTTCAATCGATTCTCCTACCTCAGCCTCCTGAGTAGCTGGGATTACAGGCAGGTGCTACCATACCTGGGTAATTTTTGTATTTTTAGTAGAGACGGGGGTTTCACCATGTTGGTTAAGCTGGCCTCGAACTCCTGACCTCGTGATCCACCCGCCTCGGCCTCCTAAAGTGCTGGGATTACAGACATGAGCCACCGCACCCAGCTATTCTTACTTTTGAAGAAAACTGAAATAATGTTCAAATAGCAATCAAAAGGGCAGTATATCACTATATTTTCTTGTTTTCAGAAATCAAAAGTTATCAGATAGATATATAGTTGTAAAGAGAAACTATTTTCCTTTTAAATAAAGGTTTTGTTGTTGTTGTTGTTGTTATTTTAAATAGTGATGAGGTCTTGCTATGTTGCTCAGGCTGGTCTTGGACTCCTGAGCTCAAGCAATCCGCCCACCTCGGCATCCCAAAGTGCTAAGATTACAGGCACCAGCCACTAAATGAGGCTTTATTTTATGAACAAGAAGACTAGCTATGGCTTGAAAGAAAAGTATAGTCATATCTATTTTTATCTCATTAAATATCCGGGATCCTTTATGATGTGTTATGGCTACTCACTAAGAAACAGATTTAAAGACTTAGTTTGTTAAGAGGGAGCAGAAGGGTACATGCTGACTATCTGGTAGGGGAGATAACATTATATACCCCTGGGCTATGAATTAACTTGGGGTGATGTGAGAGCACATTCTTTTTGGTGTTATCATATGTGTGAAGTAATCATAAAATATAACTGTGATGAATCCAATTTCAAAAATCTACTCTCTATAAAAGACGCATCTCTAGCACCTGAAGAGATGAGACAGTGGTAAACTCAGGCAGGAGAGGTTGGAATCCAGTTGTGCCACTTACACCTGGTCAGCAAATCAGCTAGGAGCTGGTGGTGGGATTCTGACCAGGGGATGAAATATAGTGTTGGATTTTTAGAACTGGAAGTAGTCTTTCCTGTTATTAGAAAAAGAAATTATGAGGTTGACAGAAATTCCCAAACTGTATTATATGAAACAGTAGGTATTGTGAATGAGAGAATTAAATGAGCTCCTTTGTCAAGTAAGTTCGGGAAACCTTGTATGCCGTATTTGCTTGTGGAGATTCACAAGGCACACACACATATGAAAGGTTCTGAGGAGTCCTGCTTTTTGTTTAAGTTTGTTCAAAACAGATTCTCACAAATGAATATTTGCTCATCTCATCTCACCACATAAACCTTTTGTTGTTGTTGTTTTTAAACACAAATGACATTCCATGGAAATAGTATTCTGTGGAACTCAGTTCAGGAAATGGGAGAGAATTTTTGGAGAAGCTCCTTGATTTCAGGGAGGGATGCCAACACATGACCAGTAGGTTAAGTTGACCACTCGAAAGAAGCAGGGAGGCCATGCTTCATTAAAAGATATAGCCATAATACTTGGCAGGTGATGTACTTCAGGCAAACTGAAAGAGAAAAGGTTGAGTTGAAAAACTGCCCAGGAATTAAGCCAATCGATTGACTTGAATTACTTAAGAAATAAGTAATCTGTGCTCAATGGTCATTTATTTTTATGCCTTTGGGTGTGTGTGTGGTGGTGGAGGGTGGTAGTGGTGGTGAGGGATGTAGCTTTACTCTGTTTCTTGTAAATAAAATGTTCATTTTTATTTTTTATGAAATTATAAAAAAACTCTAATTTATCCAGGTCTTAGAGATAGAATGATTATATTTTTTGAAGGAAAAACAGCAAAATCTGACTATTTGCAATCAGATGGGCCCAGCCTGGATTCTTGTTTTTTTTTTCAGACGGAGTCTCACTGTGTTGGCGAAGCTGGAGTGCAGTGGCGCGATCTCGGTTCACTGCAACCTCCGCATCCCGTGTTCAAGTGATTCTCCTGCCTCAGCCTCCTGAGTAGCTGGGACTACAGGTTTGCACCACCATGCAAGGCTAATTTTTGTATTTTTAGTAGAGACAGGGTTTCATCATGTTGGCCAGGTTGGTCTTGAACTCCTGACCTCAGGTGATCCGCCCACCTTGACCTCCCAAAGTGCTGGGATTACAGGTGTGAGCCACCGCGCCCAGCCCCCTGGATTCTTGAACAGCGTAGCAAACGAAACCATGTTACCCTGGGGTCTAGGTATGGTTACACCTCACACAGAGCCACAGCCCAAAGTCAGAAACTGGCTAAGATTTGCAGGAAGAAGTAAAGCCATGAATAAGAGAACATGAAGTTGGAATTGTGCTCTTCCCACCTGGGCTTCCCCCTCACTGTCTCTTTTGCTTGAAATGTTGATGCTTTTACTGACATTTTGGAAATTCTCAACTGCCATGGAGGGGAATGGGGGATTTCTGTTTCACCACTCTTCCTTTTTAAATTCTTTTCTTTGTTCGGTTTGTGGCCCTCGTGCCATCCTGATGCTGAGCTGTCACTTCAGGCTTGTTAGTCAAATTATGGTGATTAATGCAAACAGCCAACATGAACTTTGGGCTGCTCAGATGTTAGATAACCCATGTGCTGGCAAAGAGCCATCTTTCTACATATCCTAAGTGACTCAGACACCTTTCAACACCAAAGTAGCTCTTCCTCAAGCACAGAACCCTGTGATTCTTAAGTGACTCAGACACCTTTCAAAACCAAAAGACAATCTTCTGATATTTGATATAAATTTGATGGCCAAGTTCTTTTCAGAAGATAAAATTAATGAGGATGTTCAAAAACAAATGGCTTTAGGTGAAAACTGATTGTTTTCTATTGACCCCGACCATGTATAGGAGGCTGATCTTACTAGTGGTTTTGCAACAGAATGAAGTCTCCATCATTCTTTCTTCTAAATGTGATCATTTTCCTTAACTGGGTTTTAGAAACATGTAAGAACCCACCCCCATTCCTGGTGGAGCTTTTATATGTGATAAATGGTAATGTGTCCATTGCTTTCCTAATTTGAAAAAGATGGTTTGGAGACTATCAGAAAAAGAAATATAAGATACTTAAGAAATATTACATGCTCAGAACTTTGAGGGTTTCTTGTTTATTACATAATAAGGAAGCCCCAGTTCTGTAATTCTCCAATGTGTCACCAAACATTCTGACCTAATATAAATTTAGAGCTCTTGCCAAAAGGGATTTCTTATCTAGATTGGTGTAAAAAAAAAGCCAACTATGAGAAAGATGTTCCATCAACATAAACCGAAGTTTTATGCTGGGGAATACCCTGTGAAATCAGCCATTTCCATTAATGCATTACACTACGATTCTATGCAGTATATTCAGAAGGGCTAACACAGGGAACATTTTGATGTAGTTGGTTTTGGTCATGTAACCACAATCACCATCAATATATGGAACATGTAATCACTCCAAAAATGTCCCTCATGCTGCGTGTAGTCTGTCACTCTGCAAAATCCTAGCCTTCCAGTAACCACTGATTTATTTTGTCTCTCTGTTTGCTCTTTCATCATATGCTGTATGACATCATATAAACGGAATCATACAGAATATAGTTTTTTGAATCTTGTTTCTTTTACTTAGAATAATGCTTTTGAGATTTATCCATATTTTTGCATGTGTCACTAGTTCACTACTTTTTATTTCTGGGTGCATTCATTACATAGACAAACCATAGCTTGTTTGTTCATCCAATAGTTGAAGGACATTTGGCTTGTTTTCAGTTTTTTGGCAATAATACCCTCTAAACATACCCTCTAAACACAGGGGTGTGTGTGTGTGTGTGTGTGTGGTTTTGTGTGCTTGTGTGTGTGTAATTCCTGGGTCATAAGGCAAATGTATATTTAATTTTATAGGAAAATACCATACTCATTTCCCAACATCAGCAACCTATAAGACTCTCACAGCCAATTTTTAAAAATAAATTTAGCCATTCTATTAGGTATGTAGTTGTATCTCATTGTAGGTTTAATTTGCATTTCCCTAATAATTAATCAGTTCTGCATCTTTTCACATGCTTATGTGCCATTAATATATCTTTTTTGGTGGTGGGGGAGAGGCAAGATGGGGTCTCACCATGTTGCCCAGGCTGGTTTTAAACTCCTGGGCTCAAGTGATCCTCCAGCCCCAGACTCTCAAAGTTTTGGCAAAGTATCTGTTCAAATCTTATGTTCATCTTTATTAGTTTGTTTTCTTTTTGATTAGTTTTGAGAGTTCTTTATATATCCTGGATACAACTTCTTTACCAATTATAAGTTTTGCTAATATTTTCTGCCAATTCAAGGCTTGCATTTTCATGTTCTTAACAGTGATTTTTGAAAAGCAAAAACTTTTTATTTTTAGTGAAGACTAATTGATCAGATTCTTTCTTTTATGCATTATGCTTTTGGTATCATATGTAAGTAATCCTTGTCTAACTCAAGTTACAAAATATTTTATGTTTCCTTCTAGAAGTTTATAGTTTTAGGTTTTACATTTAGGCATGTACTCTGCATTAAGTAAAAATTTTGTATATAATTCAAGGTATAGATTGACATTTTTGCATATTGATATCAAATTATTCTAGCACCATTTGTTGAAAAGATTAACTTTTTTATTCACTGAATTGTCTTTGGACCTTGGTCAAAAAATCATTTGACCATACAATGCTTGGGACCATTTCTGGACTGTCTATTCTGTTTCAATGGTCTGTGTTTATATGCTTTCACCAACATCACCCTTTTTGGATAATTAGAACTTTATAATAAGGCTTGAAACAAAATAATGTTAACAGCTCCAATTTTGTTCTTCTTTTCCAAAATTGTTTTGGCTATTCTAGATTGGCTTTCCACATATATTTTCAAATCAGCTTGTTAATTTCTACCAAAACTCTTGCTGATAATTTGATTAGGATTGCATACAATTTAGGATTGAACTGACATTAATAATATTGAGGCTTACAATTCATAAAAATTAAATTATATACATCTCCATTTATTCATGTCTTTTTAAATTTCTCTTATTAAAGTTTTATACAGATATTGCCTGTATTTTTTGTCTTTTTGTACAATTGTAAAACATGATTTAAAAAAATTTTTATTTCCAACTGCTTATTGCTAATATATAAAAATACAATTAATTTTTATTAATTAATTAATACTCACCTTGTATCCTATGACCTTATTCACTTATTAGTTTTAGTAGCTTTTTAGTAGAAACTTTGGGATTTTCTACAGTCATGCCATCTGCAAATATAGGTGTTTTTTTTCTTTCATATCTATATAGCTTTCATCTCTTTATCTGAAATAGGAGTATTGGGAGTGAATATCCTTGCTTTATTCCCATTCTTAATGAGAAAGCAGTCAGTCTTTCATCATTAAATGTGATGATAGTTTTTTTGTAGATGCCGTCTATCAGGTTGTGGAAGCTTCCTTTTTTTTTTTTTTTTGTTTTTGAGACGGAGTTTTGCTCTTTCACCCAGGCTGGAGTGCAGTGGCGCAGTCTCGGCTCACTGCAACCTCTGCCTCCCAGGTTCAAGCATTCTCCTGCCTCAGCCTCCTGAGTAGCTGGGACTACAGGCGTGTGCCACCAAGCCTGGCTAATTTTTTATGTATTTTTGGTAGAGATGGGGTTTCACCGTGTTACCCAGGATGGTCTCGATCTCCTGACCTCATGATCCACCCGCCTCGGCCTCCCAAAGTGCTGGGATTACAGGTGTGAGCCACCACGCCTGACTGGAAACTTCCTTTTATTCTCGATGTGGTTAGACTTTGTATCATGAATGAATATTGAATTTTTCAAATGCTTTTTCTATATTTATTTAAATAATCATATGGATTTTCTTCTTTATTCTGTGACATGGTGAATTATATCGATATTAAAATGTAAAACCAAACTTTTTATTTATGTGATAAATTTTGCTTCATTATGGTGTGTTAGTCTTTTTTATACATACTGAATTTAATGTGCAAGTATTTCATTGAGGATTTTTGTGTCTATGTTCAAGACGGTTGTTGGTCTAAAGTTTTCTTATAGTGCCTTTGTCAGATTTTGGTCTCAGGGTAATGCTGATCTCATAAAATGAGGTGGAAAGTGTTCAGTTCTTTACTAATTTCTGAAAGAATTGGTAAAAATTTGGTATTAACTCATCCTTAAATGTCTGGTAGGATATTGGCAGTGAGGCTATTGGGGTCTGGAAGTTTTCTTGGTTGCAATGTTTTCAATTACAAATTCAATTGATCTAATAGATATAGGATTATTCAAGTAATCTATTCTTGACTGACCTTTGATAATGTGGCACAAAGAATTTGTCCATTTCATGTATATTAGGATTTAGCAAAATATGCCCATGAACCAGATTAATGTGGAATGTAGCTTATTTTTGAATGGTCTGTAAGCTAAGAATCATATTACTTTTTAAAGGAATTATAAAATAAGAGTATGTAATAGAGACAGTGCATGGCCCACAAGGCCTATAATATTTACTATCTGGATCTTTACAGAAAAAGTTTATCAGTCCCTGATCTAAGTTATTTAATTTAAGGCTATCAGTTTGGTTTTTTTTTATGCTTTTAATGTAGTGTTTGAAGTGATGTTATTTCTTTTCAACCTTCTTTCATTTTATAGTAGTAATTTGTGTCTTGATTTCTTTTTCTTTTATCAGTTTTATTAGAGGTTCATTAGTTTTGTTGATGACTTTCTCCATTGTATTGCTCTTATAAATTTCATTGATTTCTACTCTTATTTTTCATATTCCTTTTCTTTTGCTCATGTCAGGTTTAATTTGTCCTTTTTTAGTTTCTTAAAGTGAAATCTTAGATCATTAATTTGTGAACTTTTTCCTAATATAAGAATAATATAAAGATTTTTATGTTACAAATTTCCCTCTAAGCACTGCTTTGGAAACTTTACATACATTTTATGTTATGTATTCATACTAGTTCAGTAAAAAATATTTTCTAATTTCTTTTTGACTTCCTCTGTGACTCACTGGTTATTTAGAAGTATGATGTTTAATTTCTGAATATTTGCAGAATTTCCACATATCTTTTTTTATTGATTTCTAAGTTAATTCTGTCCTGGGTAGACAAAATCTTTCGTATGATTTGATTATTTTAAAATTGTTAAGGTTTGTATTACGACTCAGAATATGGTCTATCTTGGTGAGTGTTTAATTTGCACATGGAAAGAATGTGGATTCTGCTGTTATTGGGTGGAGTGTTAGGTAAATATCAATTAGGTTAAGTATGTTGGTAGTGACGCTTGGGTCTTCTATACACTTGCTGATTCTCTCTTACATATTCTACCAATTGATGAGAGAGCAGCATTAAGCTCTCCAAGTACAATTGTAGATTTGCCTATTTTTCTTCTCAGCTCTAAAACATTTGCTTCATAAATTTAGAAACTCAGTTGTTAGGTGCATACACATTTAGGATTGTTATGTCTTCTTGGAAAACTGAATCCTTTATCATTATGGTCCTCTTTATCTCTGATAATATCTTCCTTTTGAAGTCGATGTTGTCTGATATTATTATAGCCGCTCCAGACTTCTTTTTATTAGTGTTGTTGCATATCTTTTTTCCCTCCTTTTATTTTCAACCTATTTAAGTCTTTATATCTAAAGTGTTTCTTGTAGATAGCATATGGATATTTTATGTTCTCATCCAATCTGATAATTTTCATATTTTAATTAGTACAGGTAAATGATTTAAGTTTAATATAATTATGAATAGGATTGTATTAAACTGTACTATTTTACTAGGTATTTTCCATTTGTTTCCTCTTCTGTCTTTTTTTTTTTTTTTACTTCTTTTTCTACTTAGTTTTGGATTAAGTTTTTTTATGATTCTAGTTTATCTCCACTGTTGGATTTTTATTTATGCCTCTTTTTAAAGTATTTTACTGGTTGTCTTAGGATTTGCAATATACATTTACTGGTACAAAAGCAGGCACATAGACCAATGGAACAGAATAAAGAACCCAGAATAAAGGCACTCACCTACAGCATCTGATCTTTGACAAAGTTGACAAAAATAAGCAATGGGGAAAGGACTCCCTATTTAGTAAGTGGTATTGGGATAGCTGGCTGGCTGCTACATGCAGAAGAATGAAACTAAATCCCCACCTTTCACCATATGTAAAACTTAACTCAAGATGGACAAAAGACTTAAATATAAGACCTCAAACTATAAGAATCCTAGAAGAAAACATCATTCTGGACATTGTCCTTGGGAAAGAATGCATGATTAAGTCCTCAAAAGCAATTGCAACAAAAACAAAAATTGACAAGTGAGACCTAATTAAACTAAAGCACTCTGTAAAGCAAAAGAAGCCATCAACAGAGTAAACAGAACCTACAGAATGAGAAAAAATATTTGCAACCTATACAATTGACAAAGATTTGATGTCCAGAATCTATCAGGAAGTTAAACAATGCAACAAGCAAAACACAAATAACTCCATAAAAAAATAGACAAAAGATATGAACAGACAATTCTCAAAAGAAGACATATAAGCGGCCAACAAGCATATGAAAAAATGCTCAGCAACACGAATCATCAGAGAAATGCAAATCAAAACCACAATGAAATATCATCTCACACGCGTCAGAATGGCTATTATTAAAAAATCAAAAAACAGATTCTGGTGAGGCTGCAGAGAAAAGGAGCTGCCTATGCACTGTCAGTGGAAATATAAATTAGTTCAGCCACTGCGGAAAACTGTTTGGAGATTTCTCAAAGAACTTAAAACTACTATTTGACCCAGCAACCCCATTACTGGATATGTATCAAAAAGAAAATAAATTGTTCTACCAAAAGACACATACTTATATGTTCATCACAGCACTACTAGTAATAGCAAAGACATGGAATCAACCTAGGTACTCATCAACGGTTTACTGTATAAGGAAGATGTGGTACATATACACAAATACCGCACAGCCATAAAAATGAATGGAACCATGTCCTTTGTAACAACATGGATACAGCTGGAGGTAATTATCCTAAGGAAATTAATGCAGGAACAGAAAAACAAATATTGCATGGTCTTGCTTTAAGTGGGATCTACATGCTAGGTACTTATGAACATAAAGATGGCAAAAATAGACATTGGGGACTTATAGGAAGGGGAAGGAGGGGAGGGACATAAGGGTTGAAAAACTAACTGTTGGGTATTATGCTCACTATCTGGGCGATGTGATCTTTAGAAGCCAACCCTCCGCATCATGCAATATACCCATGTAGCAAACCTGTACATGTACCTCATGAATCTAAAATAAAGGTTAAAGTCATTTAAAAATTTACTATGTATATATATAATTTTCGTGTCTATTTTTAAATAACAGAATATCACATAGTGTAAGGGTCTTACTTCCAACTCTTCTCTTCCTTTTTCTATGCTATTGTTGACATTTATTTTACTTTTATATATGCTATTTACCCCCAATATATTGCTGCTATTTTTTTTGTTTAGGCAGTCAACTTCTTTTAGAATGATGAATAATATGAAAATATATTTTTATATTTATTTCCATTTTAAATTACTTTCAGAACTCTTTATTTCTTCATGTAGATCTAGGTTTCTATCTAGTGTCATATTCCTTTTGCTTGAAGAATTTCTTTTAACATTTCATGTAAAGTCAGCCTATTGGTAATAACATCTTTCTAATTTTATTTGTCTGAAAGACCATTATTTTACCTTCATTCTTGAAAAGTATTTTCACTGGCTACAGGATACTAGGATAGCCACTTTCATTTTTAGTATTTTAAAGATGTCACTTTCTTCTGACTTGCATAGTGTTTGTCAAGAAATCTGCTTATCTTTATTTTTCGGTAAGTAATATGTATTTCTTTCTTTTTTCGTCTGGCTGCCTTCAAGATTTCCTCTTTATCTTTGCATTAAGTCTGGATTTAATATGTCTAGGTATGTCTGTTTTTGTGTGTGGGGCGGGGAGTGTATGTGTATTTGGGGAGGGCATATTGATCCAGCTTAAGGTTCTCTAAATTTCTTAAATCTGTGGTTGACATATTTTATTATTTTTGGAGAATTCTTCATTATCTTTTCAAATATTTTTCCCTGCAGTCTCTCTCTTCTTCTGAGTTATTAATTATATATTAGAATGTTTGATATTGTTCCATAACTCTTGAGTGCACTGTTCTTTCTTCTTCTCTCACTTTTTTTATCCTCTGTGTTCTCAGCTTTAGTAATTTTTATTGATCTCTTTCCATGTTCACTGATTATTTCCTTGGCTATATCATGCCTGCAAATGAGCCCTTCAAAAGCATTGTTCTTTTCTGTTATCATGATTTTATTTCTAGTAGTCCCACTTGACTCTGCCTTATAATTTCTATTTCTCTGCTGAAATTCCCCATCTATTCACAAATGGCCTCCACTTTTTCCACTGGAAACTGGGTCAGGAAGGGGATGGAAAGCCTCCATGAAAAGACATGACTCTAGTAGAACTGGCAGATCATATAATTTATGGTTATGGATCTGAATTTGAATTTACCTATCAGAAAAGAGAAGTCATTCTGTCACTTTTAGATTTGTTTAAAGAAGCTTTTAAAATCTAGATTGACTGCAGTTTGAATCTGATTCCCAGCCATGCCTCTCAATTGACTCAACTGGTAGTAGGCACTTAGCATGTCTTAACATTTTCAAACAATTTTACCCACAGCAGCCCAGCTTTTCTTTGTCTTTGTCTGTAAGTATAGCCTAGGCCATCTGGTCTTTTTCTCCCAGGTGTGAGAAACTAGATGTTATCTTGCCTACTGTCTTCCTTTACTAATGTTGCTAGTGAAATAATGACTCTGCCTGAATAGAAGTAAAGTACTAATGAGACAATAACAAAGACCAACGCTACCATTTATCAAGTACTTGCCACATACTAGTGGCAGAAAAGATAAAGAATCAGAGGCACCAGGAATTGAATTATCATACACAAGTTTGCAGATGTAAGAGGCTGATGTAGAATTCCAGCCCAGTGTCTTAACTATTCCTCAAGTATATTGGTATCTGCCCAATACCATTTAAAAAAACTGCTCTATAGAGCGATGACTCTCAAATGGAATATCTTAGGTTAATAAAAATTTTCTGTGGAGGAGCTGACTTTTGAAGATGATACTAAGGGTCTTAAAGAAGAAAGTTTCATTTCCTCTGAGAAGCCCTGTCATTCCTAGATTGTAGAAATCTCTTTCTCCCCAGTGTTGAAAGCCTGCTCAGATGTCACCCTTAGAAACAACAGCAACTGTGACAGTAAAAGGCAGACAATGGAAGGTATAACCAAAATCCTGAGTCCCTACCTCCCACTTCAGGGTTGACGAGCTACACTGAGACCTGTGGCCTAGGCTTGGGACCCAGCTGCTAAAAGCACTTTCTTTGGTTTCTCCTAAGTGGGCTCTGTAAGAAACCCAGTGATTGTGAATGCTTTAGACAGGCACAGCTGTGGGGGAGCAGGGGAGCATCTTCTTGTATTTCTATAAAGAAAACAAGTTGACCATATATTTGGATCTATCCAAGGATGCTGAAATTGCTGCTTTTTAAATGTTTAAAATTTTTGAGGGAGGATAAAAGCATTCAGATAGTGGTAGCCAGATTTTGTCCAATTTCATAGACATTTAATCTTTCCTGTCCTTCTTGTGGGAGCATGTAAATACAATTTTTATTATTATAAAAAATGATAATGTCACACATGGTGCAGTTTTTTATATTCTATAAAGCATTTTACATATACTATTTCATTTTATCTGAAGAGAACACTAAGGCAGATGGAGAAATTGAAGCATGTTCTAGCAAAGAGGCTTGCCCTAGAGAACAAAGTAAGGAAGCATCAGAGCTGAGTCTGGGTCTCTACCCTCTATGATGACATGACTTGTTAACTCAACTTGTCTTCTGGATACCTTTGTCCAGACTCCTAGTCTTTATCCTGGAGATAAGTCAGTGGGATCATTCCATTCTTGTTCCCTTTCCATGTAGCCCCCCATAACTCGGAGAATCCCAGCCAATTAATAGTTTCATTAGCAATGCCTGTTTCTACACATCCTTATTAACCCTGGCTATCGACAATAGTTTAAAAAATTTACTTATCTTATTACAGGTGGAAAATGGTAGCTCAAGGTCATTTTAGTTAATCTTCTTATCCTTGCTAGAAATTGAGTACCTTCTCATAGAGGTACAGACGATTTATATTTCTTCTTTCATGAATTGCCTCTTTATCCTCTGCCTGATATATGTTTATAAATCTTCATATTTTTAATATTTTCAAACCAATTTAAAAGTATTTCTCTTATAAACTACATATGTACTTTTTTCCTTTTACATCTGAACATCTTTGTTTTTGATGGAAGTTCAAGCCATTGCCTTTTGTTGTGATTACATGTGTATTTGATTTTATTTCTGTCATCTTGTTTTATTTTCTATTTGATATGAAATTTTTTCTCATTCACTGGATTGACGGAGTTGTCTTTGTCCCCTTTTCAGTTTTGTGCTTGTGTTGTGCTGTGTCTTACAAAAGCATCTTGGAATCTCTACATCCTATTTCTAGGTAGCTCATGTTTAGCCATGTAATTTTCTTTCTTTCTTTTTTTTTTTTTTTTTTTTGAAACGGAGTCTCACTCTGTCACCCAAGCTGGAATGCAGTGGAGTGACCTTGGCTCACTGCTGCCCCTGCCTTCTGGGTTCAAGCAATTCTCCTGCCTCACCCTCTTAAGTAGCTGGGATTACAGATGTGTGTCACCATGCCTGGATAATTTTTGTATTTTTAGTAGAAACAGAGTTTCACCATGTTGGCCAGGCTGGTCCTGAACTCCTGAGCTCAAGTGATCTGCCTGCCTCGGCCTCCCAAAATGCTGAGATTACAGGTCTGAGCCACTGCACCTGACCAGCCATGTATTTTTAATGTATATAAACATATTTTCCTATTATCGAAGATAAATCAATATTTACAACCCACACCCTTCAAACAAGTGTTTGGTGTACTTTCATTCCTTCCTTTCCCTCTAGAATTATTTTAATTATTTTGAATTCCAGATTTTAATTTTTCTGTATTTATTATTTATGTCTTTCCAAATATTTTGGGATTATTGCTTGTATACTCATTTTTAGAAATTCAAGCATGGGGTGATTAATACACGCAGCTAATGTGGGTTTTCCTCAGCAGAAGTAAAGTATTATCTCTGCAGTAGGCTCTGCTCTCACTGGGAAGGTTCTCTCCAGTGAACAGAGAATGACAAAATCTAGGCTTTTCTAAGGATGAGGGCCAAGAGCATGGCACCTTCATTCATGGTTGCCAAACTTAGGAGGTAATGTGCTTCAACGCTTTGCACTTCAAGAAGGAGCTACCTTTCTATCTTATACCTGAATTTATAGTCATGCTTTACTTTTCTCTCCTGTCAAAATGCTCACTTTTTATCCCTGAAACAAAGTCTCTGATTTGTTTGGAGGCCATTATCATAGTTTTAACCTGGACAGAAAACCATGACCAACTGCTGAATATGGGCAGACAGATAAATGAGTGTAGAGATCAACAGCCATGCTTATTCAACTGCTCTTTAATAAATTATCTCAGAGATCACCACTTGACTCAGCCCTTGCTGAGTTTCCATGGAGAAGAATTGCATTGCACCCTACTCATGGTGCAATTTGGGCTTGTCAGTTCATGCTTTGATTTTTTTTTCAAATCAGTCAGTCGTTTCTCCTTGTGTTTTCCAGAGATTGCCAAAATTTCTGATTCAGAAATGGCACCTTTCCTCATTTACAACCTTTAATTAGAGTTACTGACATTTCACACATGTGGAACCTGAGGCTTAGAGAAGGCAACCTTGAGAAGCAGGAGATATTATCCAGGGATAACATGTCTTATCATGTTACAGCATTGATAAGGTGGAGAAGTTGAGAACCATTCTTGGGAGCCAGCTCTACCTTTCCCATCATTGTGCAAATAAATCACAGTTTAAAGCACCAAATAATACTGTCTTCTCAGTTTCTTTCTTTAAGAAGCTGCTATTTACCTGGTCTGTTCCAGCTATGAGATGTGCCATGATCCATTAAGAACACATTGTCTTTGGGCAACTGGGGAAACGTAGTAGCCAGAGCATATAGAAATATATGAGGAAATCCTCCTTACCCCATCACCTTTTTGTTAATTTATTTAACCAAAACGTGTTGATTGCCTACTACTTACCATACACTGTTAATATTTAGTTCACTGTGGTAAATAACATAGGCAAATTCTCTTTTCTCACGCAGCCTGTAGTCACCACTGTGACCTCACATTGATGATTAGCTCTTGGCTTCTACTTTTGCCTCTTTACCTCAATTCTACTAAGTAAAAAACTTTTACTGATCAGTACAGTAAAGAAATTGCATTAATCTAACTTGGAAACTATCTCTAGTAGTGTATTATGAAATCAAAATAGGATTTTATTAACATTTAAGTATGGCCAACTGAGTCACACCTTTTTTAAAATGACTTTGTCTTAGGTCTTTTTTGGAAAAACACTAGAGAGAAGAATGTGAGTCCAAAATTTGTATTGATTCAGTGAAAACTTCTGAACAATCTTTTTCATATTGAACAGTCTATGGCCATCTTAATGAAATGGGGGCATATAAGATACTCAGTAAACGTGAGAAACTAAGTGGGATTCAAAGAAGGACCAAACCTTGAGACAACATGTGGCTTTGAGGATATTCAGCTCACATATTTAGGCCTTGTTCTCCTTGCCCCGCCCCCCACCACCCCCACCCCGACCCCAAGGAAGATGGCATTAAATGATGTCTAAGGTCTTCTAGCAGTAATCTGTAATAGAAATATAATACAGCAAACTGTTTTCAACTTTTATATTTTCACCACATAGGACTTTCCTTGAGGTTAGTAGAAGTTCTAAGGAGGAAGCACAAAAGAGAGACATGGCGATTGAACCTACAAAGCAATAGTCTGTTAAATTCACAAGATTACTGTTGGGTATTATGTCTTAAATTCCCCAATAAGGTATTAGAATGAGCTACTTTCTGAGGAAGGGCTCATGTTTTAATAACTAGACAGGAGCCTTCCCTTGTTGCCTGTGAAGTCTCAATGACAATAGAAATCACTTTGGGGAGAAAAATCAAAGCAAGAGGATGAAGTTTCTTTTTATAAGATGGTGTATGGCAGGGTGTGGTGGCTCACGCCTGTAATACCAGCACTTTGGGAGGCTGAGATGGGCAAATCACCTGAGGTCAGGAGTTTGAGACCATCCTGGGGAACATGGCAAAACCCCGTCTTTACTAAAAATACAAAAATTAGCCAGGCATGGTGGCAGGCACCTGTAATCCCAGCTACTTAGGAGGCTGAGGCAGGAGAATTGTTTGAACCTGGGAGGCGGAGGTTGCAGTGAGTGGAGATCTCACCATTGCAATCCAGCCTGGGCAACAAGAGTGAGACTCCATCTCAAAAAAAAAAAATAAAGAAAAGAAAAGAAAAAACAAAGAAAAGGAAAGAAAGAAAGAAAGAAAGAAAGAAAGAAAGAAAGAAAGAAAGAAGAGATGGTGTGAGATGGAGATACAGTTTTTGGGTTTTGGATTTTTTTTAATCCTTCCATGTCCCTTCACAGAAAAGAGCTGGAAAAAGCAAGCTTTGGGATCTGAAAATGGTAGGATTTACTTTTTGCTGCAATTCACACCTTTCCCAAAGAAATTCCTTAGAAACCCCAGTAATTGGTAAATGATGTTTTCTTGAATTGGTCTCCCAAATTGCCACTAGGAGAGAGTGAGATATTGCTATACATCTTACCAGCAGCCTACTGTTGATACTCTATTTAAAAGGGTCCCTTTAGACTATAAACGAAAAGTGTGTCCGTGAAGAGTTGCTCCAAGGCTCTTCTTGGAGAAGAATATCTTTCTTCTTCTATTTCTTTTTGCCCTTGTGTCACCTCCTGCACCTCCCTTCCAGAAACCCACTCATATACATATTGGACACACACACACACACACACACACACACACACACACACACTCTCTCTCTCTCTCTCTCTCACAAAAGTATTTAAATGGAGCCTGAAGAATATATTTGTTAAGAGCATAAGCTCAGGAGTCAGGTTGCCTGTATTCTCCATTTAACAGCTGTATGATCCTAAGCAAGTCATGTAACCTCTCTGTGCCTCAGTTTCCTCTACACCATAGGGTTGTTATAAGGATTAAATGGGCTCATCCTTGTGCAGCATTTAGCACAAGACTTATCACATTGTAAGTGCTCAATAAATGTTAGGAATTATGCTCATGATGAACTTACATTGTGCTTTCATTCTTACAGTATCCTGGGGAATGGATACCTTTGCAGGGACAGATTTTCAAATAAGATGCCCTCAAAGATGAGCCCAAACTGAGCTAGGTTTCCATGTGTGGGTGTGAGGTAGGTAAAGGGCTGTGTGGCTTGCCATTAGTTCTCACATGGGTTCAAGTCCTGATAGCAACTTGGGAACTGGGTGGTAATAACCTCTGTGTGCCCTTTCAAAGGAACAAAATTAAATGTCACTTGCCAGGTGCTGAAACTTACTCTGAGGACAGCAAGTTAAGGGAACTCCCTGTGTTAAACAAAGCTAAGTAAATGATCTGCTGTGATCAAAACCACTTTGGCAAAGCCCTACAGTGCTCCTTCTATAGATATATGTGCATATGTTCCTGTATGTGTTTCCCTTGGCATCACTTTGGGATGGAGGGAGAGAGGGTGGGTGGGTGGGGACTTTGGATGTGATACCGACAAATACAAGCAGTGGGAAACTTGAAAATTTCTGTCCACACGAACTCCCACTGTTTCCTTTTTTTTTTTTTTTTGCTCAATTGTGATAGGCTCTGGTTTCCTTTAAGTTTAGTTTTGAGTTTCAACCTTAAGTTAACTTTGGTTGCAATATCAGTATGATGCCCTTATACAAGAGCTGTGGTCACATGCATAGGGCTGCAAGGGACACCCGCCTGGTTGGGAATGATCTGCCCTCCATTTCCCAAACTTGGTGTCCGTCAGGTGAACCTAAGTCATAGTCCTTTAAACCTCTCTCTTCCAGTTAAAAAATTATCTACAAGGACAGCAAGTGAGAAATTCTTAGACGCCATACATCTTGCTTTTGTGGTTAATAGAGTTCAAATTTTCCATGCTGCTGAGAAGGGAGAGAAATTGTCATGTGCGTGACAAAACCCGTTTGTCTTGTATGGTTTTGGGAATAACAGGAACAAAAATATTTTTCCTCTCTTTCCATTTAATGTAATAAATGGTTCAAGATAACATGCATATAACTTACCACACAAACTTCCTGTATGCAAACATACAGGCTCTTAAAATGAACAAATTTTATAACAAAGAAAAAAATCCAGAAAACCAGAAAAATCCACCACCACACATACTACACAAAGCTTTGTGTAAATGCCAAAGAAGCTACCAAAAACTAGTAGTTGGAAGCTATAGTGAATTTAACAAAACTTTCTGTACTATTTTACGTTCCAACCTTTCATTAATAGAAGATCTTTTTCATTTTTATGAGGTCTGATGCCTGAAGTGGAGAAAGGAGACAGAGATGTCAGTGAACTCCCTATGATAATGCTTGGTGAAGTGATTGCATGGAAATGTGTGGATTTTTTTTTTTTTGCTTATATTTTGAGCTTCTACCAGCCAGCATTCATTCATTCATTTATTTACTTACTCATTCACTCACTCATGCATTCAGACTTCTGGTTCATAGTGTCAGCTAAAAGTTAAAGTCACAGCCATTGGCCAGAAAAAAAGAGAGCTGTGATACTGGCTAAGAGATCAACTGTGACTCCCAATGAGAGAAATTCCTCTAGAGATCTCTAAACACTGTCCTCTGGGAAACATAGGATGTAGAGAATAGCTGTGCACTCAGGGACATCAATTTATAGGCAGGAAGCTTTGCTTATGAGACTTAGAAGTTTCTGCAAGTTATAGATTGATGGTCAGGACTTTGGCTGCTGCTGGGAGAGGAGAAAGGCAATGAGATTCCAGAAGCTGACTGGGAAATCAACTGTTTATGCCTTTTAAATCTACTGGAAAATCCAAATGTCCCTTTCAAGGGACTTACTTCAAGACATCCCTTACAAGGCACCTTCTCCCATAGCCCTGCATTATGAAAGTATGTAAGTCCCATTTGCAGGAAATCTTACACCCAGAAACACACTCTCATTGATCTCTATCTTTGAAATATAGGTTCACACACAACATGTGCCTCAAAGACATAAAAGACCTGGCAACCCCCATGGCCAAGGTTAAGGTCACTATCTTCTAAAAGAAGTTAGTTTAGAGATTAGTCACACATCATGCAGGATAACCTTTGCCATTCCCTGCCCACCTTCTTTATGGTTAATTTCACAACAATCCCTTTCCTTTTCAAAAGTTTTGAGAAAAAAAAATCCTCTGCCTAATTTACATGTATGATTATATTAGCCTTTGCAAGAGTTCTAAAATGTGTCTGAAGCTTATAGCTGGACATTTGCTTTATTAAATGATCAGCTGGAATACCTAAGATCCTTGCTTACTCCTGATTACATTTCTAAATGCAAGGACAGGAATATGGGACCTTCAACTTTTAAGTGGTCCATATTACCTTTTAGGTTCCGGAAATGAGATGGCCCTGGATCTGCATATCTCCTCTAAGGGTGTTAACAATTGAACTGGAGAATTATAAGCCTTAAAGTGTTGACCTTTTTTTTCTAAAATGTGTGAACAAATTTCATGGAGTTGAACTGGATAACAAATGGCAAATATTGGACTATATGTTGAGTCATGCACACATGAGAACTGACAATTGTTAGCCATGTCTGTGGGGTATCATCATTGCAATTTGGAAATCACTTATTCAATGTGAGGGCAAAAAATAAAATAATTAAAAACTAATTTGTCAATGCATGTCTTTTAAAATACTCATTTCTATCTTTTATAAAACTATATTATTAAGCTATTCATAATCACTATATAATTTTATAACACTATATTATGAAGCAATTTATAATCACTATGTAATTCAGATTGGCCAGAAATATAAAATGAAGAAAATGCAGGTTTCTCACCTTCTTAGTATCTTCCCTTTCTTTCTTAGTATCCCTTTGGGTACTTTTACTCTTTTTAAACAGAAAACTCCATTTGGACTGGTGTTTTTCTAAATTAGTCAACAAACAAGAAATAATAAATGTTCACCAGAAACCATATGTACTAATCAGCTCTAACATTGCTGTAAAGAAATACCTGAGACCAGGTAATTTATAAAGAAAAGAGGTTTAATTTGCTCATGGTTGTGCAGGCTGTATAGGAAGCATGATGCTGGCCATCTGCTTAGCTTCTAGGGAGGCCTCAGGAAACTTACAATCATGGCGGAAGGCAAAGGAGAAGCAGGCTCATCTCACATGGCCAGAGCAGGATAAAGGGCCAGGGGAAGTGCTACACACTTTTATACAATCAGATCTCGTGAGAACTTTGTCATGAGAATGGTACCAAGGGGGTGGTGCTAAATCATTCATGAAGGATCTACCCCCGTTATCGAATCACTTCCCACCGAACCCCACCTCCAACGCTGGAGATTACAATTTGACATGAGATTTGGGAGGGGACAAAGATACAAGCCGTATCATTCTGTTTCTGGCCTCTTCAAATCTCATGTCCTTCTCACATTGCAAAATACAATCACCCCTTCTCAATAGTATTCCAAAGTTTTAACTCATTCCAGCATTAACTCAAAAGTCCAAAGACTCATCTGAGACAAGGCAAGTATCTTCCTCCTATGGACCTGTAAAATCAAAAACAACAGTAACATTACTCTCAAGATACAATGCAGATGCAGGCGTTGGGTAAACGTTGCCATTCCAAAAGGGAGAAATTGGCCAGAAGAAAGGGACTAAAGGCCCCAGGCAAGTCTGAAACATAGCAGGGCAGTTGTTAAATCTTAAAGCTCCAAAATAATCTCCTTTGACTCCATGTCTCACATCCAGGCCACACTGACCCAAGGAGTGGGCTCCCAAAGCCTTGGTTAGCTCTGCTCCTATGGCTTACCAGGGCCCGGCCCTCACAGCTGCTCTCACAGTTGTGTGCTGCTCTCAGTGTTGAGTGCCTGCAGCTTTTCAGGTGCAGGATGCAAGCTGTCAGTGGATCTACCATTCTGGGGTCTGGAGGATGGTGGCACTCTTCCATAGCTCCACTAGGCAGTGCCTCAGTGGGGACTCTGTGTGGGGGCTCCAACTCCACACTTCCCTTCTGCACTGTCCCAGTAGATGTTCTCTGTGAGGGTCCTACTCCTGCAACAGGCCTCTGCTTGGACATCTAGGCTTTTCTATACATCCTCTGAAATCTAGGCAGAAGCTGCCAAACCTCAACACTTGCATTCTGTGCACCTGCAGGCTTAATGCCACATGGAAACCACCAAGGCTTACAGTTTGCACACTTGAGCTGTACTTGGGCCCCTCTGAGCCACAGCTGGAGCTGAAGCAGCTGGGATGCAGACAGCAGTGTCCTGAGACTGCGTAGGGCAGCAGGAGATGGGAGGCCTTGGCCATGACCCAGGAAATCATTCTGTCTTCCTAGGCCTTTGGGCCTGTGATGGGCCGGGCTGCCACAAAGTTCTTTGAAATGCCTTCAAGGCCTTTTCCCCATTGTCTTGGCTATCAGCTCTTGCCTTCCTTTCAGTTATGCAAATTTCTGCAGGTGGCTTGAATTGCTCCCCTGAAAATGGACTTTTCTTTGCTGCCACATGGCCAGGCTGCAATTTTTTCAAACTTTTATGCTCCTTCCCTTTTAAATATAAGTTCCAGTTTTACCTCATTTCTTTGCTCATGCATATGAGCTCTTAGAAGCAGCCAGGTTAAATCTTGAACACTTTGCTGCTTAGAAATTTCTTCCCCCAGATACCCTAAATCATCACTCTAAATTTCAAAGTTCCACAGATCCTTAGGGCAGGAGCACAATGCCATCCTGTTCTTTGCTAACACATAACAAAAGTAACCTTTGCTCCAGTTCCCAATAAATTCCTCAACTCTGTCTGAGACCTCATCAGCCTCGTCATCTCTGTCCATATCACTATCAGCATTTAGGTCACAACAATTTAACAAGTCTCTAGGAAATTCCAAGCATTCCCTCATCTTCCTTTCTTTTCCTGAGTCCTCCACACTCTTCCAACTTCTGCCCATTATTCAATTCCAAAATTCCTTCCACATTTTCAGATATCTTTATGGCAATGTCCCACTCCTTTTACCAATTTTTTGTATTATTCAGTTTTCACATTGCTATAAAGAAATACCTGAGACTGGGTAATTTATAAAGAAAAAAGGTTTAATTGGCTCACGGTTCTACAGGCTATATAAGAAGCATGATGCTGGCATCCACTCAGCTTCTGGGGAGGCCTCAGGAAACTTACAATCATGACAGAAGACAAAGGGGAAACAGGCTTGTCTTCCATGGCCAAAGCAGGAGGAAGTTGTGGGGAGGTGCCACACACTTTTAAACAACCAGATCTCATGAGAACTCTATCATGAGAACCACACCAAAGGGATGGTGCTAAACCATTCATGAAGGATCCATCCCTGTGATCCAATTACCTCTCACCAGGCCCTACCTGCAACATTGGAGATTATGATTTGACATGAGATTTGGGTGGGGACACAGATGCAAACCATATCACCATATAGACACGAAGCATACCACATCCTTCTAAACCTATGATTAGATCTTCCTACCCTGCCAGATGGGATGTGCCCTACACTGTGAAAGTATCTAAGTCCCATTTGATGGCAATTTTACTTTCTCTGTGTTCCCTAGCACTTAGTACATATCTTAGAACATTGATTTATACTAGATTGTATTTATACATAATTTTCTGATACATACCATTATATCTCAATTTTCACATTGTCTTCTCTCACATCCTGGTTCCCCATTTGGTGCATGTGTGTTTCCATTGGCTTGTGTATTTCAAACTTCATCAAAGAATACTACCATCTCAATTCCAAATTTTTAAAAATTAGGTTTTCATTGATATTATTGTCCAGTTAATTTATTTACTAAGGTTGCCATAACAAAATACCACAGAATGGATGGCTTAAACAGAAATGTATTTTCTGACAGTTCTGGAGGCTAGAAGTCCAAGATCAAGGTGTCAGCAGGGTTGGTTTCTCCAGAGGCCTCTGGAGAGGCTTGCAAATGGCTGCCTTCTTGCTCTCTCCACATGGCCTTTCCTCTGAGAGTTTGCACTCCTGGTGTCTCTCTCTTCTTAAAAGGACACCAATCCTATTGGATTTGGACTCTGCCCTTATGATCTTATTTAACCCTAAGTTCCTCCTTAAAAGCCCTATCTCCAATTACAATCACATTAGGGTTTAGAGCTTTCATATATGAATTTGGGGCATAATTTATTCCACAATACCTGGTGTGGCAGGCAGCATATTTAAATGTCCCCTAAATTTCCTTCCCCCTGATGAACATGCTTCCTCACTTTAAAGATGATGGATTTTTTTTTTTTTTTGACAGAGTCTCCCTCTGTCGCCCAGGCTGGAGTGCAGTGGTGCGATCACAGCTCACTGC
Organism: Homo sapiens; assembly: GCF_000001405.40. Classification (NCBI taxonomy): domain Eukaryota; kingdom Metazoa; phylum Chordata; class Mammalia; order Primates; family Hominidae; genus Homo; species Homo sapiens. Next base: position 28,031,108 of record NC_000003.12, on the reverse strand, counting down.
AAGCTCTGCCTCCTGGGTTCACGCCATTCTCCTGCCTCAGTCTCCCGTGTACTGGGACTACAGGTGCCCACCACCATGCCTGGCTAATTTTTTTGTATTTTTGGTAGAGACAGGGTTTCACCATGTTACCCAGGATGGTCCCAATCTCCTGACCTTTTGATCCACCCACCTCGGCCTCCCAGAATGTTGGGATTACAGGCGTGAGCCACTGTGCCTGGGCTAAAGGTGATGGATTTTATACTCCTGTGACTCAGTTACACTATATGACAGACTATACCTCCAGATAGTGAGATTATCCAGGTGGGCCAAGCCTAACTCTCAAACTCTTTAAAAGCAGAGAGTTTTCTCTGGCCAGTAGCAGAAGGAAAAATCAAAGAGACTTTATTTGATAGAAATATGATGTAAAGGAGGTTCTCTGTTGCTGAAAAGAGGGGTGCCACAAGTGCTAGAGTGGCCTGTAAGAGCTGACACCTACCCCTGCAGAGCTGTCAAGACAATATCTACCTCAGTCCTACAGTTGCAAAGAAATAAATTCTACCTACAACCTGAATGAATCTGGAAGTGGATTCTTCCCCAGAGACTCTAGAAGAGAACTCAGTCCAGTTGACACCTTGATTTCAGCTTTGTGATGCCTTGAGCAGAGAATCCAATCATGTCATGCAGGACTTTTGATCAACAGAACGGTGAAATAATAAGTGGATGTTATTTTAAACTGCTAACCACATGGAAATCTGTTACATAGAAATAGAATACTGATACACCTAGGTATTAACAGGTTGTCTGGGCCAACCATAGAGCCATGGAAACAAGTCATTGGAGCTAACTCTTCCTCTTCTAGTAATATAAAACAAAAGAAAATCCACATATCCTCTCCTTGCTCCATTAGGGAGAAAATAAAATTTTATTCTCCTCTCAGACTTCAAAGACTTGTTTCAGAGGGATCCCTGACTGAAATTTTGATCCACAGTATGTTTAAGAAAATACTGTAATTTATAAGTTTCTGTGAGTTTTGTGTGTGTGTGTGTAATACTGAAGTTGGAGGCTTTTGGATTTAGCAAACGCCATTCTGAGGTTTTTCAAATGCAGAAATAGATCAAAAGCTGTTTGGGTGGGGACTATGCAGACAGAGATCAAAGCATAATAAAGGAGGAAGATTTGGGAATGCAAGGGTTGGGAAGATCAGGACTGACAGCTGCAGATTGAGGGCAAGGAGAGGTAAGTTACATGGCAGGTTCTCAGGAGAAAAGACAGACCATGTGAAAGTCCTAGCAGGGAAATGTCTTTGGAGAAAAATTAAATTAAAGGACAATTGAATGAATATATATTAATTTGTTCTCTTGACTGAACTCTGCAGTTCTCTCCCTCTTTGACCCCAAAACTTCAGTCAAAGGCTATGAGACCTTTATGTGAGAGGGGAATGAAGGGCAAGTCTAATAAAGAGGACTGTAATGTTTCCTAACTCAACACTCTACTGATATCAACATAGTGGCAGCAGCATCTCACAGAGACAGGACAAAATCTCAGAGCTGCAGTCAGTGAAACTAGCAGAGGCTCAGGTCCAAGCCAAGGCCTGCAGACAGAACCTCATGATAAGAGAGAAGCAGCCTGCAATGGCTGTGATGGAGATTGCCTAAACAGAAATACAAATCCCTAGGACAAGGTTTCTGAGCCTTGGCACTATTAACATCTGGGGCCCAATAATTCTTGGTTGTGAGGTGCCATCCTGAACATCATAGGATGTTTAGCAGCAACCCAGGTCTCTACCTCTAGCACCACTCTTCTCCCCAGTTGTAACAATCAAACAGGTTTTACACTTTTACAAATATCCTCTATGGGCAAAATCACCTGGGTTAAGAACCACTGTCCTGAACCAGTCCTTTCAGAGATACTGGGAGAAGCTCTGGACATCTGCAAAACATGGAATGTTGACTTAAAGCCATAGGACTGAAGAACTCCAGGGTGAAGACAACTGAGTTACAGTAATATAAGCAGAAATGTAGCGTCAGAAAGAATTGGGGAGCTAGGGGTGGTTGTGCCTTTATGTTTAGGTGTTTATGTTTAAAGGGAGCACTCACTGGTCTCTAAAACACTTTTTTTCCTCCAGGAAATAAAGTTCTGAGGTTCTGTCACCATTAGCAGGATATGCCGTTTGCCCAATTCCAATATACTTTTCCTTTTAAAAAAAACCCTGAGTATTTAATTGAAATAACCAAAATGAAGACCCAAAATGAGTTTCTTCAATTTTGGTTTCCAACAGAGAAAGACTGTGATTTGGTTCAAGCCACTTGTGAGCTGTCCGCCTGCCACGGGTGCTGCATTTATAGCACCCTTGATTAGATGTGACATTTTCTCACTCTGAGTATTTTGCCCGTATTTGAAGAGATCCACACAGGGGACCTTATTAAAATCTGCAGAAGCCTGTGAATACGTGAGGATGCACTTATGTGAGGGGGAGGGAGAGAATGGATTTTTATCTTCTGGGAATCTGGTGGTTTTATTTTATAGGAGCTTACAAAGGAATGAGCAAGAGGAAAGAAGATTCTGGTCTCACTTAAAATGGACTGCGGTACCTCCTCTGCTTGAAATTCAAAGAAGCCAAGGTAAGCAGAGTTGAAATTGTTTTCATGGCTCACTAAAGTGAGATCTGCTTCTGTTAAACTCTAGATTCTTCTGCTAATTACAGTGAAGAGATGTGGATGGCACAGAGCAACAGATCACAATGACACCATGTTTGCTAGGATGCACACATTCAAATCTGTTCCTGCTCACAAAAGATGTGACTTCCACTCCTCCCAGTCCTATTTGTTCCTGATTTGGTTTTCCATTAAGCAAGTTGGGCCCCAGGAAGATAGAATGGAGATAAGGTTCCAATACAAAGCTATTAAAGAATTTGAAGTAGGGCTAGGCGCAGTGGCTCACGCCTGTAATCCCAGCACTTTGGTAGGCTGAGGTGGGCGGATCACCTGATGCCAAGTGTTTCAGACCAGCCTGGCCAACATGGTGAAACCCCGTCTCTACTAAAAATACAAAAAAATAGCCAGGCACAAAGGTGCTTGCCTGTAGTCTCAGCTACTTGGGAGGCTGAGATGGGAGAATCACTTGAAATCCAGAGGTGGAGGTTTCAGTGAGCCAAGACCATGCCATTGCACTCTAGCCTGGGTGACAAGGGTGAAACAAGAAGGAAGGAAGGAAGGAAGGAAGGAAGGAAAGAAAGAAAGAAAGGAGAAGAGAAGAGAAGAGAAAAGAAGAGGAAAAAAGAAAAGAAAAAAGAGAAAAGAAAAGAAAAAGAAAGAATGTGCAGTAGGAAAATTTGTCTTCAATCTCACTTTTGTGTCCCCTTTTCTATCTTGGGCTGGTCCTCTCCTCCCATGCTTGTTCTAGGCCTTCTATATCTAATGTTATAGATTTATCATTTTAAGTGAAGCAGCTCATTCACAGCACTTTTGAAAACCACGTGACTCTTCTTCTACCCTGACTCAAACACACACAAACCTCATATGATTGGATCAGGTGCAGGAACATGAATGAAGACAGCAGTTATGACAGGAGAGAAAAGATGAGCCGGATTCATCAGAAATACCTCAGGAACTTACTTATAATAAATGGTAAAGTATTTTGTTCCTTTTTTAGCCATTATAAATAGGATTGCTTTCCTGGCTTCCTTTTTAAGTAGTAGATGTATAGACATAAAGACAGAATAGAGAGCCCCAAAATAAATCTACATACCCCACGTTGAACTGATCTTCAACAAGCATGCCAAGAACACAAAATGAGGAAAGGGTAGCAGTTTTGATTAATGGTATTGGGAAAACTGAATGTCCACAACAGAAAAATGAAAATGGACCCTTATCTCACACCACATATAGAAATCAACTCAAAATGGATTAAAGACTTAAATGTAAGACCTGAAACTGTAAAACTCTAGAAAAATAGGGGAAAAGCTTCTTGGCATTGGATATCACACCAAAAGCACAGGCAACAAAAGCAAAAAAGACAAGAGGGCTTATATCTGACTAAAAGGTTTCTGAACAGCAAAGGAAACAATCAACAGGGTAAAAAGACAACCTACAGAATGGAGAATATATTTTTCAAACCATGTATCTGATTAGAAATTAATATCCAAAATATAAGAAATGTAGCTCAATAGAAAGCAGTAGAAATAGCTCAATAGAAAAACAAACAAAAACCAAAATCCCAAATAACTCAATTTAAAAATGGGTAAAGGACCTGAATAAACATTTCTCAAAAGAAGACACCTACTGGTCAGTAGATGTACAAAAAGAGACTTCAATAATCATTAGAGAAATGCAAACTACACAATGAGATATCACTTCACCTGTTAGAATGGCCATTATCAGATGGACGAAAGATAATAAGTTTTGGGGAGGATGTGAAGAACAGAGAACCCTAGTATGCTATTGGTGGGAATGTAAATTACTATAGTCATTATGGAAAACAGTATATAAGTTCCACAAAAAAAAAAAAAAAAAAAAAATAGAACTGCCTTATAATCTAGCAATCCCACTTGTGGGTATATATGCAAAGGAAATCAAATCAATATTCCAAAGAAATATGTGCATTCCCATGTTCATTTCAGCATTACTCACAATAGACAAGCTATGGAATCAACCTAAGTGTTCATAACAGATATATATAGAGATATATATTCATATATAGATAGATATACACACACGCATACACACATATATTTACAGAAATACATATATAACATATATATATATATAATGGACTATATATATTTACATAATGGACTATGTGTGTGTGTGTGTGAATGTGTGTGTGTAATGGAATATTATCCAGCCTTAAAAAAAAGAAATCCTGCCATTTAGGACAACATGGTGAATGTGGAGAACAGTATGCTAAGTGAAATAAACCAGTCACAGAAAGTCAAATACTGCATGATCATACTTACATAATCTAAAAATCTCAAACTCAGTGGTGTTTACCAGGGGCAGAGAGGAAGGGACATGGGAAGATGATGGTTGTATTAGCCCATTTTCACACTGCTAATAAAGACATACCCGAGACTGGGAAGAAAAACAGATTTAATTAGACTTACAGTTCCACGTGGCTGAGGAGGCCTCTGAATCAAGGCAGGAGGTGAAAGGCACTTCTAACATGGCAGTGGCAAGAGAAAAATGCGAAGGATGCAAAAATGAACACCCTTGATAAAACCATCAGATCTCTTGAGACTTATTCACTACCACAAGAACAGTATAGGGGAAACCGCCTCCATGATTCAAATTATCTCCCACCAGGTCCCTCCCACAACACATGAAAATTATGGAAGTAAAATTCAAGATGAGATTTGGGTGGGGACACAAAGCTGAACCACATTATTCTGCCCCAACCCCTCCAAGTCTCATGACCTCATATTTCAAAGCCAATCATGCCTTTTCAACAGTCCCCCAAAGTTTTAACTCATTTCAGCATTAACCCAAATGTCCACAATCCAAAGTCTCATCTGAGATAAGGCAAGTCCCTTCCACCTATGAGCCTGAAAAATCAAAAGCAAGCTAGTTACTTCCTAGATACAATGGGGGTATAGGTATTGGGTAAATACAGCCATTCCAAAGGGGAGAAATTGGCAAAAACAAAGAGGCTACAGGATGCATGCAAGTCCAAAACCCAGTGAGGCAGTCAAATTTTAAAGCTCCAAAATAGGCTGGGCATGGTGGTTCATGCCTGTAATCCCAGCACTTTGGAAGTCTGAGGCAGGCAGATCACAAGGTCAGGAGTTCGACACCAGCCTGGCCAACATGGTGAAACCCCATCTCTACTAAAGATACAAAAAAATAGCTGGGCATGGTGGTGTACTTCTGTAATCCTGGCTACTCAGGATGCTGAGGCAGGAGAATTGCTTGAGGTGGAGGTTGTAGTGAGCTGAGATTGCATCATTGCACTCCAGACTGGGTGACAGGGTGAGACTCTGTCTCAAAAACAAAGCTCCAAAATGATCTCCTTTGACTCCAGGTCTCACATCCGGGTCACGCCGATGCAAGAAGTGGGTTTCCATGGTCTTGGGCAGCTCTGCCTCTGTGGCTTTTTCGAGTATAGCCTCCCTCCTGGCTGCTTTCACAGGTTGGTGTTGAGTGTCTCTGGCTTTTCCAGGCTCAAGGTGCAAGCTGTTGGTGGATCTATCATACTGGGGTCTGGAGGACAGTGACTCTCTTTTCACGGTACCATTAGGCAGTGCCCCAGTAGCAGTACTGTGTGGGGGCTTCAACCCCACGTTTCCTTTCTGCACTGCCCTAGCAGAGGTTCTCCATGAGGGCCCCACCCCTGCAGCAAACTTTTGCCTGGACATCCAGGCATTTCCATACATTTTCAGAAATCTAGGCAGAGGTTCTCAAACCTCAATTCTTGACTTCTGTGCACCTGCAGGCTCAACACTACGTGGAAGCTGCCAAGGCTTGGGGCTTGAAGCACCCTTTGAAGCAACAGCCTGAGCTGTACCTTGGCCCCTTTTAGTCACAGCTAGGATGCAGGGCATCAAGTCCCTAGACTGCACACAGCATGAGGACCCTGGGCTCAGCCCACAAAACCATTTTCTCCTAGGCTTCCAGGCCTTTGATGGGAGGGGTGCCATGAAGACCTCTGACATGCCCTGGATACACTTTCCCCATTGTCTTGGGGTTAACATTCAGCTCCTCATTACTTATGTAAATTTCTGCAGCTGTCTTGAATTTCTCCTCAGAAAATGTGGTTTTCTTTTTTATCACATTGTCAGGCTGCAAATTTTCTAAACTTTTATGCTCTGCTTCCCTTATAAAACTGAATGCCTTTAACAGCATCCAAGTCACCTCTTGAATGTGTTGCTGTTTAGAAATTTTTTCTGCCAGATACCCTAAATCATCTCTCTCAAGTTCAAAGTTCCACAAATCTCTAGGGCAGGGGCAAAATGCCACCAGTCACTCTGGTAAAACATAACAAGAGTCATCTTTGCTCCAGTCCCCAACAAGTTTCTCATCTCCATCTGAGACCACCTCAGCCTGTACCTTATTGTCCATATCACTATCAGTATTTTGGGCAAAGCCATTCAATAAGTCTCTAGAAAGTTCCAAACTTTCCCATATTTTCCTGGCTTCTTCTGAGCCTTCCAAACTGTTCCAACCTCTGTTTGTTACCCAGTTCAAAAGTTGCTTCCACATTTTGGGTTATCTTTTCAGTACTCTACTGGTACCAATTTATTGTATTAGTCTGTTTTCATGGTGCTGATAAAGACATACCCAAGACTGGGAAGAAAAAGAGGTTTAATTGGACTTACAGTTCCACATAGCTAGGGAGGCCTCAGAATCATGGCAGGAGGTGAAAGGCACTTCTTACATGGCAGCAGCAAGAGAAAATGAGAAAGATGCAAAAGTGGAAACCCCTGATAAACCCATCAGATCTCGAGACTTATTCACTACCATGAGAACAGTAAAGGGGGAAACCACCCCCATGATTCAAATTATCTCCCACCGGGTCCCTCCCACAACATGTGGGAATTATGGAAATATAATTCAAGATGAGATTTGGGTGGGGACACAGAGCCAAACCGTTATCAGTGGTCAAGAGGTACAAAGTTTCAGTTATGCAAGATAATAAAGCTCTGGAGATTCTGGAGATGTGATGTACAACAACGTGACACTATAGTTAACAATATTGTACTGTATATTTGAAATTTGCTAAGAAGGTAGATATTAAGTGGTCTCAACACACACACACACCAATATAACTATGTGAGGTGATGGATATGTTAATTAGCTTGATTGTGGTGAATATTTCACAATGTATACACATACCAATTCATCCAGTTGTATAATTTAAATATATACAATTTTTAACTGGCAGTTATACATCAGTGAAGTTGAAAAAAAGTGGTGAAGCAACAGGTATAAACAATGGCAGCTGAAGCCAAGACTATGCGTCTGAGTTGGTCTGAAGAAGAGGAAGTGGAGGCAATGCCATGAGTCATAAGAAGCAGGTCATTGATTTCCTTAGCAAATATTTATTGAGCACTTGCTAAGGTGCCACACACAGCTTCAGGTCTGGAGAAAAGACAGTAAAAAAAGTAGGCAGAGTCCCATCTCACGGAGCTGACATTCCTGGAGAGTGATTAAGGCAATGAAGAGGTAAACAAATACAGAAAATAATATTAGATTAATGACGAGGGCTATAAAGAAAACAAAGCAGGGAAAAATGATAGTGTGACCTCCAGGGGTGGGGCAGTGGTAGAGGGGCACTATGGATTGGTGTGGTCAGGGAAGGACTCTCTGAAGAGAGGAGATTTCAGCTGAGTCCTGAGTGACACAAAGAAATAAGCACAGGGAGGCTCAGTAGAAAGAACATTCCACACAGAAGGCCCAGCAAACACAAAGGCCCTGAAGAGGGGTGAGCATCGTGCACACTCAAAAGAAAGAAAGAGGGGCAGTGTGACTGGAACACAGAGAGCAAGAAGAGTGCTACAGAATGAAATAACAATGGTAGTAAGGGGAAAATCACCCAGGCTTCGTAGGTCAAAGCGAAGAAAACTCAGGGTCTTATCCTGAGTGAAATGGGAAGCTGTTGTAAGCAGGAAAGTGACATGAGGGGACTTATGTTTGAAGTAGATCATTTGATGAAGAACAGAGTGTAAGGAAGGCAAGAATGGAAGCAGGAGAACAGGGAGGCCACTGACACTTTAATGTCCAGGTGAGTGAGGAAGAGGTTGCACAAGGGCAGGGTAGTGGGGATAGAGAGAAGCAGAGGTTGGTGTATAGGGGGCACCTTTTAGCAGTTTGCTATGGGCAGGGCTCTCTAAGGAGGAAAGGGCTTTAGCAAATATTCAAATACCTGTTGCTTTTCACATTTTTTCCCCAAAGTTATTGAGGTATAGTTGACAGTTAAAAATTGTACATATTTAAGTTATACAACTGATGAATTGATATGTGTATCTGTTGTGAAATCTTCACCACAATCAAGCTAATTAACACATCTCCCACTTCACATAGTTACCTTTTGTGTATGTGTGTTGAGAATACTTAAGATCTACCTTCTTAGCAAACTTCAAGTATATAGTACAATATTGTTAACTACTGTCACATTGTTGTGTATTAGGTCTCCAGAACTTCATTATCTTGCACAACTGAATAGACCACAGGGAAAAAAATAAATAAATAAACCAATAAAAAGACTCAATTTCAATTTCTGTTGAGAAAGCAGTAGAGAAATGCTCACTCTCATGCATTACACAATGGTACAAACCCTGCAGAGGATAGGGCTTCCTGATGGATTAGATGTAGGAAGAGGATAGATACAAAAATAAAAAATGATGTCTAAACTTTTAGCTTGAGCAACTGGATGGTTTATGATGTTATTGACTGAGATGGAGAAGACCACACAAAGAACAGGTAAGAGAATAAATGGGTAAACAGGGGATCAATTCCAATCCAGTTAGTTTAAGTTCGATTTTAGATGTGTTATATTTGAGATCCCTATTACACAGTCAAGTGACCATACCAACAGGAAATTGTATATGCAGGTTTAGAGCACAAGGCTAGAGAAGTATATTTTGAACTCAGCAGATTAGCTACGGTATCAAAATCATGGCCTAAATGTCCTTCTACATGCTTGCTACCTCCAAAACCCTCTACAGTGTACCTGAGATAGACCATAGTGGTTCTCAAACTGTGAGGCTCATAAGAATCACTGGGAGAGACTTAAAAAAATCTATATTCTTAGGTCTTAGCACCAGAGATTCTGATTATGCATGCAAGCATTGAGGTGGACCCAAGTATTGATCTGAGATACATATTAAAAATGAAGATTTTCTGGGGTATTTTTAAAAATGAAGATTCATTCTGATGCCAGTAGTCCGAAGGCTACACTATGTGAAAAAGCCATAGAATTCTTCAGAGACCAATTAAATAACCTGGGGATATGTTTTCAATTTCTATAAATGATCAGCACTTAGATGGACCTGGAACATTGGCTAAGTATTTTATGTTCACGAACTCACTTAATTCTTTCTTTTCCTAAATTTTTATTTTTTAAAAGGTAATAAATTCACATGGTTAAAAGTCAAAATAATATAAAAAGAGAGATATTAAACAGTATTGTTCCCACTATTCTCATCCATTTTATTTCCAGCTCTGTGTCCTGTAAGGAATACTATTTCTATTATCTTCTTTTGGATATTAAAAATATTTCTTTCTGAAAATATAGCAAATACAAATATATTCTCTCCCACCAACTTCTCATCTTTCTTACTTAAAAGGAAGCCCATTATGTATAGTGTCTGCTCCTGTTTTCAGCATAAATGCCAGAGATCTTTCCACGTCAGCATACAGAAAGCACCATCATTCTTTGCATTATAGCAGCATAATATTTTGTGGTGTGCATACATCATGGCTTATTTCATTAGTACCCTGTTAATGAGCAGTTGAATTGTCTATCTTTTGCTATTAATGAAGGCTCATATTAATATGCATTCATTATTTCATGTATATACGTGTAATCTGTAGGATAAATTCCCAGAAGTGGAATTGCTGGGTCAAAGGGTAAATGCATTTGTAATTTCGAAAAAGATTGCCAAATTGCCCTCTGCAGGGGTTGTACCATTTTGCACTCCTACCAGCAATGTATCAGAGTGCCCATTTCTCTGCAACCTTGCCAACAGAGTGTGTTAAACTTTTGGGTTTTTGCCAATCTGATAGGTGAGAAATGTTATTTCAGTGTAATTTCACTTTGCTTTGTCTCTGATGAGTGAAATAGAGCCTTTATATATATATATATATATAAGGGGTCTTTGTATTTTTTTCTATAAACTCTCTATTGATGAACTTTTTGGCCTGTTTCTTCTCAATTTCTTGGAGCTCTTTATATATGAAAGAGATGAGCTCTTTGTGCTATGACACAGCTATTTTTGGTTTTTCTTTCGTATTTGATTTGCATATCTTTAAAATATATTTAAATGGTTCCATTTTTCTTTATGTCCTCTGAATTTTGAGTAATATTTTAAATGTATCAGTCTTTTTTGTGTGGCCCCTGGATTTTAAGTAATTGTTAAAAGGCCTTCCCCTGCTCCAAAGCTATAAAAGAATTCACTCATTCCCTTTATTGTTTCAACAATCCTCTAAGTAGGTCTTATTCACCTTCTTTTATGAATGAGGAAACTGAAATTCAGGGCTTACAGTAGGTCTCTCAAAGAGTAAGAGTAAGAACATGATTCAAAGAGTAAGAACATGATTCAAAGAGTAAGAAAATGAGTTTCTTTTCTCAGTGTCACTTTAGAAACATTTTGCAGGAAAACTTCTGCAAAATATTATCTAGGTTGCTAAAGAATATGATCCTGTTATTTCTGAGGCTTTAAATAAACAGAACAGCTCAGGTTTTGTCAACATTAATGTTTGCATTGAAACAAATACAAAAAGTCTCCCAAATCTTATAAACATCAATGCTTGAAGCCAACATGTTGAAACTGCCAGGACCCATGCACACCACCTACGGACGTCAGCAAATGTCCCTTTTAATTGAACGCTCAAAAGGATACCTGCGGGCAAGCAGAGAAGCCCTGCAGTGGCCACGCTGGACTGCATTAAGGGACACCTGGAATCCATGGCAGCCCTTTGTCCCTGTCTCTCCCTTTCTTTCTGCCAGAGCCAGCAGGGAAGGAGAGTGCTGACGTGTCTATTGAGGACTAGGAAAAATACTCGGTTTGAGAGCCAGTCCTGTGAAGGAGGATGACCCAGTTGAAGGTTTAAACCTGCAATCTCCTCTCCCTACCAAACTCCAAAACCCTGAGAGTCCAGTGTCCACATAAAAAGGTTATCGAGAGATTCATCTTGTGCAAACGGCAGGAGAAATGATTTATCAAGGTCACCTTTCAGACCCAGAGTTTGTGACAGGTGTTCCTCAAGGATCAACTCTGATCAGTTGGTAAGCACTGCCTAGAGCATGTGATTGAGGTGAACTCAGAGGCCACGTCTAGGCACAGTGCTACAGAGTGCTGGGATTCACAAGTGATGTCAGCTGAGAACATAGTAAGAGAAAAAATTTGCATCCCTGCCAAGCCTCTGCCAATATTGACTGAAAACATTATAATTCATTTATAGAATCAAGACCTGATAGAAATGACTGCGATATGCTTGCCCATCAAAAATGCCAAAGTTTTAGAATGCTTGGTTCTGAAGGAGCTGGTTCATTTTCCAGAGGGTGATATTTATTATCTAAAAGGCTGCCTTGTGTTTGATTTTCCTTACCCTGAATTTACACACTCCATTACCTTCTCTAAAATCCAGTGCTTCAGGACATAACACAGTGTATTCCAACAGTAGATGTTCAATGAACACTGAACTGAATCGTATCACATACAGCAGGTTAAGTTTAAAAAGATACTTTGCACATATTCACATATTCATTCAGCATGACTTGATTGAATAATTAGATACAGTCTCTAAGGTATAGATTTTTCCCAAATGCATGCATTAAAAGTTTTAACTTTTGATGAAGGGCAATGTATTAATTTTTTTCATTTATAGCTCATGCTTTTTGTATTAAGTCTGAAAACTCTTTGCCTATACTAACTGTTGAAAGGTTCTTCTGTTTTCTTTTCTAAAACATTTATATTAACACTAAGAGAGATGTTCCTTTTTATTGCTGGACATGGGTCAGAGTTCTAGCTCTTATATTGTCTTCACTAACACCACACTGGCAGTGACCTTGCTATTTCTGGGCAATGGTGAAAGTCCCAACTCAACATGAAGCTTCCTCTGGCACCACTCTGATGAGGAGAGGGAGAGGTACCTTATTACTACAAGGTAGAGTGGAAGTATAGACTCCTGATATGAACTCCACTGACACTGTAACAAGGAGGGGGCCTTGTCACTGACTGGTAGGGATGGAAATCCCGGCTCCCTACTTGGCCTTCTCTGACTGCCCCTGCAAAGATGCTGGGGTACCTCATTTCAGCCTTGATGATAGAAGTCTAAGCTCCCCACTTGGTATTTGCTGCCATGGGGTGGGTGGGGCTAGCTATATGTAGTCTTTTCTGTAGTGTTTGACTGGAGTTAGAGAAAGTATTGTCTGAATGTTTTCTGTCTTGCTAGGCTGTCTCTTTCATGGTCCTTTGGCTTTTTCCCCATCTGTGTCTATCAACATTTCTGGCTTCCCAGATTTTTTTCACACCAAGTCTGGGATATATGAGGCAAAAATAAATCCAGGGAATTCACCACCATGTTGTTCCTTGAATCTCAAGTTCCCTAGACAGTCTGCCGTCTTCTTTAACATTTTTCAAGTCCTTCATATTTATTTTACATGTAATTTCCAGCGTTTCTCGTTGTACTTGGAGGAAGGAATAGGGAAAAGTATATCTATTCCATTTTCCCAGAAGCAGAAGTCTTTCATTTGCTTTTTATGTCTTTTCTCTCTTTTGATCTTTTAGATCAAGAGTTTATCCCAGGACCTATCACTGGACTCTGCATATGAGAGATGCTCAAAAAATACATTTTTATTTTATTTCATTTTAGAACATAAGAACAAGTACATTATTATAGACCAAGCTCATCATATTATTTCTCAACCTCATCATTACTTACATTTGGGGCCAGATGATTCTTTGGGATGGAAGGTGAAGGGGGATTTTTGTGTGTGTTGCAGGATGTCTAGCAGTGTCTCTGGGCTTTACCCATTAAATGCCAGTAGCATCCACAAGTTGTGACTGTTAAAAATGTCTTGAGACATTGCCCAGTGTCCCTTCGGGGCAAAATCACCTGTGGTTGAGGACCACTGATATAGACTCACACATCCAATTTTTCTCAAAGATAGTGGGATTTTTTTAATGTACTGACCAAAAAAGCTAGCTTGACAGATATACTGCCTCCTATTTGATTGTCGGTGGAGGGGGCAGAGGGTCGGGGGGAAACACAAGGAAGATTTTCTCTTTGAAAATTGTCACACTGACTAGAACATTGCTTCACTTAGTGCTTTTCCTGCTTGTGGGACATCTGAGGGCCTGATGGGGTCAATGAATGGCTTCAGCATGGCAGTGCAGTGGGTGGGGAAATTTGTTAGCCACATGTGCTTCCACATATTTCACAAAGAACCAGAAAGATGGGAGAAAAGAAATTATATTTCACAGTTTATATTTCAGTGTTGAATTTAGAAATGGGAGGCAGCAAACTAACATTTCCAGCAAAAGCCCTCATCCTTTTGTTAAATACAGAATTGAAAGACCTTTATCTACCTGTTGGGCAATGACAACTTGTTTGGAATTTGAGTTTATGATAAAAGACAAAAGAGCACTTCTGTACTTTCCCTATAAAATCTCCAGAACCCTCAGAGTTGTTGAACTACAAAAGATGATTAACTGGGAGACAATGAAAGGACCCAGGTCTGCTCCTAACAGCTGTACAACCTTGACCAGTCACCTAACCTCCTGGTGCCTGATGCTTCACCTGTGAAATAGGGATAATAATAGTAGCACTTTATACATGAATTAACAGATGTAAAAACCTGAGAATGCTGCCCTCTGCAGAGTAAGAGATAGAGAAGGGCTTCCTATAATTATTGCTATTGTTTTTGTTGAGAGATTTTTGGCTGATATTAAGAGAGGAAGTAAATGCTATGTCTATGAAATCTCACAGGTTTCAGGTAGCACTGGGAGGTTTCAGATAAATATCTCTTATCAAATTAACAGAACCCTGTGGTGACTCTTTTGAGCCTGATATCCCAGTAAAGAGCTCCATTCAGGTAAATGGTACTAGAACCACCCCTTAGACCCACAGGGCATACATAAGCTTATGACTTCAGGGTCTAGGGAGGGACAGCCATGGATTGAATTTGCCAGAATGTGTTTCACATAAATCTGTTATTTTCTCTTATTGAACTTTGTTCGCTTTCCTCGGAACACTTATGCAATCAGCAATGAGATAGGAAGCCATTAATGTATTTATTTGTTTAATATCTCTTTCATTACAAGATTGTGAGTGTAATAAGGTAAGAATTATGTCTCTTTCCCTCACAATTATATTGTAGCATCTAACACAGTGACCAACACGTAGTTGATTCTCAAAATATATTTCTCGAGTAGATGAGAGAATGTTAGAGAATTGTCATCCAAACAGGGTTCACTGATAGCAAACAGGGTACACAGATAACAAAAATATATGTATATATGTGTGTGTGTATATATATGTGTATATATATTGTGTATATATATGTGTA
Source organism: Homo sapiens (assembly GCF_000001405.40). Taxonomy (NCBI): domain Eukaryota; kingdom Metazoa; phylum Chordata; class Mammalia; order Primates; family Hominidae; genus Homo; species Homo sapiens. The sequence continues at coordinate 28,015,904 of NC_000003.12, read as the reverse complement.
TATATATTGTGTATATATATGTGTGTATATATATATATATATATATATATATATATACTTTTAAGAATTCAGTTTCTTAAGCATTTTTTTAAGTTTTGCAGAGGCCAAATTATGTAAAGAGCTTATTAGGAAATAGGAGGCCTGGCTCATTTTCAAAACTTATTTTAGATACTTTATATCCATATTATATTCTTTATCCTTCCCCCTTTTAAAAACTTTACTTATTAATTCATTCACTGAATTTATTAAACACTACGTACCAGATATTGGTCTAGTGCTGGAGATATAGCAGAGAATCAAAGTTGTTACTCTCATGACATTTGCAAAGGAGCGAGTGAGGCCGACAAAAATAAGCACATATATTTAAACAAGTGGATGGCCTAAAGACATAAGAGAATCCCCTGCTGTGGTCTTTAAAGTCATTCATATTGATGCTTCCATCTCAGCCCAGAATTTTCGGTAGAGTCAGCCAAGCGTACAGACCCCTTCTCTTTGCTTCCTTTCCTCCATTCATTTAAGGTGCGCTTAATGAACCTACTCTATGCCAGGCACCCTTCTAGACTCTGAAGACAACGGCAAACGTGGCAAAGTCCCTGAGCTCACAAGCTCACATTCTAGTGCAGACACACACGACAAGCAAATAAATGAGCATCCATCAGAATGTCAGCTAAGGGTCAATGCCACAAAGATAAATACAGCAGGCTGAGAGGAAAAGAGAGGAGCAGGGCAAAGATGCCGTTTTGCATAGGGAAAGTCATGGACGGCCTCTCAAGTAAGATGACATTCGCGCTGAGACTTGAACAAAGTGAAGGCATGTCGATGTCAGGAGACAGTGATCGATCCAGGCAGAGGAGTACCTGTAGCCAGGACGTACCTGGTATGCTCCAACTACAGCAAGGAAGCCAGTGAGGCCTGGTGTAGAGCGAGGAGGTGGACAGCGGTAAAAGCAGACATCAGAGAGGTGAGTGGGGCCACATTATTCCCATCTTTGCAGGCCGCAGTTAGGATTTGGGATTTTTTTTTTTTTTTTTTTTTTTTTTGAGACGGAGCCTCGCTCTGTTGTCCCGGCTGGAGTGCCGCCTCCCGGGTTCAAGCGATTCTCCTGCCTCAGCCTCCCAAGTAGCTGGGACTACAGGCCTGCACCACCACACCTGGCTAATTGTTTATTTGTTTGTTTGTTTGCTTGTTTTAGTAGAGACAAGCTTTCACCATGTTGGCCAGGCTGGTCTTGAATTCCTCACCTCAAGTGATCCACCCGCCTCGGTCTCCCAGAGTGCTGGGATTACAGGCGTAAGCCATTGCGCCCGGCCAGGATTGGGATTTTATTTTGAGTAAGATAAGAGGGACTGAAAAACTCCGGCAGAGGAGTGACATGATATATGCTTTAAACGGACAGTTCTAGCTCCCCTCTCCAAGCATCAAAGCACAACTCCAGTCTCCAGTTCCCACCCTCCATGCCAGTCTTCCAACCAGAAGCCCACCCTGTAAACTGTATCCTGGGGCTAGAGCCTCAGCCTGGAGACCAATCAAATCCCCAGACAATGCTGGTAACTATACGGTATGGAGCATCACCGCTGTATAAGAGGGAATTGGATTCAGCTTGAATGACAGGAAATAAATGGGTCTGGCAGTCAGGAAACATGCATAATTAACACAGTCAGGAAATCTCATAACTATGTTCCCCTGAGCCATATATTCTACCACCTGAGGCTCAGTTTCCTCGTCTGTGAAATGTGGGAGGTTGAACTCGAAGACCTCTGAGGTACTTTCCGACTCTCAATCACTGTGGTCTCCTGACAGTTGATGTGTGCATAAAGGCAGCTGTCTTTGGACAGTAGGGTTGTGGGGAGAATTTGGGGGCCAACTTAATTATAACAAATAGTTCACACAGATCAGGAGCTTACTATGTGTCAGGCTTTGTGCTAAACTTGTTATGTGTGATATCTCCTTTCCACTTACAAATGGAAAAAAGTCGGGGGGGGGGGCCTTGAAGAGATTCTAGTGAAGGCTAACCCTAGTGTCCCCTCAATGAGTTCCTTCATAGTTCTGCTGTTCACTAGATACATCTGTATGTGAATAAGTGTCTACCTTGTGAAAAAGAACATTTGACAAATTTATTGCCATTGTGGTTAACTCTGAAACTATAGCTGGATTTAAATTAAAGAGACATCTTTGATTTCTGTCAAGATTATTCACAATAAATGTTTTTGTTATTCTGTTTTTTGTAAAACAAAAATCTGATTAAAATTAGTTGTATATGTTGCTAAATATCTATGTAACATAGCACACTAATTTTATTGGTACAGGTTGGAACTATAAAAGGATGAACAAATTACAGCATTCAAAATATATTTTAAAATAAGAGTGGAACAAAGCTGCAGCTTTTGGGTGCTGATCAAATAGAAGTAAGTTAATTATAATGTGTTGAGTCTTCAGATTAATATAAAATATTTTCTAGCTAGTAGGTGAAGAATGTTTTCTTCTTTTTCTCCCTCCCTTCCTGTCTTCTCCCCCCACCCCAATCCCCTTTTCTTCCTTTGTTCCCTTTTTCTCTTTCTTGCTCTCTCTCTCTTATGAGTTGTTCTTCTTTTTGGAAATTTCTACTAGTGAAATATTAATGAAAAATGCTCTACAGCTAAAATAACTTGTTAATTGCCCAAAGACCAAAGATGAGTGTCTATTTCCAAGACTGTTAAAATTTGCAGACTTAAAATTAAGGAAGAAAAGGTCATAACCCATTCCTTAAGAACTGCATTTTTTCATAACACTTTCTTTTATTGAAGATAGATATGAAAAGATGGGAGCATATTTCCAAAGTGACTGTGTAGTTATATGAGGTCAGTTGAATGCTATTTGGACAAATTTAAGTTCACTTTATTGTGCAATATGAAACAAGTACAGTGATCATCAATTCTGAACTGGAGATAATGAGGCAATAAGTATGAATATCTTTTAGAACATAGAGACAAAATATTTGAAATCAGGACTATTCCACAAAGTCCAAGATGTATGCTCTCTAGGGAGATAAGCTATAGCTTTTGTTGTTGTTTTTAGGTTTTGTTTTTCTAGTATTGCTGTAATTGCATCTTTAAAATGCAGTGGGTTTTAAACTATTCTGGAAAAAGTCACTATTGCTGTTTAGATATCACTGGAAATTATGAGTGAAAGAAAACGACTTAGATTCATAGGAGAGAGAAATCTTGAGGAGGGAACCTAGATCTTCAAATAAAGGAATAGAACATCTGATTCTCAAACGTAGCAAATTTGCCTGGTTTGCTTGTGAAGCATCAACTTTATCAAAGTTAGGAGTTCTCTGCTGAACATAGTTTGGAATGTCTTTCAAACTAAAATGTAGACATAAGTATTTGAAATAAAATACAGGAAATTATAGCTATAGTGTTAAGTAAACCAAACATTCAGTGCTATGAATAAACTATTGTTTGAGAGAGGCAACATGATATAACTAATAGAAATGATCATGATAGAACTGATCATGTCATGCCCATGCTCAGAATGCCCCACAAGCTATCTATCATACTTGGAACATAAAGTCCTAACATGGCCTCTAAAGTGCTTTATAATCTGACCCCTGGCTCCATCTGTAATTTCATTTTTTACCATGGTTTGCCTCACCAACCTACCTTCACTTTCAACCAAGCACTCTGTGGTCTTTGGTTGAGTTCTTATCATTGCCACTTGACTATTAGCTTCTTGAATGAAGAGATTCTCTCTTTTTTTTTTTTTTTTAATCTCTGTATTCCTGTGTCAGGCCTATGGCAGGTACTCAAAAAATATTTTTGAATGAATGAATGAATAATTAAACAATAAAACACAAAATTACATATTTGTTGACTTAAAAGTCAATTTCTTCATTAAGAATCATGCAACCTTGGGAAGGTTGTTCAACCTACCAGTGTCTCCATTTCCTCATCTCAAAAATAAAAAGCTTCCACTTTGGGAGGCCGAGGCAGGAGGATCACGAGGTCAGGAGATTGAGACCATCCTGGCCAACATGGTGAAACCCCGTCTCTACCAAAATACGAAAAAAAATTATATATTTTTTTTTTTGGCCCGCACCTGTAGTGGTGGTGGTGGCCCGCACCTGTAGTCCCAGCTACTCAGAGGTCTGAGGCAGGGGAATTACTTGAACCCAGGAGGCAGATGTTGCAGTGAGCTGACATCATGCCACTGCACTCCAGCCTGGCTATAGAGCCGGACTCCACCTCAAAAAAATAAAAATAAAAATAAATAAATAAATAAATAAATAAATAAATAAAAGTTTTAACGAGGATGGTAAACTCTTTCTTTTCAATAATTAATAATAAAATATGTGTTTACAAAACATTGTTTTAAAAATAATGAAACATCATTTTCTGGCTCTGTTTGTGCCTAACATCCATTAATAATACTGCTTAAAAGCCCTGGTGCATGAGGACCTGGATGGATGGATCGTCTGTGTTTTCATTTTGAAATTTGTCTTGAATTAGTGATAAGCATGTATATATCCACCAGTCCATGTCTTTGTATTGTTGAAGTGTATTTCATTTTCTGTCACTGGATATAAAAAAGATGGACACCCAACATTGTAATTTTTGCCATCTACATTTTGTGGTTCTCATGTAGTGACAGGAACTGGTTGGAGTAATGTGGGCTTCAAAGCAAGACTGAAATGCAGTGAAATGCTGAAAGCTAGATTTTTTAAATAGCCCCCATTAAAGTTGTTGGGAAAATCCACACCCCTTAGTGTTTTATGATTTTCAGTTTGACTGGTACTCCTTGCTTCTTACAATGAGCTCAAGAGGTGTTGTTTTAAAGAAAATCAAAACTAAGATTGGCATATATAACCAGTGATCGAAAAGCATGCTACAATTTGATGAATAGATAAAATATAATTAAGAATTTTGTTATCTTTAAGCCTCGAACTCTATGGAGTATATTCTTAAGTAGGATCCAAAAGTTGGAACATTTTGAGCTAACCAAATTTTCCCTTTGTTTAAATGTCTTATACACCCATTGCATTTATCTTTTTTTCTTCAGCTATATTTCATAGTAACCAACCCTCCTTCTATGATTTGGCCCCTATTTAAAATGAGCACGTACAAATAAAAAATTAAGCTAATAAATAAGGTGGTAAACTAGTGCTTAGAAGGAATCAATATAAACAATGACCTCTAACTCTTCTGTTAGAATGTATAGTGTTACAATAAAATCATATACACCATTCAGATGTTTATAACATGAAATTTATGCATTAGCTTTGGTGGTGAGCATCTTTAACACATATCACTCTAAAACAAACAGATCAGGGGTTGGTTAATATCTTTCTTCTCTATTCTTCAGGCTAAGGCATTCATAGACAAGTGTTATTTGTTTTTTCAAACAAACGAGATTAAAAGAGAAAACCAAATAATGGAGAGAACCCAGCACAGAGCCAGGTATGTCATTAGCTCTCAATAAATATGTTTTCATTCTTCTTTATGTCATGCACTCTGTCACACCAGCCAATCTAATGGCTCATGTCTAGCCAACTATCTAAATGTTGTGTTACTTATCACCATTGCCAGAAGGAGCATAGTAGGCCCTAAGCTCTGTGAGTAGGGACTGTGCGTGCAATACTGGAAAAATGACAGTTTGAAGTCAAACTGTGGGAAGTTTGTTTTCATTTGATGCTTTAAATAAAAATAATATGTTTATATTGCTATATCTTGATATTTTCATATTACAGGGTTTTGTTTGTATGTTTGTTTTGTTTTTTTTTTTGTTTAGACAGAATCTCGCTCTGTCACCCAGACTGGAGTGCAGTGATGCGATCTCGGTTCACGGCAACCTCCACCTCCTGGTTCTTCTCACGCCTCAGCCCCCCAAGTAGCTGAGATTACAGGCATGTGTCACCACGCCTGTAATTTTTGCAAGTTTTTACTGGAGACAGGGTTTCACCATATTGGCCAGGCTGGTTTTGAACTCCCGACTTCAGGTGATCTGCCTGCCTCAGCCTCCCAAAGTATTGGGATTACAGGTGTGAGCCACCGCACCTGGCCAGTTTTAAACATTCTCTATTGACTTTCCCTAACAAAGAAAAAGGTCTAGCTTTCTCTCACACTACCTCCATCTCTACCCACTCATGAAGGCTTCTCATCTTTTTATACTGTTGTATTATACTGTTGGTTATATCATTCTCAGTGTTCCTATGTCTGTAAATTCCTTTCACAACCGAGATATGGAGTACCCTATGCTAACTTTTATTTCCTTATAAATTTTTTACTTTTCCTATGATTAATAATAGCCTTCTTTGTTGTTAGTTGATTGAAAAAAAAAACTAATCCAATCTTCACTCACTCCACTCATCATCTAAATCTTCTCTCAAGATATTTAGATGTATCAAGTACTTAACGATTTCTCCTTTTTATAAAAATATAGAAATGGAAGAACATTCTGACCTGCTTGTAGGTGGAGTTACTGTACTCTACTCTTGCATAGCTAACAGCCTGCAGGCTCTTTTCACCTCTCTTCTGAGCTGAATCCTCAGTTTCTTGTATCTCACACCTTTCTCTTTCTTGGCTTACTCTCTCACTTTGGTGGAGCATATATTCCAGTTGGTTTCTAAGAAACTTTTTTTAAGGTAAATTTTTGAGAGCTTACATCTGAAAATGACTGCATTTTACCTTTATATTTGATTGACAGTTTGACTGACTATTGAGTTCTGAGCTAGAAATCATTTTTCTTATTCTGTTGAAGGCATAGCTCCCATGACTTGTAATTATCAGTGTTGCTTTTGACAATTCTAAATCAACTCTGATCTCTGATTTTTGTATATACTAATTTTCCCTCCTCTCGAAGTCTGTAGGATCCTCTTTGGGGCCTTTTCTTTATCCCAGAATTGAGAAATATTGTGATGATATGCCTTGAGATGGGTGTATTTTCCTTTGTTTTGTTTTGTTTTGTTTGTTTGTTTTTTGCTGGATACCAAATGGACTTTTAAAACCTAGTAACACATTTATTTCCTTCCTTTTTTCCTTATTCTTACAATAAATATGTATTGAGTTTCTACTATAAGGCCAGGTATTAGCCTAGGTACTGAAAATGCATAGGAAAATAAAATCACAACTCTCTTGGAGCTGACATGCTATTAGCACTTTCAGTTCTGAGATATTATAGTGAATTATCCTATTTATAACTTCGTGCCTTAGGCTGTTTGGACTGCTATAACAAAATACCTTTAATTAGGTGGCTTATAAGCAACAGAACTTTATTTCTCACAGTTCTGGAGGTTGGAAAGTCCAAGATCAAGGAGCCAGCAGCTTCGATGTCTGATGAGAGCCAACTTTCTGGTTTATAGATGACACCATTTTGCTGAGTCCTCATGTGGTGAAAGGTGCTAGGAGTCGCTCTTGGACATCTTTTAGAAGGGCTAATTTCCTTCATGAGGGCTCTGCTCTCATGACCTAATCACCTCCAAAAGGCCCCACCTCCTAATACCATCACCTTGGGAATTCAAATTTCAACATATGAATTTTAGAGGACACAGACATTCAGACCGTAGCACTTCCTCCCCTCCGTTGTCTCTGTTAAGATGAGATGGTCTCTAAGATCATGTCAGATTTTAGAACAGGAAGGGATCACAAGAATACGTCAATGACAAGCCTCCAGGGGCCGAAGACATACTAAAGATCATGAATATCAAGTCACCAATAAGGCCAGTTGATATGTAAAGCTTTTAAGTGACTTTTCCATTGTCACCCTGCAGGTTAGTCTTAATGTCCTCTATTAACTTTTTCTATTTTATCCTTCATAGGCTGGAAATTATTAAATTTGAAAGAATAATTGATATTTTTGCCTTGTGTTTTGTTCTTTTGAAAAGAATTTAATGAAGTCTGTTCCTATCTTAAGCTCATTTCCCCAGGAGAGTCAAATCTTATAATAAAACCTACTTTCGTTTTTAAACAAAAAAAACCAAAAACCCCAAAAATAAATCCCTATATCTCTGATTGCTAGGCTTTTTATTCCAGAAGATTGCCTCTAAAGAATATCAAGACTTTTTTAATGAGTTATTTCTTATTAATCGAAAAATAATTAAGACTTTGTTGCAAAAATTATTACTCTTAGTCTATTGGTGTCCTAGCATAGAGCTGTTTCTGTTGTAATTCACCCAGCCCAAGAGACTTCATAGCACTTATTCATGAAATGAGAATCCCATTTGTTAACTGCATGTTCATCGTTAGATTAAACTTAATGGCTTATCTTACGTACCTTTTGTATTTTTCAGAATTCCCAGCGCATGCTGTACATCTAATAAGTAATGCTTAAACTTTTATATAAGTGAATTACTTTCTTCTTACAGCTTTCTTAGATATGTATTCATTGAAAAGTTGTGGGCTTACTTCCTATACTCAAATATATATATAGTCATATACTTGAGTTAAGGAACCCAACTCATATACAAAATTTCTCATAGGGAAGAAAGGAGTAAATGAATTTATATCAATTGTTTTCTAATGTAGCCTTTAAAAACCCAATTTTAATTTTCTCATGTATGAATTGTGAGGTCCTAGCCTCATTATTTTTTATTGGAATCTTAGTGACTTTTAGTGATTTATATGAATTGCACATACTGGTGATTTTTACTTTTTGTCTAAAATATTTGTCACTTTTTTTATTTTCTGTATTTTTGTATTTTGTTATTTGCTTCTTAATTAATTTGACCCAGGCAAGGTACAGTGACTCATGCCTGTAATCCCAGCACTTTGGGAGTCTGAGGCAGGTGGATCACCTGAGTCAGGAGTTCAAGACAAGCCTGGCCAACATGGTGAAACCCTGTCTCTACTAAAAAAAAAAAAAAAAAATTAGCCAGGTGTTGGGGCAGGCGCCTGTAATGCCAGCTACTCGGAAGGCTGAGGCAGGAGAATCACTTGAACCTGGGAGGTGGAGGTTGCAGTGAGCCAAGATCATGCCATTGCACTCCAGCCTGGGCAACAATAGCAAAACTTTGTCTCAAAATAATAATAATAATAATAATAATTAATTAGGTCCAAAAAAGTCCAATCCATTGCAATTTTCCATTTGGTAAACTTTTCCCATGCAAGGTTTTTTAAATATTCACTTTACCCCACCCAGAGATTTTTAAAATATTCATTTGTTTCCTTTTGTTTATTTATTTTATGTTATTTTATTTTATTTTTTTTTTGAGACAAAGTCTCACTCTGTTGCCAGGCTGGTGTGCAGTGGCGCAATCTCAGCTCACTGCAACCTCTGACTCCCTGTTCAAGCAATTCTCCTGCCTCAGCCTCCCAAGTAGCTGGGTTGCAGGCATGTGCCACCACGCCCAGCTGATTTTTGTATTCTTAGTAGAGACAGGGTTTCACCATGTTGGCCAGGATAGTCTCGATATCCTGACCCTGTGATCTGCTTGCCTCGGCCTCCCAAAGTGCTGGGATTATAGGCATGAGCCACTGAGCCTGGCCTGTTTCCTTTTATTTTTTAATTCATGTCCCTGATATAAGCAAATGTCCTAGCATATTTTTTGTATGCAGTAATATCCTCAAATCACTGTTGAATAATATTTTCGTTGTCTGTTGATTTTCAATGCATACTTTATTATGTATTATACTTTTATTTATTCTAGGATTTGATTCCAGATAAATCATTCTATTTTATGATTTATTTTTAAATTAGTACCACACAGATTTAATTATTTGATAGTGTTTTTGACAATCTGGCAGACCTTATTATTATTTGCAAAGTTTTTTGAAAAGTTAATTTGCACATCTTTATTATATCAGTTGAATTTGAGAATAGTGGTTCCCAATCCCAAAGCTTTAAATCCCCTGAATGGCGCATATCAGAAATGAAGTTACCCTCCCTCTGCAGAGATTAAAATGTACTCAGTTGGGGTTCACCTTATAGAAGGAGAGACATTGCTGATGAATTTATGTGATGCCTGTGAGCAATGTGGAGGCAGAAAAGAGAGGCTAGGCTGCAGAGGTTTTTAAAAAAATCAAGTGCTAAATTAAGTTCTATTGAGATTTTGTTTAGGATGGCATTACATTTATCTCTCTACCTATATGGCTTATTTTACATCTCAGTAATTTTGTATTTTTTTTCCCATAGGGGCCCTACATCCTTCTTACGGAGAGATTATACTTAAGTATTTTATCATTTGGGTAAATAACATATTTTAAAATATCACATCTATCTGATTTTTTAAATGTATAAAATCAATTTTACATATTTATTTACCTATTTCTTGTCACATTATCAAACTGTGCTGTCATAGGTCCTCAATCCATAGCAAACCCTGGGAGACAGATATATTCTGAAGTCCTAAAGTTTAAATTTTTAGAAAGGTAATAGTAATAATAATAATAATCCAAATATATCATGCATTATACATATATGTGTTTATCATGCATTATATAATACCTACAGTAAGGTATAAGGCAGGATCCCATAGTCAATGTACTAATGTGCTAATAAACTGACAATATTTTTAAATGTATAAATCAATGCTATAAAAAGCCTGACATCCACTGGATTCAGGCTTTATGACAAATGAGTGTGGACACCAAACTTTTGCAAACAAGTCTGATTTCAGAGCTTTTTGAATTTCTGAAGTATGAAGTGACAAGTAGTTCTACTGTTTTCATAGTTCAACTTGTTATATTTTCTTTTCTTTTTTCTTTCTTTTTTTTTTGAGACAGAGTCTCACTCTGTCACCCAGGCTGGAGTGCAATGGCGTGATCTCAGCTCACTGCAACCTCTGCCTCCCAGGTACAAGCAATTCTCATGCCTCAGCCTCCCTAGTAGCTGGGGCTACAGGTGCACACCACCACGCCCAGCTAATTTTTTTTTTTTTGTATTTTTAGTAGAAATGGGATTTCACCATGTTAGCCAGGCTGGTCTTGAACTCCTGACCTCAGGTGATCTGCCCACCTCAGCCTCCCAAAGTGCTGGGATTACAGGCGTGAGCCACTGCGCCCAGCCTCAACTTGTTATATTTTCTAGGAAGAGAATTACTTTTCTTTCTTTTCAGTGGAAATACCTACATTCCTGTTATACTCCTTAGAGCATTTGCTAAAAATTCCAAAGCAATGTGTACAAAATAATCATGACACTGTTATGTGCTGCTACTTAAAGTAGGCTGTTAATTTTTGTCATGCTAAAAAAAATCAACATTGAATATGAAATATTACCATCATTTCCCTCTGTATTAGTCTCTAGTTGCTGCTGTAACAGGTTACCACAAATTTAGTGGCTCAAAACAACACAAATTTATTTTCTTAATGTCTGGAGGTCAGAATCCAAAATCGGTCTCATTGGGCTTTTAAATTAAATTTATTGTAAAGCTACCTCTTTATATATTTTAAGTTTAGCCTAAAGGTTTATCCATCCCAAGTGAACTGTAATCTAACTGAATGTGTAAACAGACTAACTTGCTCTTCTAATAGTCACCAAGTTTTGGCCAATCACAGGCAGTCAACTGTTCAAACCATCTTCAAATAAGGCAAACGCCAAGCTGTAACCAATCCAGCTATTTCTGTACCTTACTTCTATTTTCCATATGTTGCTTTCCTTTCTGTGTTCACAAATATTATCTGACCATGTGGCAGCCCTGGAGTCCTTTTGAACCTATTCTGGTTCCAGAGGCTGCACAACTTGTGAATCATTTTTTGCTCAATTAAACTCTGTTAAATTTAATTTTTCTGAAGTTTTCATTTTAACAGGGCAAAAGGCAAAGTGTTGGCAAGGCCAGTTTCTTCTGGAGATTCTGAGAAAAGAATCTGTTTTCTTGCTTTGTCCAACTTTTGGAGGCCCTCTACACTCCTCAGTTCATGACTCCTTCCTTCTCTTCAAAGCACATCATACCAGTCTCTGCTTCCATTGTCACATGGCCTTCTCTATCTCTAGCTCTACTGCTTCCCTCTACCAGGACCTTTGTGATTACATTGGGCTCACCTGGATCATTCAGGATCATCTCTTTATCTCAAGATCCTTAAATTACATATTTAAAGTCCCTTTTGCCATATAAAATACATATTCATAGGTCCCAGGAATGAGGACACAGACATTTTGGGGAGGCCCATTATTCAGCCTACCACACCCTTCTACTAAGGTGATTATATGTATTTTCTTATTTGAAAGTTGTTATGATTCAGTAAACTATATTGACAAATTTTTCTTCTTTTTTTTTTCTTTTTTTTTTGAGACAGAGTTTTGCTCTTTCACCCAGGCTGGAGTGCAGTGGCATGATCTCGGCTCACTGCAACCTCTGCCTTCCAGTTTCAAGCAATTCTCCTGCCTCAGCCTCCCGAGTAGCTGGGATTACAGGCACCCACCAGCACGCCTGGCTAATTTTTGTATTTTTAGTAGAGAGAGGGTTTCACCATATTGGCGAGGATGGTCTCAAACTCCTGACCTTGTGACCCGCCCACCTCAGCCTCCCAAAGTGCCAGGATTACAGACGTGAGCCACTGGGACTGGTGACAAATTTTTCCTATATTAAACCATCTTTGCATTCCTGGGATAGACTTTGGTTATGGCAGGTGTATTACTCAGAGTTCTCCAGAGAGACAGAACCAACAGAATACATATCCATAGATATAGAAGATGAGATTTCATATAGTTTGGATGTTGCCCCCTCTAAATCTCATGCTGAATTATAATCCCTAATGTTGAAGGTGGGGCCTGGTGGGAGGTGTTTGGGTTATGGCAGTAGATCCCTCATGGCTTGGTGCTGTCCTTAAGATAGTGAGTGAGTTCTTGTGATATCTGGTTGTTTAAAAGTATGTGGCATCTCCTCCGGAACTCTCTATCTTACTCCTTCTTTTGCAATGTGATATACTGACACCCCCTTTGCCTTCCACCATGAGTAAAAGCTCCCTGAGGTTCCCCAAGAGGCCTAGCAGATGTCAGCACCATGCTTCCTGTACAGCTTACAGAACCATGAGACAATTAAACCTTTTTTAAAAAATAAATTACCCAGTTTCTGGTATTCCTTTATAGCAACACAAGAATGGCTTAACACAAGATTTGTTAGGGCAATTGGCTCATGTGATTATGGAGGCTGAGAAGTCCAAATATAGGCCATCTGCATGTGAAAGAAACAGGGAAGTTGATAGTACGGCTTGGTCCAAGCCCAAAGGCTTCACAACCAGGGAAGCCAATAATGTAAGTCTCATTCTGAGGCTAACAGCCTGAGAACCTTGGGGGCCTGCTAGTGCAAGTCCTAGAGTCCAAAGGCCATAGAACCCGAAGTTCTGATGTCCAAGATTAGTTGAAGAAAAGTGTCCCAGCTGTAGAATACAGTGAATGAATTTGCCTTTCCTCTGCCTTTTTGTTCTATCTGAACCCTCAATGGGTTGGATAGTGCCTGCCCAGACTGGATAAGGGCAGATCTTTCTTACTCAGCCCATTGATTCAAATGCCAATCCCTTGCAGAAACATTTCCACAGACATACCCAGAAATAATGTTTTACAAGCTATGTGGCTATTCCTTAACCCAGTCAATTTGACACCTAAAAGGAACCATCAGAGTGAGTTAGTCTTTTTATATGCAACATTAATGCTTTTTTTATGGTATTATTATGGTTTATTCTATATTCATACCTGATATTAGTCAACTGTGTGTGTTTTGCTTACCTAGGTTTGGTAACTGAGTTAACCTGATATTGCAAATGGTCAGGTAATAAAAACTCAGCTCACATTAGCTGAAGTGAGAGGGAGTTTTCTTCACTTATATTGCTAGAAAAGATACTGGACTATCTGAGAAAACTGAAGGAAAAGTTGAAGGAATCAGGCCGCAGGGATTGCAAGTAGTAACCTGTGAACCCCAGAACTTTCTGTGAACCCCAGAACTTTCTCTGATTCTCTGTCTTTCTCTCCCTCCAGCTGTCACTTGTATTTTGTATTAGGATAGACAGGCTCTCTCTGTGTGACAGAAAACATGGCTAACAACAGACCAGCTGAAACAAATCCAGAGTAAAGAGGACCTTCTTTCCCAGCAATGAATGTGGGAGATGCCTCATCTAAGGTCATGTCCCTTCCCAGGGTGACCCATATCCAAAGACTGATTGATGTGGAAGTAAAATCTTTGAATTGTGTCATCCCAACTTAGGGCTGCTCTAGCCTCAGAGCTCCTGTAGGCCCTGCTGAGAATGTTTGGGGGCCTGTATCACAAGTCAACGTCTCCCTCTTCCTGCTCCTGTTTCTCCTGTCTCCCTTTCACAGAAATTGATCCCTAGCACACTTCTTAACAAACATCCTTCCTGCTAAACACCGTATTTATTTTATTTGAGACAAGGTCTCTCTCTGTCACCCAAGCTGGAGTGCAGTGGAATGATCACAGCTCACTGCAGCCTTGATCTCCCAAGCTCAAGCAATCCTCTCACTCCAACCTCCTGAGTAGCTGGGACCCTAGGCACGTGCCACTATGCCCACTTAATATTTTAATTTTTTTGCAGAGACAGGGTCTCACTATGTTGCCCAGGCTGGTCTCAAACACCTGAGCTCCGGGGATCCTCCCACCTCGGCCTCCCAAAGTGCTGGGCTTATGGGTATGAGCCCCTGCACCTGGCCTAAACATCATGTATTTTAGACTCTGTTTCCTAGAGAAAGCAGTGATAATCCTGTGATACTTAGGATGAAATAGTGTTCTGGGAAGGCTAAACACCTGTAGCTGTTAGCAGTGGTGAATCTGCACAGGTCTGCAGCAGCCTCAATTCTTGCCTCTTCAGAAGAAAGAATTCAACTGAGGGGGCATAAGGTAGAGAGAGAGATAGAGGCAAGTTTTAGAGCAAGAGGGAAAGTTTATTAAAAAGTTTTAGAGCAGGAACAAAAGGAAGTGACACACACTTGGAAGAGGGCTGAGCAGGTAACTTGAGAGATTCAAGTGTGCTGTTTTGATCTTTGAGTTGGGGTTTTATATGCTGGCATTCTGCATGTGCAGTGGCCTGCCAGCACTTGGGAGAGGCCACATTTGCAGTGTGTCTGCTGAAGTTGTACGCATGCTCACTTGAGGCATTTTTTTCCTTACCAGTTGAGCATTCCCAGAGGAAGGTCATATAGCAGTTAAACCATATAGCAGTTAAACCGCCATTTTCCTCTTAGTGCGGATGCTTGAGCCCACTCACCCAACTCCTGAGATCTTATCAGGAAGCTGATGATAACCAGTTTCAGGTGCTTTCTGTCTATTGGGAGACTGCCTTTCCCTGGTTCTTGCTGAAACCAACTATTATTTTAGAGAGACAGTTTAACAACTGCCTGACCATCACCTGATGGTTGCCTGACATTTCTGGTGGGGAAGGGGGGCCTCTCCTGCCCTGCTTATGTCTGCCTAACTACCTACTCATATAACTACTACAGTCATCTTAATTTCATCTGATACTATTATATCTAGTATTTTTTCTACTTATTCTTACATAGGATTTATCTATAGTATTCTTATTGGTCGGGTAGGGAGGATTCTTATCCAGTTTTGCGTCAGTGTTGCTATCTTTATAAGGTTAAATGGAATGAGTATTTTTTTTCTATTTTTATGATGCTATAGCACGAATTATTGTAACACATGTATTTTCTATTTTTTAAACTTCAGGGAAAGATTTCCTGTAAAACTAAATGGGCCCAGAAGCTTTATTAAAGGTCATTTTTTTAATAAAGGGGGAAAACAATTGTCATGTTGTTAGATGACTGTGCCTAAGTTGAATGTAGTGCTGCATTTATGCCCTTGGGCTGAATAAAGGCAGCAGACTTATTTAACACCCCCATCCCTTTTGTTTTTACTGTTCCAGTCCATACATGCTGTTTTGATTTTTCTTCAGAAGGTAAAATATGGGTATTCCAAGATATATTTCTCTGACCAGTGCCATCAAAGCTATAATTTAATAAAAATATTCTCCTGTCTGTAACATATAGCCTTGTATTTTTTCCACTTGAAGAATGGTTTTCGTCTCTTCCTCTCTTCTTGCATTTTCATGTACATTTTCATTGAACAATGACAGAGAATTTATCAGGAACTGTTAGCATCTCACCAAATTGACACAGAAACCCTCATGTCTTTCTTTAGAAAGAAAGAACTTCACACTAGCCTATGTTATAATTTCTCCTGCTCGCCTCACTCAAAGAACAGCTCTTGCACACTCACCCTCCATCCCCAACACCAGAGCACTGAAAGTGTTCACTTGATTGCATTAACTGTGGATAACAACGCATACCATTAGCACTTCTATAGTGTTTGATAAATGTGATCAGTTTCAACTTGGGGCAACATGATACTGGGGAATTCTTAAGGTAGAATTTCCCTCTTGGATTCCACAGTTGTCTTAAAGAGTGGTGAAATGACAAGGTGCTTCTCCAAGGAAACTCCCTGACAAATCTTGTTTTCTAAAGAAAAGTAGAAAAAAGGTGAGGAGAAAGGAAGAGAAGAGAGTAAATTTAAATTCAGTCTTCTTTTACTTCCATTCATTCAGTTGGTCATATTCATTGTTTAGCTGCAGGATTTCCTATGTGTTTACTCCCCAAGTGGTATAAATAATGCTTTATAAATCTGGCAATATGATTGTAGACCAGAATAAACCCCAATTTTCCTAAAGAGAAGTATTTTTATACTTAATAGAGAACTGAATTCGAAATATAGGGTACTTGGTTCGGGTAACTGAAATTTTGGAGTGACCAAAATGTTTTTACTGCAGCCTTGACAAATGCTGTGCTAAACTAGAATAACTCCTTAGGCAGAATAGAAATAAGAGGTAATTATATTCATTCCTTTGTCTTAACTGAATCAGCATGTTGCTAATACCTTTTCATGTGAGCTGGTTTAGGTTTTATTTTGACTCCAAATAATAATTATTGGTCCTGAATAAATAAGAATGCGTGCCTACCATGTATTTCTTTTTTGATGGTTTTTTTTTTTTTTTGTCCTAGACTACTTTCATGACAGGTTGGGGTTGATGAACATATATTTATCTATGAGATTCAATTAAAATAAACATTTTGTTCCCTGAAAGCTTCAACAAAATTATCTCTTTTCTTCTTTGCTTACAGACCATAGTGCTAGAAAAGAGATAATATTAAATTTGAATGTGCACATTATTCACTTAGGAATCTTACTAAAATCCAGATTCTAACTCAGCATGTCTGGAATGACGTCTGAGATTCTGCATTATTAATAAACTCCCAAGTGATGCTAATACTGTTGGCCCATGAGCCACACTCTAACTAGATCAGAAAAACCCACCCCTTCCAGTCCTAGGCCTATCACTAACTGGCTGTGTTAGTGATATTACCAGCCATCTTGGGAATCTGGATTTCCTCTTTCACAAGGGAGTTATTTGCCTACCCACATGTATGAATGCTCTTAAGGAAAATCTAACCATGGAGATTCTAAGGTATCAAAGGATAAATCACAGATAGTATCCACATTTTAAAAGGATTTATTTAAATAGAAGCTTAGAATTCACAAGGGGCCATTGACAAGTATTTTTGATAAATCATTCTACTTAATTCAATAAATGTTTATTGTTCTTTTAGGTGAAGGGTTTTCTCAAGTTACCTTGCAGCAATTCCAAAATAGTGACAATGTCCCTGCCCTATTGAAGTTTGTAACTTGCAAGGTATTAGTAGTACTGAATAAAATTTATTGTCTAATATCTCAGAAAGAATTTCATGTGGGAATGAAAAATGTGAGATTCCGGTGGAATATTTATGGCAAACCTTAGGAGCTTCTTATTTTGTTTCCACTTCATGAACTAAAAAGAAATTAGGATACTGTGTGAGCTGTGCTTGGAAATTTGGGGGCACTTGGGATGGTAGAGGCCCAGCAATGGGAAAGTAAAGGAAAGTTCAGCAAATCCTCTCAATATAAAGCATACATTTTAGAGTTTAGTAAGAGAGAATAAGACTAACATGGTGAGAGCCAGATTATGAAAAGTTTTGAATGGCAGGTCTGTAATTAATCTGCCACATGGTGGCGATTCACTAACTGTTGCAAGCAGGTAAAAAATATATTTGAATGTGGACATTAGGCAAATTGACCTGTCTTTTATGCAGATGTACGGGAAAGAAGACCAGCAGGAAGAACCGTGAGAAAGGCAGTAGCAGTAGGAAAGAAAGCAAGGGATGATTTGAGATTCCTTTAGAGATCAATGGGAAAGACTGGAAAACTGCTTTCATATAGAAAGTTGGAGATTAAACAATCATAAGTCAACTGATAAGCGGGTGATGGGAAAGGTTTGAAACTTTTAAATGCTGGCCTCATAAATCATCCTGATACCAAAGCCGGGCAGAGACACAACCAAAAAAGAGAATTTTAGACCAATATCCTTGATGAACATTGACGCAAAAATCCTCAATAAAATACTGGCAAACCGAATCCAGCAGTACATCAAAAAGCTTATCCACCATGATCAAGTGGGCTTCATCCCTGGGATGCAAGGCTTGTTCAATATACGCAAATCAATAAATGTAATCCAGCATATAAACAGAACCAAAGACAAAAACCACATGATTATCTCAATAGATGCAGAAAAGGCCTTCGACAAAATTCAACAACCCTTCATGCTAAAAACTCTTAATAAATTAGGTATTGATGGGACGTATCTCAAAATAATAACAGCTATCTATGACAAACCCACAGCCAATATCATACTGAATGGGCAAAAACTGGAAGCATTCCCTTTGAAAACTGGCACAAGACAGGGATGCCCTCTCTCACCACTCCTATTCAACATAGTGTTGGAAGTTCTGGCCAGGACAATTAGGCAGGAGAAGGAAATAAAGGGTATTCAGTTAGGAAAAGAGGAAGTCAAATTGTCCCTGTTTGCAGACAACATGACTGTATATCTAGAAAACCCCATGGTCTCAGCCCAAAATCTCCTTAAGCTAATAAGCAACTTCAGCAAAGTCTCAGGATACAAAATCAATGTACAAAAATCATATGCATTCTTATACGCCAATAACAGACAAACAGAGAGCCAAATCATGAGTGAACTCCCATTCACCATTGCTTCAAAGAGAATAAAATACCTAGGAATCCACCTTACAAGGGATGTGAAGGACCTCTTCAAGGAGAACTACAAACCACTGCTTAATGAAATAAAAGAGGATACAAACAAATGGAAGAACATTCCATGCTCATGGGTAGGAAGAACCAATAACGTGAAAATGGCCATGCTGCCCAAGGTAATTTATAGACTCAGTGCCATCCCCATCAAGCTACCAATGACTTTCTTCACAGAGTTGGAAAAAACTACTTTCAAGTTCATATGGAACCAAAAAAGAGCCCGCATCGCCAAGGCAATCCTAAGCCAAAAGAACAAAGCTGGAGGCATGACGCTACCTGACTTCAAACTATACTACAAGGCTACAGTAACCAAAACAGCATGGTACTGGTACCAAAACAGAGATATAGATCAATGGAACAGAACAGAGCCCTCAGAAATAATACCACACATCTACAACTATCTGATCTTTGACAAACCTGACAAAAACAAGCAATGGGGAAAGGATTCCCTATTTAATCAATGGTGCTGGGAAAACTGGCTAGCCATATGTAGAAAGCTGAACCTGGATCCTTTCCTTACACCTTATACAAAAGTCAATTCAAGATGGTTTAAAGACTTAAATGTTAGACCTAAAACCATAAAAACCCTAGAAGAAAACCTAGGCATTACCATTCAGGACATAGGCACGGGCAAGGACTTCATGGCCAAAACACCAAAAGCAATGGCTACAAAAGCCAAAATTGACAAATGGGATCTAATTAAACTAAAGAGCTTCTGCACAGCAAAAGAAATTACCATCAGAGTGAACAGGCAACCCACAAAATGGGAGAAAATTTTTGCAACCTACTCATCTGACAAAGGGCTAATATCCAGAATCTACAATGAACTCAAACAAATTTACAAGAAAAAAACAAACAACCACATCAAAAAGTGGGCGAAGGACATGAACAGACACTTCTCAAAAGAAGACATTTATGCAGCCAAAAAACACATGAAAAAATGCTCATCATCACTGGCCATCAGAGAAATGCAAATCAAAACCACAATGAGATATCATCTCACACCAGTTAGAATGGCAATCGTTAAAAAGTCAGGAAACAGCAGGTGCTGGAGAGGATGTGGAGAAATAGGAACACTTTCACACTGTTGGTGGAATTGTAAACTAGTTCAACCATTGTGGAAGTCAGTGTGGTGATTCCTCAAGGATCTAGAACTAGAAATACCATTTGACCCAGCCATCCCATTACTGGGTATATACCCAAAGGACTATAAATCATGCTGCTATAAAGACACATGCACACGTATGTTTATTGCAGCACTATTCACAATAGCAAAGACTTGGAACCAACCCAAATGTCCAACAGTGATAGACTGGATTAAGAAAATGTGGCACATATACACCATGGAATACTATGCAGCCATAAAAATGATGAGTTCATGTCCTTTGTAGGGACATGGATGAAATTGGAAATCATCATTCTCAGTAAACTATTGCAAGAACAAAAACCCAAACACCGCATGTTCTCACTCATAGGTGGGAATTGAACAATGAGAACACGTGGACACAGGAAGGGGAACATCACACTCTGGGGACTGTGGTGGGGTGGGGGGAGGGGGAAGGGATAGCATTGGGAGATATACCTAATGCTAGATGACGAGTTAGTGGGTGCAGTGCACCAGCATGTCACATGTATACATATGTAACTAACCTGCACATTGTGCACATGTACCCTAAAACTTAAAGTATAATAATAAAAAAAAAAAAGAAACTTTTAAATGTTAGCTTCCATTGTTTTGGAAAGTCTTTAGAAATAGTCTCTGAACATGTAGAGTAAAATCAGTACTTCTACTTTCTCTGAAACTTTAATGTGACTTGAAACAATGTAACAAAATACCAGTCTAATGCCACATTACTGATTTTACCAGTGCTGTAATTTTTAAAATAATAAATATACACTCTATTGAAAATAAATAAATAAATGAAAGAAATGGTCTCTGAAATAATAATAAATAAACATTTAAAGCCAATTTTGTGTGAAGCCCTGTAAGGCTTTTTGGAAACATGTAAGGCCAACCCCATTCCTCTAGGAACTGATAAATGAGTAGGTCAAATAGAAGTCAATTATCAAAGACTGCTTACTTTCTCTCTACTTTCAAACCATTATCACAAGTCAGTTATGTTGACCATTTATGTTTTAGAATAAAATATACCAATTATTTTCTTTATAAAATCTACAAATTACTTCTTTCCTTCTGTTATTTTAATCATGGAATTTGAGAACTAGGAGGAATTTAGACTTCCTCTAGTGCAAGTTATACATGTTACAAACAAGGACATTTAGGTTCTGACAGAATAAATGATTTTCTTAGGGTCACACAGCTAGTTAGCAATAGAATGATTGCGGATCTAGTTGAGAATTATCCACCATAACACTTAAACATGGCTGATTACCAACAGAATTTTAGATAGTTAGTCCAAATCACTTTTTAAAAATCAAAATAACTTTGAAGTTACATACTTTCTAAAGATCAGAAACTCTCAGATCTGTGACACTTGATTTACTTTGATACCTGGGTGTTTTTTGTTTCCACACAAACAAGTCGGGGAGGGGAACAGCAAAACAACCCTGTTCTTCAGCAGTCCTAGGAAACTATCACCAATACCCCTCATCTGCTATTTTCTAAAATTATACTCTAGGGTGTAAACTCCTGCTATTTAACCGGTTGGCATAGGGAGACTTTTATTTTTCCTAAAATGTAGATACCATTTTGTCCAAGATAATCAAAATCCACTCAGCCATAAAAGCTCCATTTTGCTGTTTGACATCATAGAGCATTTATTTGTCTTTTCACTAAGCATTAAGGATGGCTAACAGCACAGATCATTTGCCAATGATCTTGTCTTTGTGCCATATTTATTAGTCCTTTGTGACACTATCTCCATCTACTGATACTCTTCTCCCCAAATCCTCTTTCCATTTTCTTGTGTGACACACAAACTGATGATGGGCAGTCTTCAGCTGAACACACTGTGATCCTCCCCCTGTTTCACGGGTCCCCTTTCCCCCACTTCCATGCTGGCACAGAGCAGGCTCAGCATCAGGAGTCTGCTTCTGATGCCACAGGCTTTCTGAAATGGTTATGTCGGCATGGTTTTCCTAGGAGATGGCAACCCTACAACTCTCCACCTTACCTATTTCAGCCAGTGCCAGGATTTTATTTTCCACCCCTTTATTAAAAAACAACATACTGTGCCATTTTGGGTGCTTCTAAATGTGGGTCTACCCTCAATGGCTCATTAACAACATTTCTCAATTCAACTTCATCCGCTAGTCTCTGCAGTGGTTTGACATCAGTTACATTTCTGTCTTAAGTCTGACCCAATAAAAGTCATCTCTTCCCAGCTTATCTTTACCTTCTCTCAAGTGTGAATATAAGATTTATCAGTTATTAAGCTGTTTATTTTTTTAAAGGTATCTAGCTTTGTGTCACTGTTGATTTCACTATTTGCAAACTGGCTTTGTCATTTTATTGATAGCACTTGAGTGAAGAGCTCCCTGTTAATATATGCAAACTCACAGCTCCCAACAAGCTTTCCAGCCCTGTTAATGAGAGGATTAGCAAGAGCACTGCAATGTATTTAACCTGCGGCACTAGCTCTGTTTCAATAAGACTTCAACAGCCTATTAAATGGAGTGGGGGCTCAATTAACCCACACAAAGGCCACTCTACCCAACGTGGCAGGGAGGACCACATTTAGCATCTGCCTAAGCAGCTTGTTGGAAGCTGGAAATAAAGGGGGTGACATGTTCTTGCCTGGAGCTATGATATAACTGAAATGGTGATTCTAGTTCATCTGGGCTGACTGAATAGGTGACAGCATTGAAACCCACTATCTCGCCATATGACAGTTTTTTAAAAAATCAGAGTATACTCAACGGTCACTCCACCCCCCCCATGCCTTCTTCTAAGGGAGCACCCTCATTGTTCCTGGGGCAGTCAGTAGGAGTCATGGATCATGGATTTGAGGATGTCAGGGAGTGACAGTTTGTGTATGGGGAGGAGGGATGATGGAGTACACCAAGAAGTCCCAGGAAATGCATTATGTTCAAACAGCATTTCCTCATGTAATTAGAAGTTAGAACTGGCTCCTCATGTCTCATAAGCATGCTTCACCAAACAGCCAGCCAAAGGCCAGCCATTTTGTGCTGGAAATCAAAGTATAAGCAATGGCAACTCATTGAGCTGGATACTTCTACATCTTCACTTGAAGCTTGTTAGGATCATTGAGTTTTGTGGCTTATAGTGTCAACTACCTGTCAGAAAATCCAAACAAATGGTTCCAACATTTCAAGTTGAAAATGAAAGTTGACTAAGTAGACTACTGTTTGTTTGCCCAGGAGGGCATGAATCAACTATAGTGATAAACCGAAATCTCCTCTAATTTTCCACCTGTGAATTCTCCATGTCATAAAGTCAAAGATATATTTGGGATCAAGAGATTGATGTTTCCTCTCCAATTTTCCAGTGGAAGTTTCTCTTTTTAACAACATTTTCTCTTGAAACTCAGCCATACCCAAATATTATTATAGATTGACCATTTAAATTTCTGTATTTATTTTTTAATTTGTCATTGTTTTTATTTTTTCCCATTGTATGCTGTATCTAGATATTAATGCAACTTCCTATTACTGTGCCTTACTTTTTTCTCCCATTACTTGTCACCTCCAAACATACTATATTATATACTTACTTATATGTTCATTGTTTATTGTGTTATCTCCTTGCTAGAATGTACATTTAACAAAGGCCAGGGTTTGGTTTTATTTATAGATGTAATTCAAACATCTAGAACAGTGAAGTCTAGCATATAGGAATTTAATAGTATTTGTGGAATAAATTAATGTAAAGAAGCAGCACAGGTTATGTTCTAATTATGGAATCATAACCGATGGTTCATTAGAGAAAACTGCCATATAAGAATAGTCCATTCCACCATTACAAAATAAAGAAAAAGCTCTAAATTCTAGGTTGACAGGCCAGGTGAAGTCACCAGAGTGGATGTATTTGACGGTGCACCATTTCCTTACACCAGAGTGGTGAGGGCCTGGGTGGAGGATAATTTCGTAAATTGGGTTGAACCACACAGTCTTGTGAAGTGGGCTGCATGCTTATTAGATCTGAACCCTTTCACTTACTTATTCTGGGGTATGCTAAAGGCACAGGTTTATTTAGTGAAAATTAGAGACATAAATTCCTGAGGCATTGTATTCCAGATGTATATATAGGGACTGATGGAAATTCTGCATTAATGCACCACACTCATTGCAATTTCGTACAAAGCATTAAGCTATGAATTGCTAAAAAGGAGGAACATATTGAAGACATTGTACAATGCTTTTGACTATATAACTTATTGTAATGTAACACTAATAACCCATTTATTATGGATATTCATTTGCCTGTGTTTCCAGGCTTCAGGTTACCGTAAAACTAGAGAGTATTTTACACTCTTGATCATGAACTCTTCACATTAATAGCACTGACAGCTACAACTTCCATTTGTATATCTGGGTAACCTCAGAGCTGATACAAATTTTTTAATTGTTTTTCCTTTGGATGTTCATGTAAGCAGGTGGGTACCTGTGACTATTCCATGCAGGGGCTACTGGAAAGATAGCTCTAACTCCCAGTCTTGGATACACTTTGGGCCTCTTGATAGGTAAGAAATAGCATTTTTTGTGGGTGTGTTCTATAAAGACAAGAGCCATCTTCTGTTTGCCAACAAAAGAATCTTGTTCAAAGTAGATCCCAGCTATACCATTGCCTCTGAGGCACATGGGTATAATAAAGAATGTATCATAAGAGAGCATGTTTTCACTTGTTAGGCTAGAAAGACATTCTCAGGTAATGAGATCAGTGGTACTCCAGGGTACACAACTACTCCCTAGTTGATTCTTCCATCAGTTGTTGGGGAAAGATCAGAGAAAACCATGAAGAAAATTGTATTAATTGTGCCCCATTCTTACTCCACTGTCTGGGCACCAAGACACTGAATGTTTGCCCCATTCTCAAAGAAACTTGTCTGTATCTCTTTGGTTCATGAAGAAGCTTGTTTGACATTTTATGTTTAAAATTTTGATTTTACAAAGAGACACAAGCTAAGTCAGTAAATGTTCTAATGGTATTGCTGTCCAGAACAAAGATTTCTCTAATTAGTATCAAAGTATAACTGAAAAGATAACTTTCAGTTAATTAGTATTTACACTAAATCTGCCATACAATGAGTTATTGTGAAATTTGACATTTGAATGAAATCTCTTTAGAATAACTGAAGCAGCCACCTTATTCTGACCCCAGTTGAGTCACAAGGAGACATAATAGCCTTCATCAGCAGCCTGTCTAGAGTACTGTTCATCACTTTTTTTGTCAATAAATATTTTTCCAGTTTATGAACACACCCTCCCAAGCTATAATGTAAATTCACTGCTACTTATCTATTTTATGGAAATGATCTCATATAAGATTACTCATCTCTTTCTTTATTTACAAAACAGAAACAAAAAACAAAATAACCCTCAAATGACCCTTAGCAATTTTTTTTTTTATCCAAACCACAAGATGTTTTACAAAACTTTATAGTGGTAGAAAAACTACTTAGAAAGCAGAAATGAGGCAATTTAGAACCTAGATAGAGCCAGAGTGTTTGAATAAATTAAATTTGTCCCCAGAAACAACATATAAACAAAATGGAATCCCCTACAAAAGCCACCTAGGTGTTTGGCACAGAGTTTGAAAATCATTGTTATTGATTTTAGTTATTGGTTTTTTGGGTCCTAGTTTTAACCTGATTGGGGAATAAAAGAATGTGGAGATTTGCTGCTCAATATGGATTTATTGAAATGGGAGGAATTATCCTCTATTTCATTTTATTAAGACAAGAGATGAAAATATTGAGTTATTTCCTGTAATAATCTCCATTGTTATTGATGTGTCAAGTACCCTGCAAGATGCTGCAGATACGAAGTTAAATAAAATGTAATAACTAACATCACAGAAGTTTGAAGGTACTCAAACAATTTCAATAAAATATGATAAATGCTAATATAAAGAAATACGATCAACGATAATCTCTGTTATGTGAACATGGACTACTCATGCTTGAAACTAACAATATTTCTCCAATGGATTCTGGAATTTGGAGCTCACTCTGTGATACAGCTGTCCTTCATTTTCTGTGTTGCATTTGCCATATTGTGTGGTGATAACCATCATATGAAAAGTAGATTCAAACTTGGTTGAATCAGTAAAATGGACACGAAAATTCATACTTTGTTGGCTTGTTGTGCAGGTCAAACAAGTAGTTGCTGAGCCCAGTGCCTGGAATATGGTAGACCTTCAACAAATAATAGCTGTTGTTGATACTGTTCTTGTTATTGTGGTTATCACTAGATTCGGAGAAACTCCAGTAAACAATGTTTTTCTGTTATGGTTGTGTTAAATTGCAGCACTTTTGACTCCCTGTGGTTCACCTACTTGCTGTTGTTTGTTCCTCTCTTCCTCTCCTTTTCTCATGCCCCTAGTGTGTTTCCATTTTACCCATGAGTAATGGGCATTGCCCCTCACATTTGTCTTCCTTCCCAAATCATTCTCCTTTCAGGAAAAAGAGTTTGAAATATGAGAAATCAAGGGGTTTGGGAGTTTTCAGGGGAAAGGAGATGAGAATGAAGTAGGTGAGGACTTTTAGTTGATTCAGACACTCAAGGGCATCACTGGTAAACTTTAGGGGAGTCTAGAAACTGATGGGGGATCAATTGACTTGGTTTGAGAACAAGGTAAGAACATTTTTCTGTGTTTATCAGAATACTTGAGAGAACGTATTGATATGAATATTCTGGAATATTCAGAAAGCCTAGTGTAAGTAAGAGGTGAGAGAAGCCGAGAGAGGAGGAGAATGAAGCACCAAGAGTAAAGCTTTGGTCGCAAGAGACCATTCCAGAGTCAGCCTGGTGTGTGGGCATCAAAGAAGATGAATTTGGAACCCAAACTGTCATTGAGCACATTTTTAAAGCTGATTTTAGTTCTGCAGTTATTAGTAACTAGTCAAAATAAACTGACAATGCCCTGAGGCTTTAGGAGATAGTGGAAGGTTAGAGAAATTCAAGATATATAATCAACTCTATGGAAGATTTTGAGCATCTATTTCTTATATGTAGTCAAAATATATCTTTTCTCTTTAATTCATACTATTTTTTCTGTGCTCTTTTCCTCTTTAAGAAAAATAGTTTCAATGAAGTATAATATACCCATTGAAAAGTACACAGAAATGTTCTGGTTGGGAAATTTTTACAAAGTGAACACGCTCTTGCTGCCAGAATTCAGATCATGAAACTGAACATTACTAGAGCCTCCCAAACATCTCTTGTACTGCCATTTAGTCATTAACACAACTGCCCTTCATTGCTCAGCATAATGGGTAAAGATCCTAACATTTAGCAGCTTAGAATAGCTTCCCTGTTTCTGTAGTTTATTTAATGGAATTACACAGTATGTACTCTTTTAATGTCTGACTTGTTAATCTTTTTTTGTTTTTTGGTAAGATTCATCTACCTAAGGCTTTTAATATTAAATAACATTTAATATAACTGTTTCTAAATAAAATATGTATGGGATTACTATCCAGGATATTATATATACATTTAATAAAAATTAGTAAATCTTTTATAAATTGGTTTATTCATTTATTTAATTGGCATTTATGCCATGAGAAACAAGGAAAGGAGAGATATAATCCCAGCTCTCAAAATCTTAGCATCAATAGTGAAGACCAAAACTAATTCCAAGGATGAGCATCTTCACCACTGATGTTAAGATTTTGAGAGCAGGGATTATATCTCTCCCTTTATCCTTTAGAATAAAGGATGGCATGAGTGGGAACAAAGTGGAACACTTTGGAACTCTTAATGTATACTTAGCTTTGGTAGAGAAGTCAATGGAGTACTTAGTGGGGTGTTGGGAATGATACTCTCCAAACACAGGCATGGTCTGTAAAGAATTTAAAAATAATAAATCGCAACTGAAAATGCTTTTTATTATTATCATGCACCAACAATTTAAAACTTATCAATGATTATTCTCCCCACACACATAACAAACTTTTTGAGTTTAGATTCTAGACAATTGCTATAAATGTAATCTTCAGATTAGCACATTTTTATTACCATTTACTAAACAGGTAGTCTACATGGAAGTTAATTTGGAAGATTCTCAGTTTTGTCATTGGCTTCTGACACCTGTGGACTTGACTACAAGTGTTTGTTTCAGCAATGAATTCTCAATGGTTCTGAGTCATTCAAGTTTGCTTCAAGCCAGTTTGAGTCTTAAACTGCTGTGGTGGGTCCTAAATTAACAATAATAAAGTTGAAGCAACAGAACTCAAGTTATCTCATTTTTGCTTTTTCTTTGTGATCACTTGGAGTTTTAATTTATGTTTAAATTTAAAACAGTGAACCAGGATGTGAACTGCAAGATGTGGTATTTCATTTGGTAAGTACAAATTTTAGTTTATACATAAAACATCTTAAATAATGAATATCTTTTGAATAACTTAAATTTGAGTATCTTTAAAATTGGTGTTTCTTCTTTAGTGTTAGTTAATTAAGAAATGAGCAAAAAACTCCAATGTTAAGTTAATGGTATGATTTCATAGTTACTTAAATTGGAATTTTTGCATTTAATTTAAAAGTATTAATCCATTCTTTTCTTCTTTTTTTAACTTTGATATTTTATTCTATTCTTTTTCACTAACATGACTAGATATATAAAGTTCAATAAAATAACATTTTTTACTGTTTACAACTATTTTCTGATCATTGTACATTTAATTTCATGATTATTGCTGAAAATTTTTGTGTACAGAGGAGGAAGTGTTAAAAAATGATGTACCCAGGGTATTGGGTACGCTAGGTACGTCATCGAGAGAAGAAAAGTACAAGGTATTTTAGATATACAAGATGCTGTTGCTTTTGGATTTAAAAAGACGATTATTTACCTAAATTTGGTTGAGGGAGGGCTAGTTCACATCTTTCTCCAAATGAAAGTGAAAATGGAGCTTGCCTGTCATTGGGAACGCTTAGTGAGCATTAGAGTTTGGAATAAAGATGAAAGCGTTGTGCTAACATGGTGTTTGATAGGTCCACTGCAGCCTGTTCAGTTTGGGACAGAACTGACCATCTGCTTAGAGCTTTTTAAGTGTGTTTAAGCAGTCTGAGATGGTCTTTGTTGCTTTGGGTCTTTGTGTTGGCGTGTATTATTATTCCAAATTGTTGGAAGCCAGTCTTGCAGGAGGTAAGGTTTTGAATTCCTGATGGTGTGTGAATTTTTGTCCCCAAGGTTTCTCTCTGGGATGAATTGATTTGCTGGCCAGAAATGAGGCTGAATTCCTCCATCAGGTTAAAGGCTGCTGACACAGGGTGTTTGGTTTAGCAGCCTGCCCCAAGCGCCTCATCTGCATACTGATAAAGCCTGCTTCCCTCCCAGCCCAAGCTTGGCAGTGGCCATTGCTAATGCAAGCTGTTTGGGGAACAAAGGAGAATTCAATCTAGTTTTCACCTTAATGTAAGTAGGCCAAAAGGAAAGGTTCCTCATCTTTATTAAAGTCTACTCCCTTTATTTTTAAGCGGGCAACTACCTTTAGTTACATTTCACAGACTTCTGCTGCCTCAGAGACTGAAAGAACTTCAGTTTTTCTTAATCTTCCCCTTTGCCCTAATCAGGCATCTCTTCTCCAGATTTTCTAAGACACTCTATTAATTTGCTAGTGCTGCCAAGATGAGGTACCACAGACTGGGTGGCTCAAACAACAGAAACTTGTTTTCTCATGATTCTGGAGCGTAGGAGCCCAAGATCAACAAGATCAAGGCATCAGCAAGGTTGGTTCCTTCTTAGGCCTCTCTTCTTGGCTTGCAGATGACCATCTTCTCTCTGTGTCTTCATTCACAGGCTCTCTCTCTGTGTGCCTGCCCTAATCTCCTACTCTTATAAGGACACCAGTCATATTGGATTAGGCCCAACCATATGGCCTCATTTGACCTTAAATACCTCTGTAAGGACTCATCTCCAAATACAGTCACAGTGTGAGGCACGGGAGCTTAGGATTTCAACATATGAATTTGGGGACAGGAGAGGAAAGGCAAAATTCAGCCTATAGCAGACAGGATCTTTCAGGTGCAACTTCAACCTGGGCATGACACTTCTGGTCCCAAATGATGTATTAGCCGTCTTTTTTCTAGCCTTGGAAAATATTCTGAATTGAAATAAAGTATTGCCTCAAGACAGGCTAGACCTACACATACATGTCTTGGCAAGTCAGCTTTCAGTGGTATAGATGGGTATTTTTTTCTGATTTTATACTTGTGAGTACTTCATTCCAGAGCTTTCAAAGATATCTGCTGAATTTCAAAAGAATCAGCATTGGGCAAAACTAATATGCTGGGGAGAAGATCGTGAAGGTATTATTATGATTATGATTATTAGTATTTAAAATAATGCCTAAGTTCTATTAATGGAATAAATAAGTGTGGTAAACATCTAGCAAGCTGTCAGTAATTTGAGGAGGATAGAATTTATTTGACATTTTCTGTATAAATGGATCCAGGTATTATTTTAACCATTGTCTTGGTGGGTGAAAATTATACAGTCTCAAAGCCAGACCCTAATAAGACTTGGGGAAAAAATATCAACTAGGACTATTTCTATGTGATTCTAGAATATTTTGCTTATAACAGAGAAAGTGGGTAGCTTGGTCTATTTCAAGACTTGGACCTTGCTAGGAGAGAATATCTACTTTTTAAACATGTTATAACCACTGTTATTATGTGGCCTAGGAGAAAGAAATGACTGATACAATACGTATGGCTTTTTCTGACTTTATTTAAATACAATAAATGTTAACTTTTAATATATTTTCTTTGTTCCTACTGCTTTCACTTTTTTCTTTCAATATGCCCTGTTATCAAGGATAAAATGGAGCTGCAAAGATGAAGAGTTAGAATGTGATGGAGAGGTATGGTCCAATGTGTAGGAAGGTAGAATGTCACAACAGCAATGATAAAACTTAGTCTGCATTTTGAATTCATTCATTCATTCATTCATTCATTCTACACTGGACCATGTTGCAACGAAATAAACAAGACAGCCAGAAAGTCCTGGTCTTCCAGGAAGCTGACATTTGTAATCAATGTACTACATAGATGTGGCAGGCAATCACTAAGATAAATGATTTTTCCAAAAGCAAAGTTTGAGCATAGCTTATAAAAACTGAAAATATAAATTAAAACATAACAGAAATTTTAATTTTCTCCTTAGATTTGAAAGCTGGTACTTCTCCAACAAGCTAGAGCTGAGAGTCTCTAACAGGGGAAAATCAAAATATTTATTCCAAGTAGGATTAAGGGAATCTGTATATTGGCTGTGAAATCAAAGAAAAGCTTTTACTTAGTAAGTTTGAAATTACTTGTAATTTTTCCTATGATTAACTATCACAAACACCCAACAAATTCTGCTCAGAGCCCAAGTTATATCTAAAATAGTGTGTGTCCCAGTAGTTATAGACCTGACCTTTTTTCTTAAAAAAAAAAAAAAAAAATGTTCTCTACCCTTGCTCTTTTCTAGGGTTACAATGTTAGTTTAAATCAGATGTTAGTTGTCATGCATTTTGGAGAGCCATCCATTCATTGATGTAATCATCATAAGTGTATCTATCCATCCATTCATCCATCCATCCATCTGTCCATCCATTCATCCATCTATCCATCTGATGCCTTGGCAAGTGTCTGGCCTATTTTAGGCCTTCAGCAAATATTTGTTGAATGAATAAATAAATCACCCAACCTTGACTGTCTACCATGTGCAACTAATAATCCGCAGGTATAGTAGCCCAGTTATACCATTGGCTTATCACATATTCACTTGCTGTTTTCCAGGAGGATTTTGTGTTGATTATTATGATGGTGACAGGGGAAGTGTGAATATAATTTTTGTAACAAATAGCTTTCTGAACACAAAAATTTCCCAATAATATGTAACTTTTAGATATACATAGGATGAATTGTTAAGAAAACTAAGCATCAGATTATCAGGTTAGCAGTTAGAAAACTCTTGCAGGCAGTATAAAGTGTGATATTCCTGTGACTTGGAAACTTAGTGTTTGCCACTTTCTCTGAAGGGAGAATACGGTGAATCAGATTCACTTGAAAAACCCCCAGAAACTTGCTGGAATCTACCTTAATGTCTCCTTAGGGGAATTAAATCCACAAGGCCAATCAGTTCTCAAAGAATTTTTCAGTCTCCCAAGGGAAGTGGAACAACCTTTGGTGGACAGTGTTAGAGGGAAGAATACTGGAGCTGGTGGATATAGGCATATGCTAAAAATGTAGCAGAACAAATTTATGCTTGATTTGTGTGTCTGACCCCTGCCTCTTGGTCATACTGAATAAGCTTAGCAGACACCAGATGTATCATTTCAATTAACATTTTTTGTGTTTTATGGTTTACCAATGATTTTCTTAGTGTTTTCCAAATTGTTCCTCCAAACTACCTTAACAGCAGAATGGGTATACATAATTCCATAGCATCTAAGGAGTGGCCCTGTATATCCTGGAGCAAACCAGAAATTTGCTCTGAAATGTGTGTTTTAGTATGAAATCATGCGTATTCCTTTCTATTTAAATATACCTCTGTGTTTGCTTTAATGTGAACAATGCTTTAAATTAATTATCATGGAGTAAAATATATCCTCAAAACAGTAACTTTCACATACCACCACCCCCCTTTACTCTTCCCTCTGGGCTGTACATTCAATACTTACACTAACCATATGAAATGAATATCACCATTATCCTCTTCTTCGGAAGAGAAATCAAGGATCATAGAGGTCAAAGTTGATAATTACCTAAATGACAGGCATTATCTCAATTAATAGCTTTATACACGTTTAATTCTAACAACCACTCATCACCACCTTTTTATAAAAGAAGAAAGCACAACGTTTGAGAGGTTAAATAACTTGCCTTTGTTCTCAGAGTTATAAGGAGGAATGAGACTGGATTTGAACCCAGTTTGTCTGACTTCAAAGAACCCACTGTTTTCATTATACCCTCGCTTTTTTCAAATGTTCCAAATGAATTTGACATCCTAAGCAATCTGAGTGAAGTAATAAGAGGGGAAAATTTTTTAAGGGAGGGGCCCTGTTATCCACTAATTCTTTTAAGGGTACCAGAAGGGAATTTTTGAAGTTGTGGATTTACCACCTGGAACCTTTGAAAAACATAATAGGAAGTGACCTAGAGATACATGTTCCTTCTCTGTCAACCTGCTGAGGAGATAAAACATAGCTGCTTCCATTAGTCAGTCTGCAAGGGTCAATATGTATTATGTACTTAGCCAGCTATGGTACACATGCAACCACAGTCTTGCTTTCGATGAACTTATAATGTTGTCATACACTTTGGTGAATACCTCTGAATTAGTCTATTCTTGCATTGCTATAAAGAAATATTTGAGACTGGGTAATTTATAAAGAAAAGAGATTTAATTGGCTCATAGTTCTGTAGGCTGTACAGGAAGTATAGTGGCATCTTCTTCAGGGGAGGCCTCAGGAAGCTTACAATCATGCAGAAGGCATAGGGGGACCAGGCAGCTCACATGGCAAAAGCAGGAGCATCAGTGTGAGGAAGGAGGTGCTACACATTTTTAAATGACCAGATGTTACAAGAACTCACTCACTATCATGAGGACAGTACTAAGCAAGGTGGTACAAAACCATTTATGAGAAATCTGCCCCCAGCATCTAACCACCTCATGTAGCTGATAAAGACATATCCGAGACTGGGAAGAAAAAGAGGTTTAGTTGGACTTAACAGTTCCATGTGGCTGGGGAGGCCTCAGAACCATGGCGGGAGGCAAAATACACTTCTTATGTGGCGGTGGCAAGAGAAAATGAGAAGGATGCAAAAGTGGAAACCCCTGATAAACCCATCAGATCTCGTGAGACTTATTCACTACCACGAGAATAGTATGGGAGAAACTGCCCCCATGATTCCCAATTATTTCCCATCAAGTCCCTCCCACAACATGTAGGAATTATGGCGGTACAATTCAAGATGAGATTTGGGTGGGAACACAGAGCCAAACCATATCACCTCCCACCAGGCCCACCTCCAACAGGGAGATTACCTTGCAGTATGAGATTTGGGCAGGGACACACATCCAAACTGTATCAACCACTATCAAGCAATATATGGTTAAGTGCCAGAAAGTAGGTTACACCTCATTACTGCAGGTATTAGGGATTCGTGGAGGAGCTGTGTCACTGAAGAATGGTACAACAGGCTTTATTTGGGAGAAGAGGATGGCAAAGCCCCCATTCCATTTTTACCCAAGACATTGTCGTTTTTCCTTTTCAGTGCTTTACTAATATGTCAGTTCTCCAAGTTATCCAGATCATTTCTTCTAGTTTTTTTGATTCTCAGTAGTACCTGAAAGAGAAAGAGGTGACTAAACTGCCTAGGGCTTCCTGCAAGCATTTCTTCCTCCTCCCATCAAACTCTGTGTGCACATCATCATCAAACTCTGTGTGCACATCATCATCAAACTCTGTGTGCACATCATCATCAAACTCTGTGTGCACATCATCTCTCACCTCTCTCCCTGTATATGTGAGTGTACCTATATATTCACTTAGATAACATTCACTCATTTATGAAATATTTGTTAAAGACCTACCAGGTGCTGGATATGATAGTGAACAATATAGAAGTGACTTCAGCCTTCAGGTAAAGATAAGAGGTAGAACAGAGAGGAAAGACCAGAGAGAGGAGATAACTATAAATGTGCATATTTTCTATATTCACATTTCTTTCTGCTATTCACCTTAAAATAACTGTGCCTTCATATAGTGAGAGAACATGAGCTGAGAGGAGGATGTGGTCATAATCCTGTGTCTTTAAGAGTCATACCTTCCTGAAATAATCTTTCCAGACTCTAGCCTGAATAACATGATTTGAAACAAACTTACGCTGTGGGATGGCTCTTTCTGAACCAAACAGTCCACTTTTGGCAAGTCTTACTGACAGCTGAGAAGCAGTTGTTGGATTGCTTGTTAGCCCTAGCAATTAAATAACAATCACTTTAAAAACAGTATATGGACCTATTGGAAGCAGTATGATGCTACATGTTGGGTATAAAGTTGCCTGGACTTGCTGTGCCTGGTGTTGATAAGGTAGCAGATGGTCTAATAGACTTCATCATTGAGCAGCTAAATTGGTAAGGTCTTAGTTTAATAATCTTGTGTTCTAATGATTTAGGCGAGTGATGAAAGGCAAGGCAATTACTTGTACTTGTAATAATGCCCAGTTGGCCTGGATGGAAGGGACACTCACTCATACATAGTGTGATGTAATTAACTCCCATTCCCCAGAACCATGGCTGCATGGCTGTTTGTAGACAGGCTACCTTGATAATACACATCTCACCTTGATACTAAAACTTAAAAGCATTTTCCAAGTCGAAAACGACTCTTAATTACTTAAATCACTCAAGGAAAGAAAATTTAACTTTATCTTAGTGTAGCATTTCTATATTTCCAAAGCATGAGTATGATCTCATTGGATTCTAAAATATGTTGCTGGGGAATAAAAAGTACTTAAGTGGTATGAACCATTTACAGATGAGATAGTCATTCAGTGGCTTACCCGAGCCATAGAAAATATCTGGAAGGCAACTAGAATCTAGGTATTTCAAATCTTAGATCTGCAATCTTTCCCCCATCTTGTACTCTTTAGACTCATTTTACCCAATACTTCCTCCCTGTCTCTTTGCAGGACATCTCATCAAATCTATGGATTAAAATTATTCCATATATGGAATACAATATAAGTAGTGATAATTACACTTTAATATTCCCCAAGATATGATGTAATTTACACAGAATAGACTACTAATAAATACATTTTTAAATAACATTGATTCTAAAAGATCAATTTACAAGATCAACATGCAAAAATCAATCCCATTTTAAAACACTAACAATGAACATGTGGAAAGCAAAATTTAAAACACAATACCATTTATAACCACTCCAAAAAAATGAAATATTTAGATATAAACTTAACAAAACAAGTATAAATCTGCATGCTAAAAATTACAAAATTTTGATGAAATAAATCACATAAGACCTAAATACATGAAGAATATACTCTATTCATGAACTGGAAGACTTAACATATTAGAGATGTCAATTGTCCCCAGACTGATATACAGGTTTAACACAATTCCTATTAAAATTCAAGCAAGTTCTGTTGTAGGTAGAACAAGCTTATTCTAAAATTTGTATGGAAAAGAACAAGCCATAGAATAGCCAAAACAATTTTCACAAAGAAAAATAAAACAGAAGGTATCACTCTATCAAATATTAAGGCTTGTTATATACCTACAGTAATCAAGACTGTGTAATATTGGCAGAGGGATGGACACATAGATCAATCGGACAGAGCAGAAAAGCCAGAAAGAGAATAGAACCCACACAAATAGGCCAAAATTATTTTTTTCCCCAAAAGCACAAGACCAATTTAATGGGGAAGATTAGCTTTTTCAGCAAGTGATGCTGGAGTAGTTGGACATCTATAGACAAAAAAAATGAACCTTTACTTAAACCTCACACCTCATAAAAATTAACTCAAGATACATAATGGACTTACATATGAAACTGTAAAACTTTTAGGACTAAAACAGAAGAAAATCTTTGGAATCTAGGACTAGGCAGAGTTCTTAGGCAGAGTTCTTAGACTTAATACCAAAAGCATACTCCAAGAAGGGAAGAAATAAATTGGACCTCATAAAAATTAAAAACTTTTGCTCAGCAAAAGACTCTATTAAGAGAATGAAAAGAAAAGCTACAGTTTGGGAGAATATATTTGCCAGCCATATATCTGACAAAGGCTAGTATCTCTAACACAAATTGCTCTCAAAATTCAGCAGCAAAAATGAAAACAATTCAACTAGTACATGGGAAAAAGACATGAAGACACATTTCACCAAAGAAGATATACAGGTGGCAAATAAGCATATGAAAAGAAGCTCAGCATCATTAGCGATTAGGGAAATGCAAATTAAAACCACAATGAGATATCACTACACACCTATCAGAATGGCTAAAATAAAAAATAGTGACAATGCCAAATGGTGGTAGGATGTGGAGAAAGAAACTGAATGACTCATGTACTGCTGGAGGGGATGTAAAATTGTTCAGCCACTCCAGAAAATAGTTTGGTGGTTTTGTTAAAAAAAAAAAAAAAAAAAGAAAAGAAAAAAAAAACCATTGAACATGTAACTACCATACAACCCAGCAACTGCACACGTAGACAATTTTCCAGATAAATGAACACTGGTGTTCACATAAAAACCTGTACACGAATATAGCAGCTTTATTTATGGTAGCCCCAAATTAGAAACAATACAGGTGTCCTTCCGTGGTAGAATGGTTGAAGAAACTGTAATATGTGCATACTTATAGAGTACTAGTCAGCAGTAAATAAGAATGAACTATCAATTCACGCAACCATCTAGATGAAAATCTAGAGAATTGTGCAGAGTGGGGGAAAGAAGCCAATCTCAAAAAGTTACATTTCCATTTATAAATGATAAAATTATAGAAATGGAGAACAGGTTAGTGGTTGCTAGGGGTTAAGCGAGAAATGGGGCTCTTAGGAAAGTGGGTATGACTATAAAAGGATAATTTAAAAGACTCTTGTGGTGATGGAATTATTCTGTATCTTGACTGCATCAATGTCAACATCCTAGTTGTGATATTGTTCCATAGCTTTGCAAGTTGTTACCACTGGGGAAAACTTAGAAAAGGCTCCACAGGGTCTCATTGTACGATGTCTTATAATTGCATATGAATCTACAATTAACTCAACAATTTTTTAAAAAGCTAAAATGATTTTTTGTAACTCAGAATTCATAATACTTCTACTTGAAAACATTTTGTTCAAGTCAGGTGAAGTCTCCAAATTGCTGGTTTTTACTTCATTGTTATCCAATATCATCAGCAAATCTCACATCTCACTGATTTCTCACTTTACAGCTCAGTTTGCTACAAATAATGCAATTCACCTAGTAGACTTACAATAGCACTCCACATTGTCTCGTCCTATCTTCCTATTTGCTATTCTCCACCATTGTTTTACTCAGGTGAGCATCACACCATGGCTAGTTACCTACCAACCTGCCAACTCTCGAGTTCCTTTTAGTTAGTGTCCTACTTTGTTTTTTAATTCTAAGTATTTTCTTGCAGCGCAATTGCTGAGGGGGAAACCACTACAGTGTAGTGAACTCCTACTATGTGTCTAAGTCCTAACCGTGAGGTGATGGTGACTATCAAATTGGTGCCAGAATAATAGAGATAAAAGAAAAAGAATTAAATGGTATTGTCCTGATGAGATACCATCTCCATCCACGAAAGTCAGGTGTATGGTCGGGCCTTTTGGAGGGTTTGGGAGAAGGACCTGGTATAACTTGTTGATGCTGGAGCAGCCAGACCCAACCAAATATTAAAAGATAGGCCTAAAGCAAGGTGTTTCATATAAATATACCCACAAACCTTCTGAGTAGATCCTAACATTATCCCCATTTTACAGCTAGATTGGGAAATTTAGGCTTATTACTGATATATTGTGCAAGATCTAGTAAGTCAGGAACCAGCATGCTGACTCATATCCACGTGATTTTGAAACGTGATTGACTTCCCCATTTGCTACAATGGGTGAGCACTGTAAAGGAACTAGAGTTTTCTCTCTGTAGTCTTAGTCACTGTGTTATGAAGAGATGGACATCATAGTAATACTTATTTCTGATGCAATTAAATGCCTCTAGTTCTTAAAAGGAAGACAAGGAAAATGCTATTCTTATAATCTTCCTCCATGAAAATATTCCTTTAAAGCCTGCATCCTCGCTTTTTGCCCCTTTCCCATAGGGACTCATCTTCTCTTACCTCCTCCAGTAATGAGCTATTTCCACAAATCTTCATGGTTGTTTGCTAATGCAGCAGTACTGTCACAATAGTTAACTTATACAGTGGGCCACCAGCAGTCTCTGCCACAACATCAAACAAAAGTCCAGTTTTTGACAAGAACCCAGTACTGTCTGCCACCATGAGGTAACTAAAGATTGACAGCCCAGGTTTCTCAGCTGAAAGTGTTGAATTTATGCTAGGGGCATCTTGTTGCCTAAAGAAACGTACTCATCCTGGGAGACAGTTTTCTTTATTTTGAAGGTTGGGAATATCCCAGAAGGAGCCTTTAGTAAGAAGATGGATAAATATTCATTGATACAACAAATATTAATTGAGTGCCTCTATGTTCGAGGTACTGTCTGCATTTATTAAGCTCTGTATAGGTGCCAAGCTTTATGTTAAGTGCTTTATATGCACCTCATTTAGTCTTCTAAAGTGTCAGTTATGTAATTTTGCATATCTTTTAAAGTTTGCCACATACCACATCTTACATTACTCTGCATAAATCTTATATGTCTGTTGGAATATGGCAGGTTCAAGAGTCTTCAGGTATACATGGAACCAAAGAGAGACCCCAGCTTGTTTTCGAAGGTTCATTCTTTACCTGTATAAAAGCTGTGCAATGTAGAGTAAAGAATATGTTTTCTCAGTCATGGGATCTAGGTTCTGATCTGAGTTCTGCTACTACCAAGCTGTTGAATATTAACCAAATTAATGAATCTTCTTGTGTCTCAGTTTCCTCATTTGTAAAACAATTCCATGAACTAAATATTTTTTTAAACCTTCTCTATTTTGAAACTGTATACATCACCATCTGATTATCTGTAGTAAGGTAATTTAATGAGAAAGTCGAGAGCAGATTTTGAAACTTAAAGCCAAATTTCTGACAATCCAAAGAATCATTGGCTGAAAGCTGAATCTGTCTCTTCCTGGGTCTTGCTTTCCAGTTGGACCTATCGAAGCATATGTCACATTGTAGGGATCTAGGCAGCCATAACAGATGTGAGTTTAATTTTTTTCCGCCAAGTACTGACATATACCTAAGCAGATGTTAGGGTTGAGTTTCTTTTGTTTTTGTTTTTGTTTGTTTGGTTGGTTGGTTGGTTTTTAGCCTCTTGGCTTCCAGTTCTTGTGATGCATTTGTTTATTTGGAGGCACACTGAATTATTTTTCAAACTGGGAAAAACCCTCCTGACAAAAACTATTTTTTAAGTGTCAGAACATTTTCAACTCCAGCCTTCTTTAATCCAACTGAAAAATATGCAAAGAAAAAGAGTAGGTGGTTTCAAGTAAAAGAAGAAAACATAATTGAGAATTTCCTTGCAGGTCCACAAAGGATTTTATTTTGTCTCTACCCTGTACAGCAAGAAAATAAATGCCAGGACGTTTGTAAAGCTGTGATATTATAGGGCTGTTAGTGAAAAACCAAAAAGGATTGAGGGAGTGGGGAGGTGGAGGTTGTCTCTTTGATTGCTAGGGAAATTATGTAGACTTAGTTTCAATTGCTTGAAAATTCCACATCAGGGAATTTGAGGTTGCCTATTGTGGCCAGCTGGCATATAGAGGTCAAGATTGTTTCCTTTCTGTGCTTATATGACAAAGGCATAGCATGATTTTATTGGTGGTACTAATCTAACTGGCACTCAGATACTAAGTTTCTTAAGCACTTGGTAGTATTGAATTGTGTGATCTAGGGTCAGAGGGTAGTGCTAGAGAGAATTATTTGGGGGAAGAGTTGCCCAAAATACTGTAATACTGGCGGAGGTAAGCATCCCTAAGGACCTGTGCAGAAAATCTCTCTGAATACATACAGAAGACATTCATAAATGGAAACAAATACTCAAGAAAAGATAGAAAATCAAGTAGACTACTAATCCAGAGAGGAAATGAAAAGTTTGTCAAAGATCTGTAATAAGATTCCAGGCTCAGAGTATAACTAACTCTCCAAAAACAGGCAGTTTTGTGTTATTCAGACTACAAAATCAATGCAATGTTCACATCAGAATAAAAAAAAAAAGATAGCACTAAAAGAAAAGTGCTAGTGATTTATCCCTTACTAATATACAAACAAAAATTTCTAAGCAAAATGTCAGTGCAGTAAAATCAAATGCAGTAAAACAATTTTTAAAATACACCATTTTCAAGGATGATTCAATATTTAAAAAACCTATTAGCACATTTTTATTTCCTTGGTAGATTAAATGAAGAAAAAACTATTGCATAAAGTGATGCAACAAAAATATTAGAATATCTAGGAAACTTTAAAATTGTACTGAGGGGCATGAAATAATGTCTGAAAAAATGGAGAGATATGCCGTATTATCTAATGGAAATAATAAATATGTAAATTTCAGATAATTCACTACAAAAGCAATTGTTTTAGATGTGTATTTAATTTTAACTTGACAAATTGATATTAAACCTGGGAAAATACATGAAAATAGCCAAGATAATTTGGAAAATGTATCATAATTAGGAGATTAGCATTAACAGAGTAATTATAGGAGTAGAATAAGTAGAGATTTAATATTCATAGGGACAGGAGGCAGAAAAATTCTAGGCAGAAAAGGGAGGGGTTCATGGTGAAGCCCCACTCTCAAGCTGAAAAGCCTGAAACTGCAGCCCAAAATCCCTGTTTTGCCACTCAAATGTTGCCTTTTCCTAAACCACCCATGGCCCCACCCCACCTCATCCTCTGCCTATAAAGACCCTAGACTCAGTCAGCAGAGAGGAACAAGCAGCTGGATGTCAGGACAACTATGGCTGGACACTGGAGACAAGTGGCTTGACTTCAGAGGGACAGCTTGAGGGTGTAACTTCAGAGAAGAATCCAGCCATCTCTGGCCAGACTTCTGAACAAGATTACCTACCTACCTGTCCCCTTTTCAGCTCCCCTTCCCACTGACAGCTACTTTCACTGGCAATAAAATCCCCTGCATTTACCATCCTTCAATTGGTTCATGCAACCTCATTTTTCCTTGACAATAGACAAGAGCTCAGGAGCGAGTGCAGATAAAAAAGGGCCCACTGACCTGTTGACACTTAAACTATATGTGGACAGCAGAACTAAAAGGGTACTGTAACATGCCCACTGGGGCTTCAGGAGTCACAGGTACCCCCACAGATGCTGTCGTGGGGCCTGCACAGAGTTTGCTCCTGCTGGTGCCCAAAAGTCTCACCCCAGCTCCTGCACCTGCTCACCTGCACACTCCCTCCTGTGAGGAGTGGAATAGAGCAGGTCCAAGTTAGTGGAGTTTGCTCCTGTTGACACTGAAGCAGCTAACTTGTTCTAGCGCTGGTGTACTCCAGTTCCCGCCTCGTTTGCCCACTCACTCCCTCCAGCAAGGAGTTGAGAGTGACAGGCTGAGTAAACATGGCACCCCTGTCAAGAGTCCCGCGAAGGGGTCAGGGAAATATCCTGTTTCAATATGTGCTAAAGTAGTATTTTAAATCCCAAGGAAAATGGATTGAGGCAAATTCTGTTAAAGCAATTGGATGTTTATATA
The DNA here is from genome assembly GCF_000001405.40 of Homo sapiens. Classification (NCBI taxonomy): domain Eukaryota; kingdom Metazoa; phylum Chordata; class Mammalia; order Primates; family Hominidae; genus Homo; species Homo sapiens. The sequence continues at coordinate 27,973,338 of NC_000003.12, read as the reverse complement.
TAAGAAAATAGTTAGATGTTACCTTGTATTACATACAAAAATAAATTTCATCTGAATTAGAGATCTAAATGTAAAAATAAAAAAATAAAAGCATGAAAACTAAAGGTATGGAAGATAGTTTCTAAGCTTGGGGGTGGGAAAGCTTAAAATTCAAACTCCCAATACAAAAATTTAATAACTGTATAAATATTTTTTAAAATTTTAAAGCAAAGAATACATAAAAATAAAAGTGACTAGGAGAAAACACAATATATTACAAATAAATGGTTAATATTCAAAATACAAAATTACTTTAAATAAATTAATATGAAAAGGTCAATGTAATAGAAAATTAAGCAATGGATCTAAACAGGCAGTTCACACAAAATAAACACAAATGGCCAATAAACATAGAAGAGATGGAAAAGCTTGGCAATAACTAAGGACATGCAAATTTAAAAGACTAAGAAGCCATTTTGCTTATCAGTGACAAAAATTTAAATAGCTTGCTAAGAACCAATGCTGGAAAAAAATTTTGGGAAAGAAGAAACTCCTGTTTGCTAAGGACTTACAGGTGTACTGTTTTGAAGAAAATGTTGGCAGCAGCAAATCTAATTTTAGGAATCCATCCTAAAGTATTGCAAGTACATAAAGTTCTACAAACATGCTCACTGCAGCATGTTAAAAGGCCCATCAAGGTTGGGCATGGTGGTTAAACCTGTAATCCCAGCTACTCAGAAGGCTGAGGTGGGAGGATCGCTTGACTCCCAGGAGTTCAAGGCCAGCTTTGGACAACATGATAAGATCCTGCCAAAAAAAAAAAAAAAAAAAAAAAAAAAGCCCATCTATAACAGAATGTCTGAGAATGTCTAAATAATGGTACACTAATATGATGGAACGACACGAGTACAAAATAATGTAGGAGATCGACATTTATGGAAACAGCCAGGAACAAAAAAAGTTGTAGGATATATGTATAGTACGATTCCATTATTGTTTATAGGTTTTAATGGATGGAGTTGGTGATCTTTATTTTCATTTTGTTATTTTTAATTCTTCATTTTAGATTTGAGCTGCTTCTTAAGTTTTGCCTCCACTCTGCAGCTTCTACAGATCTTTAAGCTCTTGAGCTCAGGAGCAAGGCTAAAATTCAGGAGCTACACAAACCATCCTCACCCAGAACCACTTAGAACCACTGAGGAGCACCTAGGATACTCATTTCAAGACGGGAGCGCTTCAATGCTTTAAAAATACATATGTAAATACACAAAATACTTATGAGTGTGTGTATATGTGTGTATGTGTAGTTTAAGCTTGCAACTGGAGAAAAACAAATGTTTTTAAGTTGAATAGCCATTTAAATACTGGTTGTTGGGTACATTGATCATTACATGACACAGCGCTTGTTCATGTATTCATTCAACATTCGGTCAACAAATACTAATTCAGGGCTCAGCGTGTGCCTTGCATTATGTTAAGTGCTGGGAATCAGAAGTAAACAAAGTTCCTACTTTCATGGGATTTACATTTTGGTTTTATCACCACGTGGAGGCCAGCTGAACCTGAATTGGCTGTCCTCTGGAGGTCACATCTAGGCTTTATGCAGAATGCCTGAGCTCACTGATCACAGCTTTCTGGCTGTGATCCTTTTAGCCTCATGTGACTAAGGAGTCTTTATTGATTTGGAAAGTGCTTCACATCCAAAAATGTTTGGATTTCGGGGGTTGGGAGGTGAGGAAGCATGAAAACAAAGCATGGAATTTTTCTAGTTCTTGACTTGAATTCATAGTTACCTGACCCCTAAAAAAAATTCTGCATTGATGAAACTTAGAGCTTAAGATTAATTTTAATGCTGGCTTTTGGAAATCTACTAGATTTCCTGTTTCAATGTAAAGTTACTTTTCTTACCTTTTTATGTGCATTATCATCATCACCACAGACTATTTAGTAGCTACAACACTAAAACCTTTGCCAAAACACACTTCCCAGTAGCCATAAAAAACTTCCCCCACTTCTCGATTTAATTCCATTTCCCTTTACCTCAGTTCTCAGCAAATGTTCACCTTTTATTTAAATAAATAAATCGATCTCCATCCTAAGGAGATTCCTCATCTTCCACCTTGAAATACCCTTCACATTCTCGCTAGCCTCAAAATAAGAAGCCTTTGAAATTAATTCTCTCTGCATTAATCTCCTTCAGCAACAGTCTTTTCTCTCCTGGTTTCTTCACCTTTGCCTTAAAACATAAAAAGTTATTCTCCTTTAAAAACACAAAATAAAGCAAAACTGTGCTCAACCCTGTGACTGATCAGGCTCTGGTCTTTCTTCTTGTTGCCAAACTGTTCGAGTTGTGCCTTACCTCTGCTGCTGCCTTTCCTCACTGCCAATTGCACCTGTACTACTTGCAGTCTCGCTTCTCATCACTGAAGCTGTACTCTCAAAGCTTCCCAGGCAACTAGATGCCAAACCCAGTTGTCTTCTCTAAGTTTCTATCTGCTTTGGCTTTTAATATTTTGGGTTTTTAAAAAAATGTTTTGCTTTTGACAAATTGTCCACCTTCATTCTTAAAATCACTCTCTATTGGTCCCCTTGACCTTCGGTTTCCCTGCCAGCTTGCTCATTGGTCTATCTGTTTGCTACATCCTCTTCTTCCAACTACAGTTGAACCTATTCACAGATGCCTAATCCATTATGAATATAACTTCCTATATCTTCTCTATATGAATATCTCCTTCATCTACTTCTGCAACCCTGGCTTCTTCCCCAAGCCCTACCTCTGCATCTCTTGTTGTTGACCAGACAGTTCCATTTCTATATTGGTCTGATATATTGAATTAAAATGTCTGAAGCCAAGCCCTTTCCTTAGAAACTCATCCTGGCCTCCCCATTTTTATGACTGTCTCCAGTCCCTCTCAGTGCACTCTGACCACCTTTACTCTTGTTTCCCACAACCAAATTCTTGGTAGCTTTTCTCATTTCCACGGTTTATTTTCCTTTTTTACTACCACCAATCTAGCTCTCTGTAAGTAAATCCCAACAGTCTTTCAAAACGTAATTTTCTAACAATTTCCTATGAGCAAGTATTCTGTTCAGTCCTAGATAAGCTATCCTTGCAACATACCAAGTATCTTCTACATCCCAACCTTGGGTCAGCCCCTTTCCTCTTCAACCAACTTCTTACCAGTTCTGTGGAGTCTCTCAATATTTGCCCTCTCTGAATTTGTAACTGCACATCAGAGCATCCCTGAGGCAATTTGTTATGTCTGCTTCTGGTGCTATTACTGTATCTACTTATATTTCCTTGTATTTTTAGCTTCTCTTTTTAAATGATATAAGCTTCTGAAAAAAAATGGCCATTTTATCAGTTAGGAATTATATTTGTTTGCCAATAACAAAAGCCTGAAACAACAGTGACTTAAACAAAGTGGAATTTTCTTTTCTCTTAGTATAAAGAAATTAGAAGGCAAACAGTCAAACTGGTATCCATAAAAGGGATTCAGACTCGATTTACCTTTTTGCTTTACTTTCTTTAGCCTGTGGCTATAATCATTAGAATCTCTTCATTGACACAATACATCTGTGGGAGTTTCAGCCATCAAGTTCATATGCCAGCTAGGAATGAGGAAAAAACAGGGAAGCACACAATAATGTGTTTCCCAGATGCATCATTCCCTTTCATAAGACTGCCCCCAAACCCCCTAGCCACCTAATGACTTAGGCTTAAATCAAATCAATCACTCTTAGACACAAAGTAGAGTGTGAATAGTATTTTAGATGGGTTTATTACTATTTTGAATAAAGTCGGTGTTTTGTTAGTGAGGAGAAAGCAGAAAATTGGTTCAACAAATATTTATTGAGCATATTCTATGTGCCCAGCACTATTTAAGGTCCTAGGACTAGAACAATGAATAAAACAGACAAAGGTCCTTCCCTTACGGATCTCACAGTAATAATGTGTGAAGAGAGCAAATAGGCAAGTAAACCAGGAAACTGGTAATCAAGAAACTCTTCACTTGTAAGACAATATTTCAGTAGTGATCTGAAAGAAGTGTCAGAGAATCTGTGCAGACATTTCAGGGAACAACATTCTAGACAAAGAGAAGAGTAGGTGCAAAGACCCCAAGGCAGAAGAATGTCTGACATGTTGTATTAATAAGACCTGTGTGGTTGGAGCAGAGAGGGGAGAGATCTGGGGGTGGAAAGACTGTGATACCTTTCTTCACCTATCATGAGAGTCATGTCTGGCACTCCTATAACAAAGAACAGGTTAACAAGAGAAAAACATAACAAATTTATTTAATCAAAGTTTTATTTTACATGAGAGGCTTCAGAAATGAAGACTCAAAGACCCAGGTCTTCATTACTACCAAAATCAAAATTTTATGTAAAGTAAAAAATACTGCCTATTTTTACATTTGGGTTCCATAAAGAATAGACAGTTATGGCCAGGCACAGTGGCGCACACCTGTAATCCCAGCACTTTGGGGGGCCGAGGCAGGCAGATTGCCTGAGCTCAGGAGTTCGAGACCACCCTGGGCAACATGGTGAAACCTTGTCTCTACTAAAATACAAAAAATTGGCTGGGCGTGGTGGTGGGCACCTGTAGTCTCAGCTACTTGGGGAGGCTGAGGCAGGAGAATTGCTTGAACCCAGAAGGCAGAGGTTGCAGTGAGCTGAGATCGTGCCACTGCACTCCAGCCTGGACAACAGAGAGAAACCCTGTTTCCAAAAAAAAATAGACGGTCATGGAGAAACGTGATTAGATAAAAAGGGTATGATCTAATGGTAATAGACTGAGCTGGGGGAAACCCAGTAAGGCCTGTCTGTTTAGATTCTTGACCTCTCTGTGTAGCATTCCATCTCCCTGGGTATAGGGAAGAACTTCTCTGGAAGGTTCTTATGACCTACCTTCAGGCAAGCTAGATTAGATAATTTCTTTATGGCCATCTCCTACACAGAAAGGTCGGGAAGGTTTCTTCTTGCTTCTGAGGCCCTCCCAATCTCTTTCATTCAAAATACTTTGGGATAACATTCTCTGAGCCCCAACATAGGAGATGAAGTCAGAGTAGCAGTGAGAAGACAGAGAGTAAGGATACTAGGCCAATGCCTTTTCCACTGAGTCAGCCATTGGTGAAACTTAAGAGGAGTATAACATGAGCTAGCTTGATTTAAAAGAATTAATCTGGCTCTTTGTAGAGAGTAGACAATAGGAATACCCTAAAGGAACTGGGAGGCCAATTAGGAGACTATTGCAATAATCCACGTAAAAGATGTGATGACTCAGTAATTGGATTTTGTATCTATTTTAAAGTCGGGCTGACATAATTTGCTAATAGTAGAGCTAATGGTTGGAGTACAAGAAAAATGATTAAAGAGATACTGAATAGGAAATTGGAAGGCTCTGCCACTGCTATGTGCATAGTTCTTTTATATTCTTCCATAGTGCCTATTACAGTGCTAGACATACAATAAGTGCTCAATAAAAATTTAGCAAATTAACAGCCTAACTTTTTAGAAGACCACTTGAAAATTTTTCTCTTGGCCAGGCACGGTGGCTCATGCCTGTAATCCCAACACTTTGGGAGGCCGAGGTGGGATGATCACTTGAGGTCAGGAGTTCAAGACCAGCCTGGCCAACATAGTGAAACCCCGTCTCTACTAAAAAATACAAAAAAATTAGCCAGGCGTAGTGATGCACACCTGTAATCCCAGCTACTCAGAAGGCTGAGGCAGGACAATTGCTTGAACCCAGGAGGTAGAGGTTGCAGTGAGCTGAGATCATGCCACTGCACTCCAGCCTAGGTGACAGAAGGAGATTCCATCTCAAAAAAAAAAAAAAATTATCTCTTATAGTATGAGACACCCACCATTAATGATGAAACAAATTTAGGAAAAAACCTAAATCCTAAAAGCATACACTGAGACTGCATTTTCCTTTTGCGTCTTGTTAGTGACAGCTACTTCTACAAGCTTGAGGAAGAAAAAATACTGGAAAGGAAATTAGTTCGAATCATTATTAATAGAACATTCAAGAGGAAATCTCCTATCCAACCACCATGGAATTTACCTGCTGTGTAAGTGGCTGTTCAGACCAACTTATTTTTCACACTTGTGTGTGGGGGTGGGGTCACATGAGGGCACATTTGGTGAGAAAAAAACAATTGAACTGGTAGTTGTATGTAGGAGATGGAAAAAGGGAGGGAACAGAGATTTTTAAAAAGACATTCCCAGACTAAGAACTAGAATAACATAGATGGAAGAAGAAATGTCACCAACATCGCGGAATCTCATATAAAATGTTCAGTGTCATTTTCTGGCACACAAAGCTGTGAGGTGGAGATAAGCAACTGTTTCCAGCCATTTTTCTCTCATACAATTACCCTGTAACTTCATTCTTTCAGTGTCCCTGGCCTCAAGGATCAGTGTGACATAGAATCAAAAAGCTAGAAAAGAACTCAAAGATACTTTAGGGTATATTTCAATTGTTAAATGATTGTATATTAAACGAAAGCACTTAGCTAGTAAGAAGACGGCTCTAAAACTCAGCCCTACTGACACAAGGATGGGGCCTTTTATTCATCACAGCTTCGCCCCAACCACTAATGCTTATTTCTCAACTACCACCACCCACCCATGTGAATTAAATTAATGATCTGTCTAACATAGTCATATTCATCTCACCCGCCCAAGTGGCAGCTTGGGACTCTTCCTGTGTGTGCTTCTGAATCTGAAAACTAAAAGAAAATGACATTCCCAGACAATCGTTACTTGGCCAAATTCAGTGTGACTTGGGCCTTGGAGAGCTGATTAGGTCCAAGCACTCTGAGCCTCCAGTGAGGTGGGGACTGCAAAGAAGTGTCCCGTTCTAGCAAATGGACGTCCTACTCTTTCAAAGAGTGAATGAAGAGAAACGTTTAGAATAAAACAGTCTGTAGTGAGCTACCATTTCCAATTCATCGTCTTCCTGTGGCTCTGGGAAGGGGAATATTTCATTAGCAAAATCCCTACCAGAACAAATTTTGTCATCATAACCGATTTTCCTCTCGGAGAGCCCACTGTGCCCCCAGGACCCTCCTCAGTTTCAGTCAGTACCCTCCTTCCAAGTTCAAGACGGTTTTCTGGCTTTGTTTCGAGGTCTTTTTGTCTTTCCATTGATCTATCTCTGTTTGAGGAAATTTAGAGAAAAAGAAAAGTAACCACCAAGACTAGGAAAAATGAAAAATGAAGATGACAACAACAATGCCAACAAAAGATAAAGATTGAAAACTGGGGAGGGATAAAGCAAAAGGGACTAGAGATTTTCTTTTCAATGTTGTTATTTTTAAAAATCTGGCTCCTTCTTAGAAGTTTGAAAATAAGCTTCCAACACACGAGTTCACAAGGACACAGATCAAGCTCTATCTCTATCTCACACAGACGTAGTTGGAATCTTTAATCATTATATGATCTGTATTAACTCTAGAGCTGATGGGCTATATTTTGAACAGTGGAATCTGACATAATTTTCTTATGTTGACAAGAAAGAACATCCACATACATTTCTCTATATTTAGAGTATTAGACAGAGAGGCAAGGTGGCTATACTGTATACTGTAGTCATAGGATTTATCTTTGTAGCCAGCATGCCTGGCTAAATAATTGGTTAGCCAGTTAATTACCTGGCCAAAAAAAAAGTCAGAAAAAGTCAGGAAAAGTGCAAAAGTCAGAAAAAAAGACTGGCAGGTCGACCAGTTTCCTAGAGAATAAGCTTTGTTCCCCCAAATGTTCTTCATTGCATGTTAACTGTCTCCTCTGCTTTTTGCTTTTCTACCATTTAGACTGGCTATCTGTTAACAGCCCATGCTGAAAACCCCTTTTTCCTGCCTGGAGCGGCAGGGAGATAACTTGCCTCTAATGTTTAAAAGCTCTGTTGAACTCTTTCCCAGCTTTGGTTAAAAGCTAATTGGATCCTATGCTGCATCTTGTGCCACCATCTATCTAAACACTTACATTTTATTTAAAAAACAAATTTTAAAACCACTTATGAAAGGGAAGTAGGGTTGCAACTGAAGGGGTGGTAGCATCAGGGCCAGAAGAAATGTAATTACCAGGACACAGAAAGCTCATTTAAGAGCCTCCTAAGGTAGTCGTGGAAGTAGCCAAAGTCTTTATTTATCGAGAATCTCTAATTTTTTGAGGACATTGAACAGGTGCTGTGTGGCATGATGGCAGAGATGCCAATAGCATTAGCATAAGGAGACCAGGCATCGCTTTTCTCCAAGCTTTTTTTTTTTTTTTTTTTTTTTTGGTCAGATTAAGGGGAAGCTAAAGATACTACTCTGGGCCTTCGACTCCTTGCATATTTTGAGGCTCCTAGTCTTAAGTCTCTGCAAAGAATGGGGTGGGGGTTATGAATCTGAAAAAATTATAGCGAAAACATATTCTTTCTAGGCTAAGGAATATACATGTAAATCAAGTGTGGAGGAATGGGTAGGGGAAGAACGCTGTAAATTATTTTGTTCAAATGTATTGAAAAACATCCAGCTGTTACAGTCTATTTCTTTAGTTTCTGTACTTCCTTAAGCTAGTGAGTTATAAAGAATCACCACTAAAAGAAAAAAAAAAAGTTTTTCTCTCAGGAATTCACAGGAGTGCTGTTTTCTCAGCCTCTGGGGTGTGATCCTGTCTGCATTTTGTAAATCTTTAGTAAATGGAAAAATGATACCCATCTCAATCTGCCTGTGGTCTGTAAGTAGAATGGGCTCTGCAGAGGAGTCAGACTTTCTGGTTTATCAACAGAAAGATAAGTGACATGCCACAGAAGATTGGAGAATTGCAAGTAATCAAGTTTTATTTGTCCCTAGACATCAAGCCTGGATCTTTAAGAAGGTGAGTTTGCAAAAAGGTCTTAGAAATGTCAGTCATGGTTTCTACTCCATATAAAACTCCCCTCTTTATATGAAGCAGCAAACCAACAGCCTCTGCAGGGGATGCAGGAGCGATTCTGCCCTGTGATTCCTACCCAATCACTCATATTATGGTCAAGCTGGTTCAGAGTCCACCTCTCAGAAACTGGAATATGGAAACACTGAAAAAACTGTAAAACCTTTTAGAATCAGAAACTGAGATACAGGGTAGAGTAGGACTATGAAGACAATAGGGAGTTCCAAGTTACGAGCAGGACAGAAATGCTAGTAGCATAAGCTAAAGAAAAAATACACAGTCCGGGGTGAGTGGGAATGCTTGCTAGTGGGTAGTGGAGAAGGTGGTGACATTATATATGTGTGTGTGTGTATGTGTGTGTGTGTGTGTGTGTGACATATATTTATCTATCTATATAAGTATATAAAATGCCATTATATGACATACATACACTATGTCATATGACTATATATATATATATTGAGAGAGAGAGAGAGAGAGGAAGAGAGAAAGACAGACAGAGAGAGGCTGACTCACAAAGAGATTCAGAAAGACAGCATGTCTGCTTTCTAGGATAGATTTGATACCCGAAGACGTTCCAGTTGTAGTCCAATAAATTCCGCTCTTTCTGAAACTGGCCTGCATGATTCTCTTTCTCTAGAAATCTAAAGTGCCCCAGAAGCACAAAATGACTTTTGGGTGACCCAAGAGGCTGAACCCTGTGCAGGCAGCAGTGAGGGATCTGTGAAACTGGTGGGAGTTGTTTTTATGAGCAGACAATGATGGTGGCTTCCTTGGTGTGACCTCAGAGGGAAAAGAAAGCAGCATCACCTTCTTGGTCCTAATTCTCTCTTTCATGAGCCCTCTAAATTATCTCTCCCACCTCACTCCACTCCCTTTTTTAACTAAAACATAAAATTAATTCATGAATATGGCTTTTTAAAAAATTGGCCAGGCACGGTGGCTCACACCTGTAATCCCAACACTTTGGGATGCTGAGGCAGGCAGATCACCTGAAGTCAGGAGTTCAACACCAGGCTGGTCAACATGATGAAACCGTGTCTCTACTGAAAATACAAAAATTAGGTGGGCATGGTGGTACGCACCTGTAATCCCAGCTACTTGGAGGGTGAGCCAGGAGAATGGCTTGAACCCGGGAGGCAGAGGTTTCAGTGAGCCGAGATTGCACTCCAGCCTGAGCAACAGAAGGAGACTCCGTCTCAAAAAAAAAAAAAAAAAAAAAAAAAAAAATTCCCAATACAAAAGTGACAAGTAAATCACCTCCTATCCCAAAACTCTTAGTTCCTTGAACATTCTCCTCTGTCAGAGATTGTGCTATTATCTCTTTTTTTTATAGTTATCCAGAGATATTTTACAAATGTTCTAGTGTATAAATATACTCACACATAAATAACTCTTTAACAGAAAATATAGACTGTGTTTTTGCACAAATATGAGCATATCTACAGGACATATTTGCAGAAATAAAAATACTGGGCTCAAAAGTATGTGCCTTTTCCATTTTAACAGATAAAGCCAAATTCCCATCTTCAAAGTTGTATTTATTAACACTTCAACAAGTGATGCATGAGAGAAACACATACTCCTTCCTACCACGCCTCATCAAGTCTTCAGAGCTTTGCCAAAGAAATAGGCAGGACATGCTATTCCATGACTTTAATTTGTATTTCCTTAATTTCAAAATGAGGCTGAGGGTCTCTAAGATTCCTTTTGATGCCTTTCTAGTCTACCTACCTTCCTTTGCCCTTTGTTCTCCTGCTACTGCACGTTCTGCTCAAAGAATTGCCCCCAAACCAGTAGCATTGGCATTACCTTGAAGCTTGTTAGAAATGTAGAATTTCATACCTTACCTCAGGCCTGCCTGATTCAAAATCAGCATCTTAACAAGACCCCAGGGAACTCATATGTACACTAAATTTCAGGAGCATAGTTACAGACATTCTTCCCTGGCTTATGATGTGAAGCTCATTTCAAGTTTACAAGCTTCCAAGAAGTTCAATGTGGTTCAAGTGAAAGGACTCCGTGGTGCTTGGCCATGGAGTGGTTACTGTCACTACCATGGTTTGACTTATCAAATCCTCTGCCTCCATTCCTTCCCTGTCTCCAGGGTGTAGACAGCCTATTTCTAATTCGCATCACTGTCATCTCTCTGCATGTCACTTATTTATTAATGGGGCATACACAGCTGATGATTTACAAAAATATGCCAAGTCCATGAGTGTGCTTAACCAGGACATATAATTATAGAAAATATTACCATCAGCTGAGTAATGTATTCTCTATTCTTTATCTCCAGTTAATCAGAAACTGCATATCCTGGGCTCAGAAAGTCCATTTCGAGGTGTGAATCTGATTCACAATAAAGAATGATTTTCCTAATTCTGTAAAATGAAGTGATATCATTGCCCTGTTCGTGCAGTTTTAGCTTGGTAAAGGTAGCCCCTTAAAAACTAACAACGTAAAATTGGTGTTAATAACAACATCTCTTACAGAAGAGTTATAAAGCAATGCATATAAAACATTGAACACAGCACTGGATGCATTGTAAGTGCTCAATACATTTTACTGATGGAAAAAACAAAAACAAAAAACAACGAGGACCCTTACATATAAGTTTGCTATGACTATCATAACAAAGTACCACAGATTGGGTAATTTGGACAAGTCTATGTTGCAATCTTCTCTTCTTAGAAAAAGAAGTCGTATTAAGTTAAAGCCCACCCCAATGGACTCATTTTAGGTTAGTCACCTCTTTAAAGACACTATCTCTAAATATAGTCACATTCTGCAGTACTAGAGATTAGGACTTCAACTTGTAAATTTGGAGGAGACAATTCAGCCTGCAACACCTTCCAAATAAAATGTGATTTGAAAAGTAAAGATGCAATGACTGGCTTCCTTTTGTTGTTTTAATGAATATAGATATTGCTAGAATAGTCTACAGAAAATGTACACATGAAAAGTGACCCAGTGTATGCATTTAAGTAAGTTATCTCAATCTCTATATTCCAGTTTTTCTGTATAAACCAGGAAACAAATGTATACCCTATCCTGTCCAAACTTTTCCAACAGACCACAAAATTTCAGTCTTTAGAAGTGACTTTTATCATCTTCAAAAGCTTGTGTTTATTCTCCTCCCTGTGGTCTTTATTAGAGTGCAGCCATTTCCAAAGCACTGCTGCATGGTCCAACATTCACAGCTGTCCCAGGACAGAGCAAGTCCTCTGTCACCATTTCACAGGTGAGGAAATCAACATCCAAGGAGCTTAGGTAAGTTAACAACATTTCACAAATCACAGGTAATAAATTGCAGCTTTAAAAACAGAACCAATCATATACACTGTAGATTCCAGCTACTGTATATGACATTCTGGAAGAGGCAAAACAGTGGAGACTGTAAAAATTCAGGGGTTAAGTGGAAGGAAAGAGTGAATATGTGAAGCAGAGAGAACAGAGGATTTGTAGGGCAATGAAACTACTCTGTGATACTATGATGTTGAATACATGCCATTATAAATTTGTGCAAACCCATAGAATGTACAATACTAAGAGTGAGCCTTAATGTGAACTATGGACTTTGATAATTATGTGTCAATGTAAGTTCATTAATTGTAATAAATGTATCACTCTGATTGGGGATGGTGATAGTTGGGGAGGCTGTGTATGTGGCGGGGGAGGAAGTATAGGGAAAATCTCTGTACCTTCCATTCAATTTTGCTCTGAACCTAAAACTGCTCTGAAAAATTAAATCTACTAAAAAAAGAAGAAACCCAATTCTTCAGGCTCCTCCAGTGAGGCATTTCAACTACATTCTAAGCAGATTACAATTTTGGTGAGCATTTTTTGTGAGAAAACAGAAGTATAAGAGGACACCCTTCTGAGACAAAAGAGCTAAAAGCACAAATAATCTTAGTACTTTTCTCTAGAGCTAGTTTCCCTCTCCATAAGCTTAACTAGAGTATGGCATTTTACGGCAGCTTCTGTAAGGGTGGAAATTTTAGGCATCATTCACATTATGCATCTTTAATCACTTTCCAGTCACTGTGTTGTAAAATGATGGTGACTGCCTCTCACAAATGAGTCATGTTCTATGCGTTGTATGTTTTTCCTCAGCTGATAATCATTAGCTGAGTATAATTATGGCTTTTTTCCTAGGCTGGTTTTAATGCTGAGTAAAACATGACTCATAAGTTTGGTTCAAAGACTATGCCCACACATCTATTTTCTTGTAATACATTTTTGCAATTTCATTTCTCTTGGATTGCTTGATTTTACTTATTAGTTTTCCCAAGCTCATTAGGTAGTATAGATGTTTATACCCCTTGTCGTATAAAAGTTGCAAATATTTTTGATGGACTATCTTTTTATATTGTATTTGCCATATGGAAGTAAGTTTTGCTTTGTTTTTGTTTGTTTCTAGTGGTAAAATCTATCAAATTTTGCCTTTATGGCTTCTGGATTCCACAGTGCTTTTATTCTTGTTAAGATTATGTAATAATCATTTACATTTGGGCTTAGTACTTGATTAATTTTTAAAAATACATTTCATTTTAAAATACATCTAGATTTTTTGTGTTTGTGATAAAAGGAGCGGTATAACTGTATTTTCTCACTGTATAATCAATTATACCAGCAATAACTTTATTAATTTATCCATATTTTCTCCTCCTTAATCATATACTCAATTCTCATCACATGAGTCAAAGTCTGGTTTCTCTGTTCTTCTCCATTAATTATTTTGTCTATTCTCACATCATTACCATACTTTTTAATTTCTGCAAATTTCTATTATGTACTGCTATCAATTAGGCAAGTTTTGTGATTTTCTTCTTTTTAAAAAATATTATCTTGGCCTGAGAAAATCAAATTATCTTTGCTTGCAGATGACATGATTCTATCTCTAGAAAACCCCATCATCTCAGTCCAAAAGCTTCTTCAGCAACTTCAGCAAAGTCTCAGGATATAAAATCAATGTGCAAAAATTGCTAGCATTCCTATACACCAACAACAGGCAAGCAGAGAGCCAAATCATGAATGAACTCCCATTCACAACCGCTACAAAAATAATAAAATACCTAGGAATACAGCTAAAAATGAAAGCGAAGGACCTCATCAAGGAGAACTACAAACCACTGCTCAAAGAAATCAGAAAGGATACAAACAAATGGAGAAACATTGCATGCTCATGGATAGGAAGAATCGATATCAGGAAAACGACCATACTGCCCAAAGTAATTTATAAATTCAATGCTATTCTCATTAAATTACTGTTGGATATTCTTCACAGAATTAGAAAAAAAACTATTTTAAAATTCATTTGAAACAGAAAAAAGCCCGAATAGCCAAGTCGATTGTAAGCGAAAAGAACAAAGCCTTAGGCATTACACTATTCAACTTTAAATTATACTATATGGCTACAGTAACCAAAACAGCATAGTACTGGTACAAGAACAGACACATAGACCAATGGAACAGAATAGAGAACTCAGAAATATGACTACACACCTACAACCAGTTGGTCTTTGACAAACTTGACAAAAACAAGCAATGGGGAAAGGATTCCCTATTTAATAAGTGATTCTTGGAGAACTAGCTAGCCATATGCAGAAAATAGAAACTGGACCCTTTCTTTATACCACATACAAAAATTAACTTAAGATGGATTAAAGACTTAAATGTAAAACTCAAAACTACAAAAACCCTAGAAGAAAATCTAGGCACTACTATTCAGGACATAGGCGTGGGCAAAGATTTCATGACAAAAACAACAAAAGCAATTGCAACAAAAGCAAAAATTGACAAATGGGATCTAATTAAAGAGTTTCTGCAGAGCACAAAAGTCAGAGTGAACAGACAACCTACAGAATAGAAGAAATTTTTTGCAATTTATCCATCTGACAAAGGTCTAATATCCAGAATTTACAAGGAACTTAAACAAATTTACATGAAAAAAGATCATTAAAAAGTGGGCAAAGGACATGAACAGACACTTCTCAAAAGAAGACATACATGCAGCCAACAAACATATGAAAATAAGCTCAACATCACTGATCATTAGAGAAATGAAAATCAAAACCACAATGAGATATCATCTCACAACCATCAGAATAGCTATTAATAAAAAGGCAAAAAACAACAGATGCTGGTGAGGTTGCAGAGGAAAAGGAATGCCTTTACACTGCTGGTAGGAGTGTAAATTAGTTCATCCATTACAGAAGACAGTGTGGCGATTCCTAAAAGACCTAGAAGCAGAAATACCATGTGACCCAATAGTCCTATTACTGGGTATATACTCAAAAGAATATAAGTCATTCTATTATAAAGATACATGCATGTGCATGTTTATTGCAGCACTATTTGCAATAGCAAAGTTATGGAATCAAGCTAAATGCCAATCAATGATAGACTGGATAAAGAAAATGTGGTACTTATACACCATGGAATACTATACAGCCATAAAAAGGAATGAGATCATGTCCTTTGCAGGAACATGGATAGGATTAGAAGCCATTATCCTCAGCAAACTAATCCAGGAACCGAAAACCAAACACCACATGTTCACATTTATAAGTGAGACCTGAATGAGGAGAACACATGGACACATTGTTTTGAGGGGAACAACACACACTGGGCACCTGCTGGTGGTGGGGAAGAGCATCAGAAAAATAACTAACGGATGCTGGGCTTAATATCTGGGTGATGGGATGATCTGTGCAGTAAATCACCATGGCACAAGTTTATCTATATATCAAACCTGCACATCCTGCACATGTACCCCTGAACTTAAAATAAAAGTTGAAGAAAAAAAGAATTTGGGCTTTTATATCATACTTAAACCTACAGTATAATTTTTCAGTTTTCTAGTTTTAAAAACAACTTTAAGTTTTTAATTTTAATCAATTCCATTTTGATTTTAGAAATGATTAAAGCACAAAACCAAAATATATACAATTATTATATAATTTTAGATTGACATGGAATCCAGAAAGCATAAAAGTAAAATTTGATAGATTTTACTACTAAAAACAAACCAAAAAGTGATGGCAAATATATCATAAACAGAATTTTAGAAAACAGTTGACAGTGTCAAAAAATATTTGCAATAGTTATTGAGCAATTTCATGCGTCAAACATACCGTACTGGGAATACCTCATTGAAGAGGTCCCAATTTCTGCTCTCCTATAGAATGTACATTCTAACAAAGTGAGGCAGACAATAAATAGTACACACAATAAATAATTATCTAGTAATTAGAAGGTAGGTACACTATGGAAAAAAGGAAAAAGCAGAAGAGTTAGCAAGGTAGTTGGTGAGGAAACCAGTTGAAATTTTGAATAAGATGATTAGGAAAAGGCTCATTGAGAAGGGGACATTTGAGCAAAACTTGAAGGTGAAGGAGTTAGCCACATGTGTAATGAGAATTCTCAACTGAGATTGGTATTTAATTTATAAAATAATTTGGAGATAGTTAAAACATTTTTGATTATTCTTATCTAAGAACAAAGTTTGTCTTTCAATTTATTTAGGTCTTCCTTTAATTCCTTCAGAAAATCTTTATATATTAATAGATCTTGGATATTTGTAGTTCTTCCACATTTTCAGTTACATATATTCCTTGATAATTTATGATTTTTACTTTTGCTATGTATAAAAAGGCAACTTTGTTATATTTTATAACTATTTATTTCTGCATTATAAAAAAAAGTATAAATTTTGGCTTATTCATCTTTTAGGCATCTACCCAACTTGACTCTTTTATTAGTTTTAATTTTTAAATTTGTAAACATATTGCAATTTTTAAACTTGTAAACCAATTATAAGCAAATTGATCATCTATAGACAACCATATTAACTAAAAATAATAATTGTTTTTTTTTTGTATTTGTCCTTTTATTTTATTTACCTATCTCAATCAAGTATTGACTAAAGCTTCAAAAACAACATTGAATACTATATGTATATAAATAGAAATGTTTCAAATATTTTACCATTAACTATGATATTTGCTCAAGGTTTCCAATAGATCACTTTAGTAAAATTTAAGAATTAGAACCAGATGTTAAAATGATAAGTTTTTAAAATTATCTATGTAATCACTATTTTTTTACTTTAAATGAAATGTAGTGAATTACATTACATAAATTACATTAGTGAATTTTCTAATTTAAACTAATGTCAGATTATTGGTTTAAAAGAAAAAATAATGTAGGCCAGGTGCAGTGGCTCACACCTATAATCCCAGCACTTTGGGAGGCCAAGGTGGGAAGATTGCTTGAGCGCAGGATTTTCAGACCAGCCTGGGCAACACAGGGAGACGCTATCACTAAAATAAAGTAGCCAGCCTGGTGGCACATGCCTGTACTTCCAGCTGCTCAAGAGGCTGAAGTGGGAAGATTGTGTGAGCCTAGGAGGTCGAGGCTGCAATGAACCATGATCATGCCACTGCACTCTTGCCTGGACAACAGGCCAAGACCTGTGAAAGAAGGAAAGGAAAGGAAAAGAAAGGAAAGGAAAGGGAAGGGAAGGGAAGGGAAGGGAAGGAAGGGGAAGGGGAAGGGGAAGGGAAGGGAAGGAAAGGAAAGGAAAGGAAGAAAGAGAAGAAAGAAAGAGAAGAAAGAAAGAGAAAAAGAAAGAAAGAAAGAAAGAAAGGAAAGAAAGGAAAGAAAGGAAGAAGGAAGGAAGGAAGGGAAAGGAAGGTGTGAGACAAAGGAAGGAAGAGGAAGGAAGGAAGGGAGAGGAAGGAAGGGAGAGGAAGGAAGGGAGAGGAAGGAAGGAAGAGGAAGGAAGAGGAAGGAAGGAAGGAAGGAAGGGAAAGGAAGGTGGGAGACGAAAGAAGGAAGAGGAAGGAAGGAAGGAAGGAAGGGAGAGGAAGGAAGGGAGAGGAAGGAAGGGAGAGGAAGGAAGGAAGAGGAAGGAAGAGGAAGGAAGGTTGGTTATTTTTGGTATAATGTTGAATTTGGTTCATGCTTTATTTTCATATTCACATTATATTCCCAAATGAGATCGCTTGAAGAGCAATAAAAACTTGGAGAGCACTACAAGTTTTTATATAATAATAGGAATTATCTCTCTTGGACCTTAAATAAAATGACCTTGAAAATTATCTGGGCTTTCTACACAGTTTGTCATTACCTTTCACATATTCATTTGTCTAGCCCTTGAGTTTGCTAAAACATCATCTGCTTCATCTAGATTTGGACTTTTTTGGTACTAAGATATATGTTATCCTCTCACAATTTCCTTCCTATTATCATTTCCTGTTTCAGTGGTATTTCAATGTTATTATTTTCTCTTTCTTATTGTTAATATTACTTATTTGTTTGTTCTCTCTTTTTTCTTGGTCAGACTTGCCCAACATTTTACTATCCTGTTGGGCTTTACAAGAACAAGTTTTTGGTTATCTTGATTGAGTATGTTTTTAGTATTTTATTTTATTTCAGTTTTATCTTTATTAATACTTCCCTACTTCCCTTCTGCTGTCTTTAGTTCTTTTCATCTTTCTAGGTTTTTTTTTTTTTTTTTCACAGTTTCACTCTTTTTGCCCAAGCTAGAGTGCAATGGCACGATCTTGGCTCACTGCAACCTCCACCTCCCAGGTTCAAGGGATTCTCCTGCCTCAGTATCCCAAGTAGCTGAAATTAAAGGCATGCTACTACACCTGACTGATTTGGGGTATTTTTAGTAGAAACGGGATTTCACCATGTTAGCCAGGTTGATCTCGAACTCCTGACCTCATGTGATCTGCCTGCCTCAGTGCTGGGATTATGGGCATGAGCCACCGCACCTGGCCTTCTGTCTAGTTTTTTAAGTTTGGTTCTTCACATATTTTTCTTTTGAAACTTAATGAAAACTTTTGACAAATTATTCCTTACAGTTCTACTAACTTGTATGAGAAGTTCTAGAAGTTATATTACTTCTATTATTATGCTATGGTCTATTACAGAAACTCTATACAACTCAAAATCCTCTTATGTTATAATTTTGGCTTAAATTTTAGTCAGCATTTACAATATGACCGTGTAAATATAGTTTGCTGTCTAGTCGTATCATGTTTTGTTTCCTGTGCAAGTTTTTTTTTCTGGAGTTAATATTTGTCTTGCCATTTTCTTTTGTTTTGTAGTCTGTGTATTTAAGTCCATGATTTTCCAAATGCTCCAAGAATTCTGTCAGAAATTTTCCAATTCTTTTGTAATCACTGAAGCACGATGAACAATCTTTTCATTCTACTTCTGTCCTAGTAATTTCCTGGCTACAGCTCTCCAGTGCTCTATTCAATCTGGATCGTTTGCTCTTTAGGCCAATTTTATACTTGTTACTCAGAGGCTTCTTTTCACACTTTTCCTATATAAAATCCTATGTTTACTGTTTCACATTTTCATTTTTTGTTTTACTCTCTTATTTTGCTGAAGCACATTCTCCAACATTTCCCCTGAAAGGATAAATGGGAGACTCTTATAGGTCTGAAATAGCTTAATTTTTAAGTATGTTTAATGAATAGTTTAGCTAGATATGGAATTCTAGTTTATAAATTAGTATTCCTTAATTCTGACGGCATTGGTCCACTATTTTCTAGCATCTAGTATTGAATTAAGAGGTGCAATATGATTTTCATCCCCATTTCCTTGTTTAGTCATATTTTTGCATTTTCTTTTCATCTCCAGCATTTCAAGTTTTTATAACAATAAATGTTGGTGTGTCTTTTTCACTTATTATGATGGGCTATTTCAGTCTGTAGTCGTGCTCTTTAGCTTTGCAAGTTTTTCTTATAACCATTCTTAATTTTCTCTCTTCTATTTTCCCAATTTTGGCTCTATAGCTCCTAATATTGGAATGCCACATTCTTAAATTAACCCTTGAATGTTCTCATATTTGCTTTCCCATCTTTCACATATTTGTATTCATTTCTTTGTTTATTTTATTTTCTATGAGATTTCTTTGTATTTTAATTATTCTACTGAGTTTTCAATTTCTAATAGTTTATTCCCAATTGTCAAAATATCTTTCTTTTTTTTTTTTTTTCTTTTTTTGGAGACGGAGTCTCTGTTGCCTAGGCTGGAGTGCAGTGACGTGATATTGGCTCACTGCAACCTCCGCTTCCTGGCTTAAGCAATTCTCCTGCCTCAGCCTCCCGAGTACAGATTACAGGTGCACACTATCACGCCCGGCTAATTTTTGTATTTTTAGTAGAGATGTGGTTTTACTATGTTGGCCAGGTATCCTGACCTCAGGTGATCCACCCGCCTTGGCTTCCCAAAGTGCTGGGATTACAGGCTTTAGCCACCTCGCCCAGCCAAAATATCTTTCTTATTTACTGATTATACCATCTCACCATTTATTATTAATCTCCTCTGCATCCCTTCTCTTTCTTTCCATGTGGTTCCCCTTAGGCAACAATGGGTAAAGTCCCTCTCAGTCTTCAAATCTTTTCAGCGTTCCCTCCTGAATCGCTCTTACTCTGGAGAAAGTTCTCACACATTATTTTATCTCTCATCTTATAATAGTTATTTTGAAATGTTCTTCTGTTATCCTAATTATTTGGAATTCCTTTTTCCTGTTTTTTGGTGGATTTCTTTTTTTTGTTTGTTTTTCAGAAACAGTCTCACTCTGTCCCCCAGGCTGGAGTGCAATGAACTCAGTGCTGTTGTGTTAGAGCAGAAAGGAAAACCAGACCAAACTCAGCTGATGCCCACCCACAGAGGAAGCATTCAAACTAGCCGATTTAGAGGGGAATCACAGATACTAGCGTTCCGAACTTAAGTGCCCACAAACCTCGCCAACGAGAACTACAGCACTGTTTGTCTCCAAGTAAACTTGAAAAGCAGTCTAGATCATAAGGACTGCAACTCTTAGGCCAATTTTTGTGCTGAAGTAGTCCCAGAGACAGTGGACCGAGGGGGCACACAACATACTGAGACACCAGCTGGAGCAGCCAAGGGAATGCTGGCATCACCCCTGCCCTAACCCCAGGATGCACGGCTAGCATCTCCAAGTGAGACCTCTTCCTTCAGCTTGAGGAGAGGAGAGGTAAGAATAAGGAGGACTTTGTGTTAAATCTTAAATATCAGCTGAGCCACAGTAGAATAGAGGACCTGTCAGAGTCATGAGGTCCCTGTTTCAGATACTATCTCCCAGATGACATTTCTAGACACACCCTGGGCCAGAAGGAAACCTTCTGCCTTGAAGGAAAGAAGACACTTATCACCTGCTACCTGAAGAGCTCTTGAACCCTGAATGACCAGCAGTAATACCCAGGCACTACATCAAGGGCCTTGGGTGAACTTCTGAGACTTGCTGGCTTCAGGTGAGACTCAGCACACTGCCAGCTGTGATGGCTATAACGCAAAACTGCTTCTGCTTGAGAAAAGCAGAGGGAAAAGTAAACGGGACTTTGTTTTGCACCACAGATACGAGCACAGCCACACAGGGATAGAGTACCAAATGGCCTCTTGGGGTCCCCAATTCCAGGTGTTGACTCTTAGATGGTATTTCTGGACCTTCCCTGAGCCAAAGGGGAGCCAACTGCCCTGAAGGGATCATCAAGATAGTACCTCTATGAGTCTGCAAGAACCACAGCCTCACTGGACTAGGGGTGCCCCCTAAAGCAGATACAGCTTAGATCACAACACCCAGGTTCTTCCAAATATCTGAAAAGCCTTCCCAAGAAGGATGGCTACCAATAAGCCCAGACAATGAAAACTATAATAAATACCTAGCTCTTCAATGCCAAGACACAGAAAATATACATATATATATATGTATACATATATGTGTGTATATATATATATACACACACACACACACACACACACAGAGAGAGAGAGAGAGAGAGAGAGAGAGAGAGAGAGATGGAATTTAACTCTTGTCACCCAGGCTGGAGTGCAGTGATGCGATCTTGGCTCACTGCAACTTAAACCTCACAGGTTCAAGCAATTCTCCTGCCTCAGCCTCCTGAGTAGCTGGGATTACAGGCACCCACAACTATGCCTGGCTAATTTTTAAAAAAATATTTTTAATAGAGAAGGGGCTTCACCATATTGGCCAGGCTGGTCTCAAACCCCTGACCTCAGATGATCCACTTGCCTCAGCCTCCCAAAGTGCTGGGATTATGGGTGTTAGACACCATGCCCGGCCCAGACACCAGAGAACAGCTACTAGCATCAAACCATCCAGGAAAACATGAGCTCACTAAATGAAGTAAATAAGGCACCAGGGACCAATCCTGGAGAAACAGAGATATCAAACAGAGAATTCAACCTTTCAGACAGAGAATTCAAAATAGCTGTGTTGAGAAAACTCAAAGATATTCAAGATAACACAGAGAAGAAATTCAGAATTCTATCAGATAAATTTAACAAAGAGATTGAAATAATTAAAAAGAACCAAGCAAAAATTATGGCGCTGAAAAATGCAGGTGGCATACTGAAGAAAGCATCAGAGTCCTTTAATAGCAGAATGAATAAAGCAGAAGAAAGAATTGGTGAGCTTGAAGACAAGCTATTTGAAAATACACAATCAGAGTAGACAAAAGAAAAAAGAGTAAAAACAATAAAGCAGACTTACAGGATCTAGAAAGTAGACTCAAAGAGACAAATATAATAGTTATTGGCCTTAAAGAGGAGGTAGAGAAAGATAGAGGTAGAAAGTTTATTCAAAGAAATAAAATGGAGAATTTTCCAAGCCTAGAGAAAGATATCAACATCCAAGTTCAAGAAGGTTTAACCCAAAGCAGATTTAATCCAAACAAGACTAACTCAAGGCATTTCATAATCAAACTCCCAAAGGTCAAGGATAAAGAAAGGATCCTAAAAGTGGCAAGAGAAAAGAAACAAATAGTATACAATGGAGCTCTGATATGTCTGGCAGCAGACTTCAGTGGAAACCTTACAGGCCAGGAGAGAGTGGCATGACATATTGAAAGTGCTGAAGGAAAAAAAAGTTAATCCTAGAATAGTATATCTAGTGAAAATATCCTTCAAACATGAAGGACAAATAAAGACTTTCCCAGACAAACAAAAGTTGAGGGATATCATCAATACCAGACTTGTCCTACAAGAAATGCTAAAGGGAGTACTTCAGTCAGAAAGAAAAAAACATGAATAAGCAAAAAATAATCACCTGAAGGTACAAAACTAACCAGTAATAGTAAGTAGACAGATAAACACAGAATATTATAAAACTGTAAGTGATGTGTAAACTACTCTTATCCTAAGTAGAAAGACTAAACAATGAACCAATCAAAAATAATAACTTTTTAATCAAAAATCAAAATAACCCAAAATATCAACTATAACAAAAATCAAAAATAACAATATTTTAAGACATAGTCAGTACAATAACATGTAAATAGAAACAACAAAAAGTTAAAAAGTTGGGGGATGGAGTTAAGGTAAAATGTTTGTATTAGTTTTCTTTATGTTTGTTTGTGCAAATAGTGTTAAATTGTTATCAGATTAAAATAATGGATTATAAGATAGTATTTGCAAACCTCATGGTAACTTCAAACCAAAAAACATACAATGAATACACACACACAAGCAAAGCAAGAAACTAAATCATATCACCATAGAAAATCAACTTTCCTAGAGGAAGATAGGAAGGAAACAAAGAAGGAAAAAGACTATAAAATAACCAGAAAACAAATAACAGAATGGCAGAAGTCTTTACTTATCAATAATAACATTGAATGTAAATGGACTAAGCTCTTCAATCAAAAGACATAGACTGGCTGAATGAATGAAAAAACAAGACCCATTGATCTGTTGCCTACAAGAAACACACTTCACCTGTAAAGACACATATAGATGAAAATAAAGGGATGGAGAAAGACATTCCATGCCAATAGAAACCATAAAAGAGCAGGAGTCACTATACATGTATTGAACAATATAGATTTCAAGTCAAAAACTATAGGAAGAGACAAAGTAGGTCACTATTTAATGATAAAGGGATCAATTCAGCAAGAGGATATAACAATTTTAAATATATATGCAGGCAACATGGGAGCAGCACCCAGATTTATAAAGAAAATATTATTAGAGCTAAAGAGAGATACAGGTCCCAATACAATAATACCTGGAGAATTCAACAACCCACTTTCAACACTGGGTATATCTTCCAGACAAAAAATCAACAAAGAAACATCAGACTTAATCTGCACTATAGACCAAATGGATCTAATAGATATTTACAGAACATTTTTATTAAAAAGCTGCAGAATAAACGTTCTTTTTCTCAGCACACAAATCATTTTCAAGGATAGACCATATGTTAGGTCACAAAACAAGTTTTAGAATATTCAAAATTGAACTAATATCAAGCATCTTCTCTGACCACAGTGGAATAAAACTAGAAATTAATAACAAGAGGAATTTAGGAAACTATATAAATACATGAAAATTAAACAATCTCCTGAATGACCAGTGAGTCAAAGAAGAAATTTAAAAGAAATTGAAAAATTTCTTGAAACGAATGATAATGGAAACACAACATACTACAACCTATAGGATACAGCAAAAGCAGTACTAATAGGGAAGTTTATAGCTATAAGCATCTACAACAAAAAATAAGAAAAACTTCAAATGAACAGTCTAATAATGTGTCTTAAAGAACTAGAAAAGCAAAAGCAAACCAAACCCAAAATTAATAGAAGAAAAGAAATAATAAAGATCAGAGTAGAAATAAATGAAGTTAAAATGAAAAAAAAATACAAAAGATCAATAAAACAAAAAGTTGGTTTTTTGAAAAGTTAAAATTGACAAACCTTTAACTAGACTAATTAGAAAAAAAAAGAGAGAAGATCCAAATAAATAAAATAAGAAATGAAAAAGCGGGCATTATCATGGATATTGCATTTAAAGGATCATTAGTGTTTACTATGAATAAAACATGCCAATAAATTGAAAAATCTAAAAGAAATGGACAAATTCCTGGGTTCATACAACCTACCAAAATTGAATGAGGAAGATCCAAATAAACAAAATCAAAAATTTAAAAGGTGACATTACAACGGATATTGCAGAAATTCAAAGGATCATTAGTGGCTATTATGAGCAACTATATGCCAATAAATTGGAAAATCTACAAGAAATGGACAAATTCCTAGATACATACAGCCTACCTAGATTATTATTGGTCTGTTATTGAATAGACCAATAACAAGTAATGAGATCAAAGCCATAAAAAATAAGTCTCCCAGTAAAGAAAAGCCCAGAACCTGATGGCTTCATTGCTGAATTCTAACAAACATTTAAAGAACTAATCCCAATCCTACTCAAACTATTCTGAAAAATAAAGGAGAATAGAATACTTCCGAACCCTTTCCATGAGGCCAGTATTCCCCTGATACCAGAACCAAACAAAGACACCTCAAAAAGCAAACAAACAAACAAAGAAAAAAACTATAGGCTAATATTCCTGATGATTATTGATGCAAAAATTCTCAATAAAAATACTAACAAACCAAACTCAACAATACATTAGAAAGATCATTCATCATGACCAAGTAAGATTTATGCCTGGGATGCAAGAATGGTTCAACATATGCAAATCAATCAATGTGATCCGTCATATTAACAGAGTAAAGGATAAAAACTGCATGATCATTTCAATTGATGCCGAAAAAAAGCATTTGATAAAATTCAGCATCCCTTCATGATAAACACCCTCAAAAAACTGGGGATACAACGAACATATCGCAACATAATAAAAGCCATTTATGACAGACCCACAACTAGTATCATACTGAATGGGGAAAAACTGAAAGCCTTTCCTCTAAGATCTGGAACAGGACAAGGATGCACAATGTCACCACTGTTATTCAACATAGTACTGGAGGTCCTAGCTAGAGCAATCAGACAAGAGAAAGCTATAAAGAGCATCCAAGTTGGAAAGAAAGAAGGTGAACTATCCTTGTTTGCAGATGATAGGATCTTACATTTGGAAAAATCTAAAGACTCCATAAGAAATCAATTAGAACTGATAAAAGAAATTCAGTAAACTTGCAGGATACAAAAGCAACATATAAAAACTAGTAGCATTTCTATATGCCAACAGTGAACAATGTGAAAAAGAAATTAAAAAGTAATCCCATTTACAATAGCCACACATAAAATTAAATACCTAGGAACTAACCTAACCAAAGAAGTGAAAGATCTCTGTAATGAAAACTGTAAAACACTTACGGAAGAAATTGAAGAGGAAACCAAAAAATAGAAAAACATTTCATGTCCATGGATTGGAAGAACACTATTGCTAAAATGTCCATACTGTCCAAAGTAGTCCGTAGCTTCAATGCAATCCCTATCAAAATACCAATGACACTCTTCACAGAAATAGCAAAAACAATGCTAAAATTTATATGGAACCACAAAAGACCCAGAATAGCCAAAGCTATCCTAAGCAAAAAGGACAAAACTGGAGGAATCACATTACCTGGCTTCAAATTATACTACACAGCTGTAGTAACCAAAACAGTGTGGTACTGGCCTAAAAAAAACACCTAGACCAATGGAACAGAATAGAGAACCCAGAAGCAAATCCACACACCTACAGTGACCTCATTTGCAACAAAGGTGCCAAGAACATACACTGGGGAAAAATAAACAAGTCTCTTCAATAATTGGTGCTGGCAAAACTGGATATCCTTATGCAGAAGAATGAAACTAGACCCCACCTCTTGCCATGTAAAATATCAAATCAAAATGGATTAAAAACTTAAATCTAAGACATCAAACTATGAAACTATTACAATAAAACATTAGGGAAAAATCTCCAGGGCAAGATCTGGGCAAGAATTTCTTGAGCAGTACCCCATAAGCACAGGCAACCAAGTCAAAAATAAACAAATGGGATCACATCAAGTTAAAAAGCTTCTGCACAGCAAATGATACAGTCAATAAAGTGAAGAGACAACCCACAGAATTAGAAAATATTTGCAAACTACATATCTGACAAGGGATTAATAACCAGAATATATAAGGAACTAAAACAACTCTATAGGAAAAAAATCTAATAATTCAATCAAAAATCAGCAAAAGATTTCAATGGACATTTCTGAAAGAAGCATGCAAATGGCAAACAGGCATATAAAAAGATGTTCAACATCGCTAATCATCAGAGAAATCTGTTCTGAGCAAGTTAAAAATTCTCAAGCACATTTTTGATGATACCTCAAAATTAATTAAGAGGTAGAATTAATTAATTAATTAAACGGAGAATATTAAATTAGTTACCACAACTTTTCATAGACATAGATTCTGTTGTGCAAAGTTATCATTTTCTTTATAAAGATCTTTGGATTTCAAAAAAAAAAAAAACTGAAAAGGCAAAATCTTAGGCCTCACCCCAGAACCAGAATCTGCATTTTAACAAAATCTCCACATGACTGATATATACATCAAAGTGAGAAGCTCTGATCTGGTGGGATTAAATTTCACCTATTGATTCATTTTAAGCACTGAAATCATTTCACGATCATCTTACAGTTGAACTTACTGTATGAAACGGCGACTCTTACCACGAAAAGGGTAATTATGTGAGATGATAGATATGTTAAATTGCTTAATTGTAATGATTTCACTATGTATGTGTATGTCAAACATCATGTTATATACCTTAAATTTATACAATAAAGCAAAAAGAAAAAGGAGGAAAAGTGAAATTAGATCAACTCTGGTTGAAGAGAGTCAAGGAATCCTTAGCCCACCTGCTTGCCCCGAGCTAATAACCCTGAAGCGACTAACGAATCTACCCCATTCCTCCAGCCCCCACCAGGATTCCAAGAAACACAATCTGAAATCTAAATTGGCCCAATACTCTTTTAAAAAATTAAGTTTACAATAAAAACCAGTAGTCAAGGTGGCAGGACAGACTTCTCGGGAAAAAGAAAAAAGAAGAAAGAAAAAGAAGTCCTAACAGACTCACTCCTCTGCTCCCCATAGCCCATTGCCTGCCCTAGATTCACTGTCTTTTCCCATCGTAGCCCAGGCTGTCTATGCTACACTTCATCTGACAGCACAGAGCTGGTCTGTCCCAGTGCACACTGCAAGGAAGAGACATTTCTCGGCACCTGTGTGTCTGTAGGTGCCTCCAGCCAAACCCTGCATTTGAACCATTGGAAATGCAGCTGACCTTCCCGTAGGAGCTGACATCCTTCACTCATAGCACTCATTGGGCAATCAGACAGCATCCCAGTGACATTCTCCACAGCTGCTGGCAATGGCCTTTAATTCATCTGGTATTTAACCAGGGTGAAGCATCCTCTGGCTGTAACATGTTTGTTGGTGTGAGCTGAGCCTGGCTCATCTTCCGCTCCCTCAAGTTCAGGGTTTCACACCAATTTAGAGCCTGCCAGCAATACAGCCATTGTACAAAATACTCTCCTTCCATATTCAGTGTGTGTTTTTGCATTTTTATCCTTTCGGTCACGTCTTGGTCAACGGAGAATCACAGAGTAGAGCTGGAAAAATATCATTTTACAGATAAAGAAATAAGGCCTAGAGGACCATACAACTTGCAAATAGAGTCAGGATGCCGTCAGTCTTTCTGATTCCAGATGCATTTCTCATAGACACATATTATCTCAGTATTAGAGTCCTCATCTCACATCAGGTCAAAGCAGTGTTCAGCCAGGCCTGGAAATCACAGAATATCTTTTAACATCTTAAAGAAACCATGTATTTTTTTGGTAACCCCAAAATATCCATGCAACCGTGTTTATATCTCTCTCCAGAATCTTCTTAGCATGAGTTCTCACAGAGGAAAATGTGAATAAATATCTCTGAATGTAGATTTTGTAATCAAAGCAGGGCCACGTAGGAGGAAACATAGGTATGTGTATGAGAATTCTAATAGTTTTTCAGTGGTTCATAAGCTTCTGACTTGAACCTGTTGAGTTAATTAATCTATGTCACTGGAAGGAAGGACACTCATAAACAGCTCCCATTAGTGGGGTAAATAGGCCCATGACAGGCCCAAAGTCACAACTTTGAGTCTCAGATTCTGCTGTTAAGCTCTTCATATTTCTATCCCACAAGTTTTTGACTCGTATTTGGTCATATTAGTAAAAAGGCGCTCTTCCTGAAAAGTGGACAAAAGCATCACAAACACTTAAAAGAGATTTCCCCAATCATGAATAAAGAAGTGATTATTTTGGCTAATCACCTATTCTAAATGACTTAGCAAGTCCTCATCAATCCTGGTGTACACTCTTGAGAAAACTTATACTTCTCTATAATTACTTGATCAGTATCTCTTTCCCTACTCAACTGGATTCTCCATGAATATGAAGGCTTGGTCTTATTCAAAGCCCTGTTCCTCAATTCCTTTTCACAAGATGCCCAATAAGTATTTTTGGAATTAGTGATCTTTGAGTCAATTTTCTGTTATTGCAAAGATATTGGTTAGAATTATTGTTATTGTTATTTGCAAGTAACCAAAAACACATCATGCTTAAGCAAAATAAGAAATTTATTCCTGCACCCCAGGAACAAACTGAAACCAGGGGATCTTTCTCACTCTCTTCACCACTTTCTTATTCCTACTTCTTTCAGTTCCTTCCTTTTCCCTTGCCTAATTTTCTTTCTCACTACAAATCAGCTTTCTCTGTGTCTCAGTCCACAGGCAAAATTTTACACATCTGTATTTCAGCACCTGGAAAAATATAAAAGAGATTTTAAATCCAATGTCAAGTTTCTGAAGAAGGGACTTACAAGACAATCTCTTTCATAGGGGGAAAGGAGAGGGATCACATTGTGTGGGCGGCTGCTTTCATGTTAGCCATTTGGGTGAGTTTGCCACAGGGCAACTCCTAAAAGGAGATCCACTTCAGGGGCTTTCTATTTTTCCGCATTTCGTCTCGTGTGAACCAGTTGTTCATTTTGTTAACTTTTCCCTTTTTATATTTTTTATTCTTTTCTTTTTTCTTATCAATACTTCATAATTTAGAGTAGAAACCCCTGTAAATATTTTAAGTAAAAGGAATTTAACACAGATAATTAGATGCCTATAAAATCCCTGGAAATTCTATAGGAGCAGGCTCTAGGCTGGCCCCCTAAAAACGACTCCTAAATCATCACAGAACTGGTCCTTAAAAGCTGCTGCTATAATACATCTGCCACCATCAGGAAGAACACGCCACTGCAGCTGAGACCAAAGGAATAAGAAGTCCCCACCGTTCCAGCCCAAATGTCTCCTGACAACCACAAAGGTGGGGATGAGACCCTGGAATGTTACTTTAGACCTCACATCTCCACAGCTGTACCTAAAACCAAAAATGAAGAGCCAACAGCAGCATCTGGCACACTTCTGCCTCTAAATCCTCACAGGAATGCATTAATGGGTGAATCTATTTTGAATCTACCACCCTACCTGCAAAGGAGCCTGGGAAATATCCATTTTTACCTTTCTACCTCTGATGTATTGGAAGGCACATGAAAAGGAGATGGCATAAGATCCTAAGTGCTACTTGACCATGACACACACACACACACACACACACACACACACACACGAGTATGTTCAGAGAGATTTAAATTTTTAAACACGTTGGCCAGTTTTTCTTATTTGTCATTTTTCCCATTGCTTCAAAACTTATAATGTCATCTTATTCCAGGGAGGTTTAATAAGTATTACATCCTGGTTTCTTATTATCTTCTTATTGGTACTATCATTTGATAATAAGACAGACACAAAAACACAAACATAAAAATGTTTGCTGGGAAATTATTGGGGAATGATTATTGTATTTTTTCTCAAAATTATATTCAGCACTATTGTTTTTAGAACCAGAAAATCCCCACAGTGATCAGAAACAATGTGCAGGCTAATACAAATTCTACTTTGGCATTTTTGGCCATTGTAAATGGCCATGGGCAAATCATGTCACAGGACTCTGATGTGCCATTTTTAAATGCATAGGTGAGAAGTTATCCTCAACTCTGGTCTATTCTCAAAAGACAGCTGATGACGCAGAATGCCACAGGATCAGGAAGAGCAAGGCAACTCAGGTGTCATAGGCACCAAGTGACATTCCCTATTTCATTTGAAGCTTAATGCAGAAATGATTTTTATTTTCTTATAACTATTTACCTTGAGGCTTTCTAAACTCTTTGATTTTTTAAAAGTCAGATCCATTAAACCTAGTCAAAAGCAGTCATTTTATTTGGTAGTTAGAAGAAAACTCCCACACGCAGAGATTTGCTTTCATCACACCATATTGGCATCCTCTCCCTCCTCCTTGCGGTAAGCCAAGGGGACTGAATGCCAGTCTATGGAAGATGGTTTTCAAGAAGCAGTGTCTGTCTTTCCACACAAGTCCTGGGGCCGTAGATGGAATTGTGGTCCTTGCAGCTCCCTCAGTAGTACAATTTGTTGCTTTAGTCAATTGAGGGCTCGCTCCAGCTGTTACAACCTTGAAGAAAGCAACCTTCTCCAATGTGCCTTTCAAAGGACTTCATGTCTAAAACACCAAAAGCAATGGCAACAAAAGACAAAATTGACAAATGGGATCTAATTAAACTAAAGAGCTTCTGCACAGCAAAAGAAACTACCATCAGAGTGAACAGGCAACCCACAAAATGGGAGAAAATTTTCACAACCTACTCATCTGACAAAAGGGCTAATATCCAGAATCTACAATGAACTCAAACAAATTTACAAGAAAAAAACAAACAACCCCATCAAAAAGTGGGTGAAGGACATGAACAGACACTTCTCAAAAGAAGACATTTATGCAGCCAAAAAACACATGAAAAAATGCTCACCATCACTGGCCATCAGAGAAATGCAAATCAAAACCACAATGAGATACCATCTCACACCAGTTAGAATGGCAATCGTTAAAAAGTCAGGAAACAACAGGTGCTGGAGAGGATGTGGAGAAATAGGAACACTTTTACACTGTTGGTGGGACTGTAAATTAGTTCAACCATTGTGGAAGTCAGTGTGGCGATTCCTCAGGGATCTAGAACTAGAAATACCATTTGACCCAGCCATCCCATTACTGGGTATATACCCAAAGGACTATAAATCATGCTGCTATAAAGACACATGCACACGCATGTTTATTGCAGCACTATTCACAATAGCAAAGACTTCGAACCAACCCAAATGTCCAACAATGATAGCCTGGATTAAGAAAATGTGGCACATATATACCATGGAATACTATGCAGCCATAAAAAATGATGAGTTCATGTCCTTTGTAGGGACATGGATGAAATTGGAAATCATCATTCTCAGTAAACTATTGCAAGGACAAAAACCCAAACACCGCATGTTCTCACTCATAGGTGGGAATTGAACAATGAGAACACATGGACACAGGAAGGGGAACATCACACTCTGGGGACTATTGTGGGGTGGGGGGAGGGGGAAGGGATAGCATTAGGAGATATACCTAGTGCTAAATGATGAGTTGATGGGTGCAGCACAGCAGCATGGCACATGTATACATATGTAACTAACCTGCACATTGCGCACATGTACCCTAATACTTAAAGTATAATAATAATTAAATAAATAAATAAATAAATAAATAAATAAAAACACAATATAAAAAAAAAAAAGACTTTGGTGAGCCACTTCCCCCACCTTGATTGTGGGCAATTATGTGTGGTCTGCTGAAGGAGGAAGTTCATTGATACTGTATTCTAAATCAGTAGTTCTCAATCTTTACATCAAAATAAACTTTAGAGATTTAAAAAAAAATTATATAGATACTCCCAGAGATTCAGATTCAATTGCCGGGCATGGGCCTAAGTATCAGTATTTTTAAGCAATCCAGGTGATTCTATTCTGCAGCCACAATTGACAACCACTGCCTAAAATTTTAACCAGCTATAGTGACCAATTTGTCCTTGTTTGTCCAGGTTTCCTCATTTTAAAACTGTAAGTCTCATGCCCAAGGAAGCTTTCAGTCCCAGGTAAACCAGAACAATTGGTAACCCCAGGCCTAGAAGTCTGTGCTCTCAACCTCCTAAAGAAGACCTGAGTCATATAAATCATATAAATGCACAGGCTCTGTAATTATGAAGAGGAAGTAGCACTAGGCTCACAGTCCAAAAACCCAAGTTTAAGCCTTTCTTTTTGCCATTCCTAACTATGCGACTTTGGGGAGAGTCACTTAACTCCTTACAGATTGAGTGTCCTCAGTTCCCTGCTTCTTCACTGCCATGTCATTATGGGGATCAAATAACAGCTCACATACCAGAAGAGGAGACTGAAGTTCAAGGAGGATAAATGACAATGCTGGGGTCATTGAGTCCGTAAGACATGTGACCTGACTTCCAGGCCTGATTGTCTTCCACTGCAGCTGTCATGTAAGAATGCAAAGAGGGATTCTCATGGCTACGACTGACCTATGAATCACCATCGCAGGCTGAGAGCAAAGCAGCGGGCCATTCACATTCCACACACTAGCTTCAGTGTGTATATTTATGAACTTTTCTCTTTGATGTTTATTTTGAAGTAGGATTGTCTGTATTCAATGTGTTTGGAGGAGATAGCTTAATTTGCCCCAACTTCCAGCTCCTGGGGGTGGGTGTAGACTGTGCCTGAGCAGGTGCTTGAAGGGAAAATTTCAGCTACCTCTCCCATCATTGTGTTACAACTGCCTACAGTATTCAGTACAGTAATATGCTATACAGGTTTGTAGCCTAGGAGCAATAGGCTACACCATTCAGCCTATGTGTGTAGCAGGCTATACCATGCAGGTGTGTATTAGTACACTCTGTGATGTTCAGATGATGAAATCATCTAATGATGCATTTCTCAGAACATCTACCCATCATTAAGCAATGCATGACTGTAGTTGCCTAGTGAGAATCACAAAATCTTTCTCTAATTAGAATTTGTACTTAAAGGATATTACTGTGTACCTTTAAAATAGCACACAAGCCACATAAAATGTAATATTCAACAAAACATATTTGCTAATCCAGTTCAAATAGAAAAATAATTTTTAATATTAAATTAAATGCTATTTAATATTTAAATTATCATTAATATCATTTTGAATATTTTTATGGGCAAGATACTTTATATAATTACATTTCATCATCATTATTGTCTTCTAAGGCATTATTACCTCATTTTTAAGAAGAGAAAATAGGCTCTGTGAGTTTAACTGACTTGTTTGGTGTCACTTAGCTAGATTGCTGGTAGGGGAGGGACTTGTAATTTGCCTGACTACCATTTTCTCTTATTCTACACATTCTACCTAATGTCTAAATAGTTCCCTCAACAGAATCTATGTGTTTCTAGGATCACTATTTATCCTTTGTCTCCTATCACCTAGTACATAAATGTTTAGTATCTTAGAATCCCAACTTTCCATATATTTCACCATATACCCCTTTAAATTCTCTATGAAGTGTCTGACCAGATCACAGACAAAGGAGAATTGGGGCTAGACTTATCAGTCCCTTCTCTCTAACTCAGTGAATATCTCACTACCATTGACCAGCTGGATGTCAGCATGTCACACATTATTCTGAGAGCGTAGTAAGAGCCCCTCAGGTCGGCAGATAATCAAGAAACAGTGTTACGAGAGTTGACATCTTATGAATAATTATTTTAAAAATCTGTTCATTTATGTCCCTTCAACTCCAGATGAACGAGTTGGTTCTACCAAGTTGCTCAGTCAAACTGTGATGGGAACATTTCTTAAACAAGATGCCAGTTGCCCTTATTTTTTTAAAGCAACTTTATCCAAGGGCTATATTGTGAGAGTGTATTGTTAAAGAGTATATGAAAACTGAGTGTAAAACAGGGAACTCTTGGACTCTTCCGGGAATTCCTCTTAGAGTTGTTGGGCCTTAGTTCTTTTCCTGTTTCATATCAGCATCTAAACATATCTAAACATAGAACAGATACAGTAAAAATATGGTATTATAATCTTATGGGAACTCTATTATATACATATATATATATGTAGTCCATTGTTAACTGAAACATTGTTGTGTGGTGCATGATTGTATATTATTTTATGTCTATTATGCAATTGTCTTCTAGATTGGTTTCAGAAAGGCTCAGGTCTTTGTTATGATTCTTCCCTATGTTAGCTAAGTGGCCTTCACAAAAGCAACCTATGTGGGACAGGATGTTTATTTTATGCATAAAATAGGACAATCTTACCCTTCTTACCTCACAGGGTTTCAGAAAAAGGCCAAAGAAAATGTGTACAAAGCTGTAAAGTACAATAGTAATGAGAAAGATCATTATTCTGAAGAGTCCTGTGAACTCCTGAAATTCACATCTGTGGGCTTAGAGAAGTAGGTTTTCACTGGGTATATAGGCTATAAACCCAGAGAAATCTTGAGACATCAGGGTTGAACCAAGTCCGCCTCCTGGGGTTGAACTGTCTTCTTCCATATCTTGTGGGGAAATTACTCTGTCTTGACCAGTATCCTGCAATACTCCTTAGGTAGAGCCATTTTTCCTCCTTCCCTATACCCTAATACTACTTGCATAGGTCATAAAAGAGGCCACACTCAGAGATAAATATCAGTCAGGCTTAAGAATTTTCATAACAGAACGTCAACCTTACTCCACAGCACAGGGATTCACTTTAGGCAAAAGCACAGAAGCTCTAAATTCAATGGCCACCAGAGAAGGTAACACTGAACTCCCTAATTTCTCTATCCTACATTTCAAAAACCAGTTTAAAAAATGGATTCTTAAGACAGATAGTCAAATCATGGTTCAATCTTTTAATATATGAGGATTCCTTATAAGCCTAAACAATTATCAAGGCCCTCCCCAAATGATAGTAGTTTTATTTAGTAACCATTGAGAAAATACATAGTCATCAAAGACACCACCCACCACCATGAGTTCAAAAGCATTATAATAAAAAACTTCACCTATACCTGCAAGAACAGCCATACACATCTGTGTGAGATCTGTTTATTCAGTCTGTTGGGAATATGTGGTGAAGAAACTCTTATGAAAGCTACTGAGGTCTGCATGAGTACTTTGGACGCTGGTTGAGAATCACTACTCCTAGATCAGAAAGGCTTTCATTTCCTTGGCTTTGCCCCAGCGAAAACACCTTCACTCTGCTATACTTGAATATGTTATACTCAGCTTTTATGGAAGTTTGAATAATGATCATTATGTTATCTTACACCACTTATAAGCAGACAATGAATTTGTTTCAGAATTTAATGCCAGAATATGCTTTTATTTCCTAAATAACAAATGCATAGTTTTGATAGCATAATAAAAATTGTTCAGGCAAGTGACAAATATATAAAGGAATATGCTTGCCTGCCCAGGACAGCCTTCTAGAGTGGCAGTTCCAGAGTCTGATCCTTTAATCACAGCAGTTTCTGCCAGACTCAAAACTGACCCACACTAACCAAACTCGAGAGACCAATAGATAAATCAGAATGCTAACATGTGATTTCACAAAAGAGGAGATACCTTATCCAGTGAAAGAACACCAGTGTCCATTATCCAGCATACTGCCTACCCAGTATTAAAGTATTTAAGGGTCAAATTATTCGTCAAAGCTTGGCTAGTGAATATTGACTCTGACAAACACAACCAGCAGTTTCTTGTAAGTTTATTTCTCCTTTTTTATGTACCTGGCCAAAAACATTCTTAAGGACACTGCTTCAAACAATCTCTGTGCTTGTTTCTGTCTTTCTTGATAAGATTTTTAATAAATTTTCATCCAACTTGAAGTGCCCCTACCTCTATGGTTGGGTTCACCTAGAAGCAGACCATAAGAAAAAGAATAAATTCAAATCATTTATATGGAAGGAGATTCCAGCCACCACTGATGAGAGTTGGGAAGTGTATTAGTCGGTTCTTGCATGGCTATAAAGAACTACCTGAGATTGGGTAATTTATAAAGAAAAGAAGTTTAATCTACTCACAGTTCCACATGGCTAGGGAGGCCTCAGGAAACTTACAATCATAGCAGAAGGTGAAAGAGAAGTAGGCACATCTTCACCTAGCCAAAGCAGGAGGAAGAGAGAGCAAAGGGGGAAGAGAGCTACACACTTTTAAATATCCAGATCTTATGAGAACACTGTCATGAGACAGCACTAGGGGGATGGTGCTCAGCCATTAGAAATGACCACCATGACCAATGGCCTCCTAACAGGCCCCTCCTCCAACACTGCGGATTACAATTTGACAGGAAATTTGGGTGGGGACACAGAGCCAAACCATATCAGGAAATAAGATGAAAAGGGTGAAAAAAACTCATCTTAGGGTGTGTTAGGGAGCAGGTTATCATTGTGGCATCTGGATCTCAATCCCACTGGAGATCTTTGGGGGATGACAGAGCACTCCTTAGTAGTTTTTTTGCCATATGGCTTCCTCAGTATGGCTGCTTATTTCAAGTGAGCAAGGAGGATCTCTGCTAAGAAGTCTTATGTAACATAGCATCATCACAGGGGTGACATCTCTCACTTTTGCCATATAGTGTAACCTAATCAAGTGGGTGACATCCCATCATTTTTGACATATTATATTGGTTAGAGGCAAGTCCCAGGTCCTGCACACACTCCAGAGAATGAGATTACACAAAGGAGTACACATTACGGAGTGGAAAATCACTGGAGATCACCTTAGGGTCTGTCAGCCACAGACACACAGTGAGTACTCAATAAATATTAATTTGCTTCTTTTGTCTTGAATTCTTTCATGACTACATATATTATTACCATCACAATACATGTAAACTGGCATAAAGATCCATGATGGACATTGACATTTGGGATTGAGAAAACAATTCAGACATGACAGCTCCATGGTGACACTGTCAGATCACATTACCTGCCAGTGCACAGTTATCACACATTTAATGTGGTGAAATGTTATGGCCACATCACAGTCAGGTTGAGTTGATGGTTTTAATTTGGGTATAAGGCTAGAGCTATGCTGATGCTTTTCACCGCTGGCTAGACCAAGGGGAGTCACATTTCCATGAGTTTCTGCTATCAAGAGGAAAGCTTTGTTTCCTCTTCATCTTGAACTTTTCAAGCACATGAAAGCTAGTACTTACCAGGTGGAAAAAACTGTCATTAGACATTAGTCCCTTGCATTTTATATTGAATGAGATTCTGAGTGAGTTATGAAAATATAGGAGTTGGCATATTCAAGCTCTGGGAACTCCAAGTGGCAATTGAAATTTGGCTTTCCTAAGGACTTGATGAAAAAGCTCGTAGAAGTCCACGGACAGTAGCTTCCTCAAAGTCACCCAAGGATAAGCTGCAAAAATGCTTTATATGCATGTAGCCACTGTCATTTCCAACTCCTCTTCCAACCCTGCTGAATGGATCTCCAAGAAAAAAAAGTGCCTTGGCAGTCAGCCTTTATTGCAACAAGAAACTTTCATGATTCAACTTTGAGGATTATATTCTTGGAGTTGACCCCTGTTGATTTTTAAGAGATTAGGCTTGTTTTATTTATTGCTGATGGTATTACCAATGTATATGGGCTGAGGACTCTAAAAGTGAAGTAGCAGGATTTTCTTTGGTTTTAAATGTCTTGTCCATGAACTCAGAACCTGCGAAGTCTGAGGTTGTAAAATTGGAAACAGTAAACACTGTAAAGAAGGCAGACGCTATTTTAGAAGTTCTAATTTATAAAGTTCTGCTGTCCACCTGTAGATATCCTTGATGATGTCATTGGTGAAAAGGGTCCAATTAGTCCTAAAACTCACAGGACACTTGATCCAAAAACCACCAGAATAATTCCCACAGCTCTATGCAGTCCACCATTAAGGTTGTGAATACCTTGGCATTAATTGTCAGTCGTCAACTCAAGTCAGCTATTAGTGAAAAACAACCTCTCACAACATCAATTTTTACTGACCCTATTATTAACCAAAGACATTTAATATAAAGCTGATAGAAATATTTCTATTGATCATAAGAAATCAAGTCAATCCCAGTTGATAAGGAGGCTTATGGAATTAGGTGTCATAAGGTACACCACTACAATTTCAGTCATTGGTTCTGATCTTCTCCTTCCTTCCATCCTTTGGCACCTAGCTCCATACTCTGGTTTCTCATTCTTGCAGTTTATGAATAATGGAAATCTTGTTCTACTCATCTCTGAGGACTTATCCAGATAATAACATCTGTTGGTTATTGTCAGATGTTTCTATTGTTCTGCTGCTCCCTGATTTTGAGGCTTGCCGTGGTGATGCCTTCTCCCAATGAGAAGAGTGAGTATGTTGGTGGTAAGCTTCCTGGCTCCTCTGTTGGACATCTAAAAAGATGATGCGTATGCTTACATTTTTTTAAATTTCATTTCATCATAGATCTTCATCACCTAGGTCTTTCATCACAGATCTTCTAGTGAATAGAATTATCTATACAAGAATTCACCCTATCTTTAATAGATGATCTGTGACTTAAGTTGGTTCAGGGCTTTGAAGCTAATAGGATATAACATTGAGTGATAATACAGAGTTATAAAATTGCTGCTTTTTTCTTAGATTTTTTCTGAACTAGGTGCTGCCACCCAAATTTGGAGAGTTTTCTCAGCCATGTGACCAGTTGCCTTATGAGTTTTATCAGGAACTACTGGAAATGTTACCCATTTATCAGATGCAAAGCTGAGGAATATCGTCTCAAGCTTCCTGAATGACTTTACATCTTAAATACCTGTGGATTCATACATTACACATGAGGTTGCTTCTGACATTATTTTTTAATGATATTTTGATATAGACTTCAATAGTACATCATTTTGTACAGAAATGTCATTAAAAATAACTTTTTTTTAGCTCATTGCATAACAAGGGGAAGAAGTATAAGGAAATACATAAAATCACGGCTCTGGGGTCAGATGGCCCTGAGTTGAATTCTGTGTCTGTCACATACCACCTGGTATCCTTGAGCAAGCTACTTAAACTCTCTAAGCCTTAATTTCTTTATTACTAAAGTGAGGATAACAGTAGCTACTTCATAGAACTGTTGTGATGATTGTGTGGGTTACCTGAAATAATCCATGTAAGATGCTTTGTATAGGGTCTGGCATATATTAAACACAAAACAAATCTTTATTTCTGCTGTTCTTGTTATTATTTCAAAAAAGCCCTGGCTAGTTTAGAACTAGAAAATGTAGACTAAAAAATAAGTCATACTTTAAGCAGATTAGTTAGGACAGTGCTATCCAATAGAAATATTATATGATTCAAGCTTCATATGTAAATTTAAATGTCCTAGTAGTCTCATTAAAAAATATAAAAAGGCAGAGGTGAAATTAAATATGTTTTATGTAACCGAATAGATGTAATCTAATATATCTGAATTATTATTTCATTATGTAATCAATATAAAAATTATTAATGAGGTATTTTCATTTCTTTTTCATACTCAGTCTTTGAAATCTAATGTGGATTTTATACTTCCAGCACATCTTTGTGTGGACCAGCCACATTTAAAGTGCTCAATAGTCACCAAAGCTACTGGCTACTGTCTTCGAAAGCACAATGTTAGAAACTTTTATTTTAAATGGACTCTTGAAGGTTTCTCCTGTTGTGCAGGTGGTGAATGTAGTGGGAGTGATATACACCAGTGACTCTCAAATATGCAGAAGAATCACTAGAGGGTAGGTTAACATGAAAATTCCTAGGTCCCAACTCTAAAGATTCTGATTAATTGGGTCTGGCATAAGGATTAAGAATTTGCATTTCCAAGCTTGGCATGGTGGCTCACATCTGTAATCCTAGCACTTTGGAAAGCCAAGGCAGGCAGATTACTTGAGGTCAAGAGTTTGAGACCAACCTGGCCAACATGGTGAAACCCTGTCTCTACTGAAAATACAAAAATTAGCCAGATGTGGTGGTGCACACTTGTAATCCCAGCTACTCGGGAGGCTGAGACAGGAGAGAATTGCTTGAAGTCGGGAGTCAGAGGTTGCAGTGAGCCGAGATAGTGCCACTGCACTCCAGCCTGGGTGACAGAGCGAGACTCTGTCTCAAAAAAAAAAAAAAAAAAAAAAAAGAATTTGCATACCCAGCAAGCTCCCAATTGATGTTCCGTGGACCATATTTTTGAATACCATTTGTGCAAAGTTTCTCTTTTTGAATTTTACCATTAACTTTGCTGTTTTCATAAGTTTTTCAAACAGAAAAGACTAGATATGCTTATTGTGGCCACAATAATAGAAATAACTTTTCCAAGGCACACATATCAGTCCCTGCTTTTAACAGCCCTACACACTTACAGAGTCAAAAACTGGCAGCCTGTTCACACTACTCTGCCAGATGTTGAGCCACTGGGGCCCAATCCTGGTCATATCTGAGGAGCCTCATCTCCACCATGTTGCTTGGTCTTAATACCCTAAATCTGGTGATTTGGCATGGATCCCCTTCAGCTCTGTGCCTCCTCAGTGGTAACCTCTTCCTTTTAATCATCAGGGGCTCTGCCATTACTATTACATTGAGTGTGCATTTCAGATAATTTAGTACAATGAAGCTGCTCAATTTACATGGTAATTTTGTTCTAAAAATCAGTTTAGTATGTCTAGCAATGTCCTTCTTTGTGGTACATATTCATTGCCTCTTCTTTTGCTTGAATATAAATGACACCAGTATTTAGGCAGTAGGTCATCTGTGTAAACAGATATCTTCAGGTTAGTGTTTACATGTTGAATAATCTTCATGACTTATGATATTTTCATTGAAAAATGATGTTAAATGATTGTGGTGAAAACTATGGGTTGCTCTTGTATTTATAGAGAAAGCATCCACCATCTTGTTTTACTAAGGCACTATTTCAACAATCCACCTGTCTGGTGCCCCCTAGATGAAGATATTTAATGAAATCTCCATACCGTTTTCCCTTAAAGAAAGCTCTTTATCATTTAGTTGGGGAATACTATGTAGACAAAGGAAAAATGTCTTAGTAGTGTTTAAGTCCACTAAAAACACCAATAAGTGCGGTGTGCCTGGTGATCAATACAAAGGGAAGAAGGAAATGGACCGAATAAATATACATAAGTTTAAATGATAGCTCTGCCATTTAACAGCTTTGTAATATTAGGCAAGTTAGGCTACTTATT
Organism: Homo sapiens; assembly: GCF_000001405.40. NCBI lineage: Eukaryota > Metazoa > Chordata > Mammalia > Primates > Hominidae > Homo > Homo sapiens. The sequence goes on along the minus strand of NC_000003.12, from coordinate 27,931,406 downwards.
TATTTCTATAAGCTCAGTTTCTTCATCTGCAAAACAGGAATAACGAAACTTCTATTTAACGAAGTGACTATGAAGATTAAATAAGGTAATCTAAGTCCAGCCTTAGATTACTCAATATAAGTCAGCTGTTATTGTTGTTACAGAAGAGAAAGAAAATATTGTTAGTTTGGTAATCTGAAGGGCATCATGGAAGAGATGGCATTTGAGTTAGGTCTTGGAAATTGCTAGGAATTGCTTGGTCTTGATTTTTTAAATTATCTTAAAACATGTACTACAAATCCACTGCATAAAAGATTAAAATTGTAATGAAGAAAAAAATGATTTCACCTTTCCAAGGTGAATAAAATATTAACACTGATAATATTTTAGTGTGCTTTCTCATTCATCACTTGTGTATTTTTTATTATTTTATGTGGGACAAGGTGTTAAATACAACTCTTCCTTTTTACAGGATGAGGTTTTACAGGATGCCAAGTGCCACTCTAAAGCAAGGAACTAAACCATCTATACAGAAATTGCATTTGGGGTGCTCTTTTGCCAGCATTATTCCACTTCATCCTAAAAAAGAAAAGGTAAAGACGTCATTAGGAAGTAGGGAGATTTGTAAAAAAATAATTCCTTTAGGTCAATGGACCTGGACAATTTTGCCCCACCAAGGACATTTGACAACATTTGCAGATATTTTTGGTTGTCACAGCTGGGAGTTGATGCTACTAGCATCTTGGAGGTAGAGACCAGGGATACTGCTTAATATCTACAACACACAGGACAGCCTCCCACAACAAAAGATTATCAAGTGGCAAATGTTAATAGTGCCTACTGCGATAGCTTGGCTAAGGTCCTCTGAAATTTGGTAAACACACATAGCAGTATTTGATTCACCCTTGGGAAAGCTCTGAAGAGCAAGGGCTGACTGCAGCTATCAGTGGCAAAAGAAGAAAGAAAAAGAAGCTCAAGATAAGAAGTACTTGCACTTTGAGAGTGCAGTGGGTTAAGGACCCCTGAGTTTTCTGGGCTAAATGAACAATGACTTGAATCATTTCAAAAAGGATCTGTTGTAAACCAGATCTCCAGAACTTTTTCATCTTGCAAAACTGAAACTCTATACCCATTAAATGGCAACTCCTGGTTTCCCCTTCTCCTACCCCTAACAACCACCATCCTACTTTCTATTTCTATGAATTGAACTACTTTAGATATAAGAGGAATAATACAGTATATGTATATGTCTTCTTGTGACTGGCTTATTTCACTCAGCATATTTTCAAGGTTCATCCATATTGTTGCAAATGAAAGGATTTCCTTTGTTATTGAGGCTGAATAACATGTCATTGTATGTGTGTACCACATTTTGTTTATCCATTCATCTCTCAGTGTTTTTTAAGGAATTCATCCATTCTTATTGACATGGAAGTAGAGAATAAATTGACCCATTGTCCCCTCTATGAATTGTTTGTACATACTAAATTCTGTGGAGACTAGTTATATCCTTTCCTTTTCACTCCTAGCATTCAATGATTAAAATAATTTTTTCTCACTCGTGACTTTTCATTTTAAGTTTTCCTGATCATGATATATTGTTTTCTTATCTTTCAAATATTTGGGCAGAAATAATGTGATTGTGTAGTACATTTATCTTGGAATGTGTAATATATTTAAATTATATTTATATAATGAACCATTAAACTTTAATAGCAATTAACATTTTGTGAGAAAATTTTCACAGCTACCAATAAATAATTGCTATAATTAGATTATTTTGTGGTAATGGTAAAGGAACGTTACTTATTATAGCATAATTTACATCATAATACTATGAAAGTATTCTTAAACTTAAATTGGAAATGCCACAGCATCTTTTTAGTAAAATAAATGCCAAATGCTATGAACTAATAAATGAAACACAAAATTTAGTAAAATATTACCAATAAGGATTTTTTCTTTCTTTATTTTAAGGTATTTTCTCAGGAGTACATGAATGAAAAATAACTTCTAATATTAGAAACATTGTTTATTGTTACATCAATAAAATCTTTTGCTTGTTGAATTTGTTCCTTTCTTCATGAGTTAAAGCAAAATATCTATCTACTCTGCTATGAATGACACTTTACTTGATTGGTCAGAGAATTGTCCTAATAAATACACAAATAGCCTATCTTTGAAACCTAAAAAATTACAATAAAATATTTTAAAAGGTTCAAAATACTAAACCTGTCTACAATATGAATGACATTATCTTAATTATCTTGTCCTTGTATAGGACACATCCTGGATATCCATAAGCAGCAGCCATGTTCCTTTGTTGGAGACACACATTCTGAATGTCTGGAGACCACTGCACTAGCATAATGTAAGCACTAATCAACATGGGCATTACTGTTACTATTATTAAAAACAAAATTTAAAGTAGTTAATTTTATCAACCTATGGTTTATGATTTTCTCCATAAGTTTTGCATTTGATTTTTCCTTATAGAGTTGTTTCCACCTTTGAGATTATGGCACTAATTATCTATATTTTCTGCTATTTTAATATTTAAAAATGTTTTAATTGTGTTAAATTTATGTTGATCCATAATACATATTAAGAATTGAATTTCCCCCAAAATTTTGTCTATTGTGTAATCACACTTTATTTAATAATTTTTCTCTAGTCATTTCTGAAAAATTTTTCATATACTGGAGTCTGTTTCTGGAATGTTTTATATGTGTCTATTTGTTTACCACCGACACTATTTTATTCACTATAGCTTTATAACACATTTTATTATCTGAGAGAATGAATCTTTACTCTTTATGCTTTGGTTCTCTTTTTTCATAAAATATTTTTGCACATTTGTTTTTTCAGAAATATAATATCAGATTTCAGAGTACAGAGATAAAGAGACAAAAGATATTCCACAAAGGGAAACAAAGGTGAAAAACAAACAAACAAATAAACAAAAAAACACCCAATGAAGGGATGCTCCCTAGGCCCAAAATAAGGTTGTGTTTTAGAAAGTCATCTTTTTTTTTTTTTTTCTCATCTCTACTATCTTAAAGCTAGATTTGTCTTCTGGTTTGAATAAGCTAGATTAAAAAATTAGGGAAGGATAAAATTTACACGTACTCTAGTGGAAATGCATATCAATACAGGAGTCTTATCACAGCATTCGTATCTTATTTAATTTGCTCTTTAGAGCATGTCTATGTAAATAGAAAGTTTCCAAAAATATTCTGAGGAAGTAAAATTTTATGATCATAATGGGTTTTCCTGAATGTGATAGTTGCCTCACACTGCCTTCCACAGAAACCCTTCCTCCCACCACTTTTTGTGAAGTGTCATATAGTCTTTTAGTAAACCTGAGTCAAGATTCAAGGAAGTCCCTGGTTTTAAAATTGGGAGGTTTTGGCCTGGTTTCATTTTGAGATTTTGGAGGTAAGAGAAACTCAAAACAAAATGAAAGCTCTGTAAATATCCAAACCTCCATTTTACAATAAATATTTTCTAATGCCTTGTGTTCTGTTCTGAATGAAATTTATAACAATTTAACCCCCACACACAGATTTTTAAAAATCAACATTATGTTCTGACTTTAATATAAAGGAGAAACAGAATGAAAGAAATTTATAATTTCAATATGTAAATGCTTGGTACAGTCACACTAAAAGGTATAGTGAAGTTGTTAGATATTGAACACCATGAACAAAATAGCTACAAATTCAGACCAGTGGGTTGTCTGTGGTGGTGACAACTCAAAACCCTAAGTTCAACAATTGTTAGTAATGTGATATTCCACAATGGTAAACAACTTTTGATAAAGTTCAGCCTAAACCAAAGTACAATCTTCTCTTGATTTTTATGTTATGGCACACTTGAAAAAGTCAGTGGATATGTAAAACAAGCTGCAATCTAGGCTCATCTGATACACATCCACTTCCTCAATGCATTCTAAAAGTACTGTAAATTCTTGACTTTCCTAAGGCATAGGTCTCTATGGGCCACCAAACATGACATTCCCAATATCATAGTGGAATAGAAGGCTGAATCCACCATGATAATCCCAGGTATTTCAGACAGACAGGAGTGAGCACAGATTGGAGAAAGGAGGATGGGTGGAAGACCACCCAAAATGAGCTCTCAAACACAAATGCCAAACTATGCAGGGAAAACTAACCCCAAGAAATTCAGCCAACAGAATCACCAAGAGATAAAGACACACACACACACACACACACACGCACGCACACACACACACACCCCATAGGCACATCAGAATATAAAAGAAGAATGAAAATAATTTCAGTAAATCATCCCAGTTAGATCTGTAGCTACATAAATAAAATATTTTTCCTTACTAAGTCTGCCATTTTTTAAGTGGGATACTTCTAATTAACAATCTTGTACAGAGAATGAGTGCTATATAACCTAAGGTAGAGTTTTACTGAGTATTTTTCTTGAGTACATCTCACATGCCACCTAAAGGGGAGAAACTACTTTAAACCAAATTTTTAAAAATTTTAACTAACAAATGAAATATCACAAAAAATAACCTCCTAGAAGTTCAAAATCAGAGAACTCACAGTCATTCCACCTAATGTCCACCTCCAGCAGAAATCTCAAATCTCTCTGCACCATCCATGACACCTGCCCAACTCATTCCCAGTGAAATAAGTCACTGCTTCCAGAGCCAGCATTCCCTTTCTGAACAGCTCTAACTGTAAAGAAGTCTTTGTTACACTAATTCAGAACCTGGCAGGTTCTGAGATTCACTAATTCAGAACTCTGAAACAAAAGTGAGTTTGAATCCTGGCTCTACCACTCATCAGCTGTATGAGCTTAGGTGAATTATTTAATTTCTCTACTCCTTCATTTCTTCACCTGGTAAATAGTGATAATAATAGGTATCTATGCTCTGAGCTATTGTGAAAAGTGTTAACTCATGTCAATGATTGGGACAGTGTCTGGAAAATAGTAAGTGCCATATAAAGGTTAGCAATCATTCCACCTTTGCCCTTCAATATTCTCTTTGAATACCACTAAACAACTGCTATCGTCTCACCTAAGGATCACAGATCTTTGTACTGTTTCTCCTGCTGCATGATTGTTATTCTCTTTCCATGCTCATCAGGCTCCAATTTGCTAATACTCTTTTGCAAATTTGATTGCCACGTTTAAACAGTGTTCATGTGTGCTCTGCTCTGTACAAGATAGAATGTGTTCGTTCATGCAGCAATTTACAATCAACACCTACTCCACTTTTATTAATATTTCCAAAAAAAGCTTGTTTGTATAGGGAGTTTGAACCTCAGTTTACAATATGAGAAATTTTAATTTCTTTATATTTTCTATTACTGAATTCAATTTATATTGTGAGTTCCCATGCTAGTGAGTGGCAGAGACTTAATATGAGTCAATTTAAATTTAGTTTCCCTCAGAGTTGCATCAAAATTCTGGAGCCATAGGTTCACAGAACTTATAATGTCAAGGTTTTAGGGATCAAATGGGAGACAATACGTGACTGTCAGTGGGTATCTACACTGTCATCCACGCAGATGCCCTGGTTCCCTTCAAATCTTCACTCTGTGTTTATTGGTAGTATTGCACCCTTCTGCTCCACTCTGTTGTTCCCATTACAAAGACTTCTTTAAGAGCCAGGTGCGGTGGCTCACACCGGTAATCCCAGTATTTTGGGAGGCTGAGGTGGGTGGATCACCTGAGGTCAGGAGTTCGAGACCTGCCTGGCCAACATGGTGAAACCCCATCTCTACTAAAAATACAAAATTAGCAGGGCGTAGTGGTGCACACCTGTAATCCCAGCACTTTGGGAGGCCAAAGCCAGTAGGTCACTTGAGGTCAGGAGTTCGAGACCAGCCTGGTCAACATGGTGAAACCCTGTCTCTACTAAAAATACAAAAGTAGCTGGGCATGGTGGCGCATGCCTGTAATCCCAGCCACTCGGGAGGCTGAAGCAGGAGAATCGTTTGAACCCAGGAGGTGGAGGTTACAGTGAGCCGAGATCATGCCACTGCACTCCAGCCTGGGTGACAGAGTGAGGAGACTCTGTCTCAAAATTTAAAAAAAAAAAAAAAGAAAGAAAAAAAAAACACTTCTTTAAGATGCTGATTCTCTTTTGAGTCACACCTGTGCCTGAAAAAATTCTTACTCTGGGACCCTGCTCTGAAATGTGGAGAATTCTGCTGTGTTTTCAGGCCCTATGACCATCTGCTGCTGCAATGCCATGCCACAACACAAGGAACTCCATGAGGTTCACATCACACACACAGTTAGGCTTCCTCATCCAGCTAGGTGATGGGGACTTTGGAGCTTGCCTCCTCCCTACCCCCACCCCCAGGCACTACCCGGAGACAGAGGCATAGGTCTCCTGGGATTGCCTATCTCCAAATGGATCCAGTTTCCTCAACTCTCAGCCAACCCCTACAACCTCAGAAAGCCACCAGGGCTCATCACGTCCTCTGAGAATATCTCCATCCTTCAGCATAGGGAATCTTGTTCATTTCCGTGAAGGAAATATCGACTCCGATTCATCATGTTTTCTTCTAAATAGCCATAGGCTCTTTTGAAAAATGGAAGTTACAAACTTCACCATATCTTAAAGTTTACTTTCTCCTATGGCAACCTTTACCCAAAGAAATGAAGGCAAAACACCTAGCTTCCCAAATTGGAGATAGAGAAAAGGAGGGATAAAGTTAGGAGTAATAGAGAACATGAGAAGAAAAGTATCAGAGTTTTAAATTTTCTCATCTTATTACCTTTTTGGTGATATTCAATCAAACTGAGTCAATTCCATGATCAAATAAGAAATATTTTCCCAGGACCTACTCCATGGCAAGCATTGTGTGATGAATAAGACACGGGCCTTATTTTCAAGACACTTACTTTCTTATCACTCAACTAGGTCTCATCCTTTCCATTTCCTCTTCTTCTGCTTTATTTTAGATTGTATAATTTTTCAGCTGTATTATTATAAGCTTTTCACCTGCTTCAAATCTCTTGCCCTTCAGTTTTATGTGCCTCCAACTCATCCTCCACACTTTCTAAAACATTAATCTAATCATATCATCCTTTTACTTAAAAAGGTGCAGTGCTGCAATTATCTTCAGGCAAAATGCCAACCATGGCACTCAGCCCTTGAAAACATTATTTCCTCTAGTTCTGAAAACAATTATATCAGATAGCTATTATAATCTCAGTTTTACAAACAAAGAAACTAAGGCTCGGAAATCTTAAACTGTCATAACCAAGTCCATGGGGCTGGGAGAACCAGGACTCAAAATCAGCTTTCTTGTCACTAGATCCATTGCTTTTAATATTAATATTCTAGTCTCTTTAACCAGTTTCACCTCTTACTCTTCTGGAGAAAAACTGCTACTGTTACTACCATTGCTACACTAAGTAACAACATCATTTTAGATTACACGTCCTTATTTGTCAACAATATAAAGAGGCAAGGAGGAAGAAGACACTTACCTAGCTGGCTGAATCAGTCAGTCAAATGAGCCTGGCAGTCCATGGGTGACAAATTTTGAGCCAAATCACCCTTGCATGCAATGTATGATATACAAAGACTTAAAGATAACATACTAAGTGACCTGTTCCAGTTCATACACTACATTATTGTGTAAGTAGAACAGAAATCCCAGTCTCTGAATCCTCTGTCCATAAACCATACCAAAACACACAGATCCTCTAATCCAAATGAACAGAAACCTTTTAATAAGTTAGCCCAGTATAGCAAGCAACTTAACATTTTTGAAAGTTTTAAAATATGGCAACTAATCACATATCTAGGAAGTATGTGGTACAGTTAAATGGCAATTCACAGGCAAACCTCAAAAATACCAAAGTTGCTTATGACTGTAAACCTCACTCAAGTTTTTTTCCCAAGTGGTTTCAATATTCAGTTGGAAGAGTGACAGTTGGACTTAATGGTTTTATTTTCTCACTTTTCTTCAGAAACCAATCCATCTCACTACTGCAGTGCTTTCCAACCTTTTTAAACCCATGACCCCTTTGGATAAACTGAAAATCTCATGACACCATTCCCTTCACCGCCACCCAGAGCTTTGTGTATGCAGAAAATAAATTATATTTCTGACATACCATGTCAGATACGAAAAATTTTTGCATTTTATTTTGAAGTTGTTGTAAGAAAAGGGGTGTTTGATTTTCCAAATATAAAAATATTTTTTAATATTTTTTCTCAAATTATACAGCATGTTCTCATACTCCATCTTGGCCCTCCCAGCTAATAATCAATTGCATGATTCCACTTGTTAATTTGTGATTTATGCAATACTGAATTTCAGTTTAAGGCTCTAAATGAGTCCACTATTATCCAACTATTTAGAAAAGTTGTCATTCCTAAAAGAGTTCCCAGTTAAAAAGGAAATCAAGGAATAGAAATGAAATTATCAAACTCACAGAATATTTAAGTGCCCAGAGTGCTAAGAGGTGATTTGGCCTCATGCTTTCTACTCCAGATAGGTGGAACCTGAATCTCTGGGCCTGTTGTCTATGGATCTGGATTATAAAAAAGCATCCAAGTTGGTTCTAATAACCACCTGGATTGGGGAGCCCATTATTTCACAGGAGAGAAAACTAAAATGGAAAGAGATTAAGTACAGCTAACCCAATTTGCTGACTTAATTTAAGCAACTTTTAAAAAAAATAGTGTTCAGAATTTTATTTTATCTACCAACTCTAATTTGATTAAAAAATATATATTTTTACAATCATTTTATCTTCCTCCTTTTAGAAAAGTTGCCCAGATAGATAAAAATAACAAATTGGATACATTCCTTAATCTCCTCTCAGACTTATCACTCCAATAAAATAGCAATAAAGGAGTAAAAACAATATAACCCAGCAAGAAAAGGAGAGGCGTGATTACATTTTTAGAAAATGTAAAGCAGAGGCGGGGCGTGGTGGCTCATGCCTGTAATCCCAGCACTTTGGGAGGCCAAGGCGGATAGATCACCTGAGGTTGGGAGTTCGAGACCAGCCTGACCAACATGGAGAAACCCTGTCTCTACTAAAAATACAAAAAAACCCAGCTGGGTGTGGTGGCACATGACTGTAATCCCACCTACTAGGGAGGCTTAGGCAGGAGAATCGCTTGAACCTGGGAGGTGGAGGTTGCCGTGAGCCGAGATCGTGCCATTGCACTCCAGCCTGGGCAACAAGAGTGAAACTCCTTCTCAAAAAAAAAAAAAAAAAAAAAAAAAAGCAGAGAGTTGAGTAATGACTGACATGATAGGGGAATGAGCTTCAATCTAAAATACATACCGAGGAGATACCAATGAGATGTGGACTTATTTGCCCTAGAGAACTCAGGAGCAACTACCATGACACATGTCACAAGGGAAAACTTAAAGTAAAAAGGCATATGAATGACTTGACATTCTAGATATGCACTCATGCCGAGCACAGTGGTTCAATCCTGTAATCCCAGCACTTTGGGAGCCTGAGGTGGGTGGATCACAAGGTGAGGAGTTTGAAACCAGCCTGGCCAACATGGTGAAACCTCATCTCTACTAAAAATACAAAAAAAAAAAAAAAATTAGCTGGGCATGTTGGGATGCGCCTGTAATCTCAGCTACTTAGGAGGCTGAGGCAGGAGAATTGCTTGAACCCGGGAGGTGGAGGTTGCAGTGAGCCGAGATCACGCCACTGCACTCCAGCCTGGGTGACAGAGTGAAACTCTGTCTCAAAAAAAAAAAAAAAAAAAACAAAAAAAAAACGATGTGCATTTATATACCACCTTCCCCCACCCCCATGCAGAGCTGCCAGCAGCCAAATGCCTCCACTCCCCATCACTGCAAATCATTAATTCTCCAGTGTAAGTGAAAGGGCAAGATTGTACTCAGAAGCACCAACCACAGCAGAAGGTAGGACTGAGGTACAAGATTGCAAAGAGAATGACGGAATAGTCAAATGAAAAAATGCATGCTGAATGGATTCAAACCTTTACATAGCTAGGTGTCTACCTCCAGGGAGGAAGATGAAGGATTCATTTTCAGAGATAGTTAATGACCACTATAGACTGAAATTGTATGTATGTTTGTTAGGGAAAGGAGTATCCAGCAATCAAACAGCCAGTTCTCTAGAAAAGCACCAAAAATGAAGACAGCCTCAAGCCTGAGGTCTTCTGTGTTAGTTTGCTAGGGCTGCTATAGCAATGTTCCACAGATTGAGTGGCTTAAAGCTTAAGCCTTAAACAACAGAAACGTATTTTCTCATAGTTTTAGAGGCTGGAAGTCTAAGGTCAAGGTGTCAGGATAGTTGATTTCTTCTGAGTCCTCTCTCCTTGGCTTATAGATGGCTGTCTTCTCCCTGTGTCTTCACATGGTCTTTCCTCTGCATGGGTGTCCTAATCTTTTCTTCTTATAAGGACACCTGTCATATAGGATTAGAGCCATCCTAATGATTTCTATTTCACTCAACTACCTCTTTAAAACCATATCTCCAAATACTGTCACATTGTGAGGTACTGGGGATTAGGAATTCAACATGTGAATTTGGAGGGAATATAATTCAGCCTGTAACAGCTTCTTGAAGATTTTTAGTGATTTCTTGGAATCATGGCAATTAAAGATCACTAGACACATAAAGAAAGCTCTTCCAACACAAATGTACTCACTCACTCACAGAAATCCAAAAGAAAAAATAATTTAGGTAACAGGGAAAAACTTCAAAGATACCAATAAGTAACTTTAGAAAAATATGAGAAAATCCTAAATTGATGAAACCAGAGCTGAATATTAGAAGAGAAATTAAAAGCAAAAAAAAATTAAAAATGGAACTTATTATAACAAAATAAAGGAAGAAAAAGTCAAGAAAACCCCTCAAAAAATTGAACCAAAAAAGTTAAGAAACTAGAAATATGAAAGCAAAGATTAAGAAACTCAATCTAAGATGTTCAAAATCTGGTTAATAAGAATTTCAGAAAGAGAGAACAAAGAAAAACAGAAAAGAATTTATCATTTTTTTAAGTACTAAAATTTCTCAAATCTCTATCTCCTACCTGCGTCTCTCCCTTGAACTCCAGACTTAAATGCCCAACATGGCTGCCTGCCCAATATCTCCAGCTGGATGTCAAATGGACATCTCAGAATTAAATGCCCAACACTGCATTCCTCTAGCATAATTTCCTATCCTTATATAAATGAAAATTACATTTTTTTAGTTGCTCAGACGAAAAAATTTTGGTTTCAACTTTGCTTCTGCTTTTACTCCTCACAGCTAATCCAACAGCAAATGTACTATTGTGTCTACAACAGGAATATGTGTACAACTTGATACTGATCCCTTCCACCCTGATCACTGCTACAAACCACAATCATCTGTCACTTGGCTTATTAAATTTCTTCCTTATGCTCCTCTGCTCCTATCCTTTCTGCTTCCATAATTTATTCTTTTTTTTTTTTTTGAGATGGAGTCTCACTCTTTCGCCCAGGCTGGAATGCAGTGGCGCGATCTCAGCTCACTGCAACCTCCGCCTCCCAGGTTTAAGCGATTCTCCCACCTCAGCCTCCCAAATAGCTGGGACTATAGGAACACACCACCATGCCTGGCTAATTTTGGTATTTTTAGTACAGACGGGGTTTCACCATGTTGGCCAGGCTGGTCTCAAACTCTTGACCTCAAGTAATCTGCCCACTTTGGCCTCCCAAAGTGCTGGGATTATAGGCGTGAGCCACCGCACCCAGCATATAACTTATTCTTCATGAAAAAGCTAGAATAATATTTTTTAAAAATACAACAGATGATTTCACTTCTCTGTTTGCAGCTCTACAAAGGCTTTCCTTCATACTTAAAATAAAATCCAAAGTCCTTAAAATAGCCTATCAAGGATTATCTTGCTGGTTATCTAAACTTGTTTTACTCAATACTCTCTATAAAAATATTTTTTGTAAAGCCCCTTTTAGCAATATTAAATAAAGTTAAATCTGCTTTTACATATAAGTTAGAGAATCAATAATGTCCTAATTATAATATAAAGGAGAAATAAAACGGAAATAAATCATAATGAAATACTATATAAAATAGAAAATAATAATAAAACATCTCTATGTAGAATCATCATAAATGCAACTTCTACAAGAGACTATAGCTAAGATATGTTTTGACATAGGTGCAATGGCAATTCAATGGAAAAAGGACAGTCTTTTCAACAAATGATTCTGAAGCAACTGGATATTCATGTAGCAAAAACAAAACTAAAACAAACAGATAAACAAAAACTACATGTACTTCACACCTCATGACAAATTAACAAAAAAATTAATCATAGACTGAATGTAAAATATAAAGCTATAAAACTTCCAGAAAAAAAATGGGAGAAAATGTGCATAATTTGTATTATTTAGCAAGGAATTTTTAGATAGGAATAAAAAAAAGTACTAAAAAATGATAAATTAGATGTTATCAAAATTAAAAACTTTTGCTCCATGAAAAACACTTTAAAGAAGTGGAAACAAGAGCCACAGACTGAAAGGAAATGTTTACAAATCATGTCTTTTAAAGGACATGTATCTAGAATATATCAATACCTCTCATAACTCAAAAATACAAAACAAACTGAATTTTAAAAATCAAAAATTTTTAATGGGCAAATGAGGTAATTGGATACTTCACCAAAGCAGATATACACATGGCAAAAAAGCATAAGCAAAGATGTTCAACATCAATAGTCATTAGCGGAATGCAGATGAAAACCCCAATGAGATACCACTGCACACATTAAAATGGCTGAAATTAAAAAATCTGCAATACCAAGTGCGATATAAATGCAAAGCAGCTAGAACCCTCATTTACTGCTGTTGGAAATGCAAGATGCTACAGCTATTGTGAAAAAAAAGTAGTATAAGTATCTTATAAATAACTTTGGAAAACAGTGTTTTGACTATAAGGTTAAACACAAAAGAACAGTATGTAAACACTGTACCCTAGTTGGTAAATCTATTTCCAACAGAGGTACATATTAGCAATTCTAAAATTACATGTGTACCAGAATTGAACAAATAAAGATGGATGGATGGAGAGAGAGAGAGAATGAATGAGGGCCAGATTTCTCATTATCAGTAAAAGAAGTTACAAATAACAAAAAGGGGAATTATAGGAAGAACATCGTTGTGCTGCTTTAGAGAGGGAGGTTTCAGCATATACTAGTGATTAAGTATGTATACATATACTAGCGTAAGTACGTATGCATGCATAGAGAAACATAAATAAATATAGATTTGTGTATATGCATGAATTAGCATACATAGTTAGATAGACACATGCTTGCCTGTCATCTACCTGTCTGTCTCTCCTAGTCAAGTCTGCTTATAAGTCCCAGAAGCAGTGAAATTCCAGTAGCAATGAGCATACTTAACACTCAGATCTTGGTTTATAAATACCATTCTACAAGAAAAGGAGGGCTCCTTGGAGAAGTGTTTGATTCCAGTCTTAGGGCATGGAAAATACAAGATGAGCCTGGAAGCCTCTCATGGTGCCATAAAGTATGGAAGTGCTATTCAAAGAAAAAGAAAAAAAATATGGGGGCATGTTTAAAAGATTAAATAAATAAATGAGGAAGAAGAGATCAGCACTTTTTTACAGAAGAATTTCAATTAATAAGCATAAAAGAAAAAAGGAAAGAAAACAACATTAGAACACCACAGTAACATCAACCGGGGTCCCCAATTAACATGGAACTGCAATATCGGTTAGTACTGCCTACTCCCAGATTTCTTTCATGTGGTAGAGGAGTAAAGCTCTATCTAACTTCAGCTATAGATTTTTTGGGTTTCCTGTCACCAGAAAAACTTAACCTAATCCTAAGACAAGGCTCTTTCTAAAAGTTTCGTTTGAGGGAACTAGTTTTTCTATCAATGCCTCAGCAACGATTTACTCAATGTCTACAATGAGCATTTGACATTGGTTAATCCATTTAATCCTTAAAGCAACATTATGTATGATTGTCTTCATTTTGCAGATAATGTTTCTCAGAAAAATAATTTGCCAAGTGAGTTTGTGTGGCAGAACCTAAAGGCAAGTCCATGTCTCACGTGGAGCCAAGACCATGCTTTTTCCCATGTCTCACAGCCACTCTAGAGAACTTTTAGGAGACATTCAGTTGGCAGGTAGAGTTTAATATTCTTTTCAGGGGGTGGGAGATCTGGAGTGTATTGGAGCAGGGGCTAACCAGATATTGTTGCTGACTGATGCTAATGATGCCTATAGTGTTGTCTCATATTTTTAGGGGTAGTAACCCCTAATATCCTTCAGAATAATAACCCCAGAAGTCCCAAACCTCAGAAATCCCTTTAGTGACCTGATATTGTCAGAATTTGCCTGAGCGCTGGGAGGATGCCCCCCCATGTGCTGCTTGAAGTATCATGTCTACATGATTGTCACCAATTCCTTCCTTCCTAGTACGTGCATGACACTTTACCACCGAAGATTGTGTCTATTCTTCCATTGCCTTGAATTTGACCAGTAGTCACAAGGAGAGGCACTGGAGCACCAGATATATGAATGAAGAAACTACCTTGGCATCCAGCCTAGTTGAGCCTTTGGATAAGTCCAGCCTCAGCCCTATCATACTGCAACTGCATGAACGACCCCAAAGAAGAGCCATCCAGGTGAGCCCAGCCAACACACAGAATATACAGATAATAATAAATTGTTGAACTAGGATATTAAATGTGTGGGCTACGCAATAATAGATAATAGGAACACTGCAAGTGACAATGTACTGACATGCGGAGAGTACTGGGGACCACTAATCAACAGGTTTTTTGAGGCATTTGACAAAGCAAGGAAAGAGAAACAGAAAACTCAAAACAGTACTCCCATTCTCCTCTTTAGCATCAACCAAAACTTTCCAAGAACAGAGGACAGAACCAAATGTTTCTCCCAAAGTGGCTGCCTTGGGAGCTGCTTGCTTTACCTTCAATAAAAATGCAATTGTAAGAGAGGAAATTTCAGTGAAACCCCATCTCTACTAAAAAATACAAAAAATTAGCTGGGCGTGGTGGCGGGTGCCTGTAGTCCCAGCTACTCGGGAGGCTGAGGCAGGAGAATGGCGTGAACCTGGGAGGTGGAGCTTGCAGTGAGCCGAGATCGCGCCACTGCACTCCAGCCCGGGCAACAGAGCGAGACTCTGTCTCAAAAAAAAAAAAAAAAAAAAAAAAACAAAAAACAAGTTAAGGCATTGCAGGGGGTAAGATGAGGGGTAATGTTGGAGGAAGGGGAATCCCAGTCACAAGGGATAGTCCCCTGTTCATTGTCATCCCCATGTCCTAGCCAAGCCTTTTTCTTCCAGAATGTTTCCCCCAACCCCATAACCACCATATTTAGCAGCAGAGTTAAGTTCTCTCAATTTTTAATCTATACCTTTATGGGAGTGTCTTTGGGAGACTAAAGTCCCTAAGGAGGGCTAGAACCTTACACACACACACACACACACACACACACACCCCACAGACACATACGTATTTTCCATCCATTAAGATGCTTAATTTTTCTTCATAGCTACTATCACTACCTGGTATTATACAGTATATTGTTTCATGTATTTGTTTATATTATGTCTCCCCTACTATAATGCCATCTCCATGACAACTGGGTCCTTATCTGTCTCATTTACTTCTGTATCCCCAGTATGTTAAACAGTCGCTGGCACATACAAAAAGTTAAATATAAACTGCTTAAATATTGAGCATTCCTGCCTCCTTTGCTTTCCTGCTGAATATATGCCTTCTTTTTAGATACCAAAATACTCCGTAAGAGAGATCCTTGCAAATGTTCCATCTATAGTCTTGAGCTAGGATTTCATTCTAAGTGCCTGCTGCCTTCCCATCCTGGTAAGCATGGCCTGAGGCTATCAAATGAAACTCTAAGGCCCCTGACAACACTCTCTCTCACAGCCTAGGGCTTAGAACCAGCTGTAAGTCACCAGGCCTTCTCAGCTCTTTAGAGTCCTAGGAGTTTCCCAAAAACAAACAAACAAACAAAAAAACACACCCAGCCCTCAAAAGCACCTCCATTTTTCAAAAATGGAAAATAAAAGGTCTTGAGGGGCTAAGAAACCTTTTCACTAAAGAGACTATACAGTCAGATCCTAATGCTAACTGGGGAAAGAAGAGACAAGAGATGGGGGACCACTTCCTCAGGAGTTAGTACTTCACTTTCCCCAACTCTTCTGGAAACCTGGAAGGGCCCCTCTCCAAGGACCTGGAATGAAGAGGGGAAGAAAATGTAGAGAAAGGCAAACAGGGAGCCAGGCCAGTTGTCCCATGACCACTGGGTCACATGCTCTAAAGGGCAAGGCAGGAGGGCTGGAGGTCTGTGAGGTGACAGAACACTTGTCTTAGCCCTGTGAGCCAACCTCATGAACCTTGCCTGGGCTTATTTACTGCTGTCACAGCTTTGCCGTGTATGTTTACTTCCAATGCTATCATTTATCATACGTTTTCTCTACACACGAATATAGTTTTAAAATTACTACATTTGTTTGAAAAGGAAATTTCGCATCACAAACACAAATGAAAAACCAGGATCACTATACATAAATGACACTAGCACACACGCTCAATAAGAACAGAATGATGTTATTAGATCCTGGATAGATACTGTTGGCTGCCAAAGTTCTTTGCCCAAAGCTTGCTCTCCTTGTGCTAATCTAAAGGTTGTTTAGCAAGTGTAATTATTCTTGATCTAACCAGAAGGGTTATAAGATAATTGAAAAAAAAGCTCTATATGATACTATGATAATGTCATGACCCCACATTCATGGTCCACGTAGGGAAACACAGCACTCAGGCTTAGGAACACCCTGATACGGGAACCCACCTGCAGGTTAAGATGGGACTTTCCAATGCCAGGCAGGCAGTGGGTTTGAAATCTGTAACGAGTTTCTCAGTAGTTGCTGGTGAGTGGGCTGGAGCAGGCAGAGACCGCCAATCTGGAAGGAAAATCCAGCAAGCTTTCTTGATCACTTCCTCTGAAAACTTGTCTGTGGCTCCTCCTACTGGCTTGTGGCTAGGGCATCTCAATTGTCCATTACATGCCCCCAGCGGGTAAACTAGCCTGGGCTTCATCGCAATGATCTCTGAGGACAAGAGCAAAAAAACGCAAGGGCTCTTAAGATGCAGGCTCCAGAACTTGAACATTGTGTATCTGCCACATTCTTTTTTTTTTTTTTTTTTTTTTTTGAGACGGAGTTTTGCTTCGCTCTTGTTGCCCAGGCTGGAGTGTAATGGTACAATCCTGGCTCACTGCAACCTCCATCTCCCGGGCTCAAGCGATTCTTGTGCCTCAGCCTCCCAAGTAGCTAGGATTACAGGCATGAACCATCATGCCTGACTAATTTTTTTTTGTATTTAGTAGAGACGGGGTTTCACCATGTTAGTCAGGCTGGTCTCAAATTCCTGACCTCAGGTGATCCACCCGCCTTGGCCTCCCAAAGTGCTGGGATTACAGGCAGGAGCCACCATTCCTGGCCCATCTACCACATTCTAGTGGTTAAAGCAATAAGCCCGCTCAGATTCAAGGGGAAGGGAAAATAAATTCCACCTCTTTATGGAAGGAGTGGTAGCATCACATCACAGAGGAGCGATGTGCACTTTGCTGCATTATACTTCTTTAATCTAGAAGGGACTGACTTTTCAGATGATATGACAAAAAATATTTCTGTCCTTAAAAATAAACTTTCACTGTGTTTATTGATAACAAACTGGGGAACCAGGGTGCTTATGCTAAGTTCGGTTTGACTGGCACTGAGCTCCTTTTAGGAGTTCCCAATCCAGTGCCTATAAAACAATGGCACCAGTACTTTTAAAGGCAGAATGTGATCAGAGGAATCTGAGAGTTCTGGGGGGTCCACAGAAGCAGACACACAGAAGGTAGGTCGTTAAAATAATGGCCCCCAAAGAGCCATCCCCCTGTGTCTATACTCCTCTGTGATGTGATGCTACCACTCCTTCCATAAAGAGGTGGGATTTATTTTCCCTTCCCCCTTGAATCTGAGCTGGCTTATTGCTTTAACCACTAGAATGTGGTAGATGGGCCAGGAACGGTGGCTCATGCCTGGTGACCTACCTGCCTCGGCCTCCCAAGGTGCTGGGATTACAGACATGAGCCACCGCGCCCTGCCTGAGTGGCCATTCTTTTGCTCTTTTACTCTCTTAATAAACTTGCTTTTGCTTTGAAAAAAAAAAAAAAGGAAAGAAATGCAAATTATCAGGTCCCATGCCAGACCTGCTGAATCAGAATCTCTTCGGGTGGAATCCAGCAATTTAGGTTTCACAAGCTTTACAGGTGACTCTAGAGCATGCTAGAGTTTAGAAACCAATGATATGGTGGTTAAATGTACAACTAGTTTGAAGTCTCATCTCTACTGCTTTACAAACTGCATTGCTTTGAGCAAGTTACTTAACCTTCCTGTTCTTCATTCTCCACATCTGGAAAATGATGATAATTAAGAAACCTCCATCAGAGTTGTTGAGAGGATAAGACGAGATAATACATGTAAAGCATTTAGCCCCATGCCAAGCACACTGTAAGCTTTGTGTGTTGGCTGTCCTCATGGGTGAGTTCTAATCACTACTGAGCATGCCTCTGGACCATGGCCTTGTAGAGCAGCACACTAGTTTGATATGACTGAAAACATTTTCAGGACAAAAGAATCTTGACCAAAGGGAGAAGAGGTGGACACTGAAAATCAAGATGCCTTCATTGGTAATTAAGTGGAAATGGACATTTCTGTAACATTATCATGTCAGGACCAGGTAACTATTAACCTGGCTTGCCCAATACCAGTTTTTAATCCTATCCGCAGTATTAGAAGATTGTCAAAGGTGAATAAACCTTGGAATGGATTTAGGGGTGAAAGCTAATAATTGTGAATTGGATATAAAAACACTGTCACATAGATTATGTATTATACAATAGGATTGTAGCATTTGAAGTCACCTCTCCCCACAAATATCCCTCCCTTCCTCAAGGGTATACTCAAAGTTAAATTCCTAGTCAGCCTTTCCTAGGCAATCTCTTTAAAATACACACACATGTTTCCTATGCCTCTTTTCCACTTTATATTTTTATCCTTACAAATTATCACCATCTCACATGCTATATATGCCATTTACTTTGTTGTCTACTAGTAACAGAAAACTCAACTCAAACCCTGTCTCAGTAAGTTCACTGGGGGCAGGGATTTTTGTCTGTTTTGTTCACTGTTGTACCCCCAGTGGCTGGCACCTAGTGGGTGATCAAGAACATTTCCTGAGTCAATGAATGTCATTACTACCTTTACTGCTCTGCTCTATGAGACTGAAAGAGAGTAGAACAAGAGCTGAGGAACTGAGGTTCTGACTGTGCAAGAGGAAGGACAGGGAGACAGAGAGGGAAGGACCAGGCCCTATCAGACAGAGGGCCATTAGACATCCAAGGAGTCACTGGGTGGAAGGAAAGAGGGAGGATATTAATCTGTGCCTACTATGTATCAGGCACAGGGTCAATATTTTATATTAATCTCTACTACGAACTCATCAGATGGCTATTCCTCACCTTTACAGATAAGCAAGTTGAGGCTCAGAGACTTTTAAGTAACTCGCTTAAGGTTATACAGTTGAGAAGTGGCAATGCAGAGATAGGAGCCCAGATTTTTAACTTCACATTCAGATTCTTTCCTTGTTGCCAATGCCGGAGATTAATGCTCAGAAAGGTGAACTTGGAAGGCTGACAAAATGGAAAATGGGCTTCCTGCTTTTTCTGGTTTGTCCAGACCTGCCCTAGTAATAATGACAATAATAATAAAAATAATAACTTGTATTATCCTAGCTAGTATTTATTCAGTGCTTAGGATGTGAAGGTACCTTACATGGATTATCTCATTTAATAATATATTTTATTATCTTATGTTTCAACAGAAGGGATTATTGGGACTTAAAGATATAAGGTCTTACATCCGTGTGATCTAAAGCCATACAACTACTAAATGGTGGAGTCAGGGTCCTTTATTAGGTGTTTGGAATAATAACATTTACAAGAGAAAGACCTGCAGAGATTCATATGATGAATGTAACCAGGGATCAGATGGGATCTTTATATACCCAAGTTCTGAAAAATTTATTCTGCTTCTACCTCACCTTCAACATGTAACTCAAATTAAAGGCAATACTGAACTATAAAGTAAATAACAGAAAACACAAAAACATTCAACATTCTGGTTTTTCCTATGAAGGCTGCTGCAATACTTTTTTGAATTATTTAATATCAAATTGTTTTAGTGAATCTCTTTTCCCAATATCAAAATTATTAGGCTGTGTCATATGAAACTGTCATTTTTGTAGGTCAAAAGTTGTCAAATGTTAGTGATTTCTTTTGGTTACACCTAATCTAATCTGCCTATTGGTAAGGTCAGTCCTGAATACATGGACATTTGTGAGCCTCTGTGCTTTTCTGATTTCCTATCCCATTGGTAAGTAGTTTCCCTTAAAAGTAAGAAAAAGAACAAACATACAGAGATAGGGAGGAAGAATATTTTTATGACCATCATCTTTCTTTGTAAGCACCACACATTCTTTGTTTTTCTAAAAATATGAGGCAATTTCAAATCAGACTTAGTGCTAGATTTATAATATTTTCCACTTATTCTGCCATCTCTTTAAGAATTTCCCTAACTGGGAGGATGGGAGGAGAGACTTCCCATAATTCCTTGCCCATCCAACTGCCTGCCCTGGTCCCCGCTTGCCAAATCCTTTACTGTGGTTTTCTGATGTGAGCTATTATCCTTGAGAGTCCCAGAGCTGAGACGTGAACTCCGTTTCTTGGAGGGCTCAACCAGAATTCCCTAAAGTGAAAGCTCAGTCTTTTACCCACGAAGCTCCTTCTTTTTGTAGTTAATCAACTGGCTAAATCCTCTGAAGTGAAAAAATGCACATTTTGTTGTCTGTGACTTACTGAAGCTGAATGCTTCTCACAATGGCAAAGTCCATGAAACAACTATATATTAGGGATGAGTGATTTCTCACACTTAATCTGTTTCTATCCAAGACTGCCAAGTTGGTCCACTGGGCCTTGGAACTGCGATATCACATTTCCCACATTTCTTGCCTTTTCTTCTACTTGTGCTCCATTATTTATTAAGGCCTTGAGTACACCTGGGGTTTGTCCCCAATGGGGGTCAGACTTTTCAGGCCCTCCCTCATTCTCAGAAGTTGGATTTTTATAAGGGTGTGAAAGACTTCTACCCCTGCAGTTCCACAATTGGGCTGTTATTAAGAATAGAAATAGAGACACGAAAGCTCCACTGAGAGAAGTTACTTCCAAGACTTGAGGTCCACAGGCCAATATGCCACCTTTTAAGATTTATTTTCTTCCTACTCTGTGTTATGGCAAAGTCTGATCAATCGTGTGTCTCTCTCCATTAAGACACTTTCGCTTGCAAGTAATAGAAAACTTACAGGGATTCCTCCTCTCCCCCTATTCCTCGCAAGTCACTTTAAAATCCAGGGGTAAATTAGTGTTTCTGGAATAGCTGGACACAGAGGTCAAAAATTGTCATAAGCCCTCAGGTTCTCCCCATCTCTTATTTTTACTTTTTTAAAATTCACTTCTCTCTCTAGCAGTGTAGCAGAAGCTGTCCGTTTTCTACACATCATCCTCATACACCTTAACCTAGCAATGCTTTCTCTTCTGAGAGATAGCACCTGTGCTTTGCCTTCATGCTCTAAAGCCAATATTGGCAAGTACTGCCCTGAATGCTAGAATAGCCTAGGAATTTAAGTTCTCCAGGGGTAGACCTTAACCAATGACTGGCAGGGGCAGAGTTCCCTGATGAGAACAACTTCACAGTTGAGATTGGCCCCAAAGCTTTCCCACCTCCCTCAGAACTTAGCCAAAGCTGCCATTTATGGGGCTTTTCTTGATATTGCATCCTTGCTTGGTCTCCCTGCTTTCCCAATCTGACTCCCATATCTCCCTCAGATTTCCCTGGAAACAAATCTTTGTATTAGGGAATCCCACCAAAGACAGGCAGATTCCTTTTCCCTGTTCATCCCAATATTTCAAGCTTACCTCTTTCCAGCCTAAAATCCAAAGCTATTAAAGCAAAAGTCCCTTCACTTAATCTAATTTGACTTTGATTGCCTTGGCTCAGGTACTCACCCTAAGTCAATAGTAGTTGACACAAGGAGGCATACCATGTTTGTCCAGCTCTGAATGACATGTCCTCCCCTGGATTTAGAGGAGAGGGCTTTGACATTTGTGACATTTGCGAGCCTCTGTCCCTGAACCACACAGACTGGGTAGTAGAGCTGGTGGTATAGGGGTCATTCTGGAGGAAAATGGGGCCTCTTATTGGAAAAACAAGACATGGATGCTTCGAGACAATACAGCAAGGGTTAGCAAACTATAGTCCACGATCCCTGTTTTTGTAAATAAAGTTTTACTGGAATATCATCACACTCATATGTTTATGCATTATATACAGCTACTTTCAAGAACCACAGCAGAGTTGAGTAGTTGCCACAGATAATATATGGCCTGAATAGCCTAAAATATTTATTATCTTGTCTTTTGAAGGAAAAGTTTTCTGACCCTGAACTATGCTATTATTTTGGAATGCACTCTGATGTCAGTTTGTGGCACATCCTAAGGAAAACACCGAGAAGTAATTCATTGGTATCATCACACTTTTAGTCAGTTTTAAGCTGTTTTCTGCAGGCCTCCGAATTAAGGGAGAGCTAGATATGCCGCAGTGATTGGCAAACTGTGCCTCCTGACACCCTGGGTTTCCTAGGGAGGTCTTGGGGAGCAGGGCACTGCAGAGTGAGGGAAGGCCCCTGACACAGGGCTCCCAGAGCCCGGCCCCATTTCACATTTATCTGTTTACCCAGTGTATTAAACATGTGGGGCTCATGGGTTGTGAAGAGAGAGACAACTTTGCTTTCGTCTCTCAGTCTTGTTCCAGGAGAATAGCCTTTTTCCGCCTCTGGATGCAAAGTAAGGCAGTCACATGACTTTTCTGTTAATTCTTACATACTGGAAAGTCCTATAGTCATCGTAAGTCACAAACAGTTTTAATTGAGAGATTAAAGTGTGGACTATCAAGTCACATTTGAACAAAGATGAGGTTTCTAACCCCACCCACCAGCCCACTACTGCCTTCAGGGAAATGAGTGTGGTCAGCCTCTTCCCCTCTTCTCACTCTCCAAGTGCCCCTCACACTCGTTCTTGCTCCTGGCGTCCTCCCCTGTCCAACTCCTCATGGGAACAGAGAGGAGGGTGAAGACTTAAGGGGACAGGAATGCTTTGACTCACCTGCGATTCGCATAGCTTTGTGTTCTCCAGGCCTCACTGGAATTCAAAACCAACCTTTTCCCTCAAGAACCACTTTGTGTGCCTGCTTTGGAAACTTCTCAATATTGGGAATATTTTTAGGTTCAATTCTGGGCAAGGACCTACAAATATAAATGTAAGAAGTACCTCAGACAAGCAGGACAAATTAAATGTAATAAGAAAGCACCTTTATTTTATTTTTATTTATGTATTTATTTATTTGAGACAGGGTTTCTCTACTGTCACCCAGCCTGGAGTGTAGTGGTGCGCTCTTGGCTCACTACAACCTCTACCTCCCAGTTTTGAGCGATTCTTCTGCCTCAGCCTCCCGAATAGCTGAGAGTACAGGCACCTGCCACCATGCCCGGCTAATTTTTGTATTTTTAGTAGAGACAGGGTTTCACCATGTTGGCCAGGCTGGTCTCGGAACTCCTGACCTCAGGTGATCTGCCCACCTCAGCCTCCTAAAGTGCTAGGATTACAGGTGTGAGCCACTGTGACCAGCCTCATTTTTATTTTTGTCTCTTGCTGTCCCTTTAAAATTTATTCTGGGGAGGACATTCTTTCCCAGTGACTAGATAAAAACTGACTGAATATTGTGCCTTTTCTGGTCACACAATTAATAGAAAATTCTGCAGTTACCTTATATTACAACCTCATTTCAATAATTAAAATAATTAAAAATTATTAAGTAATTTTAATAATTTAATAATTTTAAAAATAATTAAAAATAATTTTAATAATTTAATAATTTTAAAAATAATTTAAAATAGTTAGAATTATCTAATCCCTTTAACAAAACTCCAAATTTAACTTAGTCTTCTTTGCTCACTCTTCCTTGCTTTACTAATCTCAGTGTCTGACTCTTCCAAAGCTGGAGTCTGGGGAGAAAAGAAATGAAAGGTGAGCAGAAATAATTTTGCTTGACTGATATGAACATAAAATGGTTAGACATTTAAAGAAAACTTGCTCCTAGGCAAATTCACAGCTTCTTTGTAGTTTCCCCTGCTGATCCCCTCTAATTGACTCTACTTGGTCCAGGGTCAGGATTTGGCATACTATTGCAGGCCGACCAAATCCCACCTAGTGCCTGTTTTTATAAATAAAGTTTCATTGGAACATAGCCATGCCCATCCTCTGACATACTGTCTATGCTTGCTTTTGTGTGACGATGACTGAGCTGAATAATTGCAACAGAGACTCTGTGGCCTACAGAGATTAAAATATTTATTCTCTGAGCCTTTACAGAAAAAATTTTTAACCCTTGCCCTAGGCTGTACTTTTCCTTTGACTGACTACTCCTGAAACCCCCTCAGTCAGGTTTGTAAACTATTGGGGTCCCCTTCCCTAACAGGTCATCCTCTAGGAAATAATCGCTTTAAAAATGACTCCAGGTCCCATTCCTCCCATGAATTCCTCATCTAGTCTCTGAAATTCACACTCCTTAACTGCCATCAGGGAGAATGCAATTTTTCCCCACTGTACCCTAAACCCTCTTGCCTCAAGCTGTGTTAGAACTCCCAGGTAAATTGTTCCACCGTGGCCCCAGCTGCTAGGATAGATATGAAGCACTTTGAGTGATCCAGTGACAGCCCCTCTCTCTAGCTCAGGATCAGAAGATAGCACAGCACACTCTTCCACTTTGGGGAAAGGTGGTTGGAACTCCATAGCTATTTCCAATAAAAATCCTTCTATACAATCCATCCAATTTCCCACAAGTAGTTCCTTTCATATATTTAATCTGAATGAGACATTGTTGTGGGTTGGATTCCCTAGAAGCAGAGTCTGAGATATAAATTCCTACTAGGGTTGCCAGATAAGATATAATATCCCAATTAAACTGGAATTTCTGATTAAACACTGAAGGATTTAGTATGAGTATGTCCCTAATATTGCATAGGACACATTTATATTAAAATATTATTTTTTATGTATCTGAAATTCAAATTTAAATGAGTGTCTTGCATGTGTTTATTTGTTTTTCTTTAATCTGCAACTCTAATTCTCATTTAAGTGATTGACTGAAGGAGCACACTCAGGTGAAAGGGAACGGGGGAAGCAAAATGGGGCAGAAGGAAGAAGCTAAGCAAAGATGTGGTCTCAGCTGGGGACAGGCCTCAATCAGATGCCATGGGGAGCTGTGGAATATGAACTGTACCACATAGTGTGTCTCACCTTGAGGCAAGCGGTCTGCCTTTGACACCTCCATATGAGTTAACTGTGGTCTGTGGGTTGCCTCCTAGATGAGGCAGTTTGCATTAGTTCCCATTGGTCCCCAGCTGAGGGCAATTCTCTAGATAAAAAAGCAGCTGTGAGCCAGTCAGAGTCAATACTCATAGCAGCTGGGAGAGGAATGCCATAGCCCAGTAAAGGGGACCTTGGTAGGGCATGCATCCCAGCTCTGTCTCTGATTTTTTTTTTTTTTTTGAGACAGAGTCTTGCCATGTCACCTAGCCTGGAGTGCAGTGGCATGACCTCAGCTCACTGCAACCTCCACCTCCCAGGTTCAAGCAATTCTCCTGCCTCAGCCTCCCAAGTATCTGGGATTACAGGCGCCCATCACCACGCCCTGCGAATTTTTGTATTTTAGTGCAGGTTTTCACCATGTTGGCCAGGCTGGTCTCAACTCCTGACCTCAGGTGATCCACCAGGCTCTGCCTCCCAAAGTGCTGGGATTACAGGCGTGAGCCACTGCGCCCGGACTCTATCTGATTATTGACTACTTTAAGCCTCCTGTCTGATAGTCTGTGATAATCATCTGTATCCTTCCATTTGATCCAACACTTCCTATTTCACATTCTATTATATCTATTTTATGCAATGGGTATTATGTTAACTTATAACTAGGGATTCATAGCTGTAGAAAAAATTGGGAAAAACAATAGTCTGGGTGGTAGATAACCTGCATTCATATTTACTAGCTATGAGCTTGTACAAATAGACTAGCTTCTCAATCTCAGTTACTCATCTATAAAATGGATTTTTTAAAAAACCTCTCTCAAATGGTTATTGTACATTATTCATGGAGATTGGTTCTAAGACCCCCGCAGATACCAAAATCCATGGATGCTCAATTTCCTGATATAAAATAATGTAGTGTTTGCATATAACCTACGGACATCCTCCCACATACTTTAAATCATCTCTAGATTACTTATAATGCCTAATACAATGTAAATTCTATGTAAATAGTTGTTATAGTGTATTGCTTAGAGAATATTGACAAGAAAAAAAGTCTGTACATAGTTCAGTACAGCTACAACCATCCATTTTTAAAAAAATATTTTCCATTTGCCATTGATTGAATCCACAGATGCAGAACCTATGGATACAGAGAGCAGAGTATTTCACCTGGGGCTCCTGTTGGCAGTGTCAAAATATGATTTTTCTTTTCCTTTACATGGAGGGGTCTACTCACTGCACTTCTCCTTTATCTCTGGGCTTAGCCTTTTTTTTGATACCTGGTGATTTGTTTAGGTCATTATAGGAGAGGGCAAATATTGGGCTTCAAGCCCACCTTGTAGAGCAGCCCAATCAGTGTGATGTGTTTGAGGTTAGTTGTTGCCAGGAATGACAAAGTTTGTTATCTTACATTTGGGCATATTATTCAAGTCAAGTGGGACTAGACATTTGATCATGCTTTTAAGAAAATTTTCAGTTTCCTCCCAGTGAACTCCTAGAGAAGATCTCAGAGTAGTTTTTATCTGGACAACTAAATTATCTGCATATCACACATATGTTAAAGGATGTCTGTCATTGAAACTATATGGATAACACTCAAAGAGTTCTGACTTGAGATTCTAATTCAGGCTTCCCCCACCTCCCCACCCACCTTTACTTCCAGACATGAGCAAGTCATTTTACCTCTCTGGGACTTGGTTTATTCCTCTATTTAGTTATAGTGTTTAGACTCATGTCCTTTGGGATGCCCTCTTTTCAAGTCTATAATTCTCAATGTGAAATGTCTGCAAAGGCCTATGGTTTAATTTAGTATACTTTTCAATAATACTTTCTATAACTTATTCTGATCTAAAAAGTTATACATGTTTATTGTATATAATATGGATAACAGAGATAAGCAGAAAGAAGCACGTAAAACTATGTTCTGCACCCACCACCTACAGTGAGCAATTGAGGTCCTATTGTATACACAGTATCAGATCCTTCCATTCATATTAAGCAATATTTTAAAACACTACCAAATTATTATTATTTGATGTTAAATTGCTTTACTATCTACCCATTTTTCCTGGCGTTTGAACTTTTGTAATAGAAATGTTTTCTTGGGCAAATTCTTCCCAAGCCGGAGATATTGTGAAGAACTAGGTTAAGTCTTAGAAAGTGCCACAAATGAGTTGATGATTTTGGTGCCTCAGTAGAAACTCTGCAGAGTAGGTAAGTCCTTCAGAAATCTTGAGGTGCCAGAGATAAGCAGTGCTTCCTGTTTCTTTTCTAACATAAAGATGGTGATTTCCTGTAAGCTCTTGATGTGTAATGTTTAGAATTTCTTTGATAGCACATTGAGAAAATGTTTTAATTTGACTCAAAATGATTTAATCAGACGTTATATAGATAATGAGGCAAATAAATCCTATCCAACCCTAAAATAGAGTTGGCAAATATTATTTTACCCGGAAAAGGAAGAAAAAGGGAGATAAATTAGGACAACTTATGAAAATAAGAGACATTTTCTTATGCATCAAATAAGCCTTCAGAGTTTGCATCTATGGGCTCCTTTAGAAGGAAGGGGAAATACTTGTATTTGAATTTCCAGGCTCTCTAACAAAGCATCAGAAATTCGTCATTAAAAACTGACTTATAAGCAAATTAATACTCATTACTTGATTGTTTATTTTCAGTCACATACATGCACCACCTAACTGTAATTTTTTTCTACCCCGAACATGATTTTCTTGATACTGTTTCTTCAAAAGGATAATCTTGTCACAACCAAGGAAAAAGACTCAAAGAAGTTAAGCAAGTCATTGAAGTTTTTGGCAAAGCAGGGACCAAAACCAGAGCCTTCAGACCCCTAAGTCATTATTCTTCACTTTGTGTTACATTGTATCCAGGGGCATGCATTCTTGGCACTACCATGTATTCTAATTTCTATAACATGGCTCTATTATATGGACTTCTGCACTCTACCTTATTCCTGTAACAGAACAAGAATTAATTTGATTGTGGATATACGTAATAAAGAGTCAGAAAAAACAAGTCAGCAGTTGGCCCCTTCAAAGACAGGCAAGGTGTCAGTACTTACAGAGATGCTATAAAATGAAATTTTAAAAAAAATAGTGGGCCATGGCCGGGCGCGGTGGCTCACACCTGTAATCCCAACACTTTGGGAGGCCGAGGTGGGCAGATCACAAGGTCAGGAGTTCGAGACCAGCCTGGCCAATATGGTGAAACCCTGTCCCTACTAAAAGTACAAAAAAATTAGCCGGTCATGGTGGCACAGGCCTGTAATCCCAGCTACTTGGGAGGCTGAGGCAGGAGAATTGCTTGAACCCTGGAGGCGGAAGTTGCAGTGAGCCGAGATTGCACTACTGCACTCCAGCCTGGGCAACAGAGCGAGACTCGTCTCAAAAAAAAAAAAAAAAAAAAAAAAAAAAATGGTGAGCCGTTTGCAAGATAAAACCCAGCCGTTTTTACTCTGAGAACAATCAACCTGAAAAAATCATCTGATCTCTAAAAACCAACCCAGTCATACAACAAATAGCGGCTGAATTTCACAAAACCTAACATTTTGATATTTTAAGCTCCAGGAAGACATCCAAGTCTATATTATTTATTGAGCATCTACTAGCATCAGGTTCTATGCTATGGTCTAGGAATACTATAAAGAACAAGATAGGCAGGGTTCTTTCCCTGTTTCATTCACTTATTAATTTATTAACTAGATATTTATATAGTCCCAGCTATGTCCCAGGTACTGTGCAAGATATGGGATTCAATGGTGGGCAACACCAGACCTGTTCTACTTATAGAGCTTGTCATAGCCCAGTGGAAAAATAAGCCGTCTAAATGGTTAAGTTTAACATCCAATTATTATTTCTCTTGATTCTAATTTCCAGCACCAAGATTCTTTATCACCTTATATATGAATCCCCTCCTCCAATCCTTCTCAAGTCTAGGAGCCCCTTAGCAAAGTGGATGCCTGGCATCTGTATTACTAATACATAACCTTCGGTTATTGCATAACCTTCAGTTATTACTGTGAACGTCTCAAAATGTGCGGAAAGACAAGTTCTGAAAAACCGTAAAAAGTGGGAAGTCTAAATATCTTTTTTAAAAAAATCTATGAAGCATAAAATGACCAATAGGGCCAAAACGCTGACGAAAGGGGCAGAGTAATTAACTACAAGCATATGTCTACCACCAACACTTTCATCTGCAAGTCGGCAACAAAATATCCCCATTTTCATGCTTTAATCATTTCTATAAGTTGCTAGCCCTGGCAGAAGCCCAAACAGAATATGAGATGTTGGGCTGGGCGTGGTGGCTCATGCCTGTAATCCCAGCAGTTTGGGAGGCCGAGGTGGGTGGATCACTTGAGGTCAGGAGTTCGTAGCCAGCCTGGCCAAAATGGTGAAACCCCATCTCTACTAAAAATACAATAAATAGCCAGGCATGGTGGCATGCGCCTGTAGTCCCAGCTACTCGGGGGGCTGAGGCAGGAGAATCACTTGAACCCAGGAGATGGAGGTGGCAGTGAGCCATGATCGTGCCACTGCACTCCAGCCTGGGCAACAGAGCGAGACTCCATCTCAAAAAAAAAAAAAAAAATATATATATATATATATATATATATTAAACAAACGTCTCGAGAAATCTGTAAATTATTCCAGGTAGAGAAGTAGTGAGATGAAGTAGGCTGAGGTTACTAACTCCTTTGATTCTTTGCTCAATAATTTAGGCATAGAGAATACAATGTCCATACAAAGTAGGACATTTTTCCCTTCTCTCCCCTTAATTGTCCCCCACAATTGTAATTTTTCCTGAAGAAACTGAAAAGCAATTTTCAAAATAAAGAAGTACTGAATTTTAGATACACTTGTACAACTACAGTTGTCTTTTCTTACCTCTGTAAGTTTCTGAGGCTTGGATTTTAAAAAATCTGCATTACAGCTTTCAGGACCTCATGATTACCCTGTTCCAAACCTATCCAATAAATACCATGATGAATCTGCTTTTCAGGAGGGGCTCCTGAAATCAAATCTGATCCAGCAGAGAACATGACCCCAGGACAGGACTCAAAGGCTTACTCATCTGCCCAGGGTTGTCGCTTTATATTTCTTTAATATGAATCAAAGATGGGCTAGAAGGTAATTCAACCCTTAGGTGCAATTCAGAGTCTAATATATGCTGTGGCCTGGATTTCTTGCAAAGGTTCTGAGTTTTCATCAATGTTCATTTTTAAGTAGTTTAATTCTGCCTTTGATTACCAAGTGCTAAAATATGAACCTTCACACTTGTGAGTCACCCAATTTAACCAAGCTGTGGCTTTACCCTCAGAGAGTTTCCTAGGTGTGAACCTAACTGTGCCCGAGACCCACAAAAACATTTTAGTCAAGATTTCCAGGGTGAATTCTTGCCCACCCTTGTCAAAACCACACAGACTCCCACCCTTACATCCTTGCAGAGAGGTACTGCCACAACCCTGCGCTCATCAGTGAGATTCTGATTCTGCTATTAAGTTGGCTATAAGATCTTAGGTTAGTGACTTCACCTCCCTGAGCCTCAATTTCCTTGTTAGTAAATGGGAGTAATATATCACACAGTGTAATTAAAAGAATTCAGAATAAAACAGTGTCTGTAAAGTGACTAGGACCCACTGGGGACTGTCTACCTTGAAGGATTTACCATTTTAATTGAAAAACAAAATATAGGCATGGGAAGCAATTGAAAATATAATTAAAACTCATATGAAATAGATGATTAGCAAATGAGATATGACTTTAGTTCTAGGGTACTAGTTTACTACATTTCATTTTTCTAAGATGTCATCTTTTACAAAAGGATTTTCTGTTTCTAAGATGTAAAATCTGAATAAAATATGGATATTAGAAAATAAAATTATGTAAGTGGCAAGCATGAGAAACAACATTGTTGCAAATAAGTTTAAGGAAAATAGGAAGCTAGGCTCACAAAGACATTCTTTCACTTTTCTTTCTCTTGGTTTTTTTCTTCTGCTTTTTTTTAATCTTGGTGCAATCCATGTAATTTTGTAAGAGTCCTTAAAACTGTGTTGGTGGGATATAGATTTCTGGATGAAGAGATAGTTCAACCTTGCTCATGTCAGAAAACAACCCATCAGTCTAAAAAAGATCAGTTTCCTGGGCTCCGTTGGGTTAGGAGTTGTGGACTTCTAGACTCCTAGGCAAAAGAACACATACGTAAACTTACAGCCAAAGTTAATTTTCACCTAATGAACTTGTTGTTAAAAGGAAGCATAAAGTTTACAGAATTCTTTTAGAGACATCTCTTTTTTCTTTATTTACCTCTATTAATAGCATTGTCCTATTACTAGCCCTTTAATTTCTCCTTAAGGCAACCATACTCATTGCATGCACTAGGGATAGTGTCTATTGTATAACGCCTTCAGTGTGCACCACTTGACAATGTTCTATCATCCCGTGACCTAAATCTTATTGAATGAACCAGATTTATTTCTGTCTTAGCCCTGAGATAATAAATGTCTTTGGAATTTCAAAGGTACTAGAAGAGGGGCAGGGCCTGTCATCTTGAATGGGAGACTAGACTGTAAGAACCAACAGGAAAATGACCAGTGTCTAGACCAGTGCCTGATGCATAGCAGGCAACACACAAGTATTTGCTGAATGCATAATTGAGGCCAAAGTCAGCTGTAGAAAGAGAAGGAGACTGTGAGCTTAAAGAGAGATTTGGATTTCAAGTAACCCTGTTAGAGAGATATGATCAAAATTTATCCTAAGTGCTAAGAGCAGAGTAGGATCAGGATAACTGTAGAGAAATTTGTGAAGTGCATTTTCATAAATTTTTGTCTTCTGATGAGTACTCTGAAACCCTGTCATGAATGACATCGGCCATCTAAGTCTTACCAAGATCTGCCTTCAGAGAAAAGCCACCATCCCTACTCTCACTAAGGAGTTCATGACTGAGGGTCATTTACTTTAAACTTGATCTCAGGTATTTGCAACTTTAGGTGATCTCACCTCACTTTGGTCTCCTTAAATGAAAGGAGTTTTGAATATAGATTTCCCAGAGATGGCTGAAGGGGTAAGTAATGATGATGGGATAATAATGAATAGATGAATGATGGTCGCAAGTGGGTTCTCTATTTACACTGCATCACTCTAGGGTTACCATTCACAACTGTACATAATAACCATGGCATAGAAGGTAGCTACAAAATCTTATACCATTCAAGTAACCAGCTACAAGTTGAGCACTGGAGCTGCAGACCAGGTGAGGCATATTGCTGGATAGCCCAGAAAAAGAAAACCAGCCTGCATCAAGAATAAAAGCAGACTGGGGCTTTAAAATACAAGAGGTATCTTCAGAACAAATAAGGAACCTGGGTCAGAAATAATTGAGGTAGGTGGAATGCAATAGAAGCATAT
Source organism: Homo sapiens (assembly GCF_000001405.40). NCBI lineage: Eukaryota > Metazoa > Chordata > Mammalia > Primates > Hominidae > Homo > Homo sapiens. The sequence goes on along the minus strand of NC_000003.12, from coordinate 27,898,464 downwards.
CCTAAGCTCTCAACATAACTGCATTTCAGCCTTTGAGGTATAAATCAGATGAGGAAGTGTGATGTTAGACTTTTTTTTTTTTAAGACAGAATCTCACTCTGTCATCCAGGCCGGAGTGCCGTGGCACGTTTTCGGCTCACTGCAACCTCCACCTCCCAGGTTCAAGCGATTCTCTTGCCTCAGTCTCCCAAGTAGCTGGGATTACAGGCATGCACCACCACGCTTAGCTAACTTTTTTTGTATTTTTAGTACAGACGGGGTTTCTCCATGTTGGTCAGGCTGGTCTTGAACTCCTGACCTCAGGTGATCTGCCCGCCTCGGCCTCCCAAAGTTCTGGGATTACAGACGTGAGCCACTGCGTCCGGCCAATGTTAGATTTTATTTATCAGTTTGGCTAGGCTATAATACACAAGCATTTAATCAAATGCTAGCCTAGGTGTTGATGTGATGGTATTTTCGTAGGTGTGGTTAATGTCTATAATCAGTTGACTTTAAAGGAGATTAATCTTTAATAATGCAGGTAAACTTCATCCAATCAGTTGAAGGTCTTAAGAGCAAAAACTAAGGTTTCTTGGAGAAGAAATTGCTTAAATACCACAGAATCAACTCCTGAGTTTCAAGTCTGTTGAACTGTCCTACAGAGTTTGAACTTGATAGACACACAACAATCATGTAAGCCAGTTCCTTAAATCTCTAAATAAAACAAATATATATGTATGTATGCATACATTTATATGTATATGTACATATTTGTCTCCTACTGGTTCTGTTTCTCTGGGGAACACTGATTGTACAAGAGACTACATAGAATTAAAATGCAGAATGTAATAACCTTCATTCAATAGTCAATACATATTTAATGAGTGCCTACTATGTTCGAGACACTGTGGATGCCCCTGAGTGTCAGTGATGCAGAGTGAAGAAGAAAGTCATTGTGAGATGGCATCACCAGAAGGGCTATGAGAACATACAGTCTGTCCTGCTCTTGAAGGACTACTAGGATTGAGACAGGCAGCTGAGGGATGGGCTCTTTCATGCCAACATGAGAACTGCCTTTGTTTTCACCCAAGAGGCAGCCATGCCAAGTTACTAGAAATTTAACTTGTAGTTGGAAAGAATCTACAGCAAGGAATCTTTGCTGAATTGTAATCAAGACAAACCATAGTACTTCATGCAAACTCATTTTCTTTTCATCTCTTCACTCATTATGTTAAACATATGTGTGAAGAAAATAATCTTTCATGGTTGCTGAAATCCAGAGCCCGATTAGGTTTATTTCAGCAAGTTACTAATCACTTTCTTTTCTGATTGAGATTACTGAAGCACCTGTGAGAGTGCTGATTTCCTTTGATGCAAGAGAGAAGCTATTTGAAACCCTTACAGTCCTCTGAAAGTTGACCCATCTTACTGTAATACTTTCAAGAATCAGAATCAAAGTTTGGGTTGGGAGGTGCCAATAGGAAATTCTGAAGCATGCAGGAGCAAATGATCTATTTCTTTTTTTTTTTTTCCCCACTTATCTTCAGATATGGAGAAAATGCTAAAATGGCAATGGTTAGGGTTTATACATTGCAGAATCTCACATGGTTTGAGCTCTCAATTGTTATCACCAACCCCAAATATTCCTGCAGTGAGCAGTGTGAAGACCGTGGTAGATGTATAGACAAGATCACAAGGAAGTTCATTATCTTGTATTTGAATCCTAGTAAGGAGTTTGCTTTTGGGATCATTTGGATATTTCAAGCTTTTAATGGAAGGCAGAACTGGTCACTGAGATTGGAAATAAAGGAAGAAAGGTCTTAAACTTTTCAAAAGGGTAATAATTGTTTTCAAGAGGCTGAACAATACTCAGTGAGTCTCCAGAGGAATGGATGTTTTCACAGTAGAGGATTTGCAGTTCTAAAAGAGAAGAACCTTCTCTCTATGTTGATGTGGGAGTATCTCCAGAATATATAGCTAATTGGAAAAATGAAGCACTGATTAGTATACATAGCACGGTAGATTTTAGGGGAAAAATAGAGAGCTATATAGAGGAAAATAGAGGAATATATATCTGTATTTGTTATATTTCATAAATATATATCAGGAAAAAAAACCAATAAACTCCTAAATGGTTACCTCCAAAAGTCAGGGTGGAGTAGGGGATCCAGTAGTAGATACAGGTATAGGACTAAAGCACTTCTCTCAACATGCCTTTTCATGTTTCCCTTTTTTGGTGGCAAAATACAGACAATATAGAATTACAATTTTAACCATTTTAAAGTGTACACTTCAATAGCATTAAGTATATTCACAATATTTTACAACCATCACAACTATCCAGTTCCAGAACTTTTTTATCACTCCCATAGAAATGCCATACTCATTAAGTAGCCATTCCTCATTCTCCCCTCCTCTCAGACTCTGTCAACCACAATTATGCTTTCTGTCTCTATAAATTTACCTATTCCAGATATTTCATATAAATAGAATCATACAATATATGACCTTTTGTGTCTAGCTTCCATAATGTTTTCAAGGTTCATTCACATTGTAGCATGAATCATTATTTCATTTCTTTTTATGGCTCAATGATAGTTAATTGTGTAGCTATAACCCATTTTGTTCATCTCTTCATCTGTTGGTGGACATTTGCCTTGTTTCCACCTGATAGGGTTTGGCTGTGTCCCCACCCAAATCTCAACTCGAATTTTATCTCCCAGAATTCCCACGTGTTGTGGGAGGGACCCAGGGGGAGGTAATTGAATCATGGGGGCCAGTCATTCCCATGCTATTATCATGATACTGAATAAGTCTCACAAGAGCTGATGGGTTTAACAGGGGTTTCCGCTTTTGCTTCTTCCTCATTTTCTCTTGCTGCTGACATGTAAAAAGTGCCTTTCACCTCACGACATGATTCCGAGGTCTCCCCAGCCATGTGGAACTGTAAGTCCAATTAAACATCTTTTCCTTCCCAGTCTCGGGTATGTCTTTATCAGCAGCCTGAAAATGAACTAACACACCACCTTTTGACTACTGTGAATAGTGACACTATACACATTTGGGTACAAGTTTTTATTTAAACAATTCTTTTCAATTCTTTGGTCTATATACCTAAGAGTGTAATTTCTGGGTCATATTGTAATTCTATGTTTACCTTGTTGAAGAACCACCAAACTGTTTTCCACAGAGGCTGGATCATTTTACATTCCCACCAGCAATGTACTGATTCAATCCCTTCACTTGTATAGGTCTATTACATTCCCTATTTCTTCAGTTTTGGTGGTTTGCGTGTTTCTAAGAATGTCTGTCTCATCTAGGTTATCTAATTTGTTGTTGTACAACGGTACATATTATTCTGTTTTAATCATTTTTATTTCTGTAAGGTTGGTAGTAATGTCCCCATTTTCATTTCTGATTTTAGCAATTTGAGTCTTCTCTCTTCTTTTCTTACTTAAATTTTAGCTAAAGTTTTGTCAATCTTGTTAATCGTTTCTAAAAAATCAACTTCTGGTTTAATTTTTTTATTATTTTGTACTGTTTTATTTATTTTCACTCTTATATTTAATATGTTATTCTTTTTCCTAGCTCTAGGTTTAGTTTGCTTTTCTTTTTCTAGTTCCTAAAAGTATAAAGTTAGGGAATTGATTTGGAATTATTCTTCTTTTTTAATGTAGATATTTACACTTATACATTTCCCTCTGAGCACTGCTTTAGCCGCATCTTATAAGTGTTGATATGTTGTGCTCGTATTTTCATTTACCTCAAAATTTTTCTAACTTCTCTTGTGATTTCTTCTTTGAGCCATTAGTTGTTTAACAGTGTGTTGCTTAATTTCCACAGATTTGTGAACTTTTCAGTTTTCTTCTACTGTTGATTTCTAGCATCATTTCATTGTGATCAGAGAAAGTACTTTAATAATTTCAATCTTTTAACATTTACTAAGACTTGCTTTGTCGCTATCCTGGATATGGTCTATTCTGGAAAATGTTCCATATACACTTGAGAAGAATGTATATTTTGCTGTTGTTTGGTAGGGTGTTCTGTATATGATGGTTAGATCTAATTCGTTTACAGTATCGTTCAAGTACTCTATTTCATTATTGATCTTTTGTCTAGTTGTTCTATCCTTTATTGAAAGTGGGGTATTGACATCTGCAACTATTGTTATACAACTCTTTATTTCTTCCTCCATTTTTGTTAATTTCTGCTTCATATGTTTTGAGTTTCTCTCAGTGGGTGCATATATATTTATAATTATTATGTTTTCTTGATTGACTCTGTCATCAATATATCATGTCCTTCTTTGTCTGTTGTGACAACTTTTGCTTTAAACTCTATTTTATCTGATACTAGTTTAGCCCACCCTAGCTCTCTTTTGGTTGCTGTGTGCAATAAATATATTTTCCATCTTTTTACTTTCAACTTCTTTGTGTCTTCAAAGCCAAAGTGAATCTCTTTTAGACAGCAAATAGATGCATGATTTTAAAAATCCACTCTGCTGACTCTGGTACTTAATTGGAGAGCTGAATCTTCTTACATTCAAAGTAATTATTGACAAGAAGGGACTTCTGCCACTTTGCTATTTGTTTTCTATATGTCTTATATCTTTTTTCTTCCTCAATTCCTCCATTAGTATCTTATTTTGTGTTTAACTGATTTTTTTCTAGTGTACCATTTTGATTCCCTTCTCATCTCCTTTTCCATATTTTTTAGTTATTACATTAGTAATTACTTGGAAATTAAAATCAATATATTGTACTTTTAACAATCTAGTTTGAACTAATACAAACTATGTGTCAATCATCTATAAATTATATTTCTATACTTTCCCATTGGTCTCCATTTATATCATTATTGTCACAAATTATATCTGTACTGATGTATGCCCATTAACATAAATCTAAAATTATTGTTTTATGCATTTGTCTTTTAAGCAATATAGTTAAAAAAGAGTCATATAGTATTTTTACAAACTAAAAATACTGTAATACTGGCTTTTATATCTACCTATGTAGTTACCTTTACCATTGTTCTTTATTTCTTCATATGGCTTTAAGGTACTGGCTGGTGTTCTTTCATTTTATCCTGAAGGATTCCCTTTAGCACTTCCTGTGTAGGACATGTCTACTAGCAAATAACTCCCTCAACTTTACCTGGGAGTGCCTTAATTTCTTCTTCATTTTTGAACAATAATTTTGACAAATATAAAATTCTTGGTTGGCAATTTTTTTTTCTTTGAGTACTTTAAATACGTTCATCCCACTGCTGCTTTGGCTTCATGGTTTTGGATGACGAATTTTAATTTGATTGAGGATCACTTGTACATAATGAATCACTTCTCTCTTGCTGCTTTCAAGACTCCCTCTTTATATTTCAGCAATTTTATTGTTATGTGTCTCATTGCAGTTCTGTTTGTAATTATTCTGCTTGGCATCTGTTTAGCTTCCTGGATGTATAGATTCATGTATTTTATCAAATTTGGGAAGTTTTTGAGCATAACTTCTTCAAATATTCTTTCAACCCCTTCAACCCCTCTTCTTTCTCTGGGATTCCTATTACACATCTGTTGGTACACTTGAAGTTGTCTCACAGGTTCCTTAGGCTCTGCTTATTTTTAAATTGTTGTTTGTCACTGTTGTTTTATTGTTTTTTCTTTTTGCTATGCAGACTGGATAATTTCATTTTACTAATCTTCAAATGTAGGTATTCTTTCTTTCTGCTAAAAAGTCTGTTGTTGAATCCCTCTAATAAATTTTTCATTTTATTTCTTGTACTTTTTAGTTTTAAAATTTCTATTTGGGTCCTCTTTATATTTTCCATCCTCTTTGTTGACATTCTCTATTTGGTGAGACTTTATTGTCTTGGTTTGCTTTAGTTCTTTTACTTTGGTTTCCTTTAGCTTTTTTATCATACTAAAGGAAGTTGGTTTAAAGTATTTGACTATTAAGTCTAATATCTATGCTTTCTCATTAGCATTTCTATAAATTTACTTTTTTACCTTTGAGTGGGTCATAGTTTATTGTTTCTTTACATGTCTCAACTTTTTTTTGAAAACTGGCAATTTTGAGTATCATGAAAACTCTGAAAATTAAATATCTCCCTCCCTGGGGTTTTTGGTTATTGCTTCCTATGGGTTGCAGTTGTTTGTTTAGTGGCCTTTCTAAACTATTTTTGTAACAACTGTATTCTTTGTTATAAGTAGTCTCTGAAGGCTCTGTTCCTTTAGCTTTGTTGTCTGACAGAAATTTCAACTAGTGGTTTAATACAGATTTTCTTAATTGCCTGGAGCAAAGAAGAATAAGAAGGAGGAGGAGGAGGAGGAGGAAGAGAAAGAGGAGGAGGAGGAGGAGGAGAAAGAGGAGGAGGAGGAGGAGGAGGATGTTATAATATAACATTATGCTGAAACTTGGGTTCCATCATATACATTTTGCCTCCAAACTCTCTCATTTACTTTCACTTCAGAGAAATACAAAAAGAGTACTCAAGTGAAAGCCAGAATTACTATGTTAGTTCAGGGCTTACACTAGTCAAAACTTTGAAGTAATAACTCCACCTCCCTGTAGACATCTTACTCCACCCCCATCCCTTTCCATCTTTGTTCTGTTCTCAAACATTAGCCTAACGTTTTACCTTCTCTCCCACCACCCTCCATGATAAAATAACATTTCTTCTTACTGGTTAAAACCTGTTACTTTTTTAAGGAAATGAGCAAGTTTCTATTCCATACTTTGTCTTAAAATGTTAATATTCTAAGATGAAATAGTACACAGATATCAATTTCCTCACAAATATTAGTGAATGATATTGTTTTGTTTTGTTTCTAGAAAGCAGGTTCTGAGGTTAGGGTAAGGGAAATTAAAGGAGGAGTTGAGATGCCTTAGGAGAAAGAAAAAGGCGGAAAAACATATTTTTATTGGTTAAACATCACCCCATAACTTTGTCTAAGTCAGTGCTACATAGAGTACAGTCTGTGGATCAGCAGCATCAGCATCACCTTTGGGTTTATGGACTTTAGCCCACATCTCAAGTATTGGCTCAAGATCTTTGGAGGAGAGGACAGGAATCTGCATGTTTACCAGCTTTCCAGGGGATTCTAATCCATTCTAAAGTCTAAGAACCACTAGTCAAAGTTATACTTACTGGGTTTTTCTTGATTGTATCATAAAAATAAAAATATTCCCCTGCATTTCTACATCACTTTACTATTTACAAAGTTTTTTTTTTCAGACAATAATCTTGTTTGTTATCATGAAAGCCCTAGAATTGTTTCCCTCTTTTAACAAATAAAAAACTGAATGTCAGAGAGAAGAGAACTTATCTGACTTTTCCAGAGTGGATATTCAAATATAAGTCTCTTGACTTCAAATCCAGGATTTTTCTAATTTTGCCTATATGCAAAGAAAGAAATAAACAAACAATTAAAAAAAACTGAAAAGAATGCACCTTTCCTAGTATAGTTGCTCAACTTTACACATTTATTTTTCATTCGTTTATTTATCCACCACTCAATCACTACATATTCAGCAAATATTAATTAAATACTGTGTTAAGGCATGCTGTGAGTATATCCAGAACATCTATAGCTATCTAAAGTCATACTCAAAAGTAATGGCTATTTCTACTTATAGTTTTGGCTAGACGGATGTACTTTTGACCATGTATAATTTTATTACATACTTTTTAAAGCAATTTAGTCACAAGGCTTCAGCTTCTTTGTGGTTAGGCTGGTGATTCTCCAACACTATTGCCTATTAGCATCACCAGATCTTTCAAAAATCCCCAACTCCAAGCTTTGCTACAGACCAATTACATCAGAAATCTCTGGGGGCAGGACCCAAACATGGTTATTTTTAAAGCTGTCCAGGTGGCTCCAACATGTAGACAAAATGGATAACCAGTAAATTTGAGAATATAAGCCTAATTCTAGTGCCTCTTAAGAAAAGTTTTCCTGTCTTGTCTCATTTTGAAATATCTCAGAGAGAGCGAGAGGGAGAGGGGAAGGAGGAAAGAGAGAGCAAGAGAGAGAAAGAGAGAGAGAAGTTGGCGAAGGGAATGGGAGAGTTGGGATATGTCCTCTCCTCTGAAGGTCTTGCTTTTGTCAACTTTCACCATACAGACATACACATATTCAACTTAAGACAAGCCCATTTTCAGTACCTCTCAGAAGTATATGTCTAGACAGATAAATATAGTTTATAAATTAAATGTTCACTGTAAAATTTTGGTGAATATCTAATAATTTCTTTAAATGATTCTATTTTAAATTAGTAGAGCCAGTCAGAGAGGGCTACCACTCTGATTTGGAATTTATCTGCCAAATAATTTACACACTCACTGAAGTGTGAGCTACTTCAACTTACAACATATTTTCCTTCCCTTCTAATTCTATAGCCCTTTGTCTATTCCTTTCCTTTGACATTGCACTTTCTATAATATCTAAATAATAATATATTATATATAATTAATAACAAAGTCTATAATATCATATGCATGCCTTTGAATGGCTGCTCAAAGAAGTGACGTCAGGGTTAGGGAAATCTAGGTTTGAAAACTGGCTTTCTCAGTTACTGGCAGTGTGACCTTGAGTTTGTTTCTGCATCTCTCCGAGCCTCAGTTTTGCCATTTATAAAACAAGGTTAGTAATACTTTGCAGGGTTAGTGTGAACATACGACGCAAAATATTTAAACTACCCAATGCCTGGTGCATTAGTCCTCAACAAACAAAATGATATTAAGATTTCCTCTTTTCAACTGGTCTTAAGCTCCTTTATCCTTTTTAAGTGTCTTCATCTTTATTATCTCATATACTTTCCTCACAAATAAGATAGGCTAGAAGTTATCTCTGGGTCACAGAAGAGCGAGCTGAAGTGCCAGACAGATAATGGGATGAGTTCAAGAGACAATTATTCATTCTCTTTATAAAAGATGCTTATAAAGGGAAAAATCCTTAGCAGCAATCTAATTGGGGAAAACAAGAAAAAAAACACAAGGCTAAATGTAGTCATCCACTTTGGTAGATCTGAAAATGAATACCAGCGTGAGCAAAGTCAACAGGGGAAAAATATGCTTTTAGTATTTAAAATTCATATTACTCAATGAAAAGTGATGTTGTGGTTCGGTGGCTGGATGGCAGGTGTTAGGTCTTTTGCTTTTCTCTCTTTTTTAAATTTAACCTTCTTGTTTCATCTCTTCCTTTATTAAATAAAACGTGTAATGCCAGAGATGAGATAGCATATATATGTATTCATATTTCTGTATAAATATACGTGTAGTACGATTCTTACATTCGATTGAATGAATCAGCATCTCCAGGGATGAGACTGAGATACCAGTATTTTGTAAAGCTTTCCAAATAATTCCACTGTGCAGTGAGTCTGAGAACCAGGGGTCTTGACCAATGTTTCTGGAGCAGTAATTCTGGAATAGGACTGGGATTCTGCATATCTGACACACTTGCTTCCCAGTGATACAGATTCTCTTGGTCCTTGGACTGCACTGAATAACAAGGCTATAGGGGAATCCTATTCCTTCATTTTTGAAGTATTAGCACATGAGTTACGAAATCACTTTGGGGGCCTGCTTCATTATTTATGAAAATGAGGGTTTAGGCTAAATCATCTTCAAGCTTACTTTGCCACTCCAGACCTTGCCTTATTACTAGCAAGACCAGGAGTCTCTTGTGTTCCACAAGGGGTCAGATCACTGCTGCTTCCAGCATTTATTGAACATTTGGCTGTAAGGCTGTAGAACAGTAGCTCCTACTCCCCATGGGGCGGAGTGAGGCAGGGCAGGTTAACCCTCTGTGTGCACCAAAATCACATGGAATGCTCATTTTAAATGTCCTAGAGCCCTCCCTCCAGAGATGCTGATCTCATGATCTGGGCTAGAGCCTAGAAATGAGTGGTGTTAACAATAATAATAGTTAACATTTATTGTATGTTTGCTATATATCAGGGACTATTCTGGAATTTCAAATCCTCACAGTGATCCTATGAGATCAAGACTAGTGTTATCCCCAATTTACCGACTGAGAAACTGATAAAGAAGTTAAATAATTTGACCAATGTCATCCAATTAGAAATTACAGACAAGGGATTCTACTATGAGAAAATGTAGCACAGTTAGATATTGAGGTCCTTGACTCAAAGAGTTTCTAATTAGAAAAAGGAAAGAAAGGTGGCTGGGTGAGGTGGCTCACACCTGTAATCCCAGCACTTTGGGAGGCCGAGGCTAGTGGATCACTTGAGGTCAGGAGTTCAAGACCCGCCTGGCCAACATAGTGAAATCCCATCTCTACTAAAAATACAAAAGTTAGCTGGGTGTGGTGGTAGGCCCCTGTAGTCCCAGCTACTCTGGAGGCTGAACCGGAGAATGGCTTGAACCCTGGAGGCAGAGGTTGCAGTGAGTGGAGATCATGCCACTGCACTCCAGCCTGGGCAACAGAGCAAGATTCCATCTCAAAAAATAAAAACCAAAAATTAAAAAAAAGGAAAGAAAGGAAAAATAAAAGTGAAAAGTAGTAGGGCTAGTAGGCAGGGGAGTAAGGATTCACAGCCTGAGAGGCTGGCTGGAGGTCCCAGACTTTGACCTAGCCGGTTCTGCTGCAGGTGGCTCCCAGATCACTCCTTAAGTTTCCATTTATAGATCCACTGAGCCAGCAAATGAGCTGCATAGGGTTTTCCAGGGAGTTTTTGTAAACTACAATCTCCTGAACCCTCCTCTTTTGTATTTTGACTCCTAAGGTCCAGCACAAAGCCCTGGAATCTGCATTTTAACAATCATACCCTTCTCGCCGAAGTGATTCTGATGCACAGCCAAATTTGGGAATCACTGGAAGAATAGGACTTAGAGGCTGTCAGCCTCTGGCCACTTCACATCTCTGTGTCTTTATTCACTCATTCATTCTTTCTTTTAACAATTAGCAAACATTTGAGCACCTACTGTATGCCTAATACTGGATGCTGGAGATTTAATGGCAAACAAAACAGATAGAAATCCCTCTTCATGGAGCTTACATTCTGGTTCATTGGAGGGTGACAATGGAGAAAAATTAAGTAGCAAAGAGAGTCAGGAGGAGTGCAAGTTTGGAGTGCCCAGGAAAGACCTCACAGAGAAGATGACATTTGAGTAAAGATTTAAAAGAGAGGGCTGTGGGAAGGGTATTCCTGGCAGGGTGAGCAGCTCATGCAAATGCTCTGAAGTAGGAGTGTGCTTGGCATATCTAAATAACAACAAGAAGGCCAATGTAGAAGGACCTGAGTGTGTAAGGGAGACTAGAAGGAAATAAATTCAGAGAGGTAACAGGGAATACATCATGCAGAACTTTGTAGGCCACTGAAAGAACTTTGACTTCATTCTGAGATGGGAGGCCATTAGAAGGTATTGAGTAGAGTTATCTCATCTGTCTTATGTTTCAAAGGATCCCCTCATTGCTGGGTTAATAATAGACTACAGCAGGGTAAGGGCAAAAGCATGGGGACCAATTAGGAGGCTGCTGCGATTATCCAGGTGATAGATCATACTGGCTTGGACCAGGGTGGTAGTTTTGAGGTGATGGGAGATGAATACATTCTGAGTATATTTGGAAAGTGGAGAAAACAGAATGTGCTGAAAACTTGGTTTACAAGAGGAAGAAGTAAATGATCTTCTTTAGTAAATTTCAGTCACTGATTCATTTTAAAGAATATTACCTGGGCATTGTGGTGTACACAGGTATGTGCTGGTCACTGTGCAAAAGCTTGGGAGGTACATTGATAAGCTAGACATATGGTACCTGTCCTCCTGGATCTTACATTTGAGTGGCACGGGGACAACATGTACCTAATTGTCTGGGTTGTTATGAGAATATAAGGTGCATAGTACAGAACCTGGCACATAGTTGCACTCAATACATAGTTGATATTGCTATTATATAGGATACTTAGCATTTGGCAATGTGTGGGGACATTTTCTGTTTTCATAAATGGCAGGGGTGGGGGCAGGAGGGAGGAACCAGGGATACTGCTAACAGTCCTATAAAAACAGGACTGCCCCCCTTTCCTCCCCACCTCTCTCTCCACTGAAGAATTATCCAGTCCCAAAATGTCAGTAGTGCCCCAGGTTAAGAAACCATGAGATGAAGAAAAGGTAGGTAAAGTTATCACCCAAAATCATAATCATGTGGTCATAAACAAAACCAGTGGTTTGAGAGGAAAAGTGTCCACACTTTCCTAAGTGTTATGGACTCTGGAAGGACGTCATCATATCTCTAATAAAAGAGGATGCTCAAAAGAACAAGTGTGTACTGTCCTAGCTTTGTTTTCCAGAAATGGTCCTCTTTAAAGGCAACCATCCATTCTTTCTTCTCTCTTCACCAAACAATGAGGGAGTAATTTTTCTTCTCATTGAAAAAATCCTGTTTGCCTAGACTGGGATGTGGGACATTCTAGGAGCAGGAAAAGTCTGTTTGAAGAGGTTTTATTCTGGGAAAATTAATGGGCAGACAATGAAAAAGAAGAGACAAATTGTTCTTTTGGTTCCAAATAAATGCTTGTTTTCTGACACTGCCTGAATTTAAATGGTCCTCAGTTTGACTGAGAAATTAACACATCTTTGAGGTTAATTGTGGGGGTGGGGTGCAATTCACACCACTTCCAGAGCAATTGTCTGTCTGGAATGCAGAGCAAGCAAGCCGTATATACTCTTTAACCAACACTTGCTTCTGCCTAGACCAACAGCTCCCTTCTGGTCCCTAGGAGCTGCCTCATTATTGAGGGCATGGGTTTTGCATGAAAGACTCATAACTTATAATTACAGAGTCATCAACAGCAAGCTCAGCATCTTCAGTTTTTAGCTGAGGGAACTTAGGAAAATCTTAGAAGCTTTTAAAGCCAGCAAATTACATTTTCAAGCTTCCTTCTCTAAAATTCTGTGATGTTAGGGATCTCAAGCTCTATTTTGTGGTACAGTTCCTCTAAAGTTACATCATGACAGGGTAGTAAGCAAATGGTCTTTGGGAGAAAGATACTTATACAAAAAACGTTTTCTTTTTAGGGAGAGTAAAAAAAAATACCTTTTGATAATTCTTACATGTTATTAGGATTCTTTCCATAAATACTGAACCAGTTTTAAGTGCTATCATCAATGCTGGTTTTTCCATAAGCTTTATACCAGACAGCATTAGATTTTATCATTTTTTGTTGTTTTGATGAGTTTAGTATAGTACCAATTTTAGGTTATTTGCATCTGTGTATCTTCATCCATTAAAGAATCCATCTACATGGAACCATACTCTCTTTCTGTATACTGTAACTTGGACATTTTGAGGCTGATAGAAACTGATAGTAAACAGAGTTTTTGCCTTAACCAAGTGATTTTTATTTTGTATTTATTTTATTTTATTTTTGCCACACTGGTGATTCAAGGAAGGGATATTGAAGCTATAAAAAGAATGTTATTCTAGAAGAGATTTTGATCTCCTCCAAACTAAATTTTAAAAATAATGAAAGAAGCATTAGATATCTTTCTTAAATTTGTTATCAAGGAAGGCTATCAAATCTGTCTTTTCTGCAGGTCTTTACTGGGAGCATAAATTTACTACAGTGAAGGAATAAGTGCAGACATATTTCAGAAACAAAAGGAAATCTAGATTATTCATTGCTAGACACCAATCATTCAGGACTTTTATGCTTTAGAATCCTTTAAAAAGTCTGGAGAACAAGGGTGAAAAAAATGTCCAAGAAAAATCCAAAATTGTTCCCAGATAACGTGTTTTATTAAACTTACTTCTCCATCTCATCTTGCTCCTAAATTCTCCTACCAACCTGCCTATCTCTTAGTGTTCATTCTCCACACATAACCATGACCCAAGTAAACAAAATTCTGGCATATCTACATTTAATTATCTTTGTTGCCAAAATAATATATGTTCACTGTATAAAAATTAGAAAAAATACATGACAAAAGAAGAAAATGAAACTCCATCTATAAATTCCACACTCCAGAGATAGTCACTGTTAATGCCTTTAGTTATATCCTTCCAGATATTTTTCCATCTATATATATATCTTTCATATATGTATTCATATATATATCTTTCATATATATTCATATATCTTTCATATATATTCATATATATCTTTCATATATATTCATATATATCTTTTATATATATGAATATATATATCTTACATATATATGAATATATCTTTACATATATTCATATATATATCTTTCATATATATTCATATATATATCTTTCATATATATATTCATATATATATCTTTCATATATATTCATATATATATCTTTCATATATATATTCATATATATATCTTTCATATATATTCATATATATATCTTTCATATATATTCATATATATATCTTTCATATATATTCATATATCTTTTATATATATATTCATATATATATCTTTTATATATATATTCATATATATATCTTTTATATATATATTCATATATATATCTTTTATATATATATTCATATATATATCTTTTATATATATTCATATATATATCTTTTATATATATTCATATATGTATCTTTTATATATATTCATATATATATCTTTCATATATATATTCATATATATATATCTTTCATATATATATTCATATATATATATATCTTTTAAAGTCGTATTTCTTCAAACCAGCCTTTATCACATTTTCTTCATTTAACATCGTATTAACACTTTCTGGGTCAATTTTTTTTTGTAGAAACCCATCTTGATTTATTTATATAACCTTCTATTATAGAATCCTAAGGGAGTTTCTAATTTTCTACTTTTAAAATTTTATTTGTAGTTAATACCTCACTATTTTTGTGCATATATTTACCTATTTGCTTACAGTAAATTCCTAAATGTGGCACTATTGGACCAAATGAGGATGCCGACTCCTGGGACCTTGACACATATTACTGGCAGTTCCTTAAAATTCACACTGATGTTACTTGTCTCTCCACCACCAGGAGATTGACATATAAGCCTGAGGGGGGCCTTGTATGTTCTTTCAAGCAGATAGTCTTTGGAAATACAACAAAGGATTTGGGAAGTGTAGGTGGCTCAGTTGACTGATGGCCCACAAATCATCACAAAAGAACTTTCAAAGGTGACATTTTACAGAGAGTGATTTTATCACTGTTACTGTTATGATTGCTGGTAATGAGGTGGGTGAAAGGCAAAATAGAAAGGGCTTTCCTTTGAGGAGAAAAAAAAACAAACTTTGTACAGTAACAAATTCAGATTTCACTCAGTAAACCTAAAGGCACCACTAAATGAGGCTTATTTAAATTAAAGATAAATTGAAAATAGTTAAAAAAAAGTACTCTACAACCTTGAGATTCCATTTCTTAATATGTATTAGAGAATCCCTGGTTATAATAGTATGAAACTGGAAAAATAAATGGAAAATAACTGAAATGTCCATCAACAGGAAAACAGATTAATTATAGTATATGCATACACCGAAATGTAATTCGGCAGATGAAATATCACTACATAGATCAACATGAATAGACTTTTAAAAACATAATTGCAAGTAAAGACAGATGTGAAACAATATATATAGAACAATAAAACAGAGAATAATACTATATATTAAGAAAAACATATATGTATATAGATTTATGTAAAATTATGTCCTGAAAAATACACACCAAATTTAGATAATTGCCTCAAGGGAATGAAGAAAAATGACACAGGTGAACATGACAGTGAGTGATAGGGGAGAAGAAAGGCCCTTCAATTTTATGTGTAATGATGCATTATTTTAATAGTAAAATTCCATGCTGTTTTACCAAATCCAAGCCATTAAATATAAAACCATTATTATTCGATGTATCAAGAAGAAAGTTGTCACAATATGCACAATAATTTTAAATTAAACTCTTGAAAACTTAACAATAAATAATATTTTAGTATAAGTTTGTCCCACTGAATTTCAAATAAATAATACATATTTTTTTTCTATAAATGTATACAAATATTTCATGGGTCTGATTTGTACTAAAAAATTGTTGTTTATTTGAAATTCAAATTTAACTATGTTTTTATTTTCTAAATATGGTAAACCTATCCAAAGTTGTAACTAATCTGACAAAAGGACAAAGCAAAAAAATATAACTGGAAGCTAAGTGGGAAAACAAGAAATAGAGAGTAGGTTGGAAGTGGTTGCTAGCGAAGAAAAACAACTAAGCAAACCAATCCCCAGTTAGTTATCCTGACAGCATATATTTTATTTGAAAACCATATACGGTTTTTTTCTGTTTCTTATTTTTATACAGGGTTCCACTCTAAATCGTGGACATATTTGAACCACTGAGCAATGAATATAATCTCAGCAGCCTCGGTCATCAGTTTGTCATTGCCTAATCAATGGGTCCTCATGGGTTTTACCAGCCCTTGAAGGGAAAAGCCAGCACCAAAGGTCTCTCCCAGGAGACACAAATTGATCTGGCAGGCTGGCTCAGGGGCCACCTTCTCGAAACTCAACTCTGTTGCTGCCTTCCCTTTCACTGATTAAGTAAAACAATCTTGGAGTCTTTTTTAACTTTGGATTTGAATATCATACAGTAGTGTGTGCTAGAACTCCCTGCACCAGCTTGAGGGAGATGACAAAATTTTCTCCAACCAGGTAGGATCAGCTCCTCCTTTGACAAGGTAGAGACGCTGAAGCCCTTGTCCTGGGTCACAATCATTTTCTGTGGCAAGTTCACAGCTTCACCAGCTTCTAGAACACAGGCATACCCTGAATGCTTAAAAACATTAAAAAAAATACCCCTTCCTGTTCTTCTCTAAGTTACAAAAATAGAAGGAAGTGGGGTGCGGGGAGGCAGAAAGAGAGGTGTCAAGCAGACATTCCCTGGGTCTGAAAGAAGCAGCAGACTCCACAGTGTCTCACACCTTCTCTGGGTTTGTGCAGAGAACTGATGCTGCTTACTTACCCTGTTGCTTGCATGTAGGTCTAGGGAGGTTAATATCTTCTCTTCCCTCCTCGGTTTTACTTGCAATAGTTGTTAAGGTGAGAATTTAGTTATTGGGTGTTTTTCACCTTATGTTTTGATCGCGAGGGATTTAAAGTTACTTTCACTTTTGCAAACACTGTAGCCCTGATGGAGAAAACTGCAAACCCTCATCAAGGGCCCCCTAGTAAAGGAGACATTGGGAGAAGATATTCCCATGGTGCTCATAGTTCTTAGAGCTGTCAAAGGCCAAGAAGCTCCTGAAGTGGCAGGCTCTGACTACTGGCTTTCCAATTTACCTTGTTTTACTTCTTCCTCACCAGAGTGCAGTAAGGGAGGTAGTATGTCCCCCATTTTATAGAGGAGGAGACTGAGACTGGGCTGGGTAGCAAGAAAGCAGAGGCAGGAAAAAAGAGACGGAGTCATCTGGCATTTACAAGGCACTAAAATCACTGGAAATGAAATACAATGAAGACAATGCTATTTCCCAAAACCACTTTCAGAAAAGACTTACATGTGGGTTGCTTTACCAAGCCGCTTAGGGGAAGAAAAAGAAGGGGCAGAACTAATCCTCCAAAGAGGCTTGAGATAGATAGAGCTCAAGCTGCCTTCTAAGAAGGGATGGGAAATTTGGGCACAGAGCTTTTCTTGTGCTGGGTTGAGTAAGCTTAGGGGAGGAAAGGTGTGATATTTTCCTCAGCAGTCATAGGATCCAAGCCTACACACCTATAAAAAGGACAGGTAAACAAGAGAAAAGCATAACACAGTTATTTAATCAAAGTTTTATGTGACACGGGTGCCTTTAGAAATGAAGATCGGGAGATCCAGGGAAAACTGTCTATTTTTTTTAGGTTCAATGAAGAATAGACAGCCATGTAGAAATGTGATTGGACAAAAGAGTATGATCTAATGATAATAGGTGGCAAACCCAGCAAGGCCTTTCCAGAATCTTCTTGTCTTCTCTGTGTAACATTCCTTCCTCCTGGATATGGGACAGGGCCCTCGGAATGAGGTCTTCAAGTAAGAAGGGAGAAGGGGAAAAGTGACCTTTTTAGTTTTTATGGCTTGCTTTGGGTGAGAGGAGGACTAGTTTCTATGACCCACCTTGCAAAAGTGAAATTCTGGTTTCTGTGATTTGCTTTTGAAGAGAAAGAGGGGCAGGAAACCAGAGGATGGGAGAAGGTCAGGCAGACCTTGTTTCTGAGGCCCTCCATGTGTCCTTCAGTTCAGAGTACTCAGCACACCAAGGTGCCATATTTGGGGTATTGTGTTCTAAGCCCCAACATAAGTTTGGGATTAAAGGCAAATTGGTCTGGACAGTTGAGCAAGAATAGTACTTTTTCCCTATCCAGCTTCCACACTGCTGCCCAGCCTCTCCTCTAAATGGCATACATTGACAAGGAGAAGAATGGGACAATATCTCTTTCCTCATTGATGGAATTCTCTTTTTGAGGAAATCTCTCCTTTCATGATAGTGATAAAATTTTGGAAGTTGGAATGCAGAAGAGCACATAACTGACTGACTAAATAGACCAAAGAAAGCTGATCACCAGACATCTGAGGAAACACACAACATGAAAGTCAGAAGTCTAAGAAAAGACTGGGTGTGGTGGCTCACACTTGTAATCCCAACACTTTGGAAGGCCAAGACGGGAGGATTGCTTGATGCCAAAATTTCAAGAGTAGCCTGGGCAACATAGCAAGACCGCATCTCTACAAAAAACAAAAGTTAGTCAGGCATGGTGGCATATGCCTAGCTACTCAGAAGGCTGAGGCAGGAGGAACACCTCAGCCCAGGATTTGGAGGCTACCATGAGCTATTATCATGCCTGGGTGGTAGAGTGAGATATTATATGCATGAAATAAAAACAGGATTCTATTTTTAAAAAACCAAACATGCAGACAACGAGACTGAGTTTTAGAAAATGAAAACCTGAAAGCAGAAATGAACATCTCAATTGATGTGCTAGAAGATAATTTACAAAAATTTCTTGGAAAGTAAAGCAAAAAGACCAAGACATGGAAAATGAGAGCAAAAAAAATTTGCAAATTAGAGCTTAGAGAGTGTCCAGAAGACTAACCATCTAAGTAGAAGAAATTCTAGAAAAGAAAACAGATACAATAATCAATATTACAGCTTAAGAAAATTTCTCAGAATTAAAAGTCTTATTGAGGTTCACCACAAAAATTAAAAATAAATCCTCACTGAGGCCCACCAGTGTAGTGCTTCAGAACACTAGGATCAAAGACAAAATCCCAAAGCTTTCAGAAAAGAAAAAAAAAAAATGCTTACATTAAAAGGACCAAGATTCAGAATGGCTGTAGATTTCTCAATAAAACAGTAGAAACTAACAGAAAAATGGGGAAATTCTGAGGGAAAATAGTTTCCAATTTAGAATTCTATGCCAAGACAAGGAGTAAAATGTCAGCGTGGATTAAAGACACTTTTAGATATGTAAGAGCTTAACATTTTAATCTCCTATATCCTTTCTCAGGAAACAATTATAGGACACACCATCGAAATGAGAGATTAGGGCTGGGCGCGGTGGCTCATGCCTGTAATCCCAACATTTTGGGAGGCCAAGGCGTGTGTATCATTTGAGGTCAGGGGTTCGAGACCAGCCTGGCCAACATGGTGAAACCCTTTCTCTACTAAAAATGCAAAATTTAGCCAGGCGGTAGTGGCGCGCACCTATAGTCCCAGCTACTTGGGAGGCTGAGGCAGAAGAAACGCTTGAACCCAGGAGGCAGGGGTTGCAGTAAGCCGAGATCGCACCACTGCACTCCAGCATGGGCAACAGAGAGACACTCTGTCTCAAAAAATAAAAAAAAATTAAAAAATTAAGAGATTAAACCAAGAGAAGAATAAATACGGGAAAGACAACTCATAAGAGAAGGAAAGAGAAAATCTGAGCAATCAGCTAAGGCAGGCCAGAATTGAAGAGCCTTGGCTCAGATTTAGGGCTCCTTTCATTTTATTTCTATTTTATCAAGTTATGCACATAATTGTATATTATAGTTCAACAAGATTTATTATGAAAGTTAGCCCCTTGGGGGCCATATTCTTTTTCCCACTCCTTCCTACTCCTCAGAATCAACCACTTAGCTGCTTTCGCTGTCTCCTTTGTCATTGCTTTCAAATAGTTAAATAATATAGTCCAACTTGAATTTTCCTTTTAGCCATTTCCTATTAATTCCCTAATGTGGGAGTTAAAGTTTCCCTATCATCGTCACCACCTGCCACAACCACACACCCTATGCTTTTAAGATGGGTCTGCTTATCCAAAAAGTTGGCTTTTGCCTTGATTTCCACATGGTATTAAAGCTTTCACTTTTGCTTCCTGTCATTCAAGATTGTTTTTTGCATGATGCATGTGTGTGACCTGATGATTGAGTCTGTGGGCTTGAAGTAAAGCAAAGACAGGGAGGCATTAAAAATGAAATTTTCTATAATCAAGACAAGCACACAAATGTGTGAATAAGATTTTCAACAGAAACATAACAGAGACCAGGCAGAATATGGGGCAAAATAGAGAAAGTGATAATAAGTAGATTTATCAGGGCAGCACAAGCGAGAAATAAAAGCAAGTTCAAGATCAAAGAAAACACTCAGCCTTCTTACTTTAGAATCAAATTGGCAATTAGCCTAGACCACCTTCCACAATGACCACAGAAGCGCTATGTGATCCAAACAGGAAGCACCAGCCTCAGAAATTTTTAAAGTCCCTACTGTGAACTTCTACTCTTTTATCTGCCCATCTCCTCTCTCTTCTTATAGGAACAGACAGACTCTCTTTTGGAGAACTGCTTCTCTCTCCAGGCTAACCATGTGGTTCTCACAGGGACTATTTGTCCTAATCTTATCCTCTGGCCATAT
This sequence comes from Homo sapiens, assembly GCF_000001405.40. NCBI lineage: Eukaryota > Metazoa > Chordata > Mammalia > Primates > Hominidae > Homo > Homo sapiens. Next base: position 27,877,641 of record NC_000003.12, on the reverse strand, counting down.
TGATTAATTGCAAAGTAAACAACCCAAGGCCAGGCCAATTAGAATCCTTCCTGGGTTTTTTAAGGATTGTTATAAAGGGATGGAGTTTAGGAAATGCCATACCAAAATATGCTGCTTTGTTTTACTAATTCCTTTGAGGTGAAGGCATTTGGAAAACAGCAAATGAAGGTGACAGAGGTCTCGGAACAAGAGTGACTCCATCTTGAGTGGGGCTGGGTAAAATGACACTGAGACCTACTGGGCTGCATTCCCAGGAGGTTAAGCATTCTAAGTTGGCACAAGGTACAGTTCACAAAGACCTTGCTGATAAAGCAGCATGTGGTAAAGAAGCCGGCCAAATCCCACCAAAACCACGATGGCGATGAGAGTCACCTCTGGTTGTCCTCACTGCTCATTATATGCTAATTATAATGCATTAGCATGCTAAAAGACACTCTCACCAGCACCAGTGATAGTTTACAAATGCCATGGCAACGTCAAGAAGTTACCTTATATGGTCTAAAGAGGGGAGGAACCCTCAGTTTCATGAATTGCCCACTCCTTTCTGGGAAACTCATGAATAATCCACCCCTTGTTTAGCATATAATCAAGAAATAACTATAAGAATCCTTAGTCAAGTAGCCCACTCTGCTGCTCTGACTATGGAGTAGCCATTCCTTTGTTCATTTACTTCTTTGATAAACTTACTTTCACGTTACTCTATGGATTCACCTCAAATTCTTTCTTGGGCAAAATCCAAGACCCCTCTCTTGGCATCTGGATCAGGACCCCTTTCCAGTAACACAGGGAGAGACTTTCACTGAACTCCCCTTGCAGCCTGAAGACAGACCCTCCAAAGGAGTTCGATTATCATCAGTCTCTTTTCTGGGAGTTTTATCAATCTGGAAAGACTAACTCGTATCACAGGAGAGGAGACAAGAAATTGATACCCCACCTAGACAATCTTTGTCACTAACTATTGCAGACTCTCTTCTGTTTTTCTAAGGGTTCATCTTTCTGCCAAATCGTTTACTTTCCCCTAAGTTGCTTGCATCCCTCCTTTCCTCTCCCCTATGAAGAGGGCATATAAGCTCCCGAATCTCACCTGTTTATTGAATATCTACGTTTCTTTCATGCGATGCTCCTGTGCGCGTGATGAATTTGTATGCTTTTTCTCCTATAAATCTCCCTTTTGTCAGTTTATTTAACAGAATCAGTTATCGAACCATCAGAGGGTGGAGGAAGAGTCCTTCTTCATGGGGGAAGAGGGTCTTTCTTCACAATGTCATATGCCACCTAAAAAGCAGAACTTCTAAAATACAGTAGTCCCTTCTTACTCATGGAGGGTTTGTTCCAAGACCCCCCAGGTGGATGCCTGAAGCTGCAGAGTACCGAATCCTATACACATAATTTTCTAAATACAGTAATGGACATGTAGTATATGCAGCGTGGATATGCTGAAAAAAGAGAAGATTCATATCATGGGTGGGACAGGGGAGGACAGCAAAAGATTATAACATGCTACTCAGAAGACCATGCAATTTTAAAGTTATAAATTTTTTCGGGAATTTTCAATTTAATACTTTCAGACCTCAGTTGTCCATGGCCAACAGAAACCATAGAAAGCAAAACAATAGATAAAGCGGGGGACAACTGACTATTGTACATAAGAGGAAAGTGGATATTGGGGGATAGCTAATAGCCTCTGCCACAATTGCCTACTGAGCCATCACAGGATATGATAATTAGAATTTTTCCTGCCTCATTTTTTTGATTGAGGCACCATCAAAGAATAATTCAGAGACCTTTTATGGTTATGTTGCATACAGTTTCTTACTGTTTGTTATTAAGGATGCAAATTGTTAACTCATCTGTGAGGAAGTTGAATAAAAGATGCAGTCAAAGATCAAAGGCAAAAACGTGATTTTAGAGAAAGAAAAGAGAGGAAAGAAGAGCCAGTAGAGTATAAAAACAGGTCATCTTGTTTGAACATATTTGGGTAAACTAATGAGCTGACAGCTAGCTGAGAGGTTAGAATGGACATTTTGTATTAGAATAAGCCCCACGGAAGTATCAAAAGACACAATTTTAGCTGTTTAGGGTTTCTCCGGAAAACCTCGAGAGTTTAGCTATGGAGCATGCAAGGCCAGTAATCTCTGGTCAGTGTCTGCCTGTCCTTAACTATGTTTTGGTTAGGGCAGCACGGCACAATTTCTTACTTTAGAGTCTCACTTTAGAATTTACCAGCACAGATAAGAGGAAAGTGGCTACCACTGGAAAATTCTGCTGTGAGCCCTGTGTGCACCTCTCTGCCAAGAGCCTATTTGGGGAGGAGGGGGCAGGCCTGTACCTATTCACCTCAAGTCCAGTGAGGGGCACTTCGGTGGAACAGTGTAACCAGAACACTGGTTAAGAGGATTGTTTGGATAGAAGGCTTGTAGTTCTGAGTCCCCTGCCCCCACCATGCTGCTTTGGGGGGAAATTAGAGGAGAGTTGTTTCTGTTAAACCCCAGGCATAATAATGGGTCTTCAGAAGGACTCCTTGGAAATCCTTGAACTGTGACATACTGGGGACTGGTGCTTGGCTTACACTTTAAAAAGTGAAAGCAGACTGTGTACTGGAGTCTGATTCCCTTTTAGGAAATCCAGAGTGAGAAGGACTTACTTAATGCTTTGGTGATAGCATCCAAGAGCAGCTGCTGGGTTGAGATGGGTCTACATTAGGAATGCAGAGGATGGTGTGAGGTGCTCATCTTACTCTTAGGCATTGCACAGTGTATTAATGCAGTATTAATTAATTAATAGAGAGCACTCTATTAGAATCCCAGTGACCTGGTATATCAGATGGTTTAGAGGAGGAGTCTAGGAAGCCCCAGAACTTGTCATAGGTATCCATTAATATTTTCTACTTCTGTTGCTGTTTTTATCTCAGTGGGCCCAGTTATGTCAGCCCAGGCACTACAGTGTCAGCCAGAGGCAACCATTAATGTGCTGGGGCTTGGATGAAGTGGCTCTGCCCAATGGCAGTGTTCCACACTGATAGTGTCAAAAAATGCTAACAACATCTCCCCTTTTAAAAATGCACATAGAATTCTCAACCCTCAAGAATCTAACTTTACATGTTAGATTCACCTGGGAGTGTTAAAAAACACTGACGCTGGCCAGGCACGGTGGCTCACACCTGTAATGCCAGCACTGTGGGAGGTCGAGGTGGGTAGATCACGAGGTCAAGAGGTAGAGACCATCCTGGCCAACATGGTGAAACGCCATCTCTACTAAAACTACAAAAATTAGCTGAACATCGTGGTGTGCGCCTGTAGTCCCAGCTACTTGGGAGGCTGAGGCAGAAGAATCACTTGAACCAGGGAGGCAGAGGTTGCAGTGAGCCAAGATCACACCACTGCACTCCAGCCTGGTGACAGAGCAAGACTCTGTCAAAAAACAAAAAAACAAAACAAACAAACAAAAAGCAAACAAAAAACAACAACAACAAAAAAACACTAATCCTGAACCTCAAATCACTTAAACTTATATTGTGAAATTGGAGACTAGGCATCAAGATACTAAAAGGGTCCTGAAGTGGTTCTAATGTTCATTCTAGGTAGAAAATCCACTAGTAATAAAACAATCGGAAGAACATTGCCCAACCTGTTTAATCAAGAATGAACACAGTTACTGACTGCTTGTGGAAACTACATGGTAGGGAGGCTGCTTTTTCAGTCTGTTCAAGAAACATTGACTCATAACTTTTCTATTCTTGAGTAAAGAATAGAAAATTATTTATTCAAGATTTAGGTTATGTTTCAAAATCATACAGGGTCAGGGTTGCTGCAGTTTCCATAAAGGTAACAAACATCTCACTTTCCTGGTCTCTAGGGCAGGATAGGAGACCTTAACTGTAGTCCCTGAGCCTTTAGAAATGCACTACAGACCTCCCTCATTCCTTAACATTCATCTTTCCTTGTTTGTTTTTTGTTTGTTTGTCTCGTTTGCTTGTTTGAGATGGAGTCTTACTCTGTCGGTCAAGCTGGCATGCAATGGTGCAATTTTGGCTCACTGCAACTTCCGCCTTCCAAGTTGAAGTGATTCTCCTGCCTCAGCCTCCTGAGTAGCTGGGACTGTAGGCATGCAACACCACACCTGGCTAATTTTTGTATTTTTAGTAGAGACAGAGTTTCACCATGTTGGCCAGGCTAGTCTCAAACTCCTGACCTCAGGTGATTTGCTTGCCTTGGCCTCCCAAAGTGCTGGGATTACAGTCATGAGCCACCACGCCTGGCTTTAACATTCATCTTTCACCCTTCATTTTCCACTGTTTATAATATTTAGTCATCCCATTTATCTATCTGCCCAATGACCCCCTGACATCTACCTCCTTTCAGCTTTGTGCCTTGTAATTAAGTCCTAAACCACTTAGGCTTGGGTGTCCACTTTAAGCTGGTGCCTTTTCTCCACCCAATTTCTGCTGACCTGAGAGAGGTAGGAGCAGTCTCTGATCATAGTTCCTGAAGACACCATAGAGATGGGGTGAGAAAACAGAATAGAAAGAAGAAAAGAGGGTCTTTCCCTGTGGCTTATTAAGAAACAATATGCCTGACACTAAACCTTGCCATGAGAATTTTTCTTCTGATGACACTTGTAAGTTTGCTTTTGCTCTCCCCATGTGGATACTCTCCAGAGGCAATACTATGATCTGTTTTACACACAGAACACTTCCGATACCAAAAATGTTGGATTTTTCCTCACCAACAACCAATTTTCCAGACACAAACTGGGTGTCCAATGACTTAATTCCATGGAGTTAGTGTCATACCCCACAAGTTAAGAGCTCATCCTTCAAGACTACCCCCACCTCAGACTGCGCCTTATTCCGATGCCAGTTAAAAGTCCTAGGTTGCTTTCCATAACTTCTGAGTGGCCCGTTATAAATTGAGGCTCCTTACAACCACCTTCTCATATTTGATAATTTGCTACAATGGCTCACAGAACTCAGGAAAACAGACTACTTACTATTAGCAGTTTATTATAAAGGATACAACTCAGGAACAGACAAATGGAAGAGATGCACAGGGCAAGGCATGTGGGGAGGGGAGGCAAGAGCTTCCAGGGCCTCTCCAGGCCTGCTACTCTCCCAGTACCTCAATGTTTTCACTAAGCTAGAAGCACTTGGAACCCCATCATTTAGGGTATTTATCAAGATTGCATGGGCAGGACTCATGGGTATCCAAGGGAGAGAATACAGTCATGGGTTCTTACAGTTTCTATTTCTGGCTGGGCCAGTAAAGCCCATTCCTCATCCCTCTTTTCTGCTTATCACTAGACAGAAACTAAAAACCATGGCTTCAAGCTGCTAAAAGCCTAAAACAAAACAAAACAGAACAACAACAACAACAAAATAAGGCAGGTTGGATAAGCTTGGCTAATCATTAGCCATTGATTATTGACTCCACCTCTAGCTTCTCTCCCCTCTGGACGAGGTGAGTGGAGCTTAATGTCCCAATTGTCTAATCATGCCTTGATCTTTATGGTGACCAGCCCTTACCCTAAAGCTATTTAGGGCCCCACCAGAGTCGCCTTATTAACAAAAACTCAGAAATAGTTGAAAGTGGCTTATTATGAATAATGAAAGATGCTCTTCACACTTCTATCACTCGGAAAATTGCAAGGGTTTCAGGAGCTCTTGAGCCAAGAACCAGGGAAGAAGATCAAATATATCTTTCCTATTATATTACAATATCACAGGTACTATGTTCAGGGATCACACACTCTTCTAGCCAAAGGGCAGACATATGACACGACCTAGGCCAATCAGCTGTCTCTCCTGAAATATAAATCTTGAACAGAATAACAAGAGAATGACAATGTTGTGGCTATAGTCATTCTAGCAGAAAAGTTCTGTCAAGATGGTTTCCAGCGAGAGAGTGTTGTATTGATTCCTGCTTCCCAACCTCCAGTGCCACCCTCATCCCTGTGTCTTCCCAGATCCAGTTCTCCATCATCCTTCTTGTTGTTTCTCTAAATCCCTAATAGCCTAATAATTTCCTCTTTTGTTGTTTTTGCTTTTTTGGTAAATTGGTTGAGTGATGGTTTTTCATTTGTTTTTTGTTGTATATTGTGTTTTTGTTTTTGTTTTATTCTTTTTTTCTAAATTGTCAGAGTATGCTTCTCTAGTTTGTAAGCAAAGAACCCTATGGTAATCAATCCTTAACTTAATGTACTGAGAAATCCAAATTCCTTCTATGCCCTCTATATCTTATGAACTGATACATAGGTCTTATTAGTCTGATAACAAAATCTATCCCTGCATACAACCTATCCACTTCCCATCTTAGGTATATTTCAAAGTTCTCTTACATTTGTTTATGAAAAGTAATATGCCATCTAGGAGACAGCAAAGACACTTAAGGAAGGCTTATACTTATATAAAGCCTACCATGTACCAGAAATGGGGTTCAGGGTGCCACCTCTTCCCACCTCCCAATCACTCTTAAATACATTTTTATGACTTTAAGGAACATGTATGCTCATTGACCTTGGTGTCCCAAGAAATCCCAGGTGGCTGATCTGGTATACCTGGTTCTAGTCTGGTGCAGACACTATCATGAGACCTTGAGCAAGTCACTTCATTTTTCAGATCTCAGCTTCTTTATCTATAAAATGAAAGACCCAGAGAACATGATGCCCAAATATAACATTTAATGACCACGGGAAACATGTATCATGTAGCGTGGTATCATAATCACCCCAGAACCTGGGGTTCCAAATCAGGCTAAGGCCTTGAGACTGGTTCATCCTCTTCAGTATTTCTTCAGTCTATTTTCTTTTCTCCATCTCTGCCACCACCATGACACTCTTCTATTGTCAGGACTATTGAGATAATTTCTTCAGTGTTAATTCTAGTTCACCTAAACTCCTCTCTGCACAGTAATCAGAGATCTTTTGAGAAGGCCAATCCAAATATGTCAATAACATTCCTCTTAGGACAAAGAACAAAATCTCTAACATAATCCGGCCTGTTACCCTCTCTTTAGTCTAATTTCCTGTACCCCTTTTTCTTGCCCTGTGAGTTCCAGCCTTGTAAGCCAGCCTTCAATTCTTCCAAAGATGAAAGATTCTCTTTGCCCCAGGATTTTTGCACAAGCTTTCCTCTACCTCTAATACCAAATTCCCCTTTCCAAGCTACTTTACACATTGCACAGATTTTGGCTCCAAAATTTCATCCTCAAAGAAGCCTTTCTTAACTGCTCAGACAAACCAGATATTCCTGTCAAAGGATCCCTGCACTTCCCTTCAGAGCCCTTATTGTAGGAATTAATTGCAAATTTGATTATATGTTTATTTGAAAGGCATCTCTTTCCCCCACTGTTTTGCTCACCACTATAATCACAATACCTAACAGAGTAGCTAGCACCCAATGGATACTCAATAAATGTATTTTATGAATGAGTAAAGGAATGAAATTGATATGTGTCCAAGTATTTCACCTCTCTTTCCTGCTGTGTTCACTCTGGATAAGATCCTTATTACTACCCAAGCCAATGTCTACCAACCTTGATCAACTTCTTCCTTGTTCTTATACAACATACAATTTGGGAAAAGCTATAGTAAATTATAATAAAACTCAGTCTGACCCCACAGTCCTAGTCTCCAGGTCAGCCCCAGAGCCCTAGACCCACTCTAGCACCAGGCAGTACCTTTGGACCCCAGGTCCAGGCCAGCCCCCTAGGACCCAGCCTCCAAAATCAACCTGGCACCAGATTGGCACCCACAGACCTCGAGTCTGGGCTAGATCCCACTGATACCGGTTCCAGTCCAACCCAGAACCAGGCTGGCACCAGGCCTGCCTGCCCAAAAACTTCAGCAGCAAGCCTGTCCATGTACCCTGCCATATAACCTAACTAAGATCTCTAAACCAGCTGATTGGTTAAGAGCTTTCCCTGCCAAAACCAGTATGTAAGACTGAAATAGGTACCTATTTCTTAAAAAACACAGACACCAATGAATGGCCACAAATAAGGAATAATCAGAGAAGTATAATACCACCAAAGGAATAAAATAAAACACTAATAACTGACCCTAAAGAAATAGATATTTATGAATTACCTGACAAAGAATTCAAAATAATTGTCTTAAAGGAGCTTAGTGAGATGTGATAGAACACAAATGGATGACTAAACAAATTCAGGAAAACAAAACAAAAACAAAATGAGAAGTCCAACAAAGAGATAAAAACCAGATAAAAGCAACAAATAGAAATTCTGAAGCTAAAAGAACACAATGACTGAATTGGAAAATGTAATAGAGAGCTTTAACAGCATATTTCCATGAAGCAAAAAGAGAATCAGTAAGTCTGAAGACACATTATTTGAGATTACCTAGTCAGTGGAACAAAAAGAAAGAAGAATTAAAGAGCAAAGAAAGCCTACAGAAATAATGTGACACTAACAAATTAATCAATATGTGCATTATGGAATTTCCAAAAGGAACAGAGAAGGAGGAATAAAGCTTTGTTAAAGAAATAATGAACAAAACTTCCCAAATCTGAAGAGGGAAAAGAACAGCCAGGTCCATGAAGCCCAAAGACCCTCTAAATTAATTAAATATAAAGATATCTTCATCTGACAAATTATAATCAAGTTCTCAGAAGTCCAAAGGAGAATTTAGGAATCAGCAAGAGAAAAGCAACTTGTCATATACAAGGGAACACACGTGAAACTGTCAGTTTCTTTTGAGAAACTCTCAGTGATTTTGAGAAACTCTCAGTGATTTTGAGAACAAAAGAAACCTTTCAGGGCAGAAGAAAGAGGGATGACATATTTAAAGCGCTGAAAGAAAAAAACTCCCAGCTAAGAATATAATGCCTTGCAAGGCTGTCCTTCAAAAATGAAAATGAGATGAGGACTTTCCCAGACAAACAAAAGCTGTGAGAGTTCATCACCACTAGGCCTGCCTTACGAGAAGTGCTAAATGGAGTTCTTCAAGTTCAAAAGGAAACTAATTGACAATGTGAAAACATATGAAATTATATAACTCACTGCCAAGGTAAGAATTAAGTCAGATTCAGAAAACTCTAATACTGTAATGGTGATGTATGAATCACTTTAACTCTAGAATAAAATTTAAAAACCAAAAGTATTAACAATAACTATAGCTACAGTAACTTGGTAATGGATACAAGATACATAAAAGTTGTAAATTGTGACATCAATAACATAAAGTGTGGTGGGAAGAGAAGTTAAAATGTAGAGTTTTGTATGCAGTCAAAGTTGTCAGCTTAAAACAGACAATTACAACTATAAGATATTTTATGTAAGCCTCATGGTAACCACATGTATTCAATAGGAGGTACACATAAGACAACAAGAGAGGATTCAAAAGCATACCACTACAAAAAATAAATCATAAAATCACAATGAAAAACAGCAAGAGAGGAAGAATACAACAAAGAAACAACTAGACAGTCAAAAGCAGCTGACAAAATGGCAGTAGTAAGTCCCTACCTATCAATAATTACTTTAAATGTAAATGAATTCAATTCCCTAATCAAAAGACAAAGAGTGACTGAATGGATAAACAAAATAAGATTCAACTGTATGCTGCCTACAAGAGACATGCTGTAGCATTATGGACACACATAAGCTGAAAATAGAGCAGAAGTGGCTATACTTATATCAGATAAAATATACTTTAAATCAGAAACCTCTACAAATGAGAAAGAAGGTCATTATATAATGATAATGGAGTAATTCACCAAGAGGATATAACAATTGTAGGTATATGGTAGTCCCTCAATATCTGTGAGGAATTGGTTTTAGGACACCCTGCAGATACAAAAATTCACAAAAGTTCACGTCTGTTATACAAAATGGCATAGTATTTGAATATAACCCACACATTTTCCTGTATACTTTAAGTAATCTCTAGATTACTTACAATACCTAATGCAATGTAAGTACTATGTAAATAGTTGTTGCATTGTATTTTTAGGGTATAATGAAAAGAAAAAAGAAGTTGGTACATGTTCAGTATAGATGCAACCATCTATTTCATTTTCAAATATTTCTTATATACAGTTTGTTGAATTCACTGACAGAGAACCCACAGATATAGAGGGTCAACTGTATATGTACTTAACATCAAAGCATCTAAATATATAAGTAAATATTAATAGAACTGAAAGGAGAAATAGATAGAATTACAACAATAGTAAGGGACTTCAAGACAGAAAGTCAATAAGAAATGGCAGACTTGAATAATACTTTAAACCAAATGACCCCAGAAGGCATATATAGAACATTCTATCCAACAGTAGCAGAATACACACTCTTTTCACATATACATGGAACAGTCTCCAAGATGATCACATATTAGGGCACAAAACAAGTCTTAACAAATCCAAGAAGATCAAAATCATATCAAGTATGTGTTTTGACAATAGTATAAAACTAGAAATCAATAACAAGAGGAAAACTGGAAAATTTACAAATACGTGAAATGAAATGACACACTTCTAAACAACCAGTGGGTCAAAGAAAAAATCAAAAGGAAAAGCAAAAAAAGTCTTGAATAAAGCTGAAATTACAACATGCCAAAACTTATGGAACACGTTAAAAACATTTTGAGGGAGAAGTTTATACAATAAATGCCTACATTAAGAAAGAATAAAGACCTCAAACAACTGTAATTTATACCTCAAGGAACTAGAAAAAGAGCAACTTATCCCCAAAGTTGGCATAAGGAAGAAAATAATAAAGATCAGAGCAGAAATCAATAAAATAGAGAATAGAAAAGCAGTAGAAAACATCAATGAAACTAAGAGTTGGTTTTTTGAAAAGATAAAATTGACAAAACTTTCATTAGCCTAAGCAAAAAAGAGACAGACTCAAATAAATAAAATTAGAAATAAAAAAGGAGACATTACAATTGATTTCACAAAAATGCATAGAATCATAAAAGACTATTATGAGCAATTATATATCAACAAATTGGGTAACCTAGAAGAAATAAATGAATTCTGATATAACATACTGAGACTGAATTGTGAAAAACAAAATCTGAACAGACTGATAAGATTAAATCCATCATCAAAAAACTCTCAACACAAAAAAGACCAAGACCTGACAATGTCACCTGTGAATTCTACCAAACATTTTAAGAAGAATTAATGTCAATCATTCTCAAACTCTTCCAAAAACGTAAAGCGGACAGAACACTTCCAAACTTATTTTATGAGGCCGGCATTACCCTGATACCAAAATCAGGCAAGGACACTATAAGAAAATAAAATTACAGGTCAATATCCCTGATGAACATAGATGTAAAAGTCCTCAACAGAATACTAGCAAACCAAATTCAGCAGCACATTAAAGGTATCATACACTGTGATTAAGTGCAATTTATCCCTCAGATGCAAGGATAGTTCAACACACATGAATCAATAAATGTGATACACCACATTGACAGAATAAAGAGAAAAAATACATGACCATCTTAATAGATATAGAAAAAGCATTTGACAAAATTCAACATCATTTTATTATAAAACTCAACAAATTAGGTATGAAATGAATGTATCAACATAATTAAGGCCATGTATGGCAAGTCTACAGCTAACATCATACTCAACAGTGAAAAGCTGAAAGCTTTTCCTCTAAGATGAGAACAAGACAAGGACTTACACACTCTCTCTTTATATCCAATGTAGTAGTGGAAGTCCTAGCCAGAGAAATTTGGCAAGAAAAATAACTAAAAGGCATCCAAATTGGAAAGGAAGAAGTAAAATTGTTTGCAGATGGCATATCTTGTAGTTACACTAAAAATTCCACCAAAAAAAACTGTAAAACTGTTATAACTAATAAACCAATTAAGTTGCAGCATACAAACATCTGTAGTGTTTCTATGTACCAACAATGAGCTATTTGAAAAAGAAATCAAGAAAACAATCCCATTTACACTAGTTACAATAAAAAACAAAATACAGTATTTAAAGTACTTAAGAATAAATTTGGTATTTTGATTTTGTTGTTGTTCTTTGTTTGTTTTGTTGTTATTGTTGTTGTTTGAGATAGTTTCACTTTTGTTGCCTAGCCTGGAGTGTAATGGCGCAATCTTGGCTCACTGCAACCTCCACCTCCCAGGTTTAAATGATTCTCCTGCTTCAGCCTCCTGAGTAGCTGGGATTACAGGCATATACCAACACACCCGGCTAATTTTGTATTTTTGGTAGAGATGGGGTTTCACCATGTTGGTCAGGCTGGTCTTGAACTCCTGACCTCAGGTGATTCACCAGCCTCAGCCTCCCAAAGTGCTGGGATTACCGGGGTGAGATACTGCACCTGGCCCTTAAGAATAAATTTAATCAAGAAAGTGAAAGATCTGTACATTGGAAACTATAAAGCATTGGTGAAAGAAATCAAAGAAGACTCAAATAAATGGAAGGATATCCTATATTCTTTGATTGGAATAATTAATATTATTTAATGTTCATATTATCCAAAGTAGCCTACAGATTTAATGCAATCCCTTTCAAAATTTCCATGAGATTTTCCACGTAAGTAGAAAAAACAATCCTAAAATTTTTATGGAACCACAAAAGATCCTGAATAGCCAAAGCCATCTTGAGCAAAAAGAAAAAGCTGGAGATATCATACTACCTTATTTCAAAGTACACTACAAAGTTAGAGTACTCAAAGCAGCATGATACTGCTAAAAAACAAAAAAACAAAACAAAACAAAACAAAAAAAACAGACTTGTAGACCAATGGAACAGAATAGAGAGCCCAGAAATAAATTCACCCATTTACAGTCAATTGGTCTTCAAAAAAGTTACCAAGAACACACAATGGGTGGGCGCAGTGGCTCACGCCTGTAATTCCAACACTGTGGATTACTTGAGGTCAGGAGTTTGAGACCACCCTGGCCAACATAGTGAAACCCTGTCTCTACTAAATTACAAAAATTAGCTGGGAGTGGTGGTGCACACCTGTAATCTCAGCTACTCTGGAGGCCGAGGCACAAGAATTGCTTGAACCCAGGAGGTGGACGCTGCAGTGATCCGAGATCATACCCCTGCACTCCAGTCTGGGTGACAGAGCAAGACTACATCTCAAAAAAAAGAACACACAATGGAGAAAGTATAGGCTCTTCAATAAATGGTCCTGGGAAACCTGGATTTCCACATGCAAAAGCAAAAATTGGACTATTAGACTGAACACAAAAATCAACTTAAAATGGAAAAAAAGACCTAGCTGTAAGACCTGAAATCATAAAATTCCTAGAAGAAAACAGAGGAAAACCTCCTGGACATTGGCCTTGTCAATGATTTATTGGATATCACAACAAAAGCTCAGGCTACAAAAGCAAAAATAAATAAGTGGGATTTCATCAAACTAAAAAGCTTCTGCACAGCAACAGAAACCATCAACAAAATGAAAAAGTGACCTAGAGATTAGGAAAAAATATTTGTAAACCATATATAGACAAGGGGTTAATAGTGAAAATATGTAAGAAATTCAAATCAATCACAAGAACACAAATAAGCCCACTGAAAAATGGACAAAAGATCTGAATATAATTTTTTTAAAGAACACATAAAAATGGCCCACAGATATACGAAGAAAACATTCAATATCGGAGAATGCAAATTAGCAGTGAGATATTGCATCACTCCTGTTAGAATGGCTACTACCAAAAAGAAAAAATACAACAAGTGTTGGTGGGGATGTGGAGAAAAGGAAAACCTTGTATACTATTGGTGGAAATATAAGTTAGTAAAGCCACTATGGAACACAGTGTAAAGCCACTATGGAACACAGTGTAGAGATTTCTTAAAAAGAAAAAAAAAAAAGAACTACCATATGATCTAGCAATCCCACTTCTGGGTATAGAACCCCCCCCCAAAAAATGTATAATAAAACCAGTATGTCAAAGAGATATCCATAGTCCCATGTTCACTGCAGCATTATTCACCTAAGATCTATCAACATATAAATGGATAAAGGAAAATGTAATATATATACACAATGGGATACTATTCAGCCTTAAAAAAGAAGGAATCCTTGTCATTTGCAACAATATAGATGAATGTGGAGAACATTTTGTTAAGTGAAATAAACCAGAGAAAGACAAATACTGCGTGACCGCACTTTATGTAAAATCTAAAAACGTGAAACTCACAGGGAGTAGCATGCTGATTGCCAGGAACTGCGGAGAGGTAAGACGAATGGGTAGATATTGTTTAAAGGATACAAGATGTCAGTCAGATAGGATGAATAACTTCTGGAGATCTATTGTACAGCATGATGACTGTAATTATTAATAATGTATTGTATACTTGGAAATTGCTAAGAGATTAGATCTTAATCTCTCAACACAAAAAAATTCTAAGTGTGTGAGGTAATGGGCAAGTTAATTTGATTGATTAAATCATTTCACAGTGTATACATATATCAAACATCACATGTACATTGTAAATATCTAAATTTTTTGTCAATAACACCTTAGTAAAGCTCAGGGAAATAATAAAACTCACCATCAATAATGCCTGGAATACTGTACATTTACTGACATTTTGTTTAATAATGAGCAACACCTAGGTTTAGCTCGAGTCCGAGGAATATAAGTGTCTTAACAGAATTTCAGCAATACAAGAAGCCCCTCATTATGACATCTGGTTTTGTCTGGTCCCATAGGCCCCCATGCCTTCCCTACTAGAGGGTTTCCATATCTTCTGCACCCATTATAACAAGGTTACATATAATATCCCACCATCTAATATCCCACTGCCTGCACTAATATGGAATTCCTGACAGAAACACTAGATCTACTTTTCTGCATCACTTGGGTGCTTCTTTCCAAATAGCTCCTGCTAGCTCAGTATAAATAATGTCATGGCATTCTTCCTTTCTCTGGACGACATTCATTAGAATCACAGAATCATGCAATATTTGAGCCAGAGACTTCTATGAGACAATCTTATGTGACAACAATCTCCTTGAATGCCCTTGCGTGGTCAGCTCTGGGCAGAGGCATCAGAGGACAGAGCAGGCCTGGGTTCAGTGTGAGGTGAGATAACAAATGTGATGATTACTTTGTCAAGTTCAATGAATCCGTGGCCTTATCCCAGCTGTGGGATGCCGAAACCATAATGATTGAAGAGCCCAAGCTTGATAGCCAGGCAGACCTGATTTTAATTCTTGACCATGTCCCCGTGAACCTGGGCAAGTGATACCTCTGTATACCTCATATTCATCATCCGTAAAATGGGAACAATAATGTCTACCTCATATAGTAAGACACAAAGCAAAGCCCCTGAAGCAATTGAGGCAGTCAATATGTAGCAGCTTAAAAATAGCAGAGCTCTCAGGTTTTCTGGCTCTGCGGACATTGAACTCCAAGATCAAGAATACTTTTGCTCTTAGTCTACCAAGTCACTACACCAATATACATAACCTGCTCTGAGAGACAAGTTTTAGTTTAGGGTTCACCTTTAATTTACTGGGTATATCTATGCAAGTTGCTTGATTTTTTGAGAACGGTCATTTAGTAATGGCCCTTCTATTTGATTTTTTGTTTCCTAAGATATTTATAATATAAATAAGATTTGTTTAAAAAGTAAAATGCATTCATAGTCCATCTAACTAGTACCAGGATAATTTTTCTAGATATGTTCATCTGTCATCTCTTTATTTTGCCTTCCTTTCTGAGTTTGATCTCAGTCCTAGCCAGGCATGGTGGTGTACACCAGTAGTCCCAGCTACTCTGGAGGCTGGGGCAAGAGGATGACTTGAGCCCAAGAAGTCAAGGCTGCAGTGAGCTATGATCTCACCACTGCACTCTATGCTAGGTGACAGAGTGAGATCCCGTCTCTAAAAGACAGCAACAATAACAACAAAATGATCTCAGTCTTTTTAATTCATTTAGAGCAATGGTTCTCAATCAGAGCAATTTTGCCACAGGGAAGGTTACAGATATTTGGCAACATCTGTAGATACTTTTGATTGTCACAGCTGAGGAAAGCAGTGTCACTGGTCTCTGGTGAGTAGAGGCCAGAAAGCTGCTAACCAATATTTAAGGAACCTGGACGTCCACAACAAAGAACTACCTGGCCGCAAAAGTCAATAGTGCGGAGGCTGAGAAACCCTGATTTAGAGTGAGGCCCTTCAACTTGTAAGAATCGAGCTCAGCAGCCTCACTTCTAAGACAAGCACCTCCCATTAAACTTTGATTCCCTCCCTCCTCCCTAGCTCTGACAAACAGCTGTTTCAAAACAGTAACACACAAAGTGTATCTTAAACATATGGAAAGTCAAGAAATTCAGAGTTAAGGTTTAAAAATTCGAGGCTGGCACCCTGATGTTAAAAAAAGACAAAGCCTAAAGGTGTCAGGGTGTGAGCTGAAGACAAAGTGTAAGCTTTCAACTCCAACCCTGCTACTTTTGGCTTCTGTGGGCTTAGGTCAGACTCTCTCTGCTATCCTGGGGTGGTTGTTCTGTGGTTTCCTTTTGAGTTCTATAGAACTTGAAGACACAAACATTGGCAATACACAAGGCAGGCCTCAAGAGATGGAGGCATGAGCCATTTAAGGTTTAAAATCTAATTTTTAAATTAATATTTCTTTAATAAAACCACTAAGATGTGGCACTTTATGTTCCAGATTTTCACAACTGTTGTTTCTATCACTTATCTGTTTAAAAAATCAATTAACGTGTTAATTTTTTGAGGTTATAACTGTAAAAGATAAAATGGCACAGCCAAAAAGCATAGTAGTGAGAAACAGGAGAAAAGTGGATTTCAGCCTTACCTCTACTGTTCACATTTTGAACAAGTTCCATAACTTCTCTGAATCTCCCCTCCCCCTTCTATAAAATTGGGGAAAATAATCTCTACCTCATGGATGGACATTGTATATAAAATACCAATTAGAATTCTAGAACATAAAGGCCCTCAATAAATAATAATTCTTTATTAAAAATCAAGGTCTCTCTTTAGTAATGGAATCAAACTATACAAATATGAAAAGGTAAACTAAAAAATTCAAAATCATGAATGGCATGGCAGCCTGCCCTGAGAGTGGAGAAGGTTACAGAGTGGTCGCCCATGATTACTTAGCCCAGAACCAATAACTACCAGCTACATATATTCATGTGAAGACGGAGAGGAGGACCAGGATACCAAAGGTAGAAAAGCCAAGGGCACAGGGAGAGGTCATCAAGTTGTTATAATTAGCTGGACTATAGCATATTTACAAGAGTATGGTCAGAGGTGAAGCTGGAAAAGTAATCTGTGCTAGTCAGGTATCAACACAATTATGATGTATAGTAAGCACCACAAAACTTAATGATATACATTAACAAGCCTTTATTCTCATACTCATAAATCTGCAGGTCAGCTGAGGTTCAGTTAACGTAGATTGAGTGTGGCTGGGTAGCTCTGATTCTCCTATGTATTAGGTGACTTGAATCCAGGCTGTGGATTGACCTCAGGTCTTCCTTGTGTGTGTTAATTTTGGAGCCATGGCTAAAGGGATAGCAGGAATCCAGGGCATGTTCTTCTCATGATGGATCTGGAGCATAAGAGCTGAGCCAAATCATAAAAAAACACAGGTAAGACCTTTGCTCTTGCAACATCTACTCATATTTCATTGCCAAAGCAAGTCACATGGGGTGAGGAAACAAACCCAGCAGGAGGGCACAGCAAAGTTACCAGACAAAGGTATGAATGTACAATCCTATCACAGGGGAGTGAAGAATTATGACCAAAATTATAATCTATTGCAATGTCATGTAAGGGCAGATCTTAAATATAGAAATAATGTGCGGTAGGGCACAGTGTCTCACACCTGTAACCCCAGCACTTTAAGAGGTTGAGGCGGGAGGATTGCTTGAGCCCCAGAGTTCCAGACCATCCTGGGCAACATAGCAAGACCCTCGTCTCTACAAAAAAAATTTAAAAAATTGTACCAGGTTTGGTAGTGCACACCTGGAGTCTCAGCTACTCAGGAGGCTAAGGTGGGAGGATCACTTGAGCTTTGGAGGTCGATGCAGTGAGTCATGATTGCCCCCCCTGCACTCCAACACAGTTGACAGAGTAAGACCCTGTCTCCAAAAATAAAATGAAATTAAATAAAATAGTTGCAATAGACAATCCTTAAAAAGAAATGATGTGCTCAGAGCTACAAAGGCAATTAGAAAAGATTTTCTGTTGCTAGGAGGAAAGTCATGAGGAGCTGCATTTCAGAGGAGGTATTAGAAAAGGAGATAAAGGGTTGAGATCATGGAATTTAAATAATTTAACTATTTACTGGCTGGTGGGCAAAGATAGTGCCAAAAAAAAGGAGCCATCACAAATAAATTTGGAATTTGAGAGTTTGGGTCTTATAGTCTGAGAGAACAGTAAAGTTACCCATAATAATAATGCATATATTTTATTGAGCACATATTGTTTGCCAGATAATGTATTAAGTATTTGGTAGGCAATTTTTTAATCTTCGCAATAAACCAGTGAGATAAGTATAGTCCTTATCTTTATTTTTGAGATGTGGTAACAGGCTAAGTAACTTACCCAAGATCACAGAGCTAAAAAGTGGTAGACTCATGATTGATAGGCCACTGATGGGCTCTGGAGTCCACACTGTCTTGCCATTTATTTATTTCCTTATTTCCTACCCTGCTCTATGGTTGAAATGTTCATATTATTTTATTAACTTCTAGTTTAAGCTCAGGGGTACATGTGCAGGATGTGCAGGTTTGTTATATAGGTAAACATGTGCCATGGTGGTTTCCTGGACAGATCATACCATCACCTAGGTATTAAGCCCAGCATCCCTTAGCTATTATTCCTGATGCTCTTCCTCCCCACAACCCTGCTCTGACAGGCCCAAGTGTGTGTTGTTCCCCAACTATGTGGCCATGTGTTCTAATCATTCAGCTCCCACTTATAAATGAGAACATGTGATGTTTGGTTTTCTGTTCCTGCATTAGTTTGCTGAGGATAATGGCTTCCAACTCTATCCATGTCCCTGCAAAAGACATGATCTCATTCCTTTATATGGCTGCATAGTATTCCATTGGAGATATATACATACATATATATATATGTATGTATATATCTCACAATTTCTTTATCCAGTCTATCATTGATGGGCATTTAAGTTGATTCTATGTCTTTACCATTGTGAATAGTGCTGCAATGAGCATACACATGCATGGATCTTTATAACAGAATGATTTATATTTCTTTGGGTATATACCCAGTAATGGGATTGCTGGGTCAAATAGTATTTCTGCCTCTAGGTCTCTGAGGAATCACCACACTGTCTTCCACAGTGGTTGAACTGATTTACACTCCCACCAACAGTGTAAAAGCATTCCTTTCTCTGCAACCTTGCAAGCATCTATTGTTTTTTGACATTGTAATAGTAGACATTCTGAATGGTGTGAGATGGTATCTCATTGTGGTTTTGATTTGCGTTTTTCTAATAATCAGTGATGTTGAGCTTTGTTTCATGTTTGTTGGCTGCATGTATGTCTTCTTTTGAGAAGTGTCTGTTCATGTTCTTTGACCACTTTTTAATGGGGTTGTTTATTTTTTTCTTGTTAATTTGTTTAAGTTCCTCATAGATTCTGGATATTAAACCTTTGTCAGATGGATAGATTGCAAAAACTTTCTCCCATTCTGTAGGTTTTCTCTTCACTCTGATAATAGTTTCTTTTGCTATGCAGAAGCTCTTTAGTTTAATTAAATCCCATTTATCAATTTTTGCTTTTGTTGCAATTGCTTTTGGCATTTTTGTCATGAAATTTTTGCCCATGCCTATGTCCTGAATGGTATTGCCTAGATTTTCTTCTAGGGTTTTTATAGTTTTGGGTTTTACATTTAAGTCTTTAATCCATCTTGAGTTAATTTTTGTATAAGGTAAAAGGAAGGGGTCCAGTTTCAATTTTCTTCATATGGCTAGCCAGTTATCCCAGCATCATTTATTAAATAAGGAATCCTTTCCTCATTGCTTGTTTTTGTGAGCTTTGTCAAGGATCAAATGGTTGTAGGTCTGTGGTCTTATTTCTGAGTTCTCTATTCTGTTCCACTGGTCTGTATGCCTGTCCTTGTACCAGTATCATGCTGTTTTGGTTACTGTAGCCTTGTAGTATAGTTTGAAGTTGAGTAGCATGATGCCTCGTTCTTTTTGCTTAGGATTATCTTGGCTATTTGGGCTCTTGCTTCCATATGAATTTAAAACTCTTCTTTCTAATTCTATAAAGAATGCCAATGGTAGTTGAATAGGAATGACATTGAATCTATCAATTACTTTGGGCAGTTTGGCCATTTTCATGATATTGATTCTTCCTATTTATGAGCATGAAATGTTTTTCCATTTGCTTGTGTTTTCTGTGATTTCTTTGAGCAATGGTTTATAGTTCTCTTTAAAGGATCCTTTACTTCCCTTGTTAGCTAAATTCCTAGGTATTTTATTCTCTTTGTAGCAATTGTGAATGGGAGTTCATTCATGATTTGGCTCTCTGCCTGTTGTTGGTGTGTAGGAATGCTAGCAATTTTTGCACATTGATTTTGTATGCTGAGACTGCTGAAGTTGCTTATCAGCTTAAGAAGCTTTTGGGCTGAGACAACAGGGTTTTCTAGATATAGGAAAATGTCTTCTGCAAACAAAGATAATTTGACTTCCTCTCTTCCTATTTGAATTCACTTTATTTCTTTCTCTTGTCTGATTATCCTGGCCAGAACTTCCAATACTGTGTTGAATAGGAGTGGTGAGAGAAGACATCCTTGTCATGTGCCGGTTTTCAAAAGGAATGCTTCCAGCTTTTGCCCATTCACTATGATATTGGCTATGGGTTTGTCATATATGGCTCTTATTATTTTGAGGGATGTTCCTTCAATACCTAGTTTATGGAGAGTTTTTAACACGAAGGGGTGTTTAATTTTATTGAAGGCCTTTTCTGCACCTATTGAGATAATCATGTGGTTTTCGTCTTTAGTTCTGTTTATGTGATGAATCACATTTATTGATTTGCTTATGTTGACCTAACCTTGCATCCTGGAGATGAAGCCAACTTGATCATGGTGGTTAAACTTTTTGATGTGCCGCTGGATTTGGTTTGCCAGTATTTTATTGAGAATTTTTACATTGATGTTCATCAACGATATTGGCCTGAAGTTTTCATTTTTTGTTTTATCTCTGCCAGGTTTTGGTATCAGGATGATACTGGCCTCATAGAATGAGTTAGGGAGAAATCTATCCTTTTCCTTTTTTTGTAATAGTTTCAGTAGAAATGGTACCAGCTGTTCTTTGTACCTCTGGTTAAATTCAGCTGTGAATCTTTCTGGTTCTAGGCTTTTTGGTTGTTAGGCTATTTATTACTGCCTCAATTTCAGAACTCATTATTGGTCTATTCAGGGATTCAATTTCTCCTTGGTTCAGTCTTGGGAGGGTGTATGTATCCAGGAATTTATCCATTTCTTCTAGATTTTCTAGTTTATGTGCATAGAGGTGTTTATAGTCATCTCTGATGGTTGTTTGTATTTCTGTGGGGTCAATGGTGATATCCCCTTTATCATTTCTGATTGTGTTGTTTGATTCTTCTCTCTTTTCTTCTTTATTACTCTAACTGGCAGTCTACTATTTTATTACTTTTTTTTTTCAAAAAATCAGCTCTTGGATTTGTTGATTTTTGAAGAGTTTTTTTATGTCTCTGTCTCCATTTCAGCTCTGATCTTGTTATTTCTTGTCTTCTGCTAGATTTGGGGTTTGTTTGCTCTTGGTTCTCTAGTTTTTTTGTTTGTTTGTTTGTTTGTTTTGGATATAACGTTAGGTTGTTAACTTGAGATCTTTCTAGCTTTTTGATGTGGGTATTTAGTGCTATCAGTTTCCCTCTTAACCTGCTTTAGCTGCATCCCAGAGATTCTGGTATGTTGTCTCTGTTTTCATTAGTTTCAAAGAACTTCTTGATTTCTGCCTTGATTTCACTGTTTACCCAAGAGTCATTTAGGAGCAAGTTATTCAATTTCCATTAGTTGTGTGGTTTTGAGTGAATTTCCTAGTCTTGAGTTCTAATTTCATTGCTCTGTGGCCTGAGAGACTGTTTGTTATGATTTCAGTCCTTTTGCATTTGCTGAGGAGTGTTTCACTTCTGATTATGAGATCAATTCTAGATTAAGTGCCATGTGGTGATGAGAAGAATGTATATTCTGTTGTTTTTGGCTGGAGAGTTCTGTAGATATCTATCAGTTGCACTTGATGCAGAGCTGAGTTCTGGTCCTCAATATCATTATTAATTTTCTGTCTCAAAGATCTGTCTAATATTGTCAGTGAAGTGTTAAAATCTTCCAATATTATTGCATGGAAGTCTAAGTTTCTTTGTAGGTTTCTAAGAACTTGCTTTATGAATCTGGGTCTTCCTGCATTGCATGCATATATATTAAGGATAGTTAATTCTTCTTGTTGAGCACTTTACCATTATGTAATGCCCTTCTTTGTCTTTTTTGACCTTTGTTGGCTTAAAGCTTGTTTTGTCGGAAACTAGGATTGCAACCTGTGCTTTTGTGTGTCTGTGTGTGTGTGTGTGTGTGTCACAGGCTCTCACTCTCTCACCCAGGCTAGAGTGCAGTGGTGCAATCTCGACTCACCACACCCTCTACCTCCTAGGTTCAAGCGATTCTTCTGCCTCAGCCTCCTGAGTAGCTGGGATTACAGGCATGCACCTCTACCACCTGACTAATTTTTGTATTTTTAGTAGAGACAGGGTTTCACCATGTTGTCCGGGCTGGTCTCGAACTCCTGACCTCAAATGATCCATCCGCCTTGGCCTCCCAAAGTGCTGGGGTTACAGGTGTGAGCCACCATGTCTGGCTGCAACCCATGCTTTTTTCTGTTTTCCATTTGCTTGGTAAATTTTCCTCCATCCCTTTATTTTGAGTCTGTATGTGTCTTTGCATGTGAGATGGGTCTCTTGAAGACAGCATACTGATAAGTTTTGGCTCTTTATCCAGCTTGCTATTCTGTGTCTTTTAATTGGGGCATTTATCCCATTTACATTTAAGGTTAGTATTGTCATGTGTAAATCTGATCCTGTCATCATGATGGCAGGTGGTTATTTCACAGACTTGTTTATATGGTTGCTTCATAGTGTCACTGGTCTATGTACTTCATGGAGTTTTTATAGTGGCTGGCAACAGATTTTTCTTTCCTTATTTAGTACTTCCTTCAGGAGCTCTTGCAAGGGAGGCCTGGTGGTGATAAATTCCTTCAGCATTTGCTTGTCTGTAAAGGATTTCATTTATCCTTCACTTATGAAGCTTAGTTTGGCTGGATATGAAATTTTGGGTTTGAAATTCTTTTCTTTTAGAATGTTGAGTATTTGTCCTCAATCTCCTCTGGCTTGCAGGGTTTCTACTGAGAGGTCCACTGTTAGTCTGATGGGCTTCCTTTAGTAGGTTACCTGTCCTTTTTCTCTGACTGCCCTTAACATTTTTTCTTTCATTTCAACCTTGGAGAATCTGATGATTGTGTATCTTGGGGTTGATCTTCTCATGGAGTATCTTACTGGGTGATATGGTTTGGCTCTGTGTCCCCTCCCAAATCTTATCTCAAATTGTAATCCCCACATGTCCAGAGAGGGACCTGTAATCCCCATGTGCCAAGGGAAGAAGGTGAGTGGATCATGGGGAGAGGTTTCCCCCATGTTGTTCTCATGATAGTCCCCCTGAGATCTAATAGTTTTATAAGTGTTTGACAGTTTCTCCTTCACACATTCTCTCTCCTCCTTCCATGTGAAGAAGGTGCCTGCTTCCCTTTCTGCCATGATTGTAAATTTATTGAGGTCTCCCCAGCCATGTGGAACTGTGAGTAAATTTTATAAATTTTTTTTTATAAATTACCCAATCTCAGATAAATTTCTTTATAGCAGTGTGAAAATGGACTAATGAGGTTAATTGGCACTGGGAGTGGGACACTGCCATTAAGATACAGAAAATGTGGAAGTGACTTTGGAACTGGGTAACAGGCAGAGGTTGGAACAATTTGGAGGGCTCAGAAGAAGATAAGAAGATGTGGGAAAATTTGGAACTTCCTAGAGATTTGTTGAATGGTTTTGATTAAAATGCTGATAATGATATGAACAATGAAGACCAGGCTGAGGTGGTCTCAGATGGAGATGAGGAACTTCTTGGGAACTAGAGCAAAGGTAACTTTTGCTATGCTTTAGCAAAGAGACAGGTGGCATTTTGCCCCTGCTCTAATGGAACTTTGAACTTGAGAGAGGTGATTTTAAATTGGAATTTATGTTTAAAAGGGAAGTAGAGCATAAAAGTTTGAAAAATTTGCAGCCTGACAATGTGATAGAAAAGAAAAAACCTAGCCAGGCGCAGTGGCTCATGCCTGTAATCCCAGCACTTTGGGAGGCTGAGGCGGGTGGATCACGAGGTCAGGAGATTGAAACCATCCTGGCTAACATGGTAAAACCCCATCTCTACTAAAAAAATACAAAAAGTTAGCTGGGCATGGTGGCGGGCGCCTGTAGTCCCAGCTACCTGGGAGGCTGAGGCAGGAGAATGGCGTGAACCTGGGAGGCAGAGCTTGCAGTGAACTGAGATCACACCACTACACTCCAGCCTGGGCAACAGAGAGATATTCCATCTAAAAAAAAAAAAAAAAGAAAAGAAAAGAAAAGAAAAAACCTATTTTCTGGGGAGAAATTCAAGCCAGGTGCAAAAATTTACATAAATAACAAGAAGCCAATGTTAATCACCAAGCCAATGAGGAAAATGTCTCCAGGGCATGTCAGAGATCTTGACAGCATTCACCCCATCAGAGGCCCAGAGGCCTAGGAGTAAAAAATGATTTTGTGAGCCAGGCCCAGGGACTTGGTGCCCTGTGTCCCAGCCACTCCAACTCCAGCCATTGCTAAAAGGAGCCAAGGTACAGCTTGGGCCATTGCTTCGGAGGATGAAAGCCCCAAGCCTTGGCGGTTTCCATGTGGTGTTGGGCCTGAAGATGCACAGAAGTCAAAAACTGAGGTTTGGGAACCTCCACCTAGATTTCAGAGGATGTATGGAAATGCCTGGATGTCCAGGCAGAAGTCTTCAGGGGTGAAGCCCTCATGAAGAACCTCTGCTAGGGCAGTGTGGAAGAGAAGTGTGTGTTTGGAACCCACACCCAGAGTATTCACTGGGCCATTGCCTAGTGGAACTGTGAGAAGAGGGCCTCCATTCTCCAGACTCCAGAATGGTAGATCCACTGAGAGCTGGTAGATCCACTGGGAGCTGACTCCCTGAGACAGGGAGTCAAAGGAGGTCATTTTAGAGCTTTAAAATTTAATGACTGCCCTGCTAGATTTTGGATTTGCATAGGACCTGTAGCCCCTTTGTTTGGGCCAATTTCTCCCATTTAGAATGGGAGTATTTATACCATGACTGTACCCCTATTGCATCTTGGAAGTAACTAACTTGTTTTTGATTTTACTGGTTCCCAGGCAGAGGAAACTTGCCTTGTCTCAGATGAGACTTTGGACTATGGACTTTTGCATTAATGCTGAAATGAGTTAAGACTTTGGGGGAATGTTGGGAAGTCATGATTGGTTTTGAAATATGAAAATACATGAGATTTGGGAGGGGCTGGTGCAGAATGATATGGTTTGTCTCTGATGTTCTGGTCAACCAAAATGGTCATGACTGACATAACCATCACATCTACAGTTATTCTGTGGGAAAGCCTTATATTTGATAACTTCAGTTAAGTAGTCCTTCTTCCTCCTCCTCCCTAGTCTAATCACATCCAAGTACAAGTAAAAAGTAGAGATTGTGAGTTGAAATAAATACCATCTGACTTTAAAATGCACCTCCATGTATTCTCAATACTAAATAGCCATTCCCTGATATGGCAGGTGCTACATATGCTAAGGCTCCTCTCCTTGAAACTGGAAGGAGGACAACAGTTCAATGAATGTTCAAAGATTTTACATATGAATTATTATCCCCAGGTAACTACTACTGTCCTCTCCATATTCCTATTTTACAGTTTTAGGGATGAAGCCTCCACACATTGAAAGGCTCTCTGAGTCTACATCCCAGTCATCCACATCACAATGGTTTTAGCTCCCCCTATTTCCTGCCAAATTTTTAGCTAATCTTTGAATTACATTAACTTTCTCCATGGAGCAGTAGACATCAAAAAGTGGGAAAAATTTCTAAAATATCCCCTTTAATTATTCTACATAATTATTCTCTTCAGTAGAGAGTTCGATACATAATTACTTCTTTTTAGAAAAGCTTCTTTCAGTGATTGGGATCCAAGAAGAGTGTTCTGGCTTTTGATGCTGAAGAGAAAGGAACTTAGCATTCTGGAGGGATGTGCTTCAGACTCAATGCTGAAGGTGGTTTCTCCCAGTTGATTTGCTATATATATATATATAGCAATATATACAATATATAGTCCTTCCTGACTGCTATAGGAAAGAAAAAAAAAGGCTGTTTTTCTTTTCCTTCTTAAATATCTGCAAACTTTTTATTATGTCTCCTTTGGTGAAGGTGCAAGCCCAGTAGCTATCTCAAGGAGGCCAACAGATACCAAGAATCAGTCTCAGCAAGGCAGTTAGCACAGCAGGCAACACCTCTGACATCCACACACCTCAATTATTTTCAAATCAATTTTTGTTTTTGTTTTTCTAATACATAGCCAATATAAAAGGTGACATTTTTGACAAGCTTCATGCTTTTTTTTAAAGGCTGGGTTTGGGAGGGAGGTAAAGAGGGATGTTTGCATGTGGTTGTTGAGATGATCTTATTTTGCTTCCAAGAAAATCAATGAACTATTTAATTACAGATGGAAGCAACTTTGCTTCAGAGTTAACCATAAATGCCCTGAAAAGAGAGCCCAGGACAATATACGAAGCATATGAAGGAAGAAAAATCATGAGTTAAATTTAGGAACATGACAGTAAATATACAAATGTGGCTATATCATAGTTATAAAGGTTACTTATGTGATGATGTGAAGAATTTTAAGAAGCAATCTACTCTTAGATGATGACAGGGAATCAGAAGATTTGAGACGTTATTTAACTTCCTTTTTCCTCAGTTTCCTTCTATGTCAAATACAGGTAACAATAACTTGCCTGTTAACTTCTTATGCTATTTAAAATTTGCTGTGCTTTGAAAATTGCATAATGCATTACTACATAGTATCATTATTCTATTTACATTATAGAAACTATAGAAATCAGCTTAGCCCAGTGGTATATTTCATATAAATTTATAAAAAATTAATGTAAGCCATTTTTGTTATTTTAAAAAATTAATATAATGAGCATGATTTGGTAGAAAGAGTATGATCTTGGAGTTAGAATAACTGGGTTTATTAGTCCCTCCATTTCTTAGCTGCCTCACTCTTGGAAATACTTCCACATCTCGAAGGTTCAGGTTGCCCCTGTCAAAGTGGAAGTAAATACATGGTCTGTCAACCTCACTGAAATACTGTGCATGAGGGGCATCTATAGGGGGCCCTCTGAAAAGGAGAGAGCCTCACAGGAGTGTAAGACTCTTTCATTGTTATCTTTATGTTGAGAACATGAATTACTTGTGAGTTTAGGAAATTTTACTACAAAGATAACCAAAGTACCAAAATCTGTAAGCACTCTTCCATCAACTCTCCCCTTATACCATTACATTTTCACTGACAATAGAGAGGGAAATATTAAATAAATCTGGTAAGATATCATTCTCAGAAGATATCATAACACATGTTTGCTGGCTCTCCATTCCCTTCTCTACTAGCTCCTGCTAATGCATACCCCAGGTGCCTGTAAAAATCCCTCCTCTATGGTACTTTGAAGAGGGCTCCCATGCAAGCTCATCTGCAGTCTGCCTTTTCCCCAACTACTCTCCTCTTTTGCACCATCACACTCCCTGGGAGCCACTGCCTCTTCTGTTGACTACCACAGCCCCCATAGCCACAGTACTGGGCAGCATTCTACTGAGTTTGAATGTTCTGCTGCCATTAGTACACTGGTCCTTACGAGCTCGAAGTTGCAGAATACTCGGCTGTGAATTGGAGGAGTGGCAGTGGTAGGATTGAGGCTTCCATCTTAGATGTTACACAAAGAGAACAACTTGGAGAAAACTCCAATGACATGGATTTTTTTCTTTTATTTGTTTATTTATTTATTTTGAGAAAAGGTGTTGCTCTGTCACCCAGGCTGGAGTACAGTGGCACAATCTGGCTCACTGCAGCCTCCACCTCGCCAGCTCAAGTGATCCTCCCAGCTCAGCCTCCCGAGACTTGACATGGATTTTTTTAAATTACTAGGTTCCCACTGAGACACAGCTAAAGTAAAGACACAACACTAGACGCTGGATGATCTTCTCCCCGAAAATTACGATCACATGGATCCTTCCCAGGGGCACTAAACAAAAACCTGGACTCATCAAAGAGGTCAGGACAGCATAAGGAAAACTAACTCCAGGCTTCCAGTTTATTATTTGTATGCCTAAGGCTTCATTCCTCCTCTTTCATTTCTATAAAGCAAAGTCTTGTATTTTCCTCTCCATTGTACATGCTTTGTAAAGATAGAACTAAATCTACACCTGTTCTAGTAAACAAAACATGACAGACGACCAAAAGTGTGAAAGCCAAAACCATGTGAAAAACTGCCTCAAAAGATGAGCAGCCCATTTGGAGGGAAAATATGTGGGTTGCTAGTGGGAGGTTCTCACTATTCATTTTTTTATATAGGCTTTTAAAAAGGGGAAAAAGTTAAGAGGAGGTGAAGTGGGGAGATCTAGCTAAGATTTCTTTAAAACTTTTTAAAAGTCAGATTGTTATTAATCTATGGAAATATCACTTGCAAATATTAAAAATCCCCTCAGAAATAACCTCCAAGTCAATCTTACCGGAAAACATGATATGCAAGAGCAAACCAGTCACATAGAAGGAAAGATGGATGACCCCTGTGACCTGGAGGGTGACAAGGAAGGAAAGGATGAAGATGTTGATCAGGAGGAAAAAGAGGAAATGTTTGGATTCTTGTTTCTCTTTACTATAGCAATAATAACAACTGTGTTGGAAAGTTTGAAGTACATAATGAGAACTTTGAAATCATCATTCCTTGGTGGCAGTCTTAACAGCCCCTTTCTTATACAAGATACTGAAAGCCACTGCCATCATAAATACAATTTTGCTCTTATCTTTGATGACTAATGTAAAACAGAACTGAAATCACTTTAAGGTTATCAAATGAACAAATTTTTATATGGCACTTTAAATTGGTTTTGTTCCAAATTTTGCCAGGTTTATCAATGAATGCACTTATTCACCAGAGGGAATAATGAACTCTCATAGTGCAGAATTTGATCCAAAACCCACTGGATTTTTTCAACACCTGCCAATGAGTTTTACAGCATGATTTACAGCATTCAAAGCTGCCCTTGGCTCCTTCTTCAGGAATGATGGACTGGAACCTCAGTTTTGCTTTGCTTTGTTGGTTTTCTTTTTTTGGGGGGGGGTGGGATAGGGTCTCGCTCTATCCCCCAGGCTGGAGTGTAGTGGCATGATCATAGCTCTCTACAGCCTTGAGCCCCGGGCTCAGGTAATGCTCCCACTTCAGCCTCCTATCTGGAACTACAGGCACAACCATCGTGCCTAGCTAACTTTTTGTATTTTTTGTAAAGACAGGGTTTTGCCATGTTGCCCAGGCTGGTCGCGGACTCCTGGACCCAAACAATCCACCTGCCTTGGCCTCCCAAAGTGTTGAGATTACAGGCATCAGCTATTGCGCCCAGCTGCATTCTTGGTTTTCTGAAATGGAGCCATAATTAAGATTGATGACTTGTGTGCGCTATGCTATTAAAGGTGACATTTTTAGATAAGAACAAAACATTCCAGAGGAAAATCTTTACCAAGAATGATTTTCTAAAAAAAATTAAGAAAGAAGTCAACAACTTCTAAGGTATTATGGCAAAGTAAAACCATTTGACTTTTGTTTCTTTTCCTCAGTATCTGCAGGGTATTGGTTTCAGGGACCATTTTCCTCCATGGATACCCAAATCCACAGATGCTCAAGTCCTTTATATAAAATGGTATAGTATGTGCATAGTATGTGCAACCCACACATATCATCCTGTATACTTTAAATCATCTCTAGATCACTTAGAATACTGAATGCAACATAAATGCTATGTAAATATTAATACTTGTCATACTGTATTGGTTTTTATTTGTATTATTATTTATTGTTTTATTGTTGTTTTTTTCCAAATATTTTGATCTGCAGTTGGTTGAATTGCATAAATGGATATGAAGGGTGAACCGTACATACAATTTGCTTCATGAAAAAGAGACTACAACTAATGGAATTGAAAAATATTTATGTAAGAAGTTATTCCCAAAATGATGGAAGACTTAAATTAAGGGACAAGAAATTTCAGAAAATTTAATATTAAAAAAAGAAAGTGAGGGAGGGAGAGACATAGACTGCTGAAGTCACTTTTTTTTTTTTTTTTTTTTGAGACAGGGTCTCCCTCTGTCACCCAGGTTGGAGTGCAGTGGCATGCTCATGGCTCACTGCAGCCTCAACTTCCTGGACTCAAGCAATCCTCCCAAATCAGCCTCCCTAGTAGCTGGGACTACAGGTGCACACCACCACACCTGGCTAATTTTTGTATTTTTTGTATAGATGGGATTTCGCCATGTTATCCAGGCTGGTCTTTAATTCCTGAGCTTAAGCAATCCACCCACCTTGGCCTCCCAAAGTACTGAGGTGTAAGCCACTGGGCCTGCTGTTGAAGTCACTTATATTTTTAAAAGTTCATAAATGCATGCATAAAAAAAAGTGATGGAATATAAGAAAGAAAAATAAAACTGCCTTCAGAATTCTTCATTACAATGATGTCATTCAAAATTAGCAGCAAGAGACAGAATTTCTCCAATGTGCAAAAACGATTTGATGACAAAATTCAGATAACAAAGGGTTGAATTAAATTAACAAAATTAGGAAAATAAAAACTGAATAATTGGCCATAATTTTGAATCCAGTAAAAGAAGGATAAACCTCATTATGGGAATAAATATTATAGAACAGAATTTAAAAAAGTTTTAAGCTTTAGCAAAGTAAAAGTAAAATATAATTAGCTAAAATAAGAAAGCAAAAAAAGAAAATAGAGGTAGAAGAAGTACAAGTATAAAACAAGTATTTTATATCACAGAGTTAAGTGATACTCTCTAATAAAATCAAGAAATCAATCTATATATTATTATTTTAAAGTATAAGGTAAGAATATAAATCTACTATAAGTATAAATCAATAGTAGACCTGAAAATGACAAGAATACTGATAAAAATAGAGAGATGGTAAGGTTAGGGAGGTAAGAGGAACATAAGTGTACCAATTCACTCATCATTCATAGTGGGGTGAAAAATAAATGTTCAAAATAATAAATCAAGAAACAAATTTTAGGCCGGGCATGGTGGCTCACACCTGTAATCCCAGCACTTTGGGAGGCTGAGACGGGTGAATCATGAGGTCAGGAGATCGAGACCATCCTGGCTAACACGGTGAAACCCCATCTCTACTAAAAATACAAAAAATTAGCCGGGCGTGGTGGCGGGTGCCTGTAGTCCCAGCTACTTTGGAGGCTGAGGCAGGAGAATGGCGTGAACCTGGGAGGTGGAGCTTGCAGTGAACCGAGATCGCGCCACTGCACTCCAGCCTGGGTGACAGAGCAAGACTCCGTCTCAAAAAAAAAAAAAAAAAGAAACAAATTTTAAGTAGGTTATATTAATTTACAAAGTAACCTATATTCATAAGAGTAATGTTGGCACCTAAAGCAAATAAACTTTCAAATTTCAGTGGCTTAATATAATATTTGTTTCTTATTTATGTAACAGTAGAAGGTGAGTATTCTGGGTTGGTAAGTGGCTTTCCTCCAGGTGGTGATTTGGGTACCCAGGCCCTTTCCATCCTGTGACCCTGCCAGTCCTAGGTTGATCTTCTTCTGCATCCTACCAGCAGAAGGAGAAAGAAATGAGAAAAAGCACACTATTTCTTGAAAGTCTTAGTTGGTAAATGTCATTCATCACTTTAATTCATAATCCCCTAGCAAGAACTAGACATCTGGCTGCATCTAGACACAAAAAGGGTGAGGGAGTGGGGTAGAAAATAGGCCTCCCTGGCCAGCCACATCTAAGGAATAATTCAGAAGAAAAGGAAAGCATGAATTTCATTGGAGAATTAACTAACTCCATGATACCAGCATATACTAAAAGAACTATAAATAAGCTATAATAGACTATAAATCCTCCAACTTGTCAAAAAATGCTAGTTTTTATAAAACCAATGTTGGAGAAGCTGCCAAAAAAAAAATAGTCACTGTTAATTACAATATGTGATAGTGTAAAAAAAAAAACTGCAGGAAGTTTGGCTGTGCCATTGCTAGGAATTTATTCCAGAAATATATGTGAGTGAAATATCCAAAAGTATGCCGTGAATATGTTTATTGCAGCATTTTTTTTTACAGACAAACACTAAAAACAATTTAAATGCCCAACCCTTTTGGGACTGGTTAAATTTGGAGAGGGAAGAAGAGAGAGAAACAGAGAGGTGTCAACAACTCTAAGCAGTGGCAGACCATTGGGATTATACCTTAAGAGGTACAAAACTCACAAACACCTCTGTCCAAAGTACTCCAAAACAAACATTAAAAGGGATCTAAGAGATCTAGGAGGTATACCGACATTATCCACTACAAATTTAATATTAAGAAAATAGAAATTAAAAGAGTCACATTTTTATGAGAATTTGTATAGGATAAAAATAGTATTTCAAATCAGTGGGGAAAAGGATAAATTATCAAATAGCCAAGAAATAGTGGGCCAAGTTGGAAAGAAAATTTGTTACATTTCCTGACTCACACCATTTGCAAAAATAAATTTCAGATGCATTAAGGATTTAGATATTTAAAAATAAATCCAAAAACTATAGAAAAATTCCATAGGAGAATATTTGTATAATCTTAGAGTAAGTAAGCCTTTCTAAATGTATTGTTCTTGATCCTATGAACACAAAATTTAAAAAGAAATTAAAATGATTTTACAGCTGAAGGGGCATAAGCAAAGTTAATTGACAAATCATTGAATTACTCAGTTACCACAGGTACTAAAAGTAGAATGATTCAGAAAGACACAATGCAAAACTTTCTGAAACCTCTCCTCTGCAAGGTAGCTGGGGCAAAAGCCTTAACAATGCAATCTCCCATAGCACCTGACACCTAACTTTTCTCCTAATTTTGGTATATAATCGGAATCATAGAATAACAGATTGAGATGGAACCTCAAACATTACATAATCTAAGCACCTCATTTCAAGAGGAAGACACTGAAGCCCAGAGAAGAAGTGATCACCACAGCCCACACCCTTGATACTGGGAGAACATGAGCTTGACATCACTGGGTTTTTGTTTCTGTTTTTGCTCATGAACTTTTGTAGACATCAAGAAAGTCCAGGAACCACTCTTCTCCTTCTGCTCACTGGTTCAGATGGGACACCAATCAAGAGATATATTGTGCTTTTGGATGATATATTGGGTACAGTGTACAGTGCTCAGGTGACAGGTGCACTAAAATCTCAGAAATCACCACTAAAGAACTTATCCATGTAACCAAAAACCACCTGTACCCCAAAAAACTATTGAAATAAAAAGTAAATAAATAAAACTAACAAAATGGGGGAAAATATACATGCTTTTGGTCAAATATCATAAGGTGATTGGTCATGACAGGAATCAAAGTATAACTCATATGGGCTTCAGGCATTGAGTTAAATTCAAGAAATAAAATGTGATGGTAACTTTATTAACATGTTAGGTATCTGCACTTTCACCAACAGTATCTCACTGATAAAACAAGAGACTCACTTTATGAGCTGTAATTACCCGTAAGACACACTTGGAATCCAAGGGACCAAAGTGAGTAGGAGAATGTCTCCTCGTAGGAGTCAGAATGAATCCAAACTCTCACATAGTCCTGTTTTCCGGATGCCCCTTCGAGCCTGGGCTCCACACCTAAATGTTTTATTGATTAATTTGGCCATAGGCCTCCTTTCCATATGGACAAGAGTATGTACATTTCCTTTCCTGTCCTACTTCACATCCTCTCTCCAATTGTGGAATCCCATCTTTCATAAAAAGTAGGTGAGAAGACATAACTTCACCAGGTCAGGATGAGCTGTATATCATAGTGGTGGTTTAACAAGAAACCACATCAGTGAGAACCTCTGGTCTATTTTTGCCCCAACCAGCAGAGTGGAGGAAAAAGCAGCCAACCTGGTACCACTGGTACCTGCTCACCCAACCCAGACTGTGGCATTACACTTGATCTTAGCCAAAAGACCGAGAAGCGATAGACTATGGCATTTATTGAGGACTTACTAATTTCTTCTTCTCTCTCCATTCCTACCTCGATGTCACTGATTTTGTTTTTCTTTTCCCTTCTTCTACGTATGTTTACTGACCACCTACTCCATGCTAGGCACAATGAGAGACACTGGAAATCTAAAAGTGAATAGGACACTATCTGTGCCTCAAAGAGACTTCCAATTTTGAGCATTCTACAGAATCAAACACTGTCAGGCACAAGCCTCAGTCCTGAAAAAAATTACTAGCACCATTTACCTTTGTTGACATTATAGTATAATCCCAATGGTCTGCCACTGCTTAGAGTTAATGGCAAAATTCCCCTATGAGCTCTGACCTCTTTCAGATACAGTTAGCACAAGTGTCACTCACACAGCATTTAATATACAATATCAAAAAGGCAAAGATTTAAATGCTTCTTTCTGGGTGCAGAGCTCTGCAGTTCACCTTTTTCTGATTTTCTCAACCTCAGCATTCTAGCTCCCTTTGCTTTCCTGTTCTCCATCTACACTTACCTGAGACTGGACCACCTTGCTCCACTTTAATGAGACCTATGGAATCTTTCTGTTCCTTCAAAGGGAGTCAAATTTTTGACCCTTCTCTCCAGGATTGTATTAATAGAGCCCTTGCCATTTGAATGTAAATATCTTTATACTCTAGCTAGCTATGAGGCTTTCATCAATTCTGTTGAAAATACAGGAAGCTCTACTCATTGGTGCCCAGGGTGAAGTCTTCCTTCTTATGCTATTGGTGCCACTCAGATTAACACCTAGTATAGACACCATTTTTCCTAGCTTTGTCATCGATCTTTGCCTCTGTCTTTCCTCATAAATTGCCACCATTATTGTTGTTATTGTGGTTACCCATTGGTCTTTGTTTTGATTCCTCCTCAAAATTCCTCCCCCAAAATTAATCATGCATAAATACTTAATGGGCACCCCCAACAGCAGCAATGGTGGCTGAGAGCTGAGCATTTACTCCCTGAGCACTGTGCTAAATGTTTGATTTGCATTATCTCCCTCAATCATCACAAGAACCGCCTATGGACAGCTTTTCTAAGCATTGTAGGTAATTGTCTTAGTTTGGTTTCCCCCAAAGCAGCCCCTGATATAAGGATTTGGGTGTATATAGTTTATTTAGGAAGTGGTCCCAGGAAATAGTGATAAAGTGATGACCTCAGATACGGAAAGTAGTAAAGCCATAAAGATGCATTAATGAGTGAGAAACCATTGCAAATAACTAGGGCTCGATTCCTTCTGAGAAACTGTAGAATGCACCTCAGAATTATTCCACTGAGAAGCAAGGAATCTGGAATAGTTGTTTACCAATTCCCATCCTTCATTGATAGATGATCACCCCTGGGAGATCTAACTCTTTAGAGAACTTCCAGAGGGCTGAGCACTCTTCTGTGGTGAGAAAACACCTACAGACAGAAGCCAAAAGAAGCACTGCTATATACAGGAACTGTCTGTGGCCTGACTTCTCGGTGGGGCAAGGCGATACGGGCAGGTCGCTGATGGCATCTGTTACAGTAACATGGAAGAGAAATAAGGAGAGGAGAAAAAGATGGGAAGAAATAAAATGTAATCTCATCCTCACTAGGCTTACAAGAATATACATATAACCCAAAGGAATTTAAAATTCATCCATATAAAGACTGTTCATTGAGTACCTACTGTGTTGCACACACAGTTTCCCAAATTGGGGGCATAGGAGTGAGTAAAATATCATTAGCCTCATGAAGTTTACACTCTAGAACAATAAAGTGCTAAATAAATGGTGCCATTTATTCTCTCTGCCCTTCTTGTTTAATAGCTCTTTGATTTGGTTTATGGATAAGATAGAGGCCTGGACTTTGGACTTTGAACCCGCTTTGCTTACTTTTGTATTCAAAAGTGACATCTCAGATTTGAGAAAACCTTCCACTTAGTTTGTAACTGCCAAGTAGAACACACAGCAGCCTGTCAAGCTGCTTCTTGCTGTCATTTACAGATTTCCAGGTACTTCATCACAGAGATTAAATATGAAGTGATTTGGTACACACTACATGTTTGTGTCTGCCACTTCTTTTTTAGGCTTCTTACTGAAGTCTATGGTGCCTCTGTTTTGCTTTTTCTTTAGTATTACCAGCATGTTCTTCTCGACCCATAAGTGCTAGACCAAGATTGTCAAATTGACTTCTGAGGGTGACACCCACTAATCCTGCCTTGTCACTCTTAGATATTTTGGTTATCTGTCACACTGACTCTTAGCACCCAACAGACCTCATAGGAGGCACCCACTCCACCTCTTTCATATCTACCCATGATCTGGCCACAGGAGGAGAGGGATTGGGTGGCACCAGAGGTGGGCAATGGCTTCAGCTTGACAGAGAAGGGCAGGCTTATAAAGGAGAAATGGCTTATATCTATGTACACTATTGACTGCTCTCTGGACCATTGCAGTAGCTTCCTACTGGTCTCCTTGTCTCCTCTCTGGGCTCCTTCAGAATACATCTGAAGTCCTCCCTGGATACGGCCTACAAGATTCTATGTGAACAGCCCTCCACTACCCCTCAATTTCTCTGATCTCATCTTGCATTGTTGTCTCTAAGACCTCTCATTTTGCTCTAGCCACTCCCCCATCAAAACAACTACTTTACTGCCTCAGGGACTTTGCACTTTCTGGTCCTTCTATCTGGAATGGTCTTCTCCAGACATCTGCATGGTCCACTCATTCTTTGCTTCATCTGGGTCTCTGCCCAAATATCATCTCATCAGAGAGGTCTTCCTTGATCCCCCAGTAATATACAGCACCTCCTTCCCACTCCGACACTCTGTAACCCCCATACTCTGTTCTGTGTTCCACTACAGCAATATCTCACCTTGTTTTTTCTTTCTTTCTTTGTTGTTGTTTGTCTCTCCCCGTTAGAATGTATGCACCAGACACTTTGTCAATTTTGTTTGGTTATATTACCAGCACCCAGAACAAGGCTTGCCATAGAGTAGACCATCAGTAAATGTGTTAATGAATAAGAAGGCAGATTTAGTGAGTATACATGTGTTAAAAGAGACTGAGCTTAGAGATAGTACAACTTGAATATTAAACATTTACATATAAAAACTCATTCCACCACATAGATGCCACTCTCACTACTCTACTGCTATAGAATCTTGAAGCAATCCTGGCAAAGGCAATTGCTCAATAAACCTTTTGGGGAAAAATGACCAATCTTATTAGTCATTAACAAAATACCAGTTAAAACAATAATTAGATACCATTACTGACCAAGATTTTCCAATTATTATAGTTGCTGATGTTGGGAAGGCTGACATGAGAGTGAGGGAGGGACTGGGCACTGGATTACACCACTGATCAGAGTGTGGACACATTCAACTTTTCTAACTAGTTAATATGCATGAAAAGCCTTAGATATGCAGTTTTTGATATGTTACATATGAAGAACATTATTAGTATAAGAAAATGCTCACAGTATTTTTTTATAAGCAAAAGAACAGGGTGACTATAGTACGTGGAGCATAAGACCATTTTTGTTTAAAGAATTTAAGGAATCCTCCCTGATCTGGAAGATCTGATCCTAAAATGTTTGCCATGCTTATCTCCAAGCAGCAGGATTCCAAATAATTTCAATGTTCTTCCTTTTACTTGCCTGCATTTTCTAAATGTCTTATAAGTAACTTGCATTAATATTTCATTTTATTATGTAAGCATTACATAGAAACTTGAAAAACATGTATAAGAAAAAATAAATAAGAATAAAAAGCAGCTTTAATAGTAATAAGCACTAGTAATAATATAATAGTAATTTATTCTTATTAAAATTTTATTTTAATATTAGCTAATTTAATAACAAATGATAATTTGTTTGGATGCTAGGACACACCCACCTTCCTCTTGTTATTAATATGGAGCCTACACGATAAAACAGGCCATCGAATGCCCTCCACGATCTCAATAATTTGGGGTGGCAGGCCTCTGAACAGAACGCAAACCAGTATCATTCCAGAAGAGACAAACTTGATTTGGGTTCCCTTAGCTGGGAGTTTTCCCAAGTTAGCAAACTTGTAGGGAAATGCCTCCTTTGGACCCATGCTGGGGCAGCCCCACACTCCAGGAAAGTTTTCCATCAGGTCTTACTCCCTTGGCACAGGCATTTACATATGTTATGGGCCTGGAGTCTCCTCTGTTTAAACTGTGTCCTACAGACTGATGCCTCACAGCACAGGAAAAAAGTGTTCCCTTATTCCCGTTTATTCCCAGACAAGTAAAGATTCCACCCAGCTCCCTCCAAGTTGAAAACAGCCACCAACGGGGAGGCTGAGAGAACTAGACTAGGTCCTGGGAGGTATTCTTCCAACCAATTTTCCGATAATTAATAAATAATATTATTTAACGTATGTGGGCCTTTATAATTTAGAGTGTCTTCTCATGTATGAAAATATATCTGCACGTTATTTAGTTTTCACAATCCTTTGATGTAAATAAAGCCCAATTTAGTGTGGCAGAGAATAAGAGTCAAAGGTAACTTAAAGGTCATATAGTCAAAACTATTTCAATAATTAAACTTATACTCAAAAATCTATATGTGGGGCCGGGTGCAGTGGCTCATCCCTATAATCCCAGCACTTTGAAAGGCTGAGGTGGGAGGATCTCTTGAGATCAGGAGTTCAGGACGAGCCTGGGCAATATAGTGAGATCCCATCTCTATACTTTTTTAAAGAAGAAAAAAAAACTATATGTCGATGGGATGCCATGGAACCACTATTAATAACACAAGGAAAGAAGAATATGTCATTTATTCAAATATAGATTTTTTCAGTAGTTATATTCAAAACAGAAGAAAACGTGGTTTGATTTTATGTGTGCCTAAGTGTGCAGTTATACATCTTTTACTTCTAATTCATATATTCTGATATTAATTACTAGTAAGATGCTGCTTTTTAACAAACTTAATGGAACCAGGTGTGGTGGCCCATGCCTGTAATCCCAATACTTTTGGAGGCTGAGGGAGGAGGTCACTTGAGGCCTGGCATTCAAGACCAGCCTAGGCAACACAGTGAGAACCCATCTCTAAAAAAGAAAATTAGCTGGGCGTGGTGTCACATGCCTATAGTCCTAGGTACTCTGGAGGCTGAGGTGGGAGGATCGCTTGAGTTGGGAGTTCAAGGATATTGTGAGCCATGATCGCACCACTGCACTCCAGCTTAGGGGGCAGAGCAAGACCTTGTCTCAAAAAAACACAAAACAACAACAGCAACAACAAATTTAATGGCACAATAGTTTTCCACTTCTTTTTTGTTTTTGTTCTGTCTTCAAAAGTAGTTCATCTTTGTTGTTGAAAATTTGTAAAATACAGAAAAGTAAGAAGGAGCATAAAAAAATCACACAATCCATTTTACTGTCAATGTTGGTCTATTTCTTTCCAGGTTTTTTTTTTTCTTCCAACTAAGATACATCAATTCTAACTCAAAATTTTCACAACTAATGGTGACTCTCACCTTCAGTTCATTTTGTGAAAGAAAATGTTCTTCCACAGAATCTAGTAGAATTACAACTTTAAAGCTCACAATACTCACATCCAAAGAACAACAGATAATATGCCTTTCTGTTGTGGATACCTCAGTCTCAGTTCAAACACCTTCCAATCTCATTTGTCTATTGAATTATTCAGTCAGTAAATACATATTGAATGCCTACTGGAAGCTAGGTATTATCTGGTACTGAGAAGATAGAATTTTTAAAAACCAGATGAAAATCATTGAGCTAATGTTAAAATGGAAAATAGTAATAAACAAAATAAATAAGCAAAATATATATAATATATTAGTTGTAAGTGCTAACTGCAAAGCCAAGACATATTTCAGAAACATCCTGAAGCTTGCACTCCAAAGGCAGCCATAACTGTATTTGTTTACACACTTTTACTTGTAAATTTGTGGTTTCATTTCCTGTAAGTAGTTCTGTGCAATGGTTAATATTAAGTGTCAACTTGATTAGATTGAAGGATGCCTAGATAGCTGGTAAAGTATTGTTTCTGGGTGTGTCTGTGAGGGTGTTGCCAGAGAAGATGAACATTTGAGTTGGTGGACTGCAAGAGGAAGACCCATCGTCAATGTGGGTCAGCACCATCCAATCAGCTACAACCCGGCTAGAACAAAGCAGGCAGAAGAAGGGATAAGTTGACTTGCTGAGTCTGCTGGCTTTGATTTTTCTCCCATGCTGGATACTTCCTTACTTTGGACATCAGACTCCAGGTTCTTCGGCCTTTGGACTTTTGGACTTACACCAGTGGTCTGCCCAGGGATCTCAGGAATTTGGCCACAGACCGAAGGCTGCATTGTCAAGTTTTCCCACTTTTAAGGCTTTTGCACTGAGCCACTAACGGCTTCCTACCTCTTCAGTTTGCAGATGGCCTATCATGGGACTTCACCTTGTGATCATGTGAGTCACTTCTCCTTAATAAACTCCTTTCAATATAAACATATATTCAATTCGTTCTGTCCCTCTGGAGAACCCTCAGTAATACACTCTGCAATCCTTACGTAAGTGTAATTCCATTGAGCTTAGAGTTTTTTACCAGTGAAGAATAAAAATTGATATTTGCTTTATAGATTCATTTGGAATCTGAACACCCTTACTTCTTTGCAGATTGAGAATAGTGTTCTGCCTTCAGGTTTACTTTGTTCAGTAAAAATTGTAGTTTTATCAGTAAAGAGGTATAGTTTTTGAGCCAGAACAAGTCAGCAAGTTGAGTCTCAAACTGTCCTTTAATTCCAAAAAGGTCTTGGTCTATGGAATCTGCTCAATGTGAAACTTCAGCAATGTTCTACAATCTAGCTTTATGACCACATTAAAATAAATTGCCAACTTCAAACTCTTCCATATATTTTGTAAAATGCAGACCTTGAAAGGCACAAGCTCCCCAAAAGGTCCATAAGCAGAATTATTTCTTCCATCATGTCATAGCATATATCTGTGAAAGCATAGCATATATCTATGACAAAGTATATATCTTTGTTTTATACAAAGATAAAGTAGATTTACTAAGTTTGAATCAGAGACACTTTTGGTGAATGATACAATAAAAGAAAGATTCTCTATTTCTGTTGTATTTTGGGTTTGAGTAAACTATTGAAACTTTGTCACAAGACAGTAAAAATTTACCACAAACACATTATGACCTGGTAACTGAGGAATGTTTCAAATTGGTACTTCCCCAGGACATTTACTAATGTGAATGGCTACAAAATTAGCACATGAATACCTTAGCTTTTCTGTACAAGCAATAATCAGTTAGGAAATGCAATTAAAGAAAATGTTCTCATGACAATAGCACCAAATGAAACATCATAACTCTAAATACCCTATTTAAAATGTGCCCTCTAAGCATCACACTACCTGACTTCAAACTATACTACAGGGCTACAGTAACCAAAACAGCATGGTACTGGTACAAAACAGACACATAGACCAACGGAACAGAATAGAGAACCCAGAAATAAAACTGCACACCTACAACTATCTGATCTTCGACAAACCTGACAAATACAAGCAATGGGGAAAGGATTTCCTATTTAATAAATGGTGCTGGGAGAACCGGCTAGCTATATGCAGAAAATTGAAACTGCACCCATTCCTTAAACTATATACAAAAATAAACTCAAGATGGATTAAAGACTTAAATGTAAAACCCAAAACTATAAAAACCCTAGAAGAAAATCTAGCCAATACCATTCTGGACACAGGTACGGGCAAAGATTTCATGATGAAGACACTAAAAGCAATTGCAACAGAAGCAAAAATTGACAAATGGGATCTACTTAAACTAAAGAGCTTCTGCATAGCTAAAGAAACTATTTAAACAGAGTAAACAGACAACCTACAGTATAGGAGAAAATTTTTGCAAACTATGCATCTGACAAAGGTCTAATATCCAATATCCAAAAGGAACTTAAACAAATTTACAAGAAAAAAACCAAACCCATTTAAAAGTGGGCAAAGGACATGAACAGACACATCTCAAATGAAAACATCTGTGCAGCCAACAATCATATGTAAAAAAGTTCAACATCACTGATTATTAGAGAAATACAAATCAAAATCAAAATGAGATATCATCTTACACCCATCAGAATGGCTATAATTATATATTAAAATGTCAAAAAACTACTGATGCCGGCAAGGTTGTGGAGAAAAAGGAACACTTTTACACTGATGGTGGGAGTGTAAATTAGTTAAACCATTGTGGAAGACTGTGGCAATTCCTCAAAGACCTAGAGACAGAAATACCATTCAACCCAGCAATCTCATTACTGGGTATATACACAGAGGAATATAAATTGTTCTATTATATAGACACATGCACACATATTTTTTTGCAACACTATTCACAATAGCAAAGACATGGAATCAACCTAAATGCCCAATAATAACAGATCAGATAACGAAAATGTGGTACACCTACACAATGGAATACTATGCAGCCATAAAAAGGAATGAGATCATGTCCTTTACAGGGACATGGATGGAGCTGGAGGCCATTATCCTTAGCAAACTAATGCAGCAACAGAAAACCAGATACCGTATGTTCTCACTCATAAGTGGGAGCTAAATGATGAGAACACATGGACACATAGAGGGGAACAATGCACACTGGGGCGTACCAAAGGGCAGAAGGTGTGGGGAGGGAGAGAATCAGGAAAAATAACTAATGGATACTAGGCCTAATACTTGAGTGATTAATCTGTACAACAAACCTCCATGACACGTTTACCTATGTAACAAACCTGCACATCCTGCACATGTACCCCTGAACTTAAAAGTTTTTTAAAAATTTAAAAATTAAAAAAGAAAATAAGATTTGCCCAATCTCTGTGAACAAAATCTAAAAATCTATAGAGAGACACAACAGAAGACTTGAATAAATAAAAAGAGCACCCTGTTTCTGGATAGTGTGGTAAACTATATTTTCCAGAATGGCCATAACAGTATTTCCTATCTCCCATGATCTTCTTTCAATGATGCCTTAAAACTCCTTTCATTGTGAAGTAAGGTCTTTGTTCCTTTGCCTTAAATCTGGGTGTACCTGTAACTATGGGAGAATTGACATTATGTGTTTTCAGAGGCAAGGTCACAAAAGGGAATGCAGCTTCTATCTGGTTCTCTTGGGATGGTTGTTCTTGAAACCCAGCCACCATGCTGTGAGGAAGTCCAGACAACCTATGGAGAGGCCCCTTTCAATTTTACTGAAAGGCAAGTTTCAGGATGATATTTATTTTTCAATGTTCTTGCTCCATTTCTCTCTCTCTCTCTCCTCTCCAATCTATTCTACTTAATTGCAAATTTCCACATTTTTTTATACAGAAACTTTGTCTTCTATAAAATCAATGGAAAGTGTTAATTAGCTGTCACTCATCTTCTATCATATTTGGCTCTTCTGCTTAGCAATTTTGTTTTGTTTCAGTTTGTTTTTTCTCCCCCTTCCAAGTTGCTCTCTATTTTGTTGACTCTTTCCATTTAAAAAAGGCCTGTATGTAAAGTCAGCTCACACATCCCTCACTCCAAATATTACTGTTGCTGATTTCTGTACTTCTTTATAACCAAGATCTTGGCTTGCCCCAAAGACCAGAAGAAAAATAATCTACACAATATCTTGTTCTTTTCCTCAGTTCTCTCTCAAACCAGAAAAAGAAATGAAGATAAAACAGATAACAATGTAACTTTTACCTGACAAAACAACCCTCCAAAGAATCAGCACAATTTAAAAGTTTAGAATAATTCTTTTTGTGGAAGCTCTTACAGGTTGAGGTTGTGCTCAAAATAAAAGAAACAGCCTGAAGATTAACGTAGAAGAATGTTTTGAAGGAAGAGAGAAAAAGAAGGAGAAATAAGAAGAGGAGGAAGAGACGGAAGGAAAAGGGGGAAACAGGAAGAGGAGAACAAAGAGGCAAGAGGAAAAACAAGAACTATTACTACTACTACTGTGTGGTCAGTTACATCTGTACTACCTTTAGATTTTTTTTTCCTTTTGGAGTAGATTAATGCATAATCCTTGCTGCACTGACTCATTTAGGTTATACCTGTTTTTCACTCTGGCTTCCCCAAGGTCCACCTGCATGTTCATACCAATCATTATCTAGACATGCATGCATTTCTAGACAGGCTGGAAATCTCCTTTTGGATGTTTCAGGGGCATCTCAAGCATAATATGTCCAACAGAATATTGATCTTGCCACAGAACATGTTCTATGCATCTTACCAATTGCACTTTGTGGTATGAACATCCCATCCACGTACTCACATGGGAAACTCAGGGGCCATGCTTGGGTGCTTCTCTTCCCTACCCCTGCCTCTGTTTCAACTGGCCTAACATCAAGTCCTATTAGCTCTGCCTCCAA
Organism: Homo sapiens; assembly: GCF_000001405.40. NCBI lineage: Eukaryota > Metazoa > Chordata > Mammalia > Primates > Hominidae > Homo > Homo sapiens. The sequence continues at coordinate 27,832,853 of NC_000003.12, read as the reverse complement.
AATGTAATTCCTATTACTCCATTCCTCTCCAATACCTCCACTGAAAACACCCTCCTCTAAACTACCATCTTTTAAACTGTTGTCAGACATCAGCAAGAGTAACCTTTATAAATATAAAGCAGATTGATTTCTTCCCCTACTTAAATGGTCCTATTGCAGTTATAGAAAAATCCTAAGTCTTTAACATGATCAAGAAGAGCCTACACACCAGGTCCTTCCCACCTCTCCAGCTGTGTACCATTCCTTCTGACTAATTCTGCCCCACCACTCTCCCATCCAGCTGTGCAAACACACCAAACACCTTCCCAATGCAAGGCCTTTTCTCATGTTATTCCTTCCATGTGGAGCACACTGAACTCCTTGGCTGCTGTCCTTCAGCTCATTTTTTGTGTCTCAGCTGAAATATTACTACCTGAAAGAAGTCTTCACCAGCTTCAAACTCAATCAACATCCTGTGCTGGACATTGTAGATCATCTCACTCACTCTCCATTCCACTCTCCTCCTATTTGAAGAGGATAGAATGCTACTAACTGCACTACTGACTCCCTTGCAGCTAAGGGTCTGGATGCTAATGTGGTTCCACCTGGCAGTTTCTACTAGCAAGCACTATCATGGAAACATGAGGTTTCTCTGTACTGTGCCAGTTTTCAAATTCCTGAGAATGAACTTAGTGGGTGCAGGGGCATTAGTGGCAATCGTGGCATGTTGACTGGCTTGCTAAATCATGAATCACAGCCTTGGATATCCATTTTGTAGCGACCCAGGTGTTCAGACACAGTTTCAATAAGAGAATTTAAGCAAGTGGCAGTGTGTTCTTGACCTGCAAAGTTCCATATGGGAGCTCCCCAGGGGGGCCAGCTCTGCAGTGTTCTGAGAAATACCCCTGAAGACCCAGGATTAAACTGCCTCTTCAGCCCTTCAAAAGAGTTTTACAAACATCCTCTTCCTTGAATTAATCCATATCCTGCTTAAAATACCTAGAGTTTTTTCTCTTTTCTTCACTGGAGCCTGACTGATACAAGTCTGCCTGTTAAACTCTCTTCTAATTCTTATCATAATATGTAATTATATATTTATTTGTGGGGCAACTTGTTTCCATCTGGATCACTGCTATGTCCCCAGCACCTAGGATAGTGTCTGACATACAAAAAAGAGAGTAATCAATATTTGGCAAACCAATGAGAGAATTTAGCACTTTCAACTATGTGGGTAATTCATTTGTCAACTGATCATGAAGATAATTAGATTCACACTTCAGTTACCTCTTATATCTTTAAATAATAACAAAATCTCAAAGTGTATAAAAAGAATGCAAATAGAGTTATTTTTTACAGAGTGCCAGATATTTAGAACTGCTGCCTACAGTCCGAGTGAGAGAGATGGTCTTGGAAAGCTGATGAAACAACTCCATGAATTAATTCTGTTTTCATTAAATCCGGTCTGATCTATTGCCTACTCCATCAGGAGACTTCATTAGGCTAACTGGAAAAGGACAACCAATATGGTAACTTAGTTAGCTCTGGTTGTGCTACAGCTAGATAAAAAGGTTTTTCTAGGCCCATTGATTCTGAGTGTAAGGTTTTCAGGTTCTCAGATCGCAAGGATTTAGTGTGAACCAAAAAGTCTGCAACCTGAAGTATGAGATTTGAAGGAAAGAGTTGATCTTCTCCTAGAGTTCAAATTGCTTTCATTGACTCCGAATGTTCCACCAAAAAATGAATGCAAAGGAACCTAAGGGCAGATGAGTATTAGAATAAGTCCACCAAAAGCAATGTTCTCAAAGCACCAGTGCTTCAAGCTGGCAACGCAGCAAGGTGGCTAAGAAATGGGTTTTGAACTACACAGACCTGGATGCAAATATTGCCTCTTCAATCAACGAGCAAAAAAAAAGAAAACCTTCAGCAAGTCTCTAATTTCACTAAGCTTTAGTTTCTTCATTCATTAAATAAAAATCCTAGTCACACCTATGACTAGTCGCAGGGTTTGTTTCTGGGATTTAAGTAGAATCACCTTTGTAAAATACCTAGCATGGAATTTAGAACTTATGCTATGTGTGTTTGACAAACAGTAACCACTATTTTTACTATTTAATGAGTATATTATTTGCCTGTCCCTCCATTATAGTATGATGACATCTGATCCATCGATTCTGAACCTGGGAAAGGAGTCACTGGTCCAACTGTGATATTATATTAGTAATTGCTTCTGTTGAGATGAAAAGGTCCAAAAATGTAAGATATCATTAAAAAAAAGATGGAAACAGCAGGGCGTGGTGGCTCACACCTGTAATCCCAGCACTTTGGGAGGCTGAGATGGGCGAATCACCTGATTTTGGGAGTTCGAGACCAGCCTGACCAACATGGAGAAACGCCGTCTCTACTAAAAATACAAAATTAGTCAGGTGTGGTAGCACATGCCTGTAATCCCAGCTACTTGGAAGGCTGAGGCAGGAAAATCGCTGAACCCAGTAGGCGGAGGTTGCTGTGAGCCAAGATCATGCCATTGCACTCCAGCCTGGGCAAAAAGAGTGAAATTCCGTCTCAAAAAAAAAAAAAAAAAAAAAAAAAAAAAAAAAAAAAAGGATGGAAACACTAGATAGTATTTTTTACTTTGTGGGATGCTTGTTGCTGCACTTATCATTTTAAAGTCAAGCTCACTCCCGCATATTTCATATAGCTCTGCTAGAGTTGTCACCTTCCCTGGCATGACCACCTAGCATATTTCAGCCACCTGGACCCAGTCATTTTTTCTAGAGGTCAGCATACATTGAAAATACTGACAATTTGAGACTCTTTCTGGAATTGATATGGATATGAACAAAAGACAATTTTACTTTCTCAGCTATTTCATGCTGTAGAGGCAATGTAAGCTTAGAGTGACATTACAGCACCATCTTTTCTATCCTAAAATAAGTACATAGAGGAAAACAGGTAGGGGTGTGTGTGTGTGTGTGTGTGTGTGTGTGAGGGAGAGAGAAAAACAGAGAGACAGAGAGTGAGAGAAAAAAAAGTCAATGGCATTGTATAAGTTTCCTGTATCTAGCCATTCTTAAATAAGATTCTGTCATCTTTAGACATTGCATTAATATAAGTCAATGAACTGATTTTTTCTTTGTTCGGATCTAAGCTCTGTTGAGTTAAAGTAAGTGTATATCACTTCCATGCAAAACAATTGTAATTCATATAAACACTGTCTTAGTTTGGGAATCCCTCAGAAGCAAAGCCTGAGACAAGAATTCAAGTACAAGTAGTTAACTTGAAAGGTAATTCCAGGAAATATCAGTTAGAAAGTGGAGAAGTAAATCAGAAAGTGGAATGGAATAAAGCCAATAAATGATTCAGGAAGCCAAAAATGGTGTATAATTGAGCCGGTTGTCACTGTGGGCACCTGCAGCTTAATAGCTCTAGGGAAACTGAGATCCAGTGTAGACTATAAGCCTCAGTGTAATCCCATCTGATGGACAGGGCAGCCAAGGTATTTATATACCAACTTCCTTCAGTCATTGGTTGTAGACTGATCTGGGCATGCTAATTCTCTGGTTTCAGCCTGCTTTTTGTGAGCATATACCAGAAGCTGGCTGTCAGAGTAAGTCCTTGCGCAAAGAGAGGCAAATGCTGGTAATTAGAGATGGGCCTGTGGGCACTACAATAGTAAAGCTCCAGGGAATATGAGGGGGGTGGGTACCAATAGCATTGCTACAACATTGTTCAGAAAATGTTATATATAAAGTTTCGGTGCCACAAAAGAAAGAGCACTCGAATATAAAATTTTCTTTTTAATTCTCAGCAAGGCAAGTTACTTCTATATAGAAAGTTGCGCCCTTACAGATGAAACAATGGTGAGTGCACACTTGGACAAGGGAGGGGAAGGGGTTCTTATCCCTGACGCACGTGGCCCCTAATGTGTCCTTCCCCTATTGGCTAGGGTTAGACCACACAGGCTAAACTAATTCCGATTGGCTAATTTAAAGAGAATGACGGGGTGAGTGCTTTGGCGGGAATCAGGGCAGAGCAGGTAGCAGGTAATTGGAATGAGTTAGTGTGGAGCAGGTGATTGGAGTGTAGGGTGGAGCAGGTGATTGAAAAAGGTTGCTTTACGAGGAAGTTAAGTTTAAAAGTAGACGGCAAAGAATTGAACATACTGACATATTAATTCTTTGAAAAGAAATTTAGAACTCATATCTAACAAAAAGATCCAAAAAAAGATCGGTAATAAAAGTAGCTTATGTTTATTGGGGTTCAGAAGGGATTTTGCCGTTTCTCACTTAATTCTCTAATACATTCCTACTAGGTCACTAACAGGAATTATTATTCCTATCTTACAAAACAAAAAACTGGATTCAGCAGTTAAGTAAATTGTAGAAACACACACAGCTGTTAGACAACAGAGCCTAAAGACTGAGTTTTCTAATTCTAAGTCACAACTGTTAGAGATTAGTTTAAATTTGGTTTTAGAGCAACTCTAGAAGAATGAGCCTTCAACAAACATTTTCCCTCCCACTTGAATTTCATAATCTCTATACACCAGAAAAACTCACAAATGGAAACACATATGATGTCTGAAAATATGACTTTTTTGAATACATTTAAAATTATAAAAAAACAAGTCGGACTAGTCTGAAAATGAAAAAGCTAAAAAGTCTGCATAACTGAAGTCTATAAAATCTTCATAATATAGAGTGAAGTTGAAATAGCCTTTCTGAGAAGTGACCCATGTCGGAAATGCCTGAATCTGGTTTTCTATTGGGTGAGTTTGTAGGGCAAATGTTCAAGAGAACACCTCTTCAATAGTTCACACCTTTGCCACATTTCAAGATGAAAAATCTTCACAAAGGGGAGATTTATGAGCTTTAACGAGGTCAAAGGGTGCCACCCATGACTTTGGTTTTAAAGAATGAGTTTATGAATCAAATATCTAGGTGGACAAAATGATAGAGATCACCTTCAAGAGGTTTCCAGACATTGGGGCAGCCATCTGAGAAAGCTCATGGAATTCCCACTCTTGGGAAATGTCAGCATTGTCTTAGGATCAAGATCTCTCCTGAAGAAAATTAAACATGACTTCAGCAAAAAAATATAAGGACAGTTTCCGAGTAAGTTATTAATTTTTGACCATCCAACTTGGTCATTTGAAAATGGTCTAAGGTATGGTGTGAGCCTAAAAACAATCATAATCATAATAATTAATATCTGCCATAATATAATGATATTTTTGTGAATATCTTATATAGTTCCATAAGAGAAGAAAACTAGAAATAATATTGACTGAGATAAGTACCCAGGATTTATCATACACCCTTAACTCAGCCCTTTAATAAATGTACATTGAGCTCCTATCACACCCAAAAGTATGGGAAAGTGCTAGGAAGTTAGTGCTAAACTCAACAAACATAATCCATGCCCTCCTGAAGTTATAGCCTAGTGGAGCAAACAAACAGGAGAAAATAAATATGTGATTGCAAATTGTGTCCAGTGCTATGACAGGTACTACGAAAGCTTGTAACCAGAAAACTTAATTTTGATTTAGGAATTAAGACTTGAAAGATTGATAGGGGTAATCAAGCCAAGAGTGGGCACAGATGACCTAGAGTTTTGGCTTCCTCTAGGGGGCACAGATGACTCAGAGCTCTCCTGACAGAAAACATCTATCTGGGCCGACAAGTGGAGAGATTCCTGTTGATGTGTGCATGTGCGAGAATGCAACTTTGGCTAAATACAGGTTGGTCCTGTAGCCAGTGTGGGGTTCTGAGGAGAACCTCAATTAGAAGTTAAATGAATCTTAATTTAAAACCTGGCTCTGCTATTCACTAGTTGTGTGGCCTTGGGGAAATGCATCGACTCTCAGTGTTCCAGTTTCCAGCCTGTCAATGTGGGAGATTAACGGTCTTGCAGATTAGGTTTTCTGGAAGCAGACTCTAAACTAAGCAAGACATTGATTAGGAATTGAGCTGTGATGGGAAGGGAAGGGAGCAATGAAAGCCTAACAGTGCCATAGCCAATCCTGGAGGGAGCTCAGGAGCAAACAAAACCCTACAGAGTCTGTCTATGTTGGGTGGGAATGACCTGACCTCTATATCTCTTCCTCAATTATGGGACATGGGCTTTCCCTAAAAAGGGCACAATTATGGGCCAGGTGCCTGTCTGCTGCCTAGGCCAACTCTGAAGGAGCTGAGAGCTGAACAGAGGCTGTATGCTGACCACACCCCCTACAGCTGGGAAGCACTTTCTCTTTGAAGGGAGAACAAGGTTGCACCTTTATGTCTACCACCAAAACTGAATTTCTGCAGAGCAAATAAGATTAAGCCCTTGAAAACAGCTGGCACAATGGAGATGTATAATAGATGTTAGTCAAGTCATAATCATTATCACATACTTCTTTATTCCACATCATTCAGCAGGCTTCTGCCATCATCATTTTAAGCACTTTTATATTAAGCATCTGCCCTCTGCATATCCTGCAATCTCAGAATGTAATGCTCTTCTCCCCTAAAATTTAAAGATATTCACTTCAAATGCTTTCTTCTCCACGAATTTTTTTCATATCCTACTTAGTACCTTAAGGGATCTTAATCATTCATTTGACAAGTATTTGTTCAGCCTTTGGCCTCCTAAGGCTGGGAATGGTAAAAAACCCAAGTTTACCCTCAAGTTTTCCTTCTGGTACTGTCCGTTTCGCACTTCTAGCCCACCTGAGACACAGCACTGTGGCACCCAGCCTATGCCACCTTGAACCTCAGCTTATAGTTTGGTCTACTTGCTGTCCTTATCTCTTAATTCCACAAGTGATTCTGTGTTCCTAGAAAGCAGAGATAATACCTTTCTAATTACAGTTACAATCTTCCCTCCCCAAACCCAGCATGTAATGTATATTCAATAACATGAACTAAATTGAGCTAAATTGAATTGAATGAAATAGAGGTTTGTCCTGAGTCTAGCTCTGGTACTCCTAATAAAAATGAATAGCTTTAAATAATTAATGAGAAACTCTTACAATTGAACTACTGAGCTAATTCAACATGCCATAAAACTTCTTACAGTTTATAATCCTTTGTACAAATAGAAAGAAAGGTTACCTACAAGGAAGACTTTGAAATTTGTTCCTTTAGCAATTACTGTACAACCCAGTATGGCTTAGGAGTAAAGAATACTAGGCTATGAAGTAAGCCTACATCATTTTGAATTTTATCTTTGTTGCTGTGTGACTTTGGGTAAGTCACTTAACTTCTCTGTGGCTCAATTTTCTTATTTATAAATCGGAAACAATACAGCACCTACCTTCTAGAATGTTATAAGCATTCAAAGATATCATGCAAATAAGGTGTTCAGAACACAGTAAGAGCTTAGTAAATGCCAATTACCATTATCATTATTATTATCCAGAAATTTATGTATATAGATGGGTGAATTATCTCCTCATTCACCAGCAGCTGAGTTCATATAAGGAGCTGGGAGAGGCCTGTACGGTTTTTGTGTCAGATATTCTACTAGGTTTGTTTGTAGAAGTATATATATTTCCTAAAATATAAACAGACTTCCTTCATATTTTCACTCCATAAGTTCTGGTGTTTCAATGCTTTTTAAAAGAAAAAAATAGCATTATTTCATTTCTCCCCAAGAAAAGTGTAAAAGCCAAGAACGTTTTTAAAATTACACTTTCATTACTTTTATAAAATATACTGTGAAGCATTATCATAAATAATTTAAATCAACTCCATGAATTTGTCAAAATAAATTAGCAACTATACATTCCTCAAATGACAATCTGGATTTTGAATTGATCTCTGGTGTTCGTGTTTGTGCGTGTGTGTGTGTGTGTGTGTGTATGTCTGTGTGTGTGTATGTCTGTGTATGTGTGTGTCTGTGTGTGTGTGTCTGTGTGTGTATGTCTGTGTGTGTGTGTGTGTGTGTATGAATAGATGACAGATCTTGGCTTTTTCTAAATTTACCAATGTCCAGTGAATTCAGGTATTTGATGACTTCACTTTTGCATTTTCAGTAAACATTTTGTTATTTGGCTATGAGGACAGCCCTTTTCTGAGTCATTTCTTCAAAAGCCTGAGCAGCATGTTGCACATCTCCTTTGCGGGATAAGAAAAAGCCCTCACCTCATCCAAATTGGCTGGCGGGTAGGGCTTCTTGCCAGGAGTCAGTCAAACCTAGATCATAATTCTATAGAGTTTCTCTCTTTGGATCCAGTGGGCATCCTGGAACAGAGAATTACAAGTGAGTTTCTGAGGTGTTAGAAGTATAGGTGCACTGAGATTATAAATCAGGCTGGAGAAAAGGCTTTTAAGCAGAAACTGAAACAGGGTTCACGTCTGTCAGCCCTTGTGAGGTTCAGTAAAGAGAACCAGACAGAAAACACACAGAAGGGAGACCAGGGTAGGGAGTGTGCAGGTGAAGACCTGAAAGGACTTTGAATAAGTTGGGGCTTTATCCTAAGGACCCAAGGGAAGCTACTGAAAGCGTCTAAGCAAGAGAGAGACACAACCAAATTTGCATTTGATTTGCTTCCAAGGAAAGTACACTAAGCATCTTTATCCAGAACCCTGGGTGAGCACAACAGCTATTTCTCTAAGGTTGCTGGAAACATAATTGTCAGATTTACTTGTCTGAAACGGCAAAATGTCCTTCCTCTGAAGGGAAAAAATATACTTTAATTTTTGCTACTTTATGATTTGTTTAAGGCAACCGTCCCATATCATAAGGGGAATAACTCTGTATAATTCCTAATATATAAAACAGGAAGTGTCTATACTTTTCTGGAAAGAGATCTTTTAATAATAGATTCCAAAACATTTTTTATCCCCACCACAGCTTAAGATGGAAAAAAAAAAGTGGCTGGCTGTGGTGGCTCATGCCTGTAATCCCAACACTTTGGGAGGCTGAGACAGGCAGGTGGATCACCTGAGGTCAGGAGTTCGAGACCAGCCTGGCCAACATGGTGAAACCCCCTCCACTAAAAATACAAAAATTAGCCTGGCATGGTGGCACACGCCTGTAATCCCAGCTACTCAGGAGGCTGAGGCAGGAGAATTGCTTGAACCTGGGAGGCAGAGGTTGCAGTGAGCCAAGATCATGCTACTGCACTCCAGCCTGGGTGACAGAGTGAGATTCAGTCTCAAAAAAAAAGAGAGATAGAACACACACAAAAAAATAGAGATAGAGATGGAAAAATAATGAAAGACATATCAACTTAAAAATTCTGTAATGAGGCTAGGCATGGTGGCTCACACCTGTAAGTACTTTGGGGGCCTGAGGCAGGAAGACCTCTTGAGGCCAGGAGTTCCAGACCAGCCTGGGCAACATAATGAGACCCCCATCTCTACAAAAAATAAAAAAAAATTAGCTGGGCATGGGGGTGCATGCATGGAGTTCTAGCTGCTCAGGAGGCTGAGGTAGGAGGATTACTTGAGCCCAGGCTCTCTAGGCTGCAGTGTGCCATTATTGCACTCCAGCCTGGGCAACACAGCAAGACCTTATCTCAAAAAAAAAGAAAGTTCTGTAGCTGGCTTGGGTATATATGAGTACTAATTCACAAACTTTGAGAAATATACAAAACCTTAGAAATTATTCACATCAACAGTTCTCAAACTTTTTGGTCTCAGGAGTTCTTACACTCTTAAAAATCATTAATGACCCTGAAGAGTTTTTGGAGTGTGAGTTACATCTATTAATATTGACCATATTAGAAATTAAGACCAAGACAATTTTAAAACACAATAATTCACAAACACATAGTCCATCAGCCACCAGATCCATGACATCATCACACCTCGTGTAGCCTCTTGAAAATCCCACTGCACACTCCTAATAGCATGAGAATGAAAAGGTAATAACATCTGCCACTGTTATGAAAATAGTTTTGCCCTCATGGACACCCTGAGATCTTAGGGAACCCTGTGGATTCTCACACCATGCTTTGAGAACCATTAATCTACTCCAACTAGAAGATTAGGCCAACAATACATTCTAGATCATGGAGCTGCTGAGGACGAGAGCCAGCATTTCTGCTTTTTGATATCCTCTCATTGACATGTGTCTATCTGAACAAGGCCACTTCCTGAGTAGTAATTCCAATCTGTATTAGTTAGGATAAAGCTAGTAAGTAGCAACGAATTAACTTCAAAATTTTCCTGGCTTATTTCACAATTACATAAAAGTCCCATATGGGACATAAAAGTCCTGTTTCACACCCATAAAAGTCTCTTAGGGTGACCAGTAAATCCCCCGTTTTCCTGGACTGTCCCAGTTTTGAAACTGAAAGCCCCACATTCCAGAAACTCCCTCAGTCCAGGGCAAACCAGGACAGTTGGTCACCTTAACCATCTCGTAGAACTTTGGGGCCTTTGGCAGAAGAGGAAAGAATGCAGAAGGCACACCCGCTTCTTAAAAACTTCAACCCATATGTGATACCCATCCCTTCCACTCACATTTCATGGTGGGGAGTAGTTACAGGGATATAAGGGAACCCAGGATGGGAAATGTAGTTGGGCAGCTGGGGTCTTTACAAGGGAGAATGTACATATTGGTTAGACCATTAGACACATTTGACAAAAAAAAAAAAAAAAAAAAAAAAAACCTAACTTTACTCCATAACACTGCTGAGAGTAAGGTAAGGTGGGCATCACAAAGGCTACCCATTATTCTGAGGGTTTTAAAGAAGATTTTAAAAACTTCAGCCCAAGAAAACATAAATGCCCTATACAAATGGTAGTGTTGATCTTATTTCCAACTTAATTTCTGCCTAGAGCTCTTGGTTGAAAACAATCATCATTCATTGATAAAAGAGCATCTTAATTTTTACAATAGTTGTTTCTTAAAAATGATGGCCAAGCAAATAATATTTTAAATGCATTAAGAAACTTCCGGGGAGCAGCCAAGATGGCCGAATAGGAACAGCTCCGGTCTACAGCTCCCAGCGTGAGCCACGCAGAAGACGGGTGATTTCTGCATTTCCATCTGAGGTACCGGGTTCATCTCACTAGGGAGTGCCAGACAGTGGGCCCAGGTCAGTGGGTGCGCGCACCATGCGTGAGCCGAAGCAGGGCGAGGCATTGCCTCACTTGGGAAGTGCAAGGGGTCAGGGAGTTCCCTTTCCGAGTCAAAGAAAGGGGTGACGGACTCACCTGGAAAATCGGGTCACTCCCACGCGAATATTGCGCTTTTCGGACAGGCTTAAAAAACGGCGCACCACAAGATTATATCCTGCACCTGGCTCGGAGGGTCCTATGCCCACGGAGTCTCGCTGATTGCTAGCACAGCAGTCTGAGATCAAACTGCAAGGCGGCAGCGAGGCTGGGGGAGGGGCGCCCGCCATTGCCCAGGCTTGCTTAGGTAAACAATGCAGCTGGGAAGCTCGAACTGGGTGGAGCCCACCACAGCTCAAGGAGGCCTGCCTGCCTCTGTAGGCTCCACCTCTGGGGGCAGGGCACAGACAAACAAAAAGACAGCAGTAACCTCTGCAGACTTAAATGTCCCTGTCTGACAGCTTTGAAGAGAGCAGTGGTTCTCCCAGCACGCAGCTGGAGATCTGAGAACGGGCAGACTGCCTCCTCAAGTGGGTCCCTGACCTCTGACCCCCGAGCAACCTAACTGGGAGGCACCCCCCAGCAGGGGCACACTGACACCTCACACGGCAGGGTATTCCAACAGACCTGCAGCTGAGGGCCCTGTCTGTTAGAAGGAAAACTAACAAACAGAAAGGACATCCACACCAAAAACCCATCTGTACATCACCATCATCAAAGACCAAAAGTAGATAAAACCACAAAGATGGGGAAAAAACAGGACAGAAAAACGGGAAACTCTAAAACGCAGAGCGCCTCTCCTCCTCCAAAGAAACGCAGTTCCTCACCAGCAACGGAACAAAGCTGGATGGAGAATGACTTTGACGAGTTGAGAGAAGAAGGCTTCAGACGATCAAATTACTCTGAGCTACGGGAGGACATTCAAACCAAAGGCAAAGAAGTAGAAAACTTTGAAAAAAATTTAGAAGAATGTATAACTAGAATAACCAATACAGAGAAGTGCTTAAAGGAGCTGATGGAGCTGAAAACCAAGGCTCGAGAAGTACATGAAGAATGCAGAAGCCTCAGGAGCCGATGCGATCAACTGGAAGAAAGGATATCAGCGATGGAAGATGAAATGAATGAAATGAAGCGAGAAGGGAAGTTTAGAGAAAAAAGAATGAAAAGAAATGAGCAGAGCCTCCAAGAAATATGGGACTATGTGAAAAGACCAAATCTACATCTGATTGGTGTACCTGAAAGTGATGGGGAGAATGGAACCAAGTTGGAAAACACTCTGCAGGATATTATCCAGGAGAACTTCCCCAATCTAGCAAGGCAGGCCAACGTTCAGATTCAGGAAATACAGAGAACGCCACAAAGATACTCCTCGAGAAGAGCAACTCCAAGACACATAATTGTCAGATTCACCAAAGTTGAAATGAATGAAAAAATGTTAAGGGCAGCCAGAGAGAAAGGTCGGGTTACCCTCAAAGGAAAGCCCATCAGACTAACAGCGGATCTCTCAGCAGAAACCCTACAAGCCAGAAGAGAGTGGGGGCCAATATTCAACATTCTTAAAGAAAAGAATTTTCAACCCAGAATTTCATATCCAGCCAAACTAAGCTTCATAAGTGAAGGAGAAATAAAATACTTTACAGACAAGCAAATGCTGAGAGATTTTGTCACCACCAGGCCTGCCCTAAAAGAGCTCCTGAAGGAAGCGCTAAACATGGAAAGGAACAACTGGTACCAGCCGCTGCAAAATCATGCCAAAATGTAAAGACCATCAAGACTAGGAAGAAACTGCATCAACTAACGAGCAAAATCACCAGCTAACATCATAATGACAGGATCAAATTCACACATAACAATATTAACTTTAAGTGTAAATGGACTAAATGCTCCAATTAAAAGACACAGACTGGCAAATTGGATAGAGTCAAGACCCATCAGTGTGCTGTATTCAGGAAACCCATCTCACGTGCAGAGACACACATAGGCTCAAAATAAAAGGATGGAGGAAGATCTACCAAGTAAATGGAAAACAAAAAAAGGCAGGGGTTGCAATCCTAGTCTCTGATAAAACAGACTTTAAACCAACAAAGATCAAAAGAGACAAAGAAGGCCATTACATAATAAAGGGATCAATTCAACAAGGAGAGCTAACTATCCTAAATATATATGCACCCAATACAGGAGTACCCAGATTCATAAAGCAAGTCCTGAGTGACCTACAAAGAGACTTAGACACCCACACATTAATAATGGGAGACTTTAACACCCCACTGTCAACATTAGACAGATCAACGAGACAGAAAGTCAACAAGGATACCCAGGAATTGAACTCAGCTCTGCACCAAGCGGACCTAATAGACATCTACAGAACTCTCCACCCCAAATCAACAGAATATACATTTTTTGCAGCACCACACCACACCTATTCCAAAATTGACCACATACTTGGAAGTAAAGCTCTCCTCAGCAAATGTAAAATAACAGAGATTATAACAAACTATCTCTCAGACCACAGTGTAATCAAACTAGAACTCAGAATTAAGAATCTCACTCAAAACCGCTCAACTACATGGAAACTGAACAACCTGCTCCTGAATGACTACTGGATACATAACGAAATGAATGCAGAAATAAAGATGTTCTTTGAAACCAACGAGAACAAAGACACAACATACCAGAATCTCTGGGACACATTTAAAGCAGTGTGTAGAGGGAAATTTATAGCACTAAATGCCCACAAGAGAAAGCAGGAAAGATCCAAAATTGACACCCTAACATCACAATTAAAAGAACTAGAAAAGCAAGAGCAAACACATTCAAAAGCTAGCAGAAGGCAAGAAATAACTAAAATCAGAACAGAACTAAAGGAAATAGAGACACAAAAAACCCTTCAAAAAATTAATGAATCCAGGAGCTGGTTTTTTGAAAGGATCAACAAAAGTGATAGAATGCTAGCAAGACTAATAAAGAAAAAAAGAGAGAAGAATCAAATAGACACAATAAAAAATGATAAAGGGGATATCACCACCGATCCCACAGAAATACAGACTACCATCAGAGAATACTACAAACACCTCTACGCAAATAAACTAGAAAATCTAGAAGAAATGGATAAATTCCTCGACACATACACTCTCCCAAGACTAAACCAGGAAGAAGTTGAATCTCTGAATAGACCAATAACAGGAGCTGAAATTGTGGCAATAATCAATAGTTTACCAACCAAAAAGAGTCCAGGACCAGATGGATTCACAGCCGAATTCTACCAGAGGTACAAGGAGGAACTGGTACCATTCCTTCTGAAACTATTCCAATCAATAGAAAAAGAGGGAATCCTCCCTAACTCATTTTATGAGGCCAGCATCATTCTGATACCAAAGCCGGGCAGAGACACAACCAAAAAAAGAATTTTAGACCAATATCCTTGATGAACATTGATGCAAAAATCCTCAATAAAATACTGGCAAAACGAATCCAGCAGCACATCAAAAAGCTCATCCACCATGATCAAGTGGGCTTCATCCCTGGGATGCAAGTCTGGTTCAATATACACAAATCAATAAATGTAATCCAGCATATAAACAGAGCCAAAGACAAAAACCACATGATTATCTCAATAGATGCAGAAAAGGCCTTTGACAAAATTCAACAGCCCTTCATGCTAAAAACTCTCAATAAATTAGGTATTGATGGGACGTATTTCAAAATAATAAGCTATCTATGACAAACACAGCCAATATCATACTAAATGGGCAAAAACTGGAAGCATTCCCTTTGAAAACTGGCACAAGACAGGGATGCCCTCTCTCACCACTCCTATTCAACATAGTGTTGGAAGTTCTGGCCAGGGCAATTAGGCAGGAGAAGGAAATAAAGGGTATTCAATTAGGAAAAGAGGAAGTCAAATTGTCCCTGTTTGCAGACGACATGATTGTATATCTAGAAAACCCCATCGTCTCAGCCCAAAATCTCCTTAAGCTGATAAGCAACTTCAGCAAAGTCTCAGGATACAAAATCAATGTACAAAAGTCACAAGCATTCTTATACACCAACAACAGACAAACAGAGAGCCAAATCATGAGTGAACTCCCATTCACAATTGCTTCAAAGAGAATAAAATACCTAGGAATCCAACTTACAAGGGATGTGAAGGACCTCTTCAAGGAGAACTACAAACCACTGCTCAAGGAAATAAAAGAGGATACAAACAAATGGAAGAACATTCCATGCTCATGGGTAGGAAGAATCAATATCGTGAAAATGGCCATACTGCCCAAGGTAATTTACAGATTCAATGCCATCCCCATCAAGCTACCAATGACTTTCTTCACAGAATTGGAAAAAACTACTTTAAAGTTCATATGGAACCAAAAAAGAGCCCGCATCGCCAAGGCAATCCTAAGCCAAAAGAACAAAGCTGGAGGCATCACACTACCTGACTTCAAACTATTCTACAAGACTACAGTAACCAAAAGAGCATGGTACTGGTACCAAAACAGATATATAGGCCAATGGAATAGAACGGATGCCTCAGAAATAACACCACACATCTACAACCATCTGATCTCTGACAAACCTGACAAACACAAGCAATGGGGAAAGGATTCCCTATTTAATAAATGGTGTTGGGAAAACTGGCTAGCCATATGCAGAAAACTGAAACTGGACCCCTTCCTTACAGAAACTTATATAAATATTAACTCAAGATGGATTAAAGACTTAAATGTAAGATTTAAAATCATAAAAACCCTAGAAGAAAACCTAGGCAATACCATTCAGAACATAGGCATGGGAAAAGACTTCATGGCTAAAACACCAAAAGCAATGGCAACAAAAGCCAAATTGACAAATGGGATCTAATTAAAGAGCTTCTGCACAGCAAAAGAAACTACCATCAGAGTCAACAGGCAACCTACAGAATGGGAGAAAATTTTTGTAATCCATCCATCTGACAAAGGGCTAATATCCAGAATCTACAAAGAACTTAAACAAATTTACAAGAAAAAAATAAACAACCCCATCAAAAAGTGGGTGAAGGACATGAACAGACACTTCTCAAAAGAAGACATTTATGCAGCCAACAACCTTACGAAAAAAAGCTCATCATCACTGGTCATTAAAGAAATGCAAATCAAAACCACAACGAGATGCCATCTCATCCCAGTTAGAATGGCAATCATTAAAAAGTCAGGAAACAACAGATGCCGGAGAGGATGTGGAGAAATAGGAATGCTTTTACACTGTTGGTGGGAGTGTAAATTAGTTCAACCATTGCAGAAGACAGTGTGGCAATTCCTCAAGGATCTAGAACCAGAAATACCATTTGACCCAGCAATCCCATTACTGGTATATACCCAAAGGATTATAAATCATTCTGCTATAAAGACACTTGCACATGTATGTTTATTGCGGTACTGTTCACAATAGCAAAGACTTGGAACCAACCCAAATGCCCATCAATGATAAAGAAAATGTGGCACATATACACCATGGAATACTATGCAGCCATAAAAAAGAACGAGTTCATGTCCTTTGCAGGGACATGGATGAAGCTGGAAACTATCATTCTCAGCAAACTAATACAGGAACTGAAAACCAAACACCGCATGTTCTCACTCATAAGTGGGAGTTGAACAATGAGGACACATGGACACAGGGAGGGGAACATCACACACCAGGGCCTGTCAGGGAGTGGAGGGCTAGGGGAGGGATAGCATTAGGAAAAATACCTAATGTAGATGACAGGTTGATGGGTGCAGCAAACCACCA
Source organism: Homo sapiens (assembly GCF_000001405.40). NCBI lineage: Eukaryota > Metazoa > Chordata > Mammalia > Primates > Hominidae > Homo > Homo sapiens. Next base: position 27,816,057 of record NC_000003.12, on the reverse strand, counting down.
TAGCACATGTATACCTATGTAACAAACCTGCACGTTCTGCACCTGTATCCCAGAACTTAAAATATAATTAAAAAGTGGCCAGTTAGCAGGGCACCGTGGCTCACACCTGTAATCTCAGCACTTTGGGAGGCCGAGGTGGGCGGATCACGAGGTCAGGAGATCAAGACCATCCTGGCTAACACGGTGAAACCCCATCTCTACTAAAAATACAAAAAATTAGCAGGGCATGGTGGCAGGTGCCTGTAGTCCCAGCTACTCTGGAGGCTGAGGCTTGAACCCGGGAGGCGGAGCTTGCAGTAAGCTGAGATAGCGCCACTGCACTCCAGCCTGGGGGACAGAGCGAGACTCCGTCTCAAAAAAAATAAAATAAAATAAAATAAAGAAAAGAAAAAAAAAAGTGGCCAGGTGCAGTGGCTCGCGCCTGTAATCCCAGCACTTTGGGAGGCTGAAGCAGGTGGATCATAAGGTCAGGAGTTTGAGACCAGCCTGGCCAGCATGGTGAAGTCTCTACTAAAAATCCAAAAATTTAGCCGGGCATGGTGGCCCACACCTGCAGTCCCAGCTACTCAGGAGGCTGAGGCAGAATTGCTTGAACCCGGCAGGCAGAGACTGCAGTGAGCAGAGATCACGCTTCCAGCCTGGGCAACAGAGCGAGACTCCATCTCAAAAATAATAACGATAATTTATAAAATATACATTTACCATATGAAAAAAATAAAATATAATAAATAATTGTTTAAATTAATTATCTAACAATTGTTTAAATTAAAGCAAATAATGTAATAATTTGCTTTAATTATTAAACACAATATTTGCTTTTCCTTGACCTCATATTTTCTTTCCTTGAGTAAATTATAATTTACCTCCCAAACAAAAGCGAGCTTTATAAGGAAGTGAATATTGTAAAAGTATGTTAATCAAAAACTAGGTGAATACAGGATTGTGCCCTTTCTTTTAGCTTACTGGAGCTGCCAAATGTGGTATTTTGCTGAAAGTAAGTATAAACAATAAGATTTGAAGGCTTCATCTGAGGCACAATTGGGGACATATGATTTTATTTTTACTAAAAATATATATTCCAGATAAAGTCAGTATTAATATCCTATAAGAAAAATATAAAGTGTACTTTGTATTTACATTGTATTTTCTCTAAAAATCAATAGTTTGAAGTATAATATTTAGTATTATAAACACTTAAGTTGTACATCCTTCTTACATTGTTGTATATAATTCTAGGTTGTGTTTTGCTTTTCATAGTACATCTTGTCTGAAGGAATTAGTTGCTTAAAAAGGACTTTAAAAAATTCTCCTTTGGTTCTTGGTTGAAGCTCTTTATTTGAAATATAACTTGCCCAAAGCATGTAAATAGAAACAGTGGCGGTTTTTTCCATGTGACTTGCCAAAGAGGTGTTAAGAAATTTCTCTGTTTTTTCTATATGTGTGATTTGAAAAGAAGTGCTAAATTGCTAAAGGAAATTAAAATGGAGGGAAAAAATGGAATTCTACACATTGCCATCTTTGAGCAATTTCCGAGTCCTACATACTCAGTTAAGCTGAAATCCAAACTTTGATAAAGGAAAGACTTATTGGGAATAGGGAGGAGATAAAAATTAAACAAAAGCTATTGAGTTTGGTGTCCAGCTGAAATAGAAATGTTTTCCATATATTAAAGAGAGCACCCTGAAAGCGGTAAAATAAAAGGGTAGAATAACTAGTTTTGTTAGAAGGGCTTTTGTTTGGGAGGGGTGGCTTTGTTTTTGTTGTTTTTCTTTTCTTTTTATCGTATACTATATTATTTTTATATTATGTATAACATTTATATTATATTTTATTCTTATGTTATGTTCTTATATCATTAAATAGTCATAATACTTTACCAGTATGCAATATCCATGTAACAAAACTGCACTTGTACCCCCTAAATTTATACAAATAAAACAATAAATTAAATAAAAGTCATAATACAATAACAGGCTATTCAAAAAGAATAGGAAAACAAAGAAAAACAAAACAAAACAAAACCCTGTCTACAGGCCCAGGTCTCAAACAACAACCACTATTATCATTTTGGTGTAGTTCCTTCCAGTCTCAAAACACTTCTAAGAGACGGCTTCTTTTAAAAACAAAAACCGCTTCCTAAGGCACTTTGACGGTTCTGAGAAGTGGATATAGGTTTTGGTCTTGAAGAGCAATTGGTATTCATTTATTTTGTTTTTCAAAATCCAGGAGAGAATCATCCCTTTGATATTCCATCAGAGCACAAGGTAAAAGAAGAAAACATTAGACTGCCCAATTAAAGCCTGATAGACCTTTGTCAGCATTTAAAAGCCCTGCAGGCAGTCCCAGCCTTCTAAAATGGAGATTGACCATCTCCAATCATGAATCTGGTTTCCTTCTTCCTAATCCTCCCCAAAGATTGTCATCCAAAATCACATATTTATTTCACTCATCCTTCCATGTTGATTTTTTAATCTGGTCATATAGACAGCTGATTATGCCCATGAAAAAAGACACTGCAGGCCCAATGTGACTTCAACCCTTGGATCCCTGTAATACTATCTGCAGACACATGTCAAATGTTCTCCCCAAAGCCAGATGATCTCAAAACTCTGGGTCTTGCAACAGTCCCGATGCAACTGAGGAGTTCAATTGCCAGGTCTATCTTCATGCTGAAAAAGGGACACAGAGAGGCAAATACAACTGAGTGGGGAGGTGTGAGCTTGAATCACAATCCCATGGGAATTGTCAGGGAGTTTGAAAATAAAATTAAACCTCTTAAATTTTTTTTTAAATTCAGAATATTGTTCCATCTATCTTCAAAGTAGCCTTATGAAGTTGTTGAAATTAAGACTTGATATCTTTCACAAATGAGAAAAATCAAGGTTTGTTGAGGTAGGTCCAAACAATATTAGAGTCTGAACACCATTGGGATTACAATTTGAGATTTCTGACTCGTAGATCAATTAAACAATGTGTTTCTGTTGATTACCTATTGCAAATAAGCTTTCAACAGGCAATGCTAGTGTGGAATACAAACAATCTATAAATCTAACAGAAAAGAAAAAATATGTGTAAAATGTTACTAGAATTTTAAGTGTATGTGTAATTACCAAGTGGACCTTGCTAAGAATTTACAGAACAAGATGAGCACAGATTGGTGAGTAAGTTTTGGAAGACAGCAAGGTTTTGTGAATCTAGGCTCTGAATTTAGGAATGCCAAAAACATCTGTCTTAAATTTGCAGTCTACCTATATTAATAATAATAGAAAAAATATCTCAAAGTAGAACAATCCAACATTCACTGAGAAACAGAAAAACACAAAGAGGGAAAAAATGTAGTACTAAAGGAACAGCTTTTGTATCAGCCTCAAAGTATTTGAAGGGCTTGAAAGAGGGATTACATTTATCATCTAAGACTTCCAACCAAAAGGAAGAAATTTCCAGTGAAAGAAATTTTATTGTATCTTTAAGCAATACATAATGGAGAGTTGTTTTCTCTTAGAGATAATTTAGAAAGCATTCCCATATTTTTTTGTTTTTTTTTTGTTTGTTTTTTTGTTTTTTTGAGACAGAGTTGCCCAGGCTGGATTTCAATGATGCAATCTCGGCTCACCGCAACCTCTGCCTCCTGGGTTCAAGTGAGTCTCCTGCCTCAGCCTCCCCAATAGCTGCGATTACAGGCATGTGCCATCATGCCCGGCTAATTTTGTATTTTTAGTAGAGACAGGGTTTCTCCATGTTGGTCCGGCTGTTCTCAAACTCCTAACCTCAGGTGATCCATCCGCCTTGGCCTCCCAAAGTGCTGGGATTACAGGCATGAGCCACTGCACCCAGCAAGCATTCCCATATTGAGAGGTAGTTTAAAGAAGATGACTTTTCCTTTTGCAAAGCTCACTTAGTCTATAATACATTTTGTGATGAAGTGTTCAGAATATTGACAGAGCTATAACTATAATGCATGAGGCTGGGCCTTCACTAGGGAGAAAGAAAAGCCACATGTTTATGAGGCTTAGCACCCCAAACCTGCTCTCTGCTGCCAAGTATCTTGCCATTTGGCTGTTCAAAACTTTCTGCTTGTCAAGAAAAAGAGGCAAAGACACTACTTGTCCAACAGAAAAGAAATAGATATCAAGGCAGCTTCAGGAAGGCTCTGCCCTACTTCATGATGCACCACACAGTAATTGTATCTAAGGAATTCAAGAGATTTGTCACATCCTACAATTAGAGATACTTTCTAATGAAGTTATCTGGTCTGGAAACCTCTTCTTCAAGACAGTGAAATTCTATAGTTGTCACTCAGTAGTCTTTCTCTCTGTTCAATTCCTTAACAGATTTGTTTAATATCTGATATCCATAGCTCTTCATTAACTCATACAATTAGCAAAATGTAAGGGATAGGTACTTCATTCCGGGTCCTATGATTACTGTGGATAGAGTGGTGAGTAGAATAGATTGGGGTCTTGGAAAAATTATAATCAAATCAGAGAGAGATACAGGTTTTAACCACAATAATCATACAGTTGAATATATGAGTAAGACTACATTAAAATGTTATTAGAAAAAGCCACAGAGTACTATGAATATGTATTTGACAAAACTGACCAAGACTAGCAAGATCAGAGAAGACTTAGCTCTAAGAAAGTGATGTATTGGTTGATATCTAAAGGGACTTTACTGGGAGAATTGCAGATGAATAGGGAAGAAAGATCAGCATGCTGGAAGACCTAGAACACAAAGGGCCACGATACATAATGCATTTTGTTAGGACTGAGAGAAGGACCAGGTGGTTGAAGAAATGAAATAAAGGGGCAGCCTATGAGAGACAAGGTTGCAGAGATTGATGAGGGTCTAGTCAGTAGCTTTTTCATGTGAGCAAGAAGACACTGCTAAGAAGATAATGGCAGATTGGGCTGGGGAATATCTGGAGTGATAACAAGAAGGGGCTGGATTGGAGAATTACTTAGATTGCAAAATCAACAGACTTTGGTGTTGGTTGCAATTTGGGAGTGAAGGAAGAAGAGGTATTTTTCCCTACTTTCTGGTTATGCAATTGGATGAATGGTGCTGATGTTCCCTGAGATGGGAAACCTAAGAACCAAATTTGGGGGAAGATCATAAATTTGATTTGGGTATGTTCATTTGAGGTTCCTTTGAGACATTCAAATGGAAATATGAGTTCCTTGTTAGATACTTTTGTGATCGGAATTCTTAGCCAATATACAGATTAAACATTGCTATCTTAAACTCTTCAAAATAGCTTGAATAATTTGGTGAAGAGGACCTAAATATAATCTCTTCCCCTGAAAAACAACCAAATAGCATGTAATAATAATTTAAAAGGCATTTGGAAATCAGACTTCTTTCTACAGTGACGGTTATCTATTTATTCATTTATACCCACTCAAATATCATATATTAAATATATAGATACATATTATAATTTTAGCCTAATTAATATTACACAATTGACCTGCGAAAGCTATCAACTTTGGGTAATTTATGTGAGTGTTTGTGTGTGTGTATGTAATTCTACTCACTAAAATATGTACTCATGAAGCATCCTGAGATAAAATATATTTAACACATTAATATTAGAATAAATATTTGTAAAAGTCATAAGCCCTTATTCAGATATCATTGTATTTTGTTTAATAGGAAGAATCAATTCTAGAGCTTCAAATACATCTGCTTCAATTGTGTCCTTTAACTTAGAAGTAATGTGTAATTTAGGTAATGCTGGATTGTTGAAAGCTGCCTTCATCAAGATGCAGTATCAAAACAGCCCTATGCAACAAAGCACTTCTACACCCATTCATAATCAGGCCACTATTTGCTAACAAACCTCAAATGGCTTTCATGGGTAATGGGTTGACATATCATCCTTGACACATTGCACATAGGGAACATGCTTGACTCGGTCTTGCAGCCCTTCAGGCAGTACAGGATTGCAGGCGTCCACATCCATGCCCACTAAGTTGCACGGGTGCCCTTCATATGTAACCAGTGGTGATAGATGTGTGGATTTTGATTCCAGGGACTCATAAGGTGGAGTAAATATTAACATTGTACAAAAGTTTGTTAACTTGTTAATGTACTTATGGCTCATTAGGACATGTAAATGAGCTATTTATAATCTGTAATGTAGCATTTGTGGAGATGAATGAGGAAAGCATGCTGGGAAGTTTAATAGAGCCTGGGTCCTGTAAAAGGGTGTTTTGAGACTTGAAAGTATGTCTACATTTGACTAAGGCCTTTTCATCTTACCACCAAATCACACTGAAAAGCGAAGAGGTATATATAGACCAACTGCTATTTTGGCAAGATGACTTCAAATATTAGCCTTTTTGCTTTTTTAGTAATTTTTAAAAATACGATGATTTCTGAATACACGGCTTTCAATCTTTAACCCCAGGATACATATTATGCAGTTGCCACAGTCCTTTGGAGATGTTCAGGTTTGGAGGGGAAAAAATACCCTGATTACACAAATAGACATTTTTAAGTATAACTATTCATGCCCCCTTCCCCTACACAGTATCCTGACCTGTCCAGATCCTTGGTAAACTGGTAGTCACCATACTTGGGACTTGTACCAGAAAGAGGGTACGAGTTAGGTAGAGATACAGAACTGTGGCTGCTGGGAAAAGCTGGTAGGTTGATTTCCTTAAAAAAGGCCAGGGAGCCATTTCCCAAAAGAAAAGTCTAGAAGAGCCATGCAGGACTTTGAAAGAGAGAGAGAGACATGGAGCTCCTAAGCCTGGGGGACCTTCGAGGAAAGAGTCACCTCAAGAGAATGTGCCAACATTTTTGCTGTAAGCGGCAGCGTAGATTTCTCACTTTGTTACTTCTTATGGAGAATTCAGTACACACGTTCATTTAAGACTCTGGAATAGGAATTCATGTTTCTTTGGATGAAACAGATTTTAGAGGAAATAAAAGACATAGGATCATTCAAGGTGCACCCACGCACTTGGGGGTTAACTGCCACAACATTTAATAGTGTACCTCAGAAGCAGTTGCCAAGTATGGACTCACATAAGGTGGACATACACTGATCCCATACTCCATGTGTAACGTCGCCTTTTTACTTCCACTCCAGAAGCAAATAAAACTGCGCATGACTAAGAGAGACAAGAATCTAGAAAAACCCAACTCTAATTTATAAAAACAGCATCTCGTTTACTAATTCCAGTATTTTAACCACTTTGAGCAATATGTAGAGAAATGTAACCTGGTGGTTTGGAATTGGGCTTTGGAGTGACTAACAGAGTCTTAATCCCCACTCCAGCCCTTCCTAGTTGGGTGACCTTGGGCACATTATTTAAGCTCTCAAAGCCTACATTTTCTCATCTGTAAAATGGCTGTTGAGAGGTTTGAATAAAATAACGTATATAATTGACACTTTGCACTATGTATGTGGCACAGGAAAAATAATTAAATGTTTGCTATGATTATTTTTAGCAACAAATGACCTGAGAAATTTCTCACTACTAATGAAAAGAAGCCAGGAAGTTATAATACATTGCTGTAGGCAGCCTCTAGTGTTTTCCTAATTTTGTAAATTCAGAATTTAATTTTCTTGTTTTGCTTAGGGTTTAATTTTTATCAAGTGGAATTTTTTAGGTACACATATCACTTTATCTTGTGGTGAGCACTTATCAGTTGTAAGCTGAACAGATAATGTTCATAGCCTTAGGATGTAAAATAGGCAACATATATAATTTATACAGCACTAACAGAAGGCTTTTCAGGCAAATAACAAACAAAAAGGAAAATGAAGAAATGTTGACGATGAGATTTTCAGTATTGGAAACTTAAAATTCTGTCTTGCTCTTGACTCCTGGTCATTCATTTCTTTAAGCATTGCATGTGTGTGCATGCCTGCTACAAGCCAGGCACTGAGCTAGGCACCTGAGATATAGCAGCAAATGAAGCAGAGGATGGTCCCTGCCTTCATGGAGCTTACATCCTATTGAAGGTTGGCTATCATCACATTATGTTTAATGAGTCAAGAGTGGTGCCAAGAAGGAAGATGAATCTGGTGCTTACCATCACTTAGGTCCTTTTTCAAGATTGTCTTCTTAAGGCCACTGATTCCTTCTTAGCTAGGAAGGAATAAATGCGTTTAAGTAGGTAGCTGCCACCAGGAGACAAGGAAAACACAGGTAATTCTGTTTCTTAAAATAGTTAGGATTTCCTGAGGCACGGAAAGCTCAAGTTAAAATGCATTATATGTGTTTTCCATGAAAAAATGCTCATCATCACTGGCCATCAGAGAAATGCAAATCAAAACCGCAATGAGATACCATTTCACACCAGTTAGAATGGCAATCATCAAAAAGTCAGGAAACAACAGGTGCTGGAGAGGATGTGGAGAAATAGGAACACTTTTACACTGTTGGTGGGACCATAAACTAGTTCAACCATTGTGGAAGACAGTGCGGCGATTCCTCAATGATCTAGAACTAGAAATACCATTTGACCCAGCCATCCCATTACTGGGTATATACCCAAAGGATTATAAATCATGCTGCTACAAAGACACACGCACACGTATGTTTATTGTGGCACTATTCACAATAGCAAAGACTTGGAACCAACCCAAATGTCCATCAATGATAGACTGGATTAAGAAAATGTGGCACATATACACCATGGAATACTATGCAGCCATAAAAAAGGATGAGTTCATGTCCTTTGTAGGGACATGGATGAAGCTGGAAACCATCACTCTGAGCAAACTATTGCAAGGACAGAAAACCAAACACCGCATACGTGGAAATTGAACAATGAGAACACTTGGACATAGGATGGGGAGCATCACACACGGGGGCCTGTCGTGGGATGGGAGGAGGGGGGAGGGATAGCATTAGGAGATATACCTAATGTAAATGACGAGTTAATGGGTGCAGCACAGCAACATGGCACATGTATACATACGTAACAAACCTGCACATTGTGCACATGTACCCTAAAACTTAAAGTATAATAAAAAATGCATTATATGTGTTTTTTATTAAAAATATAACCACTTAATAAAACCATCATTCAAGCCAATTGCTGACCTCTAATATAAAATTGAAATCAAGTTCAGACTACATAAAAACTTCTATGTACCTATGTACAGTCAGACGCTTTTCGACAAATATTCGACTATTATCATTTGATTCTTAATATAACCCTGGTTTTCTGCCTAACTGGCATAAAGAAATCTAGTTGCTCTGAACTCTTTATTTAACTGAAAAGCAGTACAAAACACATCCCAGACAGGAGCACTGACTTCCCTCTTGAGCAATTTGTCACGGAATTGCTTACCACTGCTGGAGGTGCCCCTGCTGAGACTCTGAGCCACTTCTCAGATTTCCCAGCAGAAAAGACAAAGTTGTCTCCTGAAGGTTTTCTCATCATATCCTTAGACAAAAATTCTAGTCTTACCCAGGATAAATAATCTCAATTGTAGAATCTTCTGTGAGGTCCTTTTGATTTGTGATTTGGGTCTTCTGGGTCTCATTTTCTTTTTCTTCCACTACATTGCACAGATGTTTTCTAATTAATTTCTTACAGTCCAAGTCATTATTTTACTCAAGATACTGGTTTGTCATTTCTCTAGAATCACCAAGACACTTTGTTAGCACACCAAATCAGTGGAAAAACCCTGAGCTGAGATGGTCACATGTAACTGATAGCAATGGTGTTATGCTTGCTGTTTGAGCCAATGAGATATTTTCATGCCTTATGTCTGTTTCCCAGCCCCAACCCCTCTGCCAGGAGAAGCTATATGCTGCTCACCTGTCAAGTCCTCATAAGTAGAAATCACGAACTCAAGGGCTATTAACTGAAGATGCTCTGTTTTCTGGAGTAGGAATGTATACACATACACAAATGTGTGTGTAGTCCTGCCTCCAGAATAGCTAGGACTACAAGTGCATGCCACCGTGCCCAGCTATTTTTTATTTTTTGTAGAGACACGGTCTTACTACGTTGCCTTGGCTGGGCTCCAACTCCTGCCTCAAGTAATCCTCCTACCTTGGCCTCCCATCTCTCAAGTCCCCATAAGTAGAAATTGTGAACTCAATGGCTATTAAATAAAGACATTGTGTTTTCTGGGGTAGGGATCTATACATACACACATAAATGTGGGAAAGTTGGGGGAGCCCCTGATAGCTATGTCCCAAGAGTTCTAACCCTGGAAAAAACAGAATAAATGATACTATAATATAGCATAGTTTTAGTGAAAATTAAAAATAAATAGTTCTTCCATAGACTAATATTTTACGTGTTCTGAAGCAGTATATATAAGTATTACTGAGGCAAAGGAAGGGTTACTAAAGAGAAAAAATAAAAGCACAAACATAAATACCAAGCCTTCAGCATGCCCCCAGAGGATGTTTAATTGTCAGATGAATAGTTCAGACCTTTCATGATAAATGTCAAATGTTTGATGCTTATAGAAGAACAAAGTAAATTTGAGACGGAAATTGGGCCTTGGCTCAGTGTGAGAAGCTGGGGCTAAGGAGCAAGAATTTGTGTGCTGCACAGGAAGGCTGGTATGCTGAGAGCCAGGGCATCCGGGCCCTGGTGATTATGGGTAAGTCATCAAGTCCCTCTGAATGACAGGCTTTCATCTCCTCTACTGGGGCACAGACCTGCTGCAAGGGGCACCTTCAGCTGATTCTAAACTGATTCTAAGCCACTGCCCCTAGATTCTGAGTCATCATGAACTGTATTTAGAAATAGGCAAAATAGATTTTCTTTATATGACCTATTCAAAGGCTGAGAACACACAACCCAATGCTAGCTCTTTTCCGCATTCTCAACGCTCACCTACTCGGAATCTATCCCTTTTTTTTCTACTTTTGTGAGACAGGGTCACCCTCTGTTGTCCAGGCCGCAGTGCAGTGGTATGATCATAGCTCACTGCAGGCTTGAACTCCTGGACTGAAGTGATATCCCTACCTCAGCCTCTGGAGTAGCTAGGACTACAGGCACATGCCACTGTGCCTGGCTAATTTTTTATTTTTTGTACAGTTGAGGGGTCTCACTATGTTGCCCAAGCAAGTCTCCAACTCCTGACCTCAAGCGAACCTAAAGTGCCAGGATTACAGGTGTGAGTCACTGTACCCAACCTAACACTTTCCTTAGTCAAACTTTTTCTCACTCTGACCCCTCCGTGTTGTTTCTGCAAGTTTGCATATTCTTTACAATTAGTTTTCTAGAGAGTGATAATAACTCTTCTATGCATTCTTGAATACTGTGTTTTGGTGACTCTATTATTGTATGGTCTAGTAGAAAAGCATGGGAAAATATTAACATGCATTAAATGAACACTCCCAATTTCTCTTTTTTTTTTGAGATGGAGTCTTGCTGTGTCACCAGGCTGGAGTGCAGTGGCGCAATCTCAGCTCACTGCAACTTCCACCTCCCAGGTTCAAGAGATTCTCCTACCTCAGCCTCCCAAGTAGCTGGGAATACAGGCACATGCCACCATGCCCAGCTAATTTTTGCATTTTTAGTAGAGACAGGGTTTCACCACGTTGGTCAGGATGGTCTCGATTTCTTGACCTCGTGGTCCACCTGCCTCTGCCTCCCAAAGTGCTGGGATTACAGGCGGGAGCCACTGCGCCCAGCCCCAATTTCTCATAAGGAGAAAAAAAAAAAGAACGGAAAATTCTGGGCTCTGGAGTCAGAAGACATGAGTTCAATACCCAGCTCTGTATCTTTCTAGCTGTGTGACCCTGGGCAAGTTACTTAATCTCTCTGATCTGTAATATTGTTAACCAAAAGAAGGTGGTAAACAATTCTGATTTCATAGAATTTCTTAAAAAGTCCTTGAAATGTTGGATATAAAGTGCCTGGCACAGAGGAGACACATTATAAATCATATTTCTCTGCCCTTTCTCAAGAAAATTACCAGTCCTTGAAGGGAAGGATGATTATTTTATGTAACTCTCTGGTAATCTCAAACAGCACAGTTCTTTGTATATGGAAAGTATTCAATCATCACTAGTTGAAATGAATCCTTGAGTTGATGAAAATCAAGAGAATTGAGGATAAAATGTAAAGGAAAGAATGCTTGACCTCTAGTTCAGACATCAGATCTCGGTTCTGATTCTGTGAATGGCTGACACACCATGTGCCCTCTGGGAGATCCATCTTTCGCAGTGGCTCACGCCTGTAATCCTAGCACTTTGGGAGGCCAAGGGATGCGGATTGCCTGAGCTCAGGAGTTCAAGACTAGCCTGGGCAACATGGTGAAACCTGGTCTCTACTAAAATACAAAAAATTAACCAGGAGTGGTGGCATGCACCTGTAGTCCCAGCTACGCGGGAAGCTGAGGCAAGAGAATCGCTTGAACCCAGGAGGCGGAAGTTGCAGTAAGCTGCAATTGTACCACTGCACTCCAGCCTGGGCAACAGAGCGAGACTCCGTCTCCAAAAAAAAAGAGTGTTGAACTAGAGCAGAAGTTGCAAACTGGTGACCCTCAGACCATATCTGACAGACATGTTTTGTTTGGCCCACAAAGCAGTTTTTTAAAAATTCAGAGCCAGGCATGGTGGCTCATGCCTGTAATCTCAATACGTTGGGAGGCCAAAGCAGGATTGCTTGAGCCCAGGAGTTTGAGACCAGCCTGGAGAACATAGGAAGACTCTGTCTCTACAAAAATAAATAAATAAATAAATAAATAAATAAATAAATAAATTGTTCAGGTGTGGTGACCCTACTCAGGAGGCTGAGGCAAGAGGGTGACTTGGGTCCAGGAGGTAGAGGCTGCAGTGAGCAGTGATTGCACCACTGCATTCCAGCCTGAGCAACAGAGCAAGATCTCATCTCCAAAAAAATAAAAAATAAAATAAGTGAAAAAAAATGAATGATTTGTTAACATTAAAAATTTATGAAATTTCTTTTTAAAAAATTCAGATTTATGAAATCTTTTGGAAAGATCTGGCACCCTGGGTTCACATTGCCTCCTGACAACAGTCTGATGGAGCTAAAGGCAGCTTCTCCTGCAGTTGAGGTATGTGCTCTCCAGCTCACACAGTCCCCTCCTGACTCACTTCACTTTTTTGCATTGGCCACCTCAGGCCTGGCATTTGATTCTGAAACACTAGACTAGACAAATTCTAGAATCTCTAATTGTTCTAGCTTTTGGAGATAGAGAACCAAATTGCTGGGGGCATAACTGATGATGGGACCAGAAGTGACTTACAGCAGGAGATTGTCTATTGTCCTCTGTGGGTCCAGCGGCCTCCAGCCAGTTTCCTTCCCTCTTCTCCACTAACACAGGCTGAGCAGACTGAGAACATAGAGGTTTACAAATTAGGGAAACTAGAAGAAACCAAGCTTTGGCCTCTAACTGTTGCAAGCATATTTAGTAAAATAGCTGAGACTTCATTGCTTTCAGAAAATACTAAGGAGGAAGCGATAGCTTCCCCTCTAGAAGCATCTCAGAAAGATCCCTTGGGAATAGAGCCATGTGAGGTGTGAGAAAGTGGAGGAGAATATGACTTTGCTGGGGAGTGGTGGGCTTTCTTTTTGCCCTGCCTAACTCCATGGGCAGAGTTAACTCTGTGGGCTTTCTTAGGCCACAGAGCTCCATATCCTCAAAACAATATCTCACAGGAAAAAGAAAATGTGGAGCTAGGATTTGCAGACTATGAGTTAGCATCAATGGCTGCACAAATATCACCTAAAAGCCACCTCTGGTAAACAGTCTTGGCAGGGCAGCTCAGTCTTCTTAGAAAATTGGCCTCATATGTTGTAAACAGATGGATTCAGACAGAGACACTCAGGAACATATCTCCAGTCCTGGTACTTAACCCTAACACCAACTGTCTCTACCTCAGCTTTCTGACAGATCCAATGGATTCCTCAAAGAATGGCACCCAAATTGCTCTACTAGGTATCCACACAAATGGCAAAGCAAAAGAACAGGCAGACCTGTGGCTAAAGCAAAGGGAGAGAAAAAAAACAACATTTAAAGAAGAGAAGGCATTTATGAGTAATATGCTGTGGTAGTTAAATCCTTATCTTCTTTGAATTCTTTTAGAAATAATATAAATATAAAAAGACAAGTAATTTTCTCACCTAATTTGCTTGTGGAGCTGATAATTAAGTGTTGTTGATTGCATCACCAGAATGAATTTGTGATACTTGCTGTAGTGTCTCTGCATATTTAAAGACGAAAATGTTCTTTCTGGTGCTTAGTAAAAATATCATTTTTATGAACCCTTTCCCTCAGGCAGTTCTGTAGCCTCCATTCCCTGTTTATGGAGCTGCAAGACTCCCTGTCTGAGATATGACAAAATCAACTTTACACCTAAATGTGCCTGTCAGCCCAACGGCTCCTTAACTCTGAGAAAAAGGCCCAGATTCAGAGGCCTACAGAAATTCCAGACATTTTCAGAGAGATCTTTTCCCCCAATGATCTGCATGTGTCTTGATTATTCTAACCCCCACCCCCCTTACAGTTGAAAAAAATGGTAGGGAGGAAAAAATGTTTAATGGTTAAAAACTCCAGCTCCGGAGGCATGCCAAGTGCGACTTGCATGAACTTGAAAAAATTACTAAATTCTTTGACCCTCAGTTTCCTCACCTTCAAATGGGAACAATACTAGTAACTCATAGAGATTTGGGAAGGATGAAATGAGTGAATGCATGGGAAGCATTAAACACAGGTCTGGAGCACAGTAAGAGCTCCATACACTGTAGATATCAACATAGCCACCATCATCATCTTCACTATTCTAGAGGTATTCAAAGTAGTTGCATATCAGAAAAACCTGAGGAAATTCTTAAAAATACATATTCAGAGATCCCACACCCAAAACCATATTAGAACTGAGTATGATCTTGATTATTTCTTCTGAGATCCTTGGGTGAATAAATGCTCAGCTAGGCCTGGGAACCATTGATCCAGGCCTGCCTCCGCAAAACCTTAGGGGCTGAGCACAGAGAGTCATGGCTTTAGAGGCATTCAAGGTAAAAGACAGAGCAAGCACCCCACTGCTCCTTGAAGAACCATGGAATTTAGTCCTCAGGAAAGACTATCACCATAATTATCACTGGGTATAAGTAAGCCCTCTTCTCTCAGCTTTCTTACCTACTGGTGCCAAGGACACTCATTGCTAACATAGAGAGGTATTCCAAAGAGATTGAACTTGCTCATTCTTTGAGCAAGCATCATAGTAGAGACAGCAGCATAAATACGGATGAAGTATCTTTTTTTAATAGGATTGGTGGAAGACACTCAATTCCAACTTTTTAAACAAATTTGCCTGATTAAGTTTAGCTCCCATATGGTTAGTTACTATTCTTTGCATAAATATGCTCAGTTGAAATGGTCAGCAAGATACATTACTCCCATGAGATATGGTATTCTCCTGCTAGTTGAGACAGAGGTAGGAAAAGAAGCAAAAAAGTTCTTCATTCCAGTTGGCTGTGTCAGACGAATAATTGTTTGGGCTATGGATCAGCAGTTTTTACTCAAGCTTTCTTATGTCTGCTGCAACTCAGGCGATGGCTTCATGAGAAACCAGTGGGGGTGACTGGGGTGACCAGATCTTCACAAATTCTCAGAACTAAAGACAGCAAGCAAAGCCTTGCACTTCCCCATAACATCACAGCCATGAGTGATTCATCTCTGGTAACCCACTGCAGGCTGGAGTAGGGAAAAAATATATCATGCACACATCTCATTTCCATTTCCACCGTCTCTTCCATTCAAGAAATATCTTTGTTGGTATCTACCAACAACATTCTAAGAGGGATAAACATACATTTGGTCTAGTTCATAAAAATTGAATTTTCAGTGGGGCTTGGTGGCGTGGCTCATGCCTGTAATCCTGGCGTTTTGGGAGGCCGAGGCAGTGGATCACCTGACGTCGGGAGCTCAAGACCAGCCTGACCAACATGGAGAAACCCCATCTCTACTAAAAATACAAAATCAGCTGGGTGTGGTGATGCATGCCTGTAATCCCAGCTACTTGGGAGGCTGAGGCAGGAGAATTGCTTGAACCCAGGAGGCAGAGCTTGCAGTGGGCCAAGATCATGCCACTGCACTCCAGCCTGGGCAACAAAAGTGAAACTCTGTCTCAAAAAAAAAAAAAATTAAAAAATAATAAAAATTAAATTTTCAGAGTTCTTTTTTTTTTCCCAAATGTTATCACTTTATTGGGACTTATAGCACAGCTACCAACTAATACTAGGTTTGAAAGGTATTGCTGTAGAACAGTGGTTCTCAGCTTGGGGTGATTTTGACCTCCTCACTGGCAATGACTGGAGACATTTTTTTTGCTGAAATAACTGGGGCAGGGTACTGCATAAGGGCATCTGGTAGTTAGAGGCCAGAAAGGCTGTTAAACATCCTATGATACGCAGACAAACTCCCCAATCAAAGAATTATCTGGCGCCAAATGTCAATAGTGTCCAAGATCGAGAAAACTGGCAGTAGAAGAATTTGTAAGATCCAACTCCTGCTCACCTCTAAACCCCTGGGCCCCATCTGCACGGCAGCATGTCTCTTTTGCACCCCATCAAAACATACAGATCACCAACATTGTTTTTTATTGTTGGCTTGAAGGGCAGCCTCCACAGTAGGTGACATCTGTTTGCCGAAATCTCTCCCTCCCAGGGGTAGCTGGGAGAAGTTTATACTATTTCAGGCTGACCTGAAGGGTTACAATGGCACAATTAGCTTGTAGGTGGCAATAATCCAGTCCTGCATCCTAGAATAACTAACTTGAGTGTTTAACTAAATTAAAAAGATGAGTGAATTGGATGTAATCTGTACTGCTTTTCTGTGTTTAGGAAGATGAAATAATCAGAAATAAATGGAGTAAGGTGCTAAATAGACAGCATGTGGATTAACTACAAAAGGAAGTTAACACTCCATATTGTATGGTGAACATACTGTCTTGTATAGCCATTGCTTCTGCTGCTGCTATTGTTATGACTTATAACCACCCTAAGATAGAGTGCCCTTAGGAAATACATTCTCTATACTGAACTCCGGCAAATTTTTTTTAATTCTTTATTTTTAACCACAGAAAAGAATATCTGAAAACTGGAAGCAGTAAAACATCAATAATATGTGAAATCCTGGGGGGTGAGATGTGGAAGCCCTACTATTTACTTTTCATGCATGTTTTGCTTTCCTGTAATCTCATTTTCACCAAGTGATCCAGTGTTTCTTTTTTCTTTTTATTATTTGAGACAGAGTCTCGCCTTGTCACCCAGGTTAGCACGATCTCGGCTCACTGCAACCTCCACCTGCCGGCTTCAAGCAATTCTCCTGCCTCAGCCTCCCGAGTAGCTGGGATTACAGGCATGTGCCACCACACCTGGCTATTTTTTGTATTTTTAATAGAGACAGAGTTTCACCATGTTGGCCAGGCTGGGCTTGAACTGCTGACCTCAGGGGATCCACCCGCCTCAGCCTCCCAGAATGCTGGGATTACAGGCATGAGCCACTGCACTCGGCCCGGTGTTTCTTTTTGTGACTACGAAAAAGGATGGTTGTGTCTCTGAATTAGTCATTAGCCAATGAGTATCTGCTCTGAATCCGCAGCAAAAATGGAAACAAAATAATCATTTTAAGTTCTCATTAAGTAAAACACATGGAGGTCGTTGTGAATTTTGTTCTGTTGGAAAACTTAAAAGGAATAAATATCATCTTTTTTACTCTGATCATTCAAATTTTGCCTCCTTTAAGTGCTCATCCTGCTGGATTGTAGAGAAATTCCCGGGTTTTATGAGCACTCACCACCACCACCTTCGCCACCACCTCCGCCACCACCTCAGGAAACTTAAGGAGGCACCAGGGGTCTGAGGCAGCCTGCAGTGTTAGGTCACTGCGATATTCTGCCCTGGTTTCTACCGACGAGTTCATTGTCCAGTTGGTTCCTAATAGGACTGCTACGATAAACAATTCCAGAGGGTACCACTCACCATAGACCAAGTGTAAATTGTTCCTCTGGAAATGTCCAAAAAATACATGTCACCTCAATGCTGCTGTGCAAAGCTGTAGCACAGGAAAGACTGCCAATTCTGGAAGCCTCTGCAAAGGGGGTCCAGCCAGCCGTTCCCTTCTGATACTCCCCCTCCTCCCGGGAGCACTGTGCGGCGGCAGGATGCCAGTAATCACATACCTCTGTCCTTCCCAGTTTTGGAAAACTTCACCAGAGCTTCCAAGACTCCTTCTCCAAATCTTCTTGATTTTCCTCTTCTAGAAGTCACCCACCCACCTACAATGAATGTATCACCAGAAACAAACGTAGTCTTTTCTTCCTGGGGTGGGAGGAGGGGAGGGAAAGTTGGAGATAGAAAAATGAGATGTTAAAATGAATCTTGTTTTGTTTTGTTGTTTTTCTAATTCACCTTGATCTCCATGGGGCTGAGTTAGTCCCAAAACTTTTTTGAGGAGGGATCTGCAATAAATTGGCAAATGAGAAGAGGAGAGCGCATCCCGGCGCCATTACACCTCATGAAGATGAACCCAAGTGTGACCCGTAGCATGAAAGAGAAGGAAGTAGCTCAAGAGTCAAAAATCAGAAAGGAAAAGCAGCTAAGATAAATTTTGAAGACAAGGGCAAAGTTTACGTTCATTTATCCAGAGTACAGTAGTGATAAAGAAAAGAAACTTTTAATCTGAAAAATGCAAGCCCCTTTAAATTATCAAGCCGAGAGAGGCATTGAAATGTGACAGCAATCAGTCTCATTCTGCCCCTTGAGCTAAGTCATTACCTCTTGAAGCCACTTACCATGAGGGTTCTAGGCTGACCAATGCCAAGTGGCCACAAAGTTAACCTAACAATGCCATACACTGGACACCATAACTCATATCCTATAGTTCAATCATATATGGCCAATCACTAATCAATGTTATATCTGTAAACCAATGAGGATTCCTGTCAAACAACTTTGTATCAGCCCGCTCCTTCTTCCCTTTTGCCTTTGAAAACCTGCTTGTAACAAAGGCTGAGCAGAGCACTTCCCAAGGCAACTTGGAAGTGTTTTCCCAGCCCCTGTGCTCATTTGGGCTCAAGCAAACTCTTTAAAATTACATTTTGTGCCTCAGCTGCTTCCTTTAGGTTGACATTAGTCCATCCTTATCCCAGAGGATATGTTCCAAGACCCTCAGTGGACGCCTGAAACTGTAGTTAATACCAAACCCTATACATGTTATATTTTTTTCTATACACACGTATGTATCTATGATAAAGTTTAATTTATAAATTAGGCACAGTAGGAGATTAACAACAAAACTAATAATAAGACAATTATAACAATATACTGTAATCTCTCTCTCAAAATACTGATTGTACTGTACTCACCCTTGTTCATGTCATGATGTGAGATGATGCAATGCCTACATGATGAGATGCAGTGAGGTGAATGAGACCGGGCATGGCCATTGCATCATGCCTGTAATCCTACCACTCTGGGAGGCTGAGGCAGGTGGAGTGCTTGAGCTTAGGAGTTTGAAAACAGCCTGGGCAGCATGATAAAACCCCTCCTCTACAAAAAAATACAAAAAAAATTAGCCAGGTGTGGTGGCGTATGCCTGTAGTCCCAGCTACGTAGGGGGCTGAGGCAGAAGGACTGCTTGAACCCAGGAGGACAAGTCTGCAGTGAGCTAAGATCATGCCACTGCACTCCAGCCTGGGTGACAAAGTGAGACCCTATAAAAAAACAGAAAGTGAGGTGAGTGATATAGGCATTATGATGCTACTATCGACCCTCTGACATGTTGTTAGAAAAAGGATTATTTGCTTTGGGTTATCCTGGATCGTGAGGCCATGATGATACCATTGGCTTGATGTCAGGAACAGACAATGTCAATAGTCAGGGATCCTCAGTAGTTGAGGTTTTTGCAGAAAACTTCTGAAAGAACTTTGTAATCGGAAGTTATTGTCTCTTTCTTTTTAACTCATCAAAGTGTTGCTGCAGAGACTGTAATCTTTTCATCATCATACCAGTGACTTTAAGACACTGTCCCACATGAGAATCATATTCCATAATTTTGTGCTTTAATGTCCCTGCAATTTGAAAGTCTTCAACCAATTTTGGTAATGTCCACATTGCTGTTTCTGCTTCAGTTTTTTCTTCTTCTTCTTCCTTTGTAGATGACAAGTTTTCCTAATTCCTCACTTGTTAACACTTCTCAATGGTCTTCAATATGTTCTTCCACTTCATCAAGCATGTCGACAAATCCTTCTCTACCAACTTGTCATGCTGCATGAATGATTTTCCTAACTTCTCCATCAATCCCCAGGAAGCCTTTAAAATCATTCACAGCGTCACTCTATAAGCTCTTCCAGTGGGCATTTAGTTTCTGGTTTTAATTCATCCATTGTCATTTTAATGAATGTTTTTACATCAGCAACACTGAATGATTTTCAGCACTGCATTATATTCAGATTAGAGTCTGTGTCAGTTGCTGATCAAATGCAATCACGTACCTGCTGGTTGCATGTGGCCTTGAAAAACCAAATGATGCCCTTGTCAAGGGGCTGAAACAATGACATGGTTATATTTGGAGGTAAAAATACAGCCTCAACATTTTCATATTCATAGCAAACAGATTCAGGGTGGCTAGGGAGCATTGTCTGTTATTAATAGCACTTTACATTCCAACTTTTTCTCTTCCAATTATTTTTTTCACTTCTAGGATGAAACATTGGTAGAACCATTCCACAATCAAGATGGGTGGCACTCATACTTTCTGATTTGTTGCCAGAACATGAGCAGATAATTTTTGTTTTTGTCTTTGAGAATGCATGGGTTCTTTCCTCTGTACACTATACCTGGCTTTATCATGTGTCCTGTAATATTGCCACCTAGTACCAGAATTAATTTGTCTTTCCATGCCTTATGCCCTGGTGCCTCCTTTGCATTATGAATGTAGGTTCTATTGGGCATCTTCTTCTGGGAGAGCTCGATTTCATTGCATTTGGACTTGCTTTGGATACTATTCTTTCTCCTTAATCAACTTCTTCAACTCTGCCAGAAATGTGGCAGCAACTTCTTCAGCAGACTGCAATACTTTTTATATTTTTCAGTTCAAACCTATTTCTCAATCTGTATAAACATCCCTTACGTTCAGTAAATGACTTGCTGTCACTCGTTTCAGGGGATGCCTTGCTGAAGTCTTCGTATAGGCTCAATGCTTTCTGACGCAACATGTTACCATCAATTGAAAATTTTCTGTTCATGTCTTCCACCCACAAATTTAATGCCTTCTCCATCTTAATTAAGCATTTATCACACACTGTGGCTGTGACTTTTGCAGTTTGAGGTGCTACAGCAAACCTAGCATGCATTTCTTTCTCTTCTCACAATTTCACTGATAGAAGATTTCTTCTTTCCATAGATCTTAGTCACCTCAGGATACAACATTTTGTCTTTCCTTTTTAAGTCAAGAACTTTACTTTTTCATTTAAAGAAAGCATTTTATGGCTTCTCTTTGGCATATCCAAATTGCCAGCATCACCACTCTTGTGCTTCGGGGATATTACTAAGCAAAATAAGGGTTACTTGAATACAAGCACTGTGATATTGAGACAGTAAATCTGATAACCAAGATGGCTAAGTAACTAATGGGTGGCTAGTGTAGACAGTGTGAATACACTGGACAAAGGGATGACTCACATCCCAGGCTAGACAGAGTAGGGTATAGCTTGAGATTGTACTGTGCTATTCAGAGCAGCGTGCAATTTAAAACTTATAAATTCTTTATTTCTGGAATTTTCCAGATAATATAATTGGAATATGGTTGACTGCAAGTAACTGAAACTATGGAAAGTGAAACCATAGATAAAGAGGGACTACTCGATATATATTAGGCGACCAATTCTGTTTCTCTGGCTTTCTCCCTAAACAGTGTGTCTCAGGCAGTGTTTGCATTCACTCCTTTATTGTAAGCACTCCTCTTTGTTCCCAGCAGCCATCTAGTCCAATGCAGCCCTATCTCCTCAGGTGTGACAGAGTTGACTGGCAGAGAATGCAGTTTCCAACCAATAAGAAAGGAGAAAAGTCACTATACTCAGGAAGAGAACCAAAAGTTCATAGATCCACAGAATAAGAATTTCTCATGAAAAGAAACATTCTGGCCAGGCACGGTAGCTCACACCTGTAATCCCAACACTTTGGAAGGCCGAGGCAGGCAGATCACCTGAGTCCAGGAGTTCGAGATCAGCCTGGCCAACCTGATGAAACCCCATCTCTACTAAAAATACAAAAATTAGCTGTGCGTGTTAGCAGAAGCCTGTAATCTCAGCTGCTTGGGAGACTGAGACAAAAGAAACGCTTGAGCCCACGAGGTGGAGGTTGCAGTAGTGAGATTGTGCCACTGCACTCTAGCCTGGGTGACAGAGTAAGAGTCCATCTCAAAAAAAAAAAAGAAAGAAAGAAAAGAAAAGAAACATTCTAATCTACCGTGGTATTTCTTCTTTGACTAGCAGTTTTTATGATTAATTTCTTCACTTACTTATGGTGCGCTCCTGTTTAATAGACTTTTACCATCTTACAGGCAGTTTATAGTCCTCCTTTGTGTCCTCATGGTAGTACTTAACACATTGCCTTGCACAGAGTAGGTGCTTCACCAAGGTTTGTCTGTGAAAATAAAAGCATGAAGCAGCCATGAAAATGAAAAAAGAAAAAACTAACAAATAATAAAGTATGGGAACCAAAGCCTCTGATAACCATATTTCATTAATCTTATATAGCTACAACTCTACTCCCGAAAGCTGTCACACCTTTTAAGTGAGAGTGCTGGGTGTCTGTGTGTGTGTGCACATGTGTGTTCCAAAGAAGGAAGGAGAAGCCACTATAGTTGGCTTCTTGCTCAGCCACCCTCCCACCAGGGTGCTGGGAGCCTGAGATTCACTAATGAACATGGGTTTTATTGCTTCCATTAGTCCCCGTTAGCTGGATGAGAAGAGAGCATCTTTGAGCCTAAGCAGCCCACAAATCCTGGAGCACTTCCCTTTCATGTGCCCCACTGATTATCTACTCTGACAACAATATGGTGAGACTTCCCTCCCTCTGGCTCAGGGCCATGGTCACCACCAGAGCACACACAGTGCTCTAGGAGTGGGCAGAATAGCAGGAAAAGGTCAGAATGAACGCTTATTTCTCTTGAAAGAAATATACCTTAACTCGATTTTTTGTCTGCAGGAACAGAGGACATCTCTGCAAGGCATTTGCCAAACCTGCAAAAGCTTCTGAGAGCAGAATGCTAAACTTCTAGCTGACAAGTAACAGCAACTGCAATAAAAAGGGTTCTGAAGGGGATAGAGCTATGTCATCCCTGAGTGATAATAAAGAAGAAAGAGAAAGTGATAGCAACATACAGTATCTGAATTTATTTGTCTGGAGTAAGAAAGAGAACAGAATTTAATGAACAACAGAATGCTATGTAATGTCAAATGTCCTCAGGAGGTCTTTCCAGAGAAGGGAGCAAGTGTCCAGGCCTAATTTGAAAAGATGCTGTAAATGCCAATATTTCCTTTGCCTCCTTACAATTTGTATCTTTCATTTGAAGAGATTTTCTTTTTTAAAATTAGAGGGAAGGAACACTAATTTGCAACACGAAAGATGAATGAGACATGGCTTAATATGATCAATTGATGTGATATCCATTCACTTTTGCTATAAACAAACCACCCTAAATCTTGGTAGCTTGAAACAAAATCATTTATTTAACCCACAATTCTATTGGTCAGCAATTTGAACTGGGCTTGGCTGAGATGTTCTGACCTAGACTGGTCTCACTCATGCATCTATGGTCAGCTGCTGAATCTGCTGGGGGCTAGAACAATTCATCTCTGCTCCACATGGTCTCTCAGCTTCCAAAAGGCTAGTCCAAGCTTGTTGACCTGGTAGCTGGCAGGCTTCAAAGAGACAGAGCTGAATCGCTCACGCTTCTGGAGGCCTAGACTCACAGCTGGCACAACATGATTTCTGCCTCATTCTATTGGTCAAAGCAACTCACATGGCCAAGCTCAGCTTCAAGGGGTCAAAAAGGTACTTCATCTTTTTAAAGTCATATTGCAAAGGCATATGACTTCAAGAAGGAGTGGAGAATTACTAACTTTTTCTGACTATCTTCCCAGTGAGATTTGTTTTTCCCCACTTGGTCCTGGGTCCTGTCACAGCTTTGTGGATCAATCAGCAGCTGATCTGAAAAAAGAGCACTGGACTGAGTCAGGAATCTGAATTCTTGTCCTGATCCTGCTGTCATCAAACTGTGTAATACTGTGGCTTTGACTTTTTTAAATCTATGAAGCAAAGGAGATCAACTCTGTAAACTCTAAGGCCCTTTTCATAACTAAAGCCCTGTGATTCTTGGATAGGCAGCTTTGCTTTCAGTAGTTCAATGAAAAGTAAGCATAGTAATTTATTTATTTATTTATTATTCTTGGAGGTGGGGCCTCACCCAGGCTGGAGGGCAGTGGCATGATCATAACTCACTGCAACCTCAAACTCCTGGGCTTAAGTGATCCTCCTGCCTCAACTTCCAAATAGCTAGGATTATAGGCATATGTCAACATGCCCAACTAATTTTTAAATTTATTTTTGGAGAGATAGGGTCTTGCCTGGTTGCCCAGGCAGGCTGGTCTTGAATTCCTGGCTTTAAGGGATCCTCTCACCTTGGCCTCCCAAAGTGCTGGGATTACAGGTGTGAGCCACTACGCCTGGCAACATAGTAATTTTTTATTTAAAAACGGATATGATTATGTCTTTCATTATCTTCTACTCTAGTCATCACCCGCTCTAGCTTGTCTCTCCTCTGTTCTACTATTTAAGCTATCTCCCTGAAAAAAATTGGATAAATTAAAGGCAAATAAATATCAAATGGTCTCTTTTTAATTTTAATTATCTGTTGCACTAATAATATTGTAAAAATGGTGGTATAAATAGATACACATTCAAAAATCCTACCACTCAGGTAATAGACACATAACTGCATGTGCTCCATGAACACTTACATATAACACACATGATAGTTAAAATTCAGTCATAATTTTTACATTATTATTATTATTATTATTGAGACCAAGTTTCACTCTGTCACCCAAGTTGGAGTCCAGTGGTGCGATCTCCACTGACTGCAACCTCTGCCTCCCAGATTCAAGCGATTCTCCTGCTTCAGCCTCCCTAGCAGCTGGGACTACGGGCACCTTGCCACCAAGCCCAGCTAATTTTTGTATTTTTAGTAGAGACAGGGTTTCACCATGTTGGCCAGGCTGATCTCAAACTGCTGACCTCAGGTGATCCACTCACCTCGGCCTCGCAAAGTGCTGGGATTACAGGAGTGAGCCATCACACTCGGCCTCAGTCATCCTTTTTTTATTTTTATTTTATTTTATTTTATTTTATTTTTTCTGAAATGGAGTCTCGCTCTGTCACCAGGCTGGAGTGCAGTGGCACGATCTTGGCTCACTGCAACCCCCGCCTCCCAGGTTCAAGGGATTCTCCTACCTCAGCCTCCCGAGTAGCTGGGACTACAGACACGCGCCACCATGCCCGGCTATTAATCATTATTTTTAAAGTACACATCTTTATTTTTAAAAACATACAGCAAAACACACACATCTTAAGTATACAGCTTCAAAAATTTTCCAAACCTAAACATACTCACATAATTTGTACCCAGATCAAACAAAACACTAACAAAAACCGAAGAGCCCTCCTCATTACCCCTCCCTATCAATACTCAAATTTCCAAAGGTAACAAGTATCTTGACTTCTATTTCGATAGATCAGTTGTCAGTTTTTGACCTTCAGGGAAGTGGAATTATACAGCGTGTACTCTTTTGTAACTGGATTCTTACACTCAATATTGTATTTGTGACATTCATTCGTGTTGTTACATGTACTAACAGTTTGTTCATTTTCATTGCCATAAATGATTCCATTGTATGAATATATCAACAATTTATTTACCTATTCTACTATTAGGCATTTTGGTAGTTTCCAGTCTGGGGCTATCATGAATAGAAACTCTATGAACATTGTCATACGTGATTTTTGGTACACACAGGTACAAATTTCTGTAAGGTATATACCTAAGAGTAGAATTATTTAATTGTTGATTTTATATTCATCATTAGTAGATACTGTTGAGCAGTTTTCCAAATTGGTTTTACCAAATTACACCCCCACCAGCAGTATATAAGAGTTCCCATCGCTCCACATCAAGTGTGGTATAAACATGCAATGGAATATTATTTATTCTTAAAAAGAAAATAAATTCTAACATAAGCTACAACATGGGTAAACCTTGAGAACATTATGCTAAATGAAATAAGACAATTATGAAAAGACAAATACTATATGATTCCACTTATTTGAAGTACTTAGAGTAGTCAGAACCACAGAGAGAAGCAGCAGAATGGTGGTTTCCAGGGACTAGGGGACAAGGGGAATGCAGGGTTATTGTTTAATGGGTGTTGAGTTTCAGTTCTGCAAGATGAAAAGAGTTATGGAGATGGATGGTAGTGATGTTTGCACAACTATATGATTGTTCTTAATACCATTGGATGGTATACTTAAAGATGGTTAAGATGATAAATTTTATGCTACATGTATTTTACCACCGCAACAAAAATATTAAGAAAAATACGCAGAAAGAAAACGGTCATCAGTCTAAAACTTTGTGTAACATATATGGTGTCTCCCCCGTCTCAATTTTCATAGATACCCATTAGCATGTATGTTTTCCAAGAGACATAGCTCTTTAACATCAACTATATTCTGTAACCAAGCCCTTCATCTCTGGTATCTCCCACATAAACTCTTGCTAAGCTTCTTAGACTGAATTAGATGGCAGCCTACTGTTTCTCTGGAAGTTCCCCTTGGCACAGTCCCAGTCCAGCCTTGTAACGTCCTATACGATACCAAATGAGAAACAAGATGGATGAGAATATTCCTTATTCAAGCCATTTCCTAACTGAAATAGAAACCAGGTAAATGATAGGTATAACCATTGTGATTTTTTTTTTTTTTTTTTAGATGGAGTTTCGCTCTTGTCGCCCACGCTGGAGTGCAGTGGTGTGATTTCGGCTCTCTGCAACCTCTGCCTCCCGGGTTCAAGCGACTCCTGAGTAGCTGGGATTACAGGTACAGGCCACCACATCCAGCTAAGTTTTGTATTTTTAGTAGAGACGGGGGTTTCACCATCTTGGTCAGGCTGGTCTTGAACTCCTGACCTCAGGTGATCCACCGGCCTTGGCTCTCCAAAGTGCTGGGATTACAGGCGAAAGCCACTGCACCTGGCCTTATTGTAATCATTCTTAACTAAGATATGAATCAACTTGGGGCGAATAACTCTTTTAGAGCTATTTTTATTTTCATTGAATCAGGAAACTTTTTTAATAGGTGCCAAATCCAAACTTATTATTTTATTTTATTTTATTTTATTTTTGAGACAGGGTTTCAATCCTGTCACCCAGGCTGAAGCGCAATGGTGTGATATTGGCTCACTGCAAGCTCCACTTCCCAGGCTCCAGCAATTCTCCCACCTCAACCTCCTGAGTATTTGGGACTACAGGCATATACCACCATGCCTGGTTAATTTTTAGTATTTTTTTTTTTTGCTAGAGACAGGGTTTTGCCATGTTGCCAGGCTGGTATCAAACTCCTGGGCTCAAGAGACTCACCCGCCTCAGCATCCGAAATGCTGGGATTACAGGCATGGGTCGTCACACCTGGCTCCAAACTTAATTTTTAAACTACTTAGGTCTCCAATATTTTTCAATCCCAAATATTCACGTCAATCTATGCAGTCAGACCAAAATGCAAAGTGTAATTGGAAAACTTTTGTTTAACTTGAAGAAAAATTATGTCAAAAGATGGCATCAACTATGTATCAATAGATTATTTCTAACATCCTTTTTAATTTTACTATGTTATAGTTACTATTAAGTAATAATAATGGAGATTATTTATTGACTGCTTTTATCTCATGAGGAAAGAGGGTGCAATTATTTTTACCCATTGTACACATAAAAAAACTAAGTTCTAGGAAGGATGAATAAATTTCATCCAGAGGTTATTTGCAGTAGCCAGGATTCTTATTCTGGTTACAACATACACATGTGCCTAACTATTACTTTCTGTAAGGGATGTTGAGTTATCATCCTCATTACCCAGCCAGACTCTAAGAAACAGGCATCAGGAAAGAGAAGGGATATGAATATATAGAAAATGTATCACCTGTTGAGACAACAAAGTGGATAAATACATCGTCCACTCCTGATACTACCTCTTATAAGGAGGTGAGTTCAGAAATGTCATTTCGCCTTGCTGTGCCTGAGATCTCCTCACATGTAACATAAGAATAATAAAGCCCTTCATAAAAAAGGAAAATGTATTGCCAATGAGACAGAGTTAACAAGCAGTGGAAAATGCTACTAAAATGAAGCTATGATATATTTTTGGCAATTATATAAAAAGATGTTATGTATACTTGTCTAATTACAATTAAAAAAAAAGTGAACTTGCCTACATAAGAGACTAAAAAGACAGTGGAAGAATTTTCCATCCTGAAAATTCAGTGAAGGTCCCAGAGAGAATCTAATCTGCTTGTTCACTGAAAGTATTACTCAATTACTATCTCTAAAAGAAGAAAGCAAGCCAGTTTATTCTGTGCCTGGAGCAGCACCTGGCACATAGAAGGCACTCAAAAACTATTCACTGACTGCCTAACTGGTTGAATTGAGCATGTCCTGGCCTACCTGGGTGAGCAGATGAAGGGGGCTAGCTATGATTTTATTGAGATATGGAATTGATGAGCCTCCTAAAAGACGAAATAACTGAATTAGTTGGGAGCGACGGTAGAAACTCTAGGGCTAAGATCCCTAAGCAGATGGGAGGAAAACCGTGGTGATAGTCCCTGTCCCAAGGAAGGTCAAGGCCCTTAAGTTCAATTTGCTAGCTTTGGCTGAGCTTTGGGGAAAAAACAGTTTAGATCCAGAACAGTCCTTTCTGCAACTAAATTGGCTTCTAGATAAGTCTTCAAAAATCTTGACCCTAGTTACTAAGAAGAAAAGACTTCATGGCTTTAACAATCAAGCTAATGAAAAAGTCTACCAGTAAAGGGACTTCAATAAGTTAGGAGAATAAGATAATTTGTTTCTGGCTTCATTTCAGAATTTAGCATAGAAAGGAGAAGAACCTTAATTTCATGACCCATGGGGGATGTCAATGCTGACCAACAAGCCAAAACTTATGAGTCAAGAGGGATGACATGAGACGGAGACCAAAGAAAAAGTTTTGAGGACCATCAGAAAGCATGGTCTCATGGAAACCAAGACACGAGCAGAATGTCAGGAGCAGCAGACAGAAGGAGAGGAGGTCCCTTGAATAGAAGAGGACAATAGATGGCTGGGATCACCTTCAGCATTGTAGCCAATGGTCTCAAGCCCTGGGACACAGGCAGGAAGAGCATTTGGTGGGAGTAGCCTCCTACAGCAGAGCTCTTGGAGCCAGGCTGGAGGTCGAAGAGTTCTCAGTCTTCTGGTGCTCGCAAGAACACATCCCTTATGTTTATAGGAAAATATCTAGATACATCTTCCATATGGGAACACATGGCATTATCAGAGAACCAAGGAAAATTCATAAATGTCTTATTTCCAACCCTTTGTGTCCATGTTACCACAGGCAATAAGTATAACAATAGAAATGGATATTTACTTTTATTAACACCAACTTTACCATTTCCTCAAAAGACTCACAGAAGAAATGTCTCCTGTGTCTCAGTACCAAGAATAGTTTTGCTTCTTCTAAGCAGCTCTTTGCTTTTATATTTGTGTTGTGAATCATGGGATCAATACTTTCCTGCTACTAATCAGAGGAGGTTCAAATTTGTGATCTGCCTCTAGCAAGCATACATTCTGTAGGGAATGCATTTCTTATACTATGCATTTAGGGTTCTAACTTCACAATTTCACTTTAACTTTGTTCCAATATTTCAAAATATCTATCCTGATTTTCTTCTAATTCATTTGGGAAATTGCCTTTTTTCCCTTTTTGCTTTGTTGTTTTTGTCGTTTGTATGTGTGTGTTTTACCTGGCTGTAATTCTCTATTTCATAGTCATATCAAATCTTTTTTAAAAGTGCCATTGTAAGAAAATAATAAGGTACAATAAAATAAAGATAGGTTTTACACCTTCTGTGTATCCAGGAATTTCTTTGGCTGACAATATTCAGTTTCAAAGTCTCTAAAGTCCTGCTCTTTTATTTTTCAAACCAAACATACCACTTCTCATATGTTCCTCCTCCTATCAAAGTGACTGCCATATTTTGGAGGATGGTTATGTGAGTACATTTGTACCATGGCATTCTTAGAAATCTTGGGAGGTTATCATCAGCATACAAGCTTGTAAATTCCATAAGGACAAGAGCTGGCTGTTTTTCTCACCATTGAACTCCTATATCTAGTATCATGCCTAGTAGGCACTCAAAATTATTTGTGGAATGAACAAACTGGGCTACTAGATTGCCATCAGAATGGATATCAGAGATCAACTATCAGTTTCTGTAACAGAAATGTCAACTAAAGATTTAGAAATACTAATGCACTTCAAGTTTACGATTATGGTTTGGAAGAATTATTGCACTAAATTGATGATAAGTTTAATAGCTTTAATTCACCCAAATTCTGCTGTAGCCATCCCATTTTAATCATCTCTAACCTTCTTTTTCTCATTCCCCATCCCAATACCAGGAAAAAAAAACATAATTTCATATGTCCTTTTTTTCTCTATGTCCTTATTTAAGACCTGCAATAAGTTCTGAGAAGCCAAGATTTGAATTCTCCAAGAGTTAAAATGAGAAAAAAGCATGGGAAAAGATCATGGCCATTTTTCCTAAGCCTGTTCATCTTCCTGAATTCCTACTGTCAGCGGATTCTCCTCAGCAGGTTTCATTTCAATCCATTGCCAACTAGCATGTATGGAGTCAGCATGAATGTATAAATCACATTATGGCTAAAAGCAGAAGATGTAAGTGCCTCAAAATGGTATTCAAGTCATTGAAGTCAAATGAGATGCAGCAGATTTGTGTGGTCAAGTCACTAAAGAAAGCATTCCTGTATAACGAAGGGAAAACTTAGGGAAGGTGGATATCAGAATAATGATTTTTTTCCTTTTTTAACTTTTAATTGTGAAAGGGGGGGATATTATATTTTTCTTGTCATGGTATACTATTTTAAGTTTGTTGAAACTCGTATCCCAGTGCTGTTTTGTGCTTTTTGGTTTTTGTTTTGTTTGCCGGTATTTCAGTGAACCAAAGAATGAATAATTTCTGAGTGAAAGAAAGACTCTTGAGATTCCACCCTTAATGAGTTCATCTATGTCAATCAGCATGATGCAACAGAGAGAAAAAAAGTATATTTTTAAAAACAACTAAAATCTATTGGGGATGAATCTGAAAGTATTATATTAAGTGAATAAAGTCATCAGACTCAAAATACTACCTGCTCTATGACTTCATTTATATAACATTCTAGAAAAGGCAAAATGGTAGGGACAGAAAACAAACTAGCGGTTGCCAAGAGGATTGAGCTAGGAGTTGACTGGAAAGTAGTAGGTAGGAATTTTGGAGGATGATGGAATATGACATCTTGTTGTGCTCAACTGTATGCATTTATCAAAACATGGAAATGTACACTAAAAATGGTAAAGCTACTGTATCTAGATTATTCCTTAATAAAAACAAAGTGAGGAAGACAACTTCCATTGACACAACCATGCCAGTTTCTACTGAAGGATGAGAGGGTGTGGAATGGAAGGAGGTAGAGAGGGCAGAGTAGATCTGACATTAGCATCACCATAACTAGACTCTGCGCTCTCATTGTATACCAGATGTGTTACAAACATTATCCCATTTATTCCTCACAGTAATTATCAAGTAATTTGTCCAAAGTTACATAGATAACCCAGGCATAGGTTTCCAATCCCAGTCTCTCTGATTCCAAACCCCAAGATTTTAATCACTGTGCTTAGCTGCTTCTACAATGTGTCAGGTACTAAATGTACAGAAATGCATTTACTCCTCGTGACCCTGTGGTGAAGTGCCATTAGGGCCCCCCTCACTGATGAGGAAATGAAGCAGAGGTCTCATAACTTGCCCAAGAGCTAGAGTCAAGGTGCAGAACCAAGTCTATCTGACCCTATGGTTTGATTTTGTTTGTTTGTTTTTTCTGGCGGTGGCTTGTTCTTGTTTTTGCTGCTTTCCAACACTTTTGTCTATCAAAGCTGAAACTTTGAAAGAGGATACATGTTCATATTCATGCACACAAGGAATGCAGGTCTCCTTACTCAAGTGTTGCAAAAGTAGCTATCTTGAGCTGTTGAGTTGATAATAAACCAAAGGTGGAAATACATAGCTAACTGTAACTGTGCCTTAAATATACTTATTTGTATTTATTTATTTATATTATTTATTTATAATATAAATAACTAAAATTGAAATCTGCCTTATTAAACTTTGCAGATGTTTAGTGACAATTAAAAACAAGTCTTGGAATCAGATGCCCTCAGTGTGAAATCCCCTTTTAATGCTAACTAGCCGATCCCGGGCAAATTTCTTAAACACTCTGTGCTTCAGTATGTTTTAACTCTAAAGTAAAGATGATAACAGTACCCAACTCACAGGGTTGTTGTGGCTATTAAATTAGCTAATATGCATGAAACACTTAGAACAATACCTAGGGTATGTAGCAAAAACTTGATAAATAATTTTTCCTTTGGTAAACATATGCAGAGATATAGAAGGATAAAACATAGAAGGCAGTCAACTCAAACTACGAAGTGCTTGCTGGTTTTCTTTCTTCCTTTCTTCCTCCCTTCCTCCTTCCCTTCTCCCCTCCTTTCCTTCTTGCTTTCTTCCTTTCCTTCTTTTGAACACACAAAAAATGCTGTAACTTAAGGGTGACCCAAAAAAAGTAACAATTAATTTTTTAAAAAATTTTTCTAGCTCTTACTCTTACATACAGTTCTATAATCCTAAGGGAGTGAAAGAGGTATTAAAACTGAGGGGAAATATAGCCAATTAAAAAATTGTTAAAGATATAACCTTTTTTGAGCCTTAATAGCTTTATTCCACTTATTTATAAGAACAGAATTTAAATCTGTCTTGTTTATTGTCAAACACCAGTGCTAAATACTTTCAGTGTATGCTATGTTTAACTAAGTGTGATTGATTTTCAATAGTGCTACATACTACAGGGACTGTGCAGATTGGATCTCAGAAGCCTAACTCATCTACTGGTCAAACTTTGGAAAATATCTAGATAGGTTGCTTTTTTTAGGGAGAATTCCAGTTATCTATTGCTGATTGACAAATCACCCCAAAACTCCGTGGCTTAAAATAATGATTTATTATTTTCTCTCACAGTTCCATGGGTCGACTGTGCACATTGAGATATTAGTCCTTGGGATCTCCATACAGACGTATGGAACACTGGAATCATATGATGCTTGACAGGCTGGACATCCAAAATGGCTCACTCACATAGCTGGCAACTAATGCTGGCTGTCTGGAGGCTGGAAGCTCAGCTGGGACTCTCAACCAGAGTACCTATACATAGCCTCTCCATGTGGCTTGCTCTCCTCTCAGTATGGTAGTTGGTTTCCAAGGAGAATCCTGAGAACACGAGCTAGCCTCCCAAGTGGCCCAGGAGGAGCCATATGCTTCTTATGATACAACCTCAGAAGTTTCAAAATGTCAGTTCCTTCACATGCTATTAGTGAAGCAGGTCACTCAGCCCAACCCAGATGCAAGAGAAGAGAGATTGGATTCCAACTCTTTATTATTTATTTATTTATTTGAGACAGGGTCTCAGTCTGTCACCCAGATTGGACTGCAGTGGAATGATCATGGTTTATTGTAGCCTCCACCTCCTGGGTTCAAGGGATCCTCCCACCCTTAGCCTCTTGAGTAACTGGGACCACAGTCATGCACCACCATGCCTGACTAATTTCTTAATTTTTATTTTTTGTAGAGACTGTTGCCCAGGCTGGTCTCAAACTCCTGGGCTCAAGCAATCTTCTGGCCTGAGCCTTTCAAAGTGCTGGGATTACAGGCATAAGCCACCACACCCAGCCGGATTCTGACTCTTAATGTGAAGAGCAGCATGTATATACATAGAGGGAAGAAACTGGTGGTGGACATCCTTGGAGACTGCCTACTACAAAAAAGGTTACACACAGGAAACAAACATAGGTGTGAAAAGCATTCTTAATTGTCAATGGACCTCTTTTCCCCCACCAGGGCTCCATAAAGATCTTTGAACTTTGCATCTTGATTTCTTTTTTTTTTCAAGATACCTCCTGCTAACACAGTTATTCACTGAGAATAAAAGGGTTCATGGGCATAAGGTGCCCAGTGGTTGGGATACTGGGTAATTTTCGTATCAGAGCTCATCTGACCCCCACCGTACACTGTCAGTGGCAGAGTCCTCAATTGTCATCGCTGATTTTTGCCTTTATATTCTTTACTCCTCTTATTTCTCCATTCCCTGCATAAAGCACATGGCTGTTTCTTATGACAGCAGTGTGATAAGACTGTACATAAATAGTGCATAAAAAACAAAAGCTAAAATGAACATCTTTTATTTTCCCCAAATGTAAGCTTCTGCTTCATTTTTAATAAACTTTTAAGAACCGTTTTAGATTTATAAAATTATTGCAGAATTCCTGTATTCCCCACCCCCAGTTTTTTCTATTATTAACCTCCTATATTAGCCTGGTAGAATTATCACAATTAATGAATCCACATTGATATGTTATTAACTTAAGTCCATAGTTTACTTAGATTTTGTCAGTTTTCCCTAATGTTGTTCTTCTGTTCCCAGATCCCTTTTGGGATAGCACATTACTGTTGGTGTCCTGTCTCCTTGTGCTTCTCTTGATCGTAACAGTTTCTCAGACTCTTGTTTTGATGACCTAGAGAGTTTTGGGGAATACTGGTCAGATATCTGTAGAATGTCCCCCTACCCGAGTTTGTCTGAGGTATTTCTCATGGCTAGGCTAGTAGAATGTGTTTGGAGATGTTTTATTTTTCATATTTCTAGCTAGCTTGATCTCTTCCTTTTAATTAGTCTCAATAATACGTATCTCAATCTGTTCATGCTGCAATAATAAAAATAACATAGACTGGATAGATTATAAGCAACAGAATTTTTTTTTTTTTTTTCCAGATGGAGTCTTGCTCTGTCTCCAGGCTGGAGTGCAGTGGCACAATCTCGGCTCACTGCAACCTCCACCCCCCAGATTCAAGTGATTCTCCTGCCTCAGCCTCCCGGGTAACTGGGACTACAGTTGCCCACCACCACACCCAGCTAATTTTTTGTATTTTTAGTAGAGACGGGGTTTCACCATGTTGGCCAGGATGGTCTTGATCTCTTGACCTCGTGATCCACCCGCCTCGGCCTCCCAAAGTGCTGGGATTACAGGCATGAGCCACCGCGCCTGGCCTATAAGCCACAGAAATGTATTTCTCACCATTCTGGAAGCTGGGAAGTTCAAGATCAAGGGCCAAGAGATTCAGTATCTAGCAACCATGCTTCCTTGTTCATGGACAGCCTTCTTCTCCCTGTGTTCTCACATGACAGAAGGTGTAAAGGAGTTTCTGAGGTCTCTTTTATAAAGGCACTGGTTTCATTCATGAAACCTCTACCCTCATGACTTCTTAAAGGCCCTATCTTCAAATGCTCTCACACATTCATATTTTGAAACCTAATTCTTATCTTCATAAGAATTTTTATATTCTTACTTTCATAATATGTGAATGAGGTTTCAATATATGAATTTGAGGATAATACATACATTCAGTCTATAGCAATATGTTTTATATTTGGAAAAAAAAGAAAACTGTTAGTGGAAAGGCGTGGTGGCTCATGCCCGTAATCCCAGCACTTTGGGAGGCCAAGGTGGGTGGATCACCTGAGGCCAGGAGTTTGAGACCAGCCCAGCTAACATGGTGAAACTCCATTTCTACTAAAAATACAAAAAATTACCTGGGCGTGGTGTCACGCACCTGTAATACCAGCTACTCAGGAGGCTGAGGCAGGAGAATCACTTGAACCTGGGAGGCAGAGGTTGTAGTGAGCCCAGATCGCACCATTGCACTCCAGCTTGGGCAACAAGAGTGAAACTCCGTCTCAAAAAAAAAAAAAAAAAGAAGAAGAAAACTGTTAGGAAGATGGTATTCCGATTTTTCTTAATCTAGAACCTGTTATGAAATATTTTAAACTGTGGACTGAATTCCCAGTTAGACCTCCTGAGTTTAAGACATGCTGGACTCTTGGGAACACGAACAATGATGCCAAATATAAATTTCTATAGGTTAATATGTTATTATACATAATTCTCTAAAAATAAAATCATTTAATCTTTCTCTGGAGCTTATAAAGTTCTGGTGATTCAATTAAAATACCTGCTCAGAATATAACCATATTGTGTGTGTTTTCATCCTTACCAAGTAACAGCCCTTAAAATCTGTCATTTTTCCTTGAATGGAAGAATTGGCTTCCTATTTGTGTAAATAAATTTTATGACAACCTCTCTAGGAAAATTCACAGAATGAAGAGGAGTGCTTTGCTCTGGCAGATAAACAGCTTCTCCACTCAACATTTCTTCAATGTGTTGTTTACATTTCTCTCCTTACAGTTTCCCTTCCCATATGGAGAGAACATATTTTCACACAAACAGAAATATGTTCATATCGATATTTTGTTGAGATTTTGTCACAATGTTCTCCCTTGGCATCTATTTAACTGTTGTTCAATAACAGACTTTCCATATTTACAGTGTCAATGAATGCTCAGGGAATTTTTATTTATTTCTTTCAGCGTTTTACAAAATACCCTTATTAAATTGCACTGTCAATAGTGTGAAAAACTTTCCCCCTTTTTCTTTTCCTCTTCTTCCTCCTCAACACACACACACTACTCTGTAAATACAATGTGAACATTTAAAAATGCCAACACTAGTAATATTTATAATGATTTAATGCATCAGCCCAGGTAGTACATTTGTGAGGATTCTTATTTACCAAGAGACTGGTATTAGCCTATGCATTGCCACCAATTCTCATTCTGGGCAATTTATTCCCTTAAATTTATCTGGGTGTCATTATCTGTTTGAACTCAGGATTTTTGATTAGATGATTCCCGATGACTTTCTCAACACCAAAATTCCATGACAATATGTTCTTTTATTCATAAACTTGCCATAATTGCAGTAGTGTGCTGGTAAAGCATCTCTCTGTGGAGAAAAGCTCTGATTTGCAGCATTTGCCAGTTTTGGTTGTGTAAATACTCTCACCATGGCAAATTTCAAACTGCCAAAAGTTTAACTACCAGCTTTCAAGTTTTCTGGATATTTAGTAATCAATTCTCAAGGGGTGATACAACCTGGCACCAGCCCACTTCTTAAGCAGCTAATAATAATGACTGGGATTAAATTCATTTTAGAGGAATATATACATGTAAATCATATATATTTCTATTCAACTAACATGTTCCAAGATTGAAAATATTGTACACATTCTAGAGAATCCCTTTCTTTCCATTCTTACTGCCACCACCTTAGTCACCTAAAATCCAGATTATTAAAAGAGACACCATCACTGTCTAGATTAGTTTGGATTTCCCCCCAGAAGCACAGCCTAAGAAAAGGATTTGAATTCGGGTAGTTTGTTTGAGAGGAGACAGAATCATTCACATGGGAGAAGGGAAGCAAGCATCTGTATTACTCATGCCTTCTATTTCTGAATTGTGATGCTCTGACATCTGGGGCCTGGCTGACTCTGGAAGTTCTGCCACGCGCAGGGTTAGCCAGTTCCTGGAGATGGTTAACAACTTGCCTATGAATGCAGTTTTCAAATACAAACCCACCAATCCACAGCCCACACCCTAAACACCTCCTTTATTAGGCTGTCACATTCCCAGCCATAATCCATCTGGTCTAATCATTCCAGAGCCAGATACCAGACAACTATGGGGTAGCCCCTATATCTCAGAGCCCTTTGAAATTGTTCAAATAAGCCAGTCCTGTTTACCCTGCCTCACCCATTCTTTTCCTCAGAAACCTACAGTTCCTCCCTCCTTCTGCTTCCTGACCACCCCCAATACTTCACCCTCCTTCCCCTGCTGGGATGGCATGCCCCCTCCTCCTGGAACTGTGAGTAATAAACTATCTTTACAATAGGAATCATCTCGTGATCTGTTGTCCTTATTATACTTATATTTTTTAGTAATTCATCATGTTTTAAAAGAAAGTCAAAAGTAAAAGCAGTCACTAAAGGGTATATTTTCAAGCCAACTACCAATGTGAGCTACTGGAATTTAATTTCACTTAGAGCCAGAACAGAACATACACCTCAAAGTTATTCCTTTGAGGGGCAAGGGAATTTGGGGTATTTACACATAAAATCCTATCAGTCACTGGTAAGGGGATGACAAGAGAGAAACATTAATATTCTGTCTATTCTGGTGGCAGAGCTGGTTCCAATGACAAGATAGAGCCCTCAGGCAAAGAAAATCAGGTGCTGGCAGTTGATAGACTGGGGTGCCCTAAAGTGGTACAGGGGTGATATTAGTGCTGCACCAATAATGCGACTGCACTATCACTGACCAGTTCTTTCTGGACCCTGGAACCCTGACATCCCTTTTGAGCCAGTAACCACCAGTGATGTCACCTGAAATTGACTGCAACTTTAAGGACTACTGATTCCAAACTATGTCTCACCTTCATTTAATTACAAAAATACATGACGACCAGGTTCTCCTAATCTCGAACCCTTCTCCAGTAATTTGGCCAATGGCCAAGTTCCTTGCAGCCCTCTGGAACCATCACCTACAGCCAACACACTGACTTAGCAGCTTCACAGACTGCTTTTTTTTTCTACTTCCACAGCAATACTGAAATTTCCTACACTTTCAACTTAGCTCCTTAAATTGGACCCACATGAAAAATGTGTAGGAACCTGCCAGTCACTTGCAGCCCATAGAGAAGCTCAGGAATCGCCTCAGGCCCTCCCCACTCTATGGCTTCTGTAACCACCTTACTTACTGACACTTGTGTGTCCCAATGTCATTTGGATCCCTACTTCAGTGCCTCTCTCTGTTTTCTGGTTGAGCAATTTGATTTCCAAATGTTTACCACCCTCTGAACAGGCAGCCTCTTAGAATAATGCTGCTTCCAGAAATTGCCTGTCAGTCTATCACACTGCCTCAAGGCTCCCACGTTAAATATTTGCTAGATGAATGAATACATCCAAAGTAATGAAGAGCAGGAGATGTTATGTTTATCCTGACTTCCCATTGCCACTTCCCAACCTGTGTAGCAACCCTTCCTCCTCTATACCATCACCTTCACCCTTTCTCCATATCGACTCATTTCTCCACAAAACCTGCAAGACTTGGCAGCCTTCCTTCCTCCCCCAAGTTTTGGCAGGGGACAAGACAGATTATGTGGTAGATGATCAGCTAAGAAGGCTACCAACAATTGACACACAGCTTCTCCATCAAGTGGAGGAGTCCAGTTCCCCTCATCTTGAATCTGAGTTTGGCTCTGCGATTTGCTTTGACTAGCAAAATACAGATGATGTTCTCTGAGTTTTAGAGCCTAGGCCTCAACAGGCCAGGCAGCTTCCATTTTTCCTCTCTTGGGACACAGCCACCACATAATGAAACTTGGGCTCAATTCCTAACTGACGGAATATCACGTAGAGAGAAAGAGTGATGCAAGCAGCCTTCAGCCACTCCAACCGTGGAGACAAGGCTCTAGACATGTGAGTGAAGTCATCGTGGATGTTCCCAGGCTGGTTTTCAGCCACATGAGGGATTCAGCTGCACCATGTGAAGCCAAAGAACTGCTCAGCGGATCCCAGTCAACCCGCAGAACTGTGAGAAATAATAAAACTGTTATTTTCTTAAGCCTTAAGTTTTGAGGTTCTTTACTGTGCAGCAATAAATAACAATTTATTTAGTTCCCTTATTTCTCTCCCTACTATGCCCTTTATTTATTTATTTGCTTATTTATTTGTTTGTTTGTTTGTTTGTTTGTTTTGTAGAGTCAGAGTCTGGCTCTGTCACCCAGGCTAGAGTACA
The DNA here is from genome assembly GCF_000001405.40 of Homo sapiens. Classification (NCBI taxonomy): domain Eukaryota; kingdom Metazoa; phylum Chordata; class Mammalia; order Primates; family Hominidae; genus Homo; species Homo sapiens. Next base: position 27,775,933 of record NC_000003.12, on the reverse strand, counting down.
GCAGCACGATCATGGCTCACTGCACCCTCAACTTCCCGTGCTCAAGCAATACTCCCACCTCAGCTTCCTGAGTAGTAAAGACTACAAGTACATGCCACCAGGCCCAGCTAATTTTTTAAGTTTTTTGTAGAGATGAGGGTCTCACTATGTTGCCCAGGCTGGTCTCAAACTTCTGGGCTCAGGCAATCCTCCCGCCTCAGCCTCGCAAAGCACCGGAACCACAGGTGTGAGCTACCATACCTGGTGCATTTATTTTACTAATAGGAAAAAAGTCTAAGCACTGAAAAAGGAATAACTTACAATAACATAACTCTGTTAATAGAATCTGGTGACCAAATCACTGGTTGAATGTATATTGGCTTCATAACAAAGAACTACTTTTTAAAAACTTAATCAGTACTAGCCAGTTGCAATAGCCCCAAACCAAAGACTTCCTAAAGGCCCACAAAAAGTAGAACTGTATAATAAATTGTCATATATTTGAATAACAGGATACCATACAGCAATGAAGACTATGTACAACAGTATGGGTGAATCTTATAAATATGCTGTTGACTGAAGGAAGCCAGACAGGACAGAGTACATGCTGCATTATTTAACTTTTCTGAGGACAAAACTGGCAACTCTTGGTGATGTTGATAAAAGCCAGAATCACACTTACCCCTCAGGAGGAGGTAGGGACAGGAATGAAGCCTGAGGTTGGCATTGGGGGTAAAGGTAATATCTACTTCTTGATTTAGGCATTGGCTGCACACGTGTGGTCAGTTTGTGAAAATTCATTGACCTATAGACTTTTGATATACGTATTTTACTTCAATGAAAAGTTTTAAATATTAATCAGGATTAGAAGAATATTCCTCCAAAATTCCAGCAAACAGTCAGCTTATTTTGCATTGGGAGAGCTTTGAAAGTGTGTTCTATTTAAGGCATGAAAAATGTGACATGAGCTTAGATAAGTTCAGTATTTCAGTTAAGGTATATATAGCATTTGTTAGGAAATAAACATCTTCATTCCCTTTTTCTACCTTTCTAATGACCTCTCTATCTAAATAAGAATCATACTTGAACCTCCGAAGTCTGGAAAATAAAGAAAGTCTCTCTTCTTTTAGACAGTATGGTCTGAACACTCCCTCAGTACAGAAATGCCACCAGCTCCCAGTTCATTGTCACATGAATTGAGACCCCAAGGTAAGCATCAAGGGGAACCACGGAAGTAATAGACAAGTAGGGACCCAAAGTAGCCCTTCAGGGAAGAACTGGTGAGACATGGCATTCACTCAACCCATATTTACTGCCTTGCCTGTGTCAAGCACTGTGCAAGCAGCTGAGTGTACAATGATGGGCCAGGCAGACACCATTCCCTGCCCTTATGGAATATTTATTTTTTCAATAAAATATATTTTTAAAAGCATATCATATATTAAATATATATTTATTTTTGGTTTTACATTTGTTTTTGCCCATCACCTCAATTAATATGTCGTTTTTAGCGAAGACTGTTGTACATTGAAACCTATTTCCTCTTCTTTCTGAACACAGCTGGACTACATTGTCCAGCCTCCCTTGCCCTCGGATTTGACCACATGGTTGAATTTGAGTGGAATATAATGTTAGTGGAAGGGATGTGTACCACTTGTAGGTCTGAGCCAAACAAAACAAAACAAACAAAAATCCCTCCCATGAGCACTTTTCCACACACTCTTTCCTCCTTCCCACCAGCTGAGGTGAAGATGACCTTCAGGAAAACCTGGAAGTCACATGGCAATGGCAGACAATGACAATGGCAGAGACTCCGCTACACTGAGTCCCTAATTAACTGCCTGGCTGTCCAGAAGAAAGCCTCACTGGAGTGTTAGATGAGTGAGAAATAAACTTCCACTGGGGCTTTAGGTATTATAACATCTAGCATTAGACACGAATACATCAAAGTTTCCATTTGATCTGAAAGTCACCATCTTTGTATCCACTGAAATGTCTTCTAAGAGTGAGTGAGGTGTCTGGCATGTAAAAGAGAATCATTCAGATTTCTCTCTTTTTTTTTTTTTTTTTTTTTTGAGATGGGGTCTCGCTCTGTTGCCCAGGCTGGAGTGCAGTGGCACAATCTCAGCTCACTTCAGCCTCTGCCTCCTGGGTTCAAACGATTCTCCTGCCTCAGCCTCCCGAGTAGCTGGGATTACAGGTGCCTGCCACCATGCCTAGCTAATTTTTGTATTTTTAGTAGAGACGGGGTTTCACTATGTTGGCCAGGCTGGTCTCAAATGCCTGATCTCAAGTGATCTGGCCACCTCAGCCTCCCAAAGTGCTGGGATCACAGGCATGAGCCACCATGCCTGGCCCAATTTCAATAAGTAGAATTGATATACAGAAATGGAGGAAACTTTGTATCTTGGTTTGGATTCCCCAGAAGTAGTCTCTGGGACATGGATTCAAGCACAAATAGTTTATCCGGAAAGTGACACCGAGAAACACCAGTAAAAAAGTAGGAAAGTGAGATAGGGAAAGGAAGGGAGCCAATAAATGGTGCATTACCACCACAGTGTCCACTGTGGGAAACTGGAGCCCATTCCTGATGGGTAACTCCAGAAGACAATGAAGAACAAGCCATAGTATTATCCCAACTGAGAGATGAAGGTGGAATAAGTATCCACCAAGTCCCCATACAACATTGGTTGAGGGGCTTACCTCTCTGACACTTCTAGCCTGTCCTTTGTACCAACCAAGCATGCTCCTATGGCTAGGGATCTAGTAGGGGGAAGATTCCACAGGCAAAATTTATAGGTATAAATAGCTATCCATGTGTAGAAATGAATGCCAAGGGGATATGGATAGGGCACTCAGATTTGGCCCTGGAGAACCCCTAACAAGGAGCCATAGTTTAAGAATCCTCTTGGGACTAGATCATTAGACTGGTAATTAATGGGCCCATAGCAAGAACTCAATTTGGATCCTCAGTCATATCCATCACCTCGTCTTTTGAGTCTTTCTCTGCTCTAGCTAGACTTTCCTATGCTCCAACTCTGCAACACCAGCCTGCTTTGGCCAGTATCATCCTCTTAAATTTCCTGCCCAGCCTTCTCTGCTCATCCAGCTCTTAGCAATCCTTGTAGGCTCAGCTCAAGATTTACTTTCTCAAAGAGTCTTGCCCTGTCTACTCAAGTCCTCAGAGAACCTTTTCTTCCCCTCTGGTGAGCTCATAGCCTTTAATGGGAATGATTCTTTGGGGCCTCTTATTATGTACATTGCCCTTAGATATCTCTACTACAAATATCTGATCTGTTTCTTTAACTCATGTGCAGCTGCTTAACTCATACAGAGCTGCATGTACATGGTCTCCCTGATGACTTTACAAATGGCAAGGACCATTTGCTAATACTTTGCCATATCCACACTTAACACTGAGCAAAGCCAGAAATAGACAGTTAGTAAATAATTGTGGAAGGAATAAAGAAATTGAGGGAAGTATGGTAAAAGGAGAGTGAGGGGAGGAGGGAAGATGACATTGGAACAGGAAAGGAGAAGAGCATAAGTGGAAGGTGCTTCTAGGATGACTATTTTAAGAAAATAATAGACTTAAATAATTGAATTAAAAGCTTTGAACTATTTATGTAGATATGCATTGCTATATTCTTAACTATGCTATGGCACAGTTCTCAAGATATCTTATTTTACTTGCAATATTTCATTTTTTTTCTAATTAGCCACTATTATAAAATGTTACTTATTCAGTTTTTGAGCAGCCTCAGACTTTTGAACATTGTATATCCACAATACTTATTCATTAGTTTGATACATAAATAGCTAGACAGGTAGACAGGTAGAGAGAGAGATAGAAAGGTAGCTAGATAGATGATAGATAGATAGATAGATACGTTTGTATATTTGTATATATGTATGCCCAAATATGGATGCTCTCATACTGTTTGATGAATAAACATTTTGGAGATGAATGATCCCATTCAGAAAAATAAAAGTGCTGGCACTGCTTTTATGTAGCATAAGTATTACAAATTAATACAGATGACACAAAGGTAAAAACCTTTCAGTATCTCAAAAACAGTTTTACCTTTAATGAGATGCTGAAGAATTTCAGCTTATTGACAATGTGTGCAATTTTCTTTTTTTTTTTTTTCTTTTTTTTTTTTGGATGGAGTTTCACTCTTGTTGCCCAGGCTAGAGTGCAATGGTGCCATCTCGGCTCACCGCAACCTCCGCCTCCCAGGTTCAAGCGATTCTCCTGCTTCAGCCTCCTGAGTAGCTGGGATTACAGGCATGTGCCACCACGCCCAGCTAATTTTGTATTTTTTGTAGAGACAGGGTTTCTCCATGTTGGTCAGGCTGGTCTCGAACTCCCGACCTCAGGTGATCCATCCTCCTTGGCCTCCCAAAGTGCTGGGATTGCAGGTATAAGCCACCACTCCCAGCCACAATTTTCTTTAAAAAGGACACAATTAAAAAATATACATAGTATCTGGAAATACCTTGTTGAAGACTATGCCTAAAACATGAGATGAAATAAAGGATGTTAGATTTTATCTCTCTGAGATAAAAATTTCATTATAACAGGCAAAACTATCATTTGATGAGAGTTTAGTTTTAGGAATGCATCATGTATATAAAAAGATAAGATGAATTACTTTTATGAGCCCTATAAAATACAGCAAAGAACTGGCCACCTTCCGCACACATTATTGTACTCTTTTGGTTGGAAAAACAGAAGCCATACATTTTTGAATGAGAAAGGAATTTATTATTAGGATAACAGGTGTCAGCACCCACCTTTAAGGCAGGCAAGAGGGCCTCCTGCACTGAGATCCCCACTTTATAGCAAAGCTCCTCAATGTGTGATCCACAGAGCAGTGCCAGTTGAGGAATTTTTAGGTACCTATCTGCCACAAGGGAAATACACATAAGAAAGTAAGCATAAGTATTCAGAAACTTTTATAACAACCTGACATTGTCACAACATTCAAGCATATGATTTTAATTTTACAAAATTATCAGTCCACAACATTACATGTTATTTCTAATACCATTATAAATGTGAAAGAAATGGACCTTGACCACATATAGTTGGAGATGCATTGCTTTCGAAAACTCTGTCTGGCCCTCCTCAGCCATGCAACTCTCCATGGGGCAAGGGGTCTGTGGTCCGTGGGGATGTGTCCACCCAGATCCTTTTAAATCACTCCTCAAGTACCCAGGACCCCAGAGATCTCTACCCAAATGGGCAGAAAGAAAGACAAAGACAAGATAGTAAATGTAAGCTATCTCATAAATAAGATTAGTCCTTCCCTCTGACCCTATCTGTCTTGATCATGCTTCCCCTCTGTCTCCATTTCACACTTAAAAGATAACCTTAGAAACGCAGGACGTGAGAGAAATGCAAATCAAAACCACAATGAGATACCATCTCACACCAGTTAGAATGGCAATTATTAAAAAGTCAGGAAACAACAGGTGCTAGAGAGGATGTGGAGAAATAGGAACACTTTTACACTGTTGGTGGGACTGTAAACTAGTTCAACCATTGTGGAAGTCAGTGTGGCGATTCCTCAGGGATCTAGAACTAGAAATACCATTTGATCCAGCCATCCCATTACTGGGTATATACCCAAAGGGCTATAAATCATGCTGCTATAAAGACACACGCACACGTATGTTTATTGCGGCACTATTCACAATAGCAAAGACTTGGAACCAACCCAAATGTCCAACAATGATAGACTGGATTAAGAAAATGTGGCACATATACACCATGGAATACTATGCAGCCATAAAAAATGATGAATTCATGTCCTTTGTAGGGACATGGATGAAATTGGAAATCATCATTCTCAGTAAACTATTGCAAGGACAAAAAACCAAACACCGCATGTTCTCACTCATAGGTGGGAATTGAACAATGAGAACACATGGACACAGGAAGGGGAACATCACAATCTGGGGACTGTTGTGGGGTGGGGGGAGGGGGCAGGGACAGCGTTAGGAGATATACCTAATGCTAAATGACGAGTTAATGGGTGCAGCACACCAGCATGGCACATATATACATATGTAACTAACCTGCACGTTGTGCACATGTACCCTAAAATTTAAAGTATAATAATAATAATAATAATAATAATAAAAATAAAAAGAAATTCAGGATGTTAAGGGAGATGGTGATCAGAGACAGGAAGGAAGACATAGGCCAGCGCAGTGGCTGACGTCTCTGATTCCAACGTTTTGGGAGGCTGAGGCAGGAGGGTCACTTGAGCCCAAGAGTTTGAGACCAGCCTGGGCAAAATAGCAAGACTCTATCTCTACAAAAAATTAAAAAATTAGCCAAGCATGGTGGTATGTGCCTGTGATCCCACCTACTGAGAAGGCTAAGGCAGGAGGATGGCTTGAGCCCAGGAGTTTGAGGTTGCAGTGAGCTATAATTGCACCACTGCACTCCAGCCTGAGTGGCAGAGCAAGACTCCATCTCCAAACATAAAAATAAAATAATAAATTAAAAAAGAAAGTAAGGCATAATGAGAATCTTGGAAGCTATGGAAGCAGAATTGAAATCAACATAAGCAAACCAAGTACGCATCCCACCCCCCACACTGTCTCTCACCCACCCAATATCAAACACTGAAGCAGAAATCTCTCCCTAGAAGTCACCTTCTGATATTGTGGGGCTCAATAAGTTGAAAAATAAAATCAGCCTCAACTTCAGCTCTTGACTGCTCAAGCAGACAAGCGTGCTCAAGGCCCAATTTTTCTCAAAGTCCCTGAAGGTCACAACTCCATAGGAAGCCACCAGTGCCCATGACTAGCTGCTTTCTCCCCAAGTTGCATCTGGTTTAGATTCCCGTTAACAGATGCCCTGACTTCTAGCTGCTCGTTTCTCCCTACAGCTCTGGACTCTGGATCCCCGCCTTACCCAGCCATGGGATGCGTGACTGATAAACCATAACTACCAGGAAACCTGCGCACACCAAACTTCTCAAGTACTCACTCTCTTGACTCAAATGAAAGGAAAACAAAAAATAAGTATCTGGGAGAAGGAGATCCAGTCGCCGCCCTGTGGTACAGGAAGAGAGAAAACATCTTTTGTTTACCCACTTATTTTTCGCCATGGAAGTTCTGCCAAATTCAGTCATTCTGATGACCTTGGTGCTTGCCTGTCTCCCTGGCTAGTCCCTTTTTCAGTTTATTTCTGTATTTTTTAGTAAATCCTGAAAACTGCTCTTATAGAGAATTTAAAGAGAAAGAAAATACAGTAATTATTGTAGTTCTAAGCAGTTGGAGGAGGGATCGGGGGCCAGGCACAGACACGCCATGTGGAAGAGAAGCTGGAACAGTTCCCCCACCATGTGGAGCAGAGAAACTGGCAAAGCCACTTAAGGGGGGCAGGGAGGGTGGCAAGACTGCCATCAGGAGGAAGATGCTAATCCACATAGCCCCATAAATCATGGCTCCAGAGGCAGCAAGCCTGCAGTTATCAAAATAAAAACAAAAGCAAAAGCAAAGTAAACCAAACTCATGTCAGGCTACTAGGCTGCAGCCGTTGCCATCGAGAGAGAACTGTGCTGTTGTTTAATGCAAAACTTGAAATACAAGTCCTAGGTGGACTGGAGCAGAAACAGGCAGGGTTACTGTGAAAAGCAGGCTGTGTAGTTATTTCTAGAGCTTCACACACCAGACAAGAAAAGTCTGCTCACTTGCCTTCATTAAAGAACTGACTTCTTGGCCGAGCACCAGTGGCTCATGCCTGTAATCCCAGCACTTTGGGAGGCTGAGACAGGTGGATCACTTGAGGTCAGGAGTTCGAGACTAGCCTGGCCAACCTGGTGAAACCCCATCTCTACTAAACTTACAAAAAATTAGCCAGGCATGGTGGCTCATGCCTGTAGTCTCAGCTACTCCTAAGGCTGAGGTGAGAGGATCCCTTGAGCCTGAGAGGCAGAGATTGCAGTGAGCCAAGATTGTGCCACTGCACTCCAGCCTGGGCAACAGAGCGAGACTCCATCTCAAAAAAAAAAAAAAAAAAAAATGACTTCTCCACCAGCTTCCACATTCTGCATGCACTTCCCAAAGTGCTGAAGTTTTGCTAAGAGTTTGTGCTTCTTTGTTCAAAACAAGGCCAGGAGAAGGGTTTCTGCAAGAACTGGCAGTGGGGGCTGATCAAGCTCTCCCAAGTGGGAGAAAAATGCCTAGAGAGGTAGCAAATTTAAAACAAAACAAAACAAAACAAAACAAAACAAAAAACAGGAAAATATTCCAAGTGACAGTAAAATTAACTGAGATTCCTTGGGTAACTTTATAATGCAGGAACATAGAACAAGTAAGAGCTGCAGGAAACATTTGCTGAGTGGATTTTGTAGGAAGTTGAAGACTCCACATTGAAGAATTCCAAGCATTACCAGCCCTGAGGGGAATGTGCCAGGGTGCAAGAAGAGAAGAGAGGGATACAGGTAAGGGCATAAAAGCAATTCTGCAACCTTGGAAATGTGGAGAAAAAGCATCCAGAAGGCATCATTACCATCCTGAAGGGTGTAAACATTCAGATCCTTCCTAACTATGGCCGAGAAGGTGATACATTTGTATGCTTCCCATTCCAAAGTCTTTTCTCCTTGAAAACACACATGCACTAGCTTCTTGCCCTCCCCCTGTCTCCACCACTGTTCCTTCTCTGGCCCACGGCCTCTATCCAGGTTTGTGCAATAACAGAAGGAAGAAGAGGCTTGAGGAGAAAGCCCAAGGCTTTGATCTTCCAGAGACAGCACTGAGCTCCACTCCCCTGGGTGCCCATCACCTCTTCCTGCCCATTCAGAAAGTCCCATTGATCTTTAACTACTACTTTCCTCTGACAAAAATAGGGTAAATGTCACTATCATCACTTCCTAGAAGTCAAGGTCGAGGCCCTGAGAAATTAAGCAATTTGCTACAAACATACCCAATCCAGCAGTGAACCTCCAAGAAATGCTAAGCAGCCAATATTTTAAATTCCAATTTATTGGGCCACTTTTCTGTAAAGGCGGGCTCGATAGCTCAGAAAAGTGTCTAGTAATTTATACAGGATGACTGAAGGCAGTGAGGAATGCAGGCTTAAAGAAAACTTGAAAGAAGGAGATTTTAGGCACAATATCTCAAAGGGGATGAGGTAATGACAGGAATTATGTGTTTAAGAAAAGAATAGAAAAGAAAAACTGGGCCCTGGAATTTTAAAAAATGAAATAAACTATTCAGAGTCTCAATTAGATAAGATTTTGAAGGCATCTAAGTATTAATAATAGCACTCTGGGGCAGAGGAAAAATAAATAAGAGAATAGTTGTAAATTTTTATCTGAGTCTAATCAGTGCATAATTAAATAAATACCTGGAAATATCTGCATTTATGTATTTATACTCTCCCTTTTCCAAATATAATTTAAAGCAACTTATGAGAAAATAGAAACTACATTAAGATAAAATAAATATAAAGCAAACAAGGAAAATTAGACTAAGTGAGAATAAAGGTAGAGTAGCAAGACAGAGAAAGGGGAGAGTTTAGAACCCAAAATGTAAGTTGTGGGAGAAAGTGTTACAGAGTAGTTAAGATCATTTGATGTCAGACAAAACAAGGTTTTAGTTCTTGCTCTGTTATCCTTCTGTAATAAGTTTACTTAACCTGTTTAAGCCTGAGTTTTCTCCTCTATAAAATGGAGATTTTAAAGAGCACTTATGTCATAGCCCTGCCATCAAGAACAAGCAAGAAAATTCTTATATTTACCAGGATGTCTATCAAACCGTGCTTTTAATAAATGAGACCTTCTATTGTAACTTACTCACACAGTAAAGGGAGACCCCACATTGAATCTAAGCATTCCAGCAGCCAACAGATAATAAGGTTTACAGTAGATGCTGTAAATTAAATCCATTGTTCAGGAAAAGCATAATAATTTTTCCTGAATCTGAGACTAGGCAAATAAGTTTCTCCCATGGACTTTAACAACAAAACATGAGTTTACTATAAAACTCATGTTTTTACTATAAACTCATGTGTTTCCTTATAGTAAACACAGTAATGAGCTACCAAAGGATTTAAAAAAATATTTTTTAATATCACTTCTCAGACCAGGTGTGTTGGCTCATACCTGTAATCCCAGCACTTTGGGAGTCCAAGGCGGGCAGATTGCTTGAGCTCAGAAGTTCAAGATCAGCCTGGGCAATATGGTGAAACCCAGCCTCTACCAGAAACACAAAAAATTAGCTGGGAGTGGTGGCGCACACCTGTAGTCCCAGCTACTGGGAAGCTGAGATGGGAGGATCACTTGAGCCCAGGAGGTAGAGGTTGTAGTAACCCAAGATCGCACCACTGCACTCCAGCCTGGGCAACAGAGAAAGACCCCATCTCTAAAAAATAAATAAATAAATAAATACATAAATAAATACATAAATACATAAATGAATAAATCTCACTTCTCATTATAAGCTTCCAGCTTTATGCTAAAACACAGGTAAAATAAGGCAGTCATTCAAAGGCCTCATGACATGTGATTCAGCTACAAAGTTCTCCACTGGTCCCTTTTATAATAGAGATAGATTTTAGAGTCTCAGAAAAGTTTTCTCGTTGGTTTGGTTTGGATTTTAACATAAGGTCCTTGGACCCTGATCTGTTTGGACTTCTAATTATTTCTGAACTTGTTGATGTCAGATGCAAAATCTGGGGTGGGGAGGAGAGGATGGGGGTGAGAATGTGTATATTTTTCAAGGAGATTATCCGTATTTTTCATCAGATTTCAATGGAGTCTGTGACCCAATATGTCAAGACCCAGTTTCCTAGATTAATGGATAGAATATATATGCTGCAAGTATATGATTCAATTATTTTGGCCAACCTCAAATAGGTAGAAACACCTTTGAAATGAAAACACTGCACACAGGCCGGGTACCAGTGGCTCACACCTATTAATCCCAACACTTTGGGAGGCTGAGGTGAGCGGATCAGTTGAGGTCAGGAATTTTGAGACTAGCCTGGCCAACATGGTGAAACCCTGTCTCTACTAAAAATACAAAAATTAGCCAAACATGGTGCTGGTGCATCTGTAATCCCAGCTACTCAGGAGGCTGAGGCAGGAGAATCGCTTGAACCTAGGAGGTAGAGGTTGCAGTGAGCTGAGATCATGCCGCTGCACTCTAGCCTGGGCAACAGAGCAAGACTCTGTCTGAGAAAAAAAAGAACAAACAAACTAACAAACAAAAAACACTAGACACAGATCTCAATTGGGAATCCAAAAGCTCATTATTCTTAGCAAAATTGGAAAGGCATATCTAGCAAACAAAATAAATAAATAAATAAATAAGGTGAGCTGACAAATGGTGGCTAACCAAGGCAAAAAACTGAAAAAGTAATAATCATAAAAAACAAAATTTGGCAAAGATTAAGACCATGTTTATTATAATAGAGTAGTACTTTAAAAATACTTAAACTGGCCCTTATTTATAGCTTACAAATAATTCCAGTGAAGCTGATGAGATTTCAGAGATGGTAAGGATTCCCAGCCAAATAGGAAAGACACAGAGCCTTGCTACATGTCATTCCCTCACTTTCTTCAAATCTTATCAGCAATCATTTCTCAAGCAAACTTTTCCTTACCTAAAATGTAACTACACACCCTGCACACAAAATCTGACATTTCACATCTATTATTTTCTGAAAACTTGCAATTTTCTAATATCCTTTTTTAAAAAAACTTTTCATTTTTTTTATTGTCTCTTTCCCAATTGGAATGTAAATTCTTTAAGCGCAGAAGTTTGTTCATTTTAACATTGTTTGTAATAGCTAAATACTAGAAACAACTTCGATTTCTAACAGTGGAAGAATGGAATACATGATGTCACACTCATATTTCACAATTTAAAAGATTAAAACAGATCTAGACTGCTAACATGAAACATTCTCCAAGACATGATGTTAAATGGGAAAAGAGTAACTTGAAGAGAAAAAACAAGTGGGATGTAACTTATGTTTGAAAAAAACACATTGTAACTCTATTTTTCTGTAAGTTTACTTGTATGTTTACAAATGCATAGAAAAACCTAGAGAGATAAATGACTCATAACAATGTTTATATTATAATGGAATTTCAATGTGGGGTGGCTAAAGAACTTTAGTTTGTCTGTACTGTTTATAGTTTTAGAAAATGAATCCATTTGTATTATATAGTAATTTAAAATAAATTGGGCCAGGCATGGTGGTTCACATCTGCAATTCCGGCACTTTGGAAGGCCAAGGCGGGAGGATCACTTGAGCCTAGGAGTTTGAGACTAGCCTGAACAACATAGTGAAATGCCATCTCTACAAAAAATGCAAAAATTAGCCAGACATGATGGTGCGTGTCTGTAGTCCCAGCTCCTCGTGAAGCTGAGGTAGGAGGATGACCTGAGCCTGGGGAGGTTGACGCTGCAGTGAGCCGTAATCACACCACTGCACTCCAGCCTAGGTGACAGAGTGATACTCTGTCTCAAAAAATAAAATAAATAGAAAAATGCGTTAGTTTCTTTAAATTCTTACACAATCCCTCTACATATGTTGATTGTGGATTATACATACACTTCGATGCCATAGATGGACTTTAGCCATTTTAAAAATTCCCACGTGATTTTTCTATTCCTGCGTTTCACTCAACAATCCAGTCTTGAAATATTTTTATCTTTATGCACATCTTAGCAGTATGTAGTGGTGAATACTACTTAGCTTTTCTGTTAAATAAATTGTTCCTCAGTAAAATATAAATTGCTGGCTAACTCAGAAAGCAATTAAAATCCTGAGTGTGTCACTGACCATGGCCCAGCTTACCCTTCCTTTTCCCCATTCCTGCCCCATCCCAACAGCCTAGTGTCCTTTCAGTGCACGTATCAGGAAAATTCCAGGTGGCTTTTCCTTCTCCTACAGCTGTGGCCACCTACTTACCTCCTCCTCTTCCCAGTCCCTCTAGGATTCTCCTCTACCCATACAGATCAGCTTTGGGTGCTCCTGTGGACTTCCACGATACCTTGGAAGCTTCATGCTCATAACGTTTATGACACTGTCTCAGAGCAAATGTTATTGACTATCTACTATGTGCCATGTGCCACACACTGAACAAGAGGCTGCCTGTAACACAGTGAATTAGATATCTGTTTCCTGCCCACATGAAGTTTACAGAATAGAGGTTTTTTTACTTGTTTATGTTTTTTCTAGATCTGCTGTCTCCAAATTATTTTTATCTCACACTCAAACCAATAAATACATTTGAATTCATTTTTCCAATAGTGTGCTAATAGATTTCAGTTTGTTTAAAAGTTGGGGAAAAAAGAAAGAAAAGAAAAAATTGCTTTACACGCTTGAGAGTAAAAAGGTTTTACGTTGAGGGCAAAGTAATTGAATGTACTTTAAAAACTATTGCTGTAACTCTTTGTAGTTTAGTAATTTTCTAGATTTAGAAACGGTTTTAAAAGGTTTTAAGTTACCTTCATTTCAATACAAAACTTGTATGTTTTCATTTCTATTACATCTGAAAATTTACCTTACATGGTCCTTATACGCAAAAGAAGTATCTTACTGCTTGACTTGCTTTTTCAATCTTATAAGTCAACTACACAAAAGTTTCTGTTATTAAAATTTGCCTAATCATATCGATTTCCCCTATCAACCGAATATTTCTGGTCCTTCTAAGTAGTAGGACTGCACTTCCCCTCAATCATGGTATCTGAAATGTCCATATGACTTCTTTTGCCCAAAGAAATCTGAACAGAAGTGACACGTGTCACTTCTGAGCAGAAGCTTTAAGAACCAGCGCACAACACAGTACTGCTCACTTTACCTCTGCCATCAAAACCACCAATGATTCAGGCGGTGGCTGCTGCATTGGCCTGTGCCCATGAGTTATGAATGAGAAGTGTCACTGCAAAGTAAGCCTTTGTTGTCTGAGGCCATCGAGGTCCAGGAGTTGTTTATTGCAGCATAATATGTCTATCCTGTTGGATTAGATGCTAGGATTGAAGTGGCCAGTTATTAAGCAATTGTCCTTTAGTTAAAACCTACTACTCTAAACTATGTTTTGTGACGCTGGGCCTAGAGATCCTGAGATTTCCTTTCTTCTTTCCAGGTTGGCTGCCTGTTAGGTTCTGCCAATATGATAGACACCGAAAGACTGGAAGGTGGGAGTGTAAGGGGTAGGGGTGAGAGTGCTTCCTTCCTGTTTGCCCTCTTTTCTGTCAGCATATCCACTGTCTCACAAAGATCCAGGTTTCAATATCACAGGGCCTCTCTTTCAAGTTTCCATGTTCCAATAAATAACCCTAACCACATCTCTTTGTTTCCTCAGTCTGACGGGTCACGGCTGCTTTTTGGAGTTACAATCATTGCATTACCTCAACTATTACTTTCCGCTTTTTTTCAGTTGCACAAATCTGTAAAACTAATTCCACATATTAAATTCTCTCCATTAGCATAACTGTTATAGTTTCTGTTTTCCTGCTTGGACTCTGACTGCTACACAGCGAAATCTCATTATATGTAAATAAATTTACTTTGATCTGTTCTTTACCCATTTTGCTCCATGCTTCTTGAAAATAGGAAAATTTGAGCCAGTGAGTTCATCTGTTCCTACCATTTTGGTGAAGAAAATTGCTAAGTCCATATGGAGCAAGCACTACATGCAAGGCAATGGGTCGAGGAGTTAGGTGTTCGGGGGACATTTCACACCAAGTCAAGACCTGCAGCTTTGATTTCTAAATAGTTCAGAAGTTAGCTAACATGGCTTTGGTTTTGTTTTGTTGTTGTTGTTGTTGTTGTTGTTGTTGTTGTTGTTTGAGATGGAGCTCCACTCTTGTCGCCCAGGCTGGAGTGCAATGGCGCGATCTCAGCTCACCACAACCTCTGCCTCCCGTCAAGCAAGTCTCCTGCCTCAGCCTCCTGAGTAGCTGGGATTATAGGCATGTGCCACCACACCCTGCTAATTTTGTATTTTTAATAGAGATGGGGTTTCTCCATGTCGGTCAGGCTGGTCTGGAACTCCTGACCTCAAGTGATCCACCCGTCTCGGCCTCCCAAAGTGCTGGAATTACAAGCATGAGCCACCGCGCCCGGCCTGGTTTTGTTTTTAAAACTAGGCTCTTTAAGGAGAAAAATTTAAAAATGTCATCTACTTGGAATAAAACCTATTCCCAGGTTGTCCCTTAAAGAAAATCCTCTGCCTCCTCAATTTACTGTTTGACTCAATCGAAAGCACCAGCAAAGTAATGAAAATGTAAAGTATTTGCTTCTCAGTGTACAAGGACAGAAAATCGTTTGATTTAAATAACAGGGAATTCTAATTCCTAGCAAAAAACTCAGTCAAGCTGTTGGGTGGTGTTTCCACTGCCTTTATTACACAGGTGTAGCTTAACAAGATGATCCCCCTTTTCCCATCACGTTTGCTGCTGACTGTTCTTTGCCTACTCCCAAAATACAAAATGCCACCTATATGATATAGAAAGTAAGTGTGATTTTTTTTTAACCAGCAACTGATAGCATAGCTATTAAAAAGCCACTCGTCAGGAAATTGAAGCTCAGAATTCTAACAAGTGGCTTGTTAGTGAAGAATGTCCTGCCTGAAGTATGGAGCAGGCTTGTCACTTTTTACCCCATCCTCTGAGGATAATAAGTAAGGAGGACAAAGTGAGTGCAGCCCTCCTGGGTCTCCCCTTAAGAGTTTAAAAGCAAAATATTGATTTTGAGTTACCCTGCTTCAACTCAGCTTTGCTCTCATGATATTTTTATTCCCTTGTAGATTCCTGGGTCCATTTGTTGGAGATTTAAAAAAGTAAATCACTGGTGAATCTGTGGTGTGTCCATGTAACATTTCTGCACCTAAAAATATGGTCAATTGACACCTTAAAGTTTCCAAGCAGCTCTAACTCTTAGTGACATCTCTAGTTGCATCCCTAGTATGTTCAAAACAGATAAAGTGGATGAATTGATTTTAGTTGTATAAAACCCTTTACAAAATCTCTTTGTGGCCATCTATGCAGTCTCTTGATGATTTATAAAGGATTTGCTTATGACACAAATGTGATCCTCTACTCTTCTCCATTTTGTTTTTCAACGAGATCCATAGTGAATTTCCTGAGGCCAACAGACCAAAAGCAGAAAATTCTTAGGTACCCAGTGAAAGCCAGAGTCTTTACTAATTTGTATTAAGAGACATTAGAATTCTGATTCATATTATTATCAATATTAGTATTATCATCAAAAAAGCCTTAAATTGGACCAATTAGATTCTTAAATTCTAGTTGCAACTTTAAAATGACCATTTGAGCTTTCTACTGTCTTATAAAGTTGTTAACTAAATTCTGACCAGTGAAAGCTGAGAAAAATAGCATGTTAACAGTCATTCTAAATGATGTTTAGCCACACTTCTTTGGGTTTCTAAGGAACAAATAATAAAGAATTTACATTAGGGGATAAGTCTACATTCTGAGTCTTCATTTAAATTTCTCAGAATTTCCTAACATTATTAATAGTTTCATATGCATCCTCAGGAATGAACTCCTTTTTATCCTGGACTCTTCTATGCAGATAAGGAGCCATTTATATCTAACAGAATGGATCTCAGCTTTCACATCTGCAAAGAGAGGTTTTAGAAGTCTCCAAAATCTCCTGATTTTTAAACTCCAGATGTAGATGATTGCTCTTGGCTGTGCCATAGAGATGTCAAATGACCTTGATTAATTTACTTTCACTCCAGCTTTTTATACCTCTGGATCTCCCTTTATAAAATAAATGTTACCGTATTCCTACGAGTTTCTCCATAGAGATGTTACTAAAGTCAATAACGTGTATTGAGACAATTATGCAAGGGTCTGTGGATAAAGAGATGAACAAGACACAGATCATGTTGAGACACAAACAAAGAAACCAGTGGGCAAAACGCAAGACATATAAAGAGAGAAACAGAGGGGACCCCAGGGTGTCTGGAGATGGCAGGAAAGGCTTCCTAAAAGATGATATTTGAGCCAACTATTGAACAACAAGTAGAAGTTAATCAAGTGGAAGGAGGGCATATTAATTTCCTAGGGCTGCTATAACAAAGTACCACAAACTGGGTAGCTCAGGGCAATAGAAATGTATTGTCTGACAATGCTGGGTGCCAGAATTCCAAAATAGAGGTATCAGCATCACCATGTTCTCTCTATAGGCTCTAGGGAAGAATCTGTCCCAGAGCTTTCTCCTAGTTCCTGGTAGTTCCTTAGCTTATGGCAGCATAACTCCAGTCTTCACATGGCAGTCTTCCGTGTGCTTACCCTGGTGTCCAAACTTCTCATTTTTATAAGGACACCAGTCACATTGAATTAGAGGCCTGTGATACTTTGGTGTGACCTCATCTTAACTATTTACATCTACAATGACACTATTTCCAAATATAGTCACATTCTGAAGTACTGGGGGTTAGGACTTAAACAAATGAATTGGGTGGCAGGGTGGGACAAAATTCAGCCCCAAAACAGGGAGGGACAGGTCAGCTAGGCAGAGTAAATGCCTATATAGCCACTGAAGAAGGATGCCACAGCAAGGCTGAAGTGTTTGCTGGAGAAAGAAATGAGTCAGAGAACAGGGCCTTAGGGGGCAGCCAAACACTCTGATTTTTATACTGAAGATCATGAGATGCCACTGGAAGGTTTGAGTCAGAGGAGTGGCGTAATCAAGTTTGCTGGTTTAAAAACAAATGCTGGCTTCAGTGTGGAGGATTGATTGAAAGGCAGCATGATTGAGACAGACAGGGAGACAATGAGAGCTTTTAGCAGAATTTGAGGGCAAAAAAAAAATGGTAGCTCATGACTATCTTATGAACTATTTCATTAGCATGGTTATTGAATTAATAACATTTCCTCATCAGAACTGATTCCCTAGAAAATGGATTACTTTCAAAATCAGGGCTTACTGAGGTCTTCTTTTTTTTTTTTTCAGAGGCAGGATCTCACCCTGTGGCCCAGGCTAAAGTGCAATGGCACAATCATAGTTTACTGTGGCCTCCAACTCCTGGGCTCTAGCTATCCTCCCACTTCAGCCTCCTAAGTAGCTGGGACTACAGGTGCGCACCACCACATTAAACTTCACGGAAGACTTAAAATATGCCTGATGTGATATGGTACTAGTTATGAGGATGTCTATCATAATTTAGACACAGATATATTTATGATACCCTATCTCTATCATAAATAGCTATGTCTAAATTGTAATACACACAAACACGTTGAGAAGGCAATGCTACATAAATTAAACAGAGAACAAAATTAATTAGAAAGAAAATAAAAGTCAAATACCAAAGCAGTATGCATTGCTAAAAGTAAAAAATTCTGGAAGAAGTGGTACTTTGTATGGGTCTTAAAAGACAATTAGAATTTAGATGAAAAGAAACTGAGCTAGTGTTTTGATATTCCCTTTCAAACCAAGTTATTCCTTTCTTCGACTACTGTAGAAGAAACTTAGAACACTTTAACAATGATTAGATTGGGAATGAAAGAGCAATAATAGACATGCATTGTGAAATTCTTCATTTACAAAATTGCTTTAAATTTTCTTAACTCCATGTAAGAAGACCTAAAGTGCCTTGACTCCAATTTTAACACATTGGTAACCAGTGATTCTATGGTGAAAAGCCAGAAATCTTCTCCCAAAAATATATACAGCATTGGATGTCAGCACTCCGGCAAGTAGTTCATGTCAATGTATTTCTGTGCCATCCTGAACTTGTTTCTAATCCAAAAAGAAAGTGATTCATTTTTGCCCTTTAGGAAACAGGAGCAATTTTCATATTGTGAAATTTTGGCAAAGGTCTCCTCTTCACAATAGGCAAAGGGGAGAAAGCTGCATTTGGTACCATCTGTCAATTATAAATCCTTCAAAACTAGCAATGACACAGAAATAAAATATGTAGTATGAATGTGGACAATACAATATACATGTACAATCCTGTTAGGAAGAATTGTCTTCATATAGCTCATATCCTTCTTTCTTAAGGCATTAAAGCATTTTATACTTCCTATGTATCCTATTACTTCCTTTTTGGCGTTATTAAGATTAAAATACTTGATAACTTTGTAACTCTGTTTTCCTGACATGACTCAATTATCATTAAGTAATACTTATCAATAAATAATAATCTAATAAAACGTTACAGCTTAAAATACAATAGTGTGGACTATAATATTATTTCTTTATTATGTGGTAACCCCATGGGAAAACCAACATATTAATTAGGATGCTTCTAGCTGTTAGCCACAGAACTCCAACTAACTGTGGTATAAAATAAATAACCAGTATGTTGAGCAATGAGACCGTAAGGTGTGTAATTAGACAGTACCTTTATTTAAAGGCATTTTAGTCTCTTATTAAGATGTATTCAATATGGAAACTTTTGTTCATGCCACTGGATGAAAACTCAGACACTCAGGCACTCATGATATTTCTAACAACTCTTAGGCTAAATTAATAGGTAGTAGATAGATAGATACATAAATACATACATACATACATAGATGATAGATAAATGATTTAGAGTCATTTAAGTTTGAAAACTTGTTCAAGCTTCATAATTAAACATTTCCCACCCTAGATAATAATCACAGCTTTGAATACGATTTTAAGTTACGACATTCTCCCTTCCTAATGCTGGGGGCTTCTGAAGGCAGGAAGCTGGAGAAAGGGCACAAACTGCTGTCCTTCCTCCTCTTTCATCTCCGTCCCTCCTTCTTAATCCTACTGGTCATGCTTGTTGACTTTCTTCAGGGCCAAACCAGCCTGAGCAGCTGGGAGAGAAGATGGTAAAGGAAAAGAGAATAATTCTTACTTGACTGGCACTGTGACTGTTACTCTCACATGATTACATGAGATCTGACCATCGATGAAAAGTGAGTCTTCTTCTTGGGGATTTTCATAGTTTATTCAGAAACCACCAATGAAAACAGGCACTTCCTATGATGTAGGTGAAGCATTTTCCTCTCCCTCTGACCATTTTTCTCTGCTTCAGAATTTTTCATCAGCCATTCCTCACGGTCTCTCTCAGTTGTGGTCCCACTGCCCTTCCAGATGGCCCTCACTTGGACACATTTAGAATGGCCCCAGACTCCAGATTATCACCTATAGCTCACCCCGTCCCACTGCCACTCCCTATCTCTTTCTCTCTCTCTTGTATAACCCACATCTAATCTTTGGTGTTTCAGTCCATTCAGACTGCTATAAGAAAGTACCATAAACTCGGTGGCTTGGGGCTGGGAATGGTGGCTAATGCCTGTAATCCCAGCACTTTGGGGAGCCAAGATGGGAGACTCACTTGAGGCTAGGAGTTCATTACCAACCTGGGCAACATGTGAGACCCCATCTCCACAAAAAAAATTTTTAATAAAAAAATAATTTTTTAAAAAATAGGTGGCTTATAAACAGTAGGAGTTTATTGCTCACACTTCTGGAGTCTAGAAAGTCCAAGATCACTTTGCCAGCCGATTCAGCATCTGCTGAAGGCCTGTTCCTCATAGATGGCTTTTTCATGATGCATCCCCCTCCATCCCCTGTAGAAGAGGAAAAACAACTTCCCTCAGGCTTCTTTTAAAAGGGTATTCATCCTATCCACATGGGTTTTGCTCTCATGATGTAATCACCTTCCAAAGGCCCTACTTCTTAATACCATCACCTTGGGGGGTTAGGTTTTAACATATGAATTTTAGAGGGTCACAGACATTCAGACCATAGCACTTGGGAGAGTCTCATTCTTCCTTTTGCCCCAAAATCTCTGCGACTGCAGGCCCATGCCAACTCTGACCACCTCTACTGTGGGGCTCATCTCTCACATTTTCAATTGTCCTATCAGGAGCAGCCACTGGCCCTCTGTTCCCCTCGCTGCAGGGGACACGTGCCTAGATCTTCTTAAAGACCCTTTATATTGACTAGAGGTAAAGGAGGAAGCAATATTTACCCGTTCTCTTTAGGAAATATATTTCACTAACCCTATATATCCATGATATGTAAGGGGTTCAAGAACTTATAATCAGATCTTCGCCACCTGCTTTGAATATTGTTTTCATGCCATAACTGAAACTGAAGAAGAAAAAGTTCCATTTAATGCCCTTAAACCTCATACAAAAGAGAGACTGGAAGGAGAAATTCCAGGTTTGGTTAATTCAGCAGTTCAACAATGTCAGTGCTCTTACTGTTTCTCTGTGATCCTCCAGTTTTCTCTTCTCATGGTCATAAGAAAGCCACTGCAGGGTCAAGCATCATGTCCACATTTGAAAACAGCTAAAGACAAGAAGGGAAAAGTACCTGTCTTGTGTCCGTCTTTATAGCCAGGAAAAACTTCTCAGAAATTCTCAATAAGCCTTTTCTTAACATCTTGAAAGGCAGAGCTGCTTCACATGCCCCGACCTATAGCAATCTCTAACAAGAGGAATGGAATGACTGCAATTGGCTTAAACTAGTTGCCTCCCTTAAGAAAGTGTGGCACATATACACCATGGAATACTAAGTAGCCATAAAAAGAGGATGAGTTCACGTCCTTTGCAGGGACATGGATGAAGCTGGAAACCATCATTCTCAGCAAATTATCACAAAATCAGAAAACCAAACACCACATGTTCTCACTCATAAATGGGAGTTGAACAATAAGAACACATGGACACAGGGAAAGGAACATCACACAAGGGGGCCTGTAGGGGGTGGGGGGCTAGGGGAGGGATAACATTAGGAGAAATATCTAATGTAGGTGATGGGTTGATGGGTGCAGCAAATCACCATGGCACGTGTATACATATGTAACAAAACTGCACATTCTGCACATGTAACCCAGAACTTAAAGTACAATCAATCAATCAATCAATCAATCAATCCAGTTGCCTCCCAAGAAGTATGAGACCCTGGGTCCAGGACTTTTATGTAAAATATGATACACTGGAGTACAAGAGGAAAATATTAATGCCACCTCAATATTTCTTATCCCTGACTTTTTAAACTTTAATATTTGGGTTCTTATTTTATTTTATTTTAAGATGGAATCTTTCTCTGTCGCCCAGACTGGAGTGCAGTGCTGCGATCTCGGCACACTGCAACCTCTGCCTCCCAGGTTCATATCTTGAAATAACTATTCTTGATTTTCCTAGTCTGACCCACCCTACCCTCCCCAACCACCCCACCCCCCACTCACCACCATGTCCTCAGCCTCTCAATGTCATAATTTTGGTTACTCCCATATTTGTTTTTTGGTTTTTGGTTTTTGGTTTTTTTTTGAGGCAGAGTATCGCTCTGTTGTCCAGGCTGGAGTGCAATGGCACACTCTCAGCTCACTGCAACCTCCGCCTCCTGGGCTCAAGCCATTCTCCTGCCCTCAGCCTCTCGAGTAGCTGGGATTATAGGTGTGCGCCACCATGCCCAGCTAGCTTTTGTATTTTTAGTAGAGATAAGGTTTCACCATGTTGGCCAGGCTGGTCTCGAACTCCTAACCTCAAGTGATCTGCCTGCCTCGGCCTCCCAAAGTGCTGGGATTACAGGCGTGAGCCACCGCACCCTGCCTGGTTACCTCAGTATTTGAAGTTCACTGCTGGGCCATGCAGTACATTGTGACAAATTTTTCTTTTCTGCCTAAGTTTTTGTTTTCCTCCAATTCAACCCCTATCTCTCTTCCAGGTGTCTAAATTTCCTCATAAGACATTCAGATACAGCAAGTATTGTATTACTTCTATTTTCTCACAGGAATCTCCCCTGGAGTTTTCTGACCCAGTTCACAATAAACTGGTTGCCATCTTGCCTCATGTAGCATTTCCTCTGCTTTCTTCATCACCATCTTGGGTTTCACTTTGCCTCTTTTCTGTGTTGGATCCTCTGTTTTCTGAAACCTATGACATGCATTTTTTTCTGTTTACTTTTTTGTTTTGCTAACCCACATCCTCCAGTGGCTTTCTGAGAAAAAAGTACATGGGGCATATGTTTCTCGAGAGCATACATATTTGAAAAATCTTTAATTGACATTCCTACTTAAGTCATAATTTCACTGGGTATGGAATCCTAGAGTGGAAATAAATTTCCTTCACAATGTTGAAAGCATTGCTCTAATCCTGCCTAGCTTCCAGTAGTGTTATTGAGAAGTCTAAAGAAATTCTGATTTCAGATCCTATGTTTGTGATTTGTATTTGTTTCTGGAAGCATTCAGGATCTTATCTTTGACTCCTGTGTTCTGAAAGTGCCCAAAGATGTGCTTTCATATGGGTCTATTTTATACGTTGTACTGGGCTCTCAACGGGTCCTTTTGGCCTAGGAAACCATGTCCTACAATTCTGGAAACTTCTCTTGAATTATTCCATTGGTGGTCTCTCTTCAGTTTCTCTACTTTCTCTTCCTAAAATTCAAATGATATTCAAATGGACCACCTGGACTGGTCCTCCAATTTTGTATCTTATCTTCTTTTTTCTATATGTTCGTTTTTGTCCAAATTTTGAGAAAGTGTCTCAGCTTTACATTCCAAGCCTTCTTTTTTTTTTTTTTTTTTTTTAGACGGAGTCTCGCTCTGTCGCCCAGGCCGGACTGTGGACTGCAGTGGCGCAATCTCAGCTCACTGCAAGCTCCGCTTCCCGGGTTCACGCCATTCTCCTGCCTCAGCCTCCCGAGTAGCTGGGACTACAGGCGCCCGCCACCGCGCCCGGCTAATTTTTTGTATTTTTAGTAGAGACGGGGTTTCACCTTGTTAGCCAGGATGGTCTCGATCTCCTGACCTTGTGATCCACCCGCCTCGGCCTCCCAAAGTGCTGGGATTACAGGCGTGAGCCACCGCACCCGGCCTCCAAGCCTTCTTTGCTTCCTTGCCACTAGTGTTTTTAAATTCTAAGAATTCAAACTCCTTTTCTGCATATTACAATACTCCAATTTTATAGCATCATCCTGTTGTTTCACGGATTTATGATATCTTTCAGAGGATATAGATGATAGTTGAGTTGTGGCTATGTTGTTGTTGCTGTTCTGTTTTTTTCCTTCTATGTTTCCTTCAAGTTGCTTTTGTCTTCTTGAAAGTTTTAGTCTCCATGTTTTATGGTACATGTGAATGGTGATTTTTGGTTATCTTATATTCAGAAGTTAGGGACCAAACAATAGTTGATTGTAAGGCTCAAGTCAGCTGGCAGGGTGTATGTATTACAAGGATCACTGTAGAGTTACAGGCCTGGAATGTTTTATAGGGAGAACCCCTGACATCAAAACTTTTAGCATTTCTATCCTAATATTTGATGTAGTCTGATTCCTCAGAGAAGGGGTGACAAATCTCCTGCCTCATGGACATGGGCCTGACTGCAAGTCTCTGGAATAAGATAGAAGAAAAAGACCGGCATTCTCAAAATTCAGAATATAAGCATTCACTTCTTCCTCCTTCTATCTGGCATCCCCAGTCCAGAGAATGTGTCTGATGAGGGAACCATCCCTCTTCTGGCTGGGTTGGAGAGGAACTGTCACCTAGTGCAAGGAGTAGAGGGGGCATCAGAGACTCTCACCTATTTATTGATATGTTTTGGCTGTGTCCCCACCCAAATCTCATCTTGAATTCCCGCATGTTTGGGGAGGGACCCACTGGGAGGTAATTAAATCGTGGGGGCAAGTCTTTCCCATGCTATTCTCCAATAGTGAATAAGTCTCATAAGATTTGATGGTTTTAAGATTTGATGGTTTTAAAAAGAGGAGTCCCCTGCAAAATATTTCTTTGCCTGCTGCCATCCACGTTAAGACATGACTTGCTCTTCCTTGCCTTCATGCCATGATTATGAGGCCTCCCCAGCCACGTGAACTGTAAGTCCAATTGAACCTCTTTCTTTTGTAAATTGCCTAGTCACGTGTATGTCTTTATCAGCAGCATGAAAATGGACTAATGCATTTACAACCTTACTTTCAACCAATTTTCCCACTTTTAGGCCCTGTTTCCCCCTCCTCTCATCATACAGGTAGTTGGCACAATCAATTTCTGAGCCTTTGGAGTTCAGTGGTATAACTTTGGTGGACTCTCAGCTTTCCATTCCTATTCTATTTGACCTCATATGTTTATATCCTTAAAAATAATTCATTTACTCTCCTTTATGGCGTGAACCCGGGAGGCGGAGCTTGCAGTGAACCAAGATCGTGCCACTGTATTCCAGCCTGAGCGACAGAGTGACAGTCCATCTCAAAAAAAAACAAAATTCATTTATTCTCCTTTAAGTAAGTTTTCTAGAGGGATCAAAAGTAAGTGTGCATTTCATTCATTATTTTTGTATAGTAGTTCCACTAATGTATTTCTAAATAATTTATGTTTGATTCCAAATGCTCATGGAAAATCAACTCATTTAGAATTTAGAATCAATGCTCATTTACAGTTACAACTAAGTTCATTGTAACTAACTTAGAAAGCACAGAAAAATATAAAGAAAAAACAAATATCGCTCCTTACTCCACTACCTAGCCTGCTAACATTTTTGTATATTTCATTCCTGGTTTCCTTCATAAGTGTGTGCATGTGCACACATGCACGTGCAAATGTGCATATTTGTGTATGTTTTGCAAAATGAATCATAGTGCACATAGGACTTCATTGGCTGCATTTATTTTTTACTTTATATTACTCATATGTTAAGATTGTAGAGTGCTGGGATGCTAAGCCAGTGCTCCAGACCATAGAAGACATACACAGAAATTATGCTCTTTTACCCTGAATAAGTCAGTGTGTATTCCTAAAACTGAGAATATTTATGTATAATATAACCACAGCACAATTATCAAAATTGCAAAATTAACACTTATAAAATATGATTATCTAATCTACAAACCTTATTTAAATCTTCCCAATGGTCTCACTAATACCCTTTATTTCAAAAGTAACAAAAATAAAACATGGTCCAGGATCAAAACTTGGATTTAGTTGCCGTATCTTTTTAGTCTCCTTCAGTCTGAAACAGTTGCTCAATCATCCTTGTCTTTTATGACCTTGACATTTTTCAAAAAGTGCAGGCTATTTATTTTGTAGAATGTCCCTGCATTTGGATTTGACAAGTGATTCTTCATGATTAGCTTCACTTTTTGTGGTTTTGGCAGAATTCCACAGAAGTGGTGTTGTCTTTCTCACTGCATCATATCAGAATGTACATCTATTTTCCCCATGATTGATGTTGTTAACTTTGAGGACTTAGATAAGAGGTAGTGTCAGCTAGGTTTTTCTACTGTAAAGTTGCCTTTGTTATACTTACCATTAATAAATATCTTATGTGGAGATACATTTAGGCTCTGTGAATATCCTCATTCTCATTAAATTTTGCCTACTAGTTCCCAAAATTTCTTAAAGCTTAAACGTGTCTTTCTCATTGGGTCATCATTTCCAAAGTGAGACTCAAACTGAAGTGAATTGCTATGCTACTGGCCTCTTTACCCTTTTCCTTTGGAGGTACACTGCATGATCTTCTAACTTAATAATTAGTCCAGTCCCCCCCTAAAAAAAAGACAAAAAATAACTGCAAACCCATCTACTATTTAGCCAGAATTCTTTTTTTTTTTTTTTTCTTTTTTGAGACAGGGTCTCACTTTGTCACCCAGGCTGGAAAGGACAATGGAAAGGACACGGCTCACTGCAGCCTCACCTTCCTGGGCTCAAGTGATTCTCCTGCCTCAGCCCCCCAAGTAGCTGGGTCTACAGGTACACACAACCATGCCCAGCTAATTTTTGTACTTTTTTATAGAGATGTGGTTTTGCTATGTTGCCCAGGCTGGTCTCAAACTCCTGAGCTCAAGAAATTCTCCTGCCTCAGCCTCCCAAAGTGCTAGGATTACAGGCATGAGTCACTGTGCCCAGCCTAGCCAGCATTCTTAAGGCTGTGGGAGCATGAGGTTGAAAAGATGACCTCAAAAATTTGGTTCCACACCTTGGGCTTGGAACTCACTATTAACCCTAACCCACCCTAGAGAGGTCTCCTCCATTTCCTGCCTGATGAATGTAAAGATGGTGTCCTTTTATTAAGTCAAGAATTTTTTGACTGCCCCAAACCATCTCACAATCGGGATTTTATATTTTGTGAGCAAGCTAAGGAGAAACTGCACCATAATTCAGAGGTTAGTAGATCTTTCTGATTTTTCCAAACAACTACCAAAGAAAAGGGAACTGTGGAGTTTATTCCTGTTATGTGTTAGAATTTTTTCCAGCCAGTCTTCCCTGGCTCTGGCTTCTTCATCTCTGTCTTCTGCTGCCTGCCTCCTTGCCTGGTTCCACCTCCACTCTTCTCCATGGACCTGGGCTATAAATGAGTAATTCTGATTTTTCCAGTCAATTTCTCAATCCCCAGGAAAATTCTGGCCTACCACTTTACAGGTAGACCACTGCTAGGTTCTAATTCATATCTGCGAAAATATGTCTAAGAATGTATAGAAAGCTGTAGAGAGAATAGTAGAATAGAACCAGATAGGCATATTAAAAGAAAAAAGACTGGAAGGAAATACATTTATAGTACATGTTACCAGTGTTTATCTCTGGTAGCACAGTGTTACCAGTGTGTTGTGGGATAAAAGGTAATTTTGCTTGCTACTCTTTATCGGGAATACAATGTATTTTGCCTTTCTCTCTCTCTCCACTTCAGTGCACACTGGCCCAAGTTCCACTTACCAGCCCCTGCATTTCTTTGCCTGAGGACTTCTTGCTGCTGGAGCCCACACTGCCAACCACAGAGCTGGCAGAAATGACAGGAATACAATGCTCACTGGTTGCATCCCTGAACAAATGACTGATGACAGCTGGTGTATAAATACCCCAGTTCTTTCTCCCTTCCAATACAATAGCTCTGCAGCCCAGGCCCTACACTTTCTTTCAGAGCTTTACTTAACCACAGTAGTAACTGCTTGATTGTACAAACCTTACTGGCTGCCTGTACTTCATGTCCTATTCCCTCACTTCCCTTCCAATGGTACCATCATATCCCAAATAAATGATTTGCATTTGTCTTTGTCTTTTGAAGGAACTGAAACTCAGACAATGGTTTTTTTTCTTTTAGCCATGAAGAGAGGTTACTCTTATAATCAAGAAAACCCAGTGCCAAGACCCACTGTATCTTCTAATTCCCAGTGTCATTTCTCTTCCTCTTTCCAAATATTGAATACCAACAACACATTCCTCCAAAGTCCCTAAAGGGTGCACTACCCCTCCAGTTCTGACACCACCAATCTTATAAAAGAAAAGTTAAAATGAGGGCACTTTTCTTCTTTTTTTTCCAAGGGGGAAGAAATAATCCATTTGAATTTTACCAGTTGTGTCTCTTCATTGCCTATCTCACCCCTGTGACCTGATCTCTGGGTTTTACAAAGCTGGAGAACACAAAATAAAGTGTAACCCCATATTTGAGAAAGAAAAAATGAGGTGAACTGCATTTACTTTTTGCTTTGGGAAAACAGTCTGGCTGAAGAAAGTTCGTAGAACTGAGAACACCCACCTTCAGGAATTTCAATTAAGAGAAAAAAAGTCTATCCCAGATGGACCTCAGAGACCTTCTTAAAGATGGCAATCCCAGCGATGCTAACATTTATCGATGACTTACTATGTGTTAGGTTCCTTCTCAGGAGTTAGCTCATTTAATCTTCACAACAACCTTATAAAGTAGGAATTATTATCTCTACAGATAAACTGAGACACAGAGAAGTTAGAAAACTGGCCACGTCACCCAGTAAGTGATAGAGCATGGATAGGTGCTCTTTTCTCTGCATTTTGGCCTCTTAATTAGATTTCCTGACTGCTTTTTGCCACCGCTCCTCTTCCCTGTGCGTGTACACAAACATACACACTGTGCCACTGACCTTGAGAGAGCTCCTCTCCAGAAAACAAGATTCCTAGCACTCTATTCAAACCTTAAAAAGATATATGTTATATTTTTATGTGAAACCAGGTGGCAGTGTCTGCCCCAGCCCTTGCCTCTAACTGCAGCTAAGCCAAATCACTCTCCAGACGTTTGGCCAATATCCAAGAAGAAAAGTACAAGGCAACCCAGATGGCCCCAGAAATAGACCCAGATGGCTTTACTTCATTCCCACTTTGATCCTTACCTGCACCCATTTCCATTCTTAGCATGTTCCTTGACAATTAGGGAAGCAACTAAGTGTGGCTCTTCTAGATGGATCTTGGGCCACTGTCTTAGTTAAAGGTATCTTGACTAATAGATAAACCAGGCACTATGAGACCCCATCTACAACCTCTCAGGCCAAATAGGGAATGCCAAAAAGGAAGCACTGGGAAACAATTCCCACCTCATTCATGCCTGTAAGGATTTGTCAACTTTACAATATAAATATGAGTGTTTTCAACCATACTTCTGTGAAACATTTGAGCATTTCACTGGGAAAATCCACTAAAGTACAGATTGTCTGAGAACAAATAAAAGCAATTATGTTATATGTAAACAGAAGAAAAATCCTCCAGCCTTCCCTTCTGTGCATTACTGATAGATGTGAGGACCAATCACATTGCAAGCAAATCCAGTCAATCAGGATTTAGCACTCCTTAATTTTGAAGATTTCTTTGACACCCCAGTAACTGACTTGTTCCAGCTATGGGTCTAGGAAACCAACTGTAATAAGAGTTGAGAAGGCTCATTTTAAGCAAAATGAATGTGTTTTAATGAATACTATGAATGAT
Source organism: Homo sapiens (assembly GCF_000001405.40). Classification (NCBI taxonomy): domain Eukaryota; kingdom Metazoa; phylum Chordata; class Mammalia; order Primates; family Hominidae; genus Homo; species Homo sapiens. Next base: position 27,746,294 of record NC_000003.12, on the reverse strand, counting down.
TAATGTCCAATGACAAAATTGTTAGTGATTAATAATAAAATAAGATTTTGTCCACTTTAAAAATTACAAATAGTTGATTTTTTTTTTTTTTTTTTTTTTTTTTTTTTTTTTTTTTTTTTTTGAGACAGAGTCTCACACTGTTGCCCAGGCTAGAGTGCAGTGGCGCAATCTCGGCTCACTGCAACCTCTGCCTCCCAGGTTCAAGCAATTCTCCTGCCTCAGCCTCCCGAGTAGCTGAGATTACAGGCGCCCGCCACCACGCCTGGCTAATTTTTTTTTTTTTTTTTTTTGTATTTTTAGTAGAGACGGGGTTTCACCATGTTGGTCAGGCTGGTCTCCAACTCCCGACCTCGTGATCTCCCTGCCTCGGCCTCCCACAGTGCTGGGATTACAGGCATGAGCCACTGCGCTGGGCCCAAATAGTTGATTTTTTAAAAAAAGAAATGCAATGGTAATAAACACATGAAAAGATACTCAACTTGACGTTAATTAATTTAAATTCAAATTTAAACAGTATGCCATTTTTAAAAACCTATTGGACTGAAGCAACACAACAATTCTCAAAGTTAGGTATTCCTATCCTGATTTTGCATACATTTCTTATACATAGTTACATTTAAGTGATAAAATTAGAAACCCAGAGAATTTCAAAAAAACAGATATTTCTACTGCATTGGCTGGAGAAGAGGTGTTGAAGGGAATGGGGTTGAGAGGTTACTGAGGCAAACTTCAGATTTTGGTAAAATATATTAATATTTTTGTGGTCTTTGATTCCCATGGGTAAATTTGGTTCTCAAAGGATTAAACCCATTTATGACACCACAGTTGATACCTTCACCAACATTAGATTTTGTCATTTTAAAAATGTTTATTTCTGTTAGGCAAAAAAGCTACTCACTGGTTTGTTTTTGCTATTTTTGTATTGCATTCTTAAATTACTAGCAAGTTATATATAATTTTATGAGTATTATTTTCTCTTACAAGCAGTTTTGTTCATTATCACTTAATATAACATGATTATTCCCTTCTTTACCATATAATATTTATTATGAGTATTTCTTATTCCACTGTTCTATTTCATTTTGGTTTCTGGCTTTTTGAATTATGGAAGTTTTCTAATTTTTACAGTCAAATTTGTCTATCTTTTCCTTGGTAATTATAAAAACATCTTTTCTAAATTTAGAAAATAAGCACTCTCTTTAAAATATGATAAATATTCAAGTATGTATTCTTATTTTTCATTTTTCTCATTAAAGTCACCTGGAATTTATTTCTACATGTCATTTAAGGTATGGATTTAAAATGAAGTCTCCCCTCCCAACAACCACTAACCTAGATTTCCAATATCATTTAATTAAGAAGTTTTTCTCTATACTCATTAGTGGTGGCTCTCTCATTATTTTTATCCCCTAAAGTTTCTGCAGATTTCAAGACTCTGCACAGGATCCAGTTCAAGTTCCATCTGTAGTCACTGTCCCACCCCAATCCCAAATATATATCACCCATCTAATCAATAAGTCCAGCATTCTCTAACCAAAACATCGCTTGAAACCAGTGGTCTTCATGTTTATTGCAACTCCTCAATCTCAAACGACTTTCATCTCTTGATTGGACCAGTGCAGAAGCTCCATAACAAGTTCCCTTGCTTTTATTCTTGCCTGGTTCTTCCCTTTCTATATGAAAGCCAGAGGGATAATTTAAAAACACAAAACAAACCTTTTTTTTCTTTTAATATCCTGGTAAAAATTTTTGTTTGTTTGTTTTGTTTTGTTTTAATTTAATTTTATTTTATTATTATTATACTTTAAGTTTTAGGGTACATGTGCACAATGTGCAGGTTAGTTACATATGTATACATGTGCCATGCTGGCGTGCTGCACCCATTAACTCATCATTTAGCATTAGGTATATCTCCTAAAGCTATCCCTCCCCCCTCCCCCGACCCCACAACAGTCCCCAGAGCGTGATGTTCCCCTTCCTGTGTCCATATGTTCTCATTGTTCAATTCCCACCTATGAGTGAGAATATGCAGTGTTTGGTTTTTTGTTCTTGTGATAGTTTACTGAGAATGATGATTTCCAATTTCATCCATGTCCCTACAAAGGACATGAACTCATCCTTTTTTATGGCTGCATAGTATTCCATGGTGTATATGTGCCACATTTTCTTAATCCAGTCTATCATTGTTGGACCATAAAACAAATCTTATCTCTCCTCTGCTTACAATCTTCTAATAGCTTCTGACTATATTTACATTAAAATGTAAAATACTTATTCAGGGTCCACCAAGCCATGTACGATTGGCTCCTGCCCACCTCTCTCACCTACCTTATCTCATGGTATTTTTCAGCCACACCAATCCTTTGTCAGGTTCTGAAATACGTTAAACTTGTTACCCCTCAATGCTGTTCTACCTGCTGCCACTGTGCTGAGAATGCGCTTCCTTCTGATTCCGGCTCTGGTGCATCATTTGAGACTCATGGACTGTAACTCCTCAGGGTGGTCTTCCCTGAGCTCCCTGTCCATAGTGGCTCTCCCAGGCAGTTTTCCATACCACCCTGCATTATTCACATCATCACTCCCCTCATGGTCTGAAACTGCCATATACATTTGTTTACTTGTTTGTTTTCTGTCTCTCCTTTTATATATTTCTTCAAAGGAAAGACTTGTCTGTCTTCCTTACCATAAACATAGTACTTAGAATAGTCAACGACACATAGTAAGAGTTCAATAACTAGTTGTTGAATGAATGAATGTTCAATTAGGAGTCTTTGGCCAGGCATGGTGGTTCACATCTATAATCCCGGCACTTTGTGAGGCCGAGGCAAGTGGATCACTTGAGGTCAGAAGTTCAAGACCAGCCTGACCAACATGGTGAAACCACCCTCTCGCTACTAAAAATACAAAAATTAGCCAGGCATGGTGGCAGGCGCCTGTAGTCCCAGTTACTCAGGAGGCTGAGGCAGGAGAATCGCTTGAGCCTGGGAAGTAGAGGTATCAGTGATCCAAGATCACACCACTGCACTCCAGCCTGGGTGACAGAGCAAGACTCTGTCAAAAAAAAAAAAAATTAGGAGTCTCCAAGTTTGCAAGCCAGTTCCCTTCCCCAGTATCTCTATCCTTATGCTTATGTCTTATGCAGTGAATTGTTGTTTGTTATCACCCTAGTATTCATTTTACCCTTCCCCATTCCTTACAGCCCTAAGTTTGTGAGGCTGTTTGTGTGCCTTTCCCAGGTCCCGGAGTGCCTCCATCTCTTTAGGCAGAGATTGCTTCAGTGATGAGCAGAATTCCCAATTCAGTCTTCTGAGACTGGAGGAAAAGCTGGAGCCTTTTGAGAAAGACTCTGCCTTTTTCTTTGATGTTGTTAAAATGTGAATTAAATTCAATATAATTCCAATCAAAATCCCAGCAGGCATTTTTTAATAGAGAAAGCAACGATAAAATGAAATTACTAACTATAAATGAGGATACACATAAACGCATAATTTTTAAAAAAATATTCATTGAAACTTCTAGTTAATTTATTCCCCCTTTTAATTTGTATTATAAACTCATTTAAAGGCATAGCTTTATAGATATTGATGAGCTAATTCTAAAATTTATATGTAAAGGACCTACAATAGCTATAGTTTTGGCTGCACCCCAATAGTTTAGATATGTGCTGTTTATGTGTTGTCATTACTCTTTTAAACATATTTTAATTGTATTCTACATTTTTCTTTAGAGCCAATAATGTTATCAAAAAGTGATTGGTTTGCTTTTTATAAATTCCCAAGTGGTAACAGTTCAAAATATTCAAATTTGTATTGCTGCTTTAAATTTTTGTCCCAGTCTTCAAAAAGCATGATCTTGTAACTTTAACTATTTTGGACTGGAAAAAGAAATATGAGGCTTTGTTTATGGAAAAGTATATACAATTTTTATAAAATTTAATTAAATGCTTAGAAATCATTTAGATTTAGTACCGCTCATTTCAGTTATATGTTGTCAGATCGCTTTGCGGCCTGTTATCAGACAGAAAGGCTATATCTCTATTTTTTTTTTTTTTTTTTGAGAGGGAGTCTTGCTCGGTTGCCCAGGCTGGCATGCAGTGGCCCGATCTCAGCTTACTGCAACCTCTGCCTTCTGCCTCCCGGGATCAAGTGATCAAGTGATTCTTGTTCCTCTGCCTCCTGGGTAGGTGGGATTACAGGCACCCGCCACCACGACCAGCTAATTTTTGTATTTTTAGTAGAGATGCGGTTTTGCCATGTTGGCCACCCTGATTTCCAACTCCTGAGCTCAGATGATCTGCCCCCCTCGGCATTGCAAAGTGCTGGGATTACAGGCGTGAGCCCCTGTGCCCGGCCCGAAAGGCTGTATCTTTACAGGTAAATAATAGTTTAAATGTCCATCATCTAATAGTTATATTTTGCCCATTGTTCATTGTGAGGATAAGAATAAAACCCAGGTATGTCCTCTGTGGTTCTTCCTCTATGGTTTGCGTCAATAAAGCTTTTAAGAGGAAAGAAATAAGAGTTTAATAGTGATTCTAAATGAGGAAATGGCTTTACTCTTCTGGTTGTCACACTCTATAACATCTGAGAATCTTCAAAAGAAAAATAGTTGGCCACTTTCCTCAAGTTTAGAAAGAAAAATCTGAGAGGAATGTCACCATTTTCATAAATTTGGGGTACTTATTATCCTCTTTCCCATAAGCATTTTGTATTAATGTGTATACAATGAACTCCTACATACAGGGAGGTAGTTAAAAGTATTTTGTCAGCCGGACACAGTGGCTCACTCCTGTAATCCCAGCACTTTGGGAGGCTGAGGTGGGTGGATCACCTGAGGTCGAGAGTTCGAGACCAGCCTGACCAACATGGTGAAACCCCGTCTCTACTAAAAATACAAAATTAGCCAAGTATGGTGGCACATGCCTGTAATCCCAACTACTTGGGAGGCTGAGGCAGGAGAATCGCTTGAACCAGGGAGGCAGAGGTTGCGGTGAGCCAAAATCGCGCCATTGCACTCTAGCCTGAGCAACAAGAGCAAAACTCCATCTAAAAAAAAAAAGTGTTTTGTCCTTCCTAGACAAACAGACCATACTGGCAACAGTGTTACCTCCCAAATTTACAAGTGAAGTACATTGATTAAAGTGACATCTGTTCCCCCCATCTTCTTTTTTTCCCCTACAGACAAGGTCTTGCTCTGTTGCACAGCCTAGAGTGCAGTAGTTTTATCACAGCTCACCATAACCACGAACTCCTGGGCTCAAGCCATCCTCCCACCTCAGCTGCTTGAATAGCTAGAATTATAGGCATGCTTCACCGTGCTTAGCTATTTTCTGGGTTTTTTGTTTGTCTGTTTGTTTGTTTTGAGATAGGGTCTCTCTATGTTGCCCAGTCTGGTCTTGAACTCCTGGCCTCAAGCAACACTCCTTCTTCATAATTCCAAAACACTGAGATTACAAGCATGAGCCACTGTGCCTAGCCTCATTCCTCTTCTTGAGAGTCACAAGTTTAATTGTTATGTTCAGCAATTGTAACACTAGACCGTTAAAGAACTAGGCATGTAAAATCAATAAGCAACAATCAATCCATAAGTAATAATTATTTTATTTAACTAAAACATTCACTCTTTCTAGATAACATTTTTAAAGTGGGATTTTTTCTTTGACATTAAATTATCTTGCTTTTATTGTTGCCTTGGTTGGCTAAGTTTGTATTACTAGTAATGTTTGGAAGTTCTCTAGTAAGAGTGACAATGTTAGAGAACAGAGAACCAATAGATTCAATACTCCTCAAAGTCATGGAGCTAACCTTATTAACCTTGGTATTCTCAGGGCTAGCACACAGCCTGGCATATAGGAAGTCCTTCACAAATTTGTGTTAAACGAGGGGACCTAGCACTGTTTAAATGGTTCAATCCCAGAAAAATCTCCTAGAATTCAAAATTGAATTCTGGTTTACAGTTTACTTAGTGCCATATGTACAAAGACCTTCCTCTTATGTTGTTTAATGTAATGAACACAGGCAACCAAAGCAGGGACTTAAGACTGACTCACTGAGTAATCCCTGGAAATATATAGCTTTGAGATCCTATTGAATTGGACATTCTAACTGACAGTGAAATCAAGTTTTTTAAACTTACTCATGCTTCCAGCTCAATCAGCTTCCTTGGAACTTCTATTTTTGGTCCTAGTTCTTCTACTTCCTATATCTTACACACATACACACACAAGCACACATATCCTATTGGTTCTCTTTCTCTGGAAACCCTGAGTACTATAGAAGATAAAAGAAAAATATCACCTGCAAAACTTTTCTGGAAAAATTCGTATAATACCATAATCTCGGCATGCGAAAGAGGTTGGAAGTGCGGAGGACAGTACACAGAAAGACTGGCACTGAGATCAGAATTCATATAATTATAAATAATGGCAAATCATGATAGCAATTGGAGTTACGAAATGAGTCTTAAATATTCTTTTTTTTAAGGGAAAACAACGTAATGAAAAGCATAAGAATATAACATTGATGTAATGGACTTGTACCTAAATCTCAAAGACTGCTGTCAAAAGTTCAAAAGTGAAAGTCAGTGAAGTGCATAAATTTATTTACCCAAACAATTTATATTTATCACATATCTGCTATGTCTGAGGTTCTGTGCCCAACATTGAGGATACAGCAGTAAATGATACAGACAGTATCGATTCTGTCATGATGTTTACATTCTAGCTGGTTCATGTATAAACCTCTCTTCACAGTAGAGATTTATACATGCTGTTTTGTTTCTTAGCCTGGAAATTTCTTTAGGCTCATTATATTGTTTAAATCCATTAAAAAATAATTATTAATGGAAGAGCTGGCCGGGCGCGGTGGCTCACGCCTCTAATCCCAGCACTTTGGGAGGCCGAGGCGGGCAGATCAGGAGGTCAGGAGATCGAGACCATCCTGGCTAACACGGTGAAACCCCGTCTCTACGAAAAATACAAAAAATTAGCCAGGCGCCGTGGCGGGCGCCTATAGTCCCAGCTACTTGGGAGGCTGAGGCAGGAGAATGGTGCGAACCCGGGAGGCGGAGCATGCAGTGAACCGAGATAGCACCACTGCACTCCATCCTGGGCGAAAGAGCGAGACTCTGTCTCAAAAAAAAAAAAAAAGAAAGAAAGAAAGAAAGAGCTGTATTTTCAGAAATACAAATACGGTACAGAAAGAGAGAAAGGGAAACAAAAAATATAGACTATATAACAAAAAAGGCAACAAGAAAGAAGTAAAAACATAAAATAAGATGGCAGAATTAAGACTAAACATAAAACATGACTGACTATATTACTATGTAAAATAGATTACTATAATACACAACTTTGGCATACGTCTCTGCTAAAACATTTGACAATCTGATAATTAAATAGACCAATATAAACGGAAGAAAAAAATTTTTTTAATATGCTGAGAGTATCTCCAGGCCCTATTCATTTCACACATAAAGTCTTATGGAAGTGATACTTGTATTTAAGTCATTTCATAGAAAATAAAACAAATTTCCCAAATTATTTTTACAAAATTAGCACACAATTGCTATCAAAACCTAACTAAGAGAAAACAGACCGTATAAATAGTGATGTAGGCTGGGTGTGGTGGCTGACGCCTGTATTCCCAGCACTTTGGGAGGCCGAGGCTGGAGGATCATCTGAGGTCAGGAGTTTGAGACCAGTCTGGCCAACATAGTGAAACCCTGTCTCTACTAAAAATAAAGAAAATTAGCCCGGCATGGTGACGCATGCCTGTGATCCCAGCTACTCGGGAGACCAAGGCAGGAGAATCATTTGAACTCGGGAGGCAGAAGTTGCAGTGAGCCGAGATAGCGCCACTGTACTCCAGCAGAGTGAAACTTAGTCACAATAGTAATAATAATTCATTTGAACAAATAGATTTTATATTTTTAAAAATGCAACATTTTCCACTTCGGGACGCTGAGGTGGGTGGATCACTTGAGGTCAGGAGTTCAATACCAGCCTGGCCAACATGGTGAAACCCCGTCTCTACTAAAAATACAATAATCAGCCGGGTGTGGTGGCACGTGCCTGTAATCCCAGCTACTCAAGGGGCTGAGGCAGTAGAATCACTTGAACCCGGGAGGCGGAAGTTGCAGTGAGCTGAAATCACGCCACTGCCCTCTAGCCTGGGTGACAGAGCTCGATTCCGTCTCAAAAAAAAAAAAAAAAAAAAATTATCTCAGATAAAATAAGAATAAATTGTGAATTCTTTAATTTTGTATATGTCCACAAAATACATACACTACATATATATTTTCAAAGGCATTCACATGTATTTTAAATACATATATTATATATATATATATATATATATATTTTTTTTTTTTTTTTTTTTTGAGACGGAGTCTCGCTCTGTCGCCCAGGCTGGAGTGCGTGATCTTGGCTCACTGCAACCTCCACCTCCTGGGTTCAAGTGATTCTCCTGCCTCAGCCTCTTGAGTAGCTGGGATTACAGGCACGTGCCACCACAACCGGGTGATTATTGTATTTTTAGTAGAGATGGGGTTTCACCATGTTGGTCAGGCTGGTCTTGAACTCCTGACCTCATGATCTGCCTGCCTCAGCCTCCCAAAGTGCTGGGATTACAGGCATGAGCCACTGCACCTGGCCCAATTACCTATATTTTATAGATGCGTATGTGTGTGTGCACGTATTCAAAATTTAGCACCATGCTAGATGATTTAACACTAGAAGCATTCCCACTAAAGTCAGGTACAAGAGGAGGATATTAGCAGCAGCAGTGCTATAGTATAAATATTTGTATGCTCCCTAAATTTATATATGTTGAAACCTAGTCTACAACATAATGGTGATATTAGGGGTGGAACATTTGGGAGGTAGTTAGTTCTTGAGGGTGGAGCCCAGATGAAGGGGATTAGTGTTTACAGAAGAGGCCCCAGAGAGCTGTCTTGTTTCTTTCTACCATGTGAGGACAAATGGAGCCTACCATAGAGGGCACCATTCATGAACCAGAAATCAGACCCTCAGGAGATACTAAGTCTGCTGATCCCTTGACCTTGGACTTCCTAGCCTTCAGAACTATGAGCAATACATTTCCATTGTTTATAGGCTACCCAATTTATGGTATTTTATTATAGCAGACCAAACAGACTAACATAAGCACTAAGATTTCACATTGATTTTGAGTGATGGTTCAATATTCAAGAATTAAATGAAAAAACTAAGAAAATTATCATACCCTATGGATCATATCTTAGGAAAATATTCATATCCAAGCAGTTGATGTTATAAAACAATAATCAAGTGCAAAGCTACTCAAAGTCAAAAGAAAACTCAGATAGGTAGTCATTAACTTTTTTTTTTTCCAGCCGTGATCTCACTCTGTCGCCCAAGCTGGAGTACAGTGGCACGACCTTTGCTCCTTTTGCTCACTATAAGCACCTCCTCCCCTTCTGGGTTCAAGTGATCCTCCCACCTCAGCCTCTGGAGTAGCTGGGACCACAAGGGCACACCACCATGTCTGGCTAATTTTTGTATTTTTAGTAGAGATGGGGTTTTGCTGTGTTGTTCTGGCTGATCTCCACCTGCCTCAGCCTCCCAAAGTGCTGGGATTACAGGCGTGAGCCGCTGCACCCAGCCACAAGATTTTTTTTTTTCATCAATAGCTTTACTATAACAAACAATATACCATTTAAGGCTGGGCGGGGTGGTTCAGGCCTGTAATCCTAGCACTTTGAGAGGCCAAGGTATGAGCATCACTTAAGCCCAGGAGTTCAAGACCAGCTTAGGCAACATAATGAGACCCAGTATCTGCAAAAAACACAAAAATTAGCTGGCCTTGGAGGCCACGAGCCGGTAGTCCCAGTTACTCCAGAAGCTAAGGTGGGAAGATGGTTTGAGCCCAGGAGGTCAAAGCTGCAGTGAGCCAAGATTGCACTGCTGCACTCCAGCCTGGGCAACAGAGCAAGTCCTTGTCGAGAGACAGAAAGAGAGGTGCCAAGACTTTTTTTTAAGTGGCAAGTATTTTGTCCTATGGGGGGAAAACTATATTATAAAGCTAAGATAATTAAAATAGCATGTTGCTAGTAGTGATAAAGACAAATAGTTCAATGGCAGCTAATGGAGTCCAAAATTAAACCAAAGTATGCAGGGAAATGTGGTACATATTTTAAAAGTGTTCAAATTAAGGATAATCAGTAAATGGTATTTGGACAACTGGTTAGATAATTGCTAAAACATAAAGATGAATTTCTAACTGTTCTTTCCCTCAAAATTAATTTCAAATGTGTCAAATATTTATGATGTGGTTTGAAAGCACTGGAAAAACTCTGAAGGAGAGCAGGATTTTCTATGGCTTCACATAAACCCCAACATGCAGCAGGAAAGATACTTAACTTTCTGTACAGAATAAAATCTCATTAACTAAATCAAAAGACAAATGATAACAGAGGAGAAAATATTTGAAACACTCAACATAGTAGATATGTATATATGATATCCAAAAAGCTCTTACTAAACTTAAATATGACACAGAAATTCATCAACAATTTTAAAAATGCAAAGCAGTATTGGCATATTTTCCCTGGCCAGACTGACGAAGACTAGAGGATTAATAATAATAGCTGGGTTTGGTGAGGATGGAAACATTTTTATTGGGAGTGTAAATTGGTATAATATTTGTGGAAGAGGATCTACTGCTGTGTATCAAAATTTGAAACACAAATGTATTTCAATCTAGAGCCATGAATTCTAAGGATTTATTCTAATGAAATAGTAAGGCAAGTATGTAAAGATGTTTGTGCAAGAATGTTCATTGTGTGGTGTCGCTTATAAATGAAAAAACTGAACTAATATTTGTATACTTACATATTACATATGTATATGGCATATATGTGAATGTAGTACATTATGCAAATGGATATTTATGTAACTCCATGCTCAATCATATCTGGAAAGACATATAACTCCATAGTTAGGATGTTGATTCACATCATTTTAGATATTAAGGTAATTACTGCCTCAAAATGTAGGGCAGGCCCAACCATCAGCAGCTCAAAGAAATCCTCAACGATCCAGATTCTCTCCCTGTCTTTGATTTGTTGTTTGACCATTGGGTTCCCCTAAAAAGATTTCCCTCATGGTCCCAAGATGGTGCCAGAGGCAATCACACTACTTGCTTGCTTTTTCTACTTAAGTAGGAAGGTGAAGGAGAAAAACTCTGTCCCAAGCATTGACTCTAAGTCTTTCCCTTCCATCTGGGCCAGGAGCATCTGCAAGGAAATGACACATACTGATTGTCAACCTCTCCTTAATGCAGCTGGGATCACTTTTCCCAGAGTCTTATGAGAGGGATGGATGCGTAAATAAAACAGGAATTATTTTAGGAAAAACGAATGGAATGAGGGAGACACTAGGTAGGCACCCATTGGTGTCCTATGACCACCATTGTTCAGAGTGGTTATCACTAAGGGATTGGATTATAGATTGTGTTTTGTTGTCCTTGTTTTTACTGGCTCTTAATTGCTTTTTTTTTTTTTTTACAAAGATCATATAACATTATAACATCAGGTGGGAAAGTTTTTCCCTGATTATATTTTTTGTATAGAAATAAATATATTTATTATAATAATATATTATTTTTATATATAATAATATATTTATTTCTATATATTTTAGTATATATTTACATATAATATATTTTTATTTTAAAAATCAGTGGAAAATCTAGACTTGAAAATGTGCTGATATCAGTAACTCTATGTTCACATGCTAGAAATGTTCAACCTAGGCAATTGCTTTAAAGTCATAAATTTAGAAGATGAAATGTAAGCAAGGGGCTTCCTCTGCATTCTCAATATTCCCTAATCCCTGTCTGCTTTGCCAACATGCTTCTCTGTGGGTGCTCAACAATTTGTGGAGGAAGTGTATTTATAAGTATTTAGTGTTGAACAGAAGAATACAGAAAGGTAAGTGTATGCTACAGCATAGCTTCTATCTTTCTATCTCCTTTTCATTTTTGCTGCTTTCTTTAACTTGATATCCCTTCCCTTAATACTCCATAAAATTATTACATTTAAATATTAAGAGTATAAGGTACCATCTTCAAATAGCCAAAAATTTTTAAATGTTACTAACTCTCTTAAAAAATATAGTCTGACCTCTGTGTCCCAGCAATCCCACTCCTGTGAGTACAGGCCTGACAGAAAGACTATACAGATATTCACCAAAGGACATGTACAAGAATGTTCATATCAGCCCTATATATAATAACCCAAAAACTAGAAACAACACAAATGTCTTCAACAGCAGAATGGAAAAATTATATATTTACACAATGAGATATGACACAGCAAGGAGATGGAACAAATGCACGTATGCAGTACAACATGAGTGAATCCCAAACACATGTTGAGTGAATGAAGCCACACACAAAGAAGAACACAGTATAAGATTCCATTTATATAAAACTCAAAAACAGGGAAAACTAATCAATGGTTACAAAAGTCAAAATGATGGTTACCTCATGGGAAGCAGTGAGCAGAAGGAAGAATGTGAAGCATCTGGAATTTGGGCAATAATGGATTTCTTAACATGGATGCTGGTTATACAAGTGTGTTCAATTTGGTAAAACATATCAAGTTGTGAATTTAGAATACTTGTACTTTTTTGTATGTATTTACTTTAGGTTTATTTTTTAAAGTTTACTTGAAAATTATGGCCTGAAAATATAGTTATCATCTCTTTCTTATTTTTAAGAAATAAGATGATAACTGTGTATTTTATCATCTCTTTCTTATTTTAATGGATAAGAATACTCTTGGCTATATAGTATTGTCTTACCACATGATTCCTTCTACTCCTAAAATATTATGAGACAGATCAAGCAGAGAAGCAGATCCCAACCTACAACTTAATTGAGTTCTCAAACCCTTTCTCTCACTTCTCACCCTGTACCCCTCCTTTCAACACTTCTGAGTCTCAGTTGGCTCATGTGGACAATTTTCTCAGGCTCCTATTGTAATTAAGCCCTCGGTGGGTTTATGCCCTATCTCTGCAACTTGGTAATGGTCTGACTTAAAGTAACTTAGCTTTCAATGTCTCAATTTTCTCACCTATAAATGTTGTTAATAAATAATTGTTCCTACCTCATATCATATCATAGTAAGGACTAAATGAACTAAAAGATGTAAAGCACTGAGAGTAGTGAGCTCATTGGACAACACTGACTTGCATTAATTCTATGACACATCTTTTAACTTCTTAGAAATAAGATACATTCTACAAGCAATGGTGTCTTACCACTACTGTTGATCAGATGGCAGTTCTGAAATAGCTGTCACTGCTTGTGAATACAGCTTTTATTGTCCATTTTATGTGTGCATGAGTGAAATACGAAAATAATACTTTCTCTAAATAAGCAATTATTGGCCGGGCATGGTGGCTCACACCTGTAATCCCAGCACTTTAGGAGGCTGAAGCAGGTGGATAACCTGAGGTCAGGAGTTCGAGACCACCCTGGCCAACATGGTGAAACTCCGTCTCTACTAAAAATACAAAAAAAAAAAAAAAAAAATTTACCAGGGCATCGTGGCATGCACCTGTAATCTCAGCTACTTGGGAGGCTGAGGCAGGAGAATCACTTGAACCTGAGAGGTGGAGGTTGGAGTGAGCCAAGATCTTGCACGCCAGCTTGGGCAACAGAACAAGATTCAATCTCAAAAAAAAAAAAATTATTTCAATAAGCACAAAATTAAAATTCTAGGACACAGCTTTTGTTTTCTTTGTGGTGAACACATCAGTTAGGCATATCAATGGATGGCATCTTAGATTTGTTGAAATGTCCTCACGTAATACATCACGAAGTTGCTGTTAAAAGCTTTCTAGCATTATTCTATTTTTCATATATTTTTATGCATTATTTAGTTTTAAAATTGCATGTAAAAATCCATCATTTTAAGGTAGATATTTTTTAGTGTTGTTTAAAGCTTTCCTATGGAATTGGGCAATTGAGAGACTTCCCAGGGATGCAGTGAACTGTGACTAGATGCTCTGCATCACATATTTCCTTCTACTTGTCAAATGTCCTCTTTTTCCCTCCCCCACTGCCAATCCCAGAGCATCAGCAGACTCAGGGCTGGTCGCGGGGTGTTCCCACACGCCTTCTCCTGACTGCCACCTCCCTATTGCTGTCTCAGCTCAAATGTCAACTCTCCATAAAGAGCCTCCACCAACCCATAAGTTTGCTGCATATTGGAACCACCTGGGGATCATTAAGTAATCCTGATGCCTTGTCTCACCGCCAGAAATTCTGATTTAATTGTTCCGTGGTGCTACCTGGGCATTAGGATTTTTAAGAACTCTCCAGATTATTCTAATATGCAGCCAAGATTGGGAACCACCGCATTACCCCGTTTGACTGATACCTCGATATTCTGATACTCTCTTATTTGCTGACTTGATGTTGTCCGGATCCAACATCATCCACTTTTGTACCCCAGCACCTCGTGCAATGTCTGACACACATACTAGGTCAACAAGTGTTTTCTAATATTGTGGAATCAACTGAATTTTACAGTGCGACTTCTGAGAAATGTAAGGAACTTCAGCATCTTCCAAGAGTTGCCACTGGGGCCGAGGAGAATTCAGGAAGTGTTTCAGATGGGGTCGCTCCCTGGACCTTAGGTAACAAGCAATTCCTGGCCCACACCTGCCCAACCCTCTTCAGGCCCCAGCTGGCAAGCAGAGCGGGATGTTAATGGGGCTGACGGTTCCCTCTAGGTCCTCCGCTTTGATCTGACCTAAGGCAGCACTGGGACCATCTAGCAGATCGCTCCCTGGCCCAAGAGCTTCTGATCACAGGGCAGGGTATCAGTGCTTGTTTACCTGCTTTGGGGGTCTCAGAGGACAAACAATGAAGGAGTCTCAGTGAAAGGGAAACTCTCACAGCGGGGTTCCGCACACGCAGCGCAAGGGGACGCTGCGTCTTCTGCGGCGCAAATCTTTCGACCCTCTGCGCTCTGCCGGGGGGTGCGGGACAGCCGGCTGCTGACCGGGGAAAGGACTGCAGCTTGTGGGCGCAAGCAGCTGCAAGGAAAGGCCTCAAAGCATCAATATAATTTTTAAGCTATTTCCCGCCAGTTGTGAGCCCGGGATGTCAAGCTAGCAAAAACTCCGACGTCTCCAAGGAACTAACTTAAAGATATATTATAAGTGAAAAAAGCAAGGTGGTTAATAAAGTGTATAAAAGCGTGCAGATGGGTGGGGGACAGATAAAGAGAAATTCAGGTGCGCTTACGTACTTGCTGGTGCAAACATAACATTATAGCCCCAGAAATACACAGGAGAAACTAATAGTGATTGCCTTCACTTCGAGGAATTGGGAGGCGCAAGAGTTGGTAATCTGGTGGCTTTTGGGTTGCTGGGTATTTTTTTTTTAACTCATGCAAGTACGTTAAGTATATATTGATTTTATATTATATAATATATACTACATATAATGTATTGTTGATATATTCATACATGTATGTAAGTGTTATCAGTTGTTGCAGTCAAGATGTCTAAATTAACCTCTGCCCTGGACGATGACCTAAGGGTACGGAGAAACAGAGAAGACTCTCGGCGTCAAGGACCAAAGAGGGAGGGTGAGAGGAAATATGTGGGATCCCCTACCCCCGTATCTTTTCCCAGAAGCCAATCTGGAATGGATGTGTATTTGTAGGGGGCGGTGATAAGATAAACTGGGGCGCTCGAATACCTGAGTGCCATCCAGACTGCATTTGGAGATCTAAGCCGCCAAAGGCTGGGAGGTGGGGAGGAGGACAAAGGAGGGGGTGGGATTGCGAAACCATCGCCCTTATCCTTCTCTGCGTCGTAAGCGCCAGGAACCCAGCCCCTAAGGGAGCCTTCCCTGACTGCAGCGCCTGACGCCTGGGTTTGAGCCCCTACGTGGACTTTTTTTTTTCTTTTTCCCGGGCTGCGCGTACCAGGGCGTGGGTGGGAGCGATAGTGCATCACCGGGGGAGCATTCGCCACTCGCTCAGAGCCCTAAAAGACTCCTCTGAGGCGGAGTTGGCTGTCGTGCTGGCAAGTGCGCAGTCCCAGAGAGGAGTGTTTCGGGATTAGGGTGTCCGCCGAGGTCCCGCGCTCAGAGGAGGGAGAGACCAGAGGAGCCTTCTCGCTTCCCAGCCCTTGCTCAATTGGAAGGCTTCAAACGTCTAGGGGGAGGCGAGAAGCGCTCCTAAAGTCCAAAAACCCTAGCTTTAGAGCGCGCTTTCATGCAGGAGGCAGGGGCACCGCAAACCCCAGCGAGGAGTAGGAGAAAAGGAAATTTATCTGGAAGGGGATGAGGGAGAGAACTGGCTGTTGCTTTGCCGCGCCTCTCTCTTCGGGACCGAGGGATCAGTTTTCTGTTAAAAGTTTCAGAGTTCCAGGCAGAAGGTACCGCCTTCTCCATCTTCTAGGTCCTCCTGGACTTAAGGTTCACAAGTTGTGTAACCTCAGGCAAGTTATTTTATCTCTCTGAGCCTGGATTTTCTTAACTGTAAAGCGAAGATGCTGAAAGCACCTACCTTCAAGAGGTGGGAGTGAGAGCCTAAATGGGATGATGTATGCCAAGGGCTTGGCCCAGCCCCAGCACTTAGAGAGTGGACAACCCATGTCATGATTATGCCAAGCAAGGATGACCGATTCTACCGCAAAGTTGGGATTTGCAACCGAGTCATGGAGCCCGGTTTTCTCCAGAGACTCATTCTGAAGGTCCACCGGCTGTAGATGGGTACTGAATGCCGTTCACTGGCTTGCTCCGAAGACTCACAGGGTCCCCGTTCCATAGCCTACATCTGTCCCCCCCAAAGAAAACAATGACCCAGCCCTGCCACCATTCACACGTACTTAATCCCCCCACTAGGAGCCCCGCAGCCCAGACCGCTCGAATTCACATCCCCAGGCTACCATTTTCAGCTGGGTGCTTTGAGCCAGGGTCTTCGCCTCTCTAAGCATCACTTTACTCTTCTGTAAAATGGGATTATAACAGTTTAGGGTGCTTTTTCTTTTAAAAGATTATACAAGTAAAGCAGAGCAAAGTCAGCTGCTGCTTTTCTTATTCTCCTCTTTTGTGAATTTGCAGATAAACTCTGTTCTTGAAAAGTCAGCCCTAAGTGGTGGAAAAATGATCCTAGCTGCTCTTTGTTGCCCCTTGGATACGCCTTTACTATGGCTCCTTGATATTCTGTGGGGGGAGGGAGTTCCAGGGACCGTCCCGGCCCCTACCGAGTGATTAAGCAGCCCAGGCCGGCTTGGCCTTCGGGGCCTCCTCCGGACTTCCCTCGACAGCCGCTCTCTGCGGTAGATCTTGCTCTGCACTTGCTCTGTCCCCTTAATTTGCAGATGCCGCCACTGAGGCCCGCAGGGACCCACAGCGAGTGGATCCAGATGGCCTCTTTTTCTGGACATCCAGTTAAGGGTGCCTTCTCCTGGAGCGAGAACCCTGCGGGAGGCTTCCGACTACTCACTTAACTCCTTCGTGGTCAGGCGTTTAACCAAGTAGGTGGAGAACAAAAGCTGAGCTAAATACCCTATTTTCTTTCTTTGACAAGTAATCGGCCGGAACGGCAAAATCCCAGCGGGTGGCGGGAGATACTGGAGGCCTTGGGAAAAACAGAATGCTAATGGCCGCCTGGAGGGGGCGGAAGGCACAGCCTGGTTAGGGCGCCCCAGCCGCCTCGCTTTGAAGTGCACCTCTCCAGCCGAGCTCACCGGGAGGGCACTTGATTTCCCCTTTCGGGGAAATAAAGAAGAGCTGCTAGAGTAACTGGGGACTCTCTTTGGTTCTGACTGACTCCCTCCTGCTTCCTACCCCTGGTTCACGTTGCTTTTGACCTGTTTGCTCCTGGCCTCCCCCATCGGACTGGGAATCCCCGGGAGGAAAAAGACTAAGGTTTATTCATCCTCATTTAGCTCCAGTATCTTAGTAAGAACGGTAAAAAGTAAGCTCAGTCTAAGTGTAATGGCGAGTAGTAGGAAAGACTTCCTATGTAGGTGCCAGGTACTGTTCTAATTGCTTCATATTAATTATGCTGTTATACAAGTGGGGAAATTGAGGCACACAGAAGTTAAAGAGCTTTCCCAGACTCACAAAGATAGTAAAGGTTACAGCCACAAATACATACAATTCTGATACAAGGTTCTGTTTTCTCTTAGAAGTCTGGAAAGGGAGACCTTTAAGGAATGACTGCGACGGTTTTCTATCCTGTTGTCTGTCCTTCCTTTCTCCTTCCCTCTCACTGTTTCTTACTTGGTTATGTTATGGGCTTACTTATTTCTGCCCCCAACCCAAACTTCCTCTCCCTACTTTTCTCACATAGGGTCTGGATTGGGGAATTCCAGCTACCCCTGTCATATTGAAGCCTTGGTCAACAGGATTTGGGTTCTGCCCACCTGTTGTGTAGACATCTTGCTGCACCTGTATCATAGGTGTGCCTTCTGTTGAAACATTAATTTTCATAGACTCTGTCAACTCTGTTAGTAAAGTACAATTGATTTACATTCAGATTAACATTTCTCCTTGGTGACATGGTGTTTGCTTCCCTTAGCAGCTGTACTACAATTCCAGCACTAACTTCTTTTTTTCTATTTTGCTATGGAAGAAGCTTAGCATGGACATACAGACAAAGGCCATGCCACAATGTAAGAACCTTGAGATAGAAAAGGTCTTAAAAATGATATATTTTAAAGTCTGAAAAAGATGAAAATATCATGTCTTTTAATTTAGAAAGATCTTTGTTTTCTTTTTCTCTTAGGAAAAAACTTTAGTCCTTGTGGTTATAAAGCCTAAGACCTGACACTGTCCCTGACCTCTGTTAGCTGTTCCAGCACACAGGTTTAGTAAATCTTTTCATTTAATTGATAAGCACCTACTGTGCTCCAGGCTTTTCAGGGTAGAAAAATGAGCAAGATAGATGGAGCCCCGTATAACTTTCGTATATAGTGTAGCAACAATTAGCCAAACGTTCCCAAAATACACTTTCTTGAGAGTGTTTTACTTTCTTTGCCTAATGTGGCTTTTCTTGTTATTATATATTCCCATATACATGATGAGGAAGAAGAAAAAGATGATGATAATGATGATGATAAAACAGCAGCTAAATACAGAAATTCATTAGCAGTTTAAAAATTACTTTCATAAAAAAGGTAAGTCATGATTTTGTGCTGTTGCCAAAGACTCTTGATTCAATCTTTAGGAGAAGATAATTTATCTTTTGTAATAAGCAACTATTAGTGTGTTTATTTATTAACTTCCATTTCAGGATTCCTTCACCTCCTCATATTTTAACAGTGAACCACAAAGTGCATTAGCAATGTAGATATATAGACTTAAAGCAAAGATAATAGTTTAAATTGGTCATTTTTGTTGAAAAAAATACCATGGGTTTAATATAACACTTCACGTCACACATGTGTAGCTCTGGTTTGGGGTTTTTTTGTTTTGTTTTGTTTTTGTTTTTTTGTAAAGCAAGTGGTCAGTGTATTTCAGTGTCATGGTGAAATATAAATTCTAAAAATTCTTATAAAAGTGAAACTTTTGGTGGGAGTATCTTGCTCTTGTCAGCAGAATCAACACTGCTTGTCTTTGCCAAGATGTTTTATCTTACGGGACATTTGCTTAAAAAAAAATGAAACATGAACAACCTAACGGTGATTAAAGCTCCCTCCCTCTTTGGAAAGCACAGCAGAGGTGGCAGATCTGGCCATCAGAGAACAAAGGGCCAAAGAGTGAACCTGAGTTGGTGAAATAAAATGTAACATCAACAAAGAAAGGGCCATAGATAAATAGTAAAAGGACCAACTCACCACAAAAAACCCATTGACGCTTTCCCAGAGTCCAGGCGAAGCGCTGGTGACCGGTTAATGTTGGAATGTTTTCCTAGGGTTAAAAGGAGAACCGGCAGCAAGTCTGCTCAGAATTTACAAAGTGTTTGAATAACATGGACAGTGTTTTGATAACACGTTTTTAGTGGGGGTGAAAATAATAGTATTTATTGGGACATTTATATGGGCCCCCTTGGTTGTGGGGGGTGGGTGGCACATGGGGAGAGGTAAACCTTATATCATTGCACTCATCTATAACTCACCTCTGTAACATACCCATATGTGTGTAAATGTATTTCTTATATAATAATCCTGTTCCAACCAAATGCTTCTCAGTTTTGCTTTTAAAAGATCAATGCATGGCTAGTGGTTACCTTTAAGGGGGAGAAAGAGATAAAGAGGTCATCTGGTCAAGTTGGCAATAACTTTGACCAAGACAGTGGTATGAAGTTGGTATTATTCCTCAGAACAATAGAGCGTGAGATCTTTAATGTGTTCACACACAGACTTGGCCTTGGCTTCCTGGTAGCCTTTAAAGATTCCTGCTTGCTCCATCTCAGGCTGAAAGGTACAAGATTTGAGTTAATCCAGCAGGTATTTGGGTCTGGGGTTTCAAGGGGTTTCCATGTTTCCTCCCCAGTGTTGATGTTTTTGTTCAATGTATTCCAATACACTGTCAGTTGAGCCACATAAAACCAGGCACCTTTCAATAAATGTCTCATTTGGATTTCATGAAGCTTGGGGTGTAATTGAAATCAAACAGCAAACAGGCTGGAAGGCTCTGTTATTTGCCCACCCAGTCTAAGGAGGGTGCTGCCTGACATGTTCACTTAAGCCACTGCTTTGGCTTTCTTTTCTATTCCTACTTCTGGAAAGGAGTGCCTGGATTTTAAAGTGTGGCTGGGACACGTGAAAATATTTTTTATGTCTCTTCCCCTGGCTATAATATTGAGCCAGCAAAAGGAAAGCCCATTTCAAGCAGGAAATCACAGACTTGCTCATCTATAACTCTCCAGGCATTCTAGACTAGTATATTCTAAATGTAATAATAATAATAATAATGTGATTAGCTAATTAACACAGAGGAACCATTAAATGAGATTTTTTATCTTCAGCCAGAAAAAAAAAGATCTGTAGCTGAAACAGTGCTTTTCATTATTTTAAAGAGAATTTGTAACATATACTTACAAATGTAATGTAATACAATATGTAATATAATATTATGTACATATTTTCCATGTTCCAAAAATCCTGGGTCCTAGAGTAGTTTTATAGAAACTGAATTTTTATTCTCTTTGAATTTGTCTTTGCTCCTCCATATGTAAAATGTGTTGAAGTTTGGGAAAAATAATAGATTTACTGGGGAAGTGGGTAGATATCAACCAAAATTTCCTGTCCCCAAGAATCAATACAAATTCTAATTATATACATCGTGTGTATATTTAATAATTAGGTGGTGCTCATACTGAACTCATGCGCTTTCAAAAGCTTGCTCTGGGGCTGGAATAAAATCAACGCTTTCTGATGTGGCTCGGGGGACAGCTGGCCCGCGTTATTCGCGCCAGAGTGGGTCGGAACGATGCCTGTTGCCTGCGATGGCACTTTGCCACGCGAAGCGCTTCCCTGGCTGCGTCAAAAGCATTTTGAAGGGACGCCGAGGCCCGCTTCTTGCTTTGTTAAAGCGCAAAACTGTCATGTACCTTTGGCCACCCTAGCTCCAAATAACGTGAGATTAGGTCTCACATTAGGGAGATTTCTCATCCCTACTTTTGCCTTAGATATCTTGCAACTCAGGTAAAGGATAATGTGGAGGATCCTACGAATAGTAATCAGGACCCGCTAGCCCAGGGATAGATACGTCGTCCAAGCCGCCCAAGCTGCACGGCCTCTTTCTTTCCTTGAGCTCGCGTACCCCTCACGGGATCTTCACGTTGACAGTCATGAGGTATTCACAGAGCTATACTACTTGAACAATCAATGTTCTAGACTTCCTTGGGTCAAAATAACACTAAAGCAGGGGAGGAAGGCATGGACAATGTAGTGATCAAAACAGCCGTGCCAAACACTAACTATACTGATGACACAAAACGCAGGAAGCGCAGGGCAGAACGCGCTCAGTACCAGCTTTCTGGCGATCTGCTCCTGGCCACTCTGTCCCAGGACCTACAAGGCCACCGCCCCAGCCCACTAGTCTCAACTTGCCCCCTCCCCTGTGGCTGTGCCTTGACCCTGAAAATCTTCGCGCACTCCTGGGTTTCACCACCACACACACGCGAGCGCGCGAGCGCGCGAACACACACATCAAAAAAGAAAAAAAAAACCGTGATAAATGCCCTGGAGAGTCTAAGTGCATTAAGGACCTCGTTCTCGGAGACCCCAGACATGCCGATGTTGGTGCTGCTGTGGTTGGAAAACTGGGTTGGAAAGCTTCGCACTGTTCTACACTTGCGTGTGCGCACTCAGCAATCCTTTGGCCATCTCATCTGTTGTGGGCGAAGAGTTTCCCGTGTGATCGCGTTCGGTTGGGGAAGCAGAGTCCCGACATCTCAGCCGGAAAATGCGCTCCCGGAGCGATTACTGGCGGCGTCTGTAATTGCTTATTAACAGCGAATATTCAGGCTTCTCCTTATCCGCAACGAAACGTGCCCCCCGCTTCCGTAATAATGAAACGATAAAATATGACGGCCCCGCTCTTGAATCTATCTGAGGAAACGCAGCGAAGAAACAAGCAGCTGGAGTTTAATTCAATATCAAACTGATTATTTCACTAATTATTCTACCTTCTGTATTTGCCGCAGAGCAGAGGCGCAGGGAATCCTAACTGTGGGGCTGTTAGGGAAGCTTTGTTTCTTGGTGTCAGGCCTAACTGAAGATGGTGGTGAAGGGACGGAATCCGGGATCAGGAAAACTGAGCAGAAAGGATTTTAAATTGTGGGGAATAAAAGTGACTGTCTCCCCGAAAGCAGTTGTGTTGGCGTGAGTATGAAGTTGGTGTTAGCTCGCTTAGTTTCACTCTTGTCCTGTCCCCAGTACCCTGTCCAAGCTTCTGATTTAGAAGCTGAGAGCTTAGGTCCTCCAGGATGGCAATGTGCTCTGGCCGTCCCCGGAATCCCAAAAGCTTAGCGCGAGTTTCCTCTCTACAAACCTTTCCCACTGGGTAAAAGGATGGGAACAAACAAAAAGTGGTTCTGTGCGTTGAAGGCCAGGGAGTTTGCCTTCGACAAGAGGAAGGTGTGCTTTGAAGTTACAGCTTCCGACGAGGAAAGAGACTTCCTTGGGCCTGTCTCCAACTTGCCCCAGTTTCCCCAGCCTCCGGGACGGGCGCTTCCCTGCAAGCTATCAGCTTGAAGAGTCTTTCTCTCTCTGGCCTCTAAAATCTGCTCCAGCCATCTCATTCCTCCAGCGGAGGGCTGAGATGACTAATGCGCCAAGGGTGGACACCGCTATGGAGACCCCAAACTTTGTCCCCCTAAATTCCGGCGAAATTACAGACACCAGGATTGATTATCACAGCGGGACGCAGTCTCAAAAAAAAAAAAAAAAAAAAAAAAAAAAAAAGGAAAAGAAAGTCACAGGCGACTTGATCCAATTAGTAAATGCCTAATTGAATTAGTGTCACCTCCACCAGCCAATAGGAGGGTCTCCGGGCTGTGAGGCCGGGAAGCCCCTCCCTGGCCGCAAATATATAAAGCAGCTAGTGACAGCCCATAAGTTTCCAAGTGGTCAACTTGACCGATGCTTTGGCAATTGAAAAAGGGCAGAAAGGCGCGGGCTAGTGGGTGGATGGGGACAAAGATCTAAGTCACCTTCTTCCAGCGTGTGAGCCTGGGAGGAGGGTGGGGGTCCTGAGGAGCAAGAGGTACGAGGAAGGAAAAGGAGAGGGCTTCTGGGTTAGTTTCCACCTCCTGCTTTCCAACTCACGGCGCTTTCCTTCCGGAAAGGACGCTGGATTCAGGGCGCGCCAGTACGCGCAGTAGCGGCCCGCGAGTCGGCAGGTGGGTAGCCCCGGCGCGGGAGGAAGGGGAAGTTACCTTCCCCTCGGAAGAGGGCGCTGGCTCCCCCATCCTGCCTTTATAATAAGGCCACCGGAGGAGAGGAAGCAGCCAGCTGCCGTCTGCGCTTTGCAAAGCATGCAGTTAGGGGAGCAGCTCTTGGTGAGCTCAGTGAACCTGCCTGGCGCGCACTTCTACCCGCTGGAGAGTGCGCGAGGCGGCAGCGGCGGGAGCGCTGGCCACCTCCCCAGCGCGGCCCCCTCTCCTCAGAAGTTGGACTTAGACAAAGCGTCCAAGAAGTTTTCCGGCAGTCTCTCCTGCGAGGCGGTGAGCGGGGAGCCCGCAGCCGCCAGCGCAGGGGCCCCCGCGGCCATGCTTAGTGACACCGACGCCGGGGACGCATTTGCCAGCGCTGCGGCAGTGGCCAAGCCGGGGCCCCCGGACGGCCGCAAGGGCTCCCCCTGCGGGGAGGAGGAGCTGCCCTCCGCCGCTGCAGCCGCCGCCGCCGCCGCCGCCGCGGCTGCGGCCACTGCGCGCTACTCCATGGACAGCCTGAGCTCCGAGCGGTACTACCTCCAGTCCCCCGGTCCTCAGGGGTCGGAGCTGGCTGCGCCCTGCTCACTCTTCCCGTACCAGGCGGCGGCTGGGGCGCCCCACGGACCTGTGTACCCGGCTCCTAACGGGGCGCGCTACCCCTACGGCTCCATGCTGCCCCCCGGCGGCTTCCCCGCGGCTGTGTGCCCACCCGGGAGGGCGCAGTTCGGCCCAGGAGCCGGTGCGGGCAGTGGCGCGGGCGGTAGCAGCGGCGGGGGCGGCGGCCCGGGCACCTATCAGTACAGCCAGGGGGCTCCGCTCTACGGGCCGTACCCTGGAGCCGCAGCGGCGGGATCTTGCGGAGGACTGGGGGGCCTGGGGGTTCCAGGTTCTGGCTTCCGTGCCCACGTCTACCTGTGCAACCGGCCTCTGTGGCTCAAATTCCACCGCCACCAAACTGAGATGATCATTACGAAACAGGGCAGGTGAGCGCAGCGTGGAGGGGCCCCTGGGTTCGGGGATAAAGGGTGACGTGTGGTCCTGGGGAAGGTCCGGGATGAGGGAGCTGAACCCAGTTGTTCCGCGCGGTGCTTAGAGTGTTTCACCGCGCGCAATAAATCTCCGTAGACACCGCATCTCCAATGCGGTGTCCCTCTGTGTCAGTGCCCCGGCGGCTCTTGCAGGGTGCCAATGTTACGGCTGTACACCGCTTTTCCCTCCCATCATCCTCACCTGAACAGACCTGGAGGAGGCGGAAATGGAAATTAGGGCATGTCCACAAGCTGGATTCGTTAGATCCTCCTGCTCGGCGGTATGCTTGTGCATGCCTGCATGCCGGCAAGGAGCCACGGATAGGGAAGGCTCAAGAGCTGGCCACCTGAGCGCAGTAGATGGGCTCCCGCAGTTTTAGGCGCCAGGGTCTCCACGGGGCGTCTCCGGGAGGTGGGCATGAAGGCTAGAGCGCCGGCCTCGGAAGCTCGGTCGGAGTAGGTGGTTAGATCTGCCCTGGAGCCAGACCTGGCTCGGGTTCGGTGCGCGAGAAAGTTCTGATATACATCCAACTGCTAACACTGGCTACTTCTGGGGAAAGGGAGGGGTGGGTGCTGAGAGAGGGGCACTCAAAGGGGACTTTTAGCCTAAAGTTTTAATATATATTTTTAACAAGAATAACCTAATATTGTTCTCTGGTACTTTTCAAAATGGTGCATTTAAAAATTAGTAGTTTTTAACATTCTAGGAGAAAAATTTTAAGAGCGTCTGAAAGGGCCGAGAATATGAGCCTTCGGAAGCACGCGCGAATTTGGAATATACCGATGTTGGGGCAAGCTTTTTTTTTTTTTTTTTTTTTTTTTTTTTTTTTTTTTTTTGAAAAGACGGAAAGGTTCCAAGAGTTGCCAACTCAAAAATATTTTACATAGTTTCAGACCACTTGATCTACCAGCATTCTGTTCACTGCAAACTTTTAAATGTGTTCCGACCCTATCCCAGGTGTCTGGGGAACCCGCTGGGGCCTGGGCCTGTTCTAGGACATCCCAATTAAAATCGATTTTTCTGATTCTATTCCCTTGCACAGGCGCATGTTTCCTTTCTTGAGCTTCAACATAAACGGACTCAATCCCACTGCCCACTACAATGTGTTCGTAGAGGTGGTGCTGGCGGACCCCAACCACTGGCGCTTCCAGGGGGGCAAATGGGTGACCTGTGGCAAAGCCGACAATAACATGCAGGGTGAGCAGAGAAGAGGCTCGGGCCGGGGAGGAACGGGCGGGAAGAAATCGTAACCCTCGACTCACACAACTCACATTTAAATGTAGCACTTTTTTTTTCCCCTTCCATTCTGAGGCCTAGAGGTGTTAGTATGAGTGTCTTTGAGTTGCTTGTTTGACGGAGAGGAGAGTTTGCTAAGTCAGATTTCTTGTCTGCCAATATGTAGATATTTAGAACCTTTAACTAAGACATCACCCCACCCCCCAATCCCTACGTTTAACAAATCAGTAGTCATAAGCTCTCCAGGTGGGAAGGGCTCCTGGGATTCTAATGTTCACTTGAGAAAGCCCAGCCAAAGTTTAGTTCACCCATAAATATCCAACTGTCTTCCATCGGATGTTGCCCTTACAGCTTTAGAAGGCCCCAAATTGACCTTCAAGAGTCATCTCTTGTTAGCTCCGTTTCTAAATTCTGAAATGCCATTCAGGGGAGTCCCTAGTGCAAGGAAGGTTGGAAGCACAGGGGCCTGGGAGGGATATGGATGTAGTCCTGCTGGTCTCCACTGGCCTCTTTAAGCAACTTTTACTGGGAGACCAACTGTAAGTCTAGCTCTTATATCTTGCTCATAGCTAAGAGACATCCCTCCGCTTTCTCCATTTGTAAACAGCCCTATATGCTTGGGTTTTGTGTTTTGTTTCATTTTCTCTTAGGCAACAAAATGTATGTTCACCCAGAGTCTCCTAATACTGGTTCCCACTGGATGAGACAGGAGATTTCATTCGGGAAATTAAAACTCACCAATAACAAAGGCGCAAATAACAACAACACCCAGGTAGAGTGACAGAGCAGGAGGGGATATCTTCTGGCTTTGACTATAAGGCTTTTTTCTAATAAGAGTCCCTACTCTTTTCACTGTATTTATAATATTTGCATTTGTGACCTGTTTGCTCGCCTATTTCTAACCATTTTTGTTCTTTTGACCTTTCTCATCTTCACTTTCTTATTGGATTTCGATAACAGTGAGTTGACTATTAAGAACAGAAATAGCGAAGTATTTTGGGAATTTAGGAAACCAAGAGGAAAGCATATCTATCACAACCACATACCCAGCTATGATTTAAATTTCAAAAAAAAAGGGGGGGGGCAATAATGAGACCTTTAAACTTGCAATAAACAAAGCTGTTAGTGAGGAGCATTTAGAAGTCCAATACCAAAATACATAATTTGTCAAAATCTAATTTTGTTGAACCACTAAGAGGCTTTTTAGATTTAGCAATTTTTTTCTGTACTCTTTCCAGATGATAGTCTTACAATCCTTACACAAATACCAACCCCGACTGCATATTGTTGAAGTTACAGAGGATGGCGTGGAGGACTTGAATGAGCCCTCAAAGACCCAGACTTTTACCTTCTCAGAAACGCAATTCATTGCAGTGACTGCCTACCAAAACACCGATGTGAGTGTCCCAGACATCTCAAGAATCTCTAAAGCTAAGGTCCAGCATGATAAATCACTCAATGACTGTTTTTCTCCCCTATCTAGATTACTCAACTAAAGATTGATCATAACCCCTTTGCAAAAGGCTTCAGAGACAACTATGATTCGTAAGTGCAGCTTTTATCCACACTTGCCTGATCATCTCTGAGCAGGACATACATCAACAGGCACTTTGCTGATAATGTATTTTAGGAAGAGCTTTTACCTTTGGGATTTTTACATATTTTTCTTTTTCCAAAATTTTTTCCTTTACTAATCTTGCTTTAGATTTTTCTCAGAAAGGTTGTGTTAATTTCTGAAGAAATGTTAAGGACTTAAAAATGAAGAGGTTTTTTTAGCATTTGAGTGAAGATTTGAAATTTTAAGAATCTGCATTTATATATACCTTTCTTTTCATTTGATCCATTTTTTTATCCTCCCAAGAGCAGATATTATTACTCTCCCCCACCCCCACTTTTTTTTTTAACATAAGAAAAAACTGAAACTAAGAGGATGTAATTTCACAACACGAAATAGCAAGGCCCTGCTCTTTTTAAAATCTGAGTTTTCTACCGCCACAGCCAGTGTTTTTTCCATCACATTGACAAAGGAGGTTTGATCTGAGTTTTTCGTGTTCTAGGACTAGTAAAGGTAGATTTTCTATAGTTTAAATACTTGATGCCTAGGAGGAAACTTTTTCTTGCATGGTGGGAAATTTTTCCCAATAAGCCAAGAGTCCAGCTAAAATGGGCCAGTGCATCTCCTGCCTCTGTTCTTTCAGCCCAACAGACCAGCACTTTCGGTGTAGATAACCAACACAAGCCTTTTTCATTTCTGGGAGGTGGTTTGTTTGGGGACAACATTAGGGTTTTTTTTTTTTTTTAAGTGTTTCTCTTTATATTGTAGCATGTACACCGCTTCAGAAAATGACAGGTTAACTCCATCTCCCACGGATTCTCCTAGATCCCATCAGATTGTCCCTGGAGGTCGGTACGGCGTTCAATCCTTCTTCCCGGAGCCCTTTGTCAACACTTTACCTCAAGCCCGCTATTATAATGGCGAGAGAACCGTGCCACAGACCAACGGCCTCCTTTCACCCCAACAGAGCGAAGAGGTGGCCAACCCTCCCCAGCGGTGGCTTGTCACGCCTGTCCAGCAACCTGGGACCAACAAACTAGACATCAGTTCCTATGAATCTGAATATACTTCTAGCACATTGCTCCCATATGGCATTAAATCCTTGCCCCTTCAGACATCCCATGCCCTGGGGTATTACCCAGACCCAACCTTTCCTGCAATGGCAGGGTGGGGAGGTCGAGGTTCTTACCAGAGGAAGATGGCAGCTGGACTACCATGGACCTCCAGAACAAGCCCCACTGTGTTCTCTGAAGATCAGCTCTCCAAGGAGAAAGTGAAAGAGGAAATTGGCTCTTCTTGGATAGAGACACCCCCTTCCATCAAATCTCTAGATTCCAATGATTCAGGAGTATACACCAGTGCTTGTAAGCGAAGGCGGCTGTCTCCTAGCAACTCCAGTAATGAAAATTCACCCTCCATAAAGTGTGAGGACATTAATGCTGAAGAGTATAGTAAAGACACCTCAAAAGGCATGGGAGGGTATTATGCTTTTTACACAACTCCCTAAAGAGTTATTTTAACCTCAAAAATTAGCTAACTTTTTGCAGATGGACTTGGTGGTGTTTTTTGTTGTCTTCTTTGCCTAGGTTGCCAAAAAGATGTTTGCCTTCCACCTTGATGCATCCTGTTTTGTGCAATTCTCTAAAAGAAGGTGCCAAAGCTTTTTGATTGCTGCAGGTAACTGAAACAAACCTAGCATTTTTAAAAAATAAGATTAATGGAAGACTTTAAGGTATTTTAAAATTCGAAGGGTATCCAAGGTTCTGTATTTATTTATTGGGGAGACACTAACCCTTCAAAGAAGCAGGCTGTGAACATTGGGTGCCCAGTGCTATCAGATGAGTTAAAACCTTTGATTCTCATTTCTATTTGTAAATTCTTAAGCAAATAGAAGCCGAGTGTTAAGGTGTTTTGCTTCTGAAAGAGGGCTGTGCCTTCCGTTTCAGAAGGAGACATTTTGCTGTTACATTCTGCCAGGGGCAAAAGATACTAGGCCCAGGAGTCAAGAAAAGCTTTTGTGAAAGTGATAGTTTCACCTGACTTTGATTCCTTAACCCCCGGCTTTTGGAACAAGCCATGTTTGCCCTAGTCCAGGATTGCCTCACTTGAGACTTGCTAGGCCTCTGCTGTGTGCTGGGGTGGCCAGTGGGACTCAGGAGAGAGCAAGCTAAGGAGTCACCAAAAAAAAAAAAAAAAAAAAGGGAGAATTTAAAAGTGTACAGTTGTGTGTTTAGATACACTATAGAATAATGTGGTATATATTGTACAAATAGTCTACATAGGTGTCTGGGATAATGTAAAACTGGTGCTTTGGCTTTGTAAAGAATTTGCAAATCACTTAACAGCTGCAGGGGCAAGGGGAGAGTTTCATCATCCCCATGATATTTGGGAATATTCTGTTTACTTCTTAGATAGTTAAGAATGTATTCAGCTACTATGTACTAACTTGAACCGTGTTTAAGGAAAACTCCTATTTCATCCTCTTCTTGCGCCATCCCCTCTCCCTAACTTGGTAATGTGAAGAAACTAAAACCTGATACCACAGCTCCTATAGGCATTTTAGAGATCTTGGATTTTTATGTACAGTCTTAGTCATTTTTAATAAATGTGGTTCAGTAAGGGAACGGACATAGCTCTGTCTTCTGTGCTGTTGGGGTTTTCATCTTTGCTTTAAAGATCTCATTTTGCTTCCTCCTGTATCGTTTTCAGCTTTAACAGTGCCTCACCCATCCCCTACCTCCACGGAAGGCTCTAGAATCTCTAACTGGATACTGTAGTCATGCGGGGGTGGGGATGTTTTGTTTATCTTCTTTTTTCCTTGAAGTGGAATGGGGCTATTTCCTTACCCCACTGGGAAGTCTGGACAATGGGTGTTGGCGGGGCGGGGGAGGGGGGCGGGGGAACGGGGGAGGGAAGATTGCTGCCGATTGCCCACATCAGACTTAACCAAGCCTCGAAAACCTCCGCTTCTGGCTCTTGGAGACCAGGCTCTGTCAGAGCGCCTGGCCACTAAGTTCTCTGGGCTTTTTTCTAGGCTTACTTGGGGCCACCCATCCTTAGGCCCACCTAGGCTCCCTGGGAACCCCCGTGGCCCTTTGAGCGCCCACCAGTTCAGGGTCCCTGGGGCGCGGCGGAGCGGGGGGCTGCACACAGCTCAGCTTCTGCGCCCACCTGCGGCTTTCTTCTGAACCCAGACGCTGCGCACCCGCCGCCGCCGGCTGCCGGCCTCAGTAGCTGCAGTCAAACTCCGCCCGGACTCGGTCTGAGGCGCAGGCTAGGGACGGGCGTGGCACTTACAAAGGAGGATTCCAGTCGTTCCGTGCACTGCCGCTCTGCAAACAGTGACCTTGGAGCAGTTCACCTTGCGCTTAGTTCCGTTTATTTGGCCCACGCTCCACGGGAAGACGAAGGACAGCCCATCCCCTGGCTGAACCCTGGGAGGTCCAAAGAGTGGGGTGGAGGGTCCCCTTTGTCCCCCCAGCCAGACGTCCCGCCAGGCTTATCTGCAGACGGCTTCAGGCCCAGATTGCAAACCTTTCCAGCCCCCTCCTGGACCCTCCCGGGGTAAAGGTCTAGCTGGGAGGATCATTCTGCTAACTGTGTAGCGCGGAAATGCAGCTGCTAAGA
Source organism: Homo sapiens (assembly GCF_000001405.40). NCBI lineage: Eukaryota > Metazoa > Chordata > Mammalia > Primates > Hominidae > Homo > Homo sapiens. Next base: position 27,714,949 of record NC_000003.12, on the reverse strand, counting down.
GGATTAGCTGCTGGGAGGCGAGCAATCAGCCGAGACCTCCTCCCCTTCTGCGCCCAATTAAGGCCGCCAGGACCTTGTACCTCGACTGTCCTGTCTCCCTTCCCCTCCGTCCCTCTGGGGCCCGAGTTCTTCCCGCGCCACCCGTGACCTTGGGGGCTCGAACTCCTGCTCCGCGTTTCCGAACGGCCTACTCAAAACACTTTGGCAAAGGCGCCCCGAACTTTACCGGGGAGCCAAGGACAAAAGCGTTGAAGATGTGCTTTTTAAGATATATGTACTGTGGATGACTGATTTAGATTCCGGAAGGGAGACTCATAGCCCCCCTATCCTGGTCAGCGCCTTCCCCACACCCCCAACAGCCCCCTTACATCTGCATCCAACCACCGAATATTGGGAGATGCGATGGAATTTCGAAAACAGTGCTCTCCTATTTCTGCCCTCTAGAAAGCCCCAAAGTGCTAATCACTGCCGGGATATAGCAGATTCTGGCCCTAGTCTATTTCGGGTCCTGTATGTTTTTGCATCGTACAGTAAAAAAGAACCTGGTACTTGTGAAAAGTCCCTCACAGTGTTTAATAGAAACGTAAGTGGCTGAGTGGCCCCAATTAACACCTTATGATAAGGCATTCCTAAGATGGAGTGTCAGACACCAAATTGTGAAGAGATGTATCTAATTAATCCTCCTAGGATGACACCGATAAACAAGCCTCTATTTAAATAAAGATCAAGGGCTCGGCGCCCGGTTTGTTTACATTCTCCGCCAGGGTCTCCTAGTATGCACCGGTGCAGGCGGTGTTCCCTGCCCAGGGAGGAGATACTGGCTCGGGGGTCTGCTGGCTCGTCCTGGTTCACATCTCCGTTCTTGCCCCAAATAAACAAAAAACCACAATAAAATCAATAAATTGCAATGAAACAGGAAAAAGCAGTGCAAAGAGGACCTGACTCGGAGTTGGAAATACTGTTATTTGCCGTTTTCCACTGGTGTTCTTTCCATCACCAAACACTTTTTGGTTGTTGGTTTGCGAGGGAAAAAAGGAAGAAGGGGGGAAAGCAGCCCACATGTAGCCTCTAGAATTCTTTTCTGCTCTGGAGAGAATTCGGAGCAGGACCTTCCTCCGGTCCCCACCCCGCCCCGGCACGAGTTCGCTCTGGGTGGTTCCAGAATTCCTCCTCCTGGGTGTAGAAGCTGGGAATTGTCGGGATGTAGAGTAGCTATCCTGGGGGTGGAGTGGGGAGCCGCAGACGTCTGGAAGGGAAACTGGGAAAGGTGGGAAGAGTCAGAAAGAACTTGAGGAGGAGGGGAAGCAGCAGATTAGCGCGCCATATTTTCAGCCCATGTTTGGGCCGGATTTGGAGCCGGTTTCAAGTCTGCAGCAACGTATCTTCCAAACCTTCAATGGAGAGTTTCGAGGCTCCAAATCTGTTTTTGGTCCCGGTTTCCCTTTTTACAGCCGTCTTTGATTCGCTTTAAACCTAGGTGAAAGCAGACTCACGGTCTTCCCTCTCCTCTGCAGTCTCTTCTTTCCGAATTAAACCTGCGTAGGGGGAGGAATGTAATTTTTTAAATCTCTGCGGGTGTCATGGAAACGCTCTGGAATAAAAACTTCCCCGCATTCCCTTTGATTTTTATGGACATTCAGCTAACAGTAGGAACAAAAATTAAGATCTTTCCTTTCCCATTCGCCTGGACACTTATCTTTCCGGCTCGCGCCGCCGTGTCCTCTACCCGGCTACACAGCGACTCCAAAAGTTTAGCTTTCACCCCGCGGAGATTTCGACAGCTCTGGGAGGCTCTTTTTAAAAGGGAATTTGGAGAAATCTGTTGCTGAGCACGATTGAGTCCCACTCTATAAAATACCCATCACCCCGCCGTCATTCCTCAAGTTTACGCTTTCAAATATGCGAACCCCAAGGTCCAGCCCGGGAGTAAGCCAATCCCAGGACCCGGTCCACCGGCGCGTGTCTTGAAAAGAATGTCGGAGGTCAGATTCTCTCCTACCGCTTAGAGGCCTCGGCTCAGCGCACACATTTGGGGTTCGCAGGGCTTCCGCGCGCCGGAACCCGACCTGCGCTGGATTTTCTTCCGGGCGCAGGAGCTAAGCGATATCTTGGACAGTCTGAAGTTACAGGCACCTTTTTCTTCTCCCCCCTCTCCCCCAACAAGACGATGGGACTCCAGCCTTGCTGGTCATCGAATTTCTCCTTATTACGACTTAAATGAAAAGTAAAACACGAGACGTGGGCGAGTGCGCACACACACATCCACCCCCTTCTTCAACTCTGGGAGTCCTCTGTGTGTCGCCGAGGGCACGTATGGAGTTCGCCAAGGGAAGGATTCAGCTGCCCAAATGCTAACCAGGCCCTCAGCAATGGTCCCTAAAGTGCCCCCGCGTCACATGGATCTCTGACCGCCGCCGAAGCAATGCATTATTTCAGGCAGCATTCCCCTCCCACCAAATACACATTAAGAGACACGAGTTTAATTTTCCCCTGCCTCCTTGAAAAGCTCCGAACCCCTTCCTATAAGCCCTTGTGGGGACAGCAGGGCTTGCACAATGACTTTTGTAACTTTAAGTTCTACCCAGGTTTCCCCACACAGTTGGAGTGGAGGAGGACCCCACGCCTCACCCTTGGCCTCCAGGTCCCGCAGCAGAGTTTCCGCGCGGGTCTGCAGGCTCCTCTCTCTTCTGGGCCGCGGGCAGCCTTCGCCATCTGGTGGCCATGGAGAGTAAGGATCTCCCCAGCCGAAGAGAGCTCCTCCACTCTTAAAGCTGCTGCTTTGTCAGGTCCTGAACAGTTCCGTCAAAAAAAAAAAAAAAAAAAAAAAGAAAGAAAAAAAAGGACCCAGTGGCGCGATCTCACTGCAACCTCCGTCTCCCGGGTTCAAGTGATTCTCCTACCTCAGCCTCCCGAGTAGCTGGGACTACAGGCGTGCGCCACCACACCTGGCTGATTTTTGTATTTTTGGTAGAGGCTGGGTTTCACCATGTTGGCCAGGCTGGTCTCCAACTCCTGACCTCAGGTGATCCACCAGTCTCGGCTTCCCAAAGTGCTGGGATTACAGGTGTGAGCCGCTGAGCCCCACACTCCTACGCTTCTTTAAAAGTTTTTTAGTGTAGGGGAAGGAGCCTGGAATTTGGAGTTCTGTGACTTAAGTTCTAGTCCGCCGCCCCTTACAGCGGCATTGTCTTTAGCTTCACTGAACTTCATTTCCTCATCTGTGAAGTGGGGATTCCAACAGCACCTATCCCGGCAAAGAGTACTGAGAAGGAAGAAATGAGATTATAAATTTAACTGTTTTGTAAACTGTTGAGTAGTTCCGAATATTAGTAGGTATCACTAATTACTAATTTTATAACATGTATGATAGTAAACTTAGATGCATTAGCAAAGGAAAGTTTTTATTAATTCAGAAATAATTACAAATATTATGCAGTTTGAAAAAGTAGAGAGCAATGGACCCCCATGTGTCCACTACCAGCTACAATAACCATCAATCCATGGCCTCTCTTATTTCTTCCTGTAATCCCCACTCCACTCTTTCTGCCACGAATCCCGAAATTCCTGTCCTCTAATCCACAATTATTTCCGTACACAGCCCTTAAAGAAAAGGACTCTTTTAAAAAAAAAAAATATATATATATATATATATATATATATATATAACTGTCATGCTATTATCTCATCTAAAAAATCAACAATCATTTCTGAATATCGGGAAATATCCAGGTACGTTTTTCTGGTTGTCTCATAAAGTTGTTCTTGTTATTCTTTTTGTTTGCTTGTTCCTTACAGTTGTTTGTTTTAATCAGGATCCAAACAGGTCCCACACATGTGATTGATGTATCACTTAATTCTCTCAGTCTAGAACTCTCCCCTCTCAACTTTTCTCTTTTATTTTTCCTTGCAATTTATTGAAGAAATTGGGGCATTTGTTCTGTCTAGTTTTCCAGGTTCTGGTTTTGCTGATTGCAGTTCAGTAGTGTTAACATAGTCCTCTGATTCTTGTTTTTCCAACAAAGTGGTGTTTTATTGATCTGATCTAGATTCCACTTTTTTTTAGTAATAATATTTTATAGGTGGTAATATTCCATGAGGAGGCTCATGATGTCCAGTTGTCTCTTTTGGGGGCAGGTCTTTGTACATTGATGACTGTCAGTTAGACCCACTATTTCATTAAGGGGTTGGCAAAGGAGGTAAATTCCAGTACAGCTATTATTATCAATTACATATACATGAGAAAATTTTACTCAATGACACTTTGAATGTGACATTAAACAGAGTAAGCCAAAAAGCCAAGATCTCTGCTCTTTATATATCATCACAGGAAAACAGAGAGGCCTTCTGGGGAACATGAGACACAGAAACCTAGGTGTAAAATGGACAAAATGCATAAATTGGTAAGACTTAGTGGATGAAACATATTTATTAAGACAGTCTAATATGCCCCAAATTGCTAAGAAATCACATTAAACCAGTGCATATCAAAGTGATAAAGTAGGTTTCCATCTGTTTTTCTACTCTCAGGGCAAATTGTCAATTTCCTGATGCCTTTAAAAATATATTTCAATAACTCATAAGGAGGAGCATCATATGGAAATCATAAGTGCTAAAAAAAGGACTATTAAATAATTTGGTTGTTAAGCAGGGAGGGGAGTGATTTCATCTACCACAAGAGAAGTGGTTTTTTACCACTTTATTTGGAAATGATTGAGGGAGGAATCTGAGGGAGAGAAAGGTCGGGGGAAAGTCCAAGTTACTATCCACAATTCACAGCCTAGAACTTCTAGAACTGGAATGGAGTTGGTTACTGAGAGAGACCATCATGGAAATTCAAAGAATAACAAGGGTAGATTTGAACATGTAGATACCATTGCCACCATCTTGTTCCCTTCCTCGTCCCAGACACCAAATTGTAGACTATTCCGCAAAACTTCAGGCAATCAGAATGTTTCCTGCAAAGGTCTTAGATTGCCACCATTTCTTCTTGAAATGACTCAATATTAATGCCATAAGTATATAGCCTTCTGTTAACTAGCACTTCTTCCTAAATCCCTAAATCAGTCATCATTCCTTGAGTCACCGAATTGGAGAGCTGGGAGGCACCTTAGAGACTGCTCTAGTTCTATAAACCCCACTATACAGAGGCAAGAACCAAGTATCACTATGGTTTTGTGGTTTGCCAAGCCCCTTGAGGAACTCATTGGTTTGGCAGTGTATCATGGGTTAGACCCTATACTTTGGACATACAATATTTCAGAGGCTTGGGAAATATGTTTAGTCATGAAAACGTTAAATTCAAAAGCATAGTTTTTATTATTGTTTATGTTTTTCAGAGGATGAACAATATTTGAAATCCAAATGTATCCATGATTAATTTTTCTTCTTTTTCTTCTTCCTCTTCTTTTCTTCTTCTTTTTTTTTTTTTTTTTTTTTTTTTTTGAGACAGGGTTTCACTTTATCACCCAGGCACAATCATAGCTCACTGCAGCCTCAAAATCCTAGGTTCAAACAATCCTTCTACCACAGCCTCTTGAGTAGCTAGAACTACAGGTGCACACCACTATGCCTGGCTAATTAAAAAAAGTTTTTTTGTAGAGATGGATTCTCACTATGTTGTCCAGGCTGATCTTGCAATTCAGGGCTCAAAATCCTCCCACTTCAGCCTCCCAAAGCACTGAGATTATAGGCATGAGCCACCACACTCAGCCTTTTTTTAAGCCTATCATGGAGTGGTGCCTTCTTCATTGCACACTTTGGCCTATATAGCTTTGGGGTAGTGAATCCACAGAATATATGTTCTTCACCCTACATATTTGCTGGTTTTCTTAATCTTGGCAGGCAAATTTTGTCTTTATCTTACAGATCTAAAACCCAAGAATGATCTTTGGTATTTTACTTCTTTCAGGATTCAAGTTCCTCTGGTAAAAAGGCTTGTTGTTGATATAATTAACCAATAGTCTGTGCTCATCACTAAATATTTAGAAGACCACAGACACAGACTACATAGCTGTTATAGAAGAGCACAGAGAAGCATGAGTTAAGTTAGTGTGCAAAAATGTGTATACATGCTTGTATGTAGGAGTGTGTATTTGTGCCCCAGAGCTAATAACATTAAGCTGAGATTACAGAGTGTAGAATACAACTTGGAGAAAATGGTTAAGATGGTATCTAATATTTCCATTAGGGACTTTTCTGTTCAGAGCTGTCAAAACAGATTCTGTGAATTGACTAGACTATGGAAGGTGATCATAATGATATTGATGAAACACATAACTGAAAAACAGAATTTAAATAGAAGAGAGTCTCTAGAAATACAACTAAATCTTAATCTGGAGATACATGCCTCAAAATAACTCTCTCCCATTCCTTTTTCCCTCTCAACAAAAACAAACTCACTGGAAAAGGACAATCAAACATTTCCAAGCCTTGCAATGCCCTATTTCCCATCGGAGTTTCGGGAAAAAAAAATGTATGAGTCACATTCTTAACCTGGCAATAAGGTCCACGAGGTATTTGGTTTCTCTGTGTTTGCCAGCTTTCTTGTACATAGGCGAGGTTGCCAGATCCAAAGAGAGAGTAGTGTGGATAAGACCATTTGACAAAGGCTGCAGCTTTAGGAAGAACTTGACCAACCTTTAGTAAACCAGCAAGAAGGAGGCCAGACTCTCTCCTTCCACCCTCAAATCCCCTCAGTGCCCCTGTTTGGCTGAACCCAGTGAGAATCCAAAGGGCTAAACAATCTCTTGATGCAGTCATAGAGGTCAGCCTCCTCTATAGAGGAGGCAGGATGGCACAAGGCAGGACAGAAAAGAATGAAGGGTGAAGCTTGGGGGCAATGAAGAAGAAATCCAGCCCACCTATCACCCTCCAATGTCTTGACTGCTAAAGGATACTCTTGAGAGTACTCTTAAGTACTCTCGAGTTGTTTTGAGATTCCCCAAAGAGGATGTTTCAAGAATAGCTGAAAAATTTGGGTTTTTATGTGAAAATCCCCCTACTTTTCAGTTTTGGCACCCTACTTGAAAAAATTAAATAACCAAAATACTCCTGTGAGGAAGATTTCACTACGGAAAGCTTTTGACCACTGATCTAGAGCAATGCTATGATTTTAATTGAATTTCAAAAATGTCAAAAGCATGGCCGGGCGCGGTGGTTCACACCTGTAATCATCCCAGCACTTTGGGAGGCCAAGGCAGGCAGATAGCCTGAAGTTGGGAGTTTGAGACCAGCCTGGGCTATATGGTGAAATCCCGTCTCTACTAAAAATACAAAAATTACCCAGGCACAGTGGCAGGCACCTGTAATCCCAGCTACTTGGGAGGCTGAGGCAGGAAAATCGTTTGAACCTGGGAGATGGAGGTTGCAGTGAGCCGAAATCGTGCCACTGTACTCCAACCTGGACAACAGAGCAAGACTCCTCTGTCTCAAAAAAAAGAAAAAAATGTCAAAAGCAGATTTCTGCTCTAATACAAGATGGAGTAACAGGGATATGAATTAACTTTCTGCTTGAAAAAAAAACTAAACTAAAAATCAGATATATATATATCTGATATATATAACCAGATATATATATATATATATATATATATATATATATATATGGCTTCCATTAGGCAATGTAAAATAGTAATCTATTAAAGAAGAGAAATGAATGAGGAAAACCCTAATATTTCTCCAACTTACTGCCTGGAGAGTTTCCAGGCCTCAGTTTAGCATGGGGATAGGGACCCAGACAAAGCCCAGCAGTCTTCTTGATTTGAGGAGACAAAACTGTAAGGATGAGGAGGCCAAGATGGCTAGAGTTTTTGGAGCAGAGTTCCAGAGAGGAGAGACCTGCCCAGAAAGAAAAATCTAGAGAAGTGAATAGGGTCTTCCTCAACTCCACCTGAGTGTTGATCAGCACACGCATGTGAAGAAAATACCCCAAGCCCACAGGATTAGGCAGGATTTCTCAACCTCAGCTCTATTGACATTTGGAGGCAAAAAATTCTATATTGTGGGAGCTGCATTATAGGATATTTAGCAATATCCTGACTTCTACCAACTAGATGCCAGTAGCACTACCCCACCAGTTGTAACAACAAAAAGTGTCTCTACACATTGTCAAATGACCTCTATGGGGCAAAATTATCCCAGCTGAGAACTACTGGATGAGAGGTATTAATACCCAGTATTTACCCTGACTGAGGATTGTCCCCTTTCCCACTCACGAAAGTGGAAAACTTCATAATTCATGAGGTATCAGGAAAAGAACTCAGAAGGGTCTTGCTTCAGTAGTGAGCTAAAGTAGTACTGGACTAAATGCTGCTCTGGTTTAATCTAAGTAGGCTTATAAACAAGAAGTGAAACTTAACTATATCCATGAAGAAAGCTCAAGTTATATGTATAGTAATAAAACTAACAACCAGCACAGAACAAAAAATATTTTAAATGCACAGGACCCAATCAAAAATGGCCAGACATTCAAAAAAGCAGGAAAATATGACCCACAATAAGATTAAAAAAATCAATCAAAACCAACTCAAAGTGACAGATGATAAAATTAGTAGACAAGGATATTAAATAGTTACTATAACTGTATTTCATATGCTCAAAAAGCTAGAAAAAAGGTTGAGAATGGTAAGTAGAGACATGGATGATATTTTTAAAAGAACCAAATTGAACTTCTAGAGATAAAAACTACAAATGTCTGAAATTGAAAAACACTTGGTGAGATCAGTGGCATATTATACATTGCAGAAGAAAAGATTAGTGAACCTGGAGGTATAGAGATTGAAAGGATATAAAATAAAACACACAAAAATAAAAAGCTGGAGAAAAATAAACAGAGCTTTAGTGAGCTGTGGGATAATTTCAAGCAGCCTAACATGCCTGTAATTGGAGTGCATCAAAGAGAGGAAAGAGAGAAGGGTACAGACAAGATATTTGAAAAAATAAAGGTCAAAATATTTCAAATGTGGTAAAAATTATAATCCACCAATCTAAAGAGTTCAATTAAACCAATCACAAAAAAATGCAAAGAAAACTACACCAAGGCTTATCTTAATCAAATTATTTAAAACCAGTGATAGAGAAGAAGACATCAAAACAGTCAGGGGGACAAGGACACATTCTGGGCAAAGGAACAAACATATTAGGTTAGGTTAGTGCAAACGTAATTTCGGTTTTTGCAATTACCTTTAATGAAAAAACCTAAATTGTGTTTGCACCAACCTAATAAAAATGATAACAAAAAATAAGTAAGCTGGATAACATTAGAACATCTTTGAAGTACTGAAAGAATAAGTAAAACCATCAACCTAGATTTTTATACCTAAGGAAAGCATATTTTAAAAACAAAGGTAAAATTACTTTCTCAGACATACAAAAGCTAAAAGAATTCATCATCAGGAGACCTAAGCTACAAAAAAAAAAAAAAAAAAAAAAAAAGGTAAGAGAAATGCTTCAGGCAGAAGGAAAATGATACCAGATGGAAATTTGAATCTACTTAAAAAAATGTAGGGCACTACAAATGTTAGCTACGTGGGTAAATATAAAATATAAATATAAAATACTTGTTTTCTTATTTTTAAAATCTCTTTAAAAGAAAATGGACTGTTTAAAGCAAAAATAATAAGATATTCTAGGTTTTTTTCTTTTAAAAAAGATTTTGTTACTTTTTGTTTGTTTGTTTTTTTCTAGCGGCCCTCATCCAATTGTGTGGTGTTTATAACATACATGGAAGTAAAATATGTGATAACTATAGCACAAATGCTGGGAGGGGAGAAACAGAAGCATATTAACTGAGTTATTACCCTATGCATCAAGTGGTATAATATAATATCACTTGAAGGCAAACTGTGATAAGTTAAAGAATCATAAAACATATTCAATTAATCTAAAGTAGGCACAAAAAGAAGGAAAAGGAAATGAATAAGAAACAGAAAACAAATAATACTGTGGTAGATTTAAACCCAACTGTACTAGTCAGGGTTCTCTAGAAACAGAACTAATAGGAGAGATGTGTGTATGAAAGGGAGTTTATTAAGGAGTATTGACTCACATGATCACAAGGTGAAGTCCCACAATAGGCCATCTGCAAGCTGAGGAGCAATGAAGCCAGTCCGAGTCCCAAAACCTCAAAAGCAGAGAAGCCAACAGTGCAGCCTTCAGTCTGTGGCCGAAGGCCCGAGAGCCGCTGGCAAACTACTGGTGTAAGTCCAGGAGTCCAAAAGCTGAAGAACTTGGAGTCAGATGTTCGAGGTCAGGAAGCATCCAGCATGGGAGAAAGATGTTTACTACAAACCCTAAAGCAACCACTAAAATAACACAACAAAGAATTATAGCTAATAAACCAACAAAGTATCACCTGCCCAGCTACTTTTTTTTTTTTTTGAGACAGAGTTTTGCTCTTGTCGCCTAGGCTGAAGTGCAATGGCGTGACCTCGGCTCACTGCAACCTCCTTCTCCCAGGTTCAAGCAATTCTCCTGTCTCAACCTCTCGAGTAGCTGGAATTACAGGCACCTGCCACTACACCCGGCTAATTTTTGTATTTTTAGTAGAGATGGGGTTTCACCATGTTGGCCAGGCTGGTTCGAACTCTTGACCTCAGGTGATCCACCTGCCTCAGCCTCCCAAAGTGCTGGGATTACGGGCAGGAGCCACTGCGCCCAGACAATTTTTTTTATTTTTTTGTAGAGACAGGGTCTCACTATGTTGCCCAGGCTGGTCTTGAAATCCTGACCTCAAGCAATCCTCCCACCTGAGAAATCCACTTTAAAAATAAAGACATAGACCTGGCATAGTGGCTCACGCCTATAATTCCAGCACTCTGGGGGGCCAAGGCAGGCAGATCTCTTGAGGCCAGGAGTTCAACACTAGCCTGGCCAAGATGATGAAACCCCGTCTCTACTAAAAAAACACAGAAATTAGCCAGGTGTGGTGGCACACACCTATAGTCCCAGCTACTCAGAAGGCTGAGACACAAGAATCCCTTGAACCTGAAAGGCGGAGGTTGCAGTGAGCCGAGATCGCACCGCTGCACTTCAGCCTGGGAGACAAAATGAGACTCTGTCTCAAAATAAATAAATAAACGGACACACACGGTTTAAAATTTAAAAGGCAAAAAAGATATAACATGCTAACACTAACTAAAAGAAAGCTAGAGTGGCTATGTTACTATCAAAGTAGATTTTAAAAAATAAAACTGGTCATTTAATAATGATAATGGGATAAATTTATCAAAAGGTCATAATAATCTTAAGTTACCAGCAACAAACAATAGAGATAATTATTTGATGTAACATTCAAAAATTAATCATTGTAATTCACCATGTTAATAGACTAAAAGTGAATAACTATTATTGTCTACATAGACGCAGAAAAAGTATTGGACAAGACGTGCGGCCAGCCGAGCCAGCATTCCTGGCTCGCTTCAAGGAGTGGGTTGGCTATAGGGAGGAGCCCACCGTAGAGACCAAGAGAATCCAGCCTCATCTCCCAGACGAAAATGGGGATCACAGTGACAAAGATGAAGAGCCTCAAGTGATGTTTTTTAAAAAGGGAGACCTGTCAGTTGAAGAAGTCATGAAAATTAAAGCAGAAGTAAAGGCTGCCAAAGCAGATAAAGAACCAGCTCCAGCTGAGGGAAGAATCATGTATCAAAAACCAGTAAAGCACCAGTCAAGTGCCCCTCAGATGAAAAATATTCAGGTTTAAAAGCAAGCCCAAAAAGAAGACAAATTAAGATGCAATAAATCAGGACTCAGTCAAAAAGAACTCACAAAAACAAATAAAAAACAGTAGCCTCCTTTCTTTTGACAGTGAAGATGACAATAAGTAAGTGTAAATATTTTGAATTTAGTCTACGTTGAAAGTACATGCGATGTTTTTTAAAGTAACATTTTTTTCCTATTATAAAGATACTACAGGCCAGGCACGGCGGTTCACGCCGGTAATCCCAGCACTTTGGAAGGCCAAGGAGGGCACATCACTTGAGGTCAGGAGTTCGAGACCAGCCTGGCCAACATGGTGAAACGCCATCTCTACTAATAATACAAAAATTAGCCGGGCATGGTGGCAGTCACCTGTAATCCCAGCTACTCAGGAAGCTGAGGCAGGAGAAGAGCTTGAATCTGAGAGGCGGAGGTTTGCAGTGAACTGAGATCAGGCCATTGTACTCCAGCCTGGGCGACAGAGCCAGACTTTATCTCAAAAAAAAAAATAAAAAAAAAATAAAAACTACAAGTTACTTATAGAAAATTTAGGAAATACAGGAAAAAATTTAATAAACTACATCTATTCATCAATACCCCTCTGACTTAATATGCCAACTCTAGAAATTAGCTAGTATTACCATTTTGTTATTTCCCCTGTGTGGGTGTATATATATGTAAATTATATTTTTAAACAAAATACATTTTGTTTGTGTAAACAAAAAAAGAAACGGTATTAGACAAAATCCAACATTCGTGCCGGGCAAAAACTCTAACCAAACTTGAAATTGCAGGGAATTCCCTCAACCTGGTAAAACGCATCTTTGATAAACCTAGAATTAACATCATATTTAATGGCGAAAGATAGAATGCTTTCCCCCTAACATCAGGGATGAGATGACTCTATTTCTACTCACCATTATACTGGAGGTTCTAGCTTGGCCAATGAGGCAAGAGAGAGAAATAAAAGGCTCTTAGATTGGGAAGATTGAAGTAAAATGGACTTCATTTGAATATAACATTATCATCTACGGAGAAAATCCAATAAAAAGGCCATTACTAATAAATTTTAGTAGAGTTGTAGAATACAAGATCAATATACAAAAGTCAATTTTTTTATATACTAGCAACAAACAATCAGAAATTAAAATAAAAATACTATTTAATAGCATCAAAAATAAGAAATGCTTAGGTATAGACCTGACAAATTATGTGCAAGATCTACGCCCTGAAAGCTACAAAACACTGCTTAGAGAGATTAGAGAAGACCTAAATAAATAGGGAGATTCACTGTGTTCATATCAGAGGGCTCCATATTGTTAGAAAATAAATTCTTCCCAAATTGATGTATAAATTCATTAAGGCTTTTTCTTTTTTAGAAATTTTGAAGCTGGTGTGGTGGCTGTAATTCCAGCACTTTGAGAGGTCAAGGTGAAAATATTGTTTGAGCCCAGAAATTTGACACTAGCCTGAGCAACACAGTGAGACCCTGTCTCCACAAAAAAATTTAAAAATTACCTGGACACAGTGGCACACCCCTGTGTTCTCAGATATTCGGAAGGCTGAGGTGGGAGGATCACTTGAGCCCAGGAGGTGAGGCTACAGTAAGCCATATTCACACCACTGCACTCCAGCCTGGGTGACTGACAGAGAAAAACCCCATCCCCCCAAAAAAGAAATTGCTAAGCTGTTTGTAAAATTTTTCTGGAAATGGAAAGAACCTAGAATAGTCAAAAAAGTGGAAAAAAAAAACCAAGAAGAATGTTGGGGGACTTACATTGTCTTTAGGAATTATTATAAAACTACAGTAATCAAGATAGTATGCAACTGGCATTAAGATAAAGCAATGGAACTGAATATTGTCTAGATGGAGACCATCACAACTGATTTTCAAAATGGTGCAAAAGCAATTCACTGGGAAAGCATAGTCTTTTTAACAAATGGTGCTGCAACAACTGGATATCCAAATGCCATTCATACCTCACATCATATACATGTATCAGTTTAGAATGAACTGACTTAATGGTTATAGTCTTAAATGTAAAAGTTAACACTATAAAACCTATAGAGGAAAACAGGAGAAAAGTTTTGTGACTTTTAGTCAGAAACAGCTCTTTAAGGTCTAACACCACATGTACTATCCATAAAGAGAAAATATTGATAAATGGGACTTTATCAACAGTAAGAGCTTATGTTTCTTAAAAGACATTGGTAAGAGATTAAAAAGATGAGTCACAGAATGTGAGAAAATATTTGCAAATCACATATCTGATAACAGACTTGAATCTAGAATATATAAAGAGCACTCAAAACTCAAAACAAACAACTCAATAAAAAATGAGGAAAAGATTTAAAAAGACACCTTCCAAAGAAGACATATGGAGGATGACAAGCACAAGAAAAGATGTTCAGCGTCACTGATAATCAGGGAAATCCAAATTAAAACTACTGAATGATGGCCGGGCGTGGTGGCTCAGGCCTGTAATCCCAGCACTTTGGGAGGCCGAGGCAGGCAGATCACGAGGTCAGGAGGTCGAGACCACCCTGGCTAACACAGTGAAACCTCGTCTCTACTAAAAACACAAAAACAAAAAATTAGCTCGGCTTGGTGGCAGGCGCCTGTAGTCCCAGCTACTCGGGAGGCTGAGGCAGGGGAATGGCGTGAACCTGGGAGGTGGAGCTTGCAGTGAGCCAAGATTGCGCCACTGCGCTCCAGCCTGGGTGACAGAGTGAGACTCCGTCTCAAAAAATAAAAAAAATTAAAAAAATAAAACTACTGAATGATACAAAAGACCCTACTACGTACCTAATTTTAGAATGTCTACAGTTTTTAAAGATTGGCAATACCAAGTGTTAGCAAGGATATGGAGGAACCGGAACTGTCATACACTGCTGGAGGGTATATAAAATAGTACAACCTCTTTGGAAAACAGTTTGGCAATTCCTTAAAATGATAAATAAATACTGACTGTGACCCACATATTCTACTCTTAGGTATTTATCCAAAATAACAAAAATATATGTCTATAAAAACACTTCTGGCCAGGCGCAGTGACTCAGGCCTGTAATCCCAGCACTTCGGGAGGCTGAGGCAGGTGGATCACCTGAGGTCAGGCATTCAAGAACAGCCTGGCCAACATGGTGAAACCCATCTCTACAAAAATACAAAAATTAGCCAGGCATGATGGCGGATGCCTGTAATCACAGCTATGGGAGGCTGAGGGGAAAGAATCGCTTGAACCCAGGAGGCAGAGGTTGCAGTGAGCCAAGATCGTGCCATTGCACTCCAGCCTCGGTAACAGAGTGAGACTCCATCTCAAAATAAACAAACAACAACAAGAAAAAACACGCTACAAATATATTCATCAGAGTTTTATTTGTAATGACTTCAAACTGAGAAGGCCCAAGTGTCCATTAACCTGTGACTGGATAGACAAATTGAGGTATATCAATGGAATGAAATACCACTTGGTAATAAAAATGAATGAACTATGATACAAGAAACAACTTGGATGAATCTCAGAATAATTAAGCTAAGTAAAAGAAAACAGACAAATAAGACTATGTAATACATGATTCCATTTATAGAAAATACTAACTGCTCCTTGGTGACAGAAAACAGATCACTGGTTGCTTGGGGCTTGACAGAGAGTTATGGGGAAAGTATTTTAAAGGAGCATGAGAAAACTTTTGAGGTGATAGCCTACTAATCAATCAAGTACTAGAAAATTATAACATAGTAAGGTAAGTATTATGATATAGGAAGATTAAGGTATTACGGAAGCACAGGAGCAGTGCGAGTGGTGAGATGAAATGGAAATGATACAGAAAGGAGGTCACAAAAGGCTTTCTGGATGAAAGACATCTAAATTGAGACCCAGACAAAGAATCAGGTGAAAGACAGTAGAGGTGCTTGTAGGGGATGTTTTCGTGAAAAGAAAAAGCACATGCAAGACCCACATATGTAAGATTACAGGGTGCCATTGAGGAAGTGAAAGAAACCCAATATGGTTAGTTATCTGCAATGTGGAGTGAAGAGACGAGGGATGAGATTGGAGAAGTAAGCAGGTCCTTTTGGGTTCTTATGCAGTTTACACTCAACCCTAAAAGTAGTGGGAAGGCATAAGGAAATTTTCCTTTCCTTCTTTCATTTTAACATTTCTGGCCACATTTTCTAAGGTTTTTTTTTTTTAAGACTTTATTTTTTTAAAAGAAGTTTTAGATTCACAGCAGAGATGGGAGGAAGGTAGAGACTTAACATATACCCCTGCTATCCCACACGCGTTACTCCCACCACTGTCAACATCCCCCACCACAGTGGTACATTTGTTACCATTGATGAACCCACATTGACACATCAAAATCACCCGAAGTCCATGGGTTCAGACTTTGTGTTGTACATTCTGTGGGTTTGGACAAATGCAGAATAACACGTATCTATCATTATGGTATCATACAGAGTATTTTCACTGCCCTAGAAGTCCTCTGCGCTCTGCCCATTCATTCCTCCCCCATCCCCAAGTTTCATTGCAATATCGTTTCAATATTGGTGTGCTTTAATCTTTCAAAAATGAGAATTTACCACATAAACACATGGAGTAATTATTATTAATTTATTCCTGTAGGGTATGTTTCCAATATGGAATTATTAGGTAAAAAACTTAAAATTATTTATTTTAATCATTATACATATATAGGTTAAAATGTATAATTAATATTAAAATATGTAATGATTAGATATACATATAGTTACTATCTAAAAACATATAGTTACTATCTAAAATGAGGTAGCCATTCTCACATCTACCAAAGACATGGTTATTTCCCCACACTCTGAATGGTATCAGTCTTTTAAATTTTTGCTAATCTAATGGATTAAAAAATGGCGCTGCCTTTTAGATTTATATTTGTTTCTTTAATACTGGTGGTGCTTCTCCTACATCTACTAATGCCACTCCAAATGCTATTACCCTTTACTGAGCACTAACTATGTAGCAGAAATAGTTTTCAAAACTTTGTCTTTTATTGATTAACTCTCGCAACCCTACAAAGTTAAGCACCATCATTTTCTCCATTTTAGAGGAGGAAACTAAACTTTAGATAGATCAAGTAATTTTTAGCAGGTCATACGGACAGGTTTTAAATGCTGTCTTTCTAACACCCAAAACTCATAATTTTAGGTAAACATCTCTTCATATGTATATTAGCCATTAGCATTCCTCCTTATAAAATGTGTTTGTAGTCTTAGCCTATTTTCTCCTATGTGATTTTATTTTTATTATTGATTTGTAATAATTCTTTATCTGTAATGCTTAGGAACCATTTAATATATATTACAAGCATTTTCTTCTAGCATAAAAAAACTTTATATATGTTACCAATTATATATGCAGAAAAGTGTACATATAAATTTATAGCTTACTAAATTTTGACAAACAACACTCTTATGTAATCTATTTAATAAAAAGAAGATTACCAGTACCCTGGACTTATCCTCATGTTCTCTTTTAGTTACTTCCCATGCCAAGGGTAACCACTATCCTGATTTCTAATGGCACCGATTTGTATCATCTGTGCTTGCACTTTATATAATTGTACTTTATATAATTGAAATAATGTAATGTGCTCTCTTTTGTATCTGGCCTTTTTCATTCAATATATATTTTTGTTTATTCAATGGTATATATATATACTATATATATGTTATATATAAAATATATATATAATGACAACACAAATATATATATTTGCGTTGTCATTGTTGGTGCTGCCATAACAGAATACCTGGAGACTGAGTAATGTATAAAGAACAGGAATTTATTTCTTGCAGTTCTGGAGACTAGGAAGTCCAAGAACATTCTACTTGTAGGTTCAGTCTCTGATGAGGGTTCATTCCACATAGATGGTACTGTCTGGGTGTGCTTACATGGCAGAAAGGCAGAAGCACAAAAGGGGTGAATGCTGTGGACTCACAGGGCAGAAGAGAAGAAGAGCACAATAAAGGGCCTAAGCTGGTTCCCTCCAGCCTTTTTATAAGACACTAATTCATGCCCTCATGACTTAATCACTCCCTGAAAGGCCTCAGCTCTTAATACCACCACAATGGGGATTAAATTTCAACACATACATTTCGAGGAACATTCAGAGTATAGCACACATAAAGTTGTAGATGATTCACACTCATTGTGTAAACATACCATAATTTACTGATCTAGTGGCTTCCAGGTTTACTTATCTGTAGCTTCCAGTTTCCACCTATTATATTTATGAAATTACTGTTTTGACCTCTATAGCTTTATGGTATCTTAATATCCTCCTTCCCTACTCCACCCCCAAATCATCTTTTGCTGAAACTTGGGAGAAGTTTTGATTTTAAAATAATTTTATAACTTTCTTTTACTCCACCTCAAAAGAAAAAAAGGGCAGGGGTTGTCATCTAAATTATATTAATTTGTTTCAAATTAATCTTTTCTACAAAGTTTCTTATGATTTTTAAATAGTCAATCATGCCAAAAACAAATAAAAGTCATCTTGTGTCTTTATTTCTACTATATTAACACTTACTTTGTTTTCTA
This sequence comes from Homo sapiens, assembly GCF_000001405.40. NCBI lineage: Eukaryota > Metazoa > Chordata > Mammalia > Primates > Hominidae > Homo > Homo sapiens. The sequence goes on along the minus strand of NC_000003.12, from coordinate 27,696,677 downwards.
TTCTTTCTGCTGTAGCTAGGATTTCTAAAACAATGTCTTCTTAAACCACAAGAGGGAATTTATTGGAAGGATATTGACAAAGTCTGAAGAACCAGGCCTAGCATTAGGATAGGAAACTATTGAATATTTTCTTCTATCTGTGTAATAGTTTTTTTCAAGATTTAAAGTGAAGAAAGAGCAGTCCAACTGGCTGCACATAGGTCTCTCGCCCATGCTTGGCAGTATTAGAGCAGTGAGAAGACATGGGCTCCACTTAAACTTCCCAATAGGCAAGTCAACTAATTCAGTTACAGTGCAAAATATTTCCTCATGTCAAATCCCAATCTCCACATACTGCCTCTGGCCACCACTGATTTGCATTTTATTGCCTTAAATTAGATTAATTTTCTCTAAAATTTTATATAAATGAATTATGTAAGATGTGTGCCTTTTTCTATCTAGCTGCTTTTTTTTTTCTTTTAATCTGACATCTTTTGCTATGGTTAAAGTTTTTCAGATTCATCCATGTTTTTCTATCTATTAATAATTTGTTTTCTTTTATTGCTGAGTAATATTCCATTGAATGGATATATTCAATTTGTATATTCATTCACTCGTTTGGATATTTTGGTTGTTTCCAGTTTGGGGCTGTTACAAATGAAGCTGCTATGAATATTCTTATGCAGATCCATATGTTCTCATTTCTCTTTGGTAAATACTAAGGATTGGAATCGCTGGGTCATGTGGTAAATGTATATTTAACTTTACAAGAAACCACGAAGCTGTTTTCCAAAGTGATTGTAACTTTTTACATTCTCACCAATAATGAATGAGAGTTCCACTTGCCTCATATCCTCACTAACACTTGGTGTGGTCAGTCTTTTTAATTCTAGCCATTTGAGTGCATGTGTAGTGGTATAACATTGTAGCTCATTTTGTATTTCCCTGATAACAAATGATGTTAAGTATCTTTTCATGTACTTATCAGCTATTTATATATTTTCTTTTTAATTTTTGTGGGTATATAGTAGGTGTATATGTTTATGGGGTACATGAGCAGTTCTGATACAGGCATGCAATGTGAAATAAGCACATCATGAAGAATGGTGTATCCATCCTCTTAAGCATTTATCCACTGAGTTGCAAATAATTCAGTTATACTCTTTAAGTTATTTAAAAATGTACAGTTGTTATAAATTACTATAGTTACCCTGTTGTGCTATCAAATAGTAGGTCTTATCCATTCTTTCTAATTTTTTGTACCCATTAACCATCCCCACCTCCCCACTATCACCCCACTACCCTTCCCAGCCACTGGTAACCATCCTTCTACTCTCTGTGTCCATGAATTTAATTGTTTTGATTTTTAGATCCCACAAATAAGTAAGAACATGCAACGTTTGTCTTTCTGTGCCTGGCTTATTGCATTTAACACAATCATCTCTAGTCCTATCCATGTTGGTGCAAATGACTGAATCTCATTCTTTTTTATGGCTGAATAGTACTCCATTTTGTATATCTACCACATTTTCTTTATCTATTCATCTGGTGATGAACACTTAGGCTGCTTCCAAATCTTAGCTTTTGTAAACACTGCTGCAACAAACATAGGAGTCCAGATATCTCTTCAATATACTGATTTTCTTTCTTTGGGATATATACTGGGATTGCTGGATCATACGGTAGTTCAATTTTGAGTTTTTTGAGGAACCTCCAAACTGTTCTCCATAGTGGTTGCACTAATTTACATTCCCACCAAGAGTATACAAGGGTCCCCTTTTCTCCACATCCTTGCCAGCATTTGTTATTGCCTGCTTTTGGATATAAGCCATTTTAATTGGGGTGAGATTATATTCTTATTCTTATTATAGTTTTGATTTGCATTTCTCTGATGATCAATAATGTTGAGCACTTTTTTTTTTTTTTTGGATGAAGTCCCTCTCTGTCACCCAGGCTGGAGTGCAGTGGCATGATTTCTGATTGCTGCAAACTCCGCTTCTCAGGTTCAAGTGATTCTCCTGCTTCAGCCTCCTGAGTAGCTGGCATTGCAGATGTGCACCACCATGCCTGACTAATTTATGAGTTTTTAGTAGGGATGGGGTTTCACCATGTTGGCCAGGCTGGTCTCAAACTCCTGACATAAGGTGATCCGCCTGCCTTGGCCTCCCAAAGTGCTGAAATTACAGGTGTGAGGCACTGCACCTGACCATTGAGTACCTTTTTATAAGCCTGTTTGCCATTTGTGTGTCTTCTTTTGAGAACTGTCTATTCAAATATTTTGCCCATCTTTTGATCAGAGTATTAGATTTTTTTCTATACAGTTGTTTGAGCTCTTTGTATATTCTGGTTGTTAATCCCTTGTCAGACAGGTAGCTTGCAAATATTTTCTCCCATTCTGTGGGTTGTCTCTTCACTTTATTGATTGTATAATTTGCTTTATAGAAGTTTTTTAACTTGATGTGATCTCATTTGTTCATTTTTGCTTAGGGTGCCCGTGCTTATGGGGTGCTGCTGAAAAACTTTTTGCCCAGATCTATGTCCTAGAGATTTTTCCTTGTGTTTTCTTGTAGTAGTTTCATGGCTTGAGGTCTTACATTTAAGTCTTTAATCCATTTTGATTTGATTTTTTTTTTTTTTTTTTTTTTGTGACAGAGTCTTGCTCTGTCACCCAGGCTGGAGTGCAGTGGCATGATCTCCAGCTCACTGCAACCTCTGCCTTCTGGCTTCAAGTGATTCCCTGTCGCAGCCTCCTGAGTAGCTGGGATTACAGGTGCGGGCCACCACACCCAGCTAATTGTTGTATTTTTAGTAGAGACAGGGTTTCACCATGTTGTCCAGGCTGGTCTCAAACTCCTGACCTCAGGTGATCCACCCCTCTTGGCCCCCCAAAGTGCTAGGATTACAGGAGTGAGCCACCGTGCCCGACCTTGATTTGATTTTTGTGTATGCCAAGAGATAGGGGTCTAGTTTCATTCTTCTGCATATGGATATCCAGTGTTCCAGCACCATTTATTGTAGAGACTGTCTTTTCCCCAGTGTATGTTCTTGAACCTTTGTTGAAAATGAGTTCACTGTAGGTATGTGGATTTGTTTCTGGGTTCTCTATTCTGTTCCATTAGTCTATGTGTCTGTTTTTTATGCCAGTAGCAGTATAATTTGAAATCAGGTAATGTGATTTCTCTAGTTTTGTTCTTTTGGCTTAGGATAGCTTTGGCAAGTCTGGATCTTTTGTGGTTCCATATAAAGTTTAGAATTTTTTTCTCTATTTCTATGAAGAATATCATTGGCATTTTGATAGGGATTGCATTAAATTTGCAGATTGCTTTGAATAGTATGGACATTTTAACAATATTGATTCTTTCAATCCATAAACATGGAATATTTTTTCATTTTTGGGGGTCCTCTTCCATTTCTTTCATCAGTGTTTTATAGTTTTCATTATAGAGATCTTTCAGTCTTTTGGTGAGATTAATTTCTAGGTATTTAATTTTATGTGTGGCTATCGTAAATGGGATTACTTTTTAATTTCTTTTTCATATTGTTTGCTGTTGGCATATAGAAATGCTACTGGTTTTGTATGTTGATTTCATATCCAGCAACTTAACTGAATTTGTTGATCAGCTCTAATAGATTTCTTGTGGAGTCTTTAGGTTTTTCCAAATATAAGATCATATCATCTGCAAACAAGAATAATTTGACTTGTTTCTTTCCAACTTGGATGCTCTTTATATCTTTCTCTTGTCTGATTGCTCTAGCTAGGACTTCCAATACTATGTTGAATAACACTGGTGACATTGTGTGTCCTTGCCATGTTGCAGGTCTTAGAGGAAAGGCTTTCAGGTTTTCCCCATTTAGTATGATACTAGCTGTGCATCTGTCATATATGACTTTTATTATCTTGAGGTATGTTCCCTCTATCCCCGGATTTTTTAAGGTTTTTATCATGAAGGGATGTTGAATTTTATCAGATGCTTTTTCAGCATCAATTAAAATGGTTATATGTTTTTTATCCTTCATTTTGTTAATATGACGTATCACATTGATTGATTTGAGTAGGTTGAACCATCTTTGCATCCCAGGGATAAATCCTGGGACATAATGAAGATCTTTCTAATATATTGTTGAATTCAGTTTGCTAGTATTCTGTTGAGGATGTTTGCATCAATATTCATCAAAGATATTGGGCTGTGGGGGTTTTTTTGCTTGTTTTTTGCGGTTTTTTATTATGTGTCTTTATCTGGTTTTGGTATCAGGGTAATATTGGCCTTCTATAATGAGTTTGGAAGTGTTCCCTTCCTCTCTATTTTTCAGAATAGTTTCAGTAGGATTGATATTAGTTATTTAAATGTTTGGTAGAATTCAGCAGTGAAGCCATCAGGTCCTGGGCTTTTCTTTAGTGGGAGACTTTTTATGACAGCTTTGATCTCATTACTTGTTATTGGTCTGTTCAGGTTTTGGATTTCTTTCTGATTCAATCTTTGTAGGTTGTATGTATCTAGGAATGTATCCATTTTTTCTAAATTTTCCAATTTATTGGCATACAGTTGCTCATAATAACTACTAATGACCCTTTGAATTTCTGCAGTATCAACTGTAATGTCTCCTTTTTAATTTCTGGTTTTATTTATTTAAATCTTCTCTGTTTTTTTCTTAGTTTGGCTAAAGGCCAATTTGTCAATTTTGTTTAACTTTTCAAAAAATCACCTTTTTGTTTCATTGATCTTTTGTATTTTTAAAATTTCAATTTCATTTATTTCTGCTCTGATCTTTGTTATTTCTTTTCTTCTACTGATTTGGGATTTGCTTTAGATTAAATTATTTGAAGTTTTTCCTCTTTGTTGATGTAGGCACTTACAGCTATAAACTTCCCTCTTAGTACTGTTTTTGCTATAGCCCATAGGTTTTGATAGGTTGTGTTTCCATTATCATTTGTTTCCAGAAATTTTTCAATTTTCTTCTTAATTTTTCCATTGACCCACTGGTCATTCATGAGCATATTATTTAATTTCGATGTATTTGCATAGTTTCCTAAATTCCTCTTAATTTCTAGTTTTATTGCATTATGGTCAGAGAAGATGCTTGATATTATTTCAATTTTTTACATGTTTTAACTCTTGTTTTATAACCTAACATATGGTCTATCCTTGAGAATAATCCAGGTGCTAAAGAAGAGAATGTGTATTCTGCAGCTCTTGGATGAAATGCTCCGTAAATATCTATTAGATCCATTTGGTCTACAGTGTACATTAAGCCTGAGATTTCTTCATTGATTTCCTGTCTGGAAGATCTGTCCAATGATGAAAGTAGGGTGTTGAATTCTCCAGCTATTATTGTATTGAAGCCCATCTCTCTCTTTAGCTGTAATAATATTTCCTTTATATATCTGGGTGCTCCTGTGTTGGGTGCATATATATTTAAAATTGTTATATCCTCTTGCTGAATTGTCCCCTTTATCACTCTGTAGTGACCTTGTCTCTTCTCATAGGTTTCCTCTTGAAATCTATTTTGTCTGATATAGTGATTCCTACTCTTTTTTGGTTTCTGTTGGCATGGAATATCTTTTTCCATTCCTTTGTTTTCAGTCTATGTGTGTCTTTATGGGTGATGTGTGTTTCTTGTAGGCAACAGATCAATGGGTCTTGTTTTTTTAATCCATTCAGCCAGTCTATGTCTTTTGATTGGAGAGTTTAGTCCGTTTACATTCAATGTTATTATTGATAAGTTAGAACTTACTCCTGCCATTTTATTAATTGTTTTCTGATTGTTCCGTAGTCTTTTCTTCCTTCTTTCTTACAGTCCTGTCTTCTTCCAGTGAAGATAATTTTCTCAGGTGATATGATTTAGTTTCTTGCTTTTTATTTTTTGTGTATCCATTGTATGTTTTTTGGTTTGAGATTACCATGAGGCTTGCAAATACTATTTTGTAACCCATTATTTTAACCTGATAACAACACTATTTGCAAAAACAAACAAACTAGCAAAAAGAAAACCAATAAAAAATCACCTTAACTTTGTTACCCCACTTTTTTTGTTTCTATTTATATCTTATTATACTATGTCTTGAAATGTTGTTTTTGTTATTTTTGATTGGTTCAATCATTTAGTTTTTCTACTTAGAATAAGAGTAGTTTACACACCGCAGTTACAGTGTTATAATATTCTGTGCTTTTCTGTGTACTTACTATTACTAGTAAGTTTTGTACCTTCAGGTGATTGTTTATTGTTCATTAATACTTCATTCTTTCTGAATGAAGTACTCCCTTTAGCATTTCTTGTAGGACAGGTCTGGTATTGATGAAATCCCCCAGCTTTTGTTTGTCTGGGGAAGTCTTTATTTCTCCTTCATGTTTGAATAATATTTTCACCAGATAAATAATTCTAGGGTAAAAATTTTTTTCCTTCAGCATTTTAAATATGTCACGCCACTCTCTTCTGGCTTGTGAGGTTTCCACTGAAAAGTCTGTTGTCATACATATTGGAGCTCCGTGGTATGTTATTTGTTTCTTTTCTCTTGCTACTTCCAGGATCCTTTCTTTATCCTTGACTTTTGGGAGTTTGATTATTAAATGCCTTGAGGTAGTCTTCTTTGGATTAAATTCATTGTTTTTTATTCTTTTTTCTTTTGTCTCCCCTGGTTGCGTGTTTTCAAATAGCCTCCTTTCAAGCTCACTAATTCTTTCTTCTGCTTAATTCATTCTGCTATTAAAGGACTCCGATGCATTTTTCAGTATTCCAATTGCATTTTTCAGTTCCATAATTTCTGCTTTATTCTTTTTAATTACTACAATCTCTTTGTTAAATTTATCTGATAGAATTCTGAATTCCTTCTCTGTGTTATCTTGAATTTCTTTGAGTTTCCTCAATGCAGCTATTTAGAATTCTCTGTCTAAAAGGTTACATACCTTTGATTCTCCAGGATTGGTCCCTGGTTCCCTATTTAGTTCATTTAGTGAGGTCATGTTCTCCTGGATGGTGTTGATACTAGTAGATGTTCTTCGGTCTCTGAGCATTGACGAGAGGTATTTATCGTAGTCTTCATTGTCTGGGCTTACTTGTAGCTGTCGTTCTGGAGAAGGCTTTCCAGATATTTGAAAGGACTTGGGTGCTGTGATCTAAGCTGTTTCTGCTTTAAGGGGCACTCCAAGCCCAGTAACACTGTGTTTCTTGCAGACTTGTGGACCACCAACACCTTGATGGTCTTGGACAAGATCCAGAAGAATTCTCTGGACTACCAGGCAGAGACTCTTGTTCTCCTCCCTTACTTTCTCCCAAACATACAGTCTCTTTCTGTTCTGAGTCACCTAAAGCTGGGAATGAAGTGACACAACCACTCCTGTGGCCACCACCACTATGGTTGTGCTGGGCCAGACCTGAAGCCAGTGTAGCACTGGGTCTCACCCAAGGCCTGCTGTAACCACTCCCTGGATATTGCCTATGTTTGACCAAGGTCCTGGGGCTCTACCATCCACAGGTGCCAAAGCCAGCTAGGCCTCTGTCCTTCCCCTCAGGGTGGAGAGGTCCCCCAAACCCTGGGTGGGTCTAGAAGTGCCATCCTTTACCTGATGTTTTACTGTATTATGGCTGAGCTGGAACCAAAACCACAAGATGCAGTCCTTCCCACTCTTCTCTCCCTTTTCCAAAGGCAAAGGAGCCTCAACCAATAGCCATTGCCACCCTGGCTACAAGAAGTACTGCCAGATTACCACCAATGTTCCGTTAAGGCCCAAGGTCTCTAAAGTCAGCTTGCGGTGGCCTGGGACTCACCCTTAGGGCAATGGGCTCCTCTCTGGCACCAGGCAGGTCCAGAAATGTTGTCCATGAGTCAAGCCCTATAATTAGGGTACCCCAAAGCCCTCTTGGTGCTCTACTCTCCTGTGGCAATGTTGGTACCTATGGTGCAAGACAAGGCCCTCTTTACTTTTCCCTCTGCTTTTCTCAAGCAGAAGGAGTTTTGCTCTGAAGCCACCACAGCTGGTTATGTGCTGAGTCTCACCTGAAGCCAGCAAGTCTCAGAGGCTCACCCAAGGCCCTTGATGTAGGGCTGTTTAGTTAGCTGGATGATGCCAGGACTGGATCCTTTCTTTCAAGGCAGCCGGTTCCCTTCTAACCCAAGGTGTGTCTAGAAATGTCATCTGGGAGCTAGGGCCTGGAACAGGGGCCTCATGACTCTGACTGGTTCCCCGTGCTGCTATGGCTGAGCTGGTATCCAAGATGGAAGACGAAGTCCTCCCCAATCTTTCCTCTCCTCTCCTCAAGCAGAAGGAAGGGGTTTCTTTTGGAGACACTAACTGTGTACCCTGGGAAGGGATGATGCCAGCACTTCCTGGGCTGCCCCAGCTGGTGTCTCAGTACATCACGTGCCCTCCACCCGCAGTCCGCTGTCTCTGGACCTACTTCCACCCTAGAACTTGCCTAAGAGTTGCAGTACTTAGGACCTAGACAGCCTTTCTAGCTTACTTAGAGGCCAAGAGTACTTTGGCCCTCCGTGGTGAGGTTTGTGGGAACTCAAGTTCCCACTTCTGAGATCTGTGATTCCCCTCTGGCTAGGGCTGGTTGAAATGCTCCCTCTGTGGGTGGGTGTCAGCTGAGTTTGGTCCGGTTTTCCTTTCTGCTCTAACAGGACAGCACTGAGTTCAATACCTCACAGCTGCTGCTTTCTCCCTCACCCAGTGCCCAGAGGTGCTCTCCATACCCCACTGCAGCTGCCAGAGTTAGGTAGGGGAGGGGTGGCATTGGTGATTCAGGACTGCTTTTTCTATTTCTTCATTGCCTCTTTCAGTGATATGAAGTTAAAACCAGGTACTATGAGTGCTCACCTGATTTTCGTTCTTATGAAAGTGTTTTTTCTATGTAGATAGTTGTTAACTTGGTGTCCTTGCTTGGGGGGCAATCGGTGGACCTTTCTATTCTACCATCTTTCTCCACCTCCTCTCTATATATTTTCCTTCGGGAAGTATCTAGTTAAATCTTTTACTCATTGTCAAAATTTAGTATTTTGTCTTCTTCTTAAGTTCTATAAATTTATATGAATGTTTCTTAATTTGTAAAGTCAGTTTCAGGAGGAATTTTTAATTTCTTATTTTATTGAATTATCAGAGAATGTTGTTTGAAAATAGTTACTTTTTTTCTTTTTGAGACAGGGTCTCATTCTGTCACTCAGGTTGAAGCACAGTGGTGCAATCATAGCTTACTGCAGCCTCAATCTCAGGCTCAGGTGATTCTCCTACCTCAGCCTCTTGAGTAGCTGGGAATACAGGTGTGCAGCCCAACTAATTTTTTTATTTTTTAGAGATGAGGTTCTCACTATATTGTCCAGTATGGTCTCAAGCTCCTGAGTTCAAGCAATTGTCCTGCCTCAGCCTCCCAAAGTGTTGGGATTACAGGTGTGAGCCACCGCGCCCGGGGAAAATAGTTACTTTTTAAAATAAAATTTTATTGGTGTGTAAGTACATAAAAAATTAATCCATAAATGTAGAGAAGAGTAAACAGTCTCTCTGGATTACAAATTGTATATAGGGATATTAAATCAAATTTGCTATTTATGTTATTTGAATTCCTTCTGTCCTTCATTATTTTCTGTTTACATGATTGTCCAAATTCTTTAAAAATGTACTTTCAAAATTTCTAAAATTGTGGTGTTTTAGTTAAGTTTGCCTTGTATTTTCAGAGATCTTTCCTTAATGTATTTCACTAAATGTTAGTGCTTCACACCAACATCTCTGATCCTTTCAAGCACATGAGAAAGCAGTACTTTTTGCTAACTCCCACGTTGAGGTTTGGCATGGCAATGTGCCTTGTTATGACCAATATGTTTCTGGATTGTTTGATTGCTACTGTACTTTTCTCCCTAATGGTAATCATGAAAATATGTGTTGATAAAGAAGTATCACATGGGGGATAGCTGCCTTATAAAGTTTCCCAGACTTGCAACAGACATTGTTTGAATAATAAACATACTGTGCTAGTCCACTGAAGTTTTTATGATTATTTGTTATTCTACAGCATCACCTAGGTTATCCTAACTAATGGAATCATATTATTCAGTGCATAAAGGCTTATAGTTGTTAGATTTTGTCTTGGATTGTATTTTTATTTTTACAAATATGCTTCTTGCTTTGTTTAATGCATCTGATATTGAATTCACTTTTATCTGATATTGATATTGTCACTTTTGGTTTCTTCTTACTTTTTTTATTTTTGCCTAGAATATCTTTATCTTCGATTTTACTCTTTCCTTGTCACTTTGTTTTCAATATTTTTTCTATTTTAAAAATTGCTGCACTTAGTTTTTTAACAAAAACTAAAAATTATATCTTTTGATAAATCTGTTTATCTGTTCATGTACATTTATCTGTTCATGTATATTTATTGAAATCCATGCATGTACATTTATTGCAATAAATTTACATATTTGGTTTTATTCCTTTCATCTTGTATTCACTGATGTTTTACTTTGTGCTGATTATCCTTTTGCCATTTTCTTTTCTTTTCTTTTCTTTCCCTTTTTTTTTTTTTTTTTTTTTTTTTGGAGACAGGGTCTCATTCTGTCACCCAGGCTGGGGTGCAGTGGTTCGATCTCAGCTCACTGCAACCTTGACCTCCAGGGTTCAAGTGATCCTCCCACCTCAGCCTCCCAAGTAGCTGGGACTATAGGACATAGCTGCCTATGGCAGCTAATTTTTTGCATTTTTTTGTAGATAAAGAGTTTCACCATGTTGCACAGGCTGGCCTTTTACCATTTTCACACTTTTGTTGGCTTAAGTGTGTTTTATCCTTATCACTTATTTTGCTCATAATACAGAACTTTGAGCATGGTTGTGTGGGGGAAAGCTCACCTCTGCTCCATGTGGCTTTACCTAAGTAAGATCAACTGAAGTTTAGAAGATTTGCTTCCAAGACAGCTCACTAATATGGCTAAAGTGTTAGTGCTGGCTGTCAGCTGAGAGCTTAGCCAGGGCCAAGGGCTAGGGGCTTCACTTTCTCTGCAAGTGGCTTCTCATGGTAATTAGATTTCACTGGTGAGCATCTCAAGAGATAGAGCGTGTGTTCTAGACAGAAGCTATGTTGATCTTTATCATCTTCCCTTGGAAGTTCCACAGTGTCACTGCATCTGTTGGTTGTGGCAGTCTCAAGGACCCATGCAGGTTCAAAAGACAGTCAAGATTTTGGAAGAGCATGTAGGATGGGAAATGTTATTGCAGACTTTCTTGGAGAATACAGGGATAAAATTCTTCCCTCTGACCTTTAAATATTACCTCTGACTTTATATTCTGTTTTCTTTTTCTCTCTATCCTTGGGTTGTCTTAATTACTATAACTTTTTTTTTTTTTTTTTTTTTTTTTTTTGAGACAGAGTCTCCCTCTGTCACCCAGGCTGGAATGCAATGTTGCAATCTCGGCTCACTGCAACCTCCACTTCCCTGGCTCAAGCAATTTTCCTGCCTCAGCCTCCCAAGTAGCTGGGATTACAGGCATGAGCCACCATACCCAGCTAATTTTTGTATTTTTAGTAGAGACAGTGTTTCACTATGTTGGCCATGCTGGTCTTGAACTCCTGGCCACAAGTGACCCACCTGCCTTGGCCTCCTGAAGTGCTGGAATTACAGGCATGAGCCACCATGCCTGGTCTAATTACTATAACTTTTTAATAAGTTTTCATATCAGATAGGACTAGTCATCCTCTCTCCCACTCTTTTCTGCTTTGATAGTGTCTTAGCTATTCTTGGCCCTTTTCTCTTCGTATAAATTTTGGAGTCATCTTGCTGATTTCCTTAAAAAGCTCTGAATATATTTTTTTATTGAGATTGCATTGAGTCTACAGATAAATTGGGAAGAATTGACTTTTTCATGATGTTAGATCTTTCAAGCCCTTAATGTGTTTTTTGTTTGGTTAGTTGGTTTTTGTTGTTGTTGTTGTTGTTTTTGAGACAGAGTCTCCTCTGTCACCCAGACTGGTGTGCAGTGGAATGATCTCAGCTCACTGCAGCCTCAACCTCCTGGGCTCAAGCAATCCTCCCACTTCAGCCTCCCGAATACTTGGGACTCTAGGTATGCACTTCCATGCCTGGCTAATTTTGTATTTTTAGTAGAGACAGTGTTTTGCCATGTTGCCCAAGCTCATCTAACATTCCTGGGCTCAAGCGATCAGCCCACCTAAGCCTCCCAAAGTGCTGGGATTACAGGCATGAGGCACTGTGCCCAGTCAGCATTTTTAAAATTATAAATCTTTTAAAACTTCTTTCCATAAGTTTGTAAATGTTCTTCATAAATATCCTATGCACCTCTTATTAAATTTATTCATAATTATCTTATTTGTTCTTGCTTTTTTAAATCTTATATGTATTTAAATTGCATTTTAAAACTGTTACTGGTGTACAAAAATGCAATTTATCTTATATCCAGCCATATTGCTATATTATCTTTTTCTTAACATTTCTCTGTAAATTGTTTTTAGTTTTTTATGTAACCAGTAATACCATTGGCAAATAACAGTTTCTTTCTTTCTAATCCCTTTTCACATTTTCTTATACTGACTAAGGACCTCTAGAATAATGCTGAAAAGAATGGTGAAGGCAGACATACTTTCCATATTCCTGGCTTTAACAACCACCCCCAATTATAATTTTAAATAATTCTTGGGCCGGGCACAGTGACTCACGCCTATAATCCCAACTCTTTGGGAGGCCAAGGCGGGCAGATCACCTGAGGTCAGGAGTTCAAGACCAGCATGGCCAACATGGTGAAACCCTGCCTCTACTAAAAATACAAAAATTAGCTGGGCTTGGTGGCACTGCCTGTAAACCCAGCTACTCGGGAGGATGAGGCAGGAGAATCACTTGAACCTCAATTCTCTTGCCTCAGGTGGAGTTTGCAGTGAGCCGAGATCTCACCACTGCACTCTAGCCTGGGCGACAGAGCGAGACATTGTCTCAAAAAAAAAAAAAAAAAAAAAATTCTGAAGTCTACGAAAAGCCAAAAGAAGGTATATGAACGTGAACACCCATGTTATCTTCATCTGATTTTTTATAATGGGGTTTACAGACAGGTGTTCTGGTCCTAACATTTCAGGCAGTAATTTTTCACCAATTGAATACAAGTTGCCTTTATTATATATCTGAACTTATCTTGCATGATAGTTTTGTTACAATTTTAGCTTTTACTATATTTATTACAACTTAGATTTTTTCTGTTGTAAAATATTGATAGCTTGAGCAACAAGAATTTTACATGTATTTGAAAAACAGAGTGAGTCAAAACAATTGCCTACTCTGTTAAAATTAGTACAGCATCTACTATCATTAGAATACTGCTCACTGCACCTCTTAAAATTATCTTAGACGTCCTGGAGATTTCTGTGAGAACAGATTGGTTTTTGAGTTACATTATTATAAGTGTTCAGAATATTATTCCTTTAAGTTTAATTTACTATCAGTGCTTTTGAAATGGTGCCTCTTCATTTTGCTTATAATTCTTTGAAGCATAATCTTAAAATAATATTGCCTTCCTGAAGAATTCAATAGTCTTATGATATATGTCCTCATTTTATCTTTTTTGTTGAGATGTCAAGTTTCCTGTTATACCATAGAAAGCAAGAAATGTCAGACATTATCATGTGTACAGAGCTTTGGCATGTCTGAGTGAATTAATTGGGGAATAAATAAGTATTGAATGGTTGTCCTTGTCTTCATAATAAGCCAAATTTAGATAATCTTGAGAAAAAAAAAAGTCACAGAAGATTGAATTCTAAGATTTATTTTTTAACATTGGGTCCTGAGGCCAGAGTGTCGGAGTTTAGATCTTCTTTCAGAGTTTAGAAAAGTATTTTATTTTTTATTTTTATTTATTTATTTTTTTACATTGGGGTTTGCAGGCAGATGGGAGGATGGCTGCTTTTTATTTTTTTAAATAGCATACATCAGTAGTTTTTAATTTTGTTTTTTTTTTTTAACCTTAGGAATTGTAGCTAAAGAAAAGCCATTATCACTCCAAGTTTAGCTTTGTTTCTAAGCAAGATTTCAGGTTAAGTAGGAGGTGAGAGAATTTTTTAAAATGTGTGTGTTAAAAGTTTTTTGAAAAGAGTGCTAGGTAAAAGTTTATATTTTGGTGGGCTGATTTCATTGCAAACTAAGTGAGAAAAGACAATCATATATCCAGGCTTTAATTTTCATTTACATTGCAGACACCTGAAGGAAAGTCATTTTTTCTTTCTTTAGATTTCAATTGTACTGCTGATAATTGTATCAGAGTAAACCTATTTGTGGAATCAGATTGAATTAAGATTTAAGCAAGAAACATGAATTTGTGTCTTTAAGGGTTCTCTGTGGGTGGGCTTGAGCTTCTTTCTCAGTGCCTTTGTTTCCTTTTCTCTTTTTTTTTTTTTTTTTTTTTTGAGACAGAGTCTCGCTGTGTTGCCCAGGCCGGAGTGCAGTGGCGCGATCTCGGCTCATTGCAAGCTCTGCCTCCCGGGTTCACACCATTCTCCTGTCTCAGCCTCCCGAGTAGCTGGGACTACAGGCGCCCACCCCCACGCCCGGCTAATATTTTGTATTTTTAGTAGAGACCGGGTTTCACCGTGTTAGCCAGGATGGTGCCTTTGTTTTCACCCTTCCTCTGCCTTCATTTTATAATGGTATCTTCTCTTTAAAGTCACGAGGCTTGAACGGTGGCGGTGGCTCACGCCTGTAATCTCAGCACTTTGGGATGCCAAGGCGGGTGGATCACTTGAGGTCAGGAGTTTGAGACCAGCCTGGCCAATATGGTGAAATCCCGTCCCTACTAAAAATACAAAAATTAGCCAGGGGTGGTGGCGGGCATCTGTAGTCCCAGCTATTCTGGAGGCTGAGGCAGGAGAATCACTTGAACCCAGGCGGTGCAGGTTGCAGTGAACCGAGATGGTGCCACTGCACTCTAGCCAAAGTCACATGGCTTGATGAAGCACAATTAACACAAATAATATGTTCCAGATGTCCTCGATTCTCACCGCACTGGTATGATAATGGGTACTATTATCCCAGTTTGACATATGAGATAGCTGATGATTGGTGAGATCTAGTCACATGACTCTTCAGTGCCATGCACAGCTCATTCCAAACCCAGTGATTTCCCCGTTTTCTGATGTCACCTCTTTTTTCTCCCACCAGTCATTGTTTTTATCAAGAAAAAGTTCAACTTCTTGTAGACATGGTCTGCAGGTTCTGTTTGAGCAGTGTTGGCAAAAACTCAATCTGCTAGTCAGTTAGGGGAAATGTAGCAAAGTTAAAAAGTCATCTTAATTCCCTGGAGGCTCGTCTTTCGTCATACTTTAAATTCTTTTCGTTGCCCACTAGAGGGCAGGCAGATCTGTGTCATCACTGTCTTTTTTTTTTTTTTTTTTTCTGAGAGAAATGAGGACACCCAGTCAAGCAGGAAGAACCTGAAAACTGAGACCAAACATTTCCTTGAAAATTAAAATGTGAATGCTTTTAGCTCCTTGGTAGGCAAGTGATTAAGTTGAAGGTCAGGAAAAAGTTCCTGTGTGCCTTGTTCTTGTTTCTGATTCAAGAGCACTGTTTCCTTCACCCTTTCTGAAATCCCCAGCCCTTTAGTTTAAGGAGGAGGACTTGCAGGATTTAGGAGACGGCAACAAAAGGCTTGGGAACAGGTCGAGTTCTTCTGTTGGCTTGGAATTCTCAAGCGTGGTGCTTAAAGTAATGAGACAGTGGGCTGCTCTATTCATGCCACTGTGTTTAAGCACTCACCGATACGATCTGCTTGTAGTGGAGTTCCAGAGGGAAGCTGAGACCTTGGTCTGTGGTCTGGCATGCTGAGCATGCCCAACAGGCTGCCATTGTCCTTGATGAGCTCCAGCAGGGTAAAGCAAGTGTCAATTTCTGTGTCACTGTCAGTCTTAAAAGTCCTGATTCCTAGTAAAAACCACTTGGCAGCCTGGTGCAGTGGCTCATGCTTGTAATTTCATTGCTTTGGGAGGCTGAGGCAAGAGGATTGCTGAGGCCAGGAGTTGGAGACCAGCCTGAGCAACATAGTGAGACCCCCTTCTCCACACAATTTTTTTTTTTAATTAGCCAGGTGTGGTGGCATGTGTCTGTGGTCCCACCTACTCAGGAGGCTGAGGCAGGAGGACTGCTTGAGCCCAGGAGGCCCAGGCTGTAGTGAGCTGACAGAGTGAGACCCTGTCTCTAAAAAATGAAAACAAAACAACAACAAAAAACTTACTTGGAGTCAGCATGTGGGAAAAGGAAAAGGGAAGGGGGTGATCTTGGTTATATGAGCTGCCTTCATGAACGTGCTGGAGCTTCTATCTCACATAAGCTTGTAAGTGGCTTATGACTGAACTGGATCACAAGATCCCTAAGTGCAGTTGGAAGAGAGAAAACATTATTCAAGTTCCCAGAACTCGAAGTAGAGATAGTTTAAGAAAAACAAAATTAAAGGGTGTCCCACACCCTCATCTGTTTATTTTGGTAGCGGTGGGGGTGGTTTTTTTGTGGGTGTGTTCATTTGTTTTTTGAGACAGAGTCTTGCTCTGTCGCCCAGGCTGGAGAGCAGTGGCACAAACACTGCTCACTGCAGATTCATCTGCTTAGGCTCAAGAGAGCCTTCCTTGTTAGCCCCCTGAGTAGCTGGGACCACAGGCACACACCACCACATCTGGCTGATTTTGTTTATTTTTTGTGGAGATGTGGTCTCACCATGTTGCCCAGGCTGGTCTCAAACTCCTGGGCTCAAGTGATCCTCCTGCCTTGGCCTCACAAAGTGCTGGGATTACAGGCATACAGGCATGAGCCATCTGGCCTGGCCACCCTCATCTGTTTTAATACAAAAGTTATGACTGAAAACAAGTTACTCAGAGCAAGCTCCAAGCAAAGCAAAGAGGGAAGAAGCCAGGGTGGATATATACTAGGAGCTGAGGGTTTCAACTGATCTGTAAAAGTCACTTGAAGCCACTTAAACAGTAGTTCCCCCTTATCGTCAAGGAATGTGTGCCAAGATCCCTAGTGGATGAGACTGCAGCTAATACTGAACCCTATGTATACTATGTTTTTTCCTATACATAGATACACATGATAAAGTTTAATTTATAAATTAGGCACAGTAAGAGATTAACACAAATAACTAATAATAAAATAGAACAATTATAACAATATACTAAAATACAAGTTATGTGGGCCAAGTGCAGTGGCTCATGCCTGTAATCTCAGCACTTTAGGAGGCTGAGGCAGGTGGATCAATTGAGGCCAGAAGTTTAAGACCAGCCTGGCCAACATGGCAAAACCCCATCTCCACTAAAAATATAAAAACTAGCTGGGCTTGGTGGCACATGCCTGTAATCCCAGCTACTTGGGTGGCTGAGACATGACAATTGCTTGAACCTGGGAGGCAGAGGTTGCAGTGAGCTGAGATCTTGCCACTGCACTCCAAAAAAAAAAGGCCGGACACAGTGGTTCATGCCTGTAATCCCAACACCTTGGGAGGCCAAGGCAGGCGGATCACCTGAGGTTGGGAGTTCTAGACCAGCCTGACTAACATGGAAACACCTGTCTCTACTAAAAATACAAAATTAGCCAGGCATGGTGGTGAATGCCTGTAATCCCAGCTACTCCAGAGGCTGAGGCAAGAGAATCGCTTGAACCTGGGAGGCGGAGGTTGTGGTGAGCCGAGATCGCGCCATTGCACTCCAGCCTGGGCAACAAGAGCAAAACTCTGTCTCAAAAAACAAAAACAAAAAAGGTTATGTGAATGTCATATCTCTCTTTCTCTCAAAATACTGTAATATTTTCAGACCACAGTTGACTGTAGGTAACTGAAACCTCGGAAAGCAAAACTGTGGGTAAGGACAAACTGTTTACACTCTATTTAGACTTTGGGCACTTGGGGGTTTTAGGCACCAGGAGGAACTTCTGTGTTTGTTTCTTTATGGTGTACCTTCCCTAAGATTTTTTGCCAGGAAAAGAGCAAAGGTATTTCTCTGAGTACCATCTTATTTCATATTTTGGAGAGGTTAAAAGGATGGAATAAGAGGATCTTGAACTCTAAGACTATTTCCATTGCTCACTTGCTGTGCAGTATTAGAAGAGCTTCTTACTCTCTATAAGCCTCAGTTTCCCCATCTGTAAAAATCAGAATGTTGATACAGCCTAACACACATGTAAGGAGAGGTTGGGTGAGGAGACAAATGTAAAGTGTTAATGTAGTGCCTAGCACATCATACATCTACAGTAAAGGTGAGCTATTCTATTACTGTTTGTGAAATTCTACCAAGAAGACTCTCTTTGATACTCATTGCAATAGTAGTAGCTACTGAAACACCTCCCCTCAGTGACTTCAAGACCCTGAGTGTTCTCACTTCTTGACTGTATTCTTTAAATTTTTTTAAAACTCATTTTGTTTTCTTTTCTTTCTTTCTTTTTTTTTTTTTTTTTTTTTGAGACAGTCTCACTTTGTTGCCCAGGCTGGAGTGCAGTGACACAATCTCAGCTCACTGCAGACTCTACCTCTCAGGTTCAAGTGATTCTCCTGCCTCAGCCTCCTGAGTAGCTGGGACCACAGGCGTCTGCCACCACACTGGGTTAATTTTTGTTTTGTTTTGTTTTAGTGAAGAGGGGTTTCACCATTTTGGCCAGGCTGGTCTCGAACGCCTGACCTCAGGTGATCCATCTGCCTTGGCCTCCCAAAGTGTTGGGATTACAGGTGTGAGTCACCATGCCCAGCCTCATTTTTTCTCTTTTGGTGAAGATTTTCTCTTTCACCACTCTGGTAGACATCACCTTATATAACTTTTCACCCCACTCACCCAGAGAAGCTGGAAGAAAGGGAAAGGAAAAACACTTCGCTCCATGGGTCTCCGCTCACTCTCTTCTTTCCACACAGCAGAGCAATGATGCAACCAAGGTCAGAGAGTTGGAAATGCCTTAGGGGAGAGCCAAGACCTGAGTCATATTTTCATTATTATTAAAATTCTCATCCACCCAGATCCTGCTGCTTACAAGTCCTGTATAATTTATTTCAAGGCCTGTGCCTGGGTGTTGTAACATGTACTTATGATGCAGCAAAAAATCATTTTATTGTTTTTACTCTAAAGCTGGCTACGGGGCACAGGCCTTCTCCTGGGTTAGAGATTACTCAGTCAGACTCACCTTTCTCCTCAACATGGCTTTTCCCCTCACCACTCCTTTTCATTTCAGTTGAGATGGGGGTGAGGAAACCAAACACTTCTATCCTTGTCATTCAGCCATTTCTGAATCCTAAGGAACTTAGTTACTGGAATTGTCCTCTCCCTAATAGGATCTTTTATTTTTTCTTCAACTTTTATTGTAAGTTCTCGGTACACGTGCAGGATATGCAGGTTTGTTACATAGGTAAACGTGTGCCATGGTGGTTAGCTGCAAAGATCATCCCATCACCTAGGTATTAAGCCCAGCATGCATTAGCTATTCTTCCTGATGCTCTCCCTCTCCCCACTCCCCCTTTGCTCTGCCAAATAGATCTTTATGGCAATACATAAAAAGGAGCTCACCCTGCATCAGTGACTTCAGAATATGTGTATGTTTAGGGGTCTGTGTACACAGTGTGTATGTGTTTGGTTGAGGGTAAGTGTATATGTTGGGCATGTGTTGGGGTTAGTTGAGATGGAACACAAAACTGGATCACAGATACTGCAGCCCTTAAAATGTATCAGCAAATATTTACTGAAACCCTAATCTACTCAAAGCACCGAGATAAAGGAATGCATTACTACACATGGTTCCTAACCTTGGGATTTTACTGTAATCAATGTGAAGAGAGAGGATGTGTGAATATATTTAAAACAAACAAGGAGGGATAATAATTGACAATTGGAAACAAATGCTTTGGGAAATTAAAAGGAGGAAGGATTCACAAAAGTCTGATGGGATTCTAAAAGGCTGCAAGGATAACACTATATTTTAATTGGTCTTTGAAAAAAAATAGGACTTAGATAAGCACAGTAGAAGGGCAACCTCTGGAAAGGCTTGCTTAACACCTAAATACACTGCATTACTCGTGTATCAGTCAAAATTCTTTTGGTTGTCAGTGGCCAAAAACTCATTCAAATTACAAAGGAAATTAAAATTATCCACGTAACGGAGAAGTTCAAGGTGTGATGCTTACTTCAGGTCTCACAAAATGCCATCAGGATTCTCTCTCCTTCCCTTGGCCTAGCTCTTCTTAGTGTTGGCTTTATTTTCTGGTAGGCAGTCTCTGTAAACAGGACTATGCAGAGCTTCAGAATTAAGTTCTACCAACACAAGATATAGCACGTTTTCTCCAGCAGTGCCAGAAACTTCCTGGATTCTCATTAGCTTGGTGTGGGTCAAGTGGCCATCTCATCTATGAATCTATTACTTTAACTTGAGGTATAGAATTCTCTAGTGGCCCGATCTGAGTCATGTGCCTACTCCTAGAGCCAGGTGGTCATAATAGTCCAACCTGAACCTCATGAACTGAGAGTGGAAGAGGGATGGTTCTGCAAAGGGACTCAGGATCTTATCACCAGAAGAAAGGAATGGATTCTAAGCAGACAAAAACAACAGAGGTTCACTGTCATCTCTTCCTTTAGCAATCTGTTGATGATGGCTCCTATTAACTCCTTTCCTGAGTTTCATAATTCTTTTATACTAGTACCAGAGATTCTTGAACATATAACTTATCCTTAACTTTAGACCCTAACTCTCGGCCTGTAGAAGTCTATTCTAGTTTTTATTGATAGGAGACACTTGGGATGATTAATTCAAGCACTCAAGGAAATGAGCACTAGCAATTCCTCCTCTATTCAGAATGAAAGGTGAAATTAGGACTGAACTATTTTCTTCTATTTTCTGAACTATTTTCTTCTAACTATTAATAGCTATGATTTTTTTTTGACCAAATAATTGAGAAAGAATGAGACTCTGGCATTCATGACTTATCTCAATGAGGAAATCCTGCCTTTTGGGATGAACCTAAGAGGTCCCCATAGGAAAGTGTTCAATTCAATAGAAAATGAGAGCTTAAAGACACTTAAAGACATTTCTGGATATTTTTGTTCGCGGGGATGAGATATACCAAGGTCATGGCTCTGTCTACCCAAGGAACAATGCCATGATGTTATTATTTCTTAATAACCAACACTCAGGATCAAGATAGAAGTGCAAATGAGCTGAATAGTGCTTGTAAATTGGGACTTGGCAAACGTATTTGGCAATGAGCCATGTACTTTTTCATACTGAAGGCTTGGTGTTGAAAAATGCCTAAAGCTACACTCAGCATCTGCATCATTAGGGTCTAGGAAACTAGGCAAATTCACTGGTCTGTTGTTTTAAACTATAAGGCAATTTGTTTCTCTAGACATTACATTTGAGTCTTTAATGAAGTAATAGATATTTTAGAGATTCAGAACTATGTCAGGGTTCAAATGAGCCTTATGTTTGTTAGCATTTATTTTTATCTTTTGTGTTTAATCTTTATTTTTCATATAATATTGTTTTTAAAGCCTTTTTCATTTAGACCTGACAGTGGCAGATATACTGATATGTATAAGCAAATGCAGAAAAATGTTTTTAATGTTCATTTTTATCCAAGGCCATATCTATGTAAAACCACCAAATTTGTAATTTCCTAAATGAATCAAAGATTTTGACACCATTTATTAAGCTATTATTTTCTTAAAAAACAATTCAAATTTCACAAACTATTCATAAATATATTTTCCTTCAAAAAATATGAACCATTATAAATAAAGCTACAATTTTCCTCCTTTTTCCCCCACCCCTAACTCCCAGCCCTGGTGTTTCACCACCTTCTCCCTGGTAAACTCGGTTATTAGTTGTGGTGCACGTCCTTCCCTATACGTGCATGTGCATGCACGCACACACACACACACCCCTACACCTACCCATAGAAACTTCAGAATATCACTCAGTGTATATTTACATAAAAGATATTATACTGGTTCAGGTGCAGTGGCTCACGCCCATAATTCCAGCACTTTGGGAGGCCAAAGCACGCGGATCACTTGAGGCCAGGAGTTCAAGACCAGCCTGGCCAACATGGTGAAACCTTGCGTCTACTAAAAATACAAAATTGGCCAGGCATGGTGGTAGGCGTCTGTATTCCCACCTACTCAGGAGACTGAGGCAGGAGAATTGCTTGAACCCTGGAGGTGGAGGCTGCAGTGAGCCAAGATCATGCCACTGCACTGAAGCCTGGATGACAGAGAAAAACTCCATCTCAAAAAAAAAAAAAGATACTATACTAAACATATTTATCTACAACTTGCTTTTTAAAATTCAACAGTATATCATGTAGGTCTATTGATATTTTTACGTATGCATCTAGTCTGTCCCCAATTTATGGACATAGGGATGGCTTCTGATCTTTTTCCATTATAAGCAAAGTCATTGCACATATCTTTTCTAATTTGTTGGCATAATATTCCCTTATAGTCCTGATAATCCTTGTCATTTATGTAAGGTTGGTGGTATGTCTACCCCTTCATTCTTGATCTTAATAAATTGAGTCTTCTTTTTTTTTTCTTGTTCGGTCCAGCTGAAGATTTGTCAATTTTGTTGATCATTACAAAGAACCAACTTCTGGCTTTGTTGGTGTATTAGTCCATTCTCACACTGCTATAAAGATACTACCCAAGACTCGGTAATTTATAGACAAGGGAGGTTTAATTGACTCACCATTCTGCATGGCTGGGGAGGCCTCAGGAAATTTACAATCATGCCAGAAGGCAAATGGGAAGCAAGCACCTTCTCCACAAGGCAGCAGGAAGAAGAAGCAAGCAAAAGAGGAACTGGCCAAACACTTATAAAACCATCAGATCTCATGAGAACTCACTCACTATCACTAGAACAGCAGGGGGGAAACCGCCCCCATGATCCAATCACCTCCCCCCAGTTCCTTCTCCAACACCCAGGGATTACATTTCAAGGTGAGATTGGGTGGGGACACAAAGCCAAACCATATCAGTTGGTTTTCTCTACTGTTTTTCTATTCCCTATTTCACTTATTCTCCTCTAATCATTATTTCCTTCTGTTTACTTTGGGTTGTTTGCTCTTTTTTTCTAGTTTCTTAAGGTAGAGGTTTAGGTGATTGATTTGTGATCTTTCTTCTTTGTTAATATAGGCATTTACAGCTATAATTTTATCTTGGAGCACTGCTTTAGCTACATAACATATGTTTTGTCCTGTTTTTCTTTTCCTTCTTCTCAAAGTTTTTAATAATTTCCCTCTCTCCTCTGAGGGTTCAATAGTTGAGACTGGCTAGGCACAGTGGCTCATGCCTGTAATCCCAGCACTCTGAGAGGCTGAGGCAGGAAGATCAGTTGAGCCCAAGAGTTCAAGACTAGCCTGGGCAACATAGTGAGGCCCTGTCTCTATAAAAATAAAATTAAAAATAAAAAAACTAACCGGATGTGGTGGCACATGCCTGTTGTCCCAGCTACTCAGTAGGCTGTGGCAGGAGGATCACTTGAACTCATGAACTCAGGACCACAGTGAGCCATGATTATACCACTGCACTCCAGCCTGAGTGACAGAGCAAGACCCTGTTTCAAAATAATAATAAAAAATAACTGAGACTATGAAATAAATTTACAGCAGGCAGACTAACAGGATAAAATGTATATATTTGAGAAATGTTGGCAGTCCACCTCTCTTAGAGTGAGACCATTGCCCAGAATGGGAGCTGACGGACAAGGGAGCCCCTATCTCATTATCTGTGCCTGCCAGGAGCAGCACTTTCAGGGTAGAGCTTTGGTAACATGGCACTGCAGGAAAGGTTAGCAGGCCAGGCCATGGCTGAAATGCCACAGACACTCTTACTGAGATTCCCAGTTGACTTTCTTGAGTGAGTTTTCTTCATTTGCTATATGTTCTTGAGACAATTTTCAGAGACTTTATTTTATTTTATTTTTCATTTTTATTTTTATTATTATTTTTTTTTTTGAGATGGAGTCTCGCTCTGTCACCCAGGCTGGAGTGCAGTGGCGTGATCTCAGCTCACTGCAAGCTCCGCCTCCCAGGTTCACGCCATTCTCCTGCCTCAGCCTCCTGAGTCGCTGGGACTACAGGGGCCCGCCACCACGCCTGGCTAATTTTTTGTATTTTTAGTAGAGACGGGGTTGCACTGTGGTCTCGATCTCCTGACCTCGTGATCCGCGGGCCTCGGCCTCCCAAAGTGCTGGGATTACAAGTGTGAGCCACCGCGCCCAGCCAATTTTCAGAGACTTTAAATGGTTATTGTTGTTGCTGCTGTTATTTTTGAGACAGGATCTTGCTCTGTCGCCCAGGCTGAAATGCAGTGGTACAATCATAGCTCACTGCAGCCTCTACCACCTGGGCCCAAGAGATCCTCCTGCCTCAGCCTCCCAAGTAGTTGGGACTAGAGGCATGCACCACCATGCCCAGCTAATTTTAATTTTTGTAGAGATGGGGTCTCACTTTGTCGCCCAGGCTGGTCTTGAACTCTGAGTCAAGCAATTCTCTCACCTCAGCCTCCCAAAGTTAAATGATTTTTTAAAAATTATTTTCACAAGTTAAATTGTTTTGCCAGAGAGAGACTTTTTATTTCACCATTCTGGAAGTCTCAAGGAAGAATGCTTTTGATTTCGTGTTTATTTAAGTTAAAATAAAGGAAACTAGCCATTAAGACTTCTATAAAAAGCAAAAAATAAAATAAAACTAAAGCTAAGTACTTGAACAATGGGAAGGCACAGGTATTAGTGGATTCCTGAATTTTATTAATTTTCAAAATGTCTTAAGGTTAAAGTTGAAAAAAAGAGGCAAGTAGAAAAGTAAGACAACTGGCTGAGGGAATTCTATTGAGCAGCAATTATTCTGGCATTCCACAAAAGTTGATTGAGAATTAACTGTATATTAATGTTGTGTTTAATAACAAAATGAGAATAATTTGGTCTATAATGATTTTTATTTTTCCTTAGATTTTAGGAAACTCAAAGCTAAATATAACGTCCAATCAAAGTAATCATATTTGCCTAACTAGGGCTAATAAAATAACTAGCATTTACCACCTCCTCCCAAAACACACACCTCTGTATTTAATTTTCAATTTCCACATCAGTTTTACTCTTTCAGATATATGTTTTATTAATATAATGATAATAGTTCCCATTTACTGAGACGTATTGTATTAAGTTCTTTGCGTCTGTTCCCATATTTAATCATTACCAAAACCCTGAAAAATCCCAATTTTGTGAATGAGGAAGTTGAGGCCTAGAATCATTATTTGCCCATGATTTAATGTTAATAAGTGACAGAGCCTTGGATTCAGACTCAGGCAGTCCGAATTTAACCACCTTCTTCTTCTTCTTCTCTTTTTTTTTTTAACAAAGACTTGCTCTGTCACCCAGGCACGCAATCACGGCTCACTGCAGCCTTGAACTCCCAGGCTCAAGCGATCCTCCCACCTCATCCTCTGGAGTAGCTGGGACTACAGGCACGTGCCACCATGCCTGGCTAATTTTTTTATTTTTTGTAGAGATGAGATTTTGCTATGTTGCCCAGACTGGTCTTGAACTCCTAAGCTCAAGCGATCCACCCACCTCAGCTTCCTAGAGTGATGGAATTACAGGTGTGAGCCACCATACTCGGCCTTCTTAACCATATTCTATATTGTCTTCCCAATTTCTTTTATCTTTTTGCTAATTGTTGGAATTGAAGTATAAATAAATAGTAGTGGTAGAGCACTTACTCATCTAGGGAGATCATAGTACTCACCCATTTGCAACAGTTTGACTTGCTCAGTCACAGGTTATCTTTCAGGCCTACACCATGTTCTGGCTGTGGATCAGAAAAATATTCTCTGTGTGCACCTGGTTAGAACACTGTGGCTTTGCTCCAGAGGCCTTTGAAGACATTGACAGATAGCTCACCATACCTTCCATCACCATCTAATTGGTAGTCACAACCTCAGGGAGAACCTAGTACCCTGGACCACACCTGAGCTGCCTTCAGTGAGTCAGTGCCT
The DNA here is from genome assembly GCF_000001405.40 of Homo sapiens. Lineage (NCBI taxonomy): Eukaryota > Metazoa > Chordata > Mammalia > Primates > Hominidae > Homo > Homo sapiens. The sequence goes on along the minus strand of NC_000003.12, from coordinate 27,670,709 downwards.
GGTCTGAATGTCTCTTTAATGTGCCTTGCCAGGCCTAATGAGCTTCATTTGATACTCTGCTCTGTAAAAGACTGTTTCTCACTGTCTACTCTCAAAAGATACCTGTGGTCTCACAATAACTGCTTCTTTCTTTTTGCATTCACCTTAGTTTGGTGGTTCTTGATGTTTTTAATAATCCTGCTATGCTTTTCAAAAGGCAAGATTTCCATACTTTTCCCATTCTGTCCAGGGACAAGAAATATTCATAGCTTGCCATAACTCTCCTCTCTCTTGAGGTGAAAGAGTCAATGAGGCAATGTCTGGAAAGTGACATGTCTTGAAAGTGGGTGAATTTTTTGTTTTTGTTTTTTGAGACAGAGTCTCGCTCTGTCGCCCGGGCTGGAGTGCAGTGGTGCAGTCTCAGCTCACTGCAAGCTCCACGTCCCGGGTTCATGCCATTCTCCTGCCTCAGCCTCCTGTGTAGCTGGGACCCGCCACCATGCCCGGCTAATTTTTTGTATTTTTAGTAGAGACAGGGTTTCACTGTGTTAGTCGGGATGGTCTCGATCTCCTGACCTCGTGATCCGCCCGCCTCAGCCTCCCAAAGTGCTGGGATTACAGGCATGAGCCACTGTGCCCGGCCGAAAGTGGGTGAATTTTTATTCACACTGTGGTGTTCACATGATTTTCAGTTATCTTTGTTTTGACAGGTTTGAATACGATATTCACTTGTTAAATACATCCACTTGTGTTTAGATGTTGGCTATAATTTTCAGTTCCTTATAAGGTTACTAGAGGGAATTTCAAGGTTTGCCAAAAGAGGCATGCAATGACTAAGGGAGCAATGCTAAGACAGTTCTCCTTTCAGCAGGTCTCTGAAGCTCCCATGTGACTCCAGGCAACAGGTTAGCCACCTGCTTCCTTCTATGCCATTCTGCCATTGATAAAGTTCTGACAAGTTAGACATGGGGGCTATACCTGCAAGGTTGTCTTAAGGCTTGAAAAGTGCATTGATGACATCATGCTTTCTGAGGTACTTACTCATGCTCTAACCACATAGCCATGGCATCAGTCTCTGCGGTACCCCTAGAGTCACGCTTTGGAACAAAAACCCATGGTTTTTGTATAACAGAACAGACTCTGTGGGCTAATTTCCTTTGATCCTTCCCTGGGGCAGACACAGTTGCATTGCAAGTTTAGGAATCATTACTTTTTATCTGTTCAAATTGGGAAATAGAGGAAGACCTACCTTCATAGAATGCAATTGTGATAAGAAACAGAAAATCTTGGGTAGACAAGATCTCAGTGGGGTGGGAAGGTGGGAAAGATGCTGAGATGAGTAGGGTGGGAGGGGAGGTGGGAATGAGTAGAAATTTTTCTTCAGATGAGAACTTCATGATTAGCCAGAAAAACAAATCGCGTGTTAATATCTCATTCTCACTGTTTAGAAACTTTAGACACTAGTCAAGTTTTGCACATTCAGATACAAGAGCTGGCTTTGGGACCTGTGATGCCGATTTTAGTAGTAGTCTTTCTCTCCCCTTCTTTCTCCCTTCACTTTTTTCTCTTCCTCTTCCTTCTCCTTCCTCCGTCTTTTCTACTCAATCTTTGTTATAAATATTACTTGATGGAGTTTCAGCTTTCAACGTTGAATAATATAATTAACCTTCTACAAAAGCCACCCATAATATTTGGGAAGTTTTCTGGAGTTCACCCAAATAATAAAATCCAAGAGTCTAAAACACCAACTTCTCACCACTAAGAACACATTCCCCCAATGGTTAAATTAAACTAAATTTGGCCTGAAGATGCCTCAGTACTTGACTCCTTACTGAACAAACTGCAACCAACTTAGTATTTAAACTAACTGAAAGCTTAACTTAGAAATATACTTTTATAACAAATAGCTGAGTCTCAGCCAGTGACAGCAGCCAGGGATCAGTCAATCACAGACATGTTCAAATAACTCAAACACTAAGCTGTCTCTATACCTCCTTTTTGTTTTCTGGGGTTTTTTGTTTGTTTGTTTTTTGAGACAGGGTCTCACTCTGTCACCCTGGCTGGAGTGTAGTGGCACGATATTGGCTAACTGCAAATTTCGCCTCCTAGGCTTAAGCAATCCTCCCACCCAGCCTCCTGAGTAGCTGGGACTACAGGCATGCACCACCACAGCCAGCTAATTTTTGTATTTTTGTAGAGAAAAAGTTTAATCATTTCGTCCTGCTCTCAAACTCCTGGGTTCAAACAATCCACTTGCCTCATCCTCCCAAAGTGCTGGGATTACAGGCATGAGCCACAGTGCCCGGCCTTTATTGGCTGCCTTTCCTTCCCTGTCTTACTTCTCTAATCTGCTGGTATTCCCCACACTTCCTAAATAAACTCTCATATGGGAACTTTTATTTCAGAATTTGCTTTCAGGTAAAGCCAAATAAGACAACTTTGAAACATTTATTTAACCAATATTTATTGAATGCCTGTGGTATACCAGGCTCTGTGATGAACCAAATGACACGGGCCTTGCCTTGTTTTAAACTACATGCGATCTTCCCCTTCCTTTCTCTTCCTGTTCCTGCTGTTGAAATCGTCAGTCTGTTTCTCCTCCATTCTATCCTACACGTGAATTCCAGAATCACCATAATAATACCATTTTCATTGTAACACCATCATGGCTTCTCATGACCAAAACACAAATTTCAGATTTTTTAAAATGGCATTTGAGGGCATGATAATTTACCCCTCATCTTTGTTTCCCAGCAGTCTCAACTGTTGTTTCTCCTCTTTCCCCATGTATATCCTGTGACCTTGCCTTCCCAGAACAATGGGATAAGCATAAGGCTGAGATTAAGCACATGAACTTTGGAGCCAGAAGCCTGGTTCTCCCACCCAATATCAAATACCAGTGTAACTTTAGGCAAGTTATTTTACTTATCTGTGCCTCTGTAAAATGGCACAGCAATACCTCCTCTACAGAGTCACTGTGAGGGTTAGCTGAGATAATACATATAAAGCACACAGAACAGTAGCTGAGCACTCTGCAAGTGCTGTTATTATTGGTGGTTGTTTGATACATCCCATGTGGAACATACCACAAGTGTTTGTGTTGTGCCCTGTCTGGACAATTTTTTTTTCCATTTAACAAACTCCTTCAAGACCCTACTCAAGTATTAACCTTTCTATGCAGTTTTCTCTTATCAGCTCCTTACACTCAACTCTAAGAATTAATTGCACTTGGTTTTTCAAGTCTGTAATATTTTTTATGTATGTCTATTTCTGCACTTATAACATTATATCATGATTAATTGAGTGTGTGTGTGTGCACGCATGTGTGTGTGTGTATCTCCTATCTCCCATGTGAACTGTGAGCTCCCTGTGGGGGGGGGGGGGATGGTATCTTTTTCATCATTAAACCTCCAATGCCCAGTATAATGCCTGGAGTATGATTGGTGCTCCATAAAATTAGTTTAATGTAAGAATGAGCAAGTGGGTAAATGAATGAATGACTGAAATTGCTGCAGAAAATAGGGTGGGACCTACATCGAGAGCCCACCCATCTTCCACCCCTTTCTTGAGACTTCCAGTATAACGGGAGGCATCTTACCTGATCCTCCAACAATCTATTTGTTTCATATACCCTCATTGGTATTCCCCCAACCCCCCCATACTACCTTCTTTCTAATACTTCCCTTCCAGGCCAGAAGAGCATAAGGATGAGACTGCTGAAAGATGCTCAGCATTTGAACAGAGGCAGGTTGCCATGGCAACCATCCACAAAAAGAGTGGCAGCATGTGCTACTATTTCTCAGACCTGGCTCCCAGCCCGGCCCTGGCTGGTGGGAGGCAGCAGAGAGACGCTGTGTAGCATTTCCACATTACAGTTTGTGCTGCACCCCATTGCTTCCTCATTTCATGCTGCGGTTGTGAGTTTTACAGTTTGCTTTTCTGTAGGAATTTTGTTTTCTTTAGGTTTGTGGTGGTAGAGGCAGGGAGGAATGAGCAGACTGAACCCAAGCCATCTTTTAAAATGTTTCTAAATTAGCAGGAGTCTACCCTTGGTCTCCTGTTTTTATCCCATAGAAATGTTTTGGGGATTAGTGACAGGAAGCCCTGCTTAGTGCTTAAGAGCTGCTTTGTGAGGAAAAGATTATTGTTGAGCCAGAAACAAGCCACAGGTGTGTTGCATTCAGACCTTGAGTAGAGGATAGGGCTGGGAGGACTTATTCCTGTAGCTTTGTGCTTTCAGGACTGTTGTTGTTTACTGGGTCTTTCGCCAAAGTCACATGGGAGACAAGTTTGCATTTCCTGTAAAAACAGCTGTGGGAGACTTCATTACAATAAGTAAGAGTCTAGTGATAGATTCTGAGAACTCAGTACCAGGAAAAGCTTCTGTTTCTTCATGAACTGTGGCTTATTTTTTCTACTAATGGACAGTGGACATCATATAATTGCTGGAAGTTCTGAGCTACATATTATGTTCCAAATACTAGTTTCCTTTTTTCTTTTTTTTCCTGGTTTTTTATATTTATTTTATTTTATTTTTTGAGACAGAGTCTCTCTCTGTTGCCCAGGCTGGAGTGCAGTGGCATGATCTCGGCTCACTGCAACCTCCGCCTCCCGGCTTCAAGCGATTCTCCTGCCTCAGCCCCCTAAGTAGCTAGAATTATAGGTGCACGCCACCACGCCTGGCTAATTTTTTTGTATATTTTAGTAGAGACTGGGTGTCACCATGTTGGCCAGGCTGGTCTCGAACTCCTGACTTCAGGTGATCTGCCCACCTTGGCCTCCCAAAGTGCTGGGATGACAGGCGTGAGCCACCGTGCCCGGCCCCAAATACTATTTTCCTTATTCAGCAGGTCTTATTACAATATATTTTATTACAAGCATGTAATAAAATATGTAATAAAAATACAATAAAATGTAATATTTTATTAGGAATATTACAATATACCTTTTTTTAGCCATTTTGGACCTGTGAATTTTTTTTTTTTTTTTTGAGACAGGGTCTTAATCTGTCACCCAGGCTGGAATGCAGTGGCATGATCTCAGCTCACTGCAGCCTTGACCTCCTGGGTTCAAGCAATCCTCTCACTTCAGCCTCCTGAGTAGCTGGGACTGCAGCCACACCACCACACACAGCTAACTTTAAAATTGTATTGGAGACAAAGTGTTGCTTTGTTCCCCAGGCTAGTCTCGAACTCCTGGACTCAAGTGATCCTCCCGTCTCAGCCTTCCAAAGTGCTGGGATTACAGGCATGAGCTACTGTGCCTGGCGGGGCTGTGATTTTATTAGAAATTATCATCTATCCTTTTGGTAAATGAGATTGGAACCAGAATGTACCTGGTATGTTGAAGAATCTTATAATAACATATTTGCCCCATAATTTCCACTGACTCCGCCAGGTTGAGTCCTCATCTAACAATATAGCCTTTCCTTTCATTTGAAAAATGACTCATTTGGTTTTAAAACTCAGTCCTGTTCATTTGTTTATTTTTATTTTACTTTATTTTTTTGAGATGGAGTTTCGCTCCATCACCCAGGCTGGAGTGCAATGGCGCAGTCTCCACTCACTGCAACCTCCGCCTCGTGGGTTCAAGCGATTCTCCAGCCTCAGCCTCCCAAGTAGCTGGGATTACAGTCACCCGCCACCACGCCCAGCTAATTTTTGTAGTTTTAGTACAGATGGGGTGTCACCATATTGGCCAGTCTGGTCTTGAACTCCTGACCTCAGGTGATCTGCCTGCCTTGGCCTCCAAAGTGCTGGGATTACAGGTGAGAGCCACCACGCCAGGCCAGTCTTGTTCATTTAACACTTCAGTCTCGTTTCTTGTTCAAATGATTCCTTCTCCTCAACCATCTTGACTCCTTACCATCTTCCATATACTAGACTTGAGAATCTACTGGCCGGGAGCCAACGGTGAATGGGACATGGCAGAATGGCAATTGCCCAAGGCAGAGTTGTAATCCCCTGACCTAGCTCTTATCTGTAAGTTCCCATAGGCCAAGATGACAAGAGGCCACCCCAAGCAGTTCTCCATGAGTGACCCCTTTGAAAATTCAGCCACTTTGTCTGGCCGCATTCCAGCTTATGGCAGCATCCTCTGCCCATGCCGTTGTGGTCTTAGACATGGCCGTAACACAGAATCATCTTCTGGCCCTGGCCATCTCTTCTTCACTTGGACGTGTGTTCCTCATCCCTTTTCTCGTCTATAAATTTATCCTGACCACAAGGCACCCCTGGAGTCTCTCTGAATCTGCTGTGATTCTGGGGGCCGCCCAATTCACAAATCGTTCATTGCTCAATTAAACTCCAGTAAATTTAATTCGGCTGAAGTTTTTCTTTTAACACAGCACACCAGCAGGCCTGAGTGCCTGGTGGCTATGAAGAGAACACGATGTCAGTGGGCCCCAAACATCAGGGTGATTCTCTGATGCCCTCCCACACTTGGGTTTTGAGTTGTGAAAAGAGGAGGCAAAATAACTTCACAAATGCATCATGTCCCCTCCTCCAAAGGTGCCTCTCCTCAGGCCCCTCTCGTGTGGACTAGGGTGTGTGGGAGGGTGGAGAACATTTTGCTGGCCCTTTGACGAGCCCGGCCCTTCTCATGAAGCCCTGTGGTGAGGCAGCTGGGCCCAGCCTCTGCAGATCCTAGGAGGCAGATTCTGGGCTGCCATTGGTTTTGTTCTTAGAGATGACCCTTGAGTCGCAATTCTGGGAAAATGGAGGGAAAATCACACATCCTCCATAATCTCATTCCTGTGAAATTAGTACATTGTCAAAAATTGTTTCCAGTGTCCATGAAGGGTTTATGGCACCAGAAAAAAACAACAGAATTCTTTTTATTTATATATTTATTGGTAGGACTCTCTTTTGCAGATGTCAGACCTTCTTGTTTTAAGGAAAGGACATATGAAAGCCTTGTCATTTCCAGTCGTTACCTCCAGCAGACAGTGGGTTCACCGGCAGCTCAGAACTTTATGGCATCTATTTTATAGGCTACAGAGAGATGCATTTGGGGGTTGGGGGTTCCCTTTTTTCCTTTTTTTTTTTTGAGGCAGAGTCTTGCTCTGTCGCCCAGGCTGGGTGCAATGGTGCGATCTCGGCTCACTGCAACTTCCGCCTCCCGGGTTCAAGCGATTCTCCTCCCTCAGCCTCTTCAGTAGCTGGGATTACAGGCATGTGCCACCATGCCTGGCTAATTTTTGTATTATTTTTAGTAGAGATGGGGTTTCACCATGTTGGCCAGGCTGGTCTTGAACTCCTGACCTCAAGTGATCTGCCCGCCTCGGCCTCCCAAAGTGCTGGGATTGCTTGCATAAGCCACAATGCACAGCCCCCCTTGTTCTTAAGTTGTGCCCAAGTCCATGGTTGCTAGACAGCTCTGGCTAGATAACATTGGCCAGAAAAAATTTCCATGTTCTTTTCAGTCTAAGAGATGGGAAACATGCTCTGTGGTGAAGTTCAAAAGGAACTTGCTATAATAGATGAATGGTGCCGATTAGGAGCAATTGTGCAAATCCCTATCAAAAAAGGACAAGAGACATAGAAATCTAAGGGAGAACAGTTGTCTTGGTACGGCTTCTCTAAATCTAATTTCGATGTTACAGCTGCTTTGTGGCTACAGTATTATTATCAGAATGTGTTGATAGGAGTTATGCTGGGGAGAAGCCCACCTCCTGTAATAGATGTGATGGAGTCGGCAGGGGTGGAGGAGTCTCACTTAGAGAATAAGATTATCTCTATTGTAGTTACTTGAGGAACACAAACATCCTTTAGAACTTCAACTGAGATCAGTGTCCCCAGGTAAAAATAATAGCTACCATCTATCACATACTAACCATGTGTGAGGCTTCATCTTAAATGGTTGTCAGGTATTAGCTTACATATTCCTTACAACAACATCTGAAATAGATCCTATTAATATCCCTTTTTACAGATGAAAAAGCTGAGGCAAAGAGAGGTTAAGTAACATTTCCAGGGATACACAGTGAGTAAGCAGTAGAGTAGGGATTTGAATGTGAGTAATTTCCCTTCAGAACCCAAATTCCTAACTCCCTACTATATTGTTGCTGCATTGGTATAGGCAGGATTCTTTGGATTTGGGGTGCAGCAACCTAACCTAGGGGATGAAACCCACAAGCTGTTGGAGCAGAAACTGTATAGTTTCTGCTTTTTTTTTTTTTTTTTACTTACATATTTTTCCTATTTGGTTTTCTTTGATATTAACTATACCCTTTTTAGCATAATTAGGAAGTCCATGAGAATTGGATTTTTACAGTTGGGTCCAAATGACACAGAGGGATCAGAGTGCCTTGAGGCCACTGTGGTGACAGTAAGGCAGTGTTCAAGTGAGACAACACCAAAGGTGACCTGGCAAAGGAAGGCACAGTCAAGGTTGGTTGGCTGTCTACAGATGTTCTCATCTGGACATTCTCTTTCTGTGGCCAGACTTGGAGTTCCTGGTTTGATTTTCTTGGAGAACACAGAATTTTTTAAGATACCATCTTCAGAAGAAAGTTATAAATCAAACATACAAAACACACACACTATGTTAGTCTGTTCCCACACTGCTATAAAGAACTGCCAGAGACTGGGTACTTTATAAAGGAAAGAGGTTTAATTGACTCACAGTTCAGTATGGCTGGAGAGGCCTCAGGAAACTTACAGTCATGGTGGAGGGGAAGAAAACACATCCTTTTTCACACGGTGGCAGCAAGGAGAAGTATGAGTGAAGGAAGGGGAAAGTCCCTTAAAAACCATCAGATCTCATAAGAAATCACTATCACAGAACGGCATGAGGGTCACCACCCCAGTGATTCAATTACCTCCCACCGGGTTGCTCCAAGGACACATCAGGATGATGGGAACTACAATTCAAGATGAGATTTGGGTGGGGACATACCCAAAGCATATCTCTCTCTCTCTCTCTCTGTCTTACACACACACACACACACACATACACACACACACACAGAACTGAGAAAGGCTAAGTTAAAAAGGAGAGGCTGAACTTTGACCAAGTGGGGAAAAAAGTCTAGAATATCATCTACACAGTGGTTCCTGAAGTGCACCTGCACTTCGTCTAGTGGATTCCTGTTAGAGTAGCTCCTCTGTGGAACATCGTTTGGGGGAACGAAGTATTCCATAATAATGAATGTCACAGCTAACAAAAATTACCGCTTTTAATATTATTTTAAAATTTGTACATTTTTGCATGAAAAATGTCTTGCAAGTGATATATCTAACTTATATGCTGATGATGGTGGTGTTTACACAAACATATACCAGTGTGAAAATTCTCAGAACTGTATACCACCCCTAATCAATTTTACTTATGATAATTTTTTTTTTGAGATAGAGTGTCGCTCTGTCACCCAAGCTAGAGTGCAGTTGTTCGATCTCAACACACTGCAACCTCCACCTCACAGGTTCAAGCGATTCTCCTGCCTCAGCCTCCCAAGTAGCTGGGACTAGAGGTGTTGCACCTCCACACCTGGCTAATTTTTGTATTTTTAGTAGAGACAGTGTTTCACTATGTTAGCCAGGCTGGTCTCCTGACCTGACCTGAGGTAATTCATCCATCTCAGCCTCCCAACATGCTGAGATTACAGGCATGTGCCACCACGTCCAGCCCTGTATGATAATTTTTAAGACAAAAAAATTTTAAGGGAAAAAATTTCTGCATCTTTTGAGGGAAACATTATGGGAATATTTTTAAAGGGAAATTCCCTTAGTGTTTACAGCAGGTTGGAAGAATTTTTTAAATTAGAAAAAAAAAAAAGGCAGGTGTGGCAGTGGGGAATGTCCCAGCTTTCCTCAACGAGATATTGTGCATATGATTTTACCTCTTTCGTGGGGTTTGAGACATTCATTTGAGGAGCAGGCGACTGATGTCCCCCTGGGTAGAGGCAGTTTTACAGAGAAGCTAATGAAGCTTAAGCACCGTGACTCCTCGTCTGCACAGCGCCATAAGGGCAGGCTCTAGGAGGAAAGTGTAGCATGTTCTAAGTGGCAAGGGGAAACAAGGCTGCATTACGGAATTTTTTCCATGTACATGTTTCTGGTAAATTGCAGAGAGATTGCAGAAGAAAGAGACCTAACTCTCCAGAGTTCCAGGAATTTGGTGTGTGTATATTTTCCCATTATAAATAAATATTCACTTTTGTACCTAATTTTTATTTATATATTTGTTTTTTGTTTTGGTTTGGTGTTTTGTTTGTTTGTTTGTTTGTTTGTTTTTGTTTTTGAGACAGAGTCTTGCTCTGCTGCCCAGGCTGGGGTGCAGTGGCATGGTCTCGGCTCACTGCAACCTCTGCCTCCCGGGTCCTAAGCAATTCTTCTGCCTCAGCCTCCTGAGTAGCTGGGACTACAGGCATGCGCCACCATGCCCCGTTAATATTGTATTTTTAGTAAAGATGGGGTTTCACCATGTTGGCCAGGCTGGTCTCGAACTCCTGACCTCAGGTAATCCACCAGCCTCGGCCTGCCAAAATGCTAGGATTACAGGCATATGCCACCGCACCTGGCCTGTATTCTTTTTCTTTAAAAAGATCTATTAAGTTATATAAGCCACAAAACCTGAGTCCAGCCCTGCTCAAGGGTTACCTCTCGGAGGTATCTTGGGCATTTCATAACCCAGCATTGCTGCATTCTAGTTATTGAGTTGATTTTTTAAAGAGGATTTTTGTCATTATTCCTCCTTTTCCTGTGACAGTATGCCTAATGCTAATTGTTCAGACATTTTATTTGCTATTAATTCCCCTTCTTCTGACCTGTTGGAAATCAGAAAATCATATAGTGAAGTTTTTCATACTTAAACCCTGAGTGAAAATTAAATACAGTTTCTTGTATTTGAACATAATGCCTAAAACTTTTTTTACTCACTTCCCAGCTCCCACATGTACTCATGTGGCTGATATTGCTATGCAAGTTATTACCACTAGAGTTAGGTTTCTATTATATTTTGCTTGGCAAAAAAATAAGACATTTTGAAAAAAATAACAAAAGGAAGTAGGGTGTTAGGATATGATAATTTTTAAAGACAAATTCTAAGCCTTTAAGCTGTTTATTACAGCCATCTTGATCTCAAAGAAATCACCCAACAGTGTACGTGCAGGTACATGCAGTGGACTTTCAATCAGTATTTGTGCATTTGGTTTCAGAGGGCCCCAGGAACACCTGGCTGTGTCTATTTCAGGCTCTGCCTGTAATAAGCGATGGGAGATTTACTAAGTTACTCTTTCTCCATTGTATGGTCTCTAAGGCTCTTCCCACCTCTGTGATTCTGAGTCTACCTCTGGAATTATGGAATGGGTGGGCCTTTGTTCCAGGAAGTTCTGAGGTGTCACTGCAGCGTGTGGCCAGCAGGGGGCTGTGGCATTTAGTGGCCTTCCAGGTTCAGGTCTGCAGGATGCAGAATTGACAAAAAAAATAGATGTCCATCCATCCTCAGAGATTAGTAGTGAGCACTGCTCTTTCCAAACCTTATTCTCCACCTTCACCTATGTCTGATGTAGATTCCAGTAATAAATACTAATAACTATTAATATTAACTACTATGTAACTAACAAATTGCAATTTATACTTATTACTAATAACAATCATTTGTACTCACACAGTACTTTAGTCCTAATCCAGACATTTCTTTCCAGTTACCTGACAGAGTTTGTCAATGCAGAGGAAGAGGACTGGAGAGGCCAACAGTTTCTCCCAGTCCCATCCAGGGAGGGAAGACATCCCTTCTTTCTACCCATCACCTAACATAGCTCTAATGGGTACAGCATGACTCATGAGTTTCACGTCCATGCAGTCTTTGGGCCCATTTCTGCCTCCAAAGCTGATGATTTCAGTGATAAGTGCCTAAGAACTCTTTGCTGCTTGGTTGTACTTTAACTCTGGCTGCTGAGACCATAAGACATTGGGTACAGGATCAGTAAAACCCATATTCTTCTCTGCCCCTTTCTAAAGGACAGAAGATAAGACTCTACTGATTTAAAAAAAGAAAACAAAAAACAAAAAAAAACCTTTCTTGTGGCTCACGCCTATAATCCTAGCACTTTGGGAGACCAAGGTGGGTGGATCATGAGGTCAGGAGTTCAGGACCAGCGTGGCCAAGATGGTGAAACCCCATCTCTACTAAAAACACAAAAATTAGCCAGGCATGGTGGTGAGTGTCTGGAATCCCAGCTACTCAGGAGGCTGAGGCAGAGAACTGCTTGAACCCGGGAGTCGAATTTTGCAGTGAGCCGAGATCACGCCACTGCACTCCTGCCTGGGTGACAGAGCGAGACTCCATCTCAAAAAAACAAAAAACTTTCTTTTCTAAGTGATGATGAGGCAGCAAATTTAGTGAAAGAGCATGGATCCCTGATAAGAAACTTGAAATCCAGTTTTTGCCACTAAGCTATAATATGACCCTGGCTCACTCAAGGCTTCCCCTTCCCTTTCCTCATCTGGAAAAGGAGAAAATGAGCTTTCACAATACAAGGACCTCACTTAACATATTTGTATGTTTTTTCTTTGTTTTTAAAATAATTTATTGTTATTGCCATCTATGTAGACCACAAGATTCTGGAGGGTCCACAAAGTAGAGCTTAGCATCACCATATACCTAACTCACATTACACATCATCAGTGTAATGCACTGATAATAACGTTGTTCATACTGTAATTCATCAAAAAGGAATGTGCAACATGGCAGGCATTGTGTTGGGCATGGTTTTTGTATAAATTCAACAGGGTCATAATCTCTGCTCTCCAAGACTTTACAGGTTAGTTGGGGGTTCTGGAGCAATGCTGTGAATACCATGAATGTAGCGAGCACAGAGTCCCCTATCTCATACTAGGAGCCAGAGAAGACTTAAGGAGATGACACTTGAACTAAATCCTGAAGGATGATAGGAGGTAGGGAGATGAAGAAAAACAGCAAGGGAGCATTTCAGAGGGGCAAGAACAGCATAACCGCAAAGAGGTACCCTGGTCATTAATGCCAATCTAGATGTTCTGTGAAGAAAACCAAAGAGCAGTAGACCCCTCTGGTCCAGAAGTCAGGAAATCGTGATTCATGTCCTGGCAATGCCAACAGCTTTGTGAAACTGGCTCACCCATTCACATCATTGCTTTAGGCCTGTTTATTCATCAGTCTAGTAGGAAAGCAGGCTGGATGTCCTTGACGATGGCCCCAGCCCTAACTTTTTATGGTTTTGTGTTTTATGAGTTGACCCTAAGAACCCAAATGAGAGTTCTGAGCTTCCAGTGACGTTTCAAGTTGGTTGGCACCCCTGAGGTCATTGGCTAAGTCTTAATGAATATGGTGGGATGAATTATACCTAGCACAGCACAGCTGTTCAATGTTTATGTGAATAACCTGAACTCAGCTATTCTCCTCCTCCTCTCAGGAGGGGATGGAAACTGGAAATCATGATCATCTTTTAGAACCAAGGAAATCTGACATGTGACATGTTGGCCAGGCAGCACGGTGCTAAGTGATAAAGCAAGGAATGTTGTATTTGTGCTTGAAGTTGTCTTGTGGGAAAAGTTAGAAAGCTAACCCTGCCTCCTGTGTGGCCCCCAATATTTTTGATGGATTAGGGTCTCCTACACACACTTGGATTCTGGAGAATTAAGTCTTTAACCTTGAACTTGGCTCTTGAAAGGCCTTGAAATCCAGTTTCTTCTGACTGCCTTGAAATCCAGTTTCTTCTGACTCACTCAGGTAGGATACCTACCTTTGTATTGTATGTATTGGCCTACTATGAAAAGAAAAATAAATTCCTAGGCTGGAATGAGGGTGGGTAAGCAGGATTAGTACTGTCCTTTTCTTATCCTCAGCTGCTCAGTGTTTCACTAACTGGTTAAAGCAGAGAGGGCCTGTACGATCCTGTGTCCCCTCCTCCCTAGACTCCTTCTTGTCTCACTTTCTGGAAATAGCTCCTGTCCTTTATGGATTGGATCTTTCCACTCTTTTTTTTTTTTTTTTTTTTTTTTTTTTGAGACAGGTTCTCACTCTGTCACCTAGCCTGGAGTAGAGTGGCATGGTCTCAGCTGACTGCATCCTACGCCTCCTGGGTTCAAGTGATTCTCCTGCCTCAGCCTCCCGAGTAGCTGGGACTACAGGCGCACACCACCACGCCTGGCTAATTTTTGTATTTTTAGTAGAAATGGGGTTTCACCACGTTGGCCAGGCTGGTCTCAAACTCCTGAGTTCAAGTCATCTGCTCGCCTTAGCCTCCCAAAGTGTTGGGATTACAGGCGTGAGCCACTGCACCTGGCCCCTTTCACCTTTTAAATCCGGTTACTAACAGCCAGCCTTGATGTCCTCCCCAGAAAGAAGCCTCTTCCCCATTTCTGCCAGAAATCAGCAGACAAGTCAAGGAAAAGGGAATTAGGCCAGAAATGAAGACTCTTATTCCTTTGTCAAATAATAACATATGGCCAAGGGCCTTATTCTCTGAAGCTGTTTAACAGAAGGTGTCAAGAGAGGTTTTAAAAACACGAGGCAGTTATGGGAATAGGGGAAATATTGCATGACATTTGAACATTATTTATTGTTCTTCTAAATTGATTCCCCTGCGATCTTACCGGGTCAAGTGGAGTTTGCCTATGAATTGTGAGGAAAAGTTCTGCCTAAAACAAATGATCTCCAGAGAGAGACTTACAGGCAAAGTGAACCATGCCTAAGAGGATGTTCTAAGGGTAAAACTTGGGAACTTCAAGTACTTGCTGATTCCTAATGTCCCATCAAGGAAAATGTGGGAGGAAAAGGTAAAAGGAGATAAAGCACCAGTAGCCAGGATGAGTATATTCAAGGATTTCTGCTTGGAGCCAAATGCCATTAACTAGCACCTTGTTTCCACTGTAACATCTGATTCCAAAGAAGATGGACTTGAAGTTTGTTTTTCTCTTGGTCATAACCCTTGAACTGCATTTAAGCCCACATGAAGCCTCCGTGTTTATGACGGTGTCTAGCATAAGACTACCAGCTTGGGAAAACCTTTGTACATGATTGCTGATGTTACTGTTGTACGTTACTAAGGATGTGGTGGGCGGGGTGCTTGAAATGAGATTAAGTTATAGCAAAGCTAATTTTGTTGCATCCGTTGGAATTGATGAGGGATGGGTCAGCTGTTGGGGAGAAAGTCAAAGCCTGGCCTTCCTGGCCCTTGGGAAACTGCTTTGGAAAAGGGAACAAAATGACTCCCTGCCTTAGAATGATGACAGCAATTAGAAATCTGTATGTGAGTCTTTGACATGGGTCAAATATAAGTTCAGATATAAGGTGGTGTCTGCTAATTAGAAACTACAGGTATTGTCTTTAGAATCCCTTGGTTGCCTGGAAGGCAGAGCTGCAGAGGTAGTGTGGGGAGACTCTTGACCAATGGGATGAAAGCAAGGTCTTCCAGGGCCGGGCGCGGTGGCTCACGCCTGTAATCCCAGCACTTTGAGAGGCCAAGGTGGGCGGATCACCTGAGGTCAGGAGTCAAGACCAGCCTGGCCAACATGGAGAAACCCCATCTCTACTAAAAATAAAACATTAGACGGGTGCGGTGGCGCATGCCTGTAATCCCAGGTACTTGGGAGGATGAGGTAGGAGAATCACTTGAACCTGGGAGGCGGAGGTTGTGGTGAGCCGAGATCGTGCCACTGCACTCCAGCCTGGGCAACAAGAGCAAAACTCCGTCTCAAAAAAAAAAAAAGAAAGAAAGAAAGAAAGATCTTCCTTTTCTACACAGCGTGCTTCTTGGCCTGTATTCCACCCAGCATCTTGAGGCTAAATGCAGCCCCACTGGAATAAGAAGCATCAGTTGTGAGAAATAGAAGATTGTATTTACAACAATGCATGAGGCATAGAGAACTATTTTGGAGGGCATTCTTTCTGATTAGTTTTCTACCATAATTGGAGCCAACTGCCATTTTGTACAAGTTATCAATGAGCTCCACAGTACCATGGAACATTTTTGCCTTGGATATCCTGAATGTGACACTGGCTTTGTTCCCTGTCAGGTGTACCACTAAGATTACCTGGTAGGAGGTGAGGGGCAACCTAGCTACCACTTTTTTGCTGCAGGCTTTCCCTATGCTCTGTTGGTCTCTCTGCCTCTGTGTTATGAACAACACGGTTATAAGAAGCTATCCTCTTAATTTCTATAGTCTCTCTGAATAGGGATTTTTTAAGATAAATTTCTAATTTGGTTGAGTCAAAGGCAACTCTGAGAAACCAATGTATCCCCCAAATACAATCCACTCCCACAATGCGCCCTCTAAAAGAGTAATGCAAATTTTTTTTTCAGAGGCAGAATCTCACTCTTGCCCCAGCTTGGAGTATAGTGATGCAATCACAGCTCACTATAGCCTTGAACTCCTGGGCTCAAGTGATCCTTCCACCTCAGCCTCCCAAGTAGCTGGGACTACAGGCACATGTTATCACTCCCATCTGCAAGACAATGAGTCTTAAACTTTGCTGCCTATTGTAGTCAACTGGAGAGTTAGAAAACTCCAGGTGACTAGGGTGCACCCCAGACCAGTTTATCAGATTTTTTCTGGAAGAGGAACACAGTCCTCAATATTTAAAAACAAAACAAAAGAAAAAAATACCCTGAGTGATTACAACACGGAGCCAAGTTTAAGAACCAGTGCTCAAGAATCCCCAGAAATTTGGTGTTAGGACCGAGGACCTGGGTGATTGCTTCAAAAGTGAAGACTCTCAGGCAAATGCATTTCTCTTTAGCCCCATCAGTCACCTGCATTTGCCTGAGGCAAGCAAGAAGAGTGAAATGGCCTTACAATTGTAAATCTTGATGCCTCCAAGGCAATGGGAGGTGCAGCATGCTCCCTCAAAGCCCCTACCTTTGCTTCACAAATAGTGCAAATATGTTTCAGAATATGGATCTTAGCTAAAAGGCTGACCTGCCTATCTTAACTACATAGCTAAGCAGACATTTTAAGGATAAGACAACACAAATAAATATAAGTATTTCTGTCTATCTACTTACCAGATAGTTTTCATAATAAATTTACAGGGTGAGCCATGGCCCTGCCTTTTGCAAAAAATCCCCCATTCATGATTGGAAAAGTGGTTGAGTAGCACTAAACACACCTACACACACACACACACACACACACACACACACAGATGAATGAATGAGTTTTTAACACGACAGCTAAAAATATTATCACAAACTGTTCTGGGACCAATCCCCTGTTCACACCCCCTCAATTATCACCAATGTATCAGAGGCCATTTTCACCTGCTTCTGCAAAGCAGAGTAAGGCATCGACCCTCTCTCAACATAGACATAGCTGTTTGATTTGAAGCTTGGATTTGCTGGCTGGGGGGCCAGGGAACATAATCTCCCTCATATCTACTTTCCAACATTAAAGAACACCCGGGAGCTGAGCTGCCCCCTTGGTAGAGGATGGGGATGGGGCACAGGGAAGTGGCAGTAACTGATGCCTAGTTTTGCTCCCTAGGGTGGTGGCTGTTGAAGAAACTGAGGTCAGCCTGTGCACACAGCTTAATGAGAGTGTCACTTTCTGGGGGTTGTGGGGAGGGAGTGGGTACAGGGCAGGTGAGAAGTGACATTTGCAGACGGTTCCTGGACATGTGTGAGGCTTCTTGCTCTATAATATGAAGCAACATAGCAGTAAAATAAGGACTCCTTGAAAGACAGATGTGTGATCCCCGGGGGAGCCTGGAAATTTCTGAGGCAGGAGATTCTTGGAAAAGACTGGCTGGTAAATCCTTGAAAGCATGGCCACTACAGATTTGTGGTGGTAAATGGGACTATTTTTGTATTCTCATATACAGGGTTAAAAAAGAAAATAATTGAAAAAAAAAGCACAGAATAGTAATATTTAAAATGTACAAATTCTCTGAAATCCAACTACCAAGAGAAAAACCTTATTAACATCTTCCAAATAGTTCTATACAAATATATATATATACACACACACACACATAAATATACGTGCAATATAGCTACACATTTTCACAAACTTGAGGCCTAATGTACATGCTGTTCTGCAACTGGTTATCTTTCAGTCAATAATTAATTAGTCCTGGCACGCTCTTCAATAGATGGTGCTGGAAAACTGGATATTCATATGCAGAATAAAACTAGACACCCATCTCCCACCATATACAAAAATCCACTCAAAATTGATTAAAGACTTAAATGTAAGACCCAAAACTATAAAACTGCTAGAAGAAAACAGGGAAAATACTTCAGGACATTGGTCTGGGCAAAGATTTTATGGCTAAGACTTCAAAAGCAAAGGCAACAAAAGCAAAAGAAAGCAAATGGTTCTACATAAAACTAAAAAGCTCTGAAGAGCAAAGGAAAAAACAGTGAAGAGATGTAAAATGGGAAAAAAATTTGCAAACTATTCATCTGACAAGATGAATATATAAGGAACTCAACAACAACAACAAAAACCCCTCAAAAACCAAAAAACAAATAATCCCATTAAAAAGTGGGAAAAGGATCTGAACAGACATTCTCAAAGGAAGATAAACAAATGGCCAACAAGTATATTTTTGTAATACTGAATATCACTAATTATCAGGGAAAACAAAACCACAATGAAATGCCATCTTACCCCAGTTAAAATGGCCATCAACAAGACAAAAAATAAATGCTGGTGAGGATGCATAGAAAAGGGAATTCATACACATTGCTGATGGAAATGTAAATTAGTACAACCGTTATAGAAAGCGGTATAGAGATTCTTCAAAAAACTAAAAATAGAACTACTACATGATAGTAATCCATGCAATCTTACTACTTGGTATTTATTCAAAGGAAAGAAAAATCAGTATATCAAAGGAATAATGCATCCCCGTGTTTATTACAGTGCTATCCCACAATAGTCAAGATATAAAATCAACCTAAGTGTTCATTAACAGATGAATGAATTTAAAAATGTGATATATATACACAATGGAATACTATTCAGCCATTAAAATGTGAAATTCTGTCATTTGCAGCAACATGGATGTAACTGAAGATCATTATGTTAAGTGAAATAAGCCAGGCACAGAAGGATAAATATTACATGTCCTCATTCATATGTGGGAGCTTAAAAGTTGGTCTCATGGAGGTAGAGAATAGAAGGACAGTCAGCCAAGGCTGGGAAGGGTGTTTCACGGGGAGAGGGAGGAGAAAGGTTTATTAATGAGAACAAGCACACAATTAGATACAAGGAATAAGCTTTAGTGTTAGCTAGCACAGAGGGTGACTATAGTTAACAATAATTTATTGTATATTTCAAAATAGCTAGGAGAGAAGATCTGAAATATTCCTAACACAAAGAAATGATAAATGTTTGAGGTGATGGATATCCTGATGCCCTTGACTTGATCATTACACATTGTATACATGTACCAAAATATCACATGTACTCCATAAATATGTATAATTATTATGCATCAATAAAAAATAATTACTTTTAGACAGCACAATTAGTCCTGGATTTGCTCTATGTCAATAAATATGCATCCATAACATTTTCAGCATCTGTAGACTGTTCCCTAGTATATACAAGTAATTTGACTAGCTGCTTTGTTTTTTTTGTTTTTTTGTTTTTTGTTTTTTAACATAGTCTCTCTGTATCATCCAGGCTGGTCTTGAGCTCATGGGCTTAAGCAATCGGCCTGCCTCAGCCTCCCAAGTAGCTGGGATTACAGGTCCACAAACCACTGTGCTTAGTTGACTAGCCACTTTTTATGAATAAAGCCACTAACAACTATTTTGTATATGTCTTTTTTTTTTTTCTTTGGACATACACCTTTATTTCTCTTGAAATGCACCTAGGAGATGGATTGCTGGGGCTACAAGCTATCAGTCTCCTATTGGTGGCCACTGCAGTAATCCTTGTACTGCTAGAATGTAAGCTCTGCAAGGGTAAGTACCTTTTCTGTTTGCCTCATAGATGAATTCCAAATGCCTATGTCTGCTCAGGCTGTCTTAACAAAATCCCATGGGCTGGGTGGTTTAAGCACAAGAATTTATTTTTCACAGTTCTGGAGGCTACAAGTCTGAGATGAAGGTGCCAGCAGGGTCAGGTTGCGGTGAGGGTTGTCTTCCTGGCTTGTTGCCTTCTTGCAGTGTCCTCACATGACAGAGAGAGCAAGCTCTGGGGTGTCTCTTCTTCCAAAGGTACTAATCCTATCATGAGGGCCCCACTCTCATGACCTTCTCTGACCTAATTACCTCCCAAAGGCCCCATCTCCAAACCCCATCACTTTGGGAGTTAGGGCTTCAACATATGAATTTGAGGGGGACACAGACATTCAGCTCACGTGTGTTCCCGTTTAAAGACATATTCTGTAATATATAGTGTTGATTCATGAACAGTAAATTCAGGGCTAACACCACTATAACTCATGCCTGAATGAAGTTTATCTAACAATATCTTCTCTGTAAGGTACATCACAGCCTTCTTGAACTATGGTGTACCTTATCACAGGTACAGTGATGTAGGTTGACATCACTTCAGCACTATGCTTTAGGACCATTTTTAACAGTGAAATGACCAACGAAAAGCACAAAAATGTGAAAAATGTGGCACTAAATAGACCATGAAAAGGGTACTTGTTTGCAGTATAAGAGGTGAAGCAAGAAGGCAACACATTACCTTGTTCAATTTCAGCTGGGAATATGTATCCTCAAAGCTTTTGATGCTCTACGTGTTCACGAATGACTGTGAAAATGCTCTGAGTAATGATCTTGGAGTTATAAATAAATTTTAGTGAACAGGCAAATTCACAAATCATGAGATCAACTGAATTTTCATAGGATACATACATTCTCAGAATTGGGCTTGTTAAATAATAGAGTATATACACTTCAAGTACTAATAGATTCTGTCATATATCCACCCCACTTCATGACGAGGTGTATTAATTTGCTTTACCAACAACGGTATACTAGAGTGTTTATTTCCCACATTCTTGTCAACCCTAGACCAGACCTTTAACTTGTATATTCACAAAGCCTAGCATGCTGCCTGGCATGTAGCTGGTGCTTAATCGATGATTGTTGATTTGTTAATTGATTGCATAAAGAATGAATAAATGAATACTTCACTACAGGCTCTTTATTCCTGCCCATTTAGCTGTAGACTTTCTAACTTTCTCTGTGTTTAATATTGACAGTAGTTTCTGGATTACTTCTCTGAGTCTTTTCTACCCTGACCTTTCATGAGTCCAAAGAGCAGTGGGAAAGCAAAAATTCCGAAAAGGAAGGGTGACTCAAGGGCCCAGCTTTTTCTCCACAAAGGACAAGAACTACCAGCAGAAAGCACAAATACCTTTATAAAGCTGATAGGCAATTGATTCTTCGTTTCAGTTTATAAAACGTTTTTCAAACCATTTTTCTCCAGAAAGGACAAGAACTACCAGCAGAAAGCACAAATACTTTTACAAAGCTGATAGGCAATTTATTCTTCGTTTCAGTAAATTATAAAACATTTTTTAAGCCACAGACAACTCTAATTAACACCAAAGAAGATTAAGCATGAACACAAGTTTTTTGCTAACTTTAATGAATTAGTTGGGTTTCTGGAACATTACTCAACACTGGAGAAATAAAGGACAGATATGTGCTTCCCAGTCTGCTGAGCATGATAATGAGGTCTCCACCTCATTTGCAGGGAAAACGTTCTTCAGTGAGCATCTAGAACTGACTGAGATAATGAATCTATGCCCAATTTTCTCCAATTTTATTAATAGATTATTTTACAGACAAATGCAATTATAAATTAGCTATTCAACAGCACACAATGGAATTCATGAACAAATTTGGTTAAATGCTTTTCTTGATTGCACTGTGTGTATAACATGTTTAAAACAGGGATTTGATTCTTAATTTACACCATCAATTAATGTTTGCACCCATTTTATTAATCAGTTCCCCTTGCCAGGAAGAGTCCCAGTTGTTTATTGGTATGCCTGTATTAGCATTTGCTTAGCATCTCTGATTACTAATCTGAAATCCCTAGAAAAAAGGAGGAGAAAATATTTTTTAAATTTGCATTTTTTACATCCAAATACTATCTTATGTTTATGATGTAGTAAAGGTAAAAAGCAGGTTCAAAATAATGTGAATTTATAATGCCAACTTTGTTCATCTAGAAGAGCTTAGAAGAATATATCATAAAATTTTGATCATGGTTATTTCCAGGCAATAGGCTGCCTGGTGACTTATTTTCTTTTTGCTTTCCTGTAGTTTTGGATATTTTTCTCCAGTGAACATGTATTCTTTGAAGAATGTTATATACAGCCTTACACACATACATACAAAGTATACTGAAAACATATAAAGCATTTTATGGTTGCTAGGAGTCCTGATATTCAATAAATCCTTGAGCAAATGGACTATAAAAAATCTATCCCACCCCAGAATGGAGCTCTGTTTGCAACAAATACATTTAACTATATTTCAAATGTATACAATAACCTCACAGAAAGGGGTGGGGAGCTGACCTCAGCAACTTTTAAAAATGCTATTTTTATTGGAGACTGTAAGACTAAAGACAAAAAGAACTCAGTATAAACACCTTACCTAAGTTGGTAAATTTTTTTCTTCAGGGCTTCTGGTTAGCAATATATACTAGAGTTGAACAAATAAATACAACTTAGAGGAAGGAGTTACAAATGTGCAAGACGAGAAGGCTAGAATGTCCCCTATGCTGCTGAATTACAGTAAGAGATACCAGTATAAACTTATGTTTATTTTATATCTGTATTTTAATATATTTTCGTACATATGCATGCAGGTAGCCAGATTCAGAAAAATACATAGATATGTGTGCATACATGTATTAGAATACACACATATATTTCCTTGCTGTGTCAGATGACAGGGCCTAGAAGTAATGACACCCAGCATCAATAAACACAACTAGTGTCCAGATCTTGGTTTCTCAATTCTATGGCTCTTTGGGGCTGGGACAGGAAAAATGAGCTTGGGGATGTCAAAAGGACACAGGAGCCAACCTGAAACAGTTCCCAATGGCCAAAGCTCAGGACGATTTGAGCAAGAAAATAAATAGTCATAATATAGGATTATAAACTAAAAAATTAAATATCCCTGAGTACACATCAATAAAAACTAATGAATAAATAAATGAGGGGAGGAGGGGCACATCTTTTGCGCAGAAGAATTCTAATTAATGTAGATACCGCCCCCTCTAGAAATTGAAACATAATTCTCCTCCTCCTGAGTGTGGGCTGGATTTAGTAGTGACTTAGTTCCAATGAATATATTATGGAAAGGGAAAAATAATACCATTGCAGTGGGGAAGCCTGCGATGGAACCTGAGAATAACATATCTAAGAATTTCCCAGGTGATACTGATGCTGCCAGTCTGACCATACTTTGGGCTATCACTGGTTTCAAAGAACTAATGTATTTTAGAACTTGTTTTACCTAATATGGGGAAAAGGTTTAAATTGGGGGATGAATCCAGTAACCTGGTGAGCCTCAAGGGTACAATCACCTGTCATTATTCTCTCCTGCACTCTGAGCAGTGACACAGCTTTTTATTTTACCCCAAAAACTTTCCATGCAGAAGGTGTTTGCTTACTTACTGAAGTAGAATAGGCTTCCTTAAATGTTTTCTTTGTAAATAGGAATGCCAAGGGGTGTGTCTCTAGTTCAGCAGTTCTCAAATTTTATTGTGCATGAGAATCACTTGGAGAGCTTATTTGAAAAGTATATTTCTGGGCCCCACCCAAGAGACCTTGATCTATTCAATAATAATAGCATTTCTTATATACATTCACTATGAGCCAGACACTACTATAAGCACTTTACATGTATGAATTCATTTAATCCTCACAAGAGCCCTATGTGGTAGCTACTGTTATTATTCCCATTTTACAGATGAGGAAACTGAAACTTTGAATGGTTAACAACTAGTTAGCTAGTTATCAGCTAATCAGTAGTGGAACCTGGAGTACACCCAGGCAGTTGGCTCCAAAGCCTCTTGTCCATCATGACTCTACCGCCTCTTGTCTGAGATGACACTCCTTAATTTGAGCTCTCCAAAGAGACCCTAAAACAAAGACATGGATGTAAGCAGTTTATTAGAGTGACGGCCCCAGAAACACAAACAAGAGAGAGATGAGGCAGGGAACATGTGCACTGATGAGCAGGTTGTAGACTTGGGCAACTAGGGCTCAACCTTACTAGGGATCGTCTGAGGAACTATGAAAAGCAAGCCTTAGAACTGCCCTACTGAGGGAGACAGAGAAGCTGGGGTATTTCTCCACCAACTCCTTTCCTTTATTAGTTGATGGTTGTCTTGCTAGGCATGAATTCCCTGGCACTTAAAAATTTCTCTGGAGCCAGGGAAAGCCCTCAGGCAAAATAGAGAAGAGATTCATGTACAGAAACCATCTAGCTGCAGGCAAACTATGAGGTAAGTCATAGGGATGAAGGGGAGAACATCAGTAGGAATCTGCATTTTATTTTTTAATTTTTTTAGAGATAGGGTTTCACTCTGTCACCCAGGCTGGAGTGCAATGGGGTGATCACAGTTCACTGCAGCCTTGAAGTCCTGGACGCAAACGATCCTCTTGACTTGGCCTCCCAAGTAACCGGGACTACAGGTGTGTGCTGCTGTGCCCAGCAAATTTTTAAAACATTATTTTTTGTAGAGACAGGTCCTCACATTGTTGCCCAAGCTGGGCTTGAACTCCTGGCTTCAAGTGGTCTTCCCGCCTGCCTTGGCCTCCCAAAGTGCTGAGATATCAGGCATGAGCCACCATGCCCGACCAATATGCTATTGTCAGGTGGTGCAGAAAATACACTTTGAGAAACACTCTTTTAATTTGAGGATGCCCTTGGGCTGTCCCATGTGATGGCTCAGGTCACAACAACAGAATTCTAAATGATATGAAATGAGAGGCTGGGCACGGAGGTGCATGCCTATAATCCCAGCACTTTGGGAGGCCAAGGCAGGCGAATCGCATGAGGCCAGGAGTTTGAGACCAGCCTGATCAACACGGTGAAACTCCATCTCTCCTGAAAATACAAAAATTTGATGGGCTTGGTGGCTCAGCTTGAACCTGGGAAATGGAGGTTGCAGCAAGCT
This sequence comes from Homo sapiens, assembly GCF_000001405.40. Taxonomy (NCBI): domain Eukaryota; kingdom Metazoa; phylum Chordata; class Mammalia; order Primates; family Hominidae; genus Homo; species Homo sapiens. The sequence continues at coordinate 27,645,636 of NC_000003.12, read as the reverse complement.
CAGATGGTGCCACTGCACTCAAGCCTGGGTGACAGAGCAAGACCCTGTCTCAAAAAAAAAGATATGAAACTAGATGGTTTCCCCCTTCTCTTTTCATCCCTAGCCCCCAAAACTATACCCTAAGAAGTGAGCTGGCCAGGCATGGTGGCTCATGCCTGTAATCCCAACACTTTGGGAGGCCGAGGTGGGCAGATCACCTGAGGTCAGGAGTTCGAGACTAGCCTGACCAACATAGTGAAATCCCATCTCTACTAAAAATACAGAAATTAGCCGGGTGTGGTAGCAGGCACCTGTAATCCCAACTACTCGGGAGGCTGAGGCATGAGAATCGCTTGAACCCAGGAGGCAGAGGTTGCAGTGAGCCAAGATCATGCCACTGTACTCCAGCCTGGGGGATAGGGTGAGACTCTGTCGCAAAAAAAAAAAAGAAGTGAGCCAAATCAGACCAATAATTCTTTAAGGTCCTGGAGTTGAGTCCTGCCTTCTGTCTTAGAGTGACACATCACACAACCATCTGGAGACAACTGGGTCTAAATGATTACAAGATTGCCTTTCTCTAGATGGACAAGGAGAGGGGAGACATTTCTGTGCCCATATTTTCATTTCTATCTAAATATCTCATTTCAAATCTGTTTAAAAATTCATAACTGATTCTCCCCGCATCCCCACCAAACCCCTCTCCCCCACTGATAAAATTGAACAGAAACCAGAATCCAAATCATTGAGCAAATAGAGGATGAAGCTTAAGAGACATCTAAATTAAATACACTATATTTAAGACCCTTGTCTCCCACGGCACTTGCTAAGTCCTGGTGAAACAGCACAACACGAAGAGGGTGTTGAGAAAGAACAAGAACCAGAAATGTCAGAGCTCTGATAGGGGAGCCAAGGAAAGCTTCCAATTCAAGGACTGAAAACTCAGATACCTTCATAGGCAAGACATCTATGTGTCATGGCTGGTTATATAAATGTATGCAAAGCAATTGTGAAAATAGGGTGTGCGCAATAGAGAGTGGCGAGGCCTATGGCAAACTAGAGAATGCGTACTCTAATCAATAATACTGGGCTTAAAACTTTGAGGCTCATCTTTGTCTGCAGACTACTAATTTTTGAATATTCAATATAGGCCCCTTTTAGCTGAGAGGAAACCATTTTCTGATGTCACTCCAGGCCTCATATTCAGCTGGTATGAGCCCATAAATCCATACTTGTTCTGCATAGTCAGGGTCTAGCCACACCTGTTTTTAACTATTTGCCTGTCACCTCTGAGTTCACACAATTAGCAGACCAAAGAACTGAAAACACATGTACTCTCTCTTCTGTCTTCTGCCCTTAAAAACTTACTTACATTTTACATTCATAATATGGAAAAATAAATGTATATAAAAAATTTTAAAACAATAAAAAGTCATCCAGGCACTGTGGCTCATACCTATAATCTCAGCACTTTGGGAAGCCAAGGCAGGAGAATCGCTTGAGGCCAGGAGATCGGGACTAGCCTGGGTAAATAGTGAGACCCTGTCTCTACAAAAATTAACATCAGCCAAGAATGATGGTGCGTGCCTGTAGTTCCAGCTACTTGGGAGGCTGAGGTGGGAAGATTGCTTGAGCATAGGAGTTCGAGGATGCATGATCATGCCACTGCACTTCAACTTGGTGACAGAGCAAGACCCCATCTCTAAAAAAATAAAAAAAAAATAGATGCATAGATAAATGTATCAGTGTAAAATAAGATAATTTTCCAATGAAAAGGACCTGAGATTGTATTAAAAATTCATCTGGAGAGCAGATCCATCTGCAGGATGACACTGACAATCCAAACATTTGTTCAACCTTCTTTTGTTGACCTCTGAGTTCTCAATAGACTGCTTGCGCATGTGTTCTCATTGCGGATACGTTAAAACATATTGAAAAAACTTCTCCACCTTAATTTTTTAAAGTATATTAATAAATACAAAGTCTTGCTTTGTTACTGTCAAGGAAGTTCAGTTTTAAAAAACCCCCGAAATTTGGCAACAGTCAATAAACAAACCAATTGATTGTGAGTAGAAATGCCACAGGTATTTACCCCCTTGAGCTGAGAGCAGGATGTTAGTCAGCTCTAGGAGCTAAGGATATTTTCTGTTTTGTTCTCCTCTGTGTCCCCAGAGACCTAGGATCATGCCTGCCACAAAGACAGCTGTCTGGAAGAGTCAAATTCTGAAATATTTCAAAACCAACTTCTGTTATGCAGAGGTCCTTTACCTCCAAGGGCTGAATGATGAGAGAGGTAGAGATGGGATGATAAAGCACAAGGGACCATCTGGAGAGGTTTGGGGAAATGTCAGTTTGAAGGGATGGGGACTAGGGGGTTAGATGAGGGAGAAACAGAAAGGTGGGTATTCTGAACATGCGTGCAGTTTTCACAGCAAAGAGGCAGGAGAGTGGAAGACAGAAAGAAGGATTTTCTCTGCGGAGCGGGCAGCACAGGGCAGAGGGGAAGGAAAAATAAAACTAGGGATTGAGAGAGAGAGAGGTGATTGGCAGGGTATTGAAAAATACTTTTGCCAGGAGTTCCTGGTATCTCTCTAAGCTTTGCTAGTTCACAGACCTCTCTATACAAGGAATGCAAAACATTGGATTTGGATAGATAATGTATGATTAAGCTTAAAAATACCCAAAAAGGGAAATATTGCGTCAAGAAATGTGTGTCAAAACAGCCAGAGAGAAAGACAACTGGACAGAGGGCTGGTCTTACGGACATAGGCTTCAAGGGAGCCCACCCTGAAAGAAGAGCCGTGTGAGTGATAGAAATCTCATCTAATCTCCCTACAAAGATGCCCTGAGAAGTATCTGTTTCCAGAAATCCAGAATCCTGAATGACTGCGTGCATAGTCAGTCTTTTTTTTTTAGTAAATATGCCCATGAAAGTTAGATTAGGCATTGCCTTTTTTTTTTAAACTATACCCTAAAAATTCTCTGTGAAGCTTTGTATCAGTGTAATTAGGCAAAAGAAAAGCAGGAAACCTTAATGGAATCTTTTGATCCCATTAGGGCTACTGGGACATTTGCTGAGCAAAGTCAGAGGTGGTTAATATCTAACCAGGGTTTAATTTATGATCTGAGTGTACAAACCACTTTCAAGACTATACAGCTGACTAATGAATTTATTAGGGAGATTAATGCTTATTACCTGCCGTTTCAAGACATGCTGTTATGTGCTAACTTGACTGTTGTACCTTGGAACATGCTGAAACCTCCCGAGGTTCACCTGAATGGTGGGTGTGTTCCCCAAGCTTAGTGCTCCCATGGAGTTTGAAGTGGAGGGTTAAGAGGAGTCAGTCCTCACTTCTGTGTTGGTTTCTGTATGTCTCAGCCCGTCACCAGGACTACTATAGCCCATGAGGCTGGCACACTCTCCTCCTCCAGCCCTGCTCAGGGCTTTCCTTGGTTTCCTTGGTTAAGGGCAGGCAATGGATCTGATGTAGGGATATTGCCCTGACAGAGGTCATTTCCCCAACCTTCTGGCAGCCAAGTGGCCACCTCCCTTTGAAAGGTAAGCATATATCTTTCCCATTGCCACTCTCCTTCAGCCTCCTCCCTACTCCTACCTCATAAACAAGAGCAAGTGAATCATGCTATATATTCAGATAGAAATAAGCCCTATTAAGGCAGTATTTAGTAAGGCGGGGCTAATGAACAGATTCATCCACACCAAGCCCCGGAGTCTTAGCTGAAACACTCATGTAGAGTCTTCCTTATCCAGGTATCTCTTTTTCTTAACTCAAAAGTCACTTACTTAACTCAGCCAGGAGTTTTGTTAAAAAAAAAAAAAAAAAAGATTTAATCTAATCTATGTGATAACCGTATACATTTTTTCTTTACCTTTAACCTAGGCCTTGAAGTTCTTACAGCCCACTTGATAAGCTCAAGTGGAATCAGGCCTTCTCTTATTATTAAGAAGCACAGTATTTCCCAAAGACCACTCATCACTCTGCAAATAGTCTAAGGACATGAGGGCCTTAATCAAAGCAAGGGGAGAGAGAAAACTGAAAGTCACACATCAGGCCAATCCCACTGTTGCTTTGGCTGTGGGTGTGACTCTTGGAGACTGATCCCACACAGGCTGGGGGACAGTTATCTGCTAAACTGAGACACTTACTGGTTGAATCATGCCTTGGTTAATAGCACCCCAACTTGGGATTGATCCAAGGTTATAATTATTTTCATTAACCTTCATGTGCTTCATATAGTCACCAAGGTATAGCACTACCAAACAGTATTTGTCCTCAGCTGTATGTTGTACCAATACCAACCCTCCCCCACACCCTCTTCCACCTCTCTGCATTGAACTTGGGTTACCAGCCTTGACCTACCTTTCCCTCATGGTGAGTTCCTCTTTGATATTCTTTCCTGATAATAGCTATTAGTGGTCCTACCTCAATCTAAGAGTGATTCTCCAAGTGCTGAACCTCAAAAGAGTAAGAGCTGGGGTCCAGATGCAGTGGCTCATGCCTATAAGCCCAGTGCTTTGGGAGGCCGAGGCAGGAGGATTGCTTGAGCCCAGCAGTTGGAGACCAGCCTGAGCAACATAGTAAGACTGCCATCTCTGCAAAAAATTTAAAAATTAGTCATGAGGTCAGGAGTTCAAGACCAGCCTGGGCAACATGGTGAAACCCCATCTCTACTAAAAATACAAAAATTTGTTGGGCGTGTCAGTGCACACCTGTAATCCCAACTACTCAGGAGGCTGAGGCAGGAGAATTGCATAAACCTGGGAGGCAGAGGCTGCAGTGAGCCGAGATCACACCACTGTACTCCCAGCTTGGTGACAGAGTGAGACTTCATCTTAAAAAAAAAAAAAAAAATTAATCACGTGTGGTGGTATGTGCCTGTAGTCCCAGCTACTTGCACACTTAATCCCATCTACTTGCACTCCCTCACAAGGGAAGCTGAGGCAGTAAGATTGCTTGAGCCCAGGATTTCAAGGCTGCAGTGAACCACGATCATGCCACTGCACTCCAGGCTGGGTGACACAGAGATACTCAGGCTCAAAAAAAAAAAAAAAAAAAAGTAGAAGCTGAGGATTTTTAGTCCTTCTCTTCCAGGAAGGCTCCTTCACCCTACCCTTCCCTCAGAGGACAGCTCTGTAAGCGGTGAGGAGCCAGAGAAATGAACAACTCTCTCCTTTTGACCCTAAGAAGACCTGAAGAGAGACTCTTCTCTGAACATAAAGAATGTTGGCCGTTTCCTCTGCCTTCCTTTCCACCTCCCAAAACAAGGGGAAAGAAGACTGTAGTCTCTGCTTACCAGGCACTCTATCATAAACAATCTATAGCAATTTCTGATTCCTTCTGCTAAAGAACTATTGTTGAGGGTTGGAGAACAGACAAAGGTTCTTAGCCAAAAGAGTCATCTCTGTTCTGCCATAATCTAAATATTTCTTCTTCAAGTTTCTACTAATTGTCCTCTGTCTGCCTACTCTGTGATGTCCCAACTTTCAGGTCTACTTATGCACTTACTTAAAGGTCTGATTTTATTTTTATTTTATTTTATTTTTTGAGACGGGGTCTCACTTTGTGGTCCAGGCTGGAGTGCAGTGGGTACAATCATGGCTGAGTGCAATGGGTACAATCATGGCTTACTGCAGCCTTGAACCCCCGGGCTCAAGCGATCCTCCTGCCTCAGCCTCTGGAGTAGCTGGGACCACAGGCATGCACCACCAAACTTGGCTAAATTTTTTTATTATTTGTGGAGACAGGCTCTACCTATGTTGCCCAGGCTGGTCTCGAAACTTTGGCCTTAAGCGATCTACCCACTTGGCCTCCCAAAGTGCTAGGATATCAGGTGTGAGCCACTGCGCCTAGCCCAAATTTCATGATCTTTGTCTCTTGTTTCCTTTACAGGTGAAAACCTGCAGATGTGCTGTACAGATGTGGGCTGCTGTTGTACTCATCATTCCAAGTAGATTTGTCTTCTGTCTGTTTGCAAAATGCTGTGGCTCTGCTCTCTAAGCTAGGTAGAAGTGAGCACCCTCTCTCAGGATACTGTATTATGGGTCTGCGGGAGAATTAGAGAGATGTTTTATGCTGCTGCCTATGATATGAGTTTATTTCCTGGTTGAGGTCTGTGCTAGAGCAGGTTCTCACTCAGAAAGGCAGAGACAGGAAGACTGTAGGGCACTTCCTCTATGAACCCACTAAACAGCAACTCTGGGTTCTCCAGTTCCAGGTGCATTTCTGTTCAGATATCTCATGCACTATGTCATATGGTTTTGCAAACTTATCTTCATTCTATTTCACAATTTAGGCACTCCGTTCCAATTCTGGGAAGTGAAGAAGGGTCACTTACTCAATTGACTTCAGGGTCTAGGCAGTAACCAGGTTCTTGGGTTCTCTTTCAACACATACAATCTTTTGACAAACATATAAAGTTTACATGTTGAACGTGCAGGAATATTCCTCAAGTCCGTGAAGAAATTTGTGCACTCCTGTTTTACTTGAAATATAATTTTCAGTTTATCTTTTGCTGTCTTACTCTTTTTGCTTGTTTTTTTTTTTTTTTTTTTTTTTTGAGACAAAGTCTCACTCTGTTGCTCAGGCTGGAGTGCAGTGGCACGATTGCGGCTCACTGCAACCTCCGCCTCCCGAGTTCAAGTGATTTCCCTGCCTCAGCCTCCCAAATAGCTGAGATTGCAAGCATGCACCACCACTCCTGGCTAATTTTTATATTTTTAATAGAGACAGGGGTTCGCCATGTTGCCTAGGCTGGTCTCGAACTCCTGACCTCAAGTGATCTGCCTGCCTGGGTCTCCACGCTGGGATTACAGGCATGAGTCATCGTGCCTGGCCTGATATCTTTCCCGTGATAAAGACATGGGCCCAGATAAATATTTCTTTACTTTGAGATAAATAACATAGCAAGTACAAAGATCAGTAAATGAAAACTGGCCCCAAGATCAGTAAATGAAAACTCAGCCCCAAAGTCAGGTCAATGGTAGGGAACGGTGGAAACTGTGGCATCTTAGGGTAGTCACTAGCCAGTTCCAGCTGCTCACTGTCATACGAAGAAGGATCCATGCCACACGAGAGTCTAGTCTTGTCACATATTCTCATTAAAGTGAAGTGACTCTGATTTTTTTGGTGTGAAATCTCCCTATTTTTACATTTTGGCTCAAAGTTTGTAAAAATACTGTGGAGTCCAAATAAAACATGTCTGCAGACCAGAGCTAGGCTTCAGACTACCAGTTTAGAACCTGCCATGGGAAACGATAATATCTGGGAAGCACAGAGGTACCCCGGTGTTTTAAAGTGAGCAGTAGGCTGTTGAATTCACTTTACTATTGTTGTATTAGAGAAGAGTCAGAACATTTCAACATCTTGAGCACCAAGAATCATCTGAGTGACTTTTTCTTAAGGAATAAATCACACATTATGAAAAACAATGCATGCAACTTTCATCATCCCCTAGCTGTCGCGAACTATAGACAGAAAAGAACTTCATTCTCTCCTATTTTTCCAGGGAGAAAAAGATTCACAGAACATTGTTTTCCTTGGTTCAAATTTGAAGTTCTAACTTGAAGTAGCTAGGTGCTGGAGAGAGGTTAAGAGGCTGGATTGTGTGTTCATTGGTGCTTTATCCCCCTGTAGCTGGGAGAGAGAGGACAAGAAGTAGTACGGTGTCAACATGGTGAAAGAAAATGAGAAGATGCAAAACCGAATGAGGTATTCAATTATACTAATGTTGGCAAATATCTCTGAGGCTGGTATCATGTAGACAAAACATCTGGATAAGTCACTGAAACTGTCAGACCTTAGACAATAGCTGGTACATGAATGCCGTGAGAGTAGCGTTTCCACTTATAGATGGAATGCCTTTCTTCTTCTTTCTTAATTCTTTCAATTGACAAAAGAACACAGCATCACTTGAGTTAGTACTCCTGCATGATAAATAGGACACCCATGGAGGTTGTTCTATCCCTTTTATAACCTCAAGGTGCCAGACCATTTTCACTAGTTCCCTGAATTACGTAAAAAACTTAGAGCCCATGTGTAACCCTCACGCTGTCTAATTTTAACTGAATAGGTTACACAACACTGAGAAAGCTGGCACCTTGTGTGCTATGGCACTAATCATTAGCAATGTTTGGCCGGATGCAGTGGCTCATGCCTGTAATCCCAGCATTTTGGGAGGCCAAGGCGGGCAGATCACTTGATGTCAGGAGTTCAAGACCAGCCTGGCCAAAATGGTGAAACCCCGCCTCTACTAAAAATACAAAAATTTTCTGGGCATTGTGGCACACCCCTGTAATTCCAGCCACTCGGGGGGCTGGGGCAGGAAAATCACTTGAACCGGGGAGGCGGAGGTTGCAGCAAGCCACTGCACTCCAGCCTCAGCAACAAGACTCTATCTCAAAAATAATAATAATTAGTAATGTTCAAGGTCACAAAACAAATGCATAGAAAGGAAACATTGATTAAATAATGAAGAGAGAAATGAATATAAGTACAGCCTGCGTTTAACTTCTCAGGCAGAAAAAAACAATTTTGTTGTTTTTAAATGCATAAATATAATGCTAATGGGTACAGCAAACTTAGCAAACAAAACTAAACATGTCATTTGACCATGGATCTAGGCCTTAATGAATAGGCATGATTTTTAATTAGTCTATCAATTATCTGTAGATAAATGAGTATTGGACGTTACTTGTATTCTTTAAGTCTCCCAAATTTGTATTCTTGGACTCATCTTTGTGTCATCTCCATCTCCAAAAATGTCAGAATACCAAGCCCTGCTAATTGTTACCTTGATCTTCCTTGCCAATCTACTCTTCCCTCCTCAGCCTCTCAGCTAACACCCTAGCCCAGTGCTTCTCATATTTTAATTATATTGACAAATCTCCTGGGGATTTTGCTAAAATATATATTCTGGTGCCAATCCTGTTGGTCCAGGGACGACAGTTTGAGTAGCAAGGCCCCAGCCTAGTTTTTCAAGAACAATCTCCTCCCCACCCTGCTCTCAATTCTAACCTCCCTTCTGGCCCTTCAGGTGAGTTCCAGCCCTTCTTGTATCCCACTGGTTACAAGATAAATGTTTTCTTTCTTCTTTTTTTTTTTTTTTGTTTTTGAGACGAGGTCTCTGTCACTAGGCTGGAGTGCAGTGCTGCGATCTCGGCTCACCGCAACCTCCGCCTCCTGGGTTCAAGCGATTCTCCTTCCTCGGCCCCCCAAGTAGATGGGACTACAGGTGTGCGCCACCCAGTTAATCTTTGTATTTTTAGTATTTTTGTATTTTTAATAATTTTTAGTTAATTTTTGTACTTTTAGTATTTTTGTATTTTTAATAATTTTTAGTTAATTTTTGTACTTTTAGTATTTTTGTATTTTTAATAATTTTTAGTTAATTTTTGTACTTTTAGTATTTTTGTATTTTTAATAATTTTTAGTTAACTTTTGTATTTTTAGTATTTTTGTATTTTTAATAATTTTTAGTTAACTTTTGTATTTTTAGTATTTTTGTATTTTTAATAATTTTTAGTTAACTTTTGTATTTTTAGTATTTTTGTATTTTTAATAATTTTTAGTTAATTTTTGTATTTTTAGTATTTTTGTATTTTTAATAATTTTTAGTTAATTTTTGTATTTTTAGTAATTTTTTGTATTTTAGTAGAGACAGGGTTTCACCATGTTGGCCAGGATGGTCTCGATCTCCTGACCTTGTGATCCACCCGCTTTGGCCTCCCAAAGTGCTGGGATCACAGGTGTGAGCCACCATGCCTGGCCACAAGATAAATGTTTTCTAAGTACTCTTCTGATTGTTTTAGAATGGATCCATGTCCACTTAGAGGCACACAGGCTCAAGGCACTCCAAGGGTTTAGTAGGGAAGCATTGACTAGTTGACTCTGCTGGAAAAGGTCTACCAAAAAAGCAAACCTGGCAAACCTTCTCCCAAATTCCCCATTCTCTGTGCAGTCTTTTTTTAGTCATGATCTGTGCTGCCAATATGATACCAGTCCCAAGGGATTCTCTCTCTGCTGCCACTTTAAAACCCTCATCTGGAAATGGTCAAAAGCCCCTTTTCTTGGTTATACTTAGCACAGAAAGGAGGGGAAAAAGAGAGAGTAGTGATAGAAATTCTTAAAGACATTATGGGAATCAGAGCCAAGTATCTGATCTGAAGGCAATACACTCCAACCCCAAAGCCTAGTATCATTTTCTTTTTTTTTTTTTGTAGTTTATGTAAAAATTTATTTGACCAAAATGTAGAAAAAGTGATACTATTACATATGATACAGTTGCAAGAATCTAAAGTAAAGTGTGGATTTTATTCCATTGCACAATTTGCTAGTGTATTTCCTGGGTAGTGTGGTGCTGAATAAATAGGAGTGGGGTGGTGAGGTGGGGTGGGTAAGGGATTCAGATAAGCCAGAAGCAGGGTGATTTTTAGTCGGAATTGCAAACTTTAGTCGGCCCCCACACGCTGCTGGGGAATGTGGAATGTTCCAGCTCTGAGATGTTAACTGAGAAAAGAGAAGTCAAACAAAGCCGATACGTGCAGCCCTGTCTACAGAATCCTTCATTACCCAGTTTAATCAGGAGTTTCTTGGTCTTTTATTAACTTGGTCCCAAAGAAGGAATTCAAGTCCTAGATAAGTAAATCTTCAATTTGCTATTCCCTGAAGTATGGAAATGAAGTCGGGCCAATTTTTAATCTCTGCTGCCAGAGAGGCCCTTTCTGCTAATAGATAAAAACTCTTTTGCTCAACTTAGTAATGACTTGTAGTCTTTTGGATATGGCTGATCTGAATTGGACTGAACTCCACCATATTCCTGGTGAGTGGGTCATTACTGGAATGAGACATTTGCTCTTCAGAGAACAACTTTATTTTAATTTTCCTTGAGATTGAGTCTCACTCTGTCGACCAGGCTGGAGTGCAGTGGTGCGATCTCCGCTCACTGCAATCTCCACTTCCTGGGTTCAAGCGATCCTCCTGCCTCAGCCTCCCGAGTAGCTGGGACTACAGGCAGGCGTCACCATAATTTTTGTATTTTTAGTAGAGGCATGGTTTCGCCATGTTGGCTGGGCTGGTCTCGAACTCCTGACCTCAAGTGATCTGTCCTGTTGGCTGGGCTGGTCTGGAACTCCTGACCTCAAGTGATCTGTCCTGTCCTCCCAAAGTGTTGGGATTACAGGCAAAAGCCACTGTGCCCGGCCAGAGAACAACTTTAGAATGAAGGAAATATGCAAAAGGACATCACATCAAGGATCTATTAATTACCATCTATTAATTACTATATGTGGGTAATTATGACTATTTCCCAAGCATTCTACGTTGACTGCTTGAGAGGATGTTTGTCCTGCATGGTGGAGAGTGGAGAAGGACCAGGATTCTTAGGTTAATCTATCTGTGGGTTATGACTTCCCACAATAGCCACCCCCGGCCCCCACCAGCCCTTTTATTGGCTCTGGATGGAAAATCCCTACCCATGTGATGGTCCCTGGTCTCTCCTATAGTTTGACCAACAGTTGACCCAAAAGGTTGTGGTCTTCAGCGTTTTAATCATATCCACGACTAGATACTGGGGTCTGTGTTCTTCAAAGTGTGGGGCTGCCTATTCTCCCAGGAACCAAATGGCCTCTGTCTTAAGAAACTATGCTTACTAGGAAATACCCTGCCTACCTTAGGAATAAATGCAACTTAAGGAAAAAATAAGAGAGCTGAAAAAGTTGGTGCCATTTGACAAAAAAAGGGAAGGCATGAGATTTAACTCGTGCTCAAAGCTTCTCCAATACAAAATATTTGGTCATGTATTCATAATTTGCTTGACATTTCCAGCAAAGCGAAGATGGCAATAACAAAAGGAACTTCTTACAAGAGAAGAGAAAGACCCACGGAGCTCCGGAGTTTCTGTTGGAACAAGACTCTTCTGTTTTGCTTATATACAGTTAAGCTCGTTTAGTGTCTGATCCAGTGTCTGATGTAAGCCCACGTTCTCTTCTTTGGCCTGGGCAAGTTTCTCTTCCAGGTCATCAATTGTCTTTTCCAGTTTTGCAACCGTTCTCTCTGCAAATTCAGCACGGGTCTCAGCCTCTTTCAGTTTGTCACACAGAAGTTTAATTTCTTCTTCACATTTGTCCTCCTTTTCAGAATACTTTTCAGACGCAGCCTCCAGAGATTTCAGATTGTTAGTAACATTCTTGAGTTCTTCTTCAAGGTCACCACATTTTAGTTCAGACACCTCCACACGCTCCTCTGCCCTCTCCAGCTCACCCTCCAGGAAGACCAGCTTACGAGCTACCTCCCAGTATTTGCGGTCAGCCTCTTCCGCAATGTGCTTGGCCTCTTTGAGCTGCAGCTCCTGAATTTCCATCTTCTCCTCATCCTTCATGGCCCGGTTTTCTATCACCTTCATTCCTCTCTCACTCTCATCTGCAGCTTTTTCTGCCTCCTCCAGCTTCTGCGGGGCCGTGGCCAGTCTTTCCTGAGCCCTGTCCAACTTCTCCTCAACGAGCTGGATGCGTCGGTTGAGGGCGGCCACATCACCTTTAGCTTTCTCGCGCCGCTCACACTCACCGCCCAGCTCCCGCTGCAGGCCCTGCGCGGTCTTACGCCTCGTCCGCCTGCTGCTGCAGGGCCTAGATCTGGCGTTTCACTGCCTCCAGGTAGCTGAGGCCGGCCATGGCGCGGAGGCAGCGGCGGCGCGGAGGCAGCGGCGGCGCGGAGGCAGCGGCGGCGCGGAGGCAGCGGCGGCGCGGAGGCAGCGGCGGACGCTCGGCTGGGCTCGGCTGGGCTCCGGCGAGAGCTGCACTGCCGCGCCCTGGCCCCCCAAGCCTTTGCCTGCGCGGGGGCCGCCCCCGCCTCTCCCCGCCCCCCGGGCCGGCTGCCGTCGGGGCGATGAGGTCGCCCGGCCGGACCGCCGACGTCAGCACCGCTGGCGGCTATCATTTTCTTAGGACGTGGTCTGACTTTCCTTTTTAACTCCAGCTTCCATTACGATTGGCATCATTTTATTTCTAGCACCCTGGAAGCTGTATCCACAACAATGAGACCTAGATATAAGTCCTCTAGACACCCCACGTTCTCCCAGTAAGTTCTGCTTTGCAGTTGGAGGGTATTTATGGTCAAGGCCAAATGGCAGACCAGCAAATGATCTCATTCTTCCTGGACCACCTTTGCCCACAGAAAAGCATTTTGTGATCCAGATGAGATCTATCTCTCCATATACAAAAAAAAAAAAAGGTTTTGTCCACATATATAAAATGGTCATAGTGACTCCTTAACCATAAAGTAACATATATAAGACACAAATTATCAAACCCTGATTACAGCTGAGTTATCACTAGGCGCATCAGGCGCAGCGCCTAAAACTCATGATAGCTTTAGAAATCAATAAAAACATTTTAATTTTAATTTCTTTTAAAATTGGAAGAAAAAATAAATATAATAATATGAATATGATAATAAAAGCCACCTGGATTTTATATATATACATATATATATATTTTTTTTTTTTTTTTTTGAGGTGGAGTCTTGCTCTTTCCAACAGGCTGGAGTGCAGTGGCGCGATCTCAGCTCACTGCAAGCTCCGCCTCCTGGGTTCATGCCATTCTCCTGCCTCAGCCTCCCAAGTAGCTGGGACTACAGGCGCCCACCACCACGCCCAGCTAATTTTTTGTATTTTTAGTAGAGACAGGGTTTCACCGTGTTAGCCAGGATGGTCTCCATCTCCTGACCTTGTGATCGGCCTGCCTCGGCCTCCCAAAGTGCTGGGATTGCATGCCTGAGCCACTGCGCCCGGCTGGATTATATTCATTTTATACTGGTATAGTCATAAAATATAATTTTAAATTTTTTTGGAAGGAAGAAAGTGGACCATGAAGGTAAAAATGCCTAGGGCATGTGAAAGTCATAATACAACCCTGGCTATAATCAGAGAGGGTCATTCTCTCAAAGTCTTCCACAACCTGGCCTCACCCCACATGTATAGCCTATGTCTAATTTTCCTCTGGTTGGGCCTTCTTGCTAATCTAGCTGGTTCTTCTCCAACTATTATTTGGGGGAGAGACCCAAGTCAAGCTTTCTTTTGTTAATGTGTCTTTATTCATTTCTTTTTCACATTTGGAAAGCTTTCTACCTTACTAACACAAACTCTACCCATTTTAATCCCATCTTCTTTCATAAGGCCTTCCCTAACTACAGCCGCCTACATGGATCCCTCTATTTTCTAACATTACAGTGCTTTTAATTTATTGTACCTGCCAGAATACAGGCAAACACAGGTGAGAAGCAATCGCCCATTTCTCTATGAGAAATCACCTCCACCAAAAGAAAAAGAGATTTGGCCAATTTAACATTATAAACTTTTAGTCATGTTGACGAAATAGGCAAATGTCTATTTCAATTTAAATTAACTCGAATGTATTAATTTAAATGCACAAAGGTTTTTAAAATAGCAATTGATAAAAAATCATGTCTTGATTTAGAAATACTGCTTTTTATTCTTATATCACATTCCGTGAGACAGTTTAAACAAAACTCCTAGGTGCAACTTAATTTCTTAGTCATCACTAAGGCCACATTTTGAGTCATCAAATGCAGTGTTCAGATGGTATCATCTTCACTTCCAGCTAAGTTCTTTACTTCCAGATAAGTAAGATTTCCTTTTCGAAATCCTGTATTGAGCTATTGCTAGAAAATTTATCCCAAACTATAAGTAGCTATTCACATATTAGGACTATTTGCTTATATTTATGATTTCCTCAATATAATTACTGAATTGCCTTTTTAAAAAATCTTGGTTTAAACTATCTTCTTTATAATACAGCCAACATCTTTAACTGAGAGGCTATAACCTTTGGAATAATTACCATATCTTTGTTAAACCTCTGCATTCCTTTTTGAAACAACTTTATCACTTGATATCTATAAACATGTCAAGCTAGTATTGACTGAAGTGGTTTCAGGTTAATATGTTATTCTCCATCAATAATTTGTTGTTCAAAATGAAGTCATTGAGACAGAGCCCATAATGTGAAAGACTTATAAGGACTAGAATTTAAGTCCAGTTACTCCTTTTCTGAAAGATAATTTTGGGGATAAGATTTTGCTGGCCGGGCGCGGTGGCTCACGCTTCTAATCCCAGCACTTTGGGAGGCCGAGGCGGGCGGATCACGAGGTCAGGAGATCAAGACCACGGTGAAACCCCGTCTCTACTAAAAATACAAAAAAAAAAAAAAAAAATTAGCCGGGCTTGGGGGAGGGTGCCTGTAGTCCCAGCTACTTGGAGAGGCTGAGGCAGGAGAATGGCGTGAACCCAGGAGGCGGAGCTCGCAGTGAGCCGAGATCGCGCCACTGCACTCCAGCCTGGGCGACAGAGCGAGATTCCGTCTCAAAAAAAAAAAAAAAAAAAAAAAAAAGATTTTGCTTTGTATTTAAACCTATCTGTGTGTCCTACCATTTAACTATTTGTCACAATTTGGTAATTATTTCAGATGTATCGGTCTTTTCTCAAACGGATTGCTTTTATTTTCCACTTTTTATGATAAAATTTTAAAACGTACACAAAAACACAGACCCTAGCTTAATGAGCCAAATATACCCATAACCCAGCTTCAACAATAATCAGTAGATGGCCAGTCTTATTTCACGTATATCCCCACTCAGTCCCCACACTTTTATTATTTTGGTGCAAATTCCAGACTCTACTAATATCTTAAAAAAATCCCGCCACTTCCAAACCTAAAAAATTAATGATAATTCTTTACTATAATCAAATAACCAGTGTTTGAATTTTTACATATTGCTTTTATATTTTCTTTATTTCATTCCACATCAGGATAATGTCTATGCATCATGATTGTTTGGTCTCATTTCTTTTAAACTATCTATCCTTCTTCCATCTCTTTTTTTCTTCTCTCTTTGCAGTTTTTTTTGTTGAAGTCACTTGAATCATTTGATAGGAAACATTTCCTACAGTCTGTATCTTGCTTGCTGCATCCCTGTGGTACCATTTAACACGTTTCTCTGTGTCTCATATTTCCTGTAAATGTGCAGTCAGATCAGGAGGCTTGATCAGATTTAGCCTCAATTATTATTTTTTTTGGCAAGACAACACCATAGGTGGTGCTGTGTCTTTTTCCTGGAAAGTGCGTAATGTCTGATTGTCTCCTTTTTGGTGATGTTATCAACCCCTAGTGATCATTGCCTAGATCCAGTAATTCAAATGGTGATATTCTAACTCTATCACTCATTCTTTATTTATTAGCTGGAATTTCTCTGTAAAGAAAAATTTCCCATATCAACTATTTGGTTATTTTTTGCATAGTGAAGGCAAGATAAACATTTTATTCATTTGTCTGTTTAAAAATTAATGAAGTTGTTTCCTAGCATTCTTCAAAGATATTCAATGTTAATGCGATGGGGTTTTTTAGTGAACTTACAGATTTAAACATATCTGAGAATTTTAAGTCATTATTGATGTTCAATTTGTTTCGTCTTTGACCAGTGGGAGCCTACTAAGTACGGCATCTAAGTCTTTTTAACATGACCCTCGTAGTCTTTAAGAGCTGCCTTGCTTTATGGCATGACAAAGTGTGGTAGGCTTATTTTTATATGGAAATGTACAATGATTCCGGTTGGAATTAGCCATTTCTTCAGGGAGTCACAATCTGGGTGCTAGGCCTACCCTTCGGCAATAATTGGTTACTGTTGCTAGTCCTTTTCAGTGGACAGAACAAAAAATATAAATTTATTTTATGTAAACTTTCTTGAGGTATAATTCATATACAATAAAATTCACACATTTTAAGTATACAGGTAAAGACTTGACAAAGTAGAAACCCATCCAAGCAGCACCCCAATAAACATATAGAAAATTTCCATCACTTCAGAAAATATCTTTATGCCCGTTTGTAAATCCCTTCTATCAGGCAGTTACTGGTCACTATATGTTGGTTTTAGCTACAGAAATTTATATAAATGCAACCATGCAGTATGTACTGTTTGGTGTCTGACTTCTTTTGTTTAGCATGTTTTAAAGATGTGTCCACGATGTTGCCTGTATCAATAATACATTCATTTTTGTGGATGAGTAATGCTCCATTGTGTAAATATACTGTAATTTGCTTATCTGTTTATCTGTTAATGGATATATTTGATTTGTTTCCAATTTGGGACCATTATGAATAAAGCCGTAACTATGTGCATACAGGTCTATTATTGAGCATAACTTTTTGTTTCTCTTGAATAAATAGCTAGAAATAGAACAGCTAGATCATATGGTAAGGGTAGTATATGCTTAACTTTATAAGAAACGGTCACATTGTTTTCCAAAGTAGTTATGCTATTTAACACTTCTAATAAAAATGTATGGGTGCTCCAGTTACACCACATCCCTGCCAAAATTTGGTATTACAAGAACTTTTTATTTTAGCCTTTGTAGCCGGCAGGAAGTGAAATCTCATTGTGGTTTTAACTTATATTTCCCTTATAAACAATTTGTCATATGCTATTTGGCTATATATATGTTTGTGTGTGTGTGTGTGAAATGTCTGTTTAAGGCTTTTGCCCATTTTTTTTTTAACAAATTGAACTTATTTGTTTATTTGTTTAATGTGCCAGCATTTTGCTGGGAGTTACAGGGGATAGAAAAAAGTTAATTTGTAATAATCAGATTGTATCATTTTTATTTGACCTAACCCTACTTTTTAATGGGGTTTTGTCTCTATGTGTGTCTCTCTCTATGTGTATCTCTCTCTTTTTTGGTGTTGGGTGATGAGGTCCTGCTCTGTCACCCAGGTTGGAGTGCAGTGGCATAATCTTAGCTCACTTCAAACTTGACCTCCTGAGCTCAAGCAATCCTCCTGAGTAGCTGGGATTACAGGTGGGAGCCACTGAGTTCAAGCAGTTCTCCTGCCTCAGCCTTCCAAGTAGCTGGGATTACAGGCACGCACCACCATGCCTGGCTAATATTGTATTTTCAGTAGAGATGGGGTTTCACCATGTTGGTCAGGCTGGTCTTGAACTCCTCTTCCTCAGGTGATCCACCCGCCTTAGCCTCCCAAAGTGCTGGGATTACAGGCATGAGCCACCGCACCCGGCCTCCTTTTTCTTTTAATAATTTTGTATAAGATTCCACCATGGTTTGTTTCTGTTTATAACTTTTTAAGTGAAATAAATTTTCCTCTGTGTTAGGATGGAGGAGTGACAGTATAGCTTTTCTAGCTTCAGAGCTCTAGAGCTCTTCTACTGTTTTTACAAAGTGTTTAAAAAAACAAATAGTCCTAGCACAGTGGCTCACACCTGTAATCCCAGCACTTTGGGAGGCCGAGGTGGGAAGATGGCTTGAGTCCAGGAGTTTGAGACCAGCCTGGCCAACATGGTGAAGTCTCGTCTCTACTAAAATTACAAAAATTAGCCAGAGGTGGTGGCATGAGCCTGTAGTCCCAGGTACTCGGGAGGCTGAGGCAGGAGAATCACTTGAACCAGGGAGGCGAGGGTTGCAGTGAGCCAAGATCATGCTACTGCACTCCAGCCTGAGCAACTGCAAGATTCTGTCCCCCACCCCCAAAACAAACAAACGAACGAAAACAACTCTGTGTGTGTATGTGAAACTTTAAATTTTCTAGACCTGATCATGTCTGGATTGCTTTCTTCCCTACTTGTATCCGAACCTTTTTGTCCCATGCCCTACTGTCCTGGCCCTGCTCAGTTTGGATTACGTCCAGCATTTTCTCCTCACTGCCGAACTTTGTCTTGGAAGGGAGCTCCTGTTTGTGTTTCAAGAGCATTCGGGGCCCCAGTGACTCCAGCACTGTCAGATCCGACTGCTTTGCCATCTCCTTGCATGCACACTCAAATTGGATCTTGTAGAACGCCATTCCAGTGTAGTGGCTATTTTCAGATTGACCTGCCTTGCTTTCTGGTGAGTGTCCACTGGTGACTTAGTGCTTTCCTTTTCTCATGACTGTCAGAAACCCAGTCACCTTCCCTCTGTTTCATCCCAGTTTCTTATCCCACATGGGTCTTGCAGCTTTGGATAGTTTGTCCTTGCCCACAGTGTCTAGGAGTTGTGAGAATACCTTGCTATGCAGTTTTATTGTAAATGTTGCTACAGGTGATTGATTTAGATAGCCTAACTGCTCTGTCTGTTCATTTGAGAAATTCAGAGAAATTCAAAACCACCATAAACATTTTGTCACAGTGCTAGGCACAGAGCAGATAATCTGATGTTTGCTGACTGATGAAAGTTTATAGAAAATGTTCTGTTGTTGTGTAACAAATTACCATAAATTTAGTGCTTTAAAACAACACATATTTATAATCCCACAGTTCCTGTAAGTCAGAGCCACAGCTTAGCAGGGTTCTCTTTTTCGGGGTCTTCACC
Source organism: Homo sapiens (assembly GCF_000001405.40). Lineage (NCBI taxonomy): Eukaryota > Metazoa > Chordata > Mammalia > Primates > Hominidae > Homo > Homo sapiens. Next base: position 27,626,271 of record NC_000003.12, on the reverse strand, counting down.
ACACTGTAATCCAGGTGTCAGCCAGGGTTGCAGCCTCAATAGAGGCTCAAATGGGAGAAGATCCACTTCCAAGCTCCCTCGGGTTGTTAGCAGAATTCATTTGTAGGACTGAGATCCCATTTCCTTGCTGGCTGTCAGCCAGGGGCTGCAGTCAGCTCCTGAAGGCCCCCATGGTTCCTTGCCTCACAGCCCTCTCCATAGGCCCTCTCACATCGTGACAGCTACTAAAGCCAGCAATAGAGAGCCTGTCTCTGATGTATGCTAGCAAGATGAGCCATATATATGTCATAACATAATCACAGGAGAGACATGCCATTAGCCTTGTCACAGCCTATTGATTAGAAGCAAGTAGTAGGTTTCTCCTACACGGAAGGAGAGAGGATTGTTCAGGGAAAGAACATGGGGCCACTCTAGAGTCTGTCCACCACGGTTCACATCTGCCTTGAGACCTGGTTTACCCTCTATATTTGTTTTTTTGTTTGTTCGAGACAGAGTCTCACTCTGTCACCCAGACTGGAGTGCAGTGGCACCATCTTGGCTCACTGCAACCTCTGCCACCTGGGTTCAAGTGATTCTCCTGCCTCAGCCTGCTGAGTAGCTGTGATTATAGGCACCTGCCACCATGCCTGATTAATTTTTGTAGTTTTTTTTTTTTTTTAGTAGAGACAGGGTTTCACCATTTTGGTCAGGCTGGTCTTGAACTCCTGACCTTGTGATCCACCCGCTTCAGCCTCCCAAAGTGCTGGTATTACAGGCGTGAGCCACCGCACCTGGCCTACCCTCTTTATTTGTTAAGACAAAAAGGTTTCTGCTGATAGACTGCCAGTGGTGACTTTTAGCTTAATTTCGTGGCAAAGGATAATAAATTCAACTGTAATAGTGAAATATACAATTCAAATAGAAACTTTAACATCAATAACTTGAAAATCCTATTATAGAAAAGTTACTTTGATTCCTTGCCCTTCTCTATGAAATGGACATGGGTGTCTCTATCGCTCCCAACCTCACAGAGAAAAAATTAAATGATGCTTTTTAGTATCCAGAGGAAAAATAAGATTTCATATGCATCTTAGGCATTTTTAACCTATTTTGTGTCACCTGTGCTTGTGTATACTTTTGGAGTACTTCAGAGAACACATGTCCAAGGATGAAATAGTACCAAAAGCAATGGTTTCAATACTCCAATAAATCAGACCACCCGGGTAACCATTTGGGGAAGAATCAAAAGACTTGTATTTTGGAAACCACATTTTTTGGTGCTAATGATAAAGGAAATGATCTTATTTCCTATGCCAGACCAGCTAAGGGTTTAATGAACAAACACACAGTTTCATTACTTTTGCTTCTGTTCTAACAACTGAGAGTATCCATCAGATTCACCTTTGCTTCTCCACTTGCTCATTCTGTCTTCTGTTTTCTTCATCTCATTATTTTTCTGGTAAGCAAAAAAGGGGTAGGAAAAAGTGTACCTCTGGTGAAGATAGATAATCATTTTTTGGGAATGATATTCTGTATGCTTAGAAGCATTCAGCTGTTGGAGTGAGGGATTCTCCTCCCCTGCTTCACTGTAGGAGAAACACTGAATAACCTTCATTTGGTGGATGACCATGGATGCTGTGTGCTATGGTGAAGCTGTTTCTTCCCAGCAGCAGGGAGAGAGTGAGGATAGGGAACTCAGGAATATAGTATACAATATATGGGTACAGATTGTGCAGGATGCCCTCTCTCCTGAATTCCTGATTCCCTTCCTTGTGAGAACAGCAATAATAATAATCAGAGTTGCCTTTCCAGTGGTGACAACCTACCCACAAGAACCTACCCCTTGCAAAGGATCTTCTTCATCCCTCTCCAGAAAAGGAGAAGAGGAAACACAAGAAGAAATGCGTGGTGCAGAGCCTCAATTCCTACTTCATGGATGTGAAATGCCCAGGATGCTATAAAATCACTACAGGTCTTTAGCGATGCACAAATTGTAGCTTTGTGTGTTGGCTGCTCCATTGTCCTCTGCCAGCCTACGGAGTAAAAGCAAGGCTTACAGAAGGATGTTCCTTCAGAAGGAAACAGCACTAAAAGAACTCTGAATCAAGATGAATGGGAAACCATCTCAATAAACACATTTTGTATAAAATAATCATAATAATTATCAGCTAACATTTATTGAATAATTATACCAGGAGTGATATTCAAAATATTTAACAGCTGAAACAGCACAGGTATCAACCAATCAGAATGAATACTGGCCATAACGGCATCCACTCTGATTAGTCCATGCCCTCACCATGTCAGTTCTTAAATATTTTGACAACAGACTATTTGGATATTTGGGGCCTGCCAATGTCAACCCTGTTTTACTACACGCCAGGCACTGTGCCAAGCACCTTAAGTACCTTTGCTCATTGAATCCTCCTTCCCACCTGCTCTACAAGATGGATACTCTTATTATTCCAACTTGGAAGATGGGGAAACTGAGACTTAAAGAAGTAGCATGACTTGTCCCGTGTCACATAGCTGAGAGGCAGAGGGACACTGGACTTACACCCTGGTCTTCTGACCTACAAGTCCAAGCCATTAAGTTCTACATTCTAGTAACTCTTGAGGAAGCCACACCCTACAGCTCCCTCAGCCCTTACGAGAAAGATACACTTTAAAAATATGAAGGCTGAACTTTATCACCCTGCTCTTAGTGACAAGGAAAGTAGCCCTTGGCCAATCCAAAAAGGAAAGCAATGCAAACAGCTTGGTAAAAATGACAGAATGAGGAATAGGCCTCAGGGGCCAGGCCTACTCAGGAAATTGTTCTGAACTTGATCCAAGGTCCCTGGAGTACCACTGAAGCCCAAAGTCCAGACCAGACTTCCAGCCTGAGGGGGCATTTTTCAGATAATTGTCACAAATCCTAACTCCAACTTCCTCTCACCATTAAGAGAATTCTAACTGTTTGGGGCTTTTGAAGTGTGTTTATTTAGAGCAAAACAAACAAGTGGGTCCTGGAGAGGAGGCAAACGGAGCTTATGTCATTGTCTTTCCTGACTAGATGACTGGCTATTTGGTTGAACTTTTTTTGTTCCTCAGCCGGTAGTGACTCCACGTCACTGCCTGTGAGCCAATCTTGATAGTGACACATTACTATTTCCAGAAATTGTGTTTTTCAGCATGACATACAGGACTGAAGAAGTCCACATGCCCAACACCCTACCTTGAGTAGTCTTTGGATTATGTGGCATCCCCAGATATCCCCCTTGTCCCTTTCCCTCCCATCCAAGAAAGCATGTAAGAATGCAGAGAATGAGAGAAGTCTTAATAGAGGAATCCACTTGGACACAGTTCTTAACCTCTTTGAGCCTCAGTTTCCACAGCTGTAAAATATAATTGAAACGTTATATGTTTGGAGGTAGTGTGGGGTGAGGGCACGGAAGAAGTCATGATTAGTCAGAGCAAATCTTTATCCCAACTTCTTCACAACACTCATACACAGACTAGAATAGATCCCTGAATTGCAAAAAAATGAGTTACTAACAAGAAAGAAGTACCAATATTAATATAATAGTAGTAGTATTACTACTACTACTATTACTACCACCAACAATAATTAAATAGTAACAGCAACAATGATTAAATGATAACAGTTACTATGCATTGAGCTTTTACTGAGTGCAAGGCATTGTGCTAAAAGAGATATACCTTGTATCTCATTAGTTCCTATGAAATTAGACTTTGTATGGGCATGTTTTACCACTTCTCTGGGGTGGAGGCAAAGACACTGGGTCCTAGGATGGAGGATCCAGATCTAGGTGATCTATGTAGAGAACAAGAGTCTACCAGCCTCCACTGGCCAGCATGAGTATCATCTGCTGTTGGCACCAGGAAGCTGTGTGGGCCTAGCCAGCATTGTCCAACTGCTAGTTTCCATTCTAGTGAGAAGCATTGTCTGTGCTGAGGAGCTGGACTAGCTCTTCTGCCTGATGGTGTCTGAGGGGAACAGCCCATCCTCAGCATCCAGCTTGGATCATCATCTAGCAGAAGTGATGTCTGTCTGGCCTCAAGACATGCAGGGCTCATGTGACACGTTCCACTTGGACTCACAAGCTCCCTCTCTTATGATAGAAGGTGAGGTCATAGACACCAGGAGGGTTTAGAGAGGTGTGGAGAACTTTTGATGGGCCTGTATATCTTCCTTGGAGCTAGAGCAGTGGCAGAGTACATCTACATCTACTCACGAAGTTGTTTTGAGAAACAAATGAGCTCTGAGATATATGCTATTGACCACAGTCTCTGGAACATCATAAATACTCAATAAACAGCAATGTATTATTAATAAATAATAACAATAATATAAGAATAAACAGAATGCAAGCATTGGTACTTTATTAGTAACATACTGCCAACACTCCTCACAAACAATTATGACAAAGACCATTTCACCATTCTGTTCAAGAACCCATGCTCTACAGAAGCAAAGGACCTCTTCAAGGACAACTACAAACCACTGCTCAAAGAAGCAGAAAGGACACAAACAAATGAAGAAACATTCCATGCTCATGGATAGTAAGAATCAATATCATGAAAATGGCCATACTGCCCAAAGTAACTTATAGATTCAATGCTATTCCCATTAAACTACCATTGACATTCTTCATACAATTAGAAAAAAAATGATTTTAAAGTTCACATGGAACCAAAAAGAGCCCAAATAGCCGGGACAATCCTAAGCAAAAAGAACAAAACTGCAGGCATCATGCTACTCAGCTTCAAACTATACTACAAGGCTACAGTAACCAAAACAGCATGGTACTGGTATAAGAACAGTCACATAGAGCAATGGAACAGAATAGAGAACTTAGAAATAAGACCATATGCCTACAACCATCTGATCTTCAACAAACTTGACAAAAACAAGCAATAGGGAAAGGACTCCCTATTTGATAAATGGTGCTGGGATAACTGGGTTGCCATATGCAAAAAATTGAAACTAGACCCCTTCCTTATACGTTATACAAAAATTAACTGAAGATAGGTTAAAGACTTAAACATAAAACCCAAAACTATAAAAACCCTAAAAGAAAATCTAGGCAATATCATTCAGGACATAGGCATGGCCAAAGATTTAATGATGAAAACACCAAAAGCAATTGCAACAAAAGCAAAAATTGACAAATGGGATCTAATTAAACTAAAGAGCTCCTGAACAGCAAAAGAAATTATCATCAGAGTACACAGACAACCTCCAGAATGGGAGAAAATTTTTGATTGCAATCTATACATCTGACAAAGGTCTGATATCCAGAGTCTACACGGAATTTAAACAAATTTACAACAAAAAAACAAACAACCCCATTAAAAAGTGGCCAAAATATATGAATAGACACTTCTCAAAAGAAGACTCATGCAGCCAACAAACATATGAAAAAAAGCTCAACGTTACTGATCATTAGAGAAAAGTAAATCAAGATCACAATGAGATACCATCTCACACCAGTCAGAATGACTATTATTTAAAGGTCAAAAAACAGCAGATGCTGGTGAGGTTGTGGAGAAAGAGGAACGTTTTTACACCATTGATGGGAATGCAACTTAGTTCAACCACTGTGGAAGACAGTGTGGCGATTCCTCAAAGACCTACAGGCAGAAATACTGTTTGACCCAGCAATCCCTTTACTGGGTATTTACCTAAAGGAATATAAATTATTCTGTTATAAAGATGCATGCACGCATATGTTCATTGCAGCACTATTTACAATAGTAAAGTCATGGAATCAACCTAAATGCCCAATAATGATAGACTGGATAAAGAAAATGTGATATATATACACCATGGAATACTATGCAGTCATAAGAAGGAATGAGATCATGTTCTTTTCAGGGACATAGATGAAGTTGGAAGCCATTATCCTCAGCAAACTAATGCAGGAACAGGAAACCAAACACCACACGTTCTCACTTCTAAGTGGGAGCTGAATGATGAGAACACATGTTCACATAGTGGGGAACAACATACACTGGGGCCTGTCAGAGAGTGTGGTGGGGGGAGGGAGGACATCAGGAAGAATACCTAATGGATGCTGGGCTTAATACCTAGGTGATAGGATTATCTGTGCAGAAAACCGCCATGTTTGCAGGTAACAAACCTGCACATCCTGCATATATACGCCTGAACTTAAAACAAAGTTGAAGATAAATAATTAATTAAATAATTAAAGTAAAGAACAAATGAGTAGGGGGAAGAAAAAGAACCCATGCTTTGGATAGTGAAGGCAACCTGTGAACGCAGAGGCTTGGAGTCAATTTTCTGGCCTGAGCTATGCCTGGTCTTAGACAGCATTATTGGGTGCAGCCTCAAAAGAGAAGTTCTGTGTCTACTAACAGCCAGTGAGAAATACCCTAATAAACTGGTCACAGTACCATAATACAAGCAGCCAATGGTGACCCAGTGCGGACATGAAATATTGTATCTCATCAGCACCCAGTCTGTATGTTGACAGTGCCATGTTACATAGCCATTTTCTCTCCATAGTTATGTTAAATTACTCAGGTTGAATTCATTTACTCATTTTTTTCTTTTTTGAGACGGAGTCTCACTCTGTCACCCAGGCTGGAGTGCAATGGCGCCATCTAGGCTCACTGCAACCTCTGCCTCCCGGGTTCAAGCAATTTTCCTGCCTCAGCCTCCTGAGTAGCTGGGATTTGGGATTACAGACACCCACCACCACGTCCGGCTAATTTTTGTATTTTAATAGAGAAGGTGTTTCGCCATGTTGGCCAGGCTGGTCTCGAACTCCTGACCTCAAGTGATCCACCTGCCTTGGTCTCCCAAAGTGCTGGATTACAGGCATGAACCACCTTACCTGGCCTCATTTGCTCATGTTTTTAGTCTACAGTGAGCCCATTTTCTTACCCTTGGTGTAAGTCTTTGAGTCTTAGAGCTAGAACAGGCCTGCGAGTTCATTAGTCTGGTGCTGTCTAATAGAACTAACTGCAGTGATAGGAATATTCCATATCTTCACTGTCCAGGATTGTAACCACTAGATATAAGTGGCTATTGAACCCTTCAAATGTAGCTAATGTGACTGAAAAACTGAATTTTAAACTTAAAAAAAAATTAATCCATTTTAATTTAAATAACCATATGCTGCTAGAGCTATCTATTGGACAGAAAAGATTTAGTCCAATTCTTTCATTTTGTGGATGAGTTCCAGAGATGCTAGTGACCTCCACATGATCGCTCAGCTGGTTAGAGCCAGTGCAATGCATAGGAAACACTGATTGCCAACTCAGATGTTTTGTCAAACACATTATGTTTCCATTTATTTGTCCCCAGGTGGAAATGGCTTTCTATATATCCACTCAGGTTGGTAGGGAGGGAAGGTGGGTAGATGGATAGATGCAAACTACTTTTGTTGTCTTGGTCGACCATCTGTAGAAACTTTATTTTTTTTTTTTTAATAGATGAAGGTCTTACTGTGTTGCTCAGGCTGGTCTCAAATTCCTGGGCTCAAGTGATCCTCCTACTTCAGCATCCCTAGTAGCTGGGATTACAAGCATGCCTGGGGTTCAACATAAAAACATTTCTGAGGAGACAGAAAGAATAAGAAGCATCCCATTTTAAATACTGTGAAGAACCAAGAGTAGTTAAGGAAAGATGGGGATCAGGGTGGTAAAATGTGGTTTTGGCTTTGTCACATTGTAAATAAACACTGACAACTCATGTTGGTTTTGTTTGTTTGTTTTTTTAGTTAAGTTTTGTAGGATGAACCTCTATAGTGAAAAAATAAATGAGTTAAATACTGTCGAGGGCTCACTATGTAGAAGGCCTAGTGTTAACTACCATGGGCAATTTCTAAAAACCATAAAATAGAGTTCCTCCCTTCGAAGAACACACAATTTAATTGAGAAGACATGACATGCAAGCAATAAAAGCTAAAAAATAGTATCAGGCTTTAAATAATTGTTAAATGTCATTGTGGAGAGTGGCCTCATTGCAGGTTTGGGAGACAGAAATGGGTAGTTCCTTGCTTCTGAGAATGTATTCCAACCCTTTGCTTATTTCATAAGTACCTTTCACTTCCATTTAGGGACATTAGCAGTGTCCGATTTTTGTTGTTGTTGTGTTGTTTTGGTTTGGTTTGGGGGGTTTTTTGAGACAGAGTCTTGCTCTGTTGCTCTGGCTGGAGTGCAGTAGCGTGATCTCGGCTCACTGCAACCTCCAGCTCGTGGGTTCAAGCTATTCTCTTGCCTCAGCCTCCCAAGAAGCTGGGACTACAGGCATGCACTACCACCCCCAGCTAATTTTTGTATTTTTTTAGTAGAGACAGGGTTTCACCATGTTAGCCAGGCTGGTCTCAAACTCCTGACCTCAGGTAATCAGCCCGCCTCAGCCTCCCAAAATGCTGGGATTACAGGCATGAGCCACCTTGCCCGGCCAGGTCTTTATCCATAATATGCTCAGGGGACGCCAAGAGCCCACAGCCAGGAAGCAGGAATGGGGTAGAACGTGGTCTCAGATCAGAACCCCTCCTGGCTGTGTGGCCCTCATCTGGTAACTTTGCATCCTGCGACTTCCTTTTCTCATCTGTCTAAGGGAAGAGTAACTTCAACTGTACAGGTTGTCATCAGCATTTATCAGCCCACCTATTGATTCATCCACACCCTATCCCACTTGTAAATGCAGACTGTCAATGCCACCATTACTTGAAATTTGGTTCTCCTGTGCTTCTTCTTTGGATATTTAATTCTTGCACTGGTATTGGGCCCCTGGTTGTCTCCTGCCAATTCAAGCTTGGCCTATTTCTCCAGCTTTTCCTTCTCTCATGAAAGGAAAATAGATCTGGATAAGATTAAATGATAAATTGAGTGCAGGTGACATAGTACTTGGCACAAAGTTAGCATTTAATAAAAATAAGTAGAATAGCTGTTAACGTTTATTAAATTCTCATTATGTGCCAGACATTGTTCTAAGCACTCTATGTGTGTTAACTCATCTAGTGCCTGGAGACAAGATTCAAGTACAAGTGTTATTAAGACAATGCTTCTGGGAATAACCTGTAAGAGAGTGGGGGAAGCAGGAAGCAAAGATAAAAAAGAAAAAAAAAAAGCAAAATAGGTGCAATTTCAGGCAATATCCCACAGAGAGGTGGCTTCAGTCTAATTTCTCAGAGGAGTCCTGGAGTGTAACTTATGCCCCAGTGCTTGGTTTCTGAGCTTTCAAATGCAGGTCCCTGCCATTCATTGGCTAAAAACCAGGATAAGGTAAACTCTCAGGCACTTCTGGCTCTCTGACCTTATGGGATAATGGGCCCACCAAGCAAAAATACAGGAGCAGGAGAAGGGATGCGAAGAAAATGATAAAAGGATGCTGAGATATTGGGCCAGAATACTAATAATGTCTGCTGCAAAGCCTCACAGTAACAACAAAAACTCTAGTGAACACATATTTCAGGCTGGGCACGGTGGCTCATGCCTGTAGTTCCAGTACTTGGGAGGCTGAGGTGGGTGGATTGCTTGAGCTCAGGAGTTCGAGACCAGCCTGGGCAATATGACGAAACCCCAGTTCTATTAAGCAAACAAACAAATTTAAAAATCCATTTAACAGATGAGGCACAGGAGTTTAAGTAATTTGCTCTGAAAAAAATTAGCCGGGAATGGTGGTGCGCATCTGTAGCCCCAGCTACTCTGGAGACTGAGGCAGGAGGATCACTTGAACCCAAGAGACGAAGGCTGCAGTGAGCCGAGATAGCACCACTGCACTCCAGCCTGGGCGACCAAGTGAGACTCTATCTCAAAAAAAAGTTTTAAATATTAAAAATAATAAATAAATAAATTGCTCCAGTCACATAGCTAGTAAAGGGAAATAAGAATTCAAACCTAGGCAGCCCAGCTCCCAAGTTTGTGCCCTTCATCTCAGTGCAGTACCAGCCAGCTGTCCTAGCCACACCACATTCTCTTTTCAGACAGAATGCCTACATGTTGGTCTGTGGTACAGACATCTGGAAACACGCTAAACTGAACCAAATTGTTGCTTCATCTGGGAGGTCCTTTGCCATCCTGACTTTTCTCAGCCTCCATCACGGTAATGTAATCAGGATGCTTTTCATCCCTAGCAGTTTCTAATTCCTGCAATTTTCCCCTTAATGGCTCTCCGGATGTTGCCACTGATTATGGTGCCGTTCATGGCTCTTCAGCAGGTGCTGGGCATAGGCACCAGGTGCAGGCTTCTGAGAGCTCTGCTTTTGATTTGAAACAAATTTCATTTTATTTCAACATTTCAAAAAAATTCCTCTCCCTTCAACATGTTATTAAATCACTTTTTTTCTGGAAAGACTTTGGCTACAATTTTTTTTCTATAAAAATAGAGCCAAAGTATTTCCTCCTGGATTAAGTAATTAGAGAAAGGAAAGGTATGAACTTTATATTCTCTTCAAAGTGGCTGCACAATGTGCATTGGTGTTTGGCAGCAGTTGAGGTTCATTTGGCATTTGATTTCACAACTTTTGGCCCTGGGGACAATAGACTATGACCTTCTATGACATAATTGATGGGATAACAATAAAATTTTATTTAATATGTTGATTAAATGTTCCAGATTAAACACATATTACTTTTTATATGTTACTGATTACTTTTTATAATCAGATAAACAACAATAAGTATGATAAAGCATTGATGCTGGTAACTACAGACAGTGGAGAGCCAGGTTTCTCAATCTTGGCGTTATTGACATTTTAAGCTAGGCAATTCTTTATTGTCTGTCCTGTGAATTGTATAATGTTTAGCAGCATCTCTTGCTGATAGTGACAGGAGGCAGCCAAATGCACAGGGACAGGCCTCCAGTGAAACCCCATCTTCAAGCCAAAAACAGCCTGAAGGCTGAAAGACCAGACTGCTGGTCCCAGATGAAACCTGCAACTCACAGTGAGAACTTCTGTTCCCGTTTGCTCACCCTTTCCGATTGATTCTTTTCTTATTTTGAGACAAAGTTTCACTCTTGTTGCCTAGGCTAGAGTGCATAGCACAATCTTGGCTCACCACAACCTCTGCCTCCCAGGTTCAAGTTATTCTTCTGCCTCGGGTTACCGAGTAGCTGGGATTATAGGCATGCACCACCACGCATGGCTAATTTTGTATTTTTAGTAGAGATGGAGTTTCACCATGTTGGTCAAGCTAGTCTTGAACTCCTGACTTCAGGTGATCCGCTCACCTCAGCCTCCCGAAGTGCTGGGATTTCAGGTGTGAGCCACTGTGCCCAGCCCCAGTTGATTCTTTCTGAATAATGCCTTGTAGCCAATCAAATGTTGCCTTTTCCAACACTACCTATGGCCTGCCCCTCCCCCATTCTGAGCCCATAGAAGCCCTGGACTCAGTCATATTAGGGGGACTTTCCCACCTTCAGGTAGGGGGACCACCTCGGTGTCTCTGCTCTGCTGAAAGCTATTTCCTCACTCAATAAACTCCCCGCCTTGCTCACTCTTTGATTGTCAGTTCATCCTCATTCTTCTTGGGCATGGGACAAGAGCTCAGGAATTAATGCATAAGCCAGACTCAGCCTGGGTGGGCTGAGTGGGTGAGCCGTCTCCTGTAGCAGGAAGGAGGTAATATGATCAGGCAAGGCCCGGGTGGGGCATCACTGGCCAGAGGTCCCCATTTTGCAAAGTGACCAAGAAGAAAATCTTGCCTTATTTCCTCCACTCACTAGATACCAGTAGCAGTACCCCTCAACCCTGCATAAATTGTGGTAATCAAAAGTATCTCCAGATATTGCCAAATGTCCTCTGGGAAGCAAAATTGCCCTGATTGAGTAGCATTGCTTAGAGAGGACAGTAACAATGAAGGGACATCTGATGATGTGCTTTCTGGGCTCTTCCCCACCTTCTCCTTCTCTGACAACCTCCCTTCTTGGTTTCTGTTTGCTGGTATTTCAGAGCTTGACCAGTTTTAGTTCCTTATAGTTTTCAAATTTTTCTGGCAATCTCTCACCTACCATTATCTCCCACATGTTCACCCTATTTTCAGTTCTCATATTTTTGTCCATTGACACCATTTCTGAACTTTGGTTGTTCCCATTACCTTCACATCTGTACTGTGAGCCTTTCTTGCAAACACTAGATATGAAGAGGACACACTGCAAGTAGGTAGAAAAGAGGCTGTATTAACACATCTGCACATTTTCAGCACTTCTTTTTAGCAAGTTTATTTCACCCTCATGATAACAAAATATGGGAAAAATGAAGTAGAGGAATTTAGAGTGACTCATTTTGACATGTCAGAGAGAACTGGTAATGGAAAAATAATCCAGGTTTCCGAGGATCTAGTGACAGGACTTTTCATTTTGAAAAATACGATCATCCTACTCAAAGAAGTTTTAATAAGTCTGATCAAAATATTGATGTACACAATCACACAAGCCTGTTCTTGTATTTTTTTTCAAAGTTCAGGCCAAGTACAGCAAACAAATTTGGCCCGTTGTACCACCATGATGGGTTGTCTCTTTACACTGTCATTTTCTATCAAGTTTCTAGGGTTGGACTTTACAAAATAGGCCAAGCAAATTCCTATGCTGCCAAAACCTCAAGCAAAGTTTCTGAGGGTGTCTCAAGGACTTCTGGGTTCCATTTAAAACCTTCCCTCAAAAATTAGTTTCTTCCTTGTGGCATATGAGAAAAATTAACCTCTCAGATTTGAAGCTGATGCTTAATACTTGCCACCATCCATGAACAGTCAAACTCAACAGCTGTTCAAAGGTGGCTTGAATGAACCCAGTGGGTCCATTCAAAACCCTGTTATGCGACTCTACTGCACATCTCTGTTGGTCAAAAGCCCCTTCATCCTTCAAAGTCTAATGCCTTACATGAAGATCTCCTCTCTTTCAGAGCCCATACCACAATGGTCATTTTTTTTTTTTTTTTTTTTTTTTTTGAGATGAGTCTTGCTCTGTCGCCCAGGCTGGAGTGGTGTGGCACAATCTCAGGTCACTGCAAGCTCCACCTCCCAGGTTCATGCCATTCTCCTGCCTCAGCCTCCCAAGTAGCTGGGAATACAGGCGCCCGCCACCTCACCCGGCTAATTTTTTTTTGTATTTTTAGTAGAGACGGGATTTCACCGTGGTCTCGATCTCCTGACCTCATGATCCGCCTGCCTCGGCCTCCCAAAGTGCTGGGATTACAGGCGTGAGCCACCGTGCCGGGCCAATGGTCACATTTTTATTGCTCTCCTTTATACTGCAGTAATTTGTGATCTGTTTTCTTGTTTTTGTTTTTTGGTTTTGGGTTTTTATTATTTTGTTTTCTTTTGTTTTGAGATGGAGTCTCCCTGTGTCACCCAGGCTGGAGTGCAGTGGCGCAATCTCGGCTCACTGCAAGCTCTGCCTCCTGGGTTCATGCCATTCTCCTCCCTCAGCCTCCCCAATAGCTGGGACTACAGGCGCCTGCCACCACGCCCAGCTAATTTTTTGTTTTTGTGTTTTTAGTAGAGATGGGGTTTCACCGTGTTAGCCAGGATGGTCTTGATCTCTTGACCTTGTGATCCACCCGCCTCACCCTCCCAAAGTGCTGGGATTACAGGTGTGAGCCACCACACCTAGCCTTTTATTATTATTATTTTTTTTTTTTTTTGAGATAGGGTCTTGCTCTGTGGCCCAGGCTAGAGTGTCATGATCTTTGGTTCACTGTAACCTCTAGCTTTGGGCTCAAGTGATTCTCCCAATCCAGCATCCTAAGTAGCTGAGACTACAAGTGCACCACCATGCTTGGCTAATTTTTAATTTTTTTGGTAGGATGAAATCTCACTGTATTGCCCAGGCTGTTCTTTAATTTGTGTGCTCCAGTGATCCTTCCACCTCAACCTCTCAAAGTGCTGGACTTAAAGGCATGAGCCACCATGCCCAGTTGATTTTGTCCTTCTTAAACTTCAAGATTCTTAAGGGTGGATATATATTTATTTCATCCTTTTGTGTGCATAGGACCTGCCCCTGTACAGAGCAGATAACCAACAAATATTGGTATAATTTTTTTTTTTTGAGATGGAATCTCACTTTGTCACCCAGGCTGGAGTGCAGTGGCTCAATCTTGGCTCACTACAACTTCTGCCTCCCAGGTTCAAGCAATTCTCATGCCTCAACCTCCTGAGTAGCTGGGATTACAGGTGTGTGCCACCATGCCCAGCTAACTTTGCATTTTTAGTAGAGACGAGGTTTCACCATGTTGGTCAGGCTGGTCTCAAACTCCTGACCTCAGGTCTGATCCGCCCACCTCAGCCTCCCAAAGTGCTGGGATTACAGGCATGAGCCACCACGCCCAGCCCAAATATTGATACAAATGAGTTTAATCTTGGTAGAATCCCCCTAGGTCCTGCTGTGACACCTAATGTTTCTCGGCCAAGGATGCAAGGAGGAAGGAAGGAAGGAAGGAAAAGAGGAAAGCCAGAAGGAAGAAAGGAATGCAGGGAAGGAAAAATACTGTTTTTACTCAAACACGTTTAAATACTAGAGCTTCTTAGTAGGTGTGAAATGCTCTGTTGAAATCACGGTAACATCATAATAATACGGAACCCAGTGTTAGCTTCCCCTAAAGATAAAGGTCATTTTAAACAAGAACTGAATAAACACCGTTCTCTCCCTGCCTGCTGCCTCTTCCTATGCATTTTACAATCATGCATAGAAAAAGTGTCCTTTTCTATGTACGTGTCATTTTCTATGCATGGTTGTAAAATGAGTAAACAAAAAGACACTTACTGCAATTTAGGATACAGATAAGCTTGTTTCCTTGCAACTGAGTCTCATTTCGTTTTGATTCAGAACCCTAATGTTGCTTGGGTTTTCTCTATAGCTTTAAGATTGTGAATGAAGAAAAATAATAAAGTGCTGCTTTATCCCTCTGGAAGTGCCATGACTTCTCTGGTATGTGAACATCTGTATGTTCTCTCCTTAGAGCGGGAACCTTGGTCATGTGATGGCGTTTCCTCCAAATATAACATCCATCTGTCCGGATCTGGATTTTTCATTATCAAATAGATTCTGCAGCTTTCTGCAGTAGCTTCTTCTGCCTTCACTGCAAGGCTGCGATAAGCCACAGTCCTCACTCGCTCACACTATGCAATTATAAAGATTTGGGGGAAGACAGTCAAAAAGAAAATCAGTCTTGAAGTGGTAGCAAGAGTGATTTCCATAAACTGTAAAAAGATTTCCTGACCAAGAAGGTAGCCTGAGAACACAGGCTCAAAGACATGTGGTCTTAGTCCCAAGGCCTATGCAAAGCACACAGCACAGGAAATAAAGGGTTTTTTTTTTTCTAAGACAGTCATATGTTAGATGCCAACAAAGCTATGATGGAATCTGATGCCTTTTGGGTACGTAGTTGATGTGAAACAGAACCCATTTGGGGGTTTACTTGGTAGGATTTGGGAACCTACCCAAAATGTGTAGACAGAATTGATAGGGCCTGGTCAAAGCAGGAGGCTCAGCCTAGAGAAGCGGATATGACTAGGTCCTAAGTTCCTCAAGATATGAAGACTTCAGGGATTTAAATTATGTATCAAATTTTGTACATTTTCCTGGAACAAGAATCCATCCCTAGAAAGTAAAAATTTAACTGTAGTTGACCAAGGAGTTAGACTCTCTAAGTAGGCAAAGAGAGAAAAAAAGAAAGCAGGGGCTGGTCCTATGGAGGTAAAAATGTGACAGTGAGGGACATTGTGGAGGGCCAGGAAGTTAAAATTCACAGCCATTCTATCTAATGTATCAGGGCCTTCCAGGAGAGGTGAGTGGGTCAAATGTAAAGAGTGAGGGTCTAGTGGCTGTGTTTATCTCATCCCTCTGGCGTACCCCACTGTGATCTCACAGACTTCTGAAGGGCAGAGACTTTATGATGTGGCACGATCAGATATCCTCTGACTCTTGAATATTTAATGATGGGATGCCTTCCAGTTGCTCACTTCCTTTGTTACTTATAGTCCCCATGATCTCAATAGGATGGAGATGCTATGGCTTTATTCCAGAAACTGTCCTACAGCAGGCCTCAGATAAAAACTAAAGGAGGGAGAGTGGTAAACACATTGACGATGGAGGTGTAAATGGTAGCTATTTTCACAATCTGATGTGAGAAGGTTCAAGAGCATCATTGTCCATTGATTTGCTGTAGACAATTTCAGATACCACACCATTACCAGGATCACTGAATGGTGTTACAGCTTCACTTCCACTACATGGGAAATACATCAGTCACCAATACTTCAGTGTGAATCAGTATTCCCTGTTTTCCTCAACTGAGACTATGTTGAGAAGGCATGCTTTTAAATAAGAGTGAGGAGGCCTGTAATCCCAGCTACTTAGGAGGCTGAGGCAGGAGAATCACGTGAACCAGGAGGTGGAGGTTGCAGTGAGCCAAGATGGCACCATTGCGTTCCAGCCTGGGCAACAAGAGCGAAACTTTGTCTCAAAAAAAAAAAAAAAGATCTAATGTTAATGGACTGAGTGGGGAAACCCAGCAAGGCCTGTCTGTCTAGATTCTTCTTGGCCTCTCTGAGCATGGATTCCTTCTTTCTGGGTATGGGGCGGGATCCTCTCTGGAATGGGGGTATTATGACCTACAATTTCTTTATGGCCAGATTTTACACAGAAAGGCAGGGGAGGTGGGAAAGAAGTTCGAGTAATATTTTTAGGTTTTATGTCTGGCTTTGGGGAAAAGGGGTTCTGGTTTCTATGACTGTCCTTGGGGAAGAGGGACTCCAGTTTCTACGGGTAGCCATTGGGGAGATTGAGGGGCCAGAGACAGGAGGGTGGGAGAAAGAGAGAGAGAGAGAGAGAGAGCTGCCTCTGAGGCCTTCATTTTGAGGTATTGTTTTTTTGTGGGTCTACACAACCATAAAATGGACCTGACAAAGGGCCTAATGGAAATAAACTGAGACCTTGATGCTACTGTAAACCAGCACTGAAACCTGAATCACCTTTGCTTAAGTGAGTCTTGATATCACCTGCATTGTTTAAGGCACTTTAATCTCAAACCCAATAATGTCTGTGGTCTAATGCAGGAAATAATATAGAAACCAAGATTACATTCCGTTCTTAGGGCTGGTCCTGGGCCAGTCTAAATCCAGTTAAATTTGCTTCTAGGGTCATTCAAAGCATCCCTCGCCTTGCTGCTGGCTTTCTATTGAATCCGTCTTCATTTACCCACTGTTTCACTCCTTCTATTCTGCTCTCATCTTTTAAATGTTTTTATCCTTCTCCTCATTCTTATTTATTTTTAATTTTATTTATATTATATATATATATATAGTGTGATAGAATTTTGCTGTTTCGCCCACGCTGGAGAGAAGTGGCTCAATCTCGGCTCACTGCAAACTTTGCCTCCCGGGGTTCAAGTGATTCTCGTGCCTTAGCCTCCCAAGTAGCTGGGCTGGGATTACAGGCATGCACCACCATGCCCAGCTAATTTTTGTATTTTTAGTAAACACGGGGTTTCGCCGTGTTGGCCAGGCTGGTCTTGAACTCCTGACCTCAGGTGATCCACCCGCCTTGGCCTCCCAAAGTGCTGGGATTACAGGCGTGAGCCATGCGCCCAGCCCAGCATTAGATCTTATCCATTTTGTCCAGTCATATTTCTACATGGCTGTGCATACTTTTTTTAACCTAAGCACAAAAATGGACAGTCTCCCCTGTACCTTTGGGTCTTCATTCTGAAGGCTCCCATGTCACATAAAATTTTTATTAAATGAATTTGTATGATTTTTCTCCTATTAATCTGCCTCTTGTCCGTGATTTTCTGCAAAGGTTCAGAAGGCAAAGGGGAAGCTTTTCCTTGGTCTCTGGTTGCCACCAATCCTTCATACTTCCTGACTTCCATATTCAGGGAGAGAGAAGAAATAAGCCAGGCACAGTGGCTCACGCCTGTAATCCCAGCATTCTGGGAGGCTGAGGTGGGTGGATCACGAGGTCAGGAGTTCGAGACCAGCTTGGCCAATATGGTGAAACCCCATCTCTACTAAAAATACAAAAAAAAAAAAATAGCTGGGCATGGTGGTGCGCACCTGTAATCCCAGCTACTCAGGAGGCTGAGGCAGGAGAATCACTTGAACTCAGGAGGCATAAGTTGCAGTGAGTCGAGATCGCACCATTGCACTCCAGCCTGGGCGACAGAGCAGGACTCCATCTCAAAAAAAAAAAAAAGTCCTAAATGAAACACAAATATTTAGGCCAGGAGCAGTGGCTCACGCCTGTAATCCCAGCACTTTGGGAGGCCAAGGTGGGCAGATCACGAGGTCAGGAGTTCCAGACCAGCCTGGCCAACATACTGAAACCTGTCTCTACTAAAAATACAAAAACTTAGCCTGGCGTGGTAGCAGGCATCTGTAATCCCAGCAACTTGGGAGGCTGAGGCAGGAGAATCACTTGAACCCGGGAGGTGGAGGCTGCAGCGAGCCAAGATCATACCACTGTACTCCAGGCGGGCAACAGTGTGAGACTCTGTCTCAAAAAAATAAATAAATAACAAAATAACAAAACAAACATGGAAATTTATTCCCCAAAAGCTCCCAGAAAATTAAATTCTCATGTGTCATTGTTCATAATTTGGTCACATGCCAGTTCCTGAATAATTTCCTGCAGTGGGGAAATGCCAAGTGTTGATTAACCCAAACCAACAACCAATCTCTTTAGCAAAGGGGTTGAGACAGGATTAAACAAACATGGCCCACCCATGGAGCTGGAGGTGGAGTCAATTTTCTGCATGCCAAAGCACATAGCTGCTACCCAGTGGGAGAGAGTCAACAAATGTCCATTTTACTACTCTTTTACTAGTTTTAGTTTTTGACAAATATTGAGAGTAAAGAAAAAGGAACTACAATATTTAGTGCCGCTTATGTTTTACATATGCTAACCCATTCAAGCCTTACAACTTACAACATCTTTTGAGGTATTATGATTTCCATTTTACTGATAAGAAAACTGAGACATCAGTTAACTTACCTATACACAGCTAGTAAAAGGTAGAGCTAAAGCACACACCTAGGTCTGCCCACATTCAAATAGTCTTACCAACTGTTGTCTGATAGATGATTACTAATCTATTGTCTGAGGAATACACTGTTATTTATGAAAAGCAGAACTCAATTCATTTTAGCAAGCATTTATTGAATATCCACTCTGTATATGGAGCACTCTGCTAGGCCTTGCATTTCCCTAGGTAAGGTACATCCAGAAGTGTACAGAAATTTCCAGTCTGCAAAATGAAATAATAATTAGATAGTGAAAAGCAAACAAATATCAGGCAGAGAAAAAGTGTGATTGGGGAAATTGGTGAATGTGAGATATGGAGTGTGCGTGCTCCATCTATAGACCTCTAGAATTCATGCTACCCATGCCTAGATTTTGTTCACAGGTCCCAGGGTACAAACTTCAGCTTAACAGGAAGTTGAGCATGGTTCCACATCAGATATGTGCTTTCATGGAAAATAAGTACAGTTCCAAGTGCCTCAGTCAGGGTAACCAATATTTGACGTGTGTATTGCTATTCAACCATCCTCTCCACACACACACATACCTTACCCACCATGTCAGACATTACTAATCAATTGCTGCATTTTTTAGCTCTGAATCTGAATATGCTCTCATAATTCTTGTGCTTTATCTCATAATTCTTGTGACCCCTATATCGTCAGCATTTAAAATTGTTCAAAGAGGCCAGGCACGGTGGCTCACATCTGTAATCTCAGCACTTTGGGAGGCTGAGTTGGGAGGATCCCTTGAGCCCAGGAGTTCAAGACCAGCCTGGGCAACATGGCAAAAATCTGTCTCTACAAATTAGCCAGGCATGGTGGTGCACGCCTGTGGTCCCAACTACTCCAGAGGTTGAGGTGGGAGTGTAGCTGCCCAATGGGTTCTCCTTGCCCGCTGCCTAGACAGAGCTGATTTATGGAGAGAGAGGAATTGCAATACAGAAAGAGTTTAATTCACACAGAGCTGGTTGTACAGGAAACTGGAGTTTTTATTACTCAAATCAGTCTCCTCGAGAATTCGGGGATCGGAGTTTTTTGGGGTTTTTTGTTTGTTTGTTTGTTTGTTTGTTTGTTTGTTTGTTTTGAGACAGTCTCTCTCTGTCGCCCAGTCTGGAGTGCAGTGGCGCAATTTCGGCTCACTGCAACCTCCTCCTCCCGGGTTCAAGCGATTCTCCTGCTTCAGCCTCCTTAGTAGCTGGAGCTACAGGCATATGCCACCACGCCCGGCTAATTTTTGTATTTTTAGTAGAGAGGCGGTTTCACCATATTGGTAAGGCTGATCTGCTTGCCTCGGCCTCCCAAAGTGCTGGGATTACAGGTGTGAGCCACTGCTCCTGGCTGCGATCGGAGTTTTGTGGGGGTCTTTTGGTTTTTTTGTTGAGACAGAGTTTTGCTCGTGTTGCCCAGGCTGGAGTGCAATGGCGCAATTTCTGCTCACTGCAACCTCTGCCTTCCAGGTTCAAGCGATTCTCCTGCCTCAGCCTCCCAAGTAGCTGGGGTTACAGGCATGCACCACTACGCCCGGCTAATTTTGTATTTTTAGTAGAGACAGGGTTTCACCATGTTGTCCAAGTTGGCTTCGAACCCCTGATCTCAGGTGATCCACCCACCTCAGCCTTCCAAAGTGCTGGGATTACAGGCGTGAGCCACCACGCCTGGCTGGGATCGGGGTTTTTAAGGATAATTTGGTGGGTAGGGGGCCAGTGAGTCAGGAGTGTTGATTGGTTGGCTTGGAGATGAAATCAAAGGGGATCGAGCTGTCCTCTGTCAGTTTCTGGGTGGAGACCACAGGACTGGTTGGCAGGTCCAGGTGGGGCCATCCAGTTGTCAGAAATACAAAAGCCTGAAAATATATCTCAAAAGGCCAATCTTAGGCTCTGCAGTAGTGATGTTATCTTCAAGGGTGATTAAGGAAGTTGCAAATCTTATGACCTCTGGAATAATGGCCGGTAATTATTTAGAATTCAAACCCCTGTCATCCTAACTTGGAGGCCTTTCATTATTTTTACAAGAACAGTTTAGTTTTGGGGAAGGGCCTATTATTTAAATTATAAACTAAATTTCTTCCAAAGTTAGCTCAGCCCATGCCCAGAAATGAGCACAGCCAACCTGCGAGCTAGAGACAAGATGGAGTCAGCCATGTCAGATTTCTCTCACTGTCATAATTTCATCAGTTATAATTTTTGCAAGGGTGTTTTCAGGAGGATCACTTGAGTCTGGTAGGTTGAGGCTGTAGTGAACTGTGATCACGCCTGGGTGACAGAGTGATACCCTGTCTAAAAAACAAACAAACAAACAAAAATGTGCAATGTACATCAAAGGCATTCAGTAAATACTTGTCAAATAAATAGTAATAGTGCATTTATGTATCTATTTGTGTAGAATGTGCCTGACACAATTCTAAACATTGTATTATATCTTTACTATTTTATTCCTCATAATCTCTAGGATGTAGATGGTATTATCTCTCTTTTATATATGAGTAAACTAAGGAAGAAAGAGCTTTAACAGCTTGCCCAAGGTCATCTGGCTGGTAGGAGTGGAATCAAAATTTGAACTTGAGTTGTCCAGAGCCATGTATATAATCTTACACCCCATTATATTGTTTTTACCACAAACAGATGAATTCTTCACAACATGAAGCCCCTAATGACTCTGCCAATCAACCATGCCCAATAAACTTGTTTAGGTGATGAACAGTTAAAATTTTAGAATTTATTTTGAGGTGACTTCCATTTAATGGGACCCATTCTATGTGGCTTAAATATGAAAAAATTATGATTGCTTAAGTTTTATCTCAGTGAGAATGGGTTATTGAAACCACTTTTTCTCACATTATAATTCTTGAGGATAGCACTTGAAAATTACTTCATTCATTAAAGCATTTTCTTGTTTTTGAGGCAAGGTGCTAATATGAGAATTTGTGCTCAATAAAACAACCTGACACTACTTCTGTTTCAGTGCTAATGAAGGAAGGAAGAGGTAGAAATGATATAAGACAAGAGGAATTTTTTTTTTCTTTTTATTGAGATGGAGTCTCACCCGTCGTCCAGGCTGGAGTGCAGTGATGCGATCTTGGCTCACTGCAACCTCTGCCTCCCAGGTTCAAACAATTTGACAAGAGGAATTAAAAAAAAAAAAAACATTTATTTCGTCTGTTTTGGAACAGGACATTCCATGGCCCATTGAAGCAGCTTACTCTTGGTGGACCAGAGATCAAGTAATTAGTGTAAACGAGAAGACATCAGAATAAATTACAAACAGGTAAGAATAAACTGCCAACTAGAATGAGATTTGAGTCTACTTTGTTATTTTTTTTTTTTTTTTTTTTTTTTTGAGGTGGAGTCTCTCTCTGTCACCCAGGCTGGAGTGCGGTGGCACGATCTCAGCTCACTGCAACCTCCGTCTCCCAGGTTCAAGCAATTTTCTGCCTCAGCCTCCAGAGTAGCTGGGATTACAGGTGTGTGCCACCACACCCAGCTAATTTTTGTATTTTTAGTAGAGACGGGGCTTTACCATCTTGGCCAGGCTGGTCTTGAACTCCTGGCCTCATGATCCACCAGCCTCAGCCTCCCAAAGTGGTGGGATTACAGGCATAAGCCACCACATCTGGCCCCTACTTTGTTATTTCAAACTATTTCTACCTATAGTGACCCATCCTATAGCTAAATTTGGAAAGACTGACAATATCAACTGTCCGAAAGGATATGGAGCAACTGGAACCTTCTTATGTTGCTGGTAGAAATCGAAATGGTCCAACCACTTGGGAAAACTGTTTAGAATTTTCTTAGAAATAAAGGCTACACTTATCCTATGACCCAAAATTCTACTTCTAAATATTACCCAAGAGAAGCCAGGCACCAGTGGCTCATACCTGCAATCCTAGCACTTTGGGAGGCCACAGCAGGAGGATTCCTTGAGTTCAGGAGTTTAAGACCAGCCTGGGCAAATAATGAGACCCTGTCTCTACAAAAAATACAAAAATTAGCTGGATGTGGTGGCATGTGCCTGTCATCCCAACTACTTGGGAGGCCAGGGCAGGAGGATTGCTTGAGACCAGGAGTTTGAGGCTGCAGTGAGCCATGATCATGGAATTGCACTCCACCCTGGGCAACATAGCAAGACCCTGCTGTCTCATGCATCTGTGTGAAGAGACCACCAAACAGGCTTTGTGTGAGCAACAAGGCTGTTTATTTTACCTGGGTGCAGGTGGGCTGAGTCCAAAAAGAGAGTCAGCAAAGGGT
Source organism: Homo sapiens (assembly GCF_000001405.40). Taxonomy (NCBI): domain Eukaryota; kingdom Metazoa; phylum Chordata; class Mammalia; order Primates; family Hominidae; genus Homo; species Homo sapiens. The sequence goes on along the minus strand of NC_000003.12, from coordinate 27,603,049 downwards.
GGTGGGATTATCATTAGTTCTTACCAGTTTTGGAATAGGCAGTGGAGTTAGGAGCAATATTTTGCAGGCAGGGGGTGGATCTCACAAAGTACATTCTCAAGGGTGGGGAGAATTACAAAAAACCTTCTTAAGGGTGGGGGAGATTATATAGAACCTTCTTAAGGGTGGGGGAGATTACAAAGTCCATTGATCAGTTAGAGTGAGGCAGAAACAAATCACAATGGTGGAATGTCATCAGTTAAGGCTATTTTCACTTCTTTTGTGGATCTTCAGTTGCTTCAGGCCATCTGGATGTATACATGCAGGTCACAGGGGATATGATGGCTTAGCTTGGGCTCAGAGGCCTGGCATTCCTGTCTTCTTATATTAATAAGAAAAATAAAATGAAATAGTGGTAAAGTGTTGGGGTGGTGAAAATTTTGGGGGGTGGTATGGAGAGATAATGGGCGATATTTCTCAGGGTTGCTTCAAGCGGGATTAGGGGCGGCATGGGAACCTAGAGTGGGAGAGATTAAGCTAAAGGGAGATTTTGGGGTAAGGGGTGATATTGTGGGGTTGTTAGAAGAAACATTTGTCATATAGAATGATTGGTGATGGCCTGGATACCGTTTAGGATGAATTGAGAAACTAAATGGAAGACATAAGGTCTGAATAAGAGAAGGAGAAAAACATGTATTAAAGGACTAAGAACTGGGAGGACCCAGGACATCCAACTACAGAGTGCCCAAGGGGGTTCAGCGTAATTACTTGCTTGGTTGGTGAGTTTTTGGGCTCTATCCTTGACAGAGTCCTTTTTGTTAAGTTGGAGGCTGAGCTTGGTGAGGTGTGTTTTTAAAAGATCATTAGTCCGTTCTACCTTTCCTGAAGACTGATGACAGTAAGGGGTATGAAGGTTTCACTGAACACCAAGAGCCTGAGAAATTGCTTGGGTGATTTGACTAGTAAAGGCCGGTCCATTATTGGACTGTACAGAGGTGGGAAGGCCAAACTGAGGAATTATGTCTGACAGAAGGGAAGAAATAACCACAGTGGCCTTCTCAGACCCTGCGGGAAAGGCCTCTACCCATCCAGTGAAAGTGTCTACCCAGACCAAGAGGTATTTTCGTTTCTTGACTCGAGGCATGGGAGTAGAGTCAACTTGCCAGTCCTGGGCAGGGGCAAATCCCCAAGCTTGATGTGTAGGAAAGGGAGGGGGCCTGAACAATCCCTGAGGGGTAGTAGAATAGCAGATGGAACACTTGAGAAGTGATTTCCTTGAGGATAGATTTCCACAATGGAAAGGAAATGAGAGTTTTAAGAGGTGGGCTAGTGGCTTGTAACCTACATGGAAGAGGTTATGAAATGATGACAGAATAGAATGGGCCTGTGAGGCTGGAAGGAGATATTTTCCTTGGTCTAAGATCCATTTGCCTTTTGTGGGAAGAGATTGATAGGTGGCAGTTTCAGTGGGGGAGTAGGTGGGAGTGACCGATGAGCAGGAGAAAAACCGGACGTGAGGGACAGAAGTTGGAATGCTAGCTGCTTCCTTAGCTACCTTACCAGCATAAGCATTGCCCTGAGCTATGGAATCTGATGCCTTTTGGTGGCCATTGCACTATATGACTCAAGCTTCCTTTGGAAGTAAAGCAGCCTTGAGAAGAGTTTTTATTAAAGAGGCATTAATGATGGAGGACACTTGCATAGTGAGGAAACCTCTTTCAGCCCATATAACAGCATGTTGGTGCAGGATATGGAAGGCATATTTAGAGCCAGTATAAATATTAACGTATAATTCCTTTGCAAGAGTGAGGGCTCAAGTGAAGGCAATGAGTTAGGCTTGCTAAGAGGTAGTGAAGTGGGGCAGAGTAGTAGCCTCAATGATAGATGTAGAAGATACTATAGCATAGCCTGCCTTTGCTGGTGAGTGGCGATTAGGCCTGGTGGAACTGCCATCAATAAAGCAAGTGTGATCAGGGTGAGGAACAGTAAAGAAGGAAATATGGGGAAATGGAGTGAATGTCAGGTGGATCAGAGAGATAGTCATGGGAGTCAGATATGGCATCAAGAATAATGTGGGGGCTAGCCTAAAACAGTAAGGTCAAGTTGTTTGGACAAAAAGGCTACAGGGTGCGGTCCTGGCTCCTGTGTAAGAATTTTGACCGCACAGCCCTGTACTTTGGCTGTATGTAATGAAAAGGGTTGGGATGAATTAGGGAGAGCTAGTGTGGGAGCAGCTTCTAGGGCTGTTTTTAAGGAACAGAAAGAGGAGTGGTGAAAGGATTTAGGATCTATGGAGTCAGCTAGGTTTGCTTTTGTGAGTTTACATAATGGTTTAGTCAGGATGGTAAAACTAGGTATCCAAAGGCGGAAGTACCTAACCATGCATAGGAAGGAAAGGAGTTGTTGTTTTGTAGAAGGGGTTGGGGTTTGGGAGATTAGCAGGACACAGTCAGCAGGGAGAGCATGTGTGTTTTCATGAAGAATTATGCCGAGATAGGTAATGGATGAGGAAGAAATTTGGGCTTGACTGAAGTCATGGGAGCTGTCCATGAAGCCTTGCGGCAGTACAGCCCAGGTAAGCTGCTGGGACTGATGGGTGTCAGGGTCAGTCCAGGTAAAAGAAAGAGAGGCTGGGACAAGGGGTGTAGGGGAATAGTGAAAAAAGCATCTTTAAGATCAGGAACGGAATAGTGAGTTGTGGAGGAAGGTATTGAGGACAAAAGAGTGTATGGGTGGGGCACCACTGGGTGGATAGGCAAAACAATTTGGTTGATAAGAAGAGAAAGAAGAAAGATTTGGGATGAGTCACACTGGGAGCAGAGACTAGGGAGGGACCAATGTGTAAAAAATGCTTGGACATCAGGCACCTCAGACCATTTGCCCATTTTTCGACAAAAATTATCTAGGTCTCATAGGATGGAGAAATCAAAAGTGCCATTTTCTGGCCATTTAGAACCATTGTCGAGTTTGTATTGGGGCCAAGCAGTGTTGCAGAAAAAAATAAGACACTTAGATTTTAGGTCAGGCGAGAGTTGAAGAGGTTTTAAGTTCTTGAGAACACAGGCTAAGGGAGAAGGAGGAGGAATGGAGGGTGGAAGGTTGCCCACAGTGAAGGAGGCAAGTTTAAAGAGAAGGGTAGAGACACGGAGAAGGGGGGTGGGGAGAAGCCCTGGGCTGCAACGTGGGTGAGCAGCCAAAGCAGGCATCCAGCAATTGACTTGCCACCAAGGGAATGTGGGTGAATGACCAAGGCAGGCGTCCCTGTGGTGGTCAGACACCAATGGAATGTGGGTGAAAGGCAGGCGTCCCCGCAATGATTAAACACCAAGGGAAGGCTGTCTTCCCGAGTCCGTGAGGGGCACTGGAGTTTTGGGTCCACGGATAAAATGTGTCTCCTTTGTCTCTACTAGAGAGGAAAAAGAACTGGAATTGGAAGGATAGGGGGATTGAAGGGAGCGAGAGAGGCTGGAGAAGAGAGTGAAAAGACCGCTTACCCGATTGGAAACTGGTGAAATGTTCCTTGGGCTGGTTGGTCTGAGGACCTGAGGTTGTAGGTGGATCTCCTCACGGAATGAGGGCGAGGACAGGGGACTGGTCTCCCGAAGGAGTCCCTCTGACCTGGGTCTTCAGCACCAAATGTCTCAAGCGTCCGTGTGAAGAGACCACCAAACAGGATTTGTGTGAACAGCAAGGCTGTTTATTTCACCCGGGTGCAGGCGGGCTGAGTCCGAAAAAGGAGTCAGCAAAGGGTGGTGGATTATCATTAGCTCTTATAGGTTTTGGGATAGGCGGTGGAGTTAAGAGCAATGTTTTGCGGGCAGAGGGTGGATCTCACAAAGTACATTCTCAAGGGTGGGGAGAATTACAAAGAACCTTCTTAAGGGTGCGGGAGATTTCAAAGTACATTGATCAGTTAGGGTGAGGCAGAAACAAATCACAATGGTGGAATGCCATCAGTTAAGGCTATTTTCACTTCTTTTGTGGATCTTCACTTACTTCAGGCCATCTGGATGTGTAGGTGCAGATCACAGGGGATATGATGGCTTAGCTTGGGCTCAGAGGCCTGACACCTGCCTCGAAAAATAAATAAATGTTACCCAAGAAAAATGAAAACATGTCCACAGAAACACCTGTATAAGCATGTTCATAATAACCAAGAAACAACCCAAATTTCCATTAAGTGAATATATAAACAAACTATAACACATTTATACAACTGAATAATACAACTGAGCAATAAAAACAAATTAGTGATATACAAAACAGTGTGATGAATGTCAATAATATTATGCTGAGCAGAAAAGACAGACACTGGCCAGGCATGGTGGCTCACGCCTGTAATCCCAGCACTCTGGGAGGCTGAGGCTGGTGGATCACGAGATCAGGAGTTCAAAACCAGCCTGACCAACATGTTGAAACCAAGTATCTACTAAAATTACAAAACTTAGCCAGGCATGGTGGTGTGCATCTGTAATCCCAGCTACTCAGTAGGCTGAGGCAGGAGAATGACTTGAACCTGGAAGGTGGAGGTTGCAGTGAGCCAAGATCATGCCACTGCACTCCAGCCTGGGCAATAGAGCGAGACTCTGTCTCAAAAAAAAAGGCAGGCACAAAAATGTACACCCTGGTTGATACCGTTTATATGAAGTCCAAGAATAAGTAAAGACACCAAAAGTGGTTGTCCATGGAAGGCAAGCAGCTAACTGGAAAAAAGCATGGGAAAACTTGCTGGGCACAGAAGATGTTCTCCCTCATGATACTGGGCATTGGATATTGGTTACGTGAATGTATATATTTGTTTTTTTGTTTTTGTTTTCTGCTTTTTATGTTTTTTTTGTTTTGTTTTGTTTTGTCTTGTATTTGATGGAGTCTTGCTCTGTCACCCAAGCTGGAATGCAGTGGCGCAATCTTGGCTCACTGCATTCTCCACCTCCCGGGTTCCAGTGATTCTCCTGCTTCAGCCTCCCGTGAGTAGATGGGATTACAGGCATGCACCATCATGCTCGGCTAATTTTTGTATTTTTAGTAGAGACAAGGTTTCAGCATGTTGGCCAGGCTGGTCTCCAACTCCTGACCTCAGGTGATCTGCCCGCCTTGGCCTCCCAAAGTGCTGGGATTACAGGTGTGAGCCACTGTGCCCAACCACGTGTATATATTTGTCAAAACTCATCAAACTGCAAGCTTAAGATTTATGCATTTTACTGTATGTAATTTATACTTCCATGGAAAATAAGAATATAAAAAATAAAGTGACTTATTATGGCTATAAAAGTAATCTTTTGACCGTACTCAACTTGATCTTATCTCCTTAATATGGCCTACTTTGAAATTAATTTATCATGTGGACTGATCAGAGAGTGTCATGTAGAAAAGTACACTTGATAAAACCATGCACAAAGGTCCATAGTTCATCTCTTTCTTATTGAATAATTCTACTCATTTTTTAAATCCTAAATATGTTTTCTATGTTAGTAATGAGAATAGCAATGAATTTAGGCATGTCTGTTGAATTCAGGTGATACCTAGTCAATTAGCATTTTGAGTCACTAAAGGTGTTATTGTTCACTTTGGGGTTAAAATTTTCTAGAAGGTTTTGTTTTTTGTCAAGGAAGCAGAATATTTTCTTTTGAGAGTAATTAGCAATAAACCTGTAAGTCACATTAATTTTCATGTTGTAAATATGATTTCTTTTCTCTCTTGCCCTGTTTGTTCTCAAATTTTTTATTTAGTTAAAAATGGAAATGAAAAAAAGTTTCTGTATTTACTTCAAATCCAGTCTTTCCAGGGCCTCAGAGACTGATCCTTTGGTTGTTTGATGTAACCATGCTGGCTCTATGATGACTGACCTGGTATTTTCCAGCTAAAATTACCCACCATGCAGCCAGCAGGGTCAGTCATTAAGACACATGAATCACTAGGTTGTCTGACCCATGGTCTGGATTTCTTGTCGTTATGAAGATGAAGCCTGAGATCACTGGAGACTAGTTCCTTAACAAGAAAGACACCAAACTTCTCCTTAATTCAGCCTTGCATCAAGTCACCCACATGGAATGGGAAAATTTGTGAAGATATAGAGCTCAGCTTTTCCTGTGTGTGTCCCCACAGAAGGAATAGGTCTAAGGCCAGGCTTTGGAACCCTTGCCAGCTGGGCTGCATTAGCAATTCTGCTCTTCTTCATTTGTTGACCCTTCTAACTAACTATAAGCAATATTAGATTTCCTATTCAAGTATTGCAAATGCCTTGGTGTTTAGCAGGATATCAGATTCATTGCATACTTCTGTGGGAAATATTACTGCTTCACTCTATCAACAATCAGGCCAGAGTGGGCAGCCCAAAGAGTTATGGTTCATGTTTTTGGCTTTTGGCAAACCCCTTCTCATTTTCTTTTTGATTCACTGTCTGCTTAACTTCTTTTGCTTTTATGCATGACTTGCCTTGGGTGAGTAATTTTATTTACAGTCTGGAGAAAAGGAGTTTTAGATATAGGTCACCAGAAGCAGACCCAGAGACCAAGATTCATGCTAAAGTACTTTATTAGAAAACGTTTCTGAGAAGAAACAATAAGAAAAAAGGAAGTTGGATGGGAGCCAAAGGAACCGTTTTGTGGTTGATACTGCCCTCTTGATTCAAGAGGGAGGTCGACCTCCCAGGCTCAAGCACAAAGAGGCAAGCACAGTATCAAGTACAAAGCCACCATGGGACTGCCTCAAACCTGCTGGGTAGCTCTGGAAAAGGTAGTTGTTTCAAACAGAGGTGAAGTTGATGTATTTATACTCTTGTGTCTATAAATCAATGGTTAAAGGCCATCTCACAAATGTGTAAATATGCCCAGAATCTCCTGAGTTTTGGGGGGTTTTCTTGTTTGCTTATTTTTGTTTTGTTGTGTTGGGGGGGATGAGTTTTTTGTTTGTTTCTTTGTTTTCTTTTTTTGAGATCGAGTCTCACTCTGTCGCCCAGGATGTAGTGCAGTGGTGTGATCTTGGCTCACTGCAGCCTCAACCTCCCTGGCTCAAGCAATCCTCCCACCTCAGCCTCCCTAGTAGCTAGGACTACAGGCACATACCACCATACCTGGCTAATTTTTGCACTTTTTGTAGAGATGGGGGTCTCACCTTTTTGCCCAGGCTAGTCTCAAACTCCCAAGCTCAAGTGATCCTCCCACCTCGGCTTCTGAAAGTGCTGGGATTATAGGCATGAGCCACCACTTCTGGCCCCCAGAATCTTCTGGCCCTTCATACACACAGGCCAAAGTAGCTTCGGTAACCTGACGACAATCATCTGATAAAGACACTCAGGTTTGGACTGTTGTGAGTGAAATCACCTGGGAGCCAGTGTGCATAAAATATGTGGTGTGCACCAAAAGGAACTCAAGAGGCTATTGTCAGAGGCTATTGTCAGAGGCTATTGTCAGAGGCTATTGTCAGAGGCGTTTGAACCAGAGCAACTCCATCTTGACTAGGGGGTAGGTAAAATAAGGCTGAGACCTACTGGGCTACATTCCCAGGAGGGTAGGCATTCTTAGTTAAAGGATGAGATAGGAGGTCAGCGCAAGGTACAGGTCACAAAGACCTTAGTCATAAAACAGCATGTGGTAAAGAAGCCAGCCAAAACCCACCAAAACCAACATGATGACAAAAGTGACTTCTGGATGTCCTCACTGTTTATTACATGCTAATCATAATGCATTAGCATGCCAAAAGACACTCCCACTAGCACCATGACAGTTTATGGATGTCATGGCAATGTCAAGAAATTACCCTACATAGTCTAAAAAGGCGAGGAGCCCTCAGTTGGGAATTGCCCACCCCTTTCCCAGAAAACTCATGAATAATCTATCCCTTGTTTAGCATGTAATCAAGAAATAACTAGGCCGGGCACGGTGGCTCACACCTTTAATACTAGCACTTTGGGAAGCCAAGGCAGGCTGGTTGCTTGAGCTCAGGAGTTTGAGACCAGCCTGAGCAACACAGTGAAACCCTGTCTCTACTAAAATACAAAAGAAATTAGCTGGGCGTGGTGGCACGCACCTGTAATCCCAGCTACTTGGGAGGCTGAGGCAGGAGAATTGCTTGAACCCAGGAGGCGGAGGTTGCAGTGAGCCAAGATCAAGCCACTGCACTCCAGCCTGGGTGATAGAGCTAGACTCATCTCTATTTAAAAAAAAAAAAAAAAAGAAATAGCTATAAGTATAATCAGTCAAGCAGCCCACACTGCTGCTCTGCCTATGGGATAGCGATTCTTCTATTCCTTTACTTTCTTGATAAACTTGCTTTCACTTTATCAACTCACCCCAAATTATTTCTTGCATGAGGTCCAAGGACTCTCTCTTGGGGTCTGGATCGGGACCGCTTTCCGGTAACACTATGGGTGAAGCCCCGACATCTACCTAGCAACAGGTATCTATTTTAGTGCTTGTGATGGGACAAACATGGTTTCTTTCTTTCTTCTTCCCTTACTCCCTCCTTTCCTGCTTTCTTTTCCCTTTTTCTCCTGTTCCCTTCTAAGCAACTTTCTGAATAGTGGACTGATTGTACTGCATCTCTACTGCAGTCTAATTTTTGGTTTTGCTTTTAAATTATCTGGCTAACTTCCCAGATTGTGCTATTGGTAAGGTGGAATATTTTGAAGGCTCTTTTCTCCAGTCTTATTTTACTCTCAAAAGCATATCAAATAAAAATGTTGTGAGATTTCCCTCAGGCTCTTTTTGGTTCCTATTATGCCAGGCAAGTTGCACAGTGTTTGACTACCTTTCTTTTCCTCTTAATAGATCACGTTTTGTCTTGCCATTAGTCATATGCACCTCACTTTTGTTGTGCAAGTGACACAACAGCAAAAAGACAACAACAGAGACTGTGGCAGCTTAAAGCAAGAAGAGCAAAAACTTTCCTAGGATCCCCCAGCAGATTTTTCCTCATATCTTGCTGACCAGAACTTGACCACTTGGCTTCTCTAACAGCAAGGGAAGCCAGGAAAGCAAGTATCTAGTGACAAGAAAGTAACAAGGGGCCAGACACAGTGGCTCACACTTGTAATTCTAGCACCTTGAGAGACCAAGGCAGGAGGATTGTTTGAGGCCAGGATTTGGAGACCATTCTGGGCAACATATCCCTTCTTTATCCTCCTGCCTAACTTCCTGAACTGTTTTTCTTCCCTGAGGTGTTCCCCAAGGATAAGAACATGTAAGAAACCCTCAGAGAAGTGGAAATCTCAAACAACAAAAAGATGGCACTATTAAAAAGTGAACATTTTGGCCGGGCATGGTGGCTCACGCCTGTAATCCCAGCAATTTGGGAGGCCAAGGTGGGTGGATCACGAGGTCAGGAGTTCGAGACCAGCCTGGCCAATGTGGTGAAACCCTATCTCTACTAGAAATACAAAAATTAGCCAGGTGTGGTGGTGCTCACCTGTAGTCCCAGCTACTCGGGAGGCTGAGGCAGAAGAATCACTTGAACCCTGGAGGCAGAGGTTGCTGTGAGTCGAGGTCAGCCTGGGTGACAGAGTGAGACTCCATCTCAAAAAACAAACAACAACAACAAAAAGAACATTTTACATGAGTGGACACTAGTCTACAATTATTTTGATAGGATTATCATTCAAACATGGTTTATTTAACAGTTTGAAAATGACACAAGCTTGCTCCAAAGTGAGCACGAATCTCCTCATTGAAAAGCTAGCTTACTTTTGGAAGCAGTCACGTGATGTGATGTTCTTGCTAGTAAGCATAATAATGTTGAAAAAAAAGGTTTCTCACTTTCTTAGCAGCATTACTTATTATGCACCAAATTTCAAATATATATTTATCATGTGCTTAGATTAAATGTATTAAAAGCTACTATGTCATCAATACTCTAAATTTCTTCTGCAAAAATATAAATGTTTATTTATAAGTATATTTATAAGCATGTTTACTTATGTTTATAAGTATATTTATATTAATGTATAATACATAATATCATATACTATATATGTTATTATATATACATACATAAAACTGTATTTTTTATATATATAAACACACACACACATACAATTTTGCATAGCCCAATGAAAAGCCTAGAATAGCTACTTCTTTTGAGCCACAAAGATGTTGGGGGAAATATAAATGTTTCTACTGATTCAAGTATTTCATTATTTCTTTTTTTTTTTTTTTTTTTTTTTGAGGTGGAGTCTTGCTCTTGTTGCCCAGGCTGGAGTGCAATTGCACAATCTCAGCTCACTGCAACCTCCGCCTACTAGGTTCAAGCAATTCTCCTGCCTCAGCCTCCCAAGTAGCTGAGATTACAGGCATTCACCACCATGCCTGGCTAATTTTTGTATTTTTATTAGAGATGGGGTTTCACCATGTTGTCCAGGCTGGTCTTGAACTCCTGACCTCGTGATCTGCCTGCCTCGGCCTCCCAAAGTGCTGGGATTGCAGGCGTGAGCCACTGTGCCTGGCTCTTTTTTATTTTCTTATTTTCTTTTGAGACAGAATTTCACTCTTGTCACCTAGGCTGGAGTACAATGGCGTGATCTCAGCTCTCTGCAACCTCTGCCTCCCAGGGTTCAAGTGATTCTTCTTCCTCAGCATCTCAAGTAGCTGGGATTACAGGCGTGCACCACCATGCCCAGCTAAATTTTTTTTGTATTTTTAGTAGAGATGGGGTTTCGCCATGTTGGCCAGGTTAGTCTCAAACTCCTGACCTCAAGTGATTTGCCCACCTTGGCCTCCAAAAGTGCTGGGATTACAGGTGTGAGCCACCACGCCCAGCCAGGTGTGGATTTTCAAAAACAGCAAAATCTGTGGGAATCTAGTATTTCTCTCTAGATGAAGTAATGTCATTGAATATAATTTAAGTTGTAGTGTAATTAAAGATGGTATAAATGGCTCTATTCTTCCCATGCTGACATTTTATCCCAAGCCCTTTCTTCGGGCATCATTGGTCAATGATTTATGGGTTTTCCATGGCTTCCATATCTTGTCTATCACCAACTGGTTTCTGAGACATGAGTGGTTTACCCCGGAAGTGATTATTCAAATTCTGTGGCTGCTGGGCTTTGTTCTTACATCTAATGTATTCAGCTAGATTCTGCTCCAGGAAGAGATAACAAAAATTACTGAAACAATTTGTAAGATGCAGCCAGCTGCATATTGACCTTCAACTCCCACGAGTGTCCCTGCCAAAATGATACAGTTACTTAATTTCCAGAGTCAAAATTATCAATAAAGCCCAAAGGCTTTCTCTCAATAGACAATGGGTATGTGTTTCGGTGTTTGGGTGTGGATGTGTGTTTGTGTGTCACAAAGAGAGAGACTTTCACTCAAAAGACAAGGTATGTGTGCATGAGTACATGTGTATTAGAGAAAGAAAGAGAGAAAGAGAGCAATGAAGACAGAGCACAGCTTTGTTAGAATGGTGAGGGGAGACCCAATGTTAGTTTGCTTCCAGGACTTGATGGAGATTATTGGTTTTTCTTTGAAAGCCCATTCCTCAGCCTAGGTAAAAGCTTTTCCTAGTAGACCGTGATTCATTAACATCCTGTCCTTCTGGGGAGGAAAAGACACGAAAATTTAAGGCAAGATTCCAGGCTGGAAAAGAGCTGTTGTTGAGACAAAGCTTTGATGGAAGGTGAAAGCAGGCCTGGAACCATGTGTGTCATAGTGATTATTTTTTATGGCTCAACGTCAAAATGCCTCTGCTACTTGTTAGTTTGGGGTTTGGTGGGACAGAAAAGAGGAAGGCTATGAGGAGAGTAAGGAACAAAGAGGGAGAGTTTGCAGAAAAATTTTTAGAGCAATTGAAGCTTGATAATACTGGATGTGTCCTGCCTTTTCTGTTGTTGCTTTCATTTGTTGAAGCATTTCATAAGTAGATCACATGTTCACAATAGAAAAGTGAATCTATTATGCAAAATGTCCCAGTTGGAAACTCGTAAGTTCTGAAGGGAAAATACTCTTTTTCAGCTTAATTCCCACTGGCAAAATTTCATACAAACAGACTGCTGTGTGACTGTTTGGAACTGTTGACTAAACCAAGCTCTAAGGGAAATGAAAGTATCCTTTCGTCTGTGCACAACCACTTCTTTATTTTTCCCTTTGCCATTTACCAACTTAATGCATCTGTGTTGACAGCTAAAGACTGATGATTAAATTAGACAACAGTTCCTATTACATTTTAAGATTATGTTAAACACTTGAACATATTGCAATTCTCTAAGGCTGAAATGACTCCTGTAATCTTTCATCAAGATTTATAATCACTATTTCCTTCACTGACAGTATCAAAAAGCTACAGTGGTCAGGGAATGTTCCAGCCACATTGGCAAGAGGATATGATTATATTCTCCAGTGGAAGTTGTAACTTCCGGTTGCCTTTTTCCCTGTGAAAACAATGATTTCCGGTTACCTTCAAGGGTACTGTGACTTTATGACACATCACTTCAGAAAACCAGCTCTGTGGTTGTTGAAGGTGACCCAGGAGAGATGATGAATTTCTCTTTCTTTGGAAATCAGATTTTTCTCTCCTCGAAGACAGAAGAGGAAGTAACATTCTAGGCCAGCACCCATTATTGTGCAAGAAGACTTGGATTTTATCAAAAGTGATGATTAATTGAATTTACATCTCTCAGCATGCACCTCCCACTCCAGGACTGATTTTTGTTTTTCTTTACAGAAAATTTATTTCTCCTTCTTCAACCTTGCATTGTGCATATAGCCATTGAAAACAAAACAGTCACCAGTGTTTTCCATGAAGGCTTTTGCTGAAAAAGAAATCAGCCTCTTCACACTTTTATGTTATCAACAGAGAAGAAAAGAGATGAGAAAGCCAGAAAGATGAATAGCATTCCTATCTTTCTCATTCTTGCTTTTCTTCTCCTGTTAGTGTTCATTCTTTGGCTCTTCTGTTTTTACTTTTTGCTGCATTTATATCTTCTTTTTTGTTTTCTATCCCTTTACTTTGCTTTCCCTTCCCAACCCACACACCTCCTTTGCTCAGGAGGAAATCTCCTCTCCTGGGAGGAGCAAAGAGATAGAATAGAGAAAAAGCATGCAGTAACAGCAATGGAATTCTAATGTTCTCACTCATATGTGGGAGCTAAAAAGTTGAGCTCACAGAAATAGAGTAGAATTGTGGTTACTATGGGCTAGGAAGGGTGGGGGATGGGAGATAGAGATTGGATACGGAATACAAAAGGACAGATAGATAGGAAGAGTAAGCTCTAGTGCTCTATAGAACTATAGGGTGACAATAGTTAACAATAACTTATTGTATATTTTCAAATAGCTAAAAGAGAAGATTTTGCATGTTTCTCTTTTTTTGACATAGAGCTTCGTTCTGTCGCTGGGATTACCAGCATGAGGTATGGCACCCTGTGGATTTTGAATGTTTCCAAAACAAAGAAATGATAAATGTTTTGAAGTAATAGATACACTAATGAACCTGATTTAATCATTACACATTGTATACAGATATCAAAATGTCACGTCGTACCTATAAATATGTACATTATTCCATGTTAATTAAAAATAAAATAAAGCCAGGCACAGCGACTCATGCCTGTAATCCCAGAACTTTGGGAGGCCGAGGCGGGCGGATCACTTAAGGTCAGGAGTTTGAGACAGGCCTGGCTAACATGGCAAAGCTCTATCTCTACTCAAAATACAAAAATTAGCTGGACTTGGTGGTGGTATGCACCTGTAGTCCCAGCTACTAGGGAGGCTGAGGTGGGAGGATCAGTTTAGCCCAGGAGGAAGAAGTTGCAGTGAGCCGAGATCGAGCCACTACACTCCAGCCTGTGTGACAAAGTGAGACTCTGTCTCAAAAAAATAAAATAAAATAAAGCATTTTGCCCACTTACAAAAATGGATTGTTTTAATCCAAATTATGTATTCTGAGTATAAATGTGTATTCTAGATATAAATATATCTAGATATAAATCTTTTATCAGATTACCCTTTCTTCCATTCTATGGGTTATATTTTCTTTTCTTTTTTTTTTTTTTCCACCCAGGCTGGAGTGCAGTGGCCCAATCTCAGCTCACTGCAACCTCTGCCTCCCAGGTTCAGGTGATTCTCCTGCCTCAGCCTCCCGAGTAGCTGGGATGGCAGCCACCCGCCAACACTCCTGGCCAATTTTTGTATCTTTAGTAGAGACGGCATTTCACCATGTTGGCCGGGCTGGTCTTGAACTCCTGACCTCAAGTGGTCTGCCTGCCTCGGCCTCCCAAAGTGCTGGGATTACAGGTGTGAGCCACCATGCCTGGCTGATTTTCTTTATTTTAAGAGTGTCTTTCAAAAAGGAGAAGTTTACCGGTGTGGCAGCTCACATCTGTAATCCCAGCACTTTGGGAGGCCAAGGCACGCAGATCACCTGAGGCCAGGAGTTTGAGACCTGCCTGGCCAATATGGTGAAACCCCATCTCTACTAAAAATACAAAAATTAGCTGGGCGTGATGGCGCACGTCTGTAATCCCAGCTATTCGGGAGGCTGTGGCAGAAGAATCACTTGAGCCTGGGAGGCAGAACCTGCAGTGAGCAGAGATTGTGCCATTGCACTCCAGCCTGGGTGACAGAGCGAGACTCTGTCTCAAAAAAAAAAAAAAGGAGTTTATAATTTTCATTAAGTCTATTTAATCTGTTTGTTCTTTGAGGAATTATGCTTTTTAGTATTGTATAATATCTAATAAATTTCTGCTTAACCCAAGATCACAAAGATTTTCTACCATATTTTCTTTTAGAAGATTAATCACTTTAGATAATATATTTAAGTCTGTAATAATTGTTTTTTTTTTTTTTGAGACAAAGTCTCGCTCTGTTGCCCATGCTGGAGTACAGTGGCACAATCTCAGCTCACTGCAACTTTCGCCTCCCGGGTTCAAGTGATTGTCCTGCCTCAGCCTCCCAAGTAGCTAGGATGATAGGTGCCCACCACCACGCCTGGCTATTATTTTTTTTTTTTTTTTGTAGAGATGGAGTTTCACCATGTTGGCCAGGCTGGGATAATACATATTTAGATCATTATTTTCATATGGTGCAAGAATGGATTGACATTCTTTCTGTTGCGTATGAATTTCTAATTGTTCTAGCACCATTTGTTAAAAAGACTATTTGTCCACTGAATTGCATTTGTGCCTTTGTCAAAAACAGTTGTCAGGACTGGGCGTGGTGGCTTATGCCTGTAATCCCAGCATTTTGGGAGGCCGAGGCAGGCGGATCACCTGAGGTCAGGAGTTCAAGACCAACCTGGCCAACATGATGAAACCCCGTCTCTACCAAAAATACAAAAAATTAGCCAGGCGTGGTGGCTCACGCCTGTAAACTCAGCTACTCTGGAGGCTGAGGCAGGAGAATCGCTTCAACCTCAGAGGCAGAGGTTGCAGTGAGCTGAGATTACACCACTGGACTACAGCCTGGGTAACAAAGCAAGACTTCATCTCAAAACAAAACAAAACAAAAATAAACAAACAGTTATCAGGCCAGGAGCAGTGGTTCATGTCTGTAATCCTAGCTTTTGGGGGGCTAAGGTGGGTGGATTACTGGAGCCCAGGAGTTAGAGACCCCCTGGTCAACATGGTGAAAACCCATCTCTACAAAAATACAAAAAAAAAAAAAAAATAGCTGGACATGGTGGCATGTGCCTGTAGCCCCACCTGCACAGGAGGCTGAGGTGGGAGGATTGCTTTGAGCCTAGACAGTTAAGGCTGCAGTGAGCCATGTACACACCACTGCACTCTATCCAGGGTTCTCAAAAAACAAACAAAAAAACTAAACAAATAAAAACTAGTTGTCAATATAAATATGTGGGTCTCTTTCTGGATTCATTTCTATTTCATTGACTTGTCTGTTTTTTGGTTTTGGGGGGTATTTTTGTTTTGTTTTGTTTTGTTTTGTTTTGTTTTGCTTTTTTTGAGACGAAGTCTTACTCTGTCGCCCAGGCTGGAGTACAGTGGTGCAATCTCGGCTCACTGTAACCTCCGCCTCCCAGGTTCAAGTGATTCTCCTGCCTCAGCCTCCTTAGTAGCTGGCATTACAGGTACACACCACCACATGGCTAATTTTTGTATTTTTAGTAGAAATGGGGTTTCACTATGTTGGCCAGGTTGGTCTCGATCTCCTGACCTCGTGATCCACCCTCCTCGGCCTCCCAAAGTGCTGGGATTAGAGGCGTAAGCCACCACGCCAGGCCAACTTGTCTGCTTTTTTATACCATTAACACATTGTCCTGCTTACTAGAGCTTTATAATGAATATTAAAATCAGGAAAAAAAAAAAAAAAAGAACAGAACAACGAGGCAATGTCCTGGTGGTTCAGTTGGGCTGATTTGCACTATCTTAAACATATATCCAGAATTTGATGGCTTACTACTCACACTGCTACTGTTGTAGTTTAAACAACAGGAATTTGAGTCCAATCTCTCTCCCCTACTGCAACACCCTGTTGCACTGGTCCCCACATCTACAAAAAAAGAAAAAAGAAAAAAACAACTAAAAAAAAAATAAAAATAAACCACTACCATCCTGGCACGGTGGCTCACGCCTGTAATCCCAGCACTTTGGGAGGCCGAGGCGGGCAGATCACCTGAGGTCAGGAGGTCGAGACCAGCCTGGCCAACATGATAAGACCCAGTCTCTACTAAAAATGTGTGGTGGTGGGCACCTGTAATCCCAGCTACTTGGGAGGCCGAGGCAGGAGAATCACTTGAACCCAGGAGGCGGAGGTTCCATTGAGCTATCATGCCACAGTACTCCAGCCTGGATGACAGAGCAAGACACTATCTCAAAAAAAAAAAAAAAAAAAAAGGCTGGGCACAGTGGCTCACGCCTGTAATCCCAGCACTTTGGGAGGCTGAGGCGGGCAGATCACGAGGTCAGGGGTTCAAGACCAGCCTGATCAACATGGTGAAACCCCGTCTCTACTAAAAATACAAAAATTAGCTGGACATGGTGGCACGTGCCTATAATCTCAGCTACTCAGGAGGCTGAGGCAGGAGAATCACTTGAACCCAGGAGGCAGAGGCTGCAGTGAGCCGAGATCACACCACTGCACTCCAGCCTGGGCAACAGAGCGAGACTCCATCTCAAAAAAAAAAAAAAAAAAAAAGATTTATGTCTGTCTACCAGACTGAAATGTAGAATATAGGGATTTGTCTCTATCCCCAACATCTAAAACAGTGCCTAGCACATTTGGCACTATATGTGGGCTGAGTAAATGAAATTCATAACACCAGCACTATATGTAGCCTTTGGCCACACTCTCTTCCTGGGACATTTGTGTGTTATAAGGCCACACATCCTATGGTAGAAAGCCATATTGGAATGCTGATGACTTGACCAGGAGCCAGTTACTTTCTCCTCAGTGACAGATCTATAAGCCTGCAAATCCGGCTGCTTTCTTTTCCTTAGCTTACTGGTTAGAAAGAGCCTGTTCAGTCACGTACTTGGCTTACACATTTTCCAACCAGAACAGTGTGCACTTGCCCTTTTCCTGAGTTCTAGTGCCAGGGACTGTACCTGCTGGTTGCATTTTGAGTTCTTATTCATAGTCATGATTCTGCCCCACCTAAGTACTTTTATGCCCGGGCAGTCTTGGGACTTGCAGGTCACTCCCTTGGCTTCTTTCAAACTGGTCAAGTGGAGGAGGAAAGCTATAGCCTTTCCCAACATGACTTAGTGGACTAACCCATCATTGCTCAGACCTTCACAGAATCTTAGAGTATTAGAGTGGGGAAGACTTAAATCTTGGAGTACACTGATATTCAATTTTTTTTTTTTTAAACCGCAGCAATACCTTTTCTTTAAACCAGCACTCTACTGAAAGCCCAACATGTCGAACAAATGGAATTGGAGCTTCTCTGTTTGAAACAGAGACAGGGACCAGAGTCTGCTTGGTTTGACGCAGCCTCTTCCTAGGGGATTCCCTGAGGAAATTTGCAAAGCCAATTGTTTTTACAGGAAACAGTGTGGAGATCCCAGGTGCCATCCAATGCCATTGCTTTGTAGATAAGAAAAGCAAAGTTCAAAGGGATAAAGGTATTTTCCCAAAGTTATACAGAAAGCAGCTGTCCTGGAATGAGAATTCCAGTCTCTTACTTCCCAGTTTGTACCCCTCTCCTCACCATATACACCATGTTCTGCCAGCAGCCTACCACCCATTAAGAACTTACTGCATGCCAAGCATCATGCAAGGTGTTTTACATTCACAATTTCATTTATTCCTGACATCTACCTTTTGTGGTACATACCATTAATTTTGTTTTTCAAAAGAGAGACGAGGCTGGGCATGGTGGCTCATGTCTGTAATTCCAGCACTTTGGAGGCCAAGGTGGACGAATCACCTGAGGTCAGGAGTTCAAGACCAGCCTAACCAACATGGTGAAACCACATCTCTACTAAAAATACAAAAATTAGCCGGGCATGGTGGCACGTGCCTGTAATCCCAGCTACTCGGGAGGCTGTGGCAGGAGAATTGCTTGAACCCAGGAGGCAGAGGTTGCAGTGAGCTGAGATCCCGCCACTGTACTCCAGCCTAGGTGACAAAAGTGAAACTCCATCTCAAAAAAGAAAAAAAAGAGAGAGAGAGAGAGACTAGGCCTGGCGCGGTAGATCATGCCTGTAATCCCAGCTACTCGGGAGGCTGAGGCAGGAGAATCACTTGAACCCAAGAGGCAGAGGTTGCAGTGAGCTGAGATCCAGCCACTGCACTCCAGCCTGGGTGACAAGAGTGAAACTCCTTCTTAAAAAAGAAAAAAAGAAAAAAAAAAAAAAAAGAGCAACTAGGCCCGGCATGGTGGATCATGCCTGTAATCCCAGCACCTTGCGAGGCCGAGGCGGGCAAATCACCTGAGGTCAGGAGTTCAAGATCTGTCTGGGCAACATGGCGAAACCCTGTCTCTGCTAAAAATACAAAAATTAGCCAGACATGGTAGCACACACCTATAGTCCCAGCTACTCGGGAGGCTGAGGCAGGAGAATCACTTGAACCCGGGAGGCGGAGGTTGCAGTGAGCTGAGATCGCGCCACTGCACTCCAGCCTGGGTGACAGAGACGAGATTCCGTTTCCAAAAAAAAAAAAAAAAAATGAAAGAAAAAACAACATGGAGGAACACCACATGGAAAATGTCTATAAGCTAAGCCTGGAAGTGGGAGTGTATTACTTGTACATTCCATTTGATATAACCCAGTCACTTGGCTGCACCTTACTATAGAGTACTGAGGGGCGAGGCACAGTGGCTCACACCTGTAATCCTAGCACTTTGGGAGGCCGAGGTGGGCAGATTGCCTGAGCATTTGGGAGGCCAAAGCGGGCGGATTGCCTGAACTCAGGAGTTCAAGACTAGCCTGGGAAACTGGCGAAACCCCATCTCTACTAAAAATACAAAAAATCAGCCGGGCGTGGTGGTGCATGCCTGTAAGCCCTGCTGCTTGGGAGGCTGAGGTACTAGAATTGCTTGAACCCAGGAAGCGGAGGTTGCAGTGAGCCAAAATCATGCCATTGCATTCCAGCCTGGGTGACAGAATGAGACTCTATCTCAAAAAAAAAAAAAGAGTACTGAGGGGCCAGGCATGGTGGCTCATGCCTGTAATCCCAGAACTTTGATCATTTAAGCCCAGGAGTTCAAGACCAGCCTCGGCAACATAGTCAGATTCTGTCTCTACAAAAAAAATTAAAAATTAGCCTGGCATGGTGGTGTGTGCCTGTAGTCCCAGCTACTCGGGAGGCTGAAGCAGGAGGACCACTCGAGCCCAGGAGGTTGAGGCTGCAATGAGCTGTGGTCTCACAACTGCACTCCAGCCTGGGTGACAAAGCGAGACTCTGCCTCAAAAAAACAAACAAAAAAAAACAGTGTCGGTAAATGTAGTCTCTAGCTTGGAAGGCACTTCCCTTTGACAACTTTATACTTTGAAAGGAAGGGCACAGATTTTCAGTGTACATCTTGCTTTCTCTGCTTCACCAGCTAAGGGCTGGTACATACATATTAATACAATTCTACATTCAGTATTCTTTTTCCTGACATAGCTTTTAATTTCTGTAGCTAGAGTCATAGTTGTGGTGAATCTTCATTAATTTTTTTGCATTTCCAACATTCAACCTCCCTTTTTACTTTGGAGAAATCCACCAATATGCCTATTATTATAAGACACTGTTCTTCCCAACTTTCTAAGACCAGGGGAAGACAAAGGGGAGATAGCCCCCACTTTCTTCTGCCCCTAGTAGTAGGGGTTCAAGCAAGGAAGCTAGGCCAATTGATCAGATGATCACTCTTGACACTTTGAATTGGCAGAGTATAATGCAAAAAGCATAGGCCTGCTGGTGTGCACTTGCAGAGTGGCAACAGTATCCACTGGTGGCCATGTTTTGTGGTCAAGTCCAGCAACAGGTTGACATTTAGAAAGATAATGAGAACCCCCACCCAGATTGTTTCTGTGACAATTTCTGAAGCCTTCTCATTTCCAACCTGTTTCCAAGGATTTCTACCCTCCTTACTCCAGACCTGGTGGATCCTGTGAACCGCCTCCTGATAACCTTCCAGGAATCTCTCTTTTTGCTTAAGTTATCCAGCGTTGGTTTTCCTTACTGGCATTCACCACCTCTGACTGGTACAAAGCCTCTCAGAGCACTTTGTGCAAATCTGCTTCCATCAGTCCTATTGCTTGGTTAATTCAAATACTGCTAGAAGGCTGAGCTTGGTGGCTCACATCTGTAATCCCAGCAGTTTGGGAGGCCAAGGCAGGCAGATCACTTGAGGTCAGGAGTTTCAGACCAGCCTGGCCAATATGATGAAACCCTGTCTCTACAAAAAATACAAAAATTAGCCAGGTGTGGTGGTGTGTGCCTGTAATCCCAGCTACTCAGGAGGCTGAGGCAGGAGAATCACTTGAACCTGGGAGGCAGAGTTTGCAGTGAGCCGAGATCACGCCATTGCACTCCAGCCTGGGCCACAAAAGCAAAGACTCCAAAAAAAAAAAACCCAAATACTGCTAGGAACACCATGGTTATTGACAAATCTGGACCGTTTACTCCTGAAGAGCTGGAGCCAGAGTTCCTGGCATGACCTATGAGCTCTCTCTCTCTCTCTTTATTCATAACAAAGGTTTTATACTTCCTGTGAGAAGGAAGGGGCATGGAGAGGAAGAGAGGCAAGCAGCATGGCTTCTGCCAGCTGTTCCCAACCACCTCTTCAAGCAGAGCATAGGTGGCACAAAAGGAATTCTCTAGAGTCCTGCATGGTAACTAGTGAGGGAGAAATTTGGTGGGCTGCAACAAATTTGGTGTGCGTGTGTGCATGCGTGTGTGTGTGTGTGTGTGTGTGTGTGTTCAAGAAGAGAGCCTATACAAGATTCTCCTGACCAGGGAAGAGGAGAAAGAAGTCAATGGCCAATTTGTTGGTCCATTGAACTTTAAAACCTGTATATCATGTACTCTCTTTCAGACAGTCAAGCCTGTTGGCCCTCTTTCTCTGCAATATCTGCATGAACTGTTGCTGTCAAAGAGAGGACCCAGGCTCTACATTGTCAGGGCGTTAACTATTAATGCAAGTAAATATGATTGATGTGCTTTTGAAAGGGGATTTGATCCCCCTGGAGTTATGGACATTGGCCTTTGGTATTGATTGAATCTTGATTCAGTATAGATTTATTTTATTTATTTATTTATTTATTTTGAGACAGAGTCTCACTCTGTTGCCCAAGCTGGAGTTCATGGCACGATCTTGGCTCACTGCAGCCTCTGCCTCCTGGGCTCAAGTGATTCTGCTGCCTCAGCCTCCTGAATAGCTGGGATTACAGACATGCGCCATCATGCCCAGCTAATTGTATTTCTAATAGAGACGGGGTTTCACCATGTTGGCCAGGCTGGTCTTGAACTCCTGACCTCAGGTGATCTGCCCACCTTGGCATCCTAAAGTGCTGGAATTACAGGTGTGAGCCACCGTTCCTGGCCATATAGATTTATTGATATTCTTTCACATAAGCAAACACCTCTGCACTCTAAATTTGTCTAGGCCCCCAAAGCTCATAGATATGAGTGAGGTCATATTCACATACTACCCAAATGTTGCTACCTCATAGTCCTCATGAGTGTATCTTTCCCTCTACCAAATCTGTGTCTTTTTTTTTTTTTTTGAGATGGAGTTTCGCTCTTGTCATGCGATCTCCACTCACTGTAACCTCCACCCTCCAGGTTCAAGCGATTCTCCTGCCTCAGCCCCCCAAATAGCTGGGATTACAGGCAGTGCCACCATGCCTAGCTAATTTTTGTAGTTTTAGTAGAGACGGGGTTTCGCCATGTTGGTCAGGCTGGTCTCAAACTCCTGACCTCAGGTGATCCACCCCCCTTGACCTCCCAAATTGCTAGGATTACAGGCATGAGCCACTGCGACCGGCCCCAAATCCATCTCTTGTTTTCAGGTGATCAAAAAGGTGTCCTCCTAAAAATCAACTGTTGGAGCCCTAACCCCCGGTACCTGAGAGTGTGACTATATTTAAAGACAGGGTCTTTAAAGAGATGAAGTTAAAATGAGGCTGTTAAGTTAGGCCCAGATCTAATCTGACTGGTGTCCTCATACTAAGAGGAAATTTGGACACACAATGAGACACCAGAGAGGTGCATGCACAAAGAAAAGACCATGTGAGGATGCAACAAGAAGGTGACCATCTGCAAGGCAAGGAGAGAGTCCTCAGAATGAAATTAACCTTGCCAACACCTTGATCTTGGACTTCTAGCCTCCAAAACTGTGAGAAAACAAATTTCTCATAGCTGTATAAGGAACTCAGTCTGTGTTATTTTGCTATAGCAGCTCTCGCAAACTAATACAGTCCCTGGCTCTGACAATGATTGTTGAAACTTGTGTTAACCAAGGGTTTTGGGTGCTTTGACACGGGCGGTTTTCTGCACCCTGGAGGGACTGACCCTCTAACGGCTAGCCAATTCCTAGAAATAGTAAAGGACTCACCTACCTTTTTTTTTTTTTTTACCTTTACTAGGTAAACCTAGTAAAGTTTACCTTTTACATGTAAGTCAAGTAATCCAGAGTCCATACCCCAACTATCTCCTCTACTAAGCTGTCACTGGGCTTTCACACCTAGGAGGCTGAGGCAGGAGAATCGCTCGAACCAGGGAGGTGGAGGTTACAGTGAGCTGATATCACGCCACTGCACTCCAACCTGGGTGACAGAGAGAGACTCTGTCACAAAAAAAAAAAAAAAAAAAAAAAGGAAAGAAAAATTTGTATGTTTAGTAGTGACAGGGTTAAGCCATGCTGGCCAGCCCAGGCTGGTCTTGAACTCCTAAACTCAGGAGATCTGCCCACCTTGGCCTCCCAAAATGCTGGGATTACAGGCATGAGCCACTGCACCCAGCGAGACTCCATCTCAAAAAGAAAGAAAGGAGGAAAGAAAGAAAGAAAGAAAGAAAGAAAGAAAGAAAGAAAGAAAGAAAGAAAGAAAGAAAGAAGAAAGGAAGGAAGGAAGGAAGGAAGGAAGGAAGGAAGGAAGGAAGGAAGAAAGAAAGAAAGAAAGAAAGAAAGAAAGAAAGAAAGAAGAAAGAAAGAAAGAAAGAAAGAAATTTAAATTTTCACAGCACGCTTAAACCCTGGAAAAATCGGTAAGGTAAGCGTAAGCAATTGCCCTTTGCCCCAGCCTGTTTTTCTGATCTGGAAGGATGGTGATCCATCTGTTGACTTTCTCTTTGTTTTGAGATGGAGTCTCTCACTGTTGTCACCCGGGCTGGAGTGCAGTGAGCCTAGGCTCACTGCAGCCTCTGCCTCCCAGGTTCAAGCAATTCTCCTGCCTCAGCCTCCCAAGTAGCTGGGATTACAGGCGTGTATCACCATGCCCGGCTAATTTTTTTTGTACTTTTAGTAGAGACGGGGTTTCATTATGTAGGTGAGGCTGGTTTCAAACACCTGACCTCAGGTGATCCACCTGCCTCGGCCTCCCAAAGTGCAGGGATTACAGGCATGAGCCACCATGCCTGGCCCCATCTATTGACTTTCAATCTTCTATTGCTTTTCTTTTCTTTTTTGAGACAGAGTCCCCACTCTGTCACCCAGGCTGGAGTGCAGTGATGCGATTTCAGCTCACTGCAACCTCTGCCTTCTGGATTCAAGCAATTCTCCTGCCTCAGCCTCACGAGTAGCTGGGATGACAGGAGCGTACCTCCATGTCTGGCTAATTTTTGTATTTTTAGTAGAGATGGGGTTTCACCATGTTGGCCAGGCTGGTCTCAAAATCCGGACCTCAAGTGATCTGTCCACCTTGGCCTCCCAAAATGCTGGGATTACAGGTGTGAGCCACCGCACCTGGCCTGCTTTTCTTTTTTAAGCTTACATTTATTGAGTGCTTTGTGTGTGCCGGATATTCTGCATAGACCCTGACAGTTCTTGGAAATTTTTTCCTAGTAACACGCACACACACACACACCCCCCACACCATCCTTGGACCAAGCATTAGAGTTTGTACTAGTGTGAAAGGATTTTGTTAACATTTCAAAGTTTCGCTTTATTGTTCATTAATCGTCGCATTAATCCTATTAGGTACTATTATTATTATTCCCATTTAACTGATACGAAAAAAACTGAGGTTCAAAAAGGCTCATTACTTGCCCAAGATCATAATAAGTAAATGAATTCAATGGCAAGCTGCGATTAGAACTCAGAAACATCTAACTCCAAAACTTACGAGGCTAGGCCTTCCCTATTTTATGATTTGTGGTCCCACATCAGGAGAGTTACTGTCTACCTGGGGTAAGACATTTAGCCAAAGGAAAATACATTACTTGCTATGCTTGTTCAGTTTCCTTTGTACAGGACCAGAAACTAGCTGGCCTTAGAGGTCAGCACTGAGGTAAGTTCCAGGAATGGAGTGAGTCAGGCAAAGTATCCAGATCTTTCATTAGTGGACAAAATCCAAAAGGCAAGTACCAATATTGGAGCCAAAGAAGGGAGCTCTGGTCATTTCCAGAGAAGCCATATCAGTATCAGATACCAGGGGCAAGTGTAAGGCTAGATACAGGAAATGAGACACAAGGTCCAGAGCCCCAGAAATCAGAAAGATGTTAGGGAGAAAGAGGAAGAGACAAGAAGAGGTAAAAAACCTCCAAAATATAGACCAAGAACAAAGGCAGGTGTGGGGAGTTTGAATTAGATTCTAAAGAAGAAGGAAATAAGACAGCTTAAGACTGCAGGCTGTGGCTAGAGAGAGGTAATTGGGAATGCCTTTATGGAACCAGTGATGATGGGGTTTGAGCTGGCCCTTAAGGGATTGGCAAGATTAGATTAGACCAGGAAGTTATTTCAGGAAACTGGAGAAGCAAATTTTGGTCTATGCCTATAAGGGAACAGCAAGCTGATATTGTGGTTGCCAACAATTTAACAAGAGACATTGCTCTGAGGCCAACTGTTCCATGAGCACTCTTTTTTTAAAAAAAGAAAAACAGTCTCGCTCTGTTGCGTAGTTTGGAAGGAAGTGATCTGATGATCACGGCTCACTGACAATTGGCTAAGTTATTTTTATATTTCGTAAAGACAAGGCGTCCCTATGTTGCCCAGGCTGGTCTTGAACTTCAGGGCTCAAGGAATCCTCCTGCCTTGGCCTCCCAAAGCGTTAATATTACAGGTGAGGACCACCATGCCTGGCCTCATGAGTACTCTTGGTCTTTAATTCCCCAGTGGTTCAAGAATTAAGTAATGGATCTGACGTCCATATTAAGGGATTGTCTGCATCTAAGCAGAGGATCCAGGCTTATGATACAGGGCAGGGTTTCTACAGATGGACGCCATGACAGAGGTGTTCTTCTTACAGAAACAACACTCCAGTGTTTTATGGCTACATCGTATGAACTCTGGGACATTATTGTCAGTTTGTGGAGCAGGAAATCTATCTGGGAAGTTTATCACTTTTCCTTCTTGAAGTGTTAAAATGTACATATTGCCCAAGGTATGGAGCTCTCATTAAGGTTCTCTCTGAAGGAGCTTGGACATCAATAATAGGCCAATCTGGTCTGGGCATGGTGGCGGTGGCTAATGCCGTAATCACAGCTCTTTGGGAGGCCAAGGCAGATGGATCACTTGAGCTCAGGAGTTTGAGAACAGCCTGGCAACATGGTAAAACCTCATCTCTCCAAAAAAAAAAAAAAAAAAAAAAATTAGCAGGCCTGGTGGCACGCACCTATAGTCCCCCAGCTACTTGGGGGGCTGAGGTGGGAGGATCACCTGAGCCCAGAAGGTAGAGCCTGCAGTTCGTCATGATTATGCTACTGGACTCCAGCCTGGACAACAGAGTGAGACCCTGTCTCAAAAAAATAAAAGAGAGAGGCCAATCTGGAAACCCCTGACTCCTAGGAAAGTCAGAATTATACCAAGTGCCTTTTTTCCTTCACATAGAAGACCATGTCCCACCTTATTCTAAATTAAACAATGAGTGAGGCTTTGCTGTTGTCTTGTTGAGCTTTGGAATATGGTTCTACACTCCAGTATACTCACCTACCCTCCCACCCCAGCAAAAGTTTTAAAGTCCTATTAACTAAAACTAATCCTGAATTCAGAGATAACATCTGGGATAGTAAAAGGTGAACATGTGACAGTGTAATGCTAATTTTCTAAAGAACAGACAGAGTACAGGACATTACTTTGGGCAAGTAATGCTTTGTCAGGACATAGTGTCTCCCTTACGAAGGGAGCAATGAAGCAGCTAGAACAATGACTGGGCAGGAGCTCTGCATGAGGAGAGTGCAGGAACTCAAGAAACATTCTTGGGTTGCTAATGATCCTGATTCTCACGAGCCAGTTGATTGCAGTTCACTGGGAAGGATTTGTATTTGTATGATACTGAGAAATATATATTTGGTCTTTGACCGTGTGTGCTGGCACACAACTCCTAAAATCCTTGGAATATTCAAAGTGATAAGTGTCTTTCATACACTGAGTTGACTCAAGGCTGGCAGTTCCTAGGTAGTTGCAGGATGGGGGCCTGGTCACCAGAAGGAACAAGGCAGGGTTAGAGGGGATGGGACTTTCAGCTCCATCCCCCAGCTTTCAGGGAAGTGCACAAGAACTCATCCATGTGCCAAGAGAATGTCCCCAACTTCACAGGGACAAAACTGCCGCACTCAAGGACTCTTCTAGAACTCATCCTGTGTATCTCTTCATGTGGCTGTTTATTTGTGTCCTTTAAGATATCCTTTGCATTAAATTGGTCAATATAAGTATTTCCCTAGTTCTGTGGGCTGCTCTAACAAATTAATCCAACCCAAATCGGGGGTTGTGAAAACCCCAAGTTAAAGCTGGTTGGTCAGATGTTCCAGGGGCCTAGATTCATGACTGGTGGGAAGGAGAGGGGGCAGACTTGTGAGATGGAACCCTCATCCTGTGGTTTCTGATGCTATACAGCTGGGATCCACTGCAAAACTGATTGCTTGCATGGTGTGTGGGGAGAAACTCCCACACATTTGCTCACAGAAGTCTTCTGTGTTCGTTGTTGTTGTGGTGTGAGAACAGCAGACAGATGGTTTGAGTTTTTTCCGACACAATTAGGGTTCAACAAAATATAGCAAGGCAATATCCTTTGTGCTCCTATTCCTTTTAGAAATCTTTTAAAGCAGTATGCAGGAAAAAGAAAAGTCCAAGAGTGACTAAAAGAATCTGCAAAGTAAATGAAGGCCAGGGAGGTGCCCACAACAAGCAGGTAGTCTAATGGGGATTTAGATTCTCATTAACACTAGTTTTGGGCCAGGTGCAGGGGCTGACTCCTGTAATCCCAGCACTTTGGGAGGCCAAGGCGGGCAGATCACTTGAAGTCAGGAGTTTGAGACCAGCACAGCTAACATGGTGAAATCTCATCTCTGCTAAGAATACAGAAAGTAGCTGGGCGTGGTGGTGGGAGCCTGTAATCTCAGCTACTCCGGAGGCTGAGGCAGGAGTATTGCTTGAACTTGGGAGACGGAGGTTACAGCGTGCTGAAATCATACCACTGCACTTCAGCCTGGGCAACAGAGTGAGACTCCATCTCGAAAACAAAAAACAAAACAAAACAAAACACCACTAGTCTTGGTCTTTGGTACTAATAAAAATAAAATAATAAGATAAATAAATTATTGCCAGGTGTGGTGGCTCACACCTGTAATCCCAGCACTTTGGGAGGCCGAGGAAGGTGGATCACAAGGTCAAGAGTTCAAGATCAGCCTGGCCAAGATGGTGAAACCCCATCTCTACTAAAAATACAAAAATTAGCTGGGCATGGTGGTGGGAGCTTGTAATCCCAGCTACTCAGGAGGCTGAGGCAGAAAATTGCTTGAACCCGGGAGGTGACGGTTGCAGTGAGCTGAGATGGTGCCACTGCACTGGTCTAGCCTAGGCAACAGAGCGAGACTCCGTCTCGAAAAAAAAGAAGAGAGATAAATGAATTATCAGTAATACATCAGTGTGTGGACATACTACTTCCCTGTTTGACATCTTGAGAAGCCATAGGCCCCAGCTGGGAGAACACATGTTTGGCTCAGAGCTGTGTCTGAACCTTGTCTCCACACCTAAGGAATGGGAGGAGGCAGGCTTTTCAGCTCCTCCACTTTCCCACTCCCCAGTGCAGAGCTCAGTGAGTGACCCAGGACTGGTGCAGAGCCCGTTGTCTCATTGTCACTGGAAATGCAGCAACGCAAAGACTGCTTTATTTCATTTTGTTTGGGGACTAAAAGACAAGAAGATTAAAGCACATGGCACTCGTTTTAAAAACAGGAATAGAACAGATGGGGTACGGAGCATCTACACAATTATTTTATTACTCTTGGGTTGTTACCAATGTTTGCTCCTTCTCAGCACAAAAACACTAGAGACTTTAATGACAGGTGTGTACATGAGTGTGTGTGTGTGTGTGTGCATGCTGACTGATGTGACATTCTCTCATTAGGGTCTTAGAGTCAACCTAGCCAGTCCTAGGCACAGTTATGAAGCAATATCATGGAGCACCTGAATACAAGTTTTGGAAGAGCCCTTTGGAATCATAGTTGCCAACTTCCTCATTTTGTAGTTGAGAATTAAAGTCCAGAGAGATGAGCTTTTTTGGAGAATCATGTAGCTTGTTGATTAAGGTGAGTCATGAGCCCAGGAATCCAGCAAGATACAGTGGAAAGAACACTGGCCTAAGACCCGGTGTCTGGGTCCTTCTACCAGGTCTGCCATCCACTGGCTCACTGCATGATCTTAGATAAGTCATTTAGCCTCTCTGAGTCTCAGTTTCTTCACTTATAAAAAAGACTATAGGCTGGGCATAGTGGCTTTCGCCTGTAATCCTGTACTTTGGGAGGCGGAGGTGGGAGGATCATGAGGTCAGGAGTTCAAGACCAGCCTGGCCAACATAGTGAAACCCCATCTCCACTAAAAATACAAAAATTAGCTGGGCATGGTGACGCATGCCTGTAATCCTAGCTACTTGGGAGACTGAGGCAGGAGTATGGCTTGAACCTGGGAGGCGGAGGTTGCAGTGAGCCAAGATCGTGCCACTGCACTCCAGCGTGGGTGACAGAGCGAGACTCTGTCTCAGAAAAAAAAAAAACAACACATTATAACAACTTAATACGGACCCAGCCCCAGCTTCTCTCAAAGCGTGTGTCATTCCATTTTGCATTGCTATAAAGGAATACCCAACACTGGGAAATTTATAAGAAAAGAAGTTTATCTGGCTCATAGTTTTGCAGGCTACAGACACATGGCACCAGCATCTGCTTCTGGTGAGCCTCCAGGAATCTTTTACTCATGGCAGAAGGCAAAGAGGGAGCAGGTGTGTCACATGGCAAGAGAGGGAACAAAAGAGAGAGAAGAAAGGAGGTGCTGGTCTCCTTCTAACAACCAGCTGTCTCGTGAACTAATAGAACAACCATTCACTCATTATTACTAGGATGGCACTAGGCCATTCATGAAGGTTCTGCCACCCATGACCCAAACACCTCCCACTAGGCCCCACCTCCAACATTAGGGATCACATTCCAACATGAGATTTGAAAGGGACAAACATCCAAACCATATCAGTTTGTGAGAGCAAATGGGTCTGAAAAAAATAAATGATTGCGTGGATGTGGGTATGTGTGGTGTCTATACCAAAATGTAATCTGTGCACTGTTGTGGGAAGAGCTTGGGGAGAGGAGTACCAATTTGTTACAATTATTTTGGTTGGTCCATTGCAAATAATAAATCAGCTCAAACTTGCTTAGGAGGTAGAGAGGGAGGAAGGAGAAGAGAGAGAAAGAGGCAGAGGGGGAAGAACATGGTGGGGTGGATAGAGAGACTGATTTTGACTTATTGATCCTGTAACAGAGAAGTCCAGAGATAAATAGATACAGCTGGATCTAGGAACTCCAGTGATGCCATCTGAGCTCACCCTCTCTCCCCCTTATCTCAATTATCCTCTTTGATGGCTCCATTATTAGGCTCTTCGTGGTGGCTCCTGGTAGATTCAGGCTCACATCACCCTTACAACTTCTAGTCTTATTGGAAAGAATTTCTTGCTTTCTTTCACCCGATTAAAATAAGGGCCTGGCCGGGCACGATGGCTCACGCCTGTAATCCCAGCACTTTGGGAGGCCAAGGCAGGCCTATCAGGAGTTCAAGACAAGCCTGGCCAATATAGTGAAACCCTGTCTCTACTAAAAATACAAAAATTAGCCAGGCGTGGTGGTACACACCTGTAGTCCCAGCTACTTGGGAGGCTGAGGCAAGAGAATTACTTGAACCTGGGAGGCAGAGATTGCAGTGAGCCGAGATTGTGCCACTGTGCTTCAGCCTGGGCGACACAGTGAAACTCCACCTCAAAAAATAAATTAATTAATTCAATAAAATAAAATAAAATAAGGGCCTAACTCTGGTCACGTGCTCATCTTTGAACCAATAACTGGCCAAGGGAAGAGTGTATGGTGACTGGCTTGTGCCTGGAACCTGGGATGGAGACATCTTCACCCAAATAACAAAGATTGAAGTAAGTAGAGGGGGCGGTTTCCAAAAGATAAATGTGGGCACTATACCAGAATAAGGAGGAATGGATCCTAAACAGGAAAAAGATAACAGAAATTGCTGAGAGTCAGGCAAGCCTAGGTTCCCATTTTAGCTTTAGACAAAAATATTCACTTCTTTGAGGCTCAATGTCCTCTTCTGTAATATAACAGGAATAATCTTTTTCTCCAAGGGGTGCAATGAGCATTACAGAAAGTACTATAAGCCTTGTCAGGAAAGCTGAGCAACTGCTGGGAAAGGAATTAATCTGTGAAAGGAGCACGGGGCTCAACAAGACTGTACTAGAAATGTAACAAGATGGAGAAAATCAAATTCCCCTAGTCCACTCAGGAAAAGTGCTACACATGACTGAAAGGAATATATTCATAAACAATTTGGGGTAAGGGTAGAGAACAAGAACTCAAATCCCTAATATGCCTTTGGAGAAGATACAACAATTACTTACAGGGCTTTACTTTTGTTGTAGGTATTTGCAAGTTTGTAACAAGAGTTGAATTGTGCTGGAATGTAGAGGGGACACTGAGCCTTGTTAACGACCTTCATCCTCCATCCATCTCCCCAAGGAAGCCCAGCCTCTTTTCTCACTATGTTGTCATCACATATTTAAAGAATGTGGGTTGAAGGGACGCCAGTGTTTAAAAGCAATTTAGTACATGGTCCTTAGTGGATACTTTATTTTCCCTTTATAAAAAATTTTTCTTAGGTGTGTGAGGGATGGCTGGGAACTCAAAATCATATCATGTAAGCATTATGTTGAAAGAATTGCAGATGTTTAAAAAACAGGGAACCACAGGTATACAGAGGGACTATTGTGACTATTTCACATATTTAAAGGCTGACATGCAGAAAAGGCTTTAGGTGTTTTGAGCAGCTCCAGAGAGTTGAACTAGCAGCCACTGAGGAATGTAGGGACAGGGAGATTTTAGGATACATGGGAAAGCACTTCAACACTTGAAGTTGCCAGCAATGAAATCATTTGCCCTGATATGTACTAAGTTTCTTCTCAGTTCAGGTGTGGGGTGGGTATGGGAACAACCAGTTGTCACAAATGCTATGGAGAGGATTCAGGTCTCCTGTGGACATTTTTCCCTGGAAAGGGGTGTAGAAAATGCAGTGTGTGCCTCGCCCACAGACTTTCCCTCAGACTTTCCATGTCAGTGTGCTCTGGCCGACTTCCACCTTCCAGCGTCTGCATCATGGAGCCTGAGGGAGTTTCTGAAACTGTGGAAGGCCACCCTGTCCTTCTATGTGTGGCAGGTTGAAAGGGCTGGGAAATTATGACTCCCCCAGGAGCAGCCCTCAACAAATGACTCTCAGGATTTGGCATATAAATTATTTGAGCCACCTCACCCTGGGGTGGGATAATTCTGAGGACATGTTTTGTACCATTTCCCAGAGCTTCCCTGAGATTAGACTCTAGCTGCCCACAGAGAAAACTTGCTTAATAACACACCCTTTTATTGGCTGCCTCCCTTTCTCTTCCCCATCTCACTTCCTCTCTCCCTTATGGTGTCCCTGGGATCAATTCCCAACTAAACAACTTACACAGGAATCCTTGTTCCAGAGTATGCTTCTAGGGAGACCCAAAGTATGAGAAGTATCTTCTTCTTCTTTTTTTTTTTTTTTTTTTTTGAGATGGAATCTAGCTCTGTCGCCAGGCTGGAGTGCAGTGGTGCGATCTCGGCTCACTGCAACCTCCGCCTCCCGGGTTCAAGCAATTCTCTGCCTCAGCCTCCCAAGTAGCTGGGACTACAGGCACCTGCCACCACATGGCTAATTTTTGTATTTTTAGTAGAGACAGAGTTTCACCATATTGGCCAGGCTGGTCTTGAACTCCTGACCTTGTGATAGGCCTGCCTTGGCCTCCCAAAGTGCTGGGATTACAGGCGTGAGCTACCGCACCGGGCCGAGAAGTATCTTCTAACAGTGTTTGTTCATTTAGTTGTCAGTTTGCGTGCAGCTACAACGGAATACCACAGATTGGGTGATTTATAAAAATAGATGCTCATGGCTGGGTGCAGTGGCTCACACCTGTAATCCTAGCACTTTGGGAGGCTGAGGTGCGTGGATCATCTGAGGTCAGAAGTTCAAGACCAGCCTGACCAACATGGTGAAACCCCATCTCTACTAAAAATACAAAAATTAACTGGGCATGGTGATTACAGGGCGCCTATAATCCCAGCTACTTGGGAGGCTGAGGCAGGAGAATCACTTGAACTGGGAGGCAGAGGTTGCAGTGAGCCGAGATTGCACCATTTCACTCCAGTCTGGGCAACAGAGCGAGACTCTGTCTCAAAAAAAAAAAAAGATGTTCATTTTGCTCACTGTTCTGGAGGATGGGAAGTCCACGATCCAGAGGCTTCAACTGCTGAGGCCTTTCTTGTTGCATCAACAAAAGGCATCACATGGCAAGAGTGAGCAAAAGAGTGCTGAACTCGCTTTTATAACAAAACCATCCCCACAGTAAGTAACATACTCCCGTGCTAAAAACACCAATCCATAGCCAGACACAGTGGCTCATGCCCTTAATCCCAGCACTTTGGGAGGCCAAGAGGGGAGGATCACTTGAGCCCAGGAGTATAAGACCAGCCTGGCCAACACAGTGAGACCCTGTCTCTATAAGAAATAAGATTTTAAAAAAATTTTTTTAAAGGAAAAAGAATAAAATAAAAATAATAAAAATAAAAAGATTAATTTGGGCTGGGCATGGTCG
Organism: Homo sapiens; assembly: GCF_000001405.40. Classification (NCBI taxonomy): domain Eukaryota; kingdom Metazoa; phylum Chordata; class Mammalia; order Primates; family Hominidae; genus Homo; species Homo sapiens. The sequence goes on along the minus strand of NC_000003.12, from coordinate 27,569,382 downwards.
CTCAGGCCCATGAGCTCAGCACTGTGGGAGGCCAAGGCAGGCAGATCACTTGAGTCCAGGAGTTTGAGACCAGCCTGGGTAACATAGCAAAACTTCGTCTCCATACAAAACAAAAAAAAAAGAAAAAGAAAAGAAAATGAGTGAAGTGTGGTTGTGCATACCTGTAGTCTTAGCTACTTAGGAGGCTGAGATGGGAGGATCAATTGAGCCCTTGAGCTCAAGGCTGCAGTGAGCTGAGATTACACCACTGCACTCCAGCCTGGGTGACAGAATGAGACCCTGTCTCAATAATAATAATAATAATAATAATAATAATCCATGAATGACCTAATCACCTCTTAAAAGTCCCACCTCTTAATACTGTTGCATTGGGAGTAGGTTTCCAGCACGTGAACTTTGAGGGACACATTCAAACCAAGGCAGTCATTCAGCAACCAACACCGGGGTTACTCTGAGGAGTAGATCCTACAGAAGTTAAGGTGACTAACGTGGTTCTTGAGTATGAGAAAAATCAGTGTAGAAGAAGATGAGATGTATCGTGATGTTTTCTGTACCAGAGAGGGTAAGAAATGTTATGAGATTTTAGCCCCAGGAGCTGTCAGGCAATTACCCCATGAGTCCTTTGGCATTTATTTGATTTTCACAAGCAAAGAATATTTTGGGAACAAGAGCTCTTGAAGGCCAGGCCTCCTTGCCTTTTTTGGTCAGGGTCTGCCTGGGAGTCGCACAAGCATACCCATCTATGTTTTCAGGAAGCCCTGTTTAATAGTGTGTCTGCCTTTCCTTTACATGCTCCCTCGGGTGAAGCAAGGCAGATGGAGAAGGCTTTAGCAGACAGCGTGGGCATGTTTCCAAGCCCTCAGGCTGCTGAGCAACAATGCCGATGCCAGCACCAACAGGCTGAGGTGGCTTCTTCATTTTAGAAACAGAAAGGATCAAAATCTCCCAGTCGTCCCAGTCCCTACCCATTCTTTCAAGGCTCAATTTAAAAGCCCACCCCCTCCGTCAAGTCCTTCCTGATCATCTGGTGCCAGCCTGCTGCACCTTCCCTCCTCTAAATGCCTCTGTCATCACTTACAGGACCCTTCCATCTTCTTTCTTTGAGTTACCACCAACGTTTTCTTATATAAATAGGTCTTCTTTGCTGACAGAAACAATAATGACTTTTTACTGAATATGATGTTTTGAGGCTAAGAAGTACAAAGTTTAGTAGGAGCTAAACAGACAATTCAAAAATTTGAAAAAAAACCTATGTGTCTGTCAAGAAGAAAAGGGTAAAATCAGGCCGAGCATGGTGGCTTACGCCTGTAATCCCAGCATTTTGGGAGGCCAAGGTGGGTGGATCACCCAAGGTCAGGAGTTCAAAATCAGCCTGACCAACATGGTGAAATCCCAACTCTACTAAAAATACAAAAAATCAGCCAGGTGTGGTGGCAGGCACCTGTAATCCCAGCTACTCAGGAGGCTGTGGCAGGAGAATCACTTGAACCTGGGAGGCAGAGGTTGCAGTGAGCCAAGATTACGCCATTGCACTCCAGCCTGGGTGACAGAGCGAGACTCCATCTCAAAAAAATAAAGAAAGAAAGAAAGAAAGAAAGAAAAGAAAAAGAGTAAAATTGCTTGTACAGTCATACTGTAAAATATGTATGTAGACATTAAAAAGCAAAAGGTAGCTCTCTATGTAAGGACATGGAAAAATATTTATATCCACCGATGTATTTTTATCATTTTTAATTTTATTTTATTTTTCAATTTATTTAAAAATAAATTATATCCATTAAAACACAGGAAAGAGCTTTAAATGCATATTGCTGAGTGACAGAAACCAGTCTGAAAGGGCTACATACTGTATGATTCCAACTATATGACATTTTGGAAAAGGCCAAAGTACAAAGACAGTAAAAAGATCAGTGGTTGCCAGGGTTAGGGGAGAGGGACAAATAGGCAGAGCACAGAGGACTTTTATGACAGTGAAACTGTTCTGTGTGATACTGTAATGGTGGATACATGACTGTATTTGGTAAAACCCATAACATGCACAATACAGAGTGAACCCTAATGTAAACTGTGGACTTTAGCCAATAATAATGTATCAATATTAGCTCATCAATTGTAACAAATGTACCGCACCAATGCAAGATGTTAATAACATGGGAAACTATGAGCAGGGAGGGGAGTAAATGAGAACTCTCTCCTTTTTTTTTTTTTTTTTTTTTGAGACCAAGTCTCACTCTGTTGCCCAGGCTGGAGTGCAGTGGTGTGATCTCGGCTCACTGCAACCTCTGCCTCCCGGGTTCAAGGGATTCTCGTGCCTCAGCCTCCTGAGTATCTGGGACTACAGGTGTGCACCACCACTCCAGGCTAATTTTTTTTGTATTTTTAGTAGAGACAGGGTTTCACCATGTTGGCCAAACTGGTTTTGAACTCTTGACCTTAGGTGATCTGCCCGCCTCAGCCTCCCAAAGTGCTGGGATTACAGGCATGAGCCACAGTGCCCAGCCGAGGACTCCTATCTATTTGATTTTCTCTAAACCTAAACCCGCTCTAAGAAACAAAGCCTATTAATTTATTTTAAATTATAGAACAATAGGTATAGTATGGTTCCATGTGTATAAAAAATTACATATTTGTGTCTATTTATAGGTTTGGAAACATGGCAAATACTCTAGAAAAATGAGCACCCAATAAACTATTAACAGTCATTTTTCTAGCAAACAGGATGAGTGGCAAAGAAAATGAAAGACTATTACTTTTGTATGAAATAGTTCAGATACAAAAATGTACACAAAATAATATAATGAGCACTTCTGTACTGGGTACCTCTTCTAACCCCACCAACCAGCTTCTGAATAAAAACGTGGGTGAAGGGATTCACTCTTGCCACTCTATGTACTTGTTTTTTGAGATGGATTCTAGCCCTGTTGCCCAGGCTGGAGTCCAGTGGTGCAATCTAGGCTCACTGTAGTGGTGCAATCTCGGCTCACTGCAACCTCTGCCTCCTGAGTTCAAGCAATTCTCATGCTTTAGCCTCCGGAGTAGCTGGGACTACAGGCATGTGCCACCATGCCTGGCTAATTTTTCTATTTTTAGTAGAGATGGGGTTTCACCATGTTGCCCAGGCTGGTCTGGAACTCCTGACCTCAAGTGATCCACCTGCCTCGGCCTCCCAGAGTGCTGGGATTACGGGGGTGAGTAACTGCACCCGGCCTGTAATTGTATATTTTTCAATATTCCTTTTCTTTTTTTCTTTTTTTTTTTTTTTTGAGACAGAGTTTCAGTCTTGTTGCCCAGGCTGGAGTGCAATGATGCGATCTCTGCTCACTGCAACCTCTACCTCCCGGGTTCAAGCGATTCAACTGCCTCAGCCTCCCGAGTAGCTGGGATTAAAGGCGTGCACCACCATGCCTGACTAATTTTGTATTTTTTTAGTAGAGAAGGGGTTTCACCATGTTGGTCAGGCTGGTCTCGAACTCCTGACCTCAGGTGATCCACCCGCCTTGGCCTCCCAAAGTGCTAGGATTACAGGCGTGAACCACCATGCTAGGCCTAATGTTTCTTTTTTACATAAACATTTACTAATATTGTGATTTTTTTTAATAAAGAGAAAAGGTTGAAATGCGATAAATACAAGATGCTGCATGAGAACAAAGGTGGAAGTGATGAATGGAGGAACCGGGGGAGTCCGAAGGCTGGTAGACAAGTGCCATTAAAGCAGGCACAGAATTAGAGGAAGAGAGAAAGAGGAATTTTAGTAGATGCAAAAACAAAGAGTTGGGAAGGGAACAGGAAGTGGTTCTGAAAGTCAGTGGCAGGGAGGAAAGAAAATGTTCCAAGCCTTACAATGGAACCTGGAGTATCTGGTTGCAGTTTGACTGTGAAAGGCATTCAATATTGTGGTAAGGAGGTTGGTCTTTGTGTTGTCAGCACAGAACATCTAGAAGCAGCACCTAAGATGTCTCGAGATCTGCTCAGATGTATTTGATGGGGAGTAGCAGCTGGGAGCAATGGCTGGAATGGCAACACCAGGCACACTGCCAGGGAGTGGACTCCTGTGTCCCCAGATTCAATGATGTTCAGAAAACATGTATTTTATTTTAGTCTTTAAATTTTTTGTTGATTTGACTTGGAAAAGTAAACCTAAATATTTTCTCCCGAAATGTTGAAATAACACAGAAGTATGTGTAAAAACCTGTAACTGCTTCACTTTACCCCTCCCTGCCTCAGGCTTCCCGAAAGTTAGACTCCATTAACTCTGATTATTTTTAGATGCCAAGGTACAGAGAAGACTATGGTCTTCCCAGCATTCTCATAAAAGGGCATGAGCTATCTTCAGGAGGCCCCAGTTAAAAGAGTATATGTTATCTGGACATGACACTAAAATTCCCAAAACCCCAAAGATAACAATCCCTTTCTTTAGAACTGCTTGGATATGTTTTGTATTTCCTCAGTAATGGCGTGCCATTGATTTTGAGAGTTCCGAGGTATATTACCTCTTGGCCTTTATTAAGCTAATTGACTTTTCCAGGAGGCAGTCTGTTTTTCCCTCTTATGACAAAGAGTCAGTCTTTGTGAGTCTAAACATCAGAAATAGAGAAGCATCTTGATTTGGGGAGTTATCCCAGGTAGGGTTCCCTGGGAAGCAGCCTCTGAGATGGAGTTAGTGTGCAGGAAGTGTATGGGGGAGTGCATTTGCCATCCACACCTGTGGAAGGAAAGAAAATGAAGCAAAATTGGGCACAGGAAGAAGTGGAGCTACCACACAGACATGATGAAGGCCACAGCCAACCCCACGGGAGTTCTAAAGATGGGGGACACTTCAGAATTGTCCTACACCGAGGCAAGAGGTCAGGGCCTCTAAAATTTACACACATCAGTCACTGGATTTGGGCTGCCCTGAGACAAAATTGTGACAATTGACGAGGCACCTCTCTTCAGCTGAGATAATCTCCCAAAAAGGCTGTCAGCTGAGGAAATAAGACCTTCAGTCCTGAAGAATGGTCTGACCTATGCATCACAAAAGTAATTTATCTAGGCCAGGCACCATGGCTCACGCCTGTAATCCCAGCGCTTTGGGAAGCCAAGGCAGGTGGATCACCTGAGGTCAGGAGTTCGAGAGCAGCCTGGCCAACATGGTGAAACCCTGTCTCTACTAAAAATACAAAAATTAGCCGGGCATCGTGGTACACGCCTGTAATCCCAGCTACTTGGGAGGCTGAGGCAGGAGAATCGCTTGAACCTGGGAGTTGGAGGTTGAAGTGAGCCGAGATCAAACCACTGCACTCCAGCCTGAGCAACAGAATGAGACTCCGTCTCAAAAAAAAAAATTAGTAATGTAACTAAACCCTTTGCTGTTTTACAGGGAGACCCACAGAGGCCTGGGCTTCCAAGACCTCCTATCTTTTTCATCCTGAGCTAATGCAATAGCAAAGTGCCTTGCAGAACAATCACCCCCAAAAGTTAATTAATTAACTTGACAACCACTTACTGTACTGAATTTTACCATATGGCAGATATTGTTTTGAATGCTAAAGCATCCCAACAGTGAACACAGTAGAGCTTACATTCTACTGGTGGAGGCACACAGATCCTAAACAGAAGAGCTGGTTAGAAGACACAGTATGTTAGACAGTGACTGTTATGGTGCGTATGTTTTTGCTGCCCCCCGTCCCAACAAATTCATATGTTGAAATCCAACCCCCAAGGTGATGGTATTAAGAGGTAGGGTCTTTGGGGAGGTGATTAGGACATAATGGCAGAGCTCTCATGAATGACATTTCTGTCCATATAAAGGAACACCAGGGAGCTTCCTTGCCTCTTCCACCATCTGAGGATACAGTAAGAAGACAGCTGCTGTCTAAGAACCTGAAGCAGGCCCTCCACAGATTTCTAATCTGCGGGAGCCTTGATGTTGGATTTTCCAGCCTCTGGAACTGTAACAAGTAAATTTCTGTTGTTGCTAAGCCACTCAGTCTGTAGTATTTTGTTATAGCAACCCAAGGATTACTATGAAACAGGGAAGGAAGCTAGGAAGTGCTAGGTGTGGTTAGGGGAGGGGTGAGGATTTCCAGATATGTGGAGCACCAAGTACAAAGGCCCTCAGGTGAGGGTGAGCCTGAGGTGTTTATGGAACAGCTAGGGGTCCAATGTGGCTGAAGTAAAACAAAAGAGGGAGAAAATATGCCCTGCGTGGTGGCTCACGCCTGTAATCCCAGCACTTTGGGAGGCCAAGGCAGGTGGATCATCTGAGGCCAGGAGTTCGAGACCAGTCTGGTCAACATGGTGAAACCCCGTGTCTACTAAAAATACAAAAATTAGCTGGGCATGGTGGCGCATGCCTGTAATCCCAGCTACTCGGGAAGCTGAGGCAGGAGAATTGCTTGAACTCAGGAGGTGGAGGTTGCAGTGAGCTGAGATCATGCCTCACTGTCTCAAGAAAATAAATAAATAAATAAATAAAATAAATATGGACAAGGAAAGTTGTGTTTCGCATTTCTTTCTATCTTTTATTTAAAAAAAAAAAAAAAGCTGGAAAAATCTTTGACTATGAGCAGCCCTACTTCTAATGTCTTTAGCTTTCACACTTTTCCCAAAATTATGTTCCTAAAACTAGCTCTGGTGGCAAAGTGCGTGGCATTCTAGGGTTCAAAATCCGTGTAACGTTGACCAAGTTTATTAACCATTCTAAGCTTTAGGGAATAATAACAGTACCCATGTCATAGGATTATTGATAGAATAAAAGGAAGTAATTTATGAAAAATGCTTAGTACAAAGATGAGCAAATAGTATTAATAAGTATTTAATAAACATTAGTTTTCATTAGTAATGCTACTATTATCATCCTCATACTTATTGTCATCACCATTCTTATTATTATTTTATTCATCCTACCTCAAAAAGTCCTCATGGCTCACTAATGCCCACAGAATGTTGTCTGAACTCTACAGCAGGCATTTAAGCCAATCATCTTTTAATGCATCTGTGTGTGTGTGTGTGTGTGTGTGTGTGTGTGTGTGTGACAGAGTCTTGCTCTGTTGCCCAGGCTGGAGTGCAATGGTGCGATCTTGGCTCACTACAACCTCCGCCTCCTGGGTTCAAGCTGTTCTCCTGCCTCAGCCTCCTGAGTAGCTGGGATTACAGGCGCTCACCACTAAACCGGCTAATTTTTTTAGTAGAGACGAGGTTTCACCATGTTGGTCAGACTTGTCTTGAACTCCCAACCTCAGGTGATCCTCCCGCCTTGGCCTCTCAAAGTGCTGGGATTACAGGCATGAGCCACCGTGCCCAACCTTATTGCATCTCAATTCATTCCCTGTATCCCATTACCACCCGCCTGCCCCATACTACAGCCTCAGCAAGCCATTTACTGTTATCCCTCATGCTTTACCTAAGACCACTCCTATTTCTTGGCCTGGCTGTGGCTCATGCCTGTTATCCCAGCATTTTGGAAGGCCAAGGCAGGAAGCTCTCTTGAGGCCAGGAGTTCGAGACCAGTCTAGGCAACATAGCAAATTTTGTCTCTACAAAAAAATTTTAAAAATTAAAAAATCATCTGGGCATGGTGGCACCCGCTTGTAGTCCCAGCTACTCAAGAGGCTGAAGTGGGAGGATTGCTTAAGCTCAGGAGTGTGAGGCTGTGATGAGCCATGATCATGCCACTGTACTCCAGCCTGGATGACAAAGCGAGATGCTGTCTCAAAAATAAATAAAGCCATTCCTTCTTTTTGTATTGCCTTTCTCTCAAATTTCTGGCTGTCAAAATATTACCTGTCTTTAGGACTCAGCTCAAATTAGGGGCAGTACAGCATAGTCTTTTCTTTTTTTTTTTTTTTGAGACGGAGTGTCTCACTCTGTCATCAGGCTGGAGTGCAATTCTCACTGCAACCTCCGCCTCCTGGGTTCAACTGATTCTCGTACCTCAGCCTCCTGAATATGTGGGACTACAGGCACGCACCACAACATCCGGCTAATTTTCATATTTTTAGTAGAGACGGGGTTTCACCATGTTGGCCATGATGGTCTCGATCTCCTGACCTGGTGATCCATCTACCTCGGCCTCCCAAAGCGCTGGGATTACAGGCGTGAGCCTCCGTGCTCGGCCTTTTTTTTTTTTTTTTTTTTTTTTGAGACAGAGTCTTGCTCTGTCACCCAGGCTGGAGTGCAGTGGCCCAATCTCAGCTCACTGCAAGCTCCGCCTCCCAGGTTCACGCCATTCTCCTGCCTCAGCCTCCTGAATAGCTGGGACTACAGGCGCCTGCCACCACGCCCGGCTAATTTTTTGTGTTTTTGGTAGAGATGGTGTTTCACCATGTTAGCGAGGATGGTCTCGATCTCCTGACCTCGTGATCCGCCCGCCTCCCCTCGGCCTCCCAAAGTGCTGGGATTACAGGCAGGAGCCACCGTGCCCGGCCCTTTTTTTTTTTTTTTTTTTTTTTCTCTAATTAGCCCTAGTACTCTAGAAAACAGAGCCCAAGGCAGGGATTAAAGTGCTAATGCTTCCTTTGAGAAGTGCAAACCCACAGCAGCTGGGATGGGGAAAAGGGGAAGTGGGGCAAGAAAAGATGTGGAGCAATATAAAGTAATGTTTTACTCTGTTGTACAATATAAAGTAATATATTGCACAATATAAAGTAATATATAAAGTGCAATATAAAGTGCAATAATATAATGTATATATTATATATTAATATATATTAATGTTATATAATTATAATATTATAATACTATATTAAGGTAATATATAAAGTGCAATAATAATATAAAATTGCAATATAAAGTAATGTTTTACTCTGTTGTGCGGGTGCGTGCTCAGCACACAGAACTTCTCTCACATTGAGGTTGTCCGTGGAAGAGAGGAAGGTAGACGAAACCCTGTCTCCCGCTTCCAGTTGGCCAAAGTGTGTTTTTTGTTGTTGCGGTTTTGTTTTGTTTTATTTGAGACAGAGTCTCACCTTGTCACCCAGGCTGGAGTGTAATGGCGCGATCTCGGATCACTGCAACCTCTGCCTCCCAGAGTTCAAACAATTCTCCTGCCTCAGCCTCCGGAGTAGCTGGGATTACAGGCGCCCACCACTACGCCCAGCTAATTTTTGTATTTTTAGTAGAGCCACGTTGGCCAGTCTGGTCTGGAACTTCTGACCTCAGGTGATCCGCCCACCTTGGCCTCCCAAAGTGCTGGAATAACAGGCATGAGCCACTGCACACGGCCCTAATTGGCGAAAGTTTGCTCTGCAGGCAGAAACTACCTTGCATTCCTGCTTGCATCATTCTTTCCTTTTGCCTATCTGATCCTATGCCCTGCAGCACAGCATTTCATCCAAATCCGGAAGCAGTGGGAGAAGCCAGACATTCTGGAAGAGCGTCTGCTTGATCCAGCTGCAGAGCACTAGCCAAGGGGGAGGGCCTAGTTTGTCCTCAGCTGCGGTATGATTGAGGAGGTGGACCATGCCAGAGGATATGAGAAGTCACAAAGCATCTGTGTCCGTGCAGCATCTAAGAGAGTGGGTTCTAAAGAACATAGGAAAAGACCATTTCCTACCACTCACCAGCTGCGTGACCTGGGTAAAACACTTTATGCCAATGTTTTTTCTTTTTTCTTTTACCTTCTTATTTTTAAATAATTCTAAACTTACAGGAAGTAGCAAAAATAGTACAAAATTTCCACTATACCCATCACTCACTGCTATGGACTGAATGGTGTCTCCCCACAATTCATATGTTAAAGCCCCAACCCTCAGTGTGATGGTATTTAGCCTGGTGCCTTTAGGAGGTGATTTGGTTTAGATGAGGTCATGAGAGTTGGGTCTCATAATGGAATTAGTGCCCTTAGAAGAAGAGGCACCAGAGAACTTGCTACCCCCCTGCCATGTGAGAACACAGTAAGAAGACAGCCATCTGTAAGCCAGGAAGAGAGTTCTTATTAGAACCTGATCATGCTGTACCTTGATCTTGGACCTCCATCCTCCAGAACTATAAAAAAAATAGACTTCTGTTGTGTAAGCCACCTAGTCCGTGGTATTCTGTTATAGCAGCCCAACCTGCCATATGTCACCAATTGTTAACATTTTGCTGCATTTGTTTTATCATTCTTTCCTTCTCTCTCTCTCTCTCCATACACATGAATGCACACACATCTAATTATTACAGTTTTCTGAAGTATTTGAGAGGAAATTTATGACATCATGCCCCTTTATTCCTAAATACTTCAGAGTAAATTTCCTATTAACAAGGACATTCGGCTGGGTAAGGTGGCTCACGCCTGTAATGCCAGCACTTTGGGAGGCCGAGGCAGGCAGATCACCTGAGGTCAGGAGTTCAAGACCAGCCTGACCAACATGGAGAAACCCCGTCTCTACTAAAAATACAAAATTAGCCGGACATGGTGGCACATGCCTGTAATCCCAGCTACTCGGGAGGCTGAGGCAGGAGAATGGCTTGAACCCGGGAGGCAGAGGTTGCTGGGCAACAGGAGTGAAACTCCACCTCCAAAAAAAAAAAAAAAAACCAAGGACATTCCTGGCCAAGTGCAATGGCTCATGCCTGTAATCCCAGCACTTTGGGAGGCTGAGGCAGGTGGATCACAAGGTCAGGAGTTCAAGACCAGCCTGGCCAAGATGGTGAAACCCAGTCTCTACTAAAATTACAAAAATTAGCTGGGCGTGGTGGCGAGCGCCTGTAATCCCAGCTACTTGGGAGGATGAGGCAGAGAATTGCTTGAACCTGGGAGGCAGAGGTTGCAGTAAGCCAAGATCACACCACTGCACTCCAGCCTGGGCAACAAAGCGAGACTCCTTCTCAAAAAAAAAAAAAACAAGGACATTCCTTATATAACCAGAAAATAATGATCAAAATCAAGAGATTTAGCATTCATACAATAATACGATTATCTATCTAATCTACAGTCCATATTGACATCTCACCAATTGACCCAGAAACGTCCTTTATAGCAAATTCTCCCCATGTTTGTTCTTATTTGGTTAATGGGAACAATGACAGTGCCCTCTCATAAGATTGTTATGAGAATGACATGGTGTGACATATATAAAACACTCCAATACAGTGCCTGGCTTATAGGAAAAGTTCGACAACTGCTAGCTACTTCTATCATGTTTATAATTTCTTCAGTGAAAACTTTTCCAGTCCCCTTTCCGTCAATTCAGAATCAGCCTCTTCCAACTATATTTTCTTATCAGTGTATTTCTACATTCTTGATTGTACTTTCACGTATAGCCTTTTTTTTTTACAAGCTTTTAAAGACCCATTCCTAATTCCTCTTTGCTTCTTCCAATGGCACCAAGCATAGCACCTTGTACATAATAAGCCTCCATCAATTTTGGCAGAATTTAATTTCTTTGGATGAAGTGGAGGGTTGATTAAGGTGACTAGAGGAAATGTATCTCACAGTATTGCAATAGTAGATACAATTCTGCTTTTAAAGAGTTTATGTTTCATGTCAGGGAGAAATACACAAGTGAAAAGTTACAGAAAATAAGAAGATAACATTATATATCTTAAAACAGCCTCTGAGAAAGGTTTGAAAAGTAGGAGGAATAAAGAAAGAGGAGTTCTGGGAGCTCAGAGAAGCAAAAGGATCACATGGGAAGGAAAATAAAAAACTTCCAGAGACTGCTCAGCATGGCCTCCTCAGCAGAAGGGACTTCACGGAGGCCTGATAAACTAAAGTACTAAAAGACAAAGTTCTCAGTTCTACTTTCCCAAGGCTGTGGATCTGGGAAAACAGTTGAATTACATCTTGGCCTTCCTTGCTGAGATTGGGTTTTGGCCAAAGGACATGAGCAAAAGTGATGTGAGCCATTTCCAGGCCTGGCCCATAAAAAGCTCCCATGTGTGATCTCCCACTATTTCCCATTCTCTAGTAGCTTTGGAGGCCACATGTAGAAGATATTAATGCACAGGTAGAAAGAACATGAGTCTCTGCGTGACTACATGGAGCAGAATCCCCAGCCCCATCAACCCATATTGCTGTGACAAGAATGAGGAATCAACTTTACTGCGTTCCACCACTGAAACATGGATGTCATTAGTTTCAGCAGCTACCATTACATGCCCTGTCCAGTGCACAGTTAGAACTGAAGGCCAGATTCAGAAAACCTGTGTTTATATCCTAGCTGTGCCACTTAGCTACAGGTGAGCCATGGCAAGTCACTTCGGCTCGGAACTGCTGTGAGGATTATATGGAAGAAGACTTTGTAAACTGTGAAAGTGCTATAAATGTTAGATACTATTAGTATTAGTCCATTCTTCCTAAGTTGGTGAAAATAACAGTTTCCAAGAATAGAATACAGGGATTAGTCATTCTTTCCAAACTAATAAAAAGAACACAGTCTGGGATCTCATGTTGCTGATATTAACTCGAGTTGTTGGAAAAGAAATTTGGGTGGGTCTATGGAAGGCCAATGATTCACTTCAGAATTCATGGAGTTACGTTACTGTTTTGTTCCTATGGAGAAACCTCTTTTTTTTTTCTTTTTTTATTTAGAGACAGGGTCTCACTCCATTACACGACTGGAATACAGTGGCAGGATCACAGCTAACTGTAATCTTGAACTCCTGGGCTCAAGCAATCCTCCTTCCTCAGCCTCCCAAGTAACTAGCACTATAGGAGTGTGCCATCATGCCCTGCTAATTTTTAAAATTTTTTATAGAGATGGGGGTCTTGCTATGTTGGCCAGGCTGGTCTCGAACTCCTTGCCTCAAGCAATTCTCCCTCCTTGGCTCCCCAAAGTTCTGAGATAACAGGCGTAAGCTACCGTGCCTGGCTAGGAAACCTTTTGTTTCTGAATATTTCATTAATTGTAGGTGTGAGGGTCAAGGGAAAGCTTTTTCTTTGGCCTTCTGAGAGTTATCTGAAAAGTCAAATCACGAAAGGCAAATTAACTAGAGAAAAGGCATACAAATGTACTTAACACATGTACAATGTATGCATGAGAAGTATCTCAGAGTAATTGCCCATCTCCAGTGTGGTTAGAAGCTTGTATACCACCTCCGCAAAACAGGCTATGGGAGGAGAAGAGAAATTCTGTTGAGGGGATTACAAGGGAGAATTAATAGATCTGGGAACAGGCATTAATTTGTTCTGCATCTATTTCTCTTTGAAGGTAAAAGGATCTGTTCAGATGTGGTAACATTCTTGGTCTTACTGGAAGGGGAAGAAAAACAATTGTTCCTTTTGGTGGGTTTGGATCTTAAGCAGATAAAGATTCTGGGAGAGGTGGTGGGGGGTGGGAGGGAGGGAGGGAGATCAGAGAGACCTTGAGACTTTTTTAATTTAGCATGTCAAAATGCCATATGTTGGTATTTTGGTTTTTGAGCCCCAACATAGGTAACTCCAACATTGGAATATCTTAAGAATTCAACTTTTAGGCCAGGTGTGGTGGCTGATGCCTGTAATCCTGGCACTTTGTGAGGCCAAGGTGGGAGGATCGCTTGAGCCCAGGAGTTTGAGACCAGCCTGGGCAACATGGCGAAACCCCACGTCTACAAAAAAAATACAAAAGTTAGCTGAGCATGATGGCATGCCCCTGTAGTCCCAGCTACTTGAGTGGCTAAGGCAGGAGAATCGCTTGAGGTGGAGGTTGCAGTGAGCCATGCTATTGTACTCCAGCCTGGGTGGCAGGAGTGAAACCCTGTCTCAAAACAATAATAATAATAATAATAATTCAACTTTCGCGGGGATTGGGCAGCAAGAAGAAAAGAGAGAAGAGTTGTTTCAAGATGAATTTTACCATTTTCCTTAAAATCAAATGTATTCAAAGTATTATTATTATTATTATTTTTTTGAGACAAAGTCTCACTCTGTCACCCAGGCAGGAGTGCAATGGCGTGGTCTCAACTCACTGCAACCTCCACCTCCTGGGTTCAAGCAATTCTCCTGCCTTAGCCTCCTGAGTAGCTGGGACTACAGGTGCATGGCACCACACCCTGCTAATTTTTATATTTTTAGTAGAGATGAGGTTTTACTATGTTGGCCAGGCTGGTCTTGAGCTCCTGACCTTGTGATCTGCCTGCCTCATCCTCCCAAAGTGCTGGAATTACAGGCATGAGCCACCATGCCCGGCCTCAAAGTATTCTTTTTGAGCACACATTGGTTGGTAGTTTTGTATTTATCACAGGTGTTAACAATTCTTTGCTTTATCAAGCAGGCCGAGATAAGCCAGAAATCATATTCCAACATAAATTATATTTTAAAGTAAATCATGGGCAGGACCAAAGGAGACTTCGGAGACTGTTACTCACTTTATAAATTTCAACCTAGGCTTGAATATTGGAACAGTCCTGAGAATGGGTAAACAGGCTTCTTGGTGTGAGATTTGGCAAGTGGGAAAGTATCCCAGCTTCAGTGAGAAACTTCCAAGGCACCAGTGGTGCCTTCACCACCGATGACAGTTCCTGCTGCAGTCAGATGAAAGTAATGAGGCAGAGTTTGGTCATTAAAACCATCTGGGTCCTTTGTTCCTGGCCCTGGACCCATCCCTCTCCCAAGCAGATGATTTCTTAAGTTCCCTGTTTCTCCATTTCTTTTCTTCCGTCTCCACTTCCCCTTTGAAGTTTCTAGTCTCTCTTCTCCCTAACCTTCATAAGCTTTTTTGGTTTAATTTTACACTTTTGGAGTCTGATTTAGGGAAATGAATGTGCATCCTCTTTTCTGGACCCTTTCTCCCTGGGGCTATATCCTCCTCCTTCCCAACCCTTTTGTTTATCAGATCTGTTCACACTTCTCACTGGATTTTGAGCATTAGAATGAGAATCAGAAGACTTAAGCTGTTGCCCACCATAACATAGATAAAGTAAATTTATTCTGCTGGGACTCAGGATCTCATCTGTAAAAATAAAACAAGGTGGATTAGAGAGTCTCTATCTCTTTAGATTCTGTGTAAGATAAGATCCCCGATCAGTGGCTGACAGAGGAGGTCTTTGGAATTATCTTGCTAACTTCTAAAGTCCTACAGTTAAGCAGATTCTCCTTGCATTTGCTGGTTGAGACATCTGAGGGAATTTCCAGAAGTGTGCTGAAGTCATGAAATATGAATAAATCAGGAGTCAGTGAGGATGAGACTGGAGAAGTGGCATCAAACCTTGTTAGAAGGATTTTGCTTTATGTTAGGTTTGGAACTTTATCCTTTGGGTGATGTGGAGTCTTGGAAGGATTGTAATTAGGATCAGACTTGTGTTTCAGGAAGCTCATTCTGATGGAAACAGGAAGAATGGTGAAAGCAAAAGGCAGTGCCACCAGATAAAACCACTGCCAGTTGTTCAGGCAAGATACAGGGAGGATCTGAAGTTGGAAAGTGGAACGTAGTTGGTAAAAATGGGAAGAAGCCAATTTAATACATCTGGGGATTTGTTGACTGATTGGCTAAGAGAGTTCAAGAGGAATAGAGGTCTAGGATGACTTTCTCTCATTTGAATGGATGGATTTGTCATTACTGTGGCACCTAAGGCTTTGCTGCTTATACCACTGCATTTTTTACTAAAAATGAAAAAATCAGGCCAGGCCTGGTGGCTCATATCTGTAATCCCAACACTTTGGGAGGCTGAGGCAGGAGAATTGCTTGAGCTCAGTGTCAGGCTTCTGAGCCCAAGCTAAGCCATCATATCCCCTGTGACCTGCACCTACACATCCAGATGGCCTGAAGCAACTGAAGATCCACAAAAGAAGTGAAAATAGCCTTAACTGATGACATTCCACCATTTTGATTTGTTTCTGCCCCACCCTAACTGATCAATGTACTTTGTAATCTCCCCCACCCTTAAGAAGGTTCTTTGTAATTCTCCCCATCCTTGAGAATGTACTTTGTGAGTTCTACCCCCTGCCTGCAAAACATTGCTCCTAACTCCACCACCTATCCCAAACCCTATAAGAACTAACGATAATCCACCACTCTTTGCTGACTCCTTTTTCAGACACAGCCCGCCTGCACCCAGGTGAAATAAACAGCCTTGCTGCTCACACAAAGCCTGTTTGGTGGTCTCTTCACAAGGACATGTGAGACATTTGGTGCCGAAGACCCGGGTCAGCGGGACTCCTTTGGGAGAGCAGTCCCTTGTCCTCACCCTCACTCTGTGAAGAGATCCACCTACGACCTTCGGTCCTCAGACCAACCAGCCCAAGGAACATCTCACCGATTGTAAATTGGGTAAGCGGCCTATTTTTACTCTCTTGTCCAACCCCTCTCACTATCCCTCAACCTCTTTCTCCTTTCAATCTTGGCGCCACCCTTCAATCTCTCCCTTCTGTTAATTTCAGTTCCTTTCATTTTCTGGTAGAGACAAAGGAGACACATTTTATCCATGGACCCAAAACTCCGGTGCTGGTCACGGACTTGGGAAGGCAGCCTTTCCTTGGTGTTTAATCATTGTGTGGATGCCTGCCTGATTATTCACCCACATTCCATTGGTGTCTGATCTCCGCAGGGATGTCTGCCTTGGTCATTCACCCACATTCCCTTGGTGGCAAGTCAATTGCGGGGATGCCTGCTTTGGCTGCTTATCCACATTGCAGCCCAGGGCTGCTCACTCCACCCCTTCTCTCTGTGTCTCTACCCTTTCTCCACTTTCCTGGGGGGAAATCACCCCTCATCCCTTCTCTCCGTGTCTCTGCTGCTTTTCCACTTTCCTGGGGTGCAAGCACCTCCCACCCCTTTTCCACTTTCCTGGGGAGCAAGCACCCCCCACCCCTTCTCTCCATGTCTCTACCCTTCTCTTTAAACTTGCCTCCTTCACTATGGGCAAGCTTCCACCCTCCACTCCTCCTTCTTCTCCCTTAGCCTGTGTTCTCAAGAACTTAAAACCTCTTCAACTCTCACCTGACCTAAAATCTAAGTGTCTTATTTTCTTCTGCAACACCACTTGACCCCAATACAAACTCGACAGTGGTTCCAAATGGCCAGAAAATGGCATTTTTGATTTCTCCATCCTACAAGATCTAAATAATTCTTGTCATAAAATGGGCAAACGGTGTGAGGTACCTGACGTCCAGGCATTCTTTTACACATCGGTCCCTCCCTAGTCTCTGTTCCCAATGCAACTCATCCCAAATCTTCCTTCTTTCCCTCCTGCCTGTCCCTTCAGTCCCAACCCCAAGTGTCTCTGAGTCTTCTGAATCTTCCTTTTCTACGGACCCATCTGACCTCTCCCCTCCTCCCCAGGCTGCTCCTTGCCAGGCCGAGCTAGGTCCCCAATTTTTCCTCAGCCTCCAATCCCCCACCCTATAATCCTTTTATCACCTCCCCTCCTCACACCTGGTCCGGCTTACAGTTTCGTTCGGCGACTAGCCCTCCCCTACCTGCAATTTCCTCTTAAAAAGGTGGCTGGAGCTAAAGGCATAGTCAAGGTTAATGCTCCTTTTTCTTTATCCAACCTCTCCCAAATCAGTTAGCATTTAGGCTCTTTTTCATCAAATATAAAAACCCAGCCCAGTTCATGTCCCGTTTGGCAGCAACCCTGAGATGCTTTATAGCCCTAGACCCTGAAAGGTCAGAAGGCCATCTTATTCTCAATATGCATTTTATTTTACCACCCAATCTGCTCCCAACATTAAATAAACCTCCAAAAATTAAATTCCAGCCCTCAAACCCCACAACAGGACTTAATTAACCTCGCCTTCAAGGTGTACAATAATAGAGTAGAGGCAGCCAAGTAGCAATGTATTTCTGAGTTGCAATTCTTTGCCTCCACTGTGAAACAAACCCCAGCCATATTTCCAGCACACAAGAACTCCAAACGCCTGAACCGCAGCTGCCAGGGGTTCCTCCAGAACCTCCTCCCCCAGGAGCTTGCTACAAGTGCCAGAGATCTGGCCACTGTGCCAAGGAATACCCACAGCCAGGATTCCTCCTAAGCCATGTCCCATCTGTGCAGGACCCCACTGGAAATCAGATTGTCCAACTCGCCCAGCAGCCACTCCCAGAGCCCCTGGAACTCTGGCCCAAGGCTCTCTGACTGACTCTTTCCTAGATCTTCTCAGCTTAGCAGCTGAAGACTGACGCTGCCCGATAGCCTCGGAAGCCTCCTGGACCATCACAGATGCTTTGGGTAACTCTTACAGTGGAGGGTAAGTCCGTACTCTTCTTAATCAATACGGAGGCTACCTACTCCACATTACCTTCTTTTCAAGGGCCTGTTTCGTTTGCCTCCATAACTGTTGTGGGTATTGATGGCCAGGCTTCTAAACCTCTTAAAACTCCCCAACTCTGGTGCCAACTTAGACAATACTCTTTTAAGCACTCCTTTTTAGTTTTGCCCACCTGCCCAGTTCCCTTATTAGGCTGAAACATTTTAATTAAATTATCTGCTTCCCTGACTATTCCTAGGCTACAGCCACACCTCAGTGCCGCCCTTTTCCCCAGTTCAAACCCTCCTTCACATCCTCTCCTTGTATCTCCCCACCTTAAACCACAAATATAGGACACCTCTACTCCCTTCTTGGCAACCAATCGTGCACCACTTACCATCCCATTAAAACCTAATCGCCCTTACCCCACTTAGTCATCTATGGTACCTCAACTGCCGTCCACCTGCAGGATCCTCCCCACCGGGTTCACTGTTCCAGGATAAAGCTGTGTCCCTCCGACAGCCAGCCTAATCTCTCCTCTTCCTCCTGGAAATCGCAAGTACTCTCTCCTACTTCCCTTAAACCCACTCACATTTCTGAAGAACAGTAATAACCCTTATGCGCCTAATACGTCCCTTCATTCTATTAGGTCTGTTCGTCCTTACCCTACTTTTTGCAACAGGGCTTTACGAAGTCACCCCCACTACTTAGACTGAGCCCCCCAAAATAGTCATCCCTACTATCTTCCATCTAGTCACACTCCTACAACATTCTCAACTACTCATAAATGCCCTACTCTTGTTTACACCGCCGGTTTACACTGTTTCTCCAAGCCATCACAGCTGATATCTCCTGGTGCTATCCCCAAACCGCCACTCTTAACTCCCTCTTAAAGTAAATAAATAATCTTTGCTGGCAGGGCTATGCTGAACCTCCTTGGGCACTCTCTAATTGGATGTCCTGGGTCTTCCCAATTCTTAGTCCTTTAATACCTGTTTTTCTCCTTCTCTTCGGACCTTGTGTCATCAGTTTAGTTTTTCAATTCATACAAAACCGCATCCAGGCCATCACCAATAATTCTATATGACAAATGCTCCTTCTAACAACCTCACAATATCACCCCTTACCCCAAAATCTTTCTTCAGTTGAATCTCTCCTACTGTAGGTTCCCATGCCACACCTAATCCCGCTTGAAGCAGCCCTGAGAAACATCGCCCATTATCTCTCCATACCACCCCCAAAATTTTTGCCGCCCCAACACTTTACCACTATTTCATTTTATTTTTCTTGTTAATATAAGAAGACAGGAATGTCAGGCATCTGAGCCCAAGCTAAGCCATCATATCCCTTGTGACCTGCACATATACATCCAGACGGCCTGAAGCAACTGAAGATCCACAAAAGAAGTGAAAATAGCCTTAACTGATGACATTCCACCATTGTGATTTGTTTCTGCCCCACCCTAACTAATCAATGTACTTCGTAATCTCCCCCACCCTTAAGAAGGTTCTTTGTAATTCTCCCCACCCTTGAGCATGTACTTTGTGAGATCCACCCTCTGCCAGCAAAACATTGCTCTTAACTCCACCGCCTATCCCAAAACCTATAAGAACTAATGATAATCCACCACACTTTGCTGACTTCTTTTTCAGACTCAGCCCACCTGCACCCAGGTGAAATAAACAGCCTTGTTGCTCACACAAAGTCTGTTCGGGGGTCTCTTCACACAGACACGTGAGACACTCAGGAGTTTGAAACCAGCCTGCTCAACATAGCGAAAGCTCATCTCTACAAAAAATCAGCCGTGCATGGTGGCACCACCCGTAGTCTCAGCTACTCAGGAGGCTGAGGTGGGAAGCTCCCTTGGGCCCAGAAGGTTGAGGCTGCAGTGAGCCATGATTGCACCACTGCATTCCAGTTGGGTCACAGAACGAGACCCTATCTCAAAAAAAAAAAAAAAAAAGAAACTCCCAACTTTTCTTCTGAAACTGCTTAACAATTTACTTCAAGGGAGCTGGAGTTGGCTTTCCTATAATTTTGCCACAGTGGCCCTAACTGACTGGTGTAGGAAGACACCTCACCTATGACAAGCATATATCCCATCCCACTGGCATACATAGGGATGGATACAGGGGAGAACAACTGATTCAATCCAAGCCAATCAGACTTCTCCAAAATTTCTAACTTGGAACCAAAGTGAACTTTAGTCAGTCCCTTATAAAGAATGGAAGTTGCAATAGATAGATATAAAAGGATGCAGCTGGCAGCCATATTTTTCATCATATAGAAGAAGTCAGTCTGAAGCAAAAGAAAATGAAGCCAAAAGGCAAGGAGAAACAGGAAGAGGATTCCTGCTAATATTGAAGACCCTGGCTGCAGTTATTCCCGGGGCCCATCTGCATCCCTGCCCCTCCTACAATTTGGTTATATAAATTTTCCTTGGATTTCATGAGGCAATACATTTCCTTTGTTGTCTAAACTACTTAAAATTGAGTTCGGGCACTTGCAGTTGAGAATCTTGACTATTTGATAGTCCGTTAATTGAGTTAGGGAGAAATGGACAGAGGCAATTCCGAGAGAGGATAATGAGTTCAGTTTTGAACGTGTTAATTTGAGTTGCTTTGGACATTCACATGAAGATTTCTAGGAATCCTTTTATTAGGAATCTGAAGCTCAATAAGATAATCACATTATTCAAGTTACTAAAAATTTACTGAAAAAGACAAGTTCAAATATGATGCCTTCAGGCACAGTGGCTCATGCCTGTAATTCCAGCACTTTGGGAGTCTGAGGCAGGAGGATCACTTGAGCCCAGAAGTTCAAGACCTGCCTGGGCAATATAGTGAGACCCCGTTTCTACAAAAAATAAAATAAAATATTAGCTGCACGTGATGGTGCACACCTGTAGTCCCAGCTACTTAGGAGGCTAAGGTGGGAGGATTGCTTGAAGCCTCAGGGTTGAGGCCGCAGTGAGCCGTGATCTCTCCGCTGCACTCCAGCTTGAGCAACAAAGCAATACCTTGTCTCAAACAAACACACAAAGAAATATGATGCCTTATGGAATTTCACCAGAGATATCCAATCACTATTGATTATTTCAGGATGTGATTGTTTAAGTAACCATAGCTGTCTTCAATTGAACTAGTATTCAGATTACCATCCTCATTTCACAATGATATTGTGAAGCATCTTTCTAAGAACCTTGATCAAAGCAAGGTAGAATGTTTCTACAGCATTCCCCTAATCTTCCTGTTCAGCAGAATAGCACAGATATGGATGAAAATGAGATTAGCATGACATGGCTTGTTCTTAGTGAACATAGCTCCTACTGCTAACTCTAAATGAGTGTTACTGTTTTCTAAGTCATCATAAATCAACCATCAATAATTTAACTATTTTGGCTGCATCTGCTATCCTTACCTAAATCTATAGAACTAGGAAGTACTAGGTGGGTCGCTGGTCCAAGGGCAGTGGTGTTTACAACTAATTGATCACAATCAGTTACAGATTTCTTTGTTCCTTTTCCATTCCCACTGCTTCACCTGACGAGCCTAAAAACAAATAAAGAAATAAATAAAGATGTAATAGGTGGGTGTACTGAATCTTGAATAACATCTTCACAAATTATAAAACATGCCTCTATTAGCCTCACCAAATCTATGCATGGAAGTTTTTTTACCTCCCAATAGAAAGATACCAGCATTTCATAAACTTAATGGTCCCTATGAGTTGTCCTTGTTGTTCTGTTCAGAATGCAAAGGTACTGCTTCAGAAATGCCAGGTTGACCCTCCATGAGAAAATTATCTTTTCTGAGCAGCACAATAGTCCTTTACAGGTAAAGAAACCTGGGATGGAAATATTGACTCTAGCAATTACAAGCAGTGTGATTTTAGCGGGGAGTTACTTACAGCCACAATTTTCCTCATCTGTAAAACAGGAACAACAATTAATTCTTAGTACATTTGTGAGAATGAAATTAGATAATATATGTACTGTCCTAAACCAGGGCATGGCACAGGAGTCCATTTTCTCTCTTTTTTTTTTTTTTTTTTTGAGACAAGGTCTCTCCGCTGACTGCAGCCTCAACCTTCCTGGCTCAGGTGATCCTCCCACCTTATCTCCCCATGTAACTGGGACTACAGGTGCATGCCACCACATCTGGCTAATTTTTGTATTTTTTGTAGAGACGGGGTTTCACTGTGTTGCCTAGACTGGTCTTGAACTCCTGGGCTCATGCGATCCACCCACCTTGGCCTTTCAAAGTACTGGGATTACAAGCATGAGCCACTGCGCCTGGCCCAGTTTTCAATAAGTCGTCACTATGGGCTAGATGTAGTGGCTTACGCCTGTAATTCCAGCTAAGCGAGAGGAGCACTTGAGGTCAGGAGTTAAAGACCAGTGTAGTTGAAAAAGTGGGACCCCATCTTTATTATTTATTTATTTAACGAAAGCACAGATTTATTGAAATGAAAGTACACTCCACAAAGTGGGAGTGGGTTCAAGCAAGTGGCCCAAGAGCCCCCACTTCTATTTTTAAAAGAAAAAAATAATAAAAAGAGAGAAACTATGGCCGTGTTTGCTTATTTGTTTTATTTGATGACATTGCTTCTTTCCCTTTTCCATTTGCCAATGTTTGTCACTAGTCTTGATTCCTTTGCATATCATTGATTTCGCTTTCTGGCTTCCTTTTTGAATTATTTCTCTCATCATGGCGGGGCACAGATCATCTTCATGAGAAAAAACTAAACATACTCCTTTATTAATAAAAACTATCTCATGGATAGTTTGTATAATTGGTGATCCTCTTAGGCAGCCAGTCAAATAAGGCCCATGGAAATTTCTGTCTATAACCCTGGCAAAGTGCCCATTTATGGGCTGGTTTTCCAGTAACTCCAAGTCAACCAAAATCACATTATAGGTAAATTAGGTACACTTTATTAATTTTTTTTTTGTGAGGTGGAGTTTTGCTCTTCTTGCCCAGGCTGGAGTGCAATGATGCAATCTCGGCTCACTGCAACCTCCGCTTCCCAGGTTCAAGTGATTCTCCTGCCTCAGCCTTCCAAGTAGCTGGGATTACAGGCACCCGCCACCATGCCCAGCTAATTTTTGGTATTTTTAGTAGAGGTGGGATTTCATTATGTTGGCCAGGCTGGTCTTGAACTTTTGACCTCAGGTGATCCACCTGCCTCAGCCTCCCAAAAAGCTGGGATTATAGGCATGAGCCACCACACCCAGCCTAGTTTTTTTTTTTTTTTTTTTGAGACAGAGTCTCTCTGTCACCGCAGGCTAGAGTGCAGTGGCACGATCTCGGCTCACTGCAGTTGAGACCACAGGCATGTGCCACTGTACCCAGCTAATTTTATTTTTTGTAGAGACTATGTTGCCCAGGCTGGTCTTGAACTCCTGCAGTGCCACTGCACTCCAGCCTGGGCGACAGAGGGAGACGCTCTCTCCAATTTTGCACCTATCTAAAGAGCAAAACAGTTTTTGAGTGACCTTCTAAATAGCTCTTGTATCTATTTACTTCTTTCTATACCCATTCCGAACCCACAACAATGGTGTCCTCACTTCCAGTCTATTTTCTCCTCTACTGCCAGAGTGAGCTTTCTAATTTGTAAATATGACTGTCACTTTGCTGCATGGACCATTCAATAAGGCTTCCATTGGATTTATACAAGGCCCCTCATGATCTGACCATGGCATACCTCTCTAGTCACATTTCTTGCCACTCACAGCTTTGTGGTCTATAGTTCAACTAGACTTTATTGGAGTCTTCGGTTTCTCAAATGTCCCGTGATATCCGTTGTCTTCCAAGCTTTCCCCTTGTGGTAGGTACACTCTCATTAGACTCTCCCTCTACTTCCTCAACCTTTTTGCCTTTGGCCTAATCTAAATTACTTTCTCTAGGCATCTTTTTCTGACCCAAGCCTGGGTTAATTGTCCCTCTAATGAATAAACTGTGAATCATGGCAAGTATTATGTTAGAGTAATTGCCTATTTACTCATTTCAATCAGCCTACTAAACTGTACGAATTATGGGGAAAAGATCATGACTATTTTGCTTATCACCATGTGGTCAATTCCACCCACAGTACTTGACATAGAATAAGGCCCTCAACAAATTACTGTTGAATCAGTAATTGAATTAATGAGTCATAATAATTAGTAGCAGAGAATCAGAACTGAGATATAAATCCATTAAAAATGTGAGATACACTTATGCTAAAATATTATTTGTTGTTTATCTGAAATTCAGATTTACTTGAGAGTACTTTATTTCATCTGGCAATCTTGCTGGTTAATTAAATACCTCCTTCTGCATGTCTGAGAAATAAACGTACTAATTTCATCAAACCCAAATCTTAGATTATTTACTGCCTTAGCATTTCAATATAGTGAATGATCATGTTACTGGAGATGAATAAATTACTTTTCTTTCTCTCTCTCTCTCTCTCTGTTTTAACAGTAGGGATTGTGTAGGTTCCTTACTTGAATTTCAGTGTTTCAATACTTGGCTTTATGTGATCTGATCTAATATGCATTCCTTTACATACACTATTGTTCTGAACATTGTAGTTGGTTAAGTTCCTAGGGACAGCTGTGACCCTTAAAATTGCTCAATCTTTGTCTTTTAAACATTCCATTCATAATCTAATTTGCTGACTCTTTTTAGAGTCTCCTGTTTTTAAATTTTGCTTTCATTATTGCACAATTCATAGTGACTGATGTTGAGTAATTAATGAGTAATCTGATTTCCTTTGAAAAATAGAATATCTTTTTTTAATTCAGTTGCATCAACAACTTATTAGAGAAACTTTTTTTTTTTTTCAGATGGAGTCTCACGCTGTCTCGCAGGCTGGGGGTACAGTGGCATGTTCTCGGCTGACTGCAACCTCTGCCTCCCAGGTTCAAGGGATTCTCCTGCCTCAGCCTCCTGAGTAGCTGGGACTACAGGCATGTGCCACCACACCTGGCTAATTTTTGTATTTTTAGTAGAGACGGGGTTTCACCATGTTGGCCAGGCTGGTCTCAAACTCCTGACCTCAGGTGATCCACCTGCCTCAGCCTCCCAAAGTTCTGGGATCATAGGCATGATCCACTGTGCCCGGCCTAGAGAAACTTTTTAAGACTAACTTCATTTTTTCAGTGAACTTAAAGAAACAAATACTTAAAAAGTTAAGTGCACAAATGTTCATATTAAAAATCAATGTCAAGGCCGGTCAAGGTGGCTCACACCTGTAATCCCAACACTAAGAAAGACTGAGGCAGGAGGATCACTTGAGGCCAGGAGTACTAGACAAGCCTGGGCAACATAGTGGGATTCCCATATCTACAAAAAAATAAAAATAAAAACAACCTGTTGTGGTGGCATGCGCTTGTAGTCCCAGTTACTAGGGAGGCTGAGCGGAGAGGATCACTTGATTCCAGAGATAAAGGCTACAGTGAGCTACGATGGCACCACTGCACTCTAGCCTGGGTAACAGAGTGAGACCCTATCTCTAAAAAAAACTGTTTTAAATGATTAAGTATTTACCTCCATTTAAGGTTTTAGCCTGGGGGCAGTTGCAGATGTAAAAGTAAATGGTTTCCAGAAACAATTTGGCAAGACAAAAAGTAATTGACACTACACAAAAGATGCTGAAATAGTTCTGTGAGACTTCAGAAGATGTAAGAGAGTTCCCTTCCAACTAGAGGAACCAGGTGAGACTTTGTTTCAGGTTTTTGTAGAGGAAGTGGCATTGGTCCTGGGCTTTGAGGGCAGGATGGATGAGAATGCACCACCATGCAGAAGGATCCCCATAGGCAAAGTCTTCCTTTACCTTTAATATGAGCAACATTGAATCTCTTAAAAATTACATCCTTTTAAGAAGGCTTCAAGCAATATTTATACAATGGCCACACATCTGAGAATTGCCAAGGTAGTGTCACAAGATGCTGATAAGACTTCTACATATATTTTAAGAGCACGACTAAAGATATGTTGAGAAAACATGGTGTGGACCATTATCTATGTATGTGATAATTACATATAGCCATATTTAGTGTGTTAATATATGTATTTTAAGATGATTCCAGGCCAGGCGCGGTGGCTCACACCTGTAATCCCACCATTTGGGAGGCCAAGGTGGTCGGATCATGAGGTCAGGAGACAGAGACCATCCTGGCCAACTTGGTGAAACTCTGTCTCTACTAAAAACACAAAAATTATCTGGGTGTGGTGGTGCATGCCTGTAGTCCCAGCTACTTGAGAGGCTGAGGCAGGAGAATTGCTTGAACCCGGGAGGCAGAGGTTGCAGTGAGCCAAGATTGCACCACTGCACTCCAGCCTGGCAGCAGAGCGAGACTCTGTCTCAAACCAAAAAAAATAAAAAAGAAAAGAAAACGATTCCAAATAATTACTTATCTGGCTGAATGATCTGGCTGAATGTTGCAGACAGTCTTTTGAAGCACTTTGCCTACAGTTAACTACCACCAGCCCTTCAGTTGACAGATATGAATATCCTTAAAGAGCTAGAGGACTTCCCCCAGTTCAGAGCCCAAAGTGGTAGCAGCCACTTTGACTTAGGATAACCTAGGAGGAAGTTTCCATGGGTGTGCTACAGTGCATGAAGGAACAACTCCGGGAAAGGTCGGTGGGGATTTTTGTCCCCTGAACCTTAGTTCTGATTCATTTTCTAGGCTCACGTAGCTCTCAGTTATCTGGGCCAAGGGGTGTGGAAGGCAGTTGCAAGGTTAAATCCTGAGCCATCCTCTTGGCCTTTTCAATGTATCATGGGATTCTCTCCCAGCAAACTCGCCTCTCTCATTTTGTTCTCCTGAGTTCATTGCAACCGGAACATGAATGTGAGTGGCAGGAGAGGCCAACTGATGGAAACAGGAACCACACATCCATTAATCCTGATCTGCATTCCAAAATCCAGAAAGCACTACAAACTGAGTTTTTGTAGCTTATTTGGCAGCAAAATCTGACCTCACCTGAACTCATTTGAAAGCAAAACTTTACCTGGACCTACATGAGACTATTTGGCCAAGTAGCATAAATATTCACCTTTTACTGCAAAAATATTAATGTATTTTAGTACAGAGTGCTGTCCCAGAGTCTGCTGGGAGTGTAAATAATACACAGTACATACATTGTATTACTTTTCTAAAAATCCAAGATAATTCTGAATTCTGACATCTGGCCCCAGGGTTTTAGATAAAGCCTTGTTGTCCTATAAGAGCAGAGATAACTGTACAAAAGAAGGACATTGGTTCAGTTGATATTATTTCTGAACTGTTACTCTTTAGCATATGAAAATAATATTTTTCTAAATCAATAGGTTTCAATATATGATCTCAGGACACTGGAAATTTCTAAGCTATCTTATGTGGTCTGTACTTTTATTGCTATATGTAAAAAATTATGTATGCTTTATAGTGACAGCAAGAGATTATTGATAGCTCATAAAAACCAAGCCAATTTGTTCTTCCCACTAACTCACCTCTTTCTCTTTCTCCTCCCCTACTTTTTTCTTTCTCTCTCTTTGTGGTATGTGTTGGCAAGTAGGGAAAATAGGAACAGGGTCGGCTTCATGGATATGTGATCAGTGCAGCTACACAAGATCCTGCACTTTCTCTGGAGTCAGGGTTCTCCAGAGAAACAGAAACAGTAAGATGTAGGGGTGTGTGTGTATGTGTGTGTGTGTGTATGTGTGTGTGTATGTGTGTGTGTGTGTGTGCACGCACATGCACTCGCATATGTGTGTATAAAGAGATTTATTATAAGGAATTGGCTCCTGCTATTATGGAGGCTGTCAAGTCTCAAGATCTGCAAAGTGAGTTGGCAAGCTGTAGACTCACTCAGGAGAGCTGATGGTGTGGTTCTAGTATGATGGCCAGCAGGCTCAAGACCCAGGAAGAGAATGTTTCAGTTTAAATCTTTGTTTGTTTGTTTGTTTGTTTTTTGAGACAGAGTCTCACTCTGTCACCCAGGCTGGAGTACAGTGGTGTGGTCTCGGCTCACTGCAACCTCTGCCTCTCAGGTTCAAGCGATTCTCCTGCCTCAGCCTCCCGAGTAGCTGGGATTACAGGTGTGCCCCACCATGCCTGGCTAATTTTTTTACATTTTTAGTAGAGATGGGGTTTCACCATGTTGGTCAGGCTGATCTCGAACTCCTGACCTCGTGATCCGCCCACCTCGGCTTCCCAAAGCACTGGGATTATAGGCGTGAGCCACCACGCCCGGCCAGTTTAAATCTTAAGTCAGGGAAAACCTCTCTCTCATTTGGGAAGGGTCAGCCCTTTGTTCTGGCCTTCAGCTGACTGAATGAGGCCCCCCACATTAGGGAGGGCAAACTGCTTTGCTTAGTGTACAGATTGAAATGTTAATCTCTTTCAAAACACTCTCACAGAAACAGCCAGAATGATGTTTAACCAAATTTGTGGAGTCCCACAAATTATGTAGCTGGCACTGGATAGGGAGAATACTCAAGAAAATCTTTTTTTTTTTCTTTTTTTTTTTTAGACGGAGTTTCGCTCTTGTTGCCCAGGCTGGAGTGCAATAGCATGATCTTGGCTCAATGCAACCTCCGCCTCCCCGGTGCAAGCAATTCTCCTGCCTCAGCTTCCCAAGTAGCTGGGACTACAGGTGCTCGCCACCACGTCCAGCTAATTTTTGCATTTTTTAGTAGAGACGGGGTTCCACCATGTTGGTCAGGCTGGTCTCGAACTCCTAACCTCAGGTGGCCACCCGGCTCAGCCTCTCAAAGTGCTGGGATTACAGGCGTGAGACACGGCGCCTGGCCCTCAGTGAAATCTTTAGCTTCTTACACACAGACGCAGACACACACACACACTCTCACACACACACCACAGAGTTATTTTTCATCATCGTTGTTCCTACTTTTGGTACTGGTGGATGCAAATGATGAAATTCAAGAATCAGCCAATTCAACTGATATTTTAAACTTGAATCACAACTGACTTTTCCTTTTACCTCACTTCCCATTTCCAGACTGCATATAGTCTTATTAATGTTTGCTAATAGCTCTCTAATCCATCTTTTCTTCTTTTTTTAATTATTTTTTTTACAGTGGGGTGAGACAGGGACTCGCTATGTTGCCCAGGCTGGTCTCAAAGTCCTGAGCTCAAGCAACCCTCCAGCCTCTGCCTCCTAAAGTGCTGAGATTACAGGCCACAGTCACCCTTTCTTATTCATTTTCATTCCCACCAACCTAGTCCAGGAATAGTTTTCCTATTCTTCTCCTCATCCCTGTCTTCTTCCCCTCCATTACCCCTCATTCTCCCTTTTCCTCCTCCTCCTCATCTTCTTTCACTATTACCACTATCACTATCATTACAGGAAGAGTCATTATGCCTATATTATGTCAGACACTGTATTAGGTTTTTTGTTTGTTTGTTTGTTTTTGAGACCGAGGCTCGCTCTGTCGCCCAGGCTGGAGTGCAGTGGCACGATCTCGGCTCACTGCAACCTCCACCTCCCGGGTTCAAGCAATTCTCCTGCCTCAGCTTCCCAAGTAGCTGGGACTACAGGTGCTCGCCACCATGTCCAGCTAATTTTTGCATTTTTTAGTAGAGACGGGGTTTCACTATATGTAGGGCAGGCTGGTCTCGAACCCCTGACCTCAAGTGATCCACCCGCCTCAGCCTCCCAAAGTGCTGGGATTACAGGTGTGAGCCACTGAGCCTGGCCAATATTGAGTTTTATTAGGGGTAACTTCCATAAACAGACGGCCCAGTGGCAGTGGGCTGGAAAGGAGAACCAAGACTGCTTGCAGAAAGCATGCAGTTTAGGTAACATTTTCACTTAGCATCCTCCCCATAGCAATCTCCACGTGGCAACCTTCATTCAACCCAAAACAAAGGACGTCAGGACATCAATCCCCTGTATGGCCCGTGTTCATGAGACAGTCTGGGGGTTCAGAAGTTCCTCATAGATAAGGAATGAATCTCCGCGTTGGCCACTCCTGGATTCCTTAAGCTCAGAGCTCTGAACACACATTCTTCTTTTAAGTTATTGCTGTAAGTTGCTTCTACAATACACTCCACCCCAGTATACTCTTTTTTTTTTTTTTTTTTTTTTTTTTGTGGAGGACGGAGTTTTGCTCTTGTTGCCCAGGCTGGAGTGCAGTGGTGCGATCTCGGCTCACCGCAACCTCCGCCTCCCAGGTTCAAGTGATTCTCCTGCCTCAGCCTTCTGAGTAGCTGGGACTACAGGCATGCGCCACCATGCCCAGCTAATTTTGTATTTTTAGTAGAGATGGGGTTTCTCCATGTTGGTCAGGCTGGTCTCGAACTCTCGACCTCAGGTGATCCACCTGCCTCGGCCTCCCAAAATGCTGGGATTATAGGCATGAGCCACTGTGCCTGGCCCACCCCAGTATACTCTTGAGTGACCCTCACATTCTTATCACATTGTTCTTCCATGATTTCCCTAGAGCCAGGTATGCAGAGGGCCAGGTATGTGGAGGAACATTGCAGCAAGACCCCTAAGTAGCAATACAAGCAATATAGAAGTGGCTACAGGTACTCAGGTTAGCTGCTTGGATGCACCACGGCAGGCCCAGGATGGAGAAGGGGGCAGCTGTCTGCAGACCCAATTATCTGTTTTGTTCTAAAGACAGACCACCATCTGACACATGGCGGCAAAGAGATTTGCCACACACCATCTATGGGCAAAAGCGTGAGATGTTTAGTGGGTACAAAGAAAGGGTAAGTCACGGTTATTTAATAAGACATGGGAAGTTGTGTAGTTCTGAGACAGCAACACTCTTGGCAACGGACTGCTGCCTAGTTTACAATGTCAAATGGATTGGCTCCCCTCTGCAACGTGCCACAGGAAACCCAAGCAAGACACTGGGGGCACCATAATCTTCCACTGTGAAATGACGATCGTCCCCCCGTACAAGGGAGGATCAGAACTCACCATCCCAGAAGCCTGGGCAGGGGGAGCAGGTTGGAAAATACGGTTTTTGGCTGTACTCCCATTTGCTTAGCTAAAATTGAAGGGGTGCTATTACTAAGGAAAGGAAAGAATATGTAAAAGACTGTAACTAGCAGTACATAAAACAGAAATTAAATAGAGGTGGGATGGAGAGAAATACCTTTGGTTCATCTATGATCAATGACTGAAACAGAAGTGTTAGCAAAATTTTCCAAATTGTTAAATTTAAAAATAGTTTTCCTGTGACATTTGAGCTTGCTTTTTGTCCTAATTACCTTAGCGTTCATCTTCCTTTCCTTCAATTTCATTGTTTCTTCTGTCATTCATATAAGAACTAATATACCTAACAGGAATAAGATGTGAACAAACATTAGTTCATCCATTTAGCAAATTTTTCTTGCAGGCCAACTATATAAAAAGCATTGTCCTAGGTGCTTAGCTACATCAAAAAACAAAGCCCATATTCCTGCCTTGTGACTACACAAGTGGTGGGTAATATACAGTAAACAAGAAGTTCCCATGGAAGCAAAGCTAATTCTATCATATCAACAAGATTTCAATCTCCTAGAAGGACAGAAATAATAATAATTCTGGTCTTAAAAATAATTCCCTGGTGGGCCAGGCGCAGTGGCTCATGCCTGTAATCCCAGTACTTTGGGAGGCCAAGGCAGGCCGATCACCTGAGGCCAGGAATTCGAGACCAGCCTGGCCAACATGGTGAAATCCTGCTTCTACTAAAAATACAAAACCTAGCGGGCGTGGTGCCGGGCACCTGTAACCCAGCTACTCGGGAGGCTGAGGCAGGAGAATCGCTTGAACCTAGGAGCTGGAGGTTTCAGTGAGCCTAGATAGTGCCATTGCACTCCAGCCTGGGCGACAGAGCAAGACTCTGTCTCAAATAAATAAATAAAAAAAATAAAAAATAATAATAATTCTCTGGTCTTAAAGCCCTGTAGTAGCACTCAGGTAGCACATTCTATTTGCATGCTCTCCAGTCATTTGTTGAAAGATTCTTACCAATGTAAATAAATATCTTTCTACAGTCCCTTGGGTCTAATTTTCCTTAAGAAAAAAATGGTGTTGATCTTGATACTTTTTTTCATAATCAATTTGATCAGTATTTTAGAAACCCAACCTGAAGTAGCTTAGGCCAAAAACAAAACAAAACAAAACGAAAAGGCCGGCGCGGTGGCTCACGCCTAAAATCCCAGCACTTTGGGAGGCCGAGGAGGGCGGATCACCTGAGGTCAGGAGTTCATAGACCAGCCTGGCCAACATGGTGAAACCCCATCTCAACTGAAAATACAAAAAAATTAGCTGGGCGTGATGGCGGGTGCCTGTAATCCCGGCTATTTCGGGAGGCTGAGGCAGGAGAATCGCTTGAACCCAGGAGGCAGAGATTGCAGTGAGCGGAGATCACGCCATTGCACTCCAGCCTGGGCAACAAGAGTGAAATTCTGTCTCAAAAAAAAAAAAAAAAAAAGGAGAAGGTAGTGGTGATCATCTTTAAAAAGTATTCTGGCATATGTTATCCCTAAGTGGCAAGCTGAATGATCTTAGGGACAAATAGAACCAGAAACTGAAATGCAGCCAGCACTTTCTCTGTCTCATCTCTCCAAGTGTGAGCTCTTTTTTTTTCTTTCTGAAAATTGGCTTCCTCCATATGGCAAGGAACACCACATCTCCAAATTTCACACCCCATGCTCTCATACAAGAGAATATGGGATTCTCTGCCAAACTAGCCTGACTTGGGACAGGCACACTGATAATCTACAGCTAAAGAATCAGGATGACAGCAAAGACATGGCCCCTAGGTACCGACTTCTTGGATATCTTGAGCTGAATGAGCATGGAAGCAACTTGATGGGTTGTCATAAGATTTGAGAACATCTCATCAGTCACTTTTCTGAGAAAAGATACCCAAGGTTAAGTGAGATAAGAGCAGAATTCTTCTGAAAAAGTGTTAACAAGTCAGTCTGCCAGAGTCTGATCCCAGGTCTTCATGTTTTTCATAGAATTTTAATTTTAATTTTTTTTTTTTTTTTTTTTACAGGCAGGGTCTTGCCCTGTTGCCCAGGGTGGAGTGAAGTGGTGCAATTGTAGCTCAGGGCAAGCTTGAACTCCTGGGCTCAAGTGATCCTCCCACATCATCATCCTGAGTAGCTGGGACTACAGACGCACACCACCATATCTAGCTAATTTTTAACCTTTTTGTAGAGACAGGGTCTCACTATGTCGCCCAGGCTGCTCTCAAGCTCCTGGCCTCAAGTAATCCTCCTGTCTTGGTATTCCAAAGAGCTGGGATTAAAGGCAGGAGCCAAACAACTGGTCACTTTTTTGAGAGAATTTTTAAAGATGTGTCATGAATACCAGGCTAGTTAGGCATAAAGTCACAATTAGGTGTGTGTGTTGTTTTGCTTTGGAATGGGCCTGGGGCATCTTTCAAATGTATATGCCCACAAGTAAATGGGTAGTTCAGGAAGTTCTTTTGTAATATCCACAAATAATTATCCTTAAAAACAAGTAACTGAGACATTAATGAAAAAATATTCTGCAAACACTGAAGCCTTTTATTTTAAAATGTCAAGGTCTCAGGAATACAACTCCAAGTTTATAATCTTTATTTTCCACTTAGTGGTGATATGCATTATAATTTTTTCTCCCCTAAATGAGAATGCTTTGAATCAAATAATACTTCTTCCTTCCGCTGTGTCTGTGCCAACAGTGGCAGCTGAGTTCATTTTCATTACCTCAGCATTGTTACCAAGAGTTTAAATAGGTTGACTAACATTTGGAACACCAGGACAGAGGCTCTGTTTTTCTGGGCTTTGTAAAATACCTAATATAGTGACAATATGTGGGCATACAGATATATTGTAATTATATACTAGAAATGACACAGAGTACCTAGACTCCTCTGGGTAGAAAAAAGCCAAGCTTTGATTTCCACACTCAAACCAGCTGAAAAGTCAGAGCTTTTTTTCATTTGTAATTCCTCACTTTCTGAAAGCAAACTGAAATGCCTGTGGCCAAATGCCTTCTCTGAGTCAAATCCAGGTTGAGTCCTCCATGAGCTCAAAACCTGCTCTGTGTGTGTGTGTGTGTGTGTGTGTGTGTGTGTGTGTGTGTGGTCATCTTGATTTCTTTCAACCATCTTAAATGGCTTGATTTATTGCCCAATGTCACTGAAATAAAAACTAGCCGTTAGGGTAGCCCAAATTGTCAAATCACTGGTTTTCAAGCTGCTGTTTTTTGGTTCCTGGTCCTGGCATGACACCGTGACTTTATAGAACATTCTCCATTGTAGAATTCTGGGTGGTCTTGAGGTCCTTTCCCAGTACTAAACGGTACCAGGCATAGCACCAATGGGAGGAACATCAGGAAGATGTCCTTTTTTTTTTTCTTTTTTTTTTTTCTGAGACAGAGTCTCACTCTGTCTCCCAGGCTGGAGTGCAATGGTGCTATCTCGGCTCACCGCAACCTCCACCTCCCAGGTTCAAGTGATTTTCCTGCCTCAGCCTCCTGAGTAGCTGGGATTACAGGCGTATGCCACTACACCTGGCTAATTTTTGTATTTTTAGTAGAGACGGGGTTTCACCATGTTGGTCAGGCTGGTCTCGAACTCCTGAACTTGTGATCTGCCTGCCTTGGCCTCCCAAAGTGCCGGGATTACAGGCGTGAGCCACCGCACCCGGCCGGAAGATGTCATTTCAAAGCCATGTTGTTCTTTCAGATTCTAGAGTTGATGGTTAACACTGGCAGTCCCTCCTGACTGCCCTCCCGACGCACACTCCCAGGCTAATGAGGAAAAGTCCTAGAGAGCAGCATCAGATGCTTGTTCATGTATAGAGTTTGGTCAACATCACCAGCCCCGGCCCTCCTCTAGCTGACAAACAGGCAGTTGTCTATTTTGGCTTTGACTAGACTCTACTTCCGTTTACCTCAGTCATATCCTTTTTAGATTTGTTTCTCTCCCTTCCCCCACCTTCCTCTTTCCCACTGTTATTTATAAACGTTATACACTTGTTTACAGAGAAAAGAACAAACTTTAAAATTAATTGTTGATACAATTGCCAAATGAATAATGTCCAGGTGTCCGCTTTTAAGCATCACAGGCATCTCTAGTCATCGCTTTTTAGTTGTTACCCTAGGATTGAGAAGACCAACAGCAGGAAAGGTGGTGACTCACACTCAGAACCCAAAAAACAAACACCCACTAATGACTCACACCCTGGAACCAGGGAGATTTTGAGACTTTCTTTTGCTGAAAAAATGCATATGCAAACAACATTCCCATCACCAGGAGGCCAAGCTGGCTCTTCCTGCACGGAATGGGGCTCTGCTGAGGTGGCTGCGAGTCAGGGATGTGTCACCGACCCAGGGATGGAGTTTACTGGGTTAGTAGATGGAGGGCAGCTAAAACTAGAATTTCTTCTTTGCTTTTTTCCAAATGCCTGCTGGAGAAAATCCGATGTATCCTGTGTGAGTCAGTTGTGAGTGTATCTGCTGGGATAAGGGCAAGTTAAGTCACCACTCTCCATCCCCTCTGCTTGTTTTAATTGTGATTTTAATTAGCACGCAGGTCATCTGAGCAGAGGTGTGGCCTTTCATCTGAATGTGGATTTTCTGTCTGTGTGGTCCTTGATTGGCTACTTGGATCTTATAATGATAAAAGAATTTTTAAAGTACCTTTTCTTTCCAAAGTTTAGGGCTTTACTGAACTTTAAATATAAACTTAGGGCCCTCTGTTTATATTTAGATAAAAAAAGAATTGTGAAGATAAAGGATCTTTTGTGGCAAAGTGCTTTGAAACCCTGAGATGAAAGGGAACCCGTAAAGAGAAATTAACCTCATTTATTTTTTAAGCAGCATTTTGCTGCGTGTGTGGACAAATGTAATTTGAGGCAGCTTGAATTAAGAGCCTTGTCTTCACTCCACTCATAACCCTCCCTGTCTCCAACTGAGTCGAAGCACCTCTTTTTTCTTTCACTTCTCTATTCCTCAAGCCAGAGCTTGTCTGGTAGGGAAGGCAAATTCAGGCTTGTAATCCATCCTCTCCCCCCAGGTCTGACTACTCCCTGGCTGGACTTCCGCAGGGGCACCCAGTCCCCTTTGTGGAAGATCCAAAGCTCAACACAGAAAGGGAAAAGCAAGATGTGTGGAGTGGGAGACTTGCTTGGCTTTGCTTCCATTACTTTTGAGAACTCTCATTACATTCCTGAATCCACTGATGCATAGGTGGCAAAGCATTCAAAAGCGCTTTGGGGCAAGACTACTATTTAACTGAGACACACTGGTACCACCACGCCTATTACTAAAATATTAAAATATTTATATTTTGATTTGTAAATAGCCATTGCCCATGCCTTCACCATTGTCAAATATTTTTAATTGTACCAATTGTTTGTAAGCTAGGAGAGGGTTTACCTTCTTAGTTTCACACAGTGTTTAGCCTATCTTGTATATACTAATATGCATATTATGCATAGTATTTGAAATGCATATACTAATTGGTTAGGGGAAGAGAATGCAAAATTCCAGCTGCGTTTTTAGGCTGTCAGGGTAGTGAGAGACCAGTTTGGAGTCTCCCTACAAACTGTATTTGAGTGCTTCTAAGACAGAATTTAGAACTCGAGTTCTCCCATTCATTCTCTTTGGGATTCTGAACCAAGGGAGGGCACACAAAAGGATCGGTGACTGGATAGGAAACAATACCCTTCTACTTAGGAAGCACCAGCTGAAGGCCTAATAACCTCTGGGAGTCTGTGCTGGAGGCAAGGCCCAGGCCTGGGGCTAAAGTTCTCTACTTTCCAATCCGGAGATTCTCAGAGACCCTGTTCCGGGTGCAGAGATACTGAGACACAGGGGGCCAACGTTCCTGAGCCCACCACTTTAAGGCAAGTGGCCTGGCCAGAGAAAAATGGTCCAGTTCACCCAAGTGCTAGAAATACAGGAGAAAGAATGAAGCTTGGTCTCTGCTTTTGAGGTACACCCCCAAAATGTGGCCCCATTAATGTCTCAGATTTTGACCAACCACAACTTTTCTTCTGGTCGGTAAGAATGGAGGATGAGACCCTATTGAGAAAGCCCAAACATTGAAGCGGTGGCCTGCCCCTCCACACCTGTGGGTATATCTCGTCAGGTGGGAAGAGAGACTGAGTAAAGAAATAAGACACAGAGACAAAGTATAGAGAAACAACAGTGGGCCCAGGAGACCGGCACTCAGCATACCAAGGACCTACACAGGCACTGGTCTCTGAGTTCCCTCAGTTTTTATTGATTACTATTTTCACTATCTCAGCAAGAGGAATGTGGTAGGAGAGCAGAGTGATAATAAGGAGAGGATCAGCAAGAAAATATGTGAGCCAAGGAATCTGTGTCACAATTAAGTTTAAGGAGAGGTACTATGCCTAGATGTGCACGTAGGCCAGAGTTATGTTTCTATCCGCCCAAACATTTCAGTGGAGTAAAGAATAACAAAGCAGCATTGCTGCCAACATGTCTCGCCTTCTGCCATAGGGCGGTTTTTCTCCTATCTCGGAATTGAACAAATGTACAATCGGGTTTTATACCGAGACATTCAGTTCCCGGTGCAGGCAGGAGACAGTGGCCTTCCTCTATCTCAACTGCAAGAGGCTTTCCTCTTTTACTAATCCACCTCAGCACAGACCCTTCACAGGTGTCAGGCTGGGGGACGGTCAGGTCTTTCTCATCCCATGAGGCCATATTTCAGACTATCACATGGGGAGAAACCTTGGACAATACCCGGCTTTCCAGGGCAGAGTTCCCTGCGGCTTTCCGCAGTGCATTGTGCCTCTGGTTTATCGAGACTAGAGAATGGCGATGACTTTTACCAAGCATAGTGCTTGTAAACATTTTGTTAACAAGGCATATCCTGCACAGGCCTAGATCCCTTAAACCTTGATTCCATACAACACATGTTTTTGTGAGCTCAAGGTTGGGGCAAAGAGGTTAGGGCAAAGAGGTTGCGGCAAAGTTACAGATTAACAGCATCTCAGGACACAGCAATTGTTCAGGGTACAGGTCAAAATGGAATTTCTTATGTCTTCCCTTTCTACATAGACACAGTAACAGTCTGATCTCTCTTTCTTTTCCCTACAAACATCACCCAGAGTATGCATTCATTTAACTACCAAGTGACAGTGGGGTCGAGTTAAAAGTGCAGGTTGGCCTGGCAGAGGGAGGGATACCCAACTTCTCTCCCCATAACATGTACTTCTCTCTACCCCTCCTTGGGCTCTGATGAGATTTGGAAATGGCAGATAGCCCAGTCTCATAAACTCACACTTAGGGCTGTGGTTCTTTCCCTTGGCTACACATTGGAATCATTTGAGGTAGGTTGAAAGATAGATTCTGATTTAATTGTCTAGGATGCATCCTGAGCATCAGGATTTTTTTAAATCTTTCCGTATGAAGCTTACAAATAGTCAGATTTGAGAACCACTCCAGATGGCCTCTGAGAGGAAGAACCTCATCTTTTTTCTTTTCTTTTCTTCTTTCTTTTTTGAGACAGTGCCTCACTCTGTTGCCAAGATTGGAGTCCAATCGTGTGACCATGGCTCACTGCAATCTCCAGTTAATGGGCTCAAGCAATCCTCCTGCCTCAGCCTCTTGATTAGCTAAGATTACAGTTGCTTGCCACCATGCCCGGCTAATTATTTTATTTTTTGGATAGACAGGGTCTGGCTTGATGGCCAGACTGATCTTGAACTCCTGGCCTCCTTTGCCCCAACCTTGAGCTCACAAGTCCTCAAGAGATCCCACATCAGCCTCCCAAAAGTGCTGGGATTACAGGCAGGAGCCATCGTGTCTGGCCTGCATAATTTCAAGTGATGTAACAGCATCATGCTATCTTGGACAATATGCTCTTAAGTTCCACCTTCTGGGTCATTGACTTCGTCTTGTGCAAAAAAAAACCTATAGCAAACACCTAATTTTCCTACTCTTCTGTTAAAAACAACGGAAAAAATCATATATTAGCTATTTACTACAACTAGGTAATCTGATAGGTTATTCTGAGACACAGTGTGTCATTTAATCTTTTTTACAAGTTTTAATTTTATCAAAGTTTTATATGTACATCGTTTTTAAAGTTCAGTAATGTTACTGTGGAAATTAGCACTCCTCCGCTTTTACCTTTTTTTCCCTTAATTTCTACTTCCCAGAGGTACCCACATTTGTCCTTTCAGCTGTTCTTTTAACATTTTCCACTCTATGTTTAGTTAATAGGTTTACCCTGCTATTTCTTGATTTCTTACTTTCAGAGACAATCTGTGGCTTCCTAATGTGAAAGATAGAGTTAACTCTCTTACTCCACCTCTACAACATAGACAAATACATACTCTCTGATATCCTAATTAAGGCATAGATTTTGGTTAGATCAGTATTCAGTTAATTATGTAATATTATTCAAAGCTGGGCCATGTAGTTCTTTGTTATTTTGTTTTGTTTTTTTTTGATACAGAGTCTCACTTTTGTCACCCAGGCTGTAGTATAATGGTGCTATCTGAGCTCACTGCAACCTCCCTCTCCAAGGTTCAAGTGATTCTCCTGCCTCAGCCTCTCAAGTAGCTGGAATTACAGGTGCCTGCCATCACACTCAGCTACTTTTTTTTTTTTTTTTGTATTTTAGTAGAGAGGGGGGTTTCACCATGTTGCCCAGGCTGGTTTCGAAGTCCTGACCTCAGGTGTTCCTCCCTCCTTGGCCTCCCAAAATGCTGGGATTAGAGGCATGAGCCACCATGCCCGGCCAGTTTTTTGTTTCTTTTGTTTTTGAGACAGGGTCTCGATCTATCACCCAGGCTAGAGTGCAGTGGTGTGATCACGGTTCACTGCAGCCTCGACCTCCTGGGTTCAGGTGATCCTTCCACCTCAGCCTCCCAAGTAGCTGGGACTAAAGCCACTTGCCACCGCACCCTGCTAGTTTTTGTATTTTTCGTAGAGACAGGGTTTCGCCGTGTTGCCAAGGCTGGTCTCAAACTCCTGAGCTCAAGCAGTTCGCCCACCTTGGCCTCCCAAACTGCTGGGATTACAGGCATGAGCCACTGCACCTGGCCTTCATTTTTAATTTGCTCAATTTTCTATGTAGCTTATATTAAGTTATCTTCAAACACTCTTCCAGAAGAATACAACTCCTGTGAATATGTTTGCATGCATCAGATACTCTATCAAATTTTGTTTTTTAAAAAGAATGATTGCTACTGGTGCTTTCTTTATGTATGCTCCAATCTGGACTGGTTGTGCTCTAAACTTGAGAAAGCTGATGTCCTAGGATCTCCCTACACCATCATCTCAGGAAAAACCTAGACCTCTCTCTCAAGTTGGATCTCTGCTTTCCTCTTTCTTAGCTTACTTCCTCATTTTAGTGGAACATATCCTCCAGTAGCTACATGAGTTTCCTGGGCTACTGGAGGATATGTTCCACTAACCATATTCTCCAGGTTGTATGAGAGGAAAATCATTTGAGGCTTTGTTTATTGAAGCATATCATTATTTTAGCTCTATAGTTGGTAAACAGTTTGGTTGGGAATGCTGGATTGGGACTCATTTGCTTTCAGAATTTTGAAGACATTGATCCATTCATTATCCTCTGGATTCTAGGGGTTTGTTCAGCAACCCACTGCCATTATGATAACCAACCATTTGTATGTTACTTATTTTTACATTCAAAAAGATTTTAAGATATTCTCTTTTATCTCACTATTATAAATTTTCATGATAATATGCCTTTGCATAGTTAATTTTCATTTATTGTCCCAGCTCTTGGTGGAATCTCTCATTACAGAAACTAGCATCCCCTACTTATGGAAATACTCTTTTTTGAGTTGGAGCCTTGCTCTGTCACCCAGGCTGCAGTGCAGTAGCACGATCTCAGCTCACTGCAGCCTCTGCCTCCTGGGTTCAAGTGATTCTTCTGTCTCAGCCTCCCAAGTAGCTGGGATTACAGGTGTATGCCACCATGCCTGGCTAATTATTGTATTTTTAGTAGAGATGGGGTTTCACCATGTTGGCCAAGCTAGTCTTGAACTCCTGACCTCAGGTAGTCTGCCTGCCTCAGTCTCCCAAAGTGCTGGGATTACAGGCTTCAGCCACCACACCTGGCCTGAAAATATTCTTATATTATTTCTTTGATAATTTCCTCCTCTCTGTTTTTCATGTTCTCTCTTTCTGGAACTCCTATTAAATAGTTGTTGGATGTTCATGACTGGTCCTCTCTTCTTATTACATTTTATTTTCTATTTTCCACTTGTTTGTATTTTAGTTCCACTTTCTGGGAGTTTCTAAAAAATGTTATCTTTTAATTATTCTATTGGGTTTTTCATTTCTGCTGAAAAGCTCTTTTCATTCTGTTTGTTTTATCTCCTAAGTAGTATCCTATTCCTGTTTTGTGGCTATGACATATTTTCTTATTTCTCTAAAAATATTAATACTAATTTGAAATTTTCTCCTTCCTGCATAGCTGTTTCCTCCAAGTGTCTTTTTACCCCTCCCATGTTTTGTTGTTTAATTTTTTACATTAGAGATTTTCCTTAGATTTGGTAGCCATTGATTTTTCCATTATGGTTAAAAATGGTAGACCGTAAAAGTGGTTGGAAGCTCTGAATGTGTGGAGTGACCTGCCTGGGCTCTGGATTAGAGGTCATGACTGGGTGCAATTGCTCATGCCTGTAAGCCCAACACCTTGGGAGGCCAAGGGTGTGCAGATCGCTTGAGGCCAGGAGTTCGAGACCAGCAGGACCAGGCGAAACCCCATCTCTATTAAAAATACAAAAATTAGCCAGGTTTGGTGGCACGCACCTGCAATCCCAGCTACTCAGGAGACAGAGGCGAGAGAATCTGGGAGGCAGAGGTTGCAGTGAACTGAGATCACAGAGACGGGGCTTCCCCACGTTGGTCAGGCTGGTCTCAAACTCCTGACCTCAGGTGATCCACCCGTCTCAGCCTCCCAAAGTGCTGGGATTACAGGCTTGAACCACCGCACCTGGCTGGACTTAAAATTTGAAAAAATAAATTAAGAGTTGGTAATGATAATTCAGTTGCATTAGAACGAAAGAAGGCCTGTGGTGGTGAGATGAGTTACAAAAAAAAAAAGAAGAATTAAGAAAGTAATGAAAGAAGTAAAAGTTTCATCTTACTACGTCTTACTACGAAAACTGAGAACTATGTATCTGTAAAGAATTCCCCTGAATAAATTAGAATCTAGGCTAACCTCCTAAAAGAATATAGTACCAAACTCATCAAAACGTTGTGTCCTTTAACCCCAGAATTATAAAAGTTAGTCATTTCAATCCCAGAAACATATATCTATTTAAGCTAGCTCCCACAAGGCTACAATAAACCATCTCATAAACATTAAAGGACAGAAAAACTCCACATTTTATGTTTAAAAATTATTAAATCTGGAACAAGGCTAAATTAGAAAATTGGTTTGCTGAGAAATTAAGTAACAATAATTTTTAATTTAACTGGTATGAAATGCAAACCAAGTGTTAGGGCAATATGAGTCTGGTTTCCTGTCTAGAAAACCAACATGAAAATATTTTTCAAAATGTTTCTTTTCTGTGCGTGAGTATCTTTATAGAAACAGCTGTGTAAAATTTAGCATAGCTCTCTTGCTTAAACCTGTGGGGTTACTAATTTACATTACTAATGTTTGGTTTATTTATTTATTTATTTTTCTTTTTGAGATGGGGTTTCGCTCTGTCACCCAGGCTGGAGTGCAGTGGCAGGATCTCAGCTCACTGCAACCTCTGCCTCCCAGGTTCAAGTGATTATCCTGTCTCAGCCTTCTGAGTAGCTGGAATTACAGGTGCCCGCCACCATGCCCGGCTAATTTTTGTATTTTTAGTAGAGATGGGGTTTCACCATGTTGGCCAGGCTGGTCTCAAACTCAAGCTCAAGTGATCTGCCCGCCTCAGCCTCCCAAAGTGCCTGGGATTACAGGAGTGAGCCATCATGCCCGGCCCGGTTTTATTATTTATTTATTTATTTGGATTTGCAAATTACCTGATTTTCTCTAAAAGAAAATATGTGTATTTTCTGGCTCTGAAATATGACTTTTGTAACCATAGAGCAAATATTTCTTTACCTGCTAATTTTGTTTAATTTCACTAGCATGTATATTTTATTTTACAGTTTTGAAGGAGGCATGCACTTCATTCTGAACAAAGAAATACAAACCACAGCATGATAAATGGTACAATATTAACTGCCTTAAAATGATGAAATTATGTCAATGTTGGAAGTGGAGTAGGGTTATAATTGTTTTTAAATGCAAATACCGTTAGGTTTTCTTTTTCTTTCTTTCTTTCTTTTTTTTTTTTTTTTTTTTGAGACAAGGTCTTGCTCTGTCGCCCAGGCTGGAGTGCAGTGGTGCAATCTCTGCTTACTGCAACCTTCATCTCCCGGGTTCAAGCAATTCTCCTGCCTCAGCCTTCTGAGTAGCTGGGATTACAGGCACCCACCACCACACCCGGCTAATTTTTGTATTTATAGTAGATAACAGGGTCTCAC
The DNA here is from genome assembly GCF_000001405.40 of Homo sapiens. Taxonomy (NCBI): domain Eukaryota; kingdom Metazoa; phylum Chordata; class Mammalia; order Primates; family Hominidae; genus Homo; species Homo sapiens. The sequence goes on along the minus strand of NC_000003.12, from coordinate 27,525,831 downwards.
CATGTTGACCAGGCTGGTCTCAAACTCCTGACTTCAGATGATCCTCCCACCTCGGCCTCCCAAAGTGCTGGGATTACAGGCGTGAGCCATTGCGCCCAGCCAGGTTTTCAAAGAATTCAGCCTGGCTGTATATGGGCCTTCCCCAGTTCACAGTCAACATGATGTTCTCTTTGGAAGTGCAAATGAATAACCCAGGGAGGTAGGTCTGAGAGCTTTCTGTGGGCAGTTCACTTTTACTTTCTTACAACTACTTCATTGGCAGCCAGACAGATGAGGAATGAGGGACATCTTTCCTTGCATGGCCTCAGGTTTTCATGCTGCACAGGCTGCATTGTGCCTCCGACACAATCATGTGTTCTTCGTTAGCTGAGATGCTCAAAACAAACTAGAGGTCAAACTTTAACTTGATTTGAAGACAAAGTGCAACTTATTCAGATGCTATATGGGGAAGATAACCAGATTTGCTTATTTGGGGTCTGCTGTTTGTCATATAGGTTCCTAGATCTTCACTCAGTTTAATTGTTAAGACACCATTCCCAAAGGAGACATCATAGTGCTCAAATTGGTAAGCCTCATCTGCAAGGTCTTCCAAAAAAATTCTGCTTAGGAGTCCAGCATTTCCTCTGCTGGTATTTGATAGGTCATCTCATTTAGAGAGCCTAGGTCACCCAAAGTTCCCGATTTCCTCAAATTTGTCAAATAGACACTGTGCTTTTTAACTTTCAGAATCTGATTGAGAGAGTGGAGGTACAAGCTGGCACGGCAGGATCCGCAAGCTGTGGCCAATCCGAAGCCCAGCATTGGAGGATGCATAGCAGGGCAAACCCTGTAGGCCACGGGGCCAGGACAAGGGCCTGGGACAAGCTTGGAGGCATCGACCAGGGTGTCCACCTAAATGGCATTTTTGATCATTCTGTTGACTCCATTAACAGAGTCACTGATAGAGTTATGAGGGGCTTAATGAATATAGTATATAGTGAATATAGTGTAATAAACGTGTAGATTGTGGCTGGGCATGGTGGCTCATGGCTGTAATCCCAGCACTTTTGAAGGCCAACACAGGAGGATTACTTGAGGCCAGGAGTTGGAGGCTAGAGTGAGCCATGATCCCACCACTGTACTCCAGCCTGGGTGACAGAGCTAAACTGTCTCTTAAAAAAAAAAATAAAAATGTAGATGCTAATTGCTATCCATTTTCAGCAATGAGAATCCCTTGAATGTTTACAAGGTACCAGGTCAAATTTTGAGACTTGCCATCTGGTAGTGTTCCTTGGATTGCTTGAACTCATACTGGTAAAGGCATATCAGTCATTATCAGTTGTTATTCCATCTTTGTTTGAGAACTAAGTTTGGATTAAGTAACCTTTTGAAAAACCTAGATTTGTTCTGCTTTTTTATTTTGTCCATGGAAAATCATTTCAGTTGTTTTTAGGCCTGGCTTTCTTCTGGGCTTGGCATTTCAGATTTGCTTCTAATCTGTGAATAACTAACCAAATTAATGGGCTGCTTTGAGCATCATTTTTAACTGGAGAGACGGAAATTCCATCATGCTTCAGATCATAAGTCTTGTTGCCAAAAAGTTTCCCCAAGTGACAGCAGTTACGTATTTGAGATTTATTGGCAAGTTTGGGTGTCCCAGAGTGATATGAGTAGGAAAATGAACACTTTAAGGCAAATCCTGAACTGATTCAGAGAGACTGCTCCAATCTTTTGAGGTTACTTGTCCTTATAGGAAGTGTGTGTGTGTGTGTGTGTGTGTGTGTGTGTGTGTGTGTGCTGTCTTCTGGAATTAGGGAAAATATAGCCATTGGTGTATTAGGTTCAATACTGAATAGAAGTTCCTCCCTCTGGTCACAAAAAGAAATGGCCAACATTGCAGTTTTCAGTTCAGTTAAACTCATAAACAAATTTCAAAATCTTTCATCTGAGATATTTTTATGAGTAGGCACAGGGTTTCTGAATGCATCATACAATTGGATCGAAGCCTAGAAAGTCACTCCGGTGTGTTTGAACAAACTAGCCCACGAGTACCATATTTTTTATATTGGAACATTCCTTTGCCTTTTTAAAGTGACCCAGCATCTATCTTATCCGTTTTTCACATTCTGGAGTAGTTGAAGTAGATTTGTCACAAAGTCTTTTCAAAAACTTTACTTTTGTCCTTTTGCAAGGCTAGAAAGCAATAAATCAAGAGGATAAATCTTGGATCTGCAACTCAAACTGGATAAAAAACTTTTGTAGCTTATAGAATTCTCTTTCTCTCACATACACAAACAGACACATATGCACAGTGGGTCAATTATGAGTGTTATTATTTATGGAGTTAACATTGTCAAATGGGCATATTGCATTATACTTATGATGCAGGTAATATATGCATACATACATATCTTGTCTGCTTTAGTTAATCATATAGTGAGATGAACTATGTTGCTATGAGAAGACAGAATTAGGTAAAATACAGTTAATCTGATGATTTCAAATGTTTTCAGAATGACTACAATTATTCAGTCATTAAACATTTGGATATTTCCTAGATGTCCCAGACTCTGTTCTAGGATCTGGGAATATAAAGTTTTTTTTTTGTTTTGTTTTTTTAAAGCTATGTCCCAGCTGGGCACAGTGGCTCATACCTGTAATCCCAGCACTTTGGGAGGTGAGTAGATCACCTGAGGTCAAGAGTTCGACCTGGCCATCATGGTGAAACCGTGTCTCTACTAAAAATGCAAAAATTAGCTGGGGGTGGTGGTGGGCACCTGTAATCCCAGCTACTTGGGAGGCTGAGGCAGGAGAATTGCTTGAACCCGGGAGACAGAGGTTGCAGTGAGCCAAGATTCCGCCACTGCACTCCAGCCCGGGTGACAGAAAGAGACTCCATTCAAAAAAAAAAAAAAAAAAAAGCTATAGGAGACAGTGCATATAAATTATGATTAATGAGACAAATGCTATAAGAAATTTTTGAGCAAAGGGAGTAAAGAGTTAAGCTAGCTAACGTGCATGGGAAAGTTTTCAGAGAAGGAAATCATTTCATTTGAAACTTGAAGTGTTAGTAGAACAAGCCTGGTTTAGAAAGCGGTCAAGTGCATTCCTGGAAGAGGTGCTATAGCACATCAGTAGGATTCAACCAGATCTGATTTCCTTTTTTTTTTTCTTTTGAGACGGAGTTTTGCTCTTGTTGCCCAGGCTGGAGTGCAATGGCACGATCTCGGCTCACTGCAACCTCTGCCTCCCGGGTTCAAGTGATTCTCCTGCTTCAGCCTCCCGAGTAGCTGGGATTACAGACATGCACCACCACACCAGGCTATTTTTGTATTTTCAGTAGACGTGGGATTTCTCCATGTTGGTCAAGCTGGTCTCGAACTCTCGACCTCAGGTGATCCGCCCGCCTCAGCTTCCCAAAGTGCCGGGGTTATAGGCATGAGCCACTGCGCCTGGCCCAGATCTGATTTCTAAGGTGAGCAAAATATAAATTAATTGAATTTTATGAGCTGAGTATTTGTATTTATTGAGCCAATCTTGGAGTCAGACTCCTCTCTCTCTCACATATAACATACCCAAGCTTTTGGCAAATCTATCAACTCTGTGTTCAAAACATATCCCAAATCCAACCATTTCTCCCCATCTTCATGGCTACTAGCCTGGTTCAAGTCACCATCAATTCTCACCTGACTACTACAGAAACATCCTAATTGGTTGTGTTGGTTCTCCGTTGCTGTGTAACAAATTGCCACACACTTAATAGCTTAAAACCACACACATTTATTATCTCACTGTTCCCGTGGGTCAGGAGTCTGAAAATGGCTTAACCAGATACTCAGCTTACAGCCTCCACAATCTGTAATCAAGATGTAGGCTTGCTATATTCTCATCTGAGGGATTGACTAGGGAAGAATTTAACTCCAAGCTCATTCAAATTGTTGGTAAAGTCAACTCTTTGTGGTTGTGTAACTGGAGACCCAGCTTCTCACTGGCTCTTGGCTGGGAGCTATCTGTAGGTCCTAGAAGTGTCTCATAGTTCCCTGCAAGTGGCCCTCTCCACAGCAGTTCACACCATGGTGGTTTGCTTCTTCAGCAGAATCACTCACACTCTGGTCGGCTAAGATGAAGTCTTATGTAATGTAACATATTCATGAGAATGACATCCATCATCTTTGCCATATTCTGTTCATTGGAAGCAAGTCACAGGTTCTGTCAGCACTTAAGGGAGAATATTACACAAGGCATGACTCATTGGAGGTCAACTAAGGCTGTGTCAACCAAATCGGTCTCCCAACTTCCACGCATGCTCTCCTACTGTTTATCTTCTATACAAAACCCAGAGTGATGTTTTTAAAGTGTAAAACGTAACAATGCCGTTCCCTTGCTCACAACCTTCTAATGGCTTAAAATCTAAAAGGCCTATAAAATCATATATATGTGATCACTGGCTACCTCACTTGCAGTCCCTCTGCTTATTCCTACCCAGTCCCATGGGAATCCTTGCTGTTCTGGAAATAGGCCAAGCACATGTCTGTCTTTGCACTTACTATTTTCTCTGCTTCAAACACTCTATTCCAGTAAATCTTTAAGACTTGAACCCTCTCTTCATTTAGGTGTCTGCTCAAATGTCACTTCTTCAGAAACTACTACTTTTAACCCTCCAATCTAAGATAGCCCTTCCAGGATGATCCACACCTGTCCTTTGCCTCATTTTCTTTCTGTCCTTTGTCTTTCTGTGTATTTTAGAATATACTTATTCACTTATTTATTAACTGTCTCTCCCACTGGAACTCAAGCTTCTTGAGGACAGGGACCCAGTCTGTCTTATTCACTGTAATTTTCCCAGTGCCTATAAAATTGCCTGGCATATAGAAGACACTTATTTTTTTGAGATGGAGTTTCGCTCTTGTTGCCCAGGCTAGAGTGCAATGGCGCAATCTCGGCTCACTGCAAGCCCACCTCCCGGGTTCAAGCGATTCTCCTGCCTCAGCCTCCCAAGTAGCTGGGATTACAGGAATGCACCACCACGCCTGGCTAATTTTTTTTTTTGTATTTTTGGTAGAGACAGGGTTTCTCCATGTTGGTCAGGCTGGTCTCGAACTCCTGCACTCCAGTGATCCGCCCGCCTCGGCCTCCCAAAGTGCTGGGATTACAGGCGTGAGCCATGGGGCCTGGCCCTTTTCCCTTTTTTTTTTTTTTTTTTTTGAGCTGGAGTCTCACTTTGTTGCTCAGGCTGGAGTACAGTGGAACGATCTTGGCTTACTGCAACCTCTGCCTCCTGAGTTCAAGCGATTCTCTCACCTCAGCCTCCTAAGTAGCTGGGATTACAGGCAACCACCACCACACTCAGCTAATTTTTGTATTTTTAGTAGAGATGGGGATTTACCATGTTGGTCAGGCTGGTCTCAAACCCCTGACCTCAAGTGATCCACCCACCTTGGTATCCCAAAGTGCTGGAATTACAGGTATGAGCCACCACGCCTGGCCTAGAAGACACGTAATTTCTTGTGATAATAAATAATGAAAAGATTGAGACACAAAACTTTTAAAAATATTTTATTGTCACTGATGATATGTTCAATTTTTCTTTTCTATTTTTTTAATTTTTATTTTATTTATTTATTTTTTTGAGACGGAGTTTCGCTTTTGTTGCCTGGGCCGCAATGCAATGGCGCAATCTCCGCTCACCACAACCTCCGTCTCCCAGGTTCAAGCGATTCTCCTGCCTCAGCCTCCCAAGTAGCTGGGATTACAGGCATGTGCCACCATGCCTGGCTAATTTTGTACCTTTAGTAGAGATGGGGTTTCTCCATATTGGTCAGGCTGGTCTCGAACTCCTGACCTCAGGTGATCCACCAGCCTCAGCCTCCCAAAGAGCTGGGATTACAGGCATGAGCCACCGCACCCAGCCTTCTATTTTTTTTCTTTAAGAGATGAAGTCTCACTATGTTGCCCAGGCTGGTTTCAAACTCCTAAGCCCAAATGATCCTCCCACCTTGGACTCCCAAACTGCTAGGATTAGAGGCATGAGCCACCACACCTGGCAAATTTTTCAAGTAAGCAGTGAATAAATCCTAAACCGTATCCTTCTGAAATCTTACTCATGATTTTTTTTTTTTGGAACAGTGAAGAACAATCAATATCTCAAATGAGATTTAAAGTCATATGTACAATCTCAGAATAGTTAATATTTCTTGGTCATCAAGTAATCAAAACTAGCATTGTGGGAAAGCCTGACGTTAACACAAAAGAAGGCAGTTATGGAGGAAGAGAAACAAAAAACACAATACATACAGAAAACAAACAGCAAAATGGCAGTTGTAAATCCTTCCTTATCAGCAATTACATTAAATGTGTATTACTGAACACTTCACATAATAGGTAGAGATTGGTGGAACAGATTTTTATTTATTTATTTATTTTTTAGACGGAGTCTCGCTCTGTCACCGCCCCGGCTAATTTTTGTATTTTTAGTAGAGATGGGGTTTCACCATGTTGGCCAGGCTGGTCTCAAACTCCTGACCTCAAGTGATCCGCCCACCTCAGCCTCCCAGAGCGCAGAGGTTACAGGCATGAGCCACCAGGCCTAGCCCCTATATTTATTTATTTATTTATTTATTTATTTATTTATTTATTGAGACAGAGTTTTGCTCATTGCCTAGGCTAGAGTGCAGTAGCGCAATCTCAGCTCACTTCAACCTCTGCCTCCCAGGTTCAAGTGATTCTCCTGCCTCAGCCTCCTGAGTAGCTGGGATTACAGGTGCACACCGTCATGCCCAGCTAATTTTTTGTATTTTTAGTAGTGATGGGGTTTTATCATGTTGGCCAGGCTGGTCTTGAACTCCTGACCTCAGGTGATCCACCCACCTCAGCCTCCCAAAGTGCAGAGATTACAGGCGTGAGCCACGATGCCGGCCTCTATTTTTTTTTTTAAGATGGAGTCTTGCTATATTGCCCAGGCTGGTCTCAAACTCCTAGCCTCAAGCAATTCTCCAGCCTTGGCCTCCAAGTGCTAGGATCACAGTTGTGAGCCACTGTGCCTAGCTGCCACTTTCCATAATGGGTAGAACAACTGGATAAAAGATGGCCAAGGAAATAGAAGATATTAACAACACTATAAATCAACTTGACATGAAAGACATCTATAGAATATCCAACATTCATTCAGCCAGGCATGGGGGTTCATACCTATAGTACCAACACTTTGGGAGGCCAATGTTGGACAATTGCCTGAAGCCAGGAGTTTGAGACAGCCTGGGCAACATAGTAAGAACCTATCTCTACAAAAATAATAGTAGTAATAATAACACCCAACATTCTAAGATATTCAAAGGTGTCTATAAAATACATGTTCGGCCAGGCGTGGTAGCTCATGCTTGTAATCCCAGCACTTTGGGAGGCCAAGGCAGACAGATCGCTTGAGTCCAGAAGTTTGAGATTAGCCTGGACAATTATAAATACAATAATTAGCCAGGCGTGGCGGTGAGTGCCTGCAGTCCCAGCTACTTGGGAGGCTAAGGTGGGAAGATTGTTTGAGCCTGGGAGGCAGAGGTTGCAGTGAACCAAGATTGTGTCACTGCACTCCAGCCTGGGTGACAGAGTGAGGCCCTGTTTAAAAAAAAAAAGTAATAAAATAAAATTAAAATAAATTTTAAAAAATACACATTCTTCTCAAGTGAACATGGAATATTTTCCAGGACAATCCATATGTTAGGCCATTAAAAAAGCTCAGAAAACTTTAAAAGACTGTAATAATACAAAGTATGTTCTCTGACCACAGTGAAATAAAATTAGAAATAATAGTAAAAGAAATTTCAGGAAATTCACACATATTGGAAATTGAACAACACAATTCTTTTTTTTTTTTTTGGTGTTGAGACAGTTTTCTCTTGTTGCCCAGCCGAGTGCAATGGCGTGATCTCAGCTCACTGCAACCTTCACCTCCCAAGTTCAAGCGATTCTCCTGCCTCAGCCTACCAAGTAGCTGGGACTACAGTGTGCAAGCCACAATGCCTGGCTAATTTTTGTATTTTTAGTAGAGACAGGGTTTCACCATGTTGGCCAGGCTGGTCGTGAACTCCTGACCTCAGGTGATTCACCCACCTTGGCCTCCCAAAGTGCTGGGATTACAGGCGTGAGCCGCTGTGTTTGGCCTGAACAACACATTTCTAAATAACTAACGGGTCAAAGAAGAAATCACATAGAAAATTAGAAATACTTTGAGATGAATGAAAATAAAAAAACCACAACCTACCTTAAATTCAATGAAGTTAAATTGGTGCTTACAGGGAAATTTACTGCTCTAAATGCCTGTATGTTAAAAAGAGTAAAGGCCAAAAATCAATAACCTAACTTTTCTCCCTAAGGAAATAGAAAAAGAAGAGCAAACTAAACCCAAATCAAGCAAACACAAGGAAGAAAATGATAACTATTATAGCAGAAATAAACAAAATAGAAAATAGACAAGATCAAGTGCATTCAGGGTGGTATGGCCGTAGAAACAAAATAGGAAATAGAATAAAAATGAAGAAAATCAGCAAAACTAAAAGTTGGTTGTTTGAAAAGATAATCAAAATTGACAACAGTTAGCTAGACTGACAAAAAAAAGAAATAAAAGAAAGAAGACTCAAAATACTAAAACCAGGAATGGAAGAGATGACAGAATACGATGAACAATTATATGCCGACAAATAAGATAACCTACATGAAAGGGGCACATTCCTAAAAAGATCCAAACTATCAAACTGCTTAAAAAATAGACAACCTGAATAGAACTATAGCAAGTAGAAAGGTTGATGAATCATTAAAAAACCTTTCTTTTTTTTTTTATTTTTGAGATGGAATCTCGCTCTGTTGCCCAGGCTGGAGTGCAGTGGTGCAATCTCGGCTCACTGCAACCTCCGCCTCCCGCATTCAAGCTATTCTCCTGTCTCAGCCTCCTGAGTAGCTGGGACTACAGGCACCCACCACCACGCCCGGCTAATTTTTGTATTTTTAGTAGAGACGAGGTTTTGCCATGTTGGCCAGGGTGGTCTCCAACTCCTGACCTCAGGTGATCCACCCGCCTTGGCCTCCCAAAGTGCTGGGATTCCAGGCGTGAGCCACCGCACCCAGCCAAAACTTTTCTATAAATAAAAGCCCAGAACCAGATGACGTCACTAGAGAATTCTACCAAGTATTAAAGAGGAATGAACACCAATCCTTCACGAAACCTTCTGAAAATATGAGAAGGGAACACTTTTCTACTAATTTGTGAGACCAATATTGGCCTGATACCAAATACTAGCATACTAGCAAACTGCATATAAAAAGGATTATGCTGGCCAGGAGTGGTGGCTCATGCCTGTAATCCCAGCACTTTGGGAGTCCGAGGCAGGCAGATCACAAGGTCAGGAGATCGAGACCATCCTGGCTAACACAGTGAAACCCAGTCTCTACTAAAAATACAAAAAAATTAGCCGGGCGTGGTGGCGGGCGCCTGCAGTCCCAGCTACTCGGGAGGCAGATGCAGGAGAATGGCGTGAACCTGGGAGGTGCAGCTTGCAGTGAGCCGAGGCCACGCCACTGCACTCCAGCCTGGGCAACAAAGTGAGACTCCATCTCAAAAAAGAAAAAAAAAAGTTTATCCCAGGAATGTAAGATTGGTTTGATGTACAAAATAAATGAATATAATGTACCATATTAATAGAATAAAAACCAAAATCATATGATCGTCTCAGTAGATGCAGAAAAGCATCTGACAAAATCCAACACTCTTTCTGAATAAAAACACTCAACACAAATAGAAAAATAACTTCCTCGGGGAACATCACACACCGGGGCCTGTTGTGGGGTGGGGGGAGGGGGGAGGGATAGCATTTGGAGATATACCTAATGTTAAATGACGAGTTACTGGGTTCAGCACACCAACATGGCACGTGTATATGTATGTAACTAACCTGCACGTTGTGCACATGTACCCTAAAACTTAAAGTATAATAAAAAGAAAAGAAAAGAAAAGAAAAATAACTTCCTCAATCTGATAAAGTTCATCAACAAAAATCACACGGCTACCACCATACCTAATGGTGGAGGACAAAATGCTTTCCCGCGAAGATCAGGAACAAGAAAAGGATGTCCATTCCTGCCATTTCTTTCTTTCTTTCTTTTTTTTTTTTTTTTTTTTTTTTTGTTTAGAGACGGAGTTTCACTCTTGTTGCCCAGGCTGGAGTGCAATGGCATGAACTCAGCTCGCTGCAACCTCTGCCTCCCAGGTTAAAGCAATTCTCCTGCCTCAGCCTCCCAGGTAGCTGAGACTACAGGCTCCCACCACTACACCCAGATAATTTTTACATTTTTAGTAGAGACGGAGTTTCACCATGTTGGCCAGGCTGGTCTCGAACTCCTGACCTCAGGTGATCTGCCCACCTTGGCCTACCAAAGTGCTGGGATTATAGGCATGAGCCACCTCACCCAGCCAAATTTTTCACTTTTTGTAGAGATGAAGTCTCACTATGTTTCTCAGGCTGGTCTCAAACTCCTGAACTCAAGTGATCCTCCTGCCTTGGCCTTTCAAAGTACTAGTACTATTTCAACATGTTTTGTAATTTTTTTAGCAACAGAGTCTCACTTTGTCACCCAGGCTAGAGTGTAGTGGCACAATCATAGCTCACTGCAGCTTTGAACTCCTGGGCTCAAGCAATCCTCCTGCTTCAGCCTCCCAAAGAGGAGTGTGCCATCATGCCCAGCTAAATTTTTAATTTTTTGTAGTGATGAGGTTCTCACTGTGTTGCCCAGGCTGGTCTTAAACTCCTGGCCTCAAATGATTCTCCTACCATGGCCTCCCAAAGTACTGGGATTACAGGTGTGAGCCACTGTACCTGGTAAGAGTATATGTTTTGCACTTCTTTTTTTAGTTTATTCCTAAACATTTTATTCTTTTTATGCTGAATGAAATTATTTTCTAAGTTTCATTTTCAGATTGCTAGTGTATAGAAAAACAATTGATTTTTATATATTGATGTTGTATCCTACAAACTTGCTGAACTCATTTATTAGCCCTAAAAATTTTTCGCAGATTCTCTAGAATTCTCTATATTTCATGTACGTATGTATGTAAAAAGGGATAGTTTTAGCCCTTCCTTTACAATCTGGCAATTGTAGGCAGAAGTTGCAGTGAGCCAAGATCACACCACTGCACTCCAGCCTGGGTGACAGAGCGAGACTCCGTCTCAAAAAAAAAAAAAATAAAGAAGGATGAAATAGTAATACATGCTTTAACATGGATAAATATTAAAAACATTATGGTAAGTGAAAGAAGGCATGCACCAAATGCCACATACTTGATGATTTTGTTTATATGAAATTTCCAGGCCGGGCACGGTGGCTCACGCCTGCAATCCCAGCACTTTGGGAGGCCAAGGCTGGTGGATCACCTGAGGTCAGGAGTTCGAGACCTGCCTGGACAATACGGTGAAACCCCGTCCCTACTGAAAATATAAAAATTAACCGGATGTGGTGGCAGGCACCTATAATCCCAGCTACTCAGGAGGCTTAGGCAGGAGAATCGCTTGAACCTGGGAAGCGGAGGTTGCAGTGAGCCGAGATCGCGCGATTGCACTTCAGCCTGGGCAACAAGAGCAAAACCTCGTTTCAAAAAAAAAGAAAAGAAAAGAAAAGAAATTTCCAGAATATGCAAATCTATAGAGACAGAAAAGAGATTATTGGTTTCCAGGAGCTAGAGGGAGGAAAAGATGGAGAGTTACTGCTAATGTAGTAAAACACATGATTTCCTAGGGCTGATAAATATATATATATATTTTTTTCGTTGTTGTTGTTACAGAAGAGAGTGTGAACACAGTTTCCCACTGCCAAAGATTATGCAGTTGAGTTCTCCACATTTGGGGAAATTGCAGGGATCAGCACATCCAGAGTGCAATGAATAAGCCTCACCCTGGGAAAATCACCTTTGTGATGATGGTATTTCACCTCCTAGGTAAGTATGAAAATATTCTTGAATTAATTAGTGGTGGAGATTGCATAACCTTGTGAACTTACCACAAATCCTGAGCTATATATTTTAAAAGGATGAATTCTATGGTGTGTAAATTATATTTCAATTTTTAAGAAAGAATCTACAAAATTTATGAAGAAGTAGGTTGTAAGGAGCTACTTAAGCAAGAATATCTTTCTGGCTGGAGAGACATGGTTCTTCATGGAGTCTACAGACAGGGTAGGAAACCCAATCCACTTCCCTTCCCTAATAGGTAGGTTCTGCTCTTCACTTTATCCAAATGTCCCTCTTTTTTTTTTTTTTTGAGGTGGAGTTTCACCCTTGTTGCCCAGGCTGGAGAGCAGTGGCGCGATCTCGGCTCACTGCAACCTCCACCTCCCAGGTTCAAGCGATTCTCCTGCCTCAGCCTCCTGAGTAGCTGGGATTATAGGTGTGCACCACCATGCCTGGCTAATTTTTGTATTTTTAGTAGAAACAGGGTTTCATCATGTTTGCCAGGCTGGTCTCAAACTCCTGACCTCAGATGATCCGCCCACCTCAGCCTCCCAAAGTGCTGGGATTTACAGGTGTGAGCCACTGCGCCCAGCTTCTTCCTCCATTTTCTTTCTCATTCTCTCCCCGGCTTTGTTTCCCCTCTCAACTCATTCCTTGATCATTTATGTTTTCCTTTTCCTTTTTATGTCTTCTCATCCCTTTATCCAGGTCTCTACTTTCCACCCCTGCCTCCTGCTTCTTCCTTCTCCCTTCCTATTTCCTCCCCTCTCTCCTAACTCACCACAAAATGGAAATAAATGGTATTTTAAAGCATTTTTTGTAAGAATTATGTACTTTTTTGTTTGCTTAGGTGGAAAAGGACATGATTTTGATGTTTAATGTTTCTTTAAGGAAAAACAACTCTAAATTAATTACATAGTTGGTTTTGCTTTAGGGAATGTAATCAGCAATTTTTAAAAAAGAAAGATTATCCACTCATGCTACATGACTAGTTAGAAATAAATAATTGAGGGAAAATACTTTCATGAACATTATAAAGTGATTTGTAAATATGAGCAGACACTACGGGTAAACACTGATAATATCTAGTGTGGTGGTGTTCACTGATAGCTCTTAATTATTATTTGGCTGTTCTATGTGTAGACATGTCTGAGTCAACCATTTAGGCTACAAATTGAAAACCTCCAACACAGACAGTTTCATCTGAAATATAAATGTGATTATATTTTCCCCCAGGAACATCCTTTTCGAACTAAAAAAAAAAAGAAAAAACCCAACATGGGTTGTAAGTTCTTCTCTCGTGAAGCCATCTACAGAATGGCCAATTATTCTCTGTCGTTGATCTGGAAGAGCGAGTAAGTACAAAGCCACAAAGTTGTCATCTTCTTCAAATAAAATTCTGATCTCTGGCTTGAATGCTGAAAGATTTACTGTTTACTTGTGTGAATAGGTCAAGAGAAATAACTTTTTTCTTAACAGTCATTTTATAAGAAAAGCATATTTCATTTGTTGACAAAACGTTAAGAAAATGAACTGGTTAAGTCTCATTGGTCTTCATGATTGAAATTCTAGCACCCAAAGTGGTAGTGTCAGAGCAATGAGACACCAGATAATGGTCTCAGAAGCCTTCCCAAACAATGTGGCTGATTCATTAGAAGGGGGAAGGGGCAGAAAAGGCCGACTCAGTCCGTTCCTAAGAGGCCATCTATCCTGTCTTGAAGCAGACAGAGTGCTTTACTATGGGGCCTACTTTGGTATATTGGTACAACTATTATTGAATGTTAGAATTATTTTTAGATACTAAGTTTTAAGCACTCTCAGGACAGCTAAAGAAGGTGGATTCTCATCTGAAGCGTTTCTGCTACTGACTGACTCTAGCAGTCAGCCGACTGGCACCTTTAAGATCCATCTAGTATGGTTTGAAGAGCTTGGTATTTGTTTGTCTTTCTTGTGCTACACAAAGACTCTGTGTCTGGGTCTGTCAACTGTGCAGCAAAAATGAGTTTCCACTTTTTGCTGAGCACACAACTAGACTATTTTTCTAAACTTGCCTTGTAGTTAGTTGTGGCCACACAACTGAATTCTGATCTATGGAACAAATTCTGATCTATGGAACAAAATAATGATCTATGACATTATTTTAAGAAATACGTAAGTCTCTTCTCTGCTCTACTTCCCCCTTTACTGGCTAGATGCTGATGACAGTGAGGATTTGAGGAAAGGAGAGCTACATAATAAACTTAACATAAGGGGCCCTGATAAAGAGAGGGTCCACCACCCCTCAGCAACAACAACCTCTTAGGTGAGCAAGAAATGAACGGTTACTATGTTTTAGTACTATATATTTTGAGGTCTATTTATTACAGCTGTTAGTATGAGCCTATGTCACAGTGCATTAGGATTGCTATAACAAATTACCATAGACTGGGTGGTTTATAAACAACAAAAATTTATTTTTCATATTTCTGGAGGTTGGGAGTCCCAGATCAAGATGCTGGCAAATTCAGTGTCCGGTGACAGCCTGCTTTCTGGCTCATAGAATTTGGTAATTTCACTATAAGTTCACATGGTGCAAGGGGCAAGGGAGCTTTCTCCAGCCTCTTTTATAAGGATCCCATCCATGAGGGCGCTTCATGACCTAATCACCTCTCAAAGTCCTCATATCCTAATATCATCATCTTGGGGGTCAGGGTTTCAACATATTAATTGGGAGAGGAGCTGGGCGCGGTCGCTCACACCTGTAATCCCAGCACTTTGGGAGGCTGAGGTGGGTGGATCACCTGAGGTCAAGAGTTTGAGACCAGCCTGGGCAACATGGTAAAACCCTATCTCTACTAAAAATACAAAAATTAGCTGGGCGTGGTGGCAGCCGCCTATAACTCCAGCTACTAGGGAGGCTGAGGCAGAAGAATGGCTTGAACCTGGGAGGTGAAGGTTGCAGTGAGCTAAGATCACACCACTGCACTCCAACGTGGGTGACAGTGTAAGACTGCATCTCAATAAAAAAAAAAAAATTGGGAGAGGAGTGCATAAACATTCAGGCCATAGCACCCTAACTACTAACTGATTGTAATGGCTAGTAATTGAAGTATTGCAATTAAAGGAAGCAGTACCAACAGATGTGCCTTCACAGAAGGCATGGCAAATACGCCTTAGAAATATAACTCTTTTACCTTCTTCTGTTTCTTTCTTTCTTTCTTTCTTTTCTGAGACAGAGTTTCACTCTTTTTGGCCAGGCTGGAGTGCAATGGTACAATCTCAGCTCACTGCAACCTCCACCTCCTAGGTTCAAGTGATTCTCCTGCCTCAGCCTCCCAAGAAGCTGGGATTACAGGCGCCTGCCACCATGCCTGGCTAATTTTTGTATTTTTAGTAGAGATGGGGTTTCACTATATTGGTCAGGCTGGTCTCAAACTCCGGACCTCAGGTGATCTGCCTGCCTCAGTCTCCCAAGGTGCTGGGATTACAGGTGTCAGCCACCGTGCTCGGCCTGTATTTGTACTTTCTAAGTTTTTGCGATACCAACTTATATATACTAGGCAGAGTGCACAAAAAATAATAGATTAAAATGAGGACATTTTTATCCCTCTTGATTTCCTTTAGTTGTTGTTGTTGTTGTTGTTGTATTTATTTTTTTACTCCAGGACAGTCCACCAAGTTGTTTTATTAAAGACAGGGCCACAGGCTAGGCATGGTGGTTCATGCCTATAAACCCAGAACTTTGGGAGGCCAAGGCTGGCAGATCGCCTGAGGTCAGGAGTTCGAGACCAGCCTGGCCAACATGGTGAAACTCTGTCTCTACTAAAAATACAAAAATTAGCCAGGTGTGGTGGTGGGCACCTGTAATCCCAGCTACTCAGTAGGCT